>NC_000013.11:52158106-53408106 GCF_000001405.40 Homo sapiens
CCTCAGATGATCCGCCCGCCTCGGCCTCCCAAAGTGCTGGGATTACAGGCGTGAGCCACCCCGTCCGGCCCTAGTGTTCGTTTTTTAATTACACCACAAAGAATTATAAGGCAGAGAGAGCATGACAGGCAAAGCAAAAATCAAACTAAAACCTCTACTATAGTGACCTGTAAAAATTCCAGTTTGTATTACTGTTTATCACAGAATTACCAGGAAATCCTAGAAATAATTTCTTCATATAACCAAATCAGTCATACACATTGTCTTCGAAACAATGTTTTTCCAAGATCGATGAGGTCTTTTGAGTGTATATAGATGTGAAAGAAACAAGTCCTTTACTACTATTCTAACACCTGGTATTACACGGTTTAACATGGAAGCCAAGTTTCCCCATGATCTTATTCTTCGTTTCTTCGGGGCTTTATTCTATGCAATGGAGAGTAACTGAAAATTAAGAGCAACCAGACTTCTTAGCTGAAAACCACATTTGATATTTTCTGCCCACATTTGCCTGTTACTCAATATTACACCCATATGATCATTACAAGACCTGAATACACTCTGGACATGGCAAAAGTATATCGGCCCCTTCGCATGCCTGCAACAATACTTTTAAAAACCTAATAAAGTGATTTGCAAATACCCAGAAGTGGGATCACCAGTGAGATACGGGCTAAGTTCAGAAAGGTCCCTGAAACCACCTTTACAGATGTATAAGTAATGCGAGAAATCTAACATGACTGACTCCATCTTGCTTCTAACCTCACGGGCTAAGTTTTCACCGTGTTGTCGTTTTCTTATTCTAGCACAGAGGCTAGGATAACTGGGAGAGGGATTTCGTGTAAACTTCAAGACAAGGGAAACTGACCCCACCCCTTCCTGGGAACCAACGAAGCCGCCCCGAGTTTCAGAAGCTCTTGTGATTTCATCCCCAGCCGGTCAACTGTTTCAGTTCCCCAGCCCCCCGAAGCCAAAATGCCCTTTAAAACCCTCGCCCCCGAATTCTCGGGGAGACAGGTCTGAGACCCTGTTCTGGTTTGGCCAGCCCTGCGCTTATTAACTTCTTTTTTTGCTGCAACAGCGGTTCTCACTGGTTCTTTCCGGGCAGCGAGCGAGAAGAATCCGTTGAGCCGGGGCCGGCGCCCGCGGGGCAACTGCACCGCGGGGGAGCCCAGTCGCCCCGCTCACCCGTGAGGGCCCTTTCTCCTGGAAAAGCCGCTCCGCCCTGCTGACCCCCACGGCACCGCGCGCCCAGACCCCAAGGCGGCGAGGGACTTGCGGGTTTGCGGCGAGTGGTCCAGACCGCGGGGCGGAAGTGAGGGGCGCGGCCGCGCGTCCGGGGCGCGTCTACCCCTCGCTCCCACTCGGCTCCGCGCCGCGACCACGCGCCGCCCTCCTCGTTCTAGAGGCAGCCCGCCAGGGCGGGGACCACTCACCCGCTTCCCCGGCGACCCTAGTCCACTCCTTGGCCTGGCAACCGGCGGCTTCCGCGGGGCGGGCCCGGCGGGTCGTCTCTCGGGTTGCGGGTGAAGGAAGCCGCCTGGGTCTGGCGGGAGGCACTGTTCTTGGAGTAGCCGGGCCTACGAAGAGCACGTTTTAAAGCTGTTGTTCCACGTTGCGGTGGAACAGTGCTGTTAACATTGAGGGAAATTGTCCCCGACTAACTGAGTTCTGTCTGCAGGTTAAGTGAAAGCCTATGTAGATAAATTTCACGGGCACAGCACTCAGTGCTAGCTAGAACTTACTAGCTATGTGACCTTGGGCAATTGTGGAAGGCGGGATAATGCTTCCGCCTCAGGATGTCCACATCCTACTCCCTGGAACCTGTGCGTTTGTTCTCTTGCTTGGCAGAGGGGGTTAAGATTGCAGATGGAATTAAGGTTGCTTATCAGCGGACTTTAAAATAAGGTGACGATCTTGGAGTGTGTGCTTGGGTAATTACAAAGTAATTACAAGGGTTCTCTAAAGTGGAAGGGGCCCAAAAAGAAGGTCAGTATGAGAAAGCTATTTGAAGGTGGAGGAAGGGGCAACAGCCAAGGAATGCAGCTGGCCTCAAGAAGCTGGAAGAGGAGCAGGCACAGTGTCTCATGTTTGCAATCCCAGTGCTTTGGAAGGCAGAGGCAGGAGAGGAACACTTTAGCCCAGGAGTTCGAGATCAGCCTGGGCAACATAGTGAGACACTCGTCTCTACGAAAAATTAACTAGACATAGCGACGGGCACTGTGGTCCCAGCTGCTCGGGGGATTGGGGCAGGAGGATCACTAGAGCTGGAGAGGGCTCATGATCCCACCACTGCAGTCCAGCTTTGGTGACAGAGCAAGAACCTGTCTCCAAAAAAAAAAAAAAATATATATATATATATATATATATATATAAAGGAGGAGGTGGGAGGTGGAAAAGGAGGAGAAGCTAGAAAAGGAGGGAAAAACAAAAAACAAAAACCAAATTGTTCCCCAGAGCTTCCAGAAGTAACAGTCCAGCTGACCCCTTGATTTTTTTGTTTTTTGAAACAGGGTCTTGCTATGTTGCCAAGACTGGTTTTGAGCTCCCGGGCTCAAGCGATCCGCCCACCTCAGCCTCCTGAGTGGCTGGGACTACAGGAAAACCACCATGCACACTGACGCCTTGATTTTAACCCAGTGAGCTGTATTTCTGAACTTCAGAACTGTAAGGTAATAAATTCGTGTCGTTTTAGCCACTTAGGTTGTCACAGTTTGTTACAGAAGCCTTAGGAAACTAATACAGCAGAGTAACTAAATCCCTCTGTATAAAAGTATAGAACCTACCTCATAGGATTACTGTGAACAACATCTGGTTACCCTTTACTTGTAAGCGCTGAACGTGTTCATTATAACGTGTCAACCAGAGTCAGAGAGACCGAAATCCAAGTAAAGAAGTTTATTGGCAGTCTGAGAATTGCAGTTCAAGGAACACAGATTCCAGAAGCATTTGAATTGTGTCCTGACCAGCTATTTTTGGGTAGGGTTTTTAAAGGAAGTAAGAAGTCAGTTCTCACTAGTTCATCCATAACCTTCGTAACCCACTATTTTGATTGAAGATAAAGCGTTATCATGACAGTTCATTGGTTTCTAGGCAAAAGTCCTTGATTCAGGGGTTTGAGAAAAGTTCAGTCCTCAGCATGAAGTCCTTTTCATAATGGCAGCAATTTTGTCTGCAACATCAGCAAGTACATTCTGCAGTCAGGCAGTTGTAAAATGGCATTCAGGAACAAAATGGCTTTGCTCTGGCCAGCTCCAATTGCCTTCCTTCCACAATGTCAAAGTTAATGTACAACTATTCTGTAGTGTGGTGATAAGAGAAGGGAAATGCTACAAATCAACATTTACAACATCTGCACTGCTTTCTTTGTACTCTATACAAAGACTAGTTTCAATTAAAAACAAAGAAGGCCAGGCACGATGGCTCAGGCCTGTAATCCCAGCACTTTGGGAGGCCGAGGTAGGCAGATCACCTGAGGTCAGGAGTTCGTGACCAGCCTGGCCTACATGGTGAAACCCTGTCTCTACTAAAAATACAAAAATTAGCTGGGCATGGTGGGTGGCGCCTGTAACCCCAACTACTCGGGAGGCTGAGGCATAAGAATCATTTGAACCTGGGAGGCGGAGGTTGCAGTGAACCAAGATCGTGCCACTGCACTCCAGCCTGGGTGATAGAGCGAAACTCTGTCTAAAAAAAAAAAAAAAAAAATACTGCCCATGCCTGTACTCAGAATGCTGCTCTTGAGAACTGAGCAAAAGACAGATTTCTATCAGATTAAATTTGTGACAGCATCAGGGGAGAAGATGACAAAGGTGCTTAATGCTTTTCTTTCCCACCCAATGATGGCAGTCATGAAAGGGATTCTTTCCCTTGTTCCATCGGTGTATTAGTTTGCCAGGGCTGCTGTAACAGAGTCCCACAAGCTAAATGAATGGTTTAATCAAATTTATTATCTCATACTTCTGGAGGCTAGAGGTCCAAAATAAAGGTGTTGACAGTGTTGGTTTCTTCTGAGGGCTGGAACGAAAAGATCTGTTCCAGGCTTCTGTACTTGACTTGTAGATGGCCTTCTTCTCCCCCACATTGCCTTTCCTTTATGTGTACTGTCTCTGAGTCTAAATTTCCCCTTGTATAAGGACACCAGTCATATCAGATTGAGGGACCATCCTACCCCAGTGTGGCCTCATCTTAACTAATTATATCCTTAACAACCCTATTTCCAAATAAGATCACATTCTGAGGTACTGCACATTAGGACTCCAGCGTATATTTTGTGGGGGATGCAATTCAACCTGTAAGTCAGTAAGAATAGACTGGTGAGGGTAGGGAGAGGGGATGGTGAGAGAAGGTCTGGCCCCCTTTTTATGCAGCTGTTGCCAAGCTGTGGATACCCAGCCAGGAGAGCTTCTGGATATATCCAGAAATAATAAAACGCCACTTCTCCTGAGATGACTGGGAGTTTTCACTCTGTATTAACTGCTTTGTAGTCTACAGTTATATAGACTTTCTTATACTTTTTAACTTCGGTTTGGTTTAAGAGCCACAAGATGACTCACCGAATATATTTCCAGGCATTAAAATAGATGATCTCTGACCCTCACCAGGATTGTTATGTTTGGTTTTTGTTTTGTCAAAGGGGAAAAAAAAAGTTGAGTAGAGGAAGACCTAGAACAAAAAGCAATTGTTCCTTGCTTTTTATCTCCCCAGCTTCAGTCCCACTTCCAAAGGGCAACCACTTTGACCTTTGTGGTTTTAAATTCTCCTGATGATCTTCAACTGTATGAATAGGATTAAGCTGCTATTTTGTGACACTATTGACTCTTGCAAGGACTGATAAAAAGTCAGCTTAATTCACCCCCCTAAGGTGCACATGGTAGTTAACACTATGATTTAGTCCTATTGTTCACTTTAGTAACTTTAATATCCTTAAACTGTTGTTTTTAGTTCTATTAAATACAGACAGCGCCTCTTGGTTCTCCATTTCATGATAGGAAGAACTCTTACTTCCCTTGAACTCCCCACCTCTGCTTCTACCTCCAAATTTCTTATTTTTTAGAAATGAGGCCTCCCTCTGTTGCCCAGGCTGGAGTACCTCTGGTGCAATCATAGCTCATTGCAGCCTCAAACCTCTGTACCTCCAAACTTTTCAAAGCTGTACTCTCTTAGATTTCCACAACTGATAACATTTATATTCCCTTCTGTAACTAAGTCTTCTTTTTTTTTTTTTTGAGATGGAGTCTCGCTCTGTCGCCAGGCTGGAGTGCAGTGGCGCCATCTCAGCTCACTGCAACCTCTGCCTTCGGGGTGCAAGTGATTCTCCTGCCTCAGCCTCCCACGTAGCTGGGACTGCAGGCGTGCACCACCACGCCCAGATAATTTTTGTATTTTTAATAGAGACGGAGTTTCAACATGTTGGCCAGGATGGTCTTGACCTCTGCCTGCCTCAGCCTCCCAAAGTGCTGTGATTAGAGGCATAAGCCACCACGCCCGGCCTAAGTCTTCTATAAGTTGGTTCTAATAGACAATAACCAATAAGCAGCATTAACATTATGAAAATGTTGGTCCACAGCAGAGCTAAGCAGTTTGCTGGGCCTGATTTTCCTGTGTAATCACAATGTCTCAACCCTGTGCTGTTCAGTTTCTCAAAATCATGGTTACTTTGTTGTTGTTGCTTTGCCTAGTACTTTTTTGTTGTTGAAAGAAATCTGTGCCATCTTACCCATTCTATTTTCTTGGAATATTTTTTTGAAAGCCCACTGATGACTCAGTTTAACTCATATTTGTATTGTGATTTTCTTGTAGAGTCTTTTAGGAAATATAATTTCTAGGTACTTTTCTTATTTTCCTTTTCTTTGCCTGAAGTATATCTTCAAGTTCTTCCAACTGTATATTCCATGAAATACCTTTGTTTCCTGGATCCCCCGTTCTTGCTCAGATATGAACTGGTGGCTTAGTCACCCACAAAACTGACATTCTGAGTCACATCTGCAGCTGCCTGAATCCCATGGCTTCCTCAGGATACTCTGCTCTTTTACTGATGGAGTACCTGCTCTAATAACTCCTCCTTAAGAAAAGGTGTCTGGCAGGTAAGCTTTCTGAGTCTTTGCATGTGTAACAATGTCTTTATATTGCCCTCGCAAGTAATTTGACTGGGTAGAGGCGTCTCAAGTTGAAAATCATTTTCCCCCTGAACTTTCAAGCTATTATTCCACCATTTTTAGTGCAGCTGATGATCAATCTAATGCCAGCATGCCTTTTGTTTCTTGTAGAAGTTTGTGTTCCCGTTTCTGGAAAGCTTTTGAATAGCTGGTCATTTATTGAACAAATTTTATTGAGCTGCTACTCTATGGCAGCCACAAGGGCTAGGACCTAGGAACACAATGGTGAAGACTAGATTATTTCTAATGAAGTTTCCCACATATCCACCAAAGACAATGCTTGAGGCATCTTCCTTTTTCTCAGAGGCAGAAACCAAATTAGCTTAACTTTGAAATACAGAGATTTTATTTTTTTAATTTATTTTTTGAGACAGTCTTGCTCTGTCACCCAGGCTGGAGTGCAGTAGCACAGTCTTGGCTCACTGCAACTTCCGCCTCCCAGGTTCAAGCAATTCTCCTGCCTCAACCTCCCAAATAGCTGGGATTACAGGCGCCAGCCACCAAGCCTGGCTGGTTTTTGTATTTTTAGTAGAGGCCGGGTTTCACCATATTGGCCAGGCTGGTCTCAAACTCCTGACCTCTGGTGATCCGCCTGCGTCGGCCTCCCAAAGTGCCAGGATTACAGGCGTGAGCCACCGCGCCCAGCCCAGAGATTTTATTCTTAGAGCTCCAGAAAAGTGGGCTAGGTAGATAGTGAACATGTTAGATGCTGGCGTTAGCTCACTGCAATATTAATTTAGATGTGTGATTATAAGGAAGAAGAACACAATTTAACAGAAAATCTTTCTGTTCATAGTGTTTTCCTCTACTTTCCACCTTTCCCATATCTGTTTTGGTCTGACACTATAGGGTACATCACTGTGAAATCAAAAACAAGCAAGCATGTACCCTTTGTCCTCAAAGGCTGGCATGCAGGCCTATGAACTTGGAAAGACAACAAAGCTTCTAGTATGATAAACAAAGAAAATGGAGAATAAAAAGTCTGATTTCCTCTTCCTGGCATCAGCAAATACCAGCTGTCAGAGAGCTCTGAGTAATCTACCCCTCCTATTCCTAAAAGGTAATTAATATTAAAACATTGCCAAAAGGAGGTATATTTAGATTTTCAATTAAAATGACACAAATGAAGTGGCAATGCAACAAATATGAGAGAAAAATTTTAAATTGTAGTATTTATATTTGTGATGTTTTTCCCATCTAATTCCACTCTCTCCAGTGGTCCCTGAAACATCACCAGCAGGCTGACATCCTGATAAACTCTAAAAGGAAGGAAAACATAATCTAAAAGGCAGGGTGGGTGTGGCAGTTAGAGGTCACCACGAAAAAGAAGGCAAGTGCAGCTACTCAAGGGATACAGATAAGTCATTAGGGTCAAGGGTTGAAGCGAAGTACATGACATTGCAGACTGCCCCTATGGTAACTAATGACAGACTTCTAGTAAAGGAATAAAACCTTAAGGTTCTTTTGTTTAGCCCTTACTGCCAAACAAAGCAAGTTGTAAGACCAGTCCTAACATTTCATCAAGCAGCAGGAAGCTTCCTTCCATTGGGAAAAGCTAATAGAGGTGTCTCTTCATACCTTCTTATTACAAAAAAAAAAAGGGCCAGCTTTCTCCTGATGTTTCTGCTATTAGAGAAGATTTGTAGGCCGGGCTTGGTGGCTCACACCTGTAATCCCAGCACTTTGGGAGGCCAAGGCAGGCAGATCACTTGGGGTCAGGAGTTCAAGACCAGCCTGGCCAACATGGCGAAACTCCATTTCTACTAAAAATACAAAAATTAGTCAGATGTGGTGGTGGGTGCCTGTAATTCCAGCTACTCAGGAGTCTGAGGCACGAGAATTGCTTGAACCTGGAAGGCAGAGGTTGCAGTGAGCCAAGATTGTGCCACTGCACTCCAGCTTGAGTGACAGCGTGAGACCCTGTCTCAAAAAAAAAAAAGACTTGTAAAGTTTGTGATGGCAGAGTGGAAAAAGCATATTTAGAATAATGTATCCATGCCTGTCCTAGCAAATCCTGTTACTCTCCCGGAACCTCAAATGTCTTGTCTGTGGCCAGGCATGGTGGGTCATGCTTGTAATCCCAGTATTTTGGGAGGCCGAGGTGGGCGGATCACAAGGTTAGGATTTCGAGACCAGCCTGGCCAACACAGTGAAACCCTGTCTCTTCTAAAAATACAAAAATTAGCAGGGCATGATGGTGGGCGCATGTAATCCCAGCTACTTGGGAGGCTGAGGCAGAAGAATCACTTGAACCCGGGAGGCAGAGGTTGCAGTGAGCCAAGATCGTGCCACCGCACTCCAGCATGGACGAAAGAGCTAGACTCCCTTGCACGGGAAAAAAAAAAAAAAAAAAAAAGTCTGTCAAGTGTAGAAGACTGAAAACGCAAACAAAAGCGATTCTAAATTTCTACAAAGGCTTATTTCCTCTATTTCCTTCTTTAACTCATGCTTCTAATTTAAAAAGCTTCGCTGTGCACTGTAACTGATGCCTGTAATCCCTACACTTTGGGAGGCCAAGGTGGGTGGATCACGAGGTCAGGAGCTCGAGACCATCCTGGACAATATGGTGAAACCCTGTTTCTACTAAAAATACAAAAATTAGCCAGGCATGGTGGGCATGTGCCTGTAGCCCAGCTACTCGGGAGGCTGAGGCAGAAGAATCTCTTGAACCCAGGAGGTGGAGGTTGCAGTGAGCTGAGATCGTGCCACTGCACTCCAGCCTGGCGACAGAGCAAGACACAATCTCAAAAAAAAAAGCTTAAACTGTAAAATTCTAAACTGTTCTCCCTGTTTTATATATACCTAAAGTTAATTAATGCATTTTCTGAACAACATAATAAAAGTTATGTTTAAGAACAACATACATGCACCAGTTCCCCCGCTGAGGTCTCTGCTGCCAGTTTGGTCCAGGAACACGTAATCAGCATCCTGGTCCCAGGTAGTGGCATGGTCAGTACCTACTGCCCATTTCCTCAGAAGACAATACTGTCCTTTCCAAAATGTTTACTATTTATTTGCTCAGAACAGATAGGTCTTCATTTGACTCACTACCTAAACCACCAGCTTCTTACATTATCTCTTTAAAGCAGAAGTCTTATAATTTTGTCGTCACCTGGACTCAACTCTCATCTGAAAGTTCTTCTTGAATATCTGTGGTATCACCATTTCTAAGTAGCTCAGCAGTCTAATGGTCATAGTTAACTTAATCAGTCAAATATGAAATCTGTTTGATGCTGCCATTGTAGGAGTCAAATTCTTAATGTATTTATAACTTAATAAATTGCAATTCAGAGTTATGACACCAAGTTAACTTTGCTCCATCCCTTTTTAGTTGAGGTTTCAGATTTCTGCTTCAGGTTGGAAACTGCCAATGCAATGTTCAGAGCATGTTCTACTCAAAAGTCACATCTTAACTTTCATAGCCACATGACAGACCAAGCCACATTTGCTCTTGTTTACATTTTATTATCATTATTAGTAATAAACCAATAAAAACTGAATAACAAAGGAAAAAGCTCAAGATAAATAATTTCTTCCTTGTGAATTCAAACACATGCACACACACACATCCTCCTCTGTGTGTGTTACTTCCTCCTCACATTCTGTCCTACGGTACAAATAGTTACACAAAAGTCTACAAAACGCGAGTAGCAGACCCCAGCTGTGTTAAGCTCAGGCTGATTCTCAGTCTAGATCACCAGCTTCTCCACGCTAAGTGTACTTGTGGTTTCATCCTCTTCATTTGACCCAAAATATCCTGGGAGGTCCAGCATCCTCTGCTCAGCCTCAGTGAGGCCAAACGACGTATTGTCATAGAAGGCAAACTCAGGGTGAGTGGGGAAGCTTTGACACTTGTCTTTTCTACACTGAGAAGGGCTCAGAGAACTGACCCTCTGGTAGTTATCTTTGGGGGATGTGGGAGAAGACTACTTCCTTGAGATACTCTTGTGACTGGGGGACGGTCCCCGAGGAGCTCTGTGGGGCTCTGTTCTCTCAATTCCTGCCACTAATCCTGCCTGGCGATCCCCAAGGTCTGGTTTCCTCAAAGGCTGCCCCATGGGCCTTAATAAAAATTTTAAATATACTCTCACACACACACTATATTCTAGAGAAGAACTATTGTATCAAAATCCTAGATTTGAATAACTTATTATTTTAAATAATCAGTAACTAAAACCAAGCAATCCATCACACAAAGAGGGGAAAGGGTAATATTCTGAGTTATAAATTTTTTACCCTGTCTGATAAAAATAGAAGCCTGAAAGTTTAAATTTTTCCTGGATTTAAATTTAAAGATAAATTTGTTTTTCAGTGAAATATCCTCAATAGCAATTTTACCAAAGAGGCCTTCTTCTGAAGGCCACCTCTGAAATAATTAGAGGATAAATGTCAATGGCATGATATTAAGATATTACTTGGCCAGGCGTGGTGGCTCACGCCTGTAATCCCAACACTTTGGGAGGCCAAGGCGGGTGGATCACGAGGTCAAGAGTTCGAGACAAGCCTGGCCAACATGGTGAAACCGCATCTCTACTAAAGACACAAAAAATTAGCCAGGCGTGGTAGCGCACGCCTGTAATCCTAGCTATTCAGGAGGCTGAGGCAGGAGAATCACTTGAACCCGGGAGGTAGAAGTTGCAGTGAGCCGAGATCACGCCATTGCACTCCAGCCTGGGCAACAGGGTGAGACTCCACCTCAAAAAATAAAAAAAAAGAAAGATATTATTCAAGAAAAGAACTTAGGAGCCAGGTGCAGTGGCTCATGTCTATTATGCCAGTACTTTGGGAGGCCAAGGCAGTAGGATCACTTGAGGCCGGGAGTTCAGAGACCAGTCTGGGAAACGTAGCAAGACCTCGTCTCTACAAAAAAAGTGTTTAACAAATTAGCTCAGTATGGTGGCACATGCCTGTAGTCCCACCTACTCAGGAGGCAGAGGCAGAAGGATGGCTCGAGCCCTGGAATTCAAGGCTGCAGTGAACTAAGATGGTGCCATTGCACTCGAGGATGGGTGACAGAGCAAGACTCCATGCCGCCAGCCCCTAAAAAAAGAAAAAAAAGAAAGGCATTTAGGCAGTTCTAAATAAAAACATCTTAGTATTTTCTATTGTTGAAAGAAAAAATTTATTTTAAGTATATGTTAGTAAGCCAAGAGACTTTCTAAAATACTGTTAACATCTAGTACAATTTCCAGTAAAATTTAATTTTAGAACTTGCTTCAGAAGGAATTTCACTTTAATTGTACATACTTGCTTATTCCAAAATATAATTATACAAAGGAATTAAAGAAGTTTCTTACTTAAAGAATAAAGTTACACTTAGAAACAAGATGGGATATAAAGCACACAGATATAGAGCTTTCATAGCATTAAATGCGGCCTATTCAGCTTGGTTGAAGGATAGGATGTTCTCTAGTCAGTTAAATACAGTAAATTCCAAATGATAAACAAAAAAGGAATGTGAAATCCTTCAGTTTCATCTATACCTTGCAGTTATTTCAATCATCACTATTTTAAAATATGTTAAGTATAGATCTCCTATCACATACTATGGCTAACAAAATAATAGAACTATAACTTTGTATTTAAAATTGAATCATATCTCTGCTATAAAATGTATAAATATAGAATTTTACTACTTATAAAGCTTACAATGAACTCATTCAACAAATTAAACATCTACTATTTACAGTCCAAGCTCAACAAAAAAGTAGCTATTGAATACCCTTTTCTCAGCATAGCAGTGGAATTATTTGGATTGAGTTCATAAGACTTCTTTGTGTCGGCAACAGCAACTACGTAGAAACAGATGGGTTTTTCGTCAGTTATTTACAGATCCTAGCAAATACACAAAGAATATGAATCAGTTTTAGATTTCTAAGTTTTCGAGTTGATAGAAACACCAAACGGTTTTAAATTAGGAAAAGCTAATCCAAGACAGAATTCAAATAAATAATACTCTTGTACCTTCCTTTTGGCTTAACATTTAGCTTCATTCTTAAAGCTCTTCAGTCAATGAATAAAGCTGTGTCACAAAATTCATCTCCTTTTCTCATTAGCATAATCTATATAATTTGGCCGGGTGCAGTGGCTCACACCTGTAATCCCAGCATTTTGGGAGGCCGAGGAGGGTGGATCACCTGTGGTCAGGAGTTTGAGACCAGCCTGGCCAACATGGTGAAACTCCGTCTCTGCTAAAAATACAAAATTAGCCAGGCATGGTGGCACGTGCCTGTGGTCCCAGCTACCTGGGAGGCTGAGGCAGGAGAATCCCTTGAACCTGGGAGGCGAAGGCTGCAGTGAGCTGAGATCAAGCCACTGCACTCCAGCCTAGGCAACAAGAGCGAAACTCCGTCTAAAAAAAAAAGATATTCAGTTTTTCCCTATCCAGATTCTTCATCAGAATAACTTTTTAAAGTTACACAATACAGAAATACATTACTTTTTAATATAGATAGGGTCTTGCTATGTTGTCCAGGCTGGACTCGAACTCTTGGGCTCATGTGATCCTCCAGCTTTGGTCTCCCAAAGTGCTGGGATTACAGGCATAAGCCACCATGCCTGGCCACATTCGTTTTTATAAAAAATACAAAGAAGAGCATTTCATTTTAATACTCTGTCAAATAGTAAATATGATACTATTCTTTATCAGCCTACCCAATAACTATGAATGAAATCTATATACATTCTCCACCCACTGAAGGAAAATGAGACATCCATAAAATTTAATAGGTGTTGCTCAACATGTCTGTCACACTTGAGATACTGTACCTTGTATGAAAGACCAATTTAAAAATCCTCAAAGACAACCTTTATTTTATTTGACTAATTTGTCATGGGTAAAATGTATAAGTAACTTATTAAAAAGGGACAATATACTTTGGAAGAAAAATTACCATAGTAACTCCCAAGAAGAATGTGACAATAAGCTCTTTGACAATAATATTGTGCATCATCTGGTTTCTGTTCCAAAGCCTTAGTCAGCTCCTACAAAAACAAACATGTGGAGTGTCAGTAACAGTTTGTAAAAAGCCATGAAATTCTAATTAAAACAATTTTTAATCAAATAACTTATTATCAGAAACTATTTGGAGGAAAGATAACAGGGATGTAATCTTGGAGTTTTTCCTCATAAGAAAATCTCCCCTTCTCCTGCCCCTCCTCCCAAAAGTAGACAATCTAACATAGTATCTCTGTACTGTAAAGCATTTAGTTCCTGGCCTATAGAACTCAATAAATGGTCATTATTATCATCTCACATATTCTGAAGAGTTTAACTGATATACATTGACTATTACAGATTTTCTCCTTCTAATTTGGAGAAGATTCAAACTCCATATAGAATTTGAGATTCCTAGAAAATGTGAAGCTGTCCAAAAAAAAAAAGACTAAAAGTTAAATCTAGAGCTCAGGGAGGTTAAGACAATCAATACATACACCATCAAGCTTACCTGGCCCTCTCTTATCCTCTATCAATAGCACACAACTCTAATAAAATGCAATTAAACATTCTGTTCAAAGCCCAGATACAATCTCATAGATGGCTATGGCAACTGATCAAGAGTTAACATTAGAGAGATTAAGACTTTTTTACCCTGTGCAGTCACAACATATAGGTGTGGTAGCTGGAAAAATAATGATGTAAGAGATTACACAATTAGGGAGATCAAGGGCAAGTACAGGAACACTTTTATTTTCTGCCAGCTGCCTACAAACTCTGGGGATTTGGTAGTTTTCTTAAATGGTAAAATTATTTCAATAGCCGCATGTGTCACTGACTTAGCTTTAACCTAGTTTAATTCTCACAAAGCAATGAATACAGATGCCCCTCAACTCACATGGGGTTACAGTCAATCAACAGAAAGTGTGGCTCAAACTAAGAGAGCAAAGAAGCTGTAAGATGCTACTTCAAGGGCCTCACTTTGTACCTTGCAGGCTGTTACAAGGAATTTGGACCTTAGGTGTGATGGAAACCCATGGAAAGGTCATTGTTAGTAGGAGAGAGACATGGTCCAATTTACTTTTTAAAAATGTCATTCTGGTTGCTGTATGGTGAATACATTATAACAAATCAGCACTGGAAACAGAGACTTCTTAGGAAACTACTACATTAAATCTAGGCTAGAAAAGGCTGTTAGCCACAGAGGTGATGAAGAGAAATACAATAAGCTGGAATATATTAGAACCAGCAAGACTTGCTAATGGGTGAACGTGTGGGATAAGAGAAACTGAAGATCACTCCATGGTTTGGGGCTTATTTAGATCTCTACCTGGCATGCAGTAAGCAGTCAATGGATGATTTTTCTCCTTGCAGACTTTCTTCAACCTTTTCCCCAATCTCTACTTTGACTGCATCTCCTTTGCCACAAAATATAAAAATATTTGCCTCTCTAGTCTTAATCTTCTCAAAGCCACTAGTAACCCCTTATCAAATCCAACTGATTCCTATCTGACTTGATCTCTCTGTGGCCCCTGACAATAATAACCAGGACTTTCAGCTTACCATTCTGTTGCCTCTTAAAAACTAATGTTTTCTGGGCTGGGGGCAGTGGCTCACGCCTATAATCCCAGCAATTTGGGAGGCCGAGGCAGGTGGATCACCTGAGGTCAGGAGTTCGAGACTAGCCTGGCCAACATGGTGAAACTCTATGTCTCTACTAAAAATACAAAAATTAATCAGACATGGTGGTGGGGTGGAACCAAAGAATTTACATCAGCTGGGTGCAATGGCTCACGCCTGTAATCCCAGCACTTTGGGAGGCCAAGAAGGGGTGGATCCCTTGAGCCCAGGAGTTGGAGACCAGACTGGGCAACATGGGGAAAACCTACAAAAAATACAAAAACCAATTAGCCAGGCATGGTGCAGGCCTGTGGTCCCAGCAACTCGGGAGGGTGAGGTGAGAGGACTGCTTGGACCCTGGGAGGAGGTAGTTGCAGCGAGCCATGATTGTGCCACTGCACTCCAGACTGGGTGACAGAGCAAGACACTATCCCCCAGAAAAAGAGTAACATTAACTCTGAAATAGCTGGCCTAGGAACCCAGTTTGATGGAGGAATCTGAATGCTAAGCTAAGGATTTTGGAGTTTACCCTACAGGTAGCAAGAAAGGCATTGAGGGTTTCCATATATGAACATTATGTATTCCCAAGGGATATTTTTACTTGATTTTTTTGAGACAGAGTCAAAAAGAGAAGAGAACAGAAAAAACGAGAGAAAAATACAGGAAGGCCAGTATAGAACTGTTAACAATTCAAGAGCTGGCAAGCAAAGACACACTCAGAGCGCTTCTCTTTGTTTCCTTGCCCTCTGAACTGTTCAATAAATAGTGAAGAACACAAAGCTAACTGCAGTATTTGTTTCAGACCTGCTGCTGCTCTCCAATTTAAAAGCAATACAGGAACATTAAATTTGTCACAGCTGAAATTGGTAAAGGCAGACCTCTACAGGTGCTTCTTGACTTACAATGGGTTTATTGGGAGGGGAAGATATCGTAAGTCAAAATGTCTTTAATACACCTAACCTACTGAGCATCAGAGCTTAGAAACGTACTCAGAACACTTACATTAACTTACATTTGGGCAAAATCATCTAACACAAATCCTGTTTTATTATAAAGGGTTGAATAGCTCATGTAATTTATGGGAATAATGTCCTGAACGTGAAAAACAGGATAGGTGTATGGGGACTCAAAGTTCGGTTTCTACTGAATGTGCATCGCCTATGGAACCATCATAAAGTCAAAAAATTCTGAGTCAAACCTTCCTAAGCCCCGGACCGTCTGTATGTGAAGTGCTCCCTAAGGGGCACTATGCCAGATACCATGCCTAAGTGTTTTCCAACTTTCTGTACCACATTCAAAAGGAGCATCTTCATAGATGTTACTGACATCGTGGAAAATATTAGTCTTTCCTTTGTTTTGCAGCTGACAGGATTTTTAAAAGAAGCTCTAAACCACAAGCATATTCCAGCAGCTGTTTGTTCCTCCTAGTATGAGTTACTTCCTCCCTCTGCCACCGTCGCTTGTATTCTAGTTTGAGGAAATATTAAGCAGCACAGTAAATCAGTCTGTTTTCAGAAATTGCTTAGTCCTGGAATTAATATATTTTATAAAACAGGTTTGCTTTAGCTCCTTAAGATTTGGTTACTTAGAATAAAATCTTCCCAGTTTAACAGGCAACTTGCATACATGTATAAATACATGAACTTTAAAAGCACCTTTAGGATTAAGAGGGTTTTGTTATCTGTATTTACAGAATTTAAAGCTGATTACCTCAGCAAGTTTTAGAGCAATTTTAAGAATAGTAATAAGACAAGAATCTCAAGATAACACATTCTTTAGAACCAAGAACTTTAGAACCAAATGTGTAAATGGTTAAATGAAGGATGTTTTAACAACATGGTCTCAGCTGTGGAGATATCATCATCTTTCAAAGCTACCTGCAAAAAAGGGACAATGACCTCACTGGCAAGTGAAAATTAGAAAAATTTAAGGAATTCTCAGCAAATTTCTTATCTTTTAAAATACCCATGGTCATCCCTTAAGAGGGTAAATGCACCTGTCATTAATAAGTAAGTGAGTTCATAAGCAATATTACCTCCAGGATTTTTAATTTCTTGGCAGGGATAATAGTGACATTAAAAGCAAGCTTATACGTTCCTATTAATAAGGAGCAGTAGATTTATTCAAAACCAATTTCTGCTTCAAAACACTTCCAAGCATATAAAAAATGCCATCCTTAAAAGAAGGATTCCCTATTTGATTGTCTCAGTTTATTATAATATGGATGGGCTTTGCATTCTAGATAACATGCCCTTTGTTTGCTGTTTTTGTATAGGAATTATCTCGGAATGTGATAATGCTGGGACTCTACTGATGGCTAGGCACTGCATATCTTCGTTATGTGCCCATTTCCATTCATTCCTTAAAATATTATGAAACACTGTTACAAACAAAACATAATGTATAATTATAATATAGCTAACATATAGCATAATATATACAACATATAATAACATAAAAGCATGATGAAATGACCACCTGTGAACCTGCCGTCCAACTTGAGGAACAGAATGATAATACTGTCGAAGCCCCCGGGTGTCCCTACTCAATTACCCTGCCTTCCTGAAATGTTGATCATTTTCTCTATACTTTTATCACCTTTAGAGCTAAGAAAGTATATTCAAAATTTGGTTTTTGAATTTTATAAAATTCTGTTATATTGCATGCATTCTGCTGCAACTTACTGTCTTTAGGACACCGTGAAGATATCTACCCAGTGTTTTGAAATTCATCTAAGTATCTACACTCTAAAAGTGAATATCTGGCAGAAATAATCTCAGTCAATGAATTTTATAAACCCCTGAAATTAACACTTACCTGCTTCATTGTTAATTGGAAACTCCCAGTTTCCCCTCTTTAATCCACTGGATCAGCTCTTCAAACCCATTCTGAAGGGATGTTCATTTTCTGTGGCTTATTTAGCAAATTCCACATCCCAAAGTGAAGGTGATGTGTCTGTATAAGGCATTTTAAATAAGAACAAGTCAGTGTAAACATCTTTTTAAAAAATGTTATAACCAATTCTGAATTGTGTATTTTTCATACCTTGACACTCATAATTACAGTATATAATAGAAAGTTGTATCACTGAGATTTAACTGCAACAAAAATTATGTTAAAGACTATAACTAGGCTCACGCCTGTAATCCCAGCACTTTGGGAGGCCAAGGAGGGGAGATCACCTAAGGTCAGGAGTTCAATACCAGCCTGACCAACATGGTGAAACCTCATCTCTACTAAAAATACAAAAAATTAGCTGGGTACGGTGGTGCATGCCTATAATCATAGCTACTTGGGAGGCTGAGGCAGGAGAACTGCTTGAACCCCGGAGGTGGAGGTTGCAGTAAGCCAAGATCGGGCCACTGCATTCCGACCTGGGTGACAGAGCCAGACTCTGTCTCAAAAAATAAATAAATAAATAAAGACTATAACTACAATAATGGCAAGCTTAACTTTGGTTTTACAACAATGCCAGGTAATCACTGCCCCTTCTACTGGAAAAAAAAATAAATTTGTATTTTGTTTAAAGGTATTTTTATGAATATGAATATTTTTTATATAATATGTGACTTATTTTTAAACTCTAGGCTGTTTATTTTAACTCTATCAAAATTAGTCACTAATGTACTACTGTTAACAACCAAAGAAGTTAGATCAACAGAATAACAATAAAACTGCTAATGAACACTGAGTACTTCCTCTGTGCTTAAATGTTTTTTATGCATTAGTACATTTAATCCTCAGAACCAACCCTATGAGTTGGCTAATTACCACCATCATATTACAAGTTTCAGTAACTTTTTTACTTTTGAAATTTCAGATCATCTTTTGAGAATGAGCCATATTCCCACCAGTTACTGCTGCTGGGAACGTAAAATGGTACAAACATCTTGGAAAACAGCTTGATGGCTTCTTAAAAAGTTAAAAATACATCTATTATTCATCATAGCTATTTCATTCCTGGATATTTACCCAAGAGATAATACATGTCCACACAAAGACTTGTACACGAAAGTTCATGGCAGCTTTCTTTGTAATAGCCAAATGTGGGGTGTAATTTGGGAAACAATCCAAATGTCCACTAACAGGTGAATAGGTACAAAAATGTAATACATTGGCCAGGCGCGGTGGCTCGCAGCTGTAATCCCAGCACTTTGGGAGGCCAAGGCAGGCGGATCATGAGGTCAGGAGTTCAAGAACAGCCTGGCCAACATGGTGAAACCCCATCTCTACTAGAAATACAAAAATTAGATGGGCATGGTGGTGTGTGCCTGTAAGCCCAGCTATTCGGGAGGCTGAGGCAGGAGAAATGCTTCAACCAGGACCCAGGAGGTGGAGGTTGCAGTGAACCGAGATCGCGCCACTGCACTTCAGCCTGAGCTACAGAGCGAGACTCCGTCTAAAAAAAAAAAAAAAAAAGTAATACAGCCATACAACTGTATACTATTCAGTAATAAAAATGCATTATTAGTACATGGAACAACATGGATGAATCTCAAATCATTAGCTGAGTGAAAGAAGCCAGATGCAAAAGAGTACATACTGTGTGATTTCATTTATGTACAATTCTAAGAGATGCAACCTAATCTATTTTAACAGAAAGCAGATCAAAGGTTGCCTGCATTTTGTGTGTGTGTGTGTATGTGTGGGTGTGTCAGGCTAAAGGACATAAGGAAACTTTTAAGGGTCATGAAAATGTTCAGATTTATAAGTGGGAGTTTCGTGGGTGTATCTATTTGTCAAAACTAGTCGAGTTATATACTTCAAATGTGTGCAGTTTGTTGCACACAAATTACACCTTAATAAAGTTGTAAAAGGAAAATGAATATCAATATCTATCCCTTGGCTACTTTTTTCCCTGTATTTTTGGACCTTAATTATTTTTTCAAACATTTTTGACCTTTCTGGGCTAGAGGCATAGACTGCATATGATTTATCCTCCAGCCTACCTGTTTACACACTTTTGTCAAGCCCCCTAAAGCATGTCAACAAATAGCTCATTTACTCTTCTACCTGGGTAAGCCTTATTTTATCTATTTGCTTTTTCTGAATGGGTTTCTGTGAGCCTTTATGTGCAGAAATGTGTCTAATCACACACTGACTGGCAGAAATTAAGTATTTTCACCTAGATCATCTGATACTGGGTAACTATCACAGTTGTTAGGCTTAACTAGCCACATTTACAGAGCAATCACACCAATAAAATAACTATCTCAGTTATCTTTTATTTGGTGGACACTGACCGACCTATGTCTTTTCCATCATCATCAGGATCATCATATTTTACACTTGCTAATAGTTGCAAACATTTATTAAATGTGTACTACGTTCCAGGCACTGTGCCTCACACTTTTCTCAGATGACCTCATTTAATCCCGGAGATGTATGTACTAACCCCCATTTTATAGGTGGGGAAAGCTTAGTGCAGCAGAATCGGAATTTGAATCCAGTTCTACACAACACCAACACTGTTTCTGTTGAGCTATACTGCCTGTCAACTCTCGGATAACCAGTAGGGCCTATGACAATATCCTTTGTAGCAGTGGTAAGAATTTAGTGGGGAACAAGACGTGGGAATCATGGAACAGAATAACTCAATCAATCGGTCAATAAAAAAATTACTGAATGCCAACTATATTTCCAGCATTGTTTGGGATATAAGATAACAACAATGAACAACTGCTAAATTTAAGTTTCCACATTTTGTTATTCTTGTACTTAAATGGAAACAAAAAACATTCTTTAGACTCATGCAAGTACAGCACATTCAAACAGTAACTTCATTAAATTATTACATAAATTTGTGTGCTACTTTCCTCACTAGAATATAATCATTTGATACTGTTTTATAAAATACATAAAATTTAAATGCCTCCTTGCCAACTAATTTCAGTTTAAGAAATAAGATTTTTTTATTTTAAAAAGTAAGCTGGCTTCTTCCGGAATCCAAGTATCTCTTTTGGCTGGACAACAGCAGCTGCCCTGACAAAAAATTCCTTTCTGATGCACACTTAACGGATACCATTTGAGCAGGGGAGAGGTGATTCATTGTCCCTATGCATTTTGCATTTCCTTTTTATCATACACAACAGAATGCAGTTTTTGTAATACAGGGGGTTGTTCTTTTAGCTTCACCTTCAGTTCTAACGAACAAACGTTAATTGAATTCACTACTTTCCTTTATAGATGTATATTTTATACTACAGTTTCTTCAAAAAGAATTTAAGATTTAAGATAACTAGTTCCTATGATCTGTAAGCCACATGAGTAGATGCTATAGGGTATATAGACATGAATGAGATCTAGCCTCTAACATAGTTTATTAAATAGGGGGAAAATCAGAAGTTCATGTAAGTAACTGGTAGAAAGATTAAATGAGCCATTGGAGGCTGGCCTAGGAACTTATCTATCACGTACAACATTTTTTTTTCTCCTTTGAGGGGGGGTCTCACTCTGTCACTTAGGCTGGAGTGTTATGGCACAATTGTAGCTCATTGCAGCATTGAATTCTGGGCTCCAGTGATCCTCCCACCTCAACCTCCCAGGTTGCTAGGACTATAGGCATGCACCACCATACCCAGATAATTTTTTTCTATTTTTTTACAGAAAGGATCTCACTATGTTGCCCAGGCTGGTCTTGAACTCCTAATCCCAAGCCATCCTGTCATCTCAGCCTCCTAAGTGCATATACAACATTATTTCTATCAAAGTCCAAAAAACTAACTTCTATTCATTAGAAATGCTCATCACTTACACTCTGGAGACCATCTGTATTGAGTTTCTTCATTTATTTTACTAGTAAACCAAATTTAATGCCAAGCAAGAGGACACTCATTTCTCTTTTAGACTTAAATGGTAAATTTCTTACCCAAAGAAAAGGGGAAGAACAGAGAACAAAGACCAACCATGTGTTAAGAAAAAAACACAAGTCTCTTAAATATATTCCTTGAATGTTCTTCCCATCTCCTGAACAATCACTAAATCACTTCAATAAGTTATTTTATAAATGCTATCTCCTCTTCTAGATAGCAAGCTGCCTAGGGACAGGAACCAGTATGTCTTTATGTAATAGCATAGAGATACACTGCAAATGGTAGGTGATTAATAATGTTCTAACCCAAATTAGGGGCTAATCTGGACCTCTGGATTCATGTAATCGGTAATACTCACCTCCCATTATCTCACAGAATGCAACATTTCAAGAGGGAAACTGAACCACAACTAGCAATCTCAACAACTGTAGTGTGGTATGTCCCCCACCAGGTTACTGTGTATGTGTGTTGCTTGAACCCTGAAGGCTGGGCAGGGAGCCAAGGCCACAGTGCCTAGCTGAGGAGCAGGTGTCCCTGAGAACCCAAACATCCCAGGGCATACCTCAAAACATATCAAGGAAAACAGTCTCATCGTGCACACACAGTAGGCAAACAGCCAGAATATAAGCTTAAAAGCAGCTTAGAGATAAGAGGCAGGGTGACTCTACAGCTGCCCAGAAATGTCCAGTAGGTAAGTTCTAGTAAACTCATCTATTCATCAAGCTGGACTTGCCCAAATTATTCTTTGGTCTCTCGATGCCTTCCCAATTTGGGGGGACGTTATAGTCCCGAGTTTTCCTTCTAACAACCGCCACATTCATCATTCGGATCCAGGCCAATGACAGGAGGGAATATTAAAATATCCGACTATTACACCATCAAAACCTTCAGGACATCTTGTAAAGATGGAATATTTCTCCACCTGAGAAACAGTTATTCTTAACAAACCTGTTCAGGTGCTTCTTTAGTAACTGTCGTCACGTCAAAACTATTACATCTCTTCCCCTTGAATATGTTTTTCCTAAGACAAAAAAAAAAAAAGAATATTTTAATGAATATATTTTAAACTGTCAACAAAAATTATGAGAAAAAAATTTAAGTGAAATATTCTATGTAAAAATTCAAAATAATTCCACTGACGCACATCAAACATCTTACCTAAATTGCCACATTTTTAGGACCGATAGACTAAAAACAGAAATGTGCACTTGAAGTTTTGCTTCATAATACAACAAATCAGTTACAGCAACTTAATTTCCAAAATATCTAATTGAAAAGATTAGCTCAATTTGCCATAATTTTTATTTGTTCCCTTTTATATTAAGTTTTAAAAACTCTATGTTGTGAAAAACTATAAAACTATGCAAAAAAGAAGCTGTTGAAGTCGACATTTGTTTTTAAGGGCAGAAAACATTGCAATGTTTAATTACAAATTATAATTACAAAAGATTGCATAGGTAAATCACAACATTCCCTTTCATAAAGCATTCTGTAAAATAACTTTCTTTACATGACGATTTTTAATTAACTATTGAAATTAATATCAGAGTTAATAAGTAACATTGTCTTGCAAACTTGATATGCTTTATGCATCAATTTACATATTTACTTGAATAAACTTACTGGCAGATTAAAATCCAGTTTATAAACTGGAGGGTTAATTTTAAAAATAATTTCAAATTCTTTTTTTATGGACTAAGTTACTTTTCTCTACTAAATAGAACTGGAAAAAATGCAAATACCATATGAACGTTAAATAATGTGATCTCAAGTCATACAAGTTTTCCTCTAGCAGGTTCCTAAGTTATTTGTAAACAAAGGTTTTTATGCCAGAATTTTCCTCAGTGCCTTGCATTCTTCTCCCTCAACCGAACATCCGGTGAACAGGATGGTGGATTAAAGCAAGTCACAGCAGAGAGGAAATGCCTTGGTAAAGCACTGAACTTCAAAAGAGGAATGTACAACAGAGAAAGGGAATGGACATTTGCTGAGCACCTACTATGTACCAGATAGTTTATACGTGGTTTCTTTTCTATTCCTCAAGAAAGCCATTTAAGCTAGGTTTCACTTTCAGCATTTTACAGCTGGGGAAACAGGCTGATGAAGGCTATAAAAGGTGCCCCGGTCACAGAATTAGTCAGTGGCAGTGCCAACATTCTGAGAAAGGCCAGTGTGAACTGTCAATTTCCAACAGAAGCAATAAGTCCAGGCCTGGGTTGTCTGGGGTTGATACCTCAGACCCTGCCCAAGTCATATCAGGGTGAACAACTTGGCATCTCACCATTGCTTCCCCTTACTCCCCTTTAGCTGGCTTTTTAACACACTGAAGGCACAGGAACCCCTTTCCTACTTTTTTAGTTTCTCCTTTGCCACCTAATTTTTAAAATATTAAATATCAAATCTAATACTAAAAATCAAATATGCCATCCCGATGTAGCTGCACAGTATTATATGCAAGCTGAATGATTCAGTTAAATTTTCTCCAGTATTAACTGACTCAGTTAAATATTCTTAAGTAAAACTCCAAGAGCACTTTCTACTTTATTCAATAATATGTAACAGATAAGAAATCACTTTAAATTAGTAATTCAAATAATATTCCAAAGTCACCATAAATTATTGAACTTTGTGTGTTAACTGCTAACCACCTTTTCCAACTTTCCTGTATAAATCAGTAATTTAACACCCAGGAGTTAACTCAAGTGCCTGATTTTACTTAAAACAAATCCACGGAGGCCAGGTGTGGTGGCTCACGCCTGTAATCCCAGCACTTTGGGAGGCTGAGGCAGGTGGATCACGAGGTCAGGAGATCGAGACCATCCTGGCTAACACAGTGAAACCTCATCTCTACTAAAAATACAAAAAATTAGCTGGGCGTGGTGGCGGGCACCTGTAGTCCCAGCTACTCAGGAGGCTGAGGCAGGAGAATGGTGTGAACCCAGGAGGTGGAGCTTGCAGAGAGCCGAGATCCCGCCACTGCACTCCAGCCTGGGCGACAGAGCGAGACTCCATCTCAAAAACAAACAAACAAACAACAACAAAAAAAACAAATCCACGGAATACACAATCTATTGAAAACACTCCAATTGTGAGCATATCCTGCTATAAAGACAGGTTAGGCCAGGTGCGGTGGCTCACGCCTGTAATCCAAACACTTTGGGAGGCCGAGGTGGGTGGATCACTTGAGGTCAGGAGTTACCAGCCCGGCCAACATGGTGAAACCCCGTCTCTACTAAAAATACAAAAATTAGCTGGGTGTAGTGATGTGCCCCTGTAATCCCAGCTACTGGGGCGGCCGTCAGGGGAATCACTAGAACCCAGGAGGCAGAGGTTTCAGTGAGCTGAGATGGCACCACTGCAGTCCAGCCTGGGCGACAGAGTGAGATTCCGTGTCAAAAAAAAAAAAAAAAGACAAGTTAATTTTTGTCCGGCCATGCCAAATATCTGGCTCCTCCTTCCCAACTACCACTTTCAGGATTTAAAAGGAGAGAAAGAATAGAAACTTTCTGCAAATACAGAACAACTTTAGATTCTAAAATAACTATGTAAGACATGGCTCAGCATCTTTAAGAACTTCAAATGGCCACAAATAATCTACCATTTTAAGGTATAGGGTGCAATGGCACGATCTTGGCTCACTGCAACCTCCGCCTCCCGGATTCAAGCAATTCTCCTGACTCAGCCTCCTGAGTAGCTGGGATTGTAGGCGCCCGCCACCACGTCCAGCTAATTTTTATATTTTTAGTAGAGATGGGGTTTCACCATGTTAGCCAGGCTGGTCTCAAACTCCTGACCTCGTGATCCGCCTGCCTTGGCCCTCCAAATTGCTGGGATTACGGGTGTGAGCCAACATGCCCGGCCTACGCCTTTCTTTCTTTTTGTTGATGGTGGGTCATTTCTCTAACATATAACAAAAGATAAGCATGTATAGAGATATAAAGGGTAAATGAATACACAGTATTAGGCATTTATATTTATTTATTTATTAATTATTATTATTAATATTATTTGGAGACGGAGTCTCGCTCTGTCGCCCAGGCTGGAGTGCAATGGCGCAAAATCGGCTCACTGCAACCTCCACCTCATGGGTTCATGCCATTCTTCTGCCTCAGCCTCCCTAGTATCTGGGACTACAGGCACCCGCCACCACACCTGGCTAATTTTTTTTTGTATTTTTAGTACAGACAGGGTTTCACCATGTTAGCCAGGATGGTCTCAATCTCCTGACCTCGTGATCTGCCCACCTCGGCCTCCCAAAGTGCTGGGAAACAGGCATGAGCCACCGCACCCGGCCGACATTTATATTTAAAATGAAAAATAATGATTCTCACAAAATACTCACTTGTTCAGAATTCAGTCAGCTCTATTTATTCTTAATCAAAGTACCCCTATTCATCATGGGTAGATGTGAAGCATGGCCCGTTTTGATTTGAAGTATAGAAAAATGCAGGACTGGCTAAATCCAGCACATGGTTCGCTCTCTAGGAATTGGTATACAGAGAGTGAGAACACAGATGTAAATGCATGCATAATGCTCACATATCCAACAGCAATAATACACACATGCAATAAGGTAAATCTACTGTCAAGGTAAAACCAAACTACACAAACAAAACCCAGCAGACTACAAAGCCTGATATCTGTTTCTAAGATCAGCGGTCTTCTCCTAGCCAGGATAATTGTCATAGCCTTTGTCAAACTGAATCTGATGCTCTGGTCTTATATTAACTCTAGCTGTAGCACATTTGGCAATTTTCGTATCTCATATTTTGTTACTGAAACTGAAATAATAAAAAGGTAAAGTGCATTAGAAATCTTAGCTACAGCCGGGCACAGTGGCTCACGCCTGTAATCCCAGCACTTTGGGAGGCCAAGGCGGGCGGATCACCTGTGGTCGGGAGTTCGAGACCAGCCTGGCCAACATGGAGAAATCCCATCTCTACTAAAAGTACAAAATTAGCCGGGCATCATGGCAGGCACCTGTAATCCCAGCTACTTGAGAGGCTGAGGCCAGAGAATCACTTGAACACAGGAGGTGGAAGTTGCAGTGAGCCGACATTGCACCACTGCACTCCAGCCTGGGCAACAAGAGCGAAACATTGTCTCAAAAAAAAAAAAAAAAAAAACCTTAGCTACAGAACAGTAATAAACTTTCTTAAACAGGAGAGTGATATCATTTAATTCTTATTTCATTGCTATGCACTAATTATACAGCATACAAAGTTATGTTTAAAAAAGTCATCTATTAACATTCACAAAACACAGAACATTACGTATTTATGTTTACTTCCATCTTTTTTTCTTTTTGAGACAGAGCCTTACCCATCTTTTAAAGATGTTCTTCAGAAATCTTCACTTCAAACATAAAAGTGTCACATGAAAAATTATTTCGAAAGGGGCTGGGCGTGGTGGCTCACGCCTGTAATCCCAGCACTTTTGGAGGCCGAGACAGGCGGATTGCAAGGTCAGGAGATCGAGACCATCCTGGCTAACACAGTGAAACCCAATCCCTACTAAAAATACAAAAAAATTAGCCAGGTGTGGTGGCGGGTGTCTGTAGTCCCAGCTACTGGGGAGGCTGAGGCAGGAGAATGGCGTGAACCCAGGAGGTGGAGCTTGCAGTGAGCCGAGATCATGACACTGCACCCCAGCCTGGGCAACAGAGCGAGACTCCGTCTCAAAAAAAAAAAAAAAAGAAAAATTATTCCAAAAAAATGAAAGTACAGTCAGTATCTGTATACCTATCACCTACATTCAATAACTAAATTAAAACCAAGAGGTAGACATATTTATTTATTGCCTTGTATTTGTTCAAACACAAACAAAATGAGTCACTGAACTGACAGTCCAGATAGCTATGTTTTCCTTTTTTTTTTTTGAGGTGGAGTCTCGCTCTGTCGCCCAGGCTGGAGTGCAGTGGCACAATCTCAGCTCACTGCAAGCTCCGCCTCCCGGGTTCATGCCATTCTCCTGCCTCAGCCTCCTGAGTAGCTGAGACTACAGGCGCCTGCCACCACACCTGGCTAATTTTTTTGTATTTTTAGTAGAGAAGGGGTTTCACCGTGTTAGGATGGTCTCAATCTCCTGACCTCGTGATCCACCCGCCTTGGCCTCCCAAAGTGCTGGGATTACAAGCGTGAGCCACTGCGCCCGGCCTTATCTTTTTCTTTTTTTAAAAATACAATTTCTTTCAGAGATAGGGTCTCTGTCGCTCAGGCTGGAGTGCAGTGGTGCCATCATAACTCAATGCCGCCTCAAACTCTGGACTTAAGCCATCCTCCCGCCTCAGCCCCCAAAGTAGCTAGAACTACTGGCACACGCCACCATGCCCAGCTAATTTTTTTATGGTTTGTAAAGATGGGGTCTTGTTTTGCTGCCCAGACTGGTCTCAAATTCCTGGCCTCAAATGATCCTCTCACCTCAGCCTCACTGTGCTGGGATTATGGGCATGAGCCATCACACATGACCATTTCTTTCAACTTCCTGAAATACATCTGGTACACACGCTCACTGGGAACAACAGATTTAGATCACTCTCCAAAATGAAGCAGTGTTACCACTTACTACAATGTAGGCAGCAAGGAGTCTAACGTAGCATAAAATAATGAGAGATGAAGAGAGTAAGTGGAAAGATGTCAGCTTAAACATAAGAATAGGAGGAAAAAGAGAAGGAAACAGACCTGAAGATTGCTATACCATGCATAAAACCAGCAAGCTATTTAACTGAAAAAAAAATTACTTTTCTCAGAAAAGCTATCTTATTCTGTTATTTTTAATAACATTACTGAATTTATCATTTCTTGTTTCATGGACAAGAAACTGTAACTTCCTAAAAGGAAAGTAACTATTCAATTGGTCTCTTAAAACTGTATCTTACTTAAGACATATGTTTTTTAAAAACTTGAATTGCTAAAATTCCACTTATATGTTATATTCTATATGTAAATTCTACTTATGTGGTCTGTATTATGTGTATTACTTACTAGCCACATGAAAATGGCCTATTTTGAGATATAAACATTACTAACCTAATGGTTTGATTCACTTACCTAACTAGGTCTCTCTCCATCTCTCTGTGCCCCTGACTCTTCCTCATGCTACGGAGCTGCCTGAGCAGTTCTGGCTTGTTTGCTTGTCAAAACAGAGCAGCAGATGCAGCTGCCACCAACTCAGGACTCACGGGCTCATTTCTGAAAAAGAAAATGAAAACCAAATGAGAAAGAAAAAAGAGAGATTGCTTATTATGCCAGTAGTTTAGTGAAAAGTAAAATGATTTTTTGGGGAAGACTTTCTATTGTTCAAAAAAGTTATCATTCAATTCAATTTCTGACAAAAGCAAGAATTCTCAACTATTAGGTATCACTTTTATATAAACTTTGAAATGTTAACTCAGAACAATATATTAACATGGAGGGATGAGGGATCAGCGTCAAACATTATAAATTAGTGGAATTTTCAACTAGATGCTATTGCATTTCAAAAACAATACATATTGCAAGCAAATATTGAGGCAGCTTAACCTGTTCACAGAAGCTTTACTCAAAATAGCCCCAAACTGGAACCAACCTAAGGTCTATTATTAGAAAGAAAAAACAAATTGTGAGATATCCAAACAATGGAAGAGTACTCAGCTTATGCCAACATGACTGACTCTCATAGACATTAGATCAAGTGAAAGAAGCTGGACATGGAATATATTCTGTATGATTCCATTTCTATCAAGTTCCAGAACAGGCAAAACTAATCTGAGGTGAAAAAACAAAACAGCAATTGCCTCAGGACAGAAGGCTACTGATTGGGAATGTGAAAATGGGAAACACAGTGTCTTGGTTAAGTGTCTGGGTCACATGGGCTTATCCACTTATCAAAATCCTCCAGCCACCATGCGGTGAGAAAGCCCAGGCCACAAAGAAAGCCACATGTAGGTGTTTCTGCTAACACCCTCAGCTAAGGTCTCAGCTGACAGCTGGCATCAACTGCCAGACCTATGAGTGAGCAAACTTCAGATAATTCCAGCCTCAGATTTCTAGGTCTTCTAACTGAGGCCCCAGACATCAGAGAGCACAGACTGGCCTTCCCCACTGTGTTCCAGCCAAATTGCTAACCCACAGAATCTGTGAGCGTAATGAGTGAATGTTTTATGCCACTAAGTTTGGGAGGTAGTGTAACCATGGTAACCTTATCAATGGGGATTTAATATATAATACAAAGAAAGAAAAGCAGGCTATGCATGAAGCTATGATGACAGTGCCTCATGAAGCAAAGATCATGACTCATCTAATCCCATGCATCCTGGAAGTCCTTGAAAAGCGGGGAGGGGAGGCAAAAATCATTAAAAGACACCTTTTAAAAACTCAAAACAAATGCACCTTGTTCACCAGTCTTTTGATGTAGGACCAAAGCCTCTTTTTTAAACACAGGACCATTGATAAAAGGTTCTAAGACATATATTGTATATACATCACACCTATCCTGCAATATTTTCAATTTTGGTTTAAGTGGAAAAGTGGAGCAAGAATGTGAGATAGCTTACAAAGCGATCTAAGGGTATGATGCTCCTGCGTATGTATATTTGTCTCACTCATGCCTAACTGGAAAGAAATTGTTTACGTGACCTTTACCGACTCTTTCCAAAGCATTCAACTCACTTTACCATTTCTGTAATAGTTAATTAAATTATAATAAAGGGCATGAGGGGTCATAAACAGGTCTGGTAGCCTTAAAAATGCCATTCTTGATATGTATTTATATATGTTTGTGTGTGTTATTTACTTCCATATACTTATATAACTGTTTTCTTTCTAAAGGAGGAGGAGGAAGTACCTATTATGGGTACCGATTGTCTGAATTAGCTTACTCTACCACCCAATTATACTTTCCAGAGGTATTTTTGATACCACATAGAAACCAAGAAGTTCCATTAAAATGTTAAACCATTCTGGGAAACAGAAGCCTATATTAATCTGTTTGTTCTGATAAGGGAAGTCAGTGATGGGTATCCTAAGCCACACACCTTACTACTTCAATTAATGACATCACTGAAATACATCATTATGTATCACTAAAAAAAAAAAATACTGCCATTTAACCTACATGCCATTTAACACAATGCCAAGATATCACTGATTGCACTTAGAATTAAATATAATACCCTTTTGACAAGCACAAGTAATTATAATGCTCTGAGGAAGCCAAGAAAGCTGAAAGCATGGATAGTTATTGGTCAAAGGAAGTTATATAGAGCAGTTGTAATCAACATGCTAAAACTTTATTCCAGAAAAAAAATCTTTAAAATGGAAAATTTCAAATAAGCGAGTCCTTTACAGACATGAAGCTACCTTCAAATCAAGATGTAAATGATATTGTTAATTAACAGCTTAAAGAGGCAGTTAAGTGGCAGTTAATAACACCGATAAATATGTAAGAGTATGGAATTCTCAATGAGATCTCTTTTCCTTTCACTGGATTGTGTGCAGATATCCTCTTGTTATTTAAATATAATACAATAACAGCATTTCTCAAGTAATTATTAGAGTCCCTGTGTTTACAAGCTGATATTTATTCTTCATTAATTCAACATCTCCCAAGTACTTGTATTAAAAATATTTTTGCCAAAAGAAAAAGCTTACTGGAGTTTCAAAAATTAGTTTCAAACAGCCGGACATAGTGGCTCACACCTGTAATCCCAGCACTTTGGGAGGCCAAAGCAGGTGGATCACAAGTTCAAGAGATCGAGACCATCCTGGCTAACATGGTGAAACCCCGTCTCTACTAAAAATACAAAAAATTATCCTGGCGTGGCAGCATGTGCCTGTGGTCCCAGCTACTCAGGAGGCTGAGGCAGGAGAATGGCGTGAACCCGGGAGGCGGAGCTTGCAGTGAGCCGAGACGGTGCCACTGCACTCCAGCTTGGGTGACAAAGCGAGACTCTGTCTCAAAAAACAAAAACAAAACAATACAAAAAAAATTAGTTTCAAACAACATTCAAATTACAATTAAATTTACCTCTTCTTTGGAGCATGCTCTGTAGCTCTTTGAGGCGGGCCAGTTGTAGCTTTTAAGTGGACTTCTGTTGGGTGGCTTTGTTGTTTGTACATTTACTGTGCTCAATTCAACTTTCGTGCCCTTAATAATGTCTAACAAGTCTTTTTTCCTGTTTTCCTTTACACTGTCTTGGTTCTCTGAAGTCTTCTTGGAAGTCTCAACAGTTCACACTGCTCAACTTTCTTGCTACAGATAGCGCTGTTAGTGCCAAAATATCTTTGGATATTATTTTTTGTCCTGGAAAGATGCATTAAAAAAAATGAAAAATACAGTGCAGGCTAATAAGGAAAAAAACTATGTGTCTAAATTTTTTTCAATTCAAGCCTTTTCCATTTGCTTTTTATAATTATTGTTAACAACCATAGCAGCAGCAACTTACCATTTATTAGCATACACTACATGCCTCACCTTGTGCAATATGTTTTATGTACATTTCTCATACCCACATTAACTCCCTAAGGTCTCCATTTTGCAGATAAGGAAACTGAAAATCAGAGAAGTAACTTACCTAAGGTCATGCACCTCACAGCTCACTAAGGCCTAAGACACACTGGGGTGCCACAAATAAGTAGAGGTATGCTGAGATATTGATCACCTGCTCCTTGGGGTGGCCAGGGGAGGCCTGGGGGTGCTGGTGCTCCCAAATCTGTTCCTTCCCACCATTTACCCCAGAGTTCAGTAGAAAAACTCTGACATGGTTAATAAATGACAATTCATTATTCTCAAATCCAGATCTGACTGACTGCAAGTCCTTGATCTTAACATGATATAACACCTCTTTAAAAAGTTATAATTAGGCCGGGCGCGGTGGCTCACACCTGTGATCCCAACATTCTGGGAGGCTGAGGCGGGTGGATCACGAGGTCAGGAGTTTGAGACCAGCCTGGCCAACGTAGTGAAACCCCGTCTCTATTCAAAATACAAAAACTGAGCCGAGCGTGGTGGGACGCACCTGTAATTCCCAGCTACTTGGGAGGCTCAGGCAGGAGAATCGCTTGAACCCGGAAGGCGGAGGTTGCAGTAAGCCTAGATCACACCATCGCACTCCAGCCCAGGCGACAGTGCAAAATTCGTCTCAATTTAAAAAAAAAGTTATAATTAAATATGAAAATAAATTTCTATCAATCAAAAAGATTTACTTTCAAAAACTGAGTGGGTGTTAACCTGATCATCATTTTCATCAAGCTACATGCCACTTACACTTAACCCATAACCACCTGTAAGCTAAGCTAAAATGGAACAGAAAAGAGAATAATCAATGGCTAGAAATGTCATTTTTGCTTTCTTCATTAGATACATTTATGAAAGAGAACACCACAAATGATTACATCTATATTAGACTCATGCAAAAGATGTCCTAATTCTAAGTAACCCAAATACCCAATTTTATTCTGTGGGGTTAAAAATCTCTTTTGGTATTTGATTACTGAAGATCTTTAAAAATTCTGAATGTGTTGGTTTCAGTAAGAGGGTATATTTAAAAAATCATTCATTAAATATAGTGAATATCTACTCTGTGCTGGGCACTATACTAGGTACTGACAATATATTAGTAAATAAGAATTTCATAGTCCCTACTTTTATGAAGCTGATGTGCTACAGCACTGCTTCTCAAACTTTAATATGCATAGAAATCATTTTTTTTTTGAGACAGGGTCTCACACTGTCACACAGGCTGGAGTGCAGTGGCATGATCTTGGCTCACTGCAGCCTCAACCTCGCCGGGCTCCGGCGATCCTCCCACTTCAGCCTCCTGAGTAGTTGGGACTAATTTTCTGTAGACACAGGTTTCCCCACATCACCCAGGAACTCCTGGGATCTGCCCACCTAGAACTCCCACCACCCACCTAGGCCTCCCTAAGTGCTGGGATTACAGGCCTGGGCCACTGTCCCTGGCCCATAGAAAGTATCTATGCTGCTTGCTAAAATACAGATTCTTTGGTCCCACCAAACTACTCTGATTCAGTAGCTTTTTCCAGGAGACACTTGAGAATTTCCATTTCTAACAAACTCCCAGGTGTTGCTAATGCTGCTGGTCAGGGGACCACTTTACAGTAGCTATGTTACCTATGTTACTTAATCCTTACAATCTTAAAGCACAGATTTTATTATTCTCGTTTTACAGAACAAACTGCTGCCCACAGACGTTAAGTTAGTGGTTATGAATCTCTAGAGGTTATACAAATCACATAGGCAGCCGACTTAAAACACAGATTGCTGAGATTCTTAGTTTGTAAGTTTGGAATGGGGTTCAGGGATCAGCATGTTAAATTAGACCCAGGTGCTTCTGATGCAGGTGAGCTCAAGAGCCGTATCCGACCTTAGGTTAATACCATATCAAGTTCTCAAAGCCAGAAAATGGTAGCCACAGGCTAAGGATAGTTGCATGAAAGAGAAAATGCAATTTCAAAAAATGCTGAAACAAACTATTTGATCTGCTTATGAAAACGTCAGAGGCTATCAAATCAGGCACTTTTAAATTAGAATGAAAAAACAATTGCAAACTAGTATCCTCATACTAAGTACACAAGGACTCTCATAATATTCAATATATGGTACAATCTAGGAAAATAATCTATTATTTTACATTTAAAGTTAATATTGGCCGGGTGCAGTGGCTCACACCTGTAATCCCAACACTTTGGGAGGCTGAGGCGGGTGGAACACCTGAGGTCAGGAGTTGGAGACCAGGCAGGCCAACATAATGAAACCCCGTTTCCACTAAAAATCATGAAATGAGCCCAGCATGGTGGTATGTGCCTGTCCTTTAAGATTGTAAGGATTAAGTAACATAGGTAACATAGCTACTGTACTCGGGAGGATGAGGGACAAGAACCACTTGAACCCAGGAGACAGAGGTTGCAGTGAGCCGAGATCGTGCCACTGCACTCCAGCCTGGGACACAGAGCAAGACTCTGTCTCAAAAATAATTAATAATAATAATAATAATAATAATAATAAATAAAGTTGGCCGGGGACGGTGGCTTACGCCTGTAATCCCAGCACTTTGGGAGGCTGAGGGGGGCAGATCACCTGAGGTCAGGAGTTCGAGACCAGTCTGACCAACATGGAGAAACCCCATCTCCACTAAAAATACAAAATTAGCCAGGTGTGGTGGTGCATGCCTGTAGTCCCATCTATTTGGGAGGCTGATGCAGGAGAATCTCTTGAACATGGGAGGCAGAGGTTGCGGTGAGTCAAGATCAGCCTGGGCAGTAAGAGCGAAACTCCGGCTCTAAATAAATAGTTAATACTAAAGGTATTTTTACAGAAAGGTGGTAATCAGGGGAATGAATCTCACATATAATCTTTACTACCGTGTTTTCTTTCAAGACTGCTATCATACCACAGAAAGCAATCTACATTATAGGAAAACCATGTATAAATAACTCCATAACACTAATATAATAAAATTCTAAACCTAACCTCCCACCTGAGTTTGTTTCCACTGACAGCATCGCATCAGTACTTCAAATGCAACACCTTCAAAACGACATTCAAGACGTCCCCTTTCAGACTGACTTTCCATTTTTCACACTTCTATATTAAAATGCCCCTGACATAAACAGATTTTTTTTGTTTGTTTTCTAAAAACTATAACATATGTAAAAATCTTTCTCAACCCCGGATCTGCATTCTTCTGCTAACATTAAGGATACCAACTCCAACGCAGCCAGTTGAAATCTTTGCTCTCTCTGACCACCCTACCATTATCCCATGATGTCACATCCCCTTAATTCTACCTGGGCAATTTTTCTCCTCCATTCAGCTGGTCCTTCCCATCTTCACTGCTACTAATCTGCTTCAGCACTGTACTTAACCAAACTGGCTTCTGAGTGTTATGCATGGAAGTTACACAGTGGAATTAGGCTTTCATAACAATAAAGTACTCGGAGGATAAATAGCAAAACCAAGTATGCTGCAACATCTTTTCTTTCCTGGCTAATTTCAACCAGTGGTCCTTCAGATTTCATCAGACTTTTCTTCCAGAAAGGATATCCTGAGTCGCCCCTGCAATGGTTAGGTGTCCCTATTTGCTCCTCTAGCAATTACTTGTTGCATGAATAGTGTACTCTGTGCTTCCATACACTATCTCAGCAATTACTTCACTACACAGCACTTGTATTGTCTACTTGCTGGAACTACACCCTCCGTGACGACAAGACTGTCTTACTTGGGGTTTATGACCAGTACTGGCACGCTGTAAAGTTTTCCAATAATGAACGAAAGAATAAACGAAGGAAACAGAAATGAGACTATCAAATAAATCTTGGGAAGCAAAAGCTAAAACAACTTCGCTTTTGGAGCTTGGATAAACTGACAGGAGTTGATGACAAGACGAATGAGGCACAGCGACCAGCTTGTAATCGGAGCACTGTTTTCCAGGCACGCTATGATCTTGGGCAAGTCATCTTATCTTTCTGGGATTTTTCTTTTCTCAGATGTAAAGCAATAGATTCTAAAACCCAGCAGGTAATACCTTCGACCCCGGGAAGTCGGAGGATAACTGAATGTACAGCACGGGGCACGGGGATGCCCGAGGACCTGCGGGGCCAAGAGCGCTGAACTGCGGTACCTGACCGTTCCATGCCGAGCAGCGAGTAGCAAAATTGCAGCCGCTGATGTCTCCGGGCTTCCACAGGACAAAGGGTGGCAGGAAAGGGTGCTAAGAGGTAGAAACACCGAGACTCTACCAACACCGCGGAAACACAAAGCCAACCAGGAGCGCAACTGTAACAGTGCGTCCCCATGCCAAACACATCCCCCGCGCTCTCCTCCGTTTCCGGTCTGGCTTGTTCCCCTCCCTTTGCTTTCCGGTGGGCAACAGGGGTGGGTAACTGTGTTCCGGACTCGCCCGCGGGCCGGGCGGAGCCAGCTACCTCCAGGCGACCCTACCCACCCCGCGATTCTATTCCTGGAGACTGAGTCCTCGCCAGTGTTCAGCAAGGTTCGCTGGCCTAGGAGGATCCTAAACCGCCGAGACCGCCGAACGAGATAGTGGAGGGCGTGATCAGTTGTGCAAAAACTACAGACGCAGTCCGTTTTTAAGTTGTTTTTTTCTGAGACGGAGTCTCCCTCTGTCGCCCAGGCTGGAGCGCAGTGGTGCGATCTCAGCTCACTGCAACCTCCGCCTCCCGGGTTCAAGCAATTCTCCTGCCTCAGCCTCCTGAGTAGCTAGGATTACTGGCGTGCGCCACCACGCGCGGCTAATTTTTTTTTTTTAATTTTTTTGTACTTTTAGTAGAGACGGGGTTTCACCATGTTGGCCAGGCTGGTCTCGAACTTCTGACTTCGTGATCTGCCTGCCTAAGCCTCCCAAAGTGCTGGGATTACAGGAGTGAGCCACCGCGTCCAGCCGATCAGTCTGTTCTTTAACAGACACTTACTGTGCGTTGTTTGGAGGGAAAGGGTCTATAGCGTTCATCACGTTCTCAAACCAAAGAGGTTTAAAAAAATTACCATAGGACCTGCTGCCCGATGAAATAGCGTTTCTTTTCAGTCTTTATTCTTGATGTAGAGTCAAAATAACACTTAAGTTTCATTTTTCACAAGTGATTTTAGGCCGGGCGCGGTGGCTCACGCCTGTAATTTCAGCACTTTGGAAGGCCGAGGCGAGTGGATCACCTGAGGTCAAGAGTTCCAGACCAGCTTGGTCAACACGGTGAAACCCCGTCTCTACTAAAAATGCAAAAATTAGCCGGGCGTGGTGGCGCACGCCTGTAAATCCAGCTACTCAGATTCCCCGCGGGCGCGCGGGAGGCCGCCAGCCCAGGCCGGGGGAGTTCGGCCAGAGCCAGGTGCAGGGAACCGGCTCTGCGGGAGCGTGGGTAAAAGCTGACGCGCTCTCGCGAGTTCCCACTTAGGGAACTTAAAGGAGAGTTTTAATTTGTCCTCCCTGCCGTTCGGGGGCGCGTGTGCCTGTGCTGCCCGACTAGCCCAGGATGTAGTGAGCCCCGCGGCTGCCGCTGCCCGCTTAGACCCAATCAGAGGGTGAGTGGGAGGTGACACCGGTCAGCCTTTCCCGCCCCTCTGTCTCCTGCTGCCGTCGGGAAGGCAGAAGCCGCGAGGCAGGCCAGTGGTACATGGTGCTCCCGGCTTAACTGCACCCTGCATGGCTCCAAGGGCTGGCCAGGCTTTCGTGTCGCAGGTTCCCGCTAAGTGCAGGATTCAGATCTTACCATGGTTCTTTTTAATAGTGAGGAGTTGTGGCCGCGCGCGGTGGCTCACGCCTGTAATCCCAGCACTCTGAGAGGCCGAGGCGGGCGGATCACGAAGTCAGGAGATTGAGACCGTCCTGGCTAACACAGTGAAACCCCGTCTCTACTAAAAATACAAAAAATTAGCCGGGCGTGGTGGCGGGCGCTTGTAGTCCCAGCTACTAGGGAGGCTGAGGCAGGAGAATGGCGTGAACTCGGGAGGCGGGGCTGGCAGTGAGCCGAGATCGCGCCACTGCACTCCAGCCTGGGCGACAGAGGAAGACTCCGTCTCAAAAAAAAAAAAAAAAAATAGTGAGGAGTTGCCTCTGTGCTATGTGGAGATTAGGAGGGTGTTGTATTACTCTTGATAATGGAGCTTGTGCTTTCGACCTGTGAGGACTCAAAAGTTACGTTTTAATTTGATCATGAACATACACAAAGCAAAGTCTTATGGATATTAAAGGATTATTTATATATTCTAATTTTCATCATAGTTTAAAAATAGTCATAAAGAGGGCCGGGCGCGGTGGCTGACGCCTGTAATCCCAGCACTTTGGGAGGCCGAGGTGGGCGGATCACGAGGTCAGGAGATTGAGACCATCCTGGCTAACACGGTGAAATCCTGTCTCTACTAAAAATACAAAAAAATTAGCCGGGCGTGGTGACGGGCGCCTGTAGTCCCAGCTACTCAGGAGGCTGAGGCAGGAGAATGGAGTGAACCCGGGAGGCGGAGCTTGCAGTGAGCTGAGATTGCACCACTGCACTCCAGCCTGGGCAACAGAGCGAGACTCTGTCTCAAAAACAAAAAAAAAAAAAAAAAAGAAAAGAAATAAAAAGCAGGAGCATAAAGCAGTCACACTAAGCCTCCACTGCTCAGGTGTTGAGTAGACACAGCAGAGCACTGCTGTGCTGCAGGATGGGCGCAACCAGGCAGCCAGGCTCCGCCCCTTTCTGTGGCACTCCGGACAAGTTTTCGCACCCTCTCTGGGTCTCAGTTGCCTTATCTGTGGAAAAGGGAATCATGTTAGCACCTACCTTGCAGGCATACTCTGAGGATTAAATGGGTTAAATATGGAATAGTGTTTACAGCCGAGTGTAGCACACAGTAAATACTATAGAAGTGTTTGTAGCTGTTACAGTCAAAATGGAAATGTGGAATGGAATTTGAAAGTCTATTTAAAATCAGGGAACCTATGCAAAAAAAAAAAAAAACAATTTTGGATGAGGTTGCTAAATTATCTAGAAGGTTAGTAAACACTGTTATTTATTTATTTATTTATTTATTTATTTATTTATTTATTTGAGACGGAGTCTTGCTCTGTCAGCCTCCCGAGTAGCTGGGATTACAGGCGCCCGCAACCGCGTCCGGCTAATTTTTGTATTTTCAGTAGAGATGGGGTTTCACCATCTTGGCCAGGGTGGTCTCGAACTCCTAACCTCGTGATCCACCCGCCTTGATCTCCCAAAGTGCCGGGATTATAGGCGTGAGCCACCGTGCTCGGCGAACAACACCGTTCTTTATAAGGATAGCTTCTGATTTCTAATGTAGCCACTTCTAGAGAACATCAAAACCATTTTTTTTTTCAGCAGTGACTACTTCTGGACGTGAGTGAATTTTCATTAGTCAACCTTATCAAAGAGTCCAGGAGAATATATTGTTGTTGTTTATAGAGTGTTAATATATTGCTACATTCAGAAGCTCAGGAAAATGAAAGAATGTTAAGAAATCAGAATATTAAGGCTGGGCGCTGTGGCTGAGGCCTATAATCTCAGCATTTTGGGAGGCCGAGGTGGGCAGATCACCTGAGGTCGGGAGTTCCCAACCAGCCTGACCAACATGGAGAAACCCCGTCTCTACTAAAAATACAAAATTAGCTGGGCGTGGTGGCACATGCCCGTAATCCCAGCTACTCCAGAGGCTGAGGCAGGAGAAGCACTTGAACCCAGGAGGCAGAGGTTGCGGTGAGCCAAGATCGCGTCATTGCACTCCAGCCTGGGCAACAAGAGCGAAACTCTGTCTCAATAAAAAAGAAAAAGAAATCAGAATATTGTTTCCAGCTATTAATAATTCACGGTGCTGCAGACCTCTTGAATCATCATTAAGTCAGAAATCTAAGTGAAAATAGTGTTGCTCTTGCATTCAGTTGTATTATAAAGCACTTAGCACTGGATATTATGAAGTGTTTTTCTGTGTTCCAAAGTATAGCATATCTTTGGAGGAGTCCAGCATGAGAGCTTAGGATCAGTCCTATCCTGAGACACAGATAGGCATTCTTTGTTTTCTGCAGTGGGATGAGCAGATAGGAAGGACCAGCACCAAGAATCTGATTTGCTCTGGGGGTTGCATGGATGCAGAAGAACCACAGAGAAGGGGTTGGTCCAGCTGCCCAAAAGAAATCTTTGAAGCCCATGCTGACCAGTATCTAGAGTCCAGGACAACAGTTCTATTTACTGCCATACAACACAATAATGCTCACCCAACTTTTATAATCACCACCCTGATTCCAAAACATTCTATGAATAAATGATCATTTGAAAGTTGATAGCCAATGATTAGAAGTGGGAGTCAATGACTAGTGAAAAGCCGAAAAACTATGTTATGCATGGTATTCATAATAGCGTAGAAATACTAAAAATAGATAACTCTTACAAAGTTACAAAAATCACAGCAAAGATATTAAAATAGCACGTTACCTTAATGGTACAAGCAATTTCAATTCACCTTAATGAACTTCTCATGATATTTAATGTACCCCAGATTCATTTCTAACATTATTTAATTACTACATGAATTCTAAGAAACACTTAGATCTAGTAAATAATACATCTTGGAAAGATCTAAGTGAATAAATAATACATCTACAAAGATTCAGAAAAATTTAGAATATTCTGTCCATCTGCATGAAGTAATCAGTAGTTCATGCTAGTGGATCACACACAAAAAGGTAAACCATGAAGCCACTTCTCCCAAGTGACAGGATGGCAGAACACGAATGTCATGGCCCAGGTGAGGCTTACAGGCTCTGTCGCTACTTTGCTTGTGCAGCAAAATGTATCCTATTCTGCTGTTTGTTTTATGCCATTTTCCATCATACCTACTTTGTCTATGTATTTCACAGGCAATCAAATGTAATTTATTTTATTAATTGCTTTTTAGTCACGAGAATTGCCCATATACGTGACTTCATTTCCCAATAAATATGTCTGTAAATTTGTGTCTTTTATGTTCAAAGTAATCCTTTCCCCTAAAATCAACTCTGAATTAACTTTCAATGCCTCTGTGTAAAAAAAGTACATAAGACTGTTTCCAACAAAATCGGGGTGCAGCATAAATACCTGCAATGTGGAAATGAGATAATAACACCACTGACTGCCCACTGCACACTAAACAATTTACATCCTCATCTCATTTAATTTCCTCAATGACATCAGGATTATCCAACAAGCGCAGTCATGTGTCTCAGCAGGTGTATGAAAACCTGTAACAAGGAGTCCAGGAATGGTCAATATCTGGAAATCCAACTAGCCAGGCCAGCAATGGCCTCAGTTTTCTGAGGTTTGCTCTTTGTGAAATAAGCCTGCAGAATAAACCCAGTTGTCCAGCAGTTTCAGCTACCTACTTCAATTGACTTGTGTCTCTACTAGCAAAAGTATTAATGGATTATGGACATCTTTCCAAAGGCAATGTACTAGCTAAAGGCACAGAAAGAAGGAGAGAATGAGGCTGGATGGACTTACTGGGGGCATAACTCATCGTGAGGTTTCCTGATCTGGGTGAGGGATGATGTGTGTGGTACATACTGGATGTGGTATTTCCTTTTTTTCTTAGGTGGATTAAGAGCTGTTTTGTCGGGCCGGACGCGACAAAACAGGGATCACGCCTGTAATCCCAGCACTTTGGGAGGCCGAGGCGGGCGGATCACAAGGTCAGAAGATCGAAACCATCCTGGCTAACATGGTGAAACCCTGTCTCTACTAAAAATACAAAAAATTAGCCGGGCGTGGTGGCAGGTGCCTGTAGTCCCAGCTACTAGGGAGGCTCAGGCAGGAGAATGGCGTGAACCCAGGAGGCACAGCTTGCAGTGAACCAAGATCACACCACTGCGCTCCAGCCTGGGCGACAGAGCGAGACTCCGTCTCAAAAAAAAAAAAAAAAGAGCTGTTTTGTCTCTGCATCTTTCAAGTTGGGAAATTTTTATCTTTCTTTCTGGATCTGTCTGTCTGTCTATCTATCTATCTATCTGGATAGATAGATCTCCAGCTGGTCTATCTTATAAACCAGATCAAACTACAGTATCAAACACAGCCTAAAACAGCACTTTAGGAGGCCAAGGTGGTGATTACTGAAGCCCAAAAGCTTGAGACCAGCCAGGGCAACTTGGTGAAACCTCACCTCCACAAAAAATACAAATAAATAAATAAATTAGGTGGGCATGGCGATGTGTGCTTGCAGTCCCACCTACTCTGGAGGCTGAGGTGGGAGGATTGCTTAAGCCCAGGAGGCAGAGGCTGCAGTGCCACTGCACTTCAGCCTGGGTGACAGAGCAAGAGCCTGTCTCAAAAAAAAGAACGGCAGCAAAAGATGAACATAAGTGCATGTTTATATAATATATAGGTAGATGATATTAGTGTAACTGTATAACACTATGTGAAAAATGAAGCTTTAGTCCCCTTGGAATACACAGGTGAGTATGACTTGTTCCCTGCTTCAAGGGGCTGGTGATCTAGCAGAGATCACAGATGTGGAGCAGGTAAACTAACAAGATAGGCAATGCAACAGGTGCCAGGCCTGTGGAGGCCCAGAGAGGTTGCACCCAGATGGATGAGTTTCCTAGATTTCATTAGCTTCTTCACAAGCGCTTTAGTGCCCAAAGCCAAAGGACAAAGTAAGAGGGAGGGGCACGGAAAGCCCCTCAGCAGCAGGAGGACTTATGGGAGATGGGACGGAAGATGAAGTGGTTTCGTGCCCTTCAAATTAGATTGTCTAGGTACTTGTCTTTCCCCTCCACGTAAGACGACTCGTTCTTAGTATATTCATGTGTAAAACTGCCTTGGATTTTAGGTGCATGGAAGACCAGGATCATGTCACACTAGTGTGTATTGCACAGCATATGACATAGAACTATGTTGAAACAGTGCTTAGCACATGACTTTTGGAGACGATAGAGATATGACCAGGCAGAACTGTCCTCAGGTCAATTTCTAAAGTGCATGAGAGTACTCTGGTTCCCCCAGCCCATCCTCTTGCCTTCTTGTACTCATTCCCCCCGTCCCTTGGCCCCTCTCTATGTTGCCTTTTAGCTTCTCAGAGCCTCCTTGCTTTGGGTCTCACCCAGGCCTGACACCCTTGCCGAGACCTCTCTAAATTAGCCTTTCGTCCCCTCTCCTACCTGTCAAACTGCTCTCTCATCTATCCACCAAGGGGAGGGCTATGTTGTTAAACTAACACTAATGTATGAAAGACCACATTGCTAGCTTACACTTGTACTATCTCATAAAAGTTAATTTTTAAAAGAGGTGCTTTCAAATTTCAATAAGCAAAGGCTTCAGCTGAGATTATTTTCTTTTTGCTTTCCTGGCCTCTGAAGTTATGCTTTCAGGAAACTGCTTCTCTGTCTAAGTGTTAACCTAAGCTGGCCCTTAGATGCATTTGTTATGTTCAAGTGCCCTCTGGAGGCAAACATAGTCTCTTGTTAGATAAAAGACATGCCTGCCAACGACCCACAAATGATTGGCCCCCGTGCTGTGGGGTCCATTCATTCCCATCTTTGTGCATTCCCAGCACAGCCCTGCCTCAGGGCCTTCAGCTTAGGCATGGAAAATTCTTTGGCCTGGAATAGCTGTCCCAAAGATTGTCCCATGACTGATTCCTTCATACCATCCACTTCAGCTCAGCAGTGCTTTCTCAGCCGTGCACCGCATCTAGCCAAGTCGACCTTCCCACTCTGTCATGTCGCGCTGTTTCCTTGTCTTCCGGCACTCAGCACTATCTGAAATAATCTTCCGTTCACTCAACACGTTCATCAAGTGCCTGACCTAGGCCCTGTCTCATGCATTTGGGATAGATCAAGGTACAAATGCAACATGTTCCCTGCCCTGGCGGAATGTACAGGTCTTGGGAAACACGTGGTTTCCTTTCTCATCATCAGCCTCCCTGCTGGAATGTAAGCTCAGTGAGAGCAGGGACCCCTCATCAAGGGGCAGCCTCATTTACTACCTTATCCCAAGAGCCTAGAATTGTGCCTGGTACATCCTTCATGGTCAATCAATATTTGTGGAATGAATAAACAAATGTTTATATTAGCTAGACACAGTGGCTGAGGCGAGAGGTTAGCTTGAGGCCAGGAGTTCGAGACCAGCCTGAGCAACATAGTGAGACCTCTGTCTCACAAAGAAATCTTTTTAAGTTTATATTTTCTATCAGGATACACAACTAACATTTTAAACTTATTTTGCTGTGACAAAGTTCATTCATTCCATTATCACAAGTCTATAAAATGAGACAAACTGTATACCTCATTATTATTCAAATGATCCATAACAACAATAGTTAGCATTTATTGACCACTAAGTATTAGACACTATAATAGTGCTTTATATGTATTGTCTCATCTTCACAAACTTTCCTGAGGCAAGTAACACCATTTTTCACTTTTAAGATGAGAAATTTGAGGCTTACAGGAGCTTCTCACTATCACAAAATCATCAGGTGGGAGAGCCAGCTTTTGAGGACCGGACAGTCGACCCAGAGTCCATGCTGTCAGCCTCCTCCACACAGCTATGTTCACATCAGGAAGTCTGTATTACTCAGCGGCTCCCTCTACCATCCTCTAAAGAAACCCTGCACTCTCTTAGCAGGGCCTGTGAGACCCCTCAAGATCAGCCCTGCCTCCTTCGCTAGTCTCCTTCCCATTACCTCTCCTCCCACCCTGACGGGAGCCCCTGCAGCTCCCAGACGCGGCCATGCCTTCCCCCATCTCCTTGCCATCCAATGCTGTGTTCCCTTCCTCTTCCCTGCCTAACTCCTACTCCTACTTCAAGGCTCAGCTCTTGCCCCAAGCTCCAGAACATTTCCTGGTCCTCTGGGCTGGGTTCTGTGACCATGCTCTACTGCTCCCAGCCCCCTGTGCCTGGCTTTGTGATTCTCAGTGAACGAAATGAGGTGCGGCTTTTCATCTCCAAATTTCCGGTTCTTAATTGGAACAGAGAAATTGACTAAATACTTTGAATGATGAACATTTGGGAATTGGCCATGTTTTACAAATTTAGGCACAGTGAGGCAAACAATCCCATTGTAAATAAGAGGGTTAGTGCTGGGCACAGTGGCTCACACCTGTAATCCCAGCACTTTGGGAGGCTTAGATGGGAGGATTCTTTGAGGCCAGGAGTTTGAGAACAGCCTGGTCAATATAGTGAGACCTCCTTCTCTACAAACAAACACACAAACAAAATAATTAAAAATTAGCCAGGCATGGTGGCACAGGCCTGTAGTCTCAGCTACTTAGGAGGCTGAGGTGGGAGGATCATTTGAGTCTCGGAGCTCAAGGCTGCAGTGAGCTATGGTCACGCCACAGCACTCCAGCGTAGGTGACAGAGCAAGACTTTGTGTCTTAAAAAAAATTAAAAAGGTTAGAATGTGGTCCATGGAAGTCCTCAAAGGTACAATCGCATGAAGCTGAGAAGCAGCAGCATGGAGCAGGGGGTACTCAGACCATCAACTGGCAGAACCAGATCTTTCCTCTCATTCCCACCCCAAGAGACTTTTCCGACTCATCCAGCTGGAAGCAGAGAGGCTAGGATTTCCCCCTCAGGTGTCTGACCCAGAGCTTGCATGCTAATCTCTAAGGCAATGGCATCTCAACTCTGCTGGGCCTTTATTTGTGTGTCCTTTCAATGGTTATATTTGCCTGTATTTGCCCAGAATAACTAATTTAATGAAAGCATTTTAAAAAGATGTTATAAATGGCTAAATATCTAGTGATAGGTGCCATACAAATATTTAGATACAAAGGGTCTAAATCCAGATTATTTTTCTGGGGGAACCATTATTAATGTAATGATAAAATAGTACATTGTGGAAATGTACACACAAGAGAGAAGGAGAGAGAGAAGAGAAAGAGAGAGAAGCTGCATACACTTGCTATTTCACAACAATGATGCAATCCAACAGTTTACAAAGATAATTCCTTTAGACAGATACTGACTAAAACTCACAAGGGGCAGGGCCCTGGGCCCGGCAAGGAGTTAGTCACAGCTCCTGGGCCTCAGCAGGGAACACTGAGTAAGATACAAGTACTTGCCCTTCCTGGGCTTGATAGCTCACAACTGTAATCCCAGTGCTTTGGGAGGCCAAAGCAAGAGGATTGCTTGAGACCAGGAGTTCAAGAGCAGCCTGGGCAACATGGCAAAAACCCATCTCTACAGAAAAATACAAAAATTAGCTGGGGGTGGTGGCGCACGCCTGTAGTCCCAGCCATTCAGGACACGGACATGAACCTGGACCCAGGAGTTCGAGGCTGCAGTGAGCTGTGATCATGCCACTGCACTCAGGCCTGGGTGGCACAGCAAGACTCTGTCTCAAAAAAAAAGTATTTTCCCTTGAGGTTGGAGCCACAAGGACCACGAGTTTAGCAGGGGCTCCTGCCGGCTACTCCAAGCAACTCTCCCAACACTCACTGCTCTCTTCTGCAGAAACAAACTGCTTCCATTTCCCCAAACGTGCTCTGCCGGTTCACACCTCTGTGCCTTTGCATGTTTCCTTTGACTGGGATGCTCGGTCTGTGCAGAGTGGACATGTGTCATGTTTTTTGGCTGCCTAGCATTGTTTGAAAACCCCAGCTATGTTCTGGAAATTTCCTAACACATGAGTGAGTCCTACCTCTCCAAGGCAGATGCCAGAGATCCCAATCAGCCAGGCTTCTATGCAGAGCAGGGTACAGGCACATGACCCAGCCTCCCTCCATCAGCTGCATCTACATGAGATACCAACTTAGAGATAAGCAATCCAAGGCAGTGGACGCAGTGTGAAAGTGATGTATCAGGCAAAGCTGGTAACACAGGCAAACAGCTTAGAAGGAGCAAAGGTTACTGGGCTGTGGCCCTGGTATGAGAAGGGGCAACATCGCAAACCATCACATCCAGAGCTCTAGGGGGGCAACAGCAGTGGTTTCCACTGCAGGCCAGGTCTGCGGTGGGCATAGGGCCTTGTTGCAGGAAGCTATTCACGGCATTCCACCTCCCCATCCAGCAAGTAGAAGAGTCACTCTACAACCTTTTAATCCTTTTAATCAATCTCTTCTGTGCTTCTGTTGATTACAACTAAAAGCCTGGCTTATTTGCAACTCTCCTGGCCCCTGGAGTAGATGATACACCAACTACATTCATCCTCATAACAAAGGACCAGATGCCATTTATGTTGGCATGGAGGTCTCCTGTGGGCCTCCGCTGAAACTTCTATTCCATCCCTCACTCATTTCCTCCGGGGATGCCCCCCTACCCACACACCTCTTGCAGCATACCCACCCCTGAATTATAGTTGCTTGTTTCTTCCTCCTCTGCTTCGACAATGATTTCTTTTTTTTCTTTTTTTCTTTTTTTTTTTTTTGAGATTGAGTCTCACTCTGTCACCCAGGCTGGAGTGCAGTGGCGTGATCTCAGCTCACTGCAAGCTCTGCCTCCTGGGTGCACACCATTCTCCTGCCTCAGCCTCCCGAGTAGCTGGGACTACAGGCACCCGCCACCACACCTGGCTAATTTTTTTTGTACTTTTAGTAGAGATGGGGTTTCACCGTGTTAGGCAGGATGGTCTCGATCTCCTGATCTCATGATCCACCTGCCTTGGCCTCCCGAAGTGCTGGGATTAGAGGCGTGAGCCACCTCGCCTGGCGACAGTGATTTCTTTGAAGCTAGCCATTGGCTCTTTCACTTCTGCATTTCCAGCAGTTAGTTTGGGTTGACAGCATCCAGCACAGGATAGGTGCTAAAGGGAAGTCTGTCGTGGATAGGAAGGGATGCTCCAATTTGGCTTCTGAGAACCAGGAATCAGAAACAGGTGCTCTGGGGTGGCTGCGTCTAACACAGATTTCAGTGAATGGCAGGGATTTCAACAAGCAGAATTGGTTGGGATCATCCTGCCCTTACTGACATGTAATCTGCTTTTTAAAAATTATCATAACCCTCAGCATTTTTCTATATCCTTAATATGCTGTAGGGGACATTCTCAGTTGCCTAACAACACTTCCCTCACCCTTCTTTTTTTCAGGTGTGGGTGTTGATGTCTCAGGGAAGGTGGTCCCTTCCCACAGCCCCAAGGGGATGGGTCCTCATTGCTCCAAACCAGGGGTTGACAAACTACAGCCTGCTACCCAAATCTGGCCTACCACCTGTGTTTGTATGACCTCATACCATACAAAATGCTTTTTACACTTTTAATTTGCTGGAAAAAGAACAAAAAAAATGCTTTGTAAGAGGTAAAAAATATATGAAATTCAAATTTCAGTGTCCACAGTGACATTGGAACACAGGCATATGTATTTGTTTCCAGTGTCTCTAGCTGCTTTGGCTCTACAAGAGCAGAGCTGACTAGATGTGACATGGACCCCACGCCCTGCAAAGCCTGAAATATTTACTGGCTGGTCCTCTTCAGAAGAACTTTGCTGACCCTATTCTCAAGCGATCATGCTAACACCAGTCTCCTCTGAGTGTTGATTTTTGGGAGGAGTATGAGACCCATTTCTAAGCCAATGAAACACAAGGGGAAGCCTGACAGAGGGCTGCTGGGAAAGATTGTTTTCTCTGATGAGAGGAAGATATGTGAGCGTGCTTCCTTCCTGCCTTTGGATGTTGCATGTGCGGATGTGATAGGCAGAGCTGTGGCAGCCATCTTGCAGTCATGAGGGAAAGGCTAAGAGACTTACAGAGAAGCTGCCCCAGATACTCTTGAGCAGTTAAATTAATCAGCTCTGGAAACTCCTACTTCTAGAATTTTTTAATTCTAGAATTTAAATTTCTAATCAGCAGCCAAGAACATGTAATGGGAACTAAAATTGCATAATCAAAAGGAAGTTTTCTTCTTTCTTGTTTTTTTTCCAGATGGAGTTTCACTCTTGTCGCACAGGCTGGAGTGTGCAATGGAGTGATCTCGGCTCGCTGAAACCTTGGTCTCCCGGACTCCAGCGATTCGCCTGCCTCAGCCTCCCAAGTAGCTGGGATTACAGGCACCCGCCACCATGCCCGGCTAATTTTTTTTTTGTATTTTTAGTAGAGACGGGGTTTCACCATGTTGGCCAGGCTGGTCTTGAACTCCTGAAATCAGGTGATCCACTAGCCTGGGCTTCCCAAAGTGCTGGGATTACAGGCATGAGTCCCCGTGCTGGGCCCCTCTTCTTTCTTATTAACTAAAAATACATTTGAGTCAGAGATGTTTTATGCTCTTGATCTATTTGCAACCCCAATTAACTCACTTTGTTAAAACACGCCCCACGTGGTGTCAGGACCAGGGATACATTTTGTGAAATTATTTCTCCTTTTAGTGTCATTAACCAGTGCATTATGGAATTCTGTAGAATAGCAAATGCTCATTTTTCCATGCAGCCATTCTGTCTGTCCTCTCACCTCTGACCCACATCACACCTGCCACCCATCACAAAGCCAGTTGCATTGAAGTCTCTGACTTGTGCAATCCCCAGTGTAGCAAACAGTCACCTGGAGCAGAGAGGTCAGTGTGTTGACATGTTTGCTGTCTGGGGCCTACATGTAAAATGCTCTTGAGTTGAGCTACCTCTATAGAGAGCAGTGATCCATGTCCCTAAAATGCTGTTCTCAAGAGGCCATAGGATCCCTAGGAAATTACACTCAGAACAAAGTTTGCAAGGACACTTTCTTGATTTAGTGCCAACCAGGTGATTTTGAAATCAGTTCTCTGAGCATCTGAGAGATAGGAAGCATTTTAACATCAATATCTTCATTTCTCTTCCTAAAATAAAGACAGCAGAAAGAGCACTGTTGTGGGGGATTTTAAGCTGCTGAGGTGATTTTTATAAAATACTGTGGAAGGAGATCTATCCCGAAAGAAAGAACTTCCAGTTCTTGCAGCTCTCTTGCTTTTAACAAGAATCTCTGGGAGGGAGCACCACACAGTGTAGCGGCTGAGCACCTGACCTTCTGAGTTGGACAGAACTTTATTGAGTCCCTGCTCTTCTCTTCACACCTGTGTAACTTTGGGGAGTGACCCAGCCTCTCTAAGCCTTGGTTTCTCCCTCATCCTCATTCTTCCCGGCCATTGGGCTAGGCAAGGGGACAGAGCAAGTAAGTTGGACAGTGGACAAATGGATGAGAGTTTGTGTAAAAAAAGAGGTAACTTTGTAGATTAGGGATTAAAAATCTGAGCACAATTCAGATTGTTTCTTATAGAACAAATTGAGGCTGATGGTTGCAAAGGGGAGGCGTAGAGAGGAGAAATGTGGAAGGCTCGGCAATGATGAGAGTTTGGAATAGCCCTTGTGAGGACAGGAGAGGAAGGGGCTCAAGGAAGACAAGACAAAGCACTAGGGTGGGGCCCAGTGGCTTGCGGAAAATACCAAGCGCCCTGCACGGTGGATTCTTCCAGCAGACTGAGCACAGGGGGTTCAGAGGAGCTGGTAATGCAGTCATACTGTGGCTGGGGTTTACAAAAGGTTAAGTGACTCACTAAAGGTCACACAGGGACATTTACACAAACATCCTGGCCCCAAGTCCAGTGCTCTAATCTGTAACAGGGTCTATCCTTTTTTTTTTTTTTTTGAGACAGGGTCTTGGTCAGTCACACAGGCTGGAGTGCAATGATGTGAACACCGCACACTGCAGCCTCGCCCTTCCAGGCTCTAGTGATCCTCCTGCCTCGGCCTCCCAGTGTTGGGATTATAGGCATGAGCCACCATACTCAGCCAAGTCTGTCCTTAATCAGGGTTCTTTTGGGTCTCATTTTCTTAAGCTGCAAAAGCCACTGGACCAGGTGATACTGCCAACACCTCTAGGCTGCTGTAACTGTAGTTTCGGCTCCTGGATCTGCTTCCAATTAGTTATGTTCCCTGTCACTTTGGGTAAGTCATCCCAGCTCCATGGCTTGCTTCTGGAACTCAATTATGGTCCAGAAGCCCAAGTTCTAAAGTGCTGATTCTGATGAGTGCCCATTTACCAGGCACTCTGATCCCATCATAGCATCTACTACAGCCTGGGAGGTCTATTCATGTGTGCATTCATGTTAAGCACTATCACCAATCAAATCACTTAAATTACATAGGTAATAATCCAACAGCACATCCAAACAAGGCTGAAAATTGTAAAAGAAAATTACACTGTGTGTGTGTGTGTGTGTGTGTGTGTGTGTGTGTGTGTTTAAGAGACAAGATTGCTCTCTGTCACCCAGGCTGGAGTGCAACAGTGCCATCATAGCTCACTGTGGCCTCCAATTCCTGGCATCAAGCAATCTTCCTGCCTTGGCCTCCCAAGTAGCTAAGACTATAGGCATTTCTCACCACACCCTGTTTAAGGAAGAAGATTGTGTTGAAAATGAAAATCAATACACAAAGGCTGAACCAAAGCAATGGGAAGGCGGTGGCTGCGTGTTATGTTGAGTGGCTGTCTCAAGTAGACCAAAACCCTTCTCACCCTTTGTCTTAGGGCATTAAAGGAAATTACTCTGGGCAGGCCGGGCGCAGTGGCTCACACCTGTAATCCCAGCACTTTGGGAGGCCGAGGCAGAAGGATCACTTGAGGTCAGGAGTTTGAGACCAGCCTGGCCAACATGGTGAAACCCCGTTTCTACCAAAAACATAAAAAATTATCAGGGTGTGGCCAGGCGCAGTGGCCCACGCCTGTAATCCCAGCACTTTGGGAGGCCAAGGCGGGTGGATCACTTGAAGTCAGGAGTTCGAAACCAGTCTGGCCAACGTGGTGAAACCCCGTTTCTACCAAAAAATACTAAAAAGTAGCCGGGCATAGTGGCAGGCACCTGTAATCCCAGCTACTTGGGAGGCTGAGGCAGAAGAATCGCTTGTACCCAGGAGATGGAGGTTGCAGTGAGCCGAGATTGCACCATTGCACTCCAGCCTGGGCAACACAGCAAGACTCAATCTCAAAAAAAAAAAAAAAAAAAGATACTACCTTTCTCCTTCCAGAAGCAATGTGCTTTACCTTTGGGATGAATCCATTTGATGCATAGTGTAGTGTTGTTCAAAGCATGGCAGAAGACAAGAGTAGTGTCCATTATTATTAACACCTTGTGAGTCAGGGTGAGGGGTGGAATGTGCCCAGTACTGCTGGAATACAGCTCAGAGATGAAGCCCCTTGTCCATTGTCACCTGACTGGGATAGGCAGGTGATGTGGTTCTTCACTTCAAGCCTGGCAGTCTTCAGAACCCTTGTAGTGCAAAAATAACACCATACGGTCCCTCCCAGGAAACGCCACTTACTGTCCTTACTAGTGTTGGGAAAGAAAGGACACTCTTAGAAATGTCTTTAAAAATGAGACTGATAATGGACTGTGTCTTAGAGCCATGAAAGGAAAGGAGAAGTTGTAGGATTTGCTGGGAATGTCAACTAACCAGAGCCTAGTGACCTGAGCCCAAGGGCAGGCTGAAGCTTCCTTGGCACAGGAGGGTGCTGCCTGTGATACGGGGGGCAGTGCTGGCACCATGCAAGCTACTCCTTAGAAAGATCAGCTTGAATATGCAGGAAGAGCAGGACCCTCGGCTGAGGCACATGGCGGAATGGGAAGTGCATGGTGGTAATTTAGTTCTCCAGAGTTCTTGTTGTCTTGGGACCAGGAGGCATGGTTGGAATGCTGATTGCCCAAAGGGAGACCGTGGACTACTCTGGCCTCCCACAGAATTCCCATAGTGGTTGCAGCTCCCTGGACTGGGGAGGCCAGAGGGGGCGTTGCCCACTGCTCTCCTTATCCAGGACACCCCCTACCCACCACCACCAACAGATGAGTATGGTCATGAGTGTGGTCACCTCTCATCCAGTCATTAGCTCAATTGTGAAAAAGAAATTGTTGTTCAGAGAAGAGCAAAGTGTTTTTCTATGAGCCAAAGCTTGGTCAAGGTATGCTAATGAGGAGCACTAGACAGAATGCCTCACAAACACTGATAAGGAGTACTGGGAAGGGCACTTCTCCCAGGACAGAGCTCACAAGGAGTGTCCTGGCCCCAGAAGCAGGAGAACTGAAGGCTGGCAGGAGTCTGCCCAGTAGTCTCTGCAGTGCCCAGTAGGCACTGTGTGCCTTCAGGCTACAGCCTCCCAGGCCCTGTGCCCCATCTTCTCCCCCACACCACACGGGGGAGGAGGCTGACCCTGAGAATGGTGCAACCATCTGCCTGCCCCTGGGCGCCTCTCACCAGCAGGTGAATGCTGTTGGGCTCAGTTCTGTCTGCAGTAGGAGCGTGTTTAGCCACATGAGAGAGTCTCACCTTTGACATTTTATATCCTTCAGTCAATCAAAGATCTAGAATTTATAGTGATAGAATTAAAAAGTTTAACTTTTCCTACTTATGGGCATACAGGTATTTGGGTGCCATCTTTATAATTTACAATTAGTTTGAAAGATAGAAATTGCAACCATAAGGTTGGGAGCCTGGTATGTAAGGCATTTGCCGGTGGGCATGTTTTGAACATGTATTGTTGGGCCCTTATACGTACTGTCACTTATCTGTTCCCATCACCGTTGGACAGGTATTTCTCCCTGTGCTGGCAAAACAGGCACACCTCTCACTAAGGCAGAGCTGCCACAAGTAGTCTAACTCCTGAGGACAACAAACCCCTTTGCTGGGGGGAAGGGATGGGAGGAGGAACAAGACTTGAGAGGCGGCTGGGCAGAGGACACAGAAACCTCCGTTCTACTGTGAGGCCCGAGGAATGCAAATGGAAAGTAGGACTCCCACTTATGAGATCTTGTAGAAAAGAGGCCCAGAGAAGGGGCAGTAGATTTGTTCAAGGTTACACAGCTAGATGGTGTGAAGACAGGGCAGGACTGTGGTCCCTGGGTCCCTTGTCTGATGTTGTTGCAGTCTCTGCATTAGTGCTCCATAATGGGTCTGTGGTGTGCCCGGATGTAAGGGTTGGTTTGGAGCATTTCCACCCTGGCTCTCTGGACATGGAACTTGCTGGACTTTGGGATTTTTCTGTCAGCCATTGATAGGAGCAGAGTGTTGTTGTGTTTTGTGGCAGAGACCACCCATGGAAGTGATCGACTGTAAGCACAGAGCCAGCTGCAGCCCGAGGTGATGTGGATGGAGCCTAAATGTGTTGTTCTGTGTGTCTCTCCTTTTCCTTTTAAACAAAGTTTCCCTCACCACACAGGTTTTCAGCCAGCTCATCTACTCTCAAGTGCTGGGAAGTTCGTATTTCCCTATCTGCAGTGGCTGTAAGAGATCTAGAGACCTAGAGAGCTAGTATGATAGTATGAAGGAGGATTTGAAGAAGTTAGTTAGGTAATTAGATAATTATTGAAATGAGGCAACATGGATCCCAAAAGTTAAATAGTCTTAAAGGGAAACTTGGTACCACTTTAAGACTTAGTCATTCAACAACTCTGAAACAATGCAGTCACTACTTTGAGTACTGTTGCAGGGTGCCTTGTTTGGCATAGTTGGGGAATGTGGCATTTCAGATCATTGAAGTTTATCCCCTCAAATGCCAAAATTAAAAACAACCCCAAACCTTTTTGGATTGGAGTTTCTTGAAAATGATATGCTTCCCTGCCCTGTTAAACTGAACCTTTACGGATGGCCTCCAGAGGGGTGTGAGGGTCTCACCTCTGCTTGGGTGGGCCTGGTCCTGTGATGTGAGTCTGCTTCTCTCTTCTCATCTCTCTGCCCTCTACTTCAGAGCTGTCCCTTCCTTGAGACACTGTCTCTGCCCTGATAGGTTTCCTCTATATCTCATGATTTACCAACTCTATGTCAAGGACTGAAAATCCAAACCACCACCCTTGGTAAAGTGTTACGTATGACATAGTGTGAGTGCTGTGGAATAAGAGGCTTGGCTGGCCACCACACTGCCTAAAGAATGTTTTTATGTGTCTTGTAAGGAGAATAAGATCAGACTTCTGATCTTATTCTAGGCAAGTGGAGAAATATAATCTCTGTCATTTATTCATGGCTTTATGGACTTGATAGATCTTTGAGAACCTACTAGGTGTCAGGCTCCATGGTTAGTACTGGCATTCAGAACAGTCTTCACTCACTTGAGGGCACAGTGAGTACCATGATGATGTCATCAGTGGTAAATTACATGGGAAGGTAGCTTACCCTCACAGAGGACGGGAGACAGTTGTTGCTAGCATTTGTATATTCATTAGTCTCCCACATCCTCCCAGTTGGAAATGTAACTATCCCAGATAGACAGCATATGTGTATTGTAGGAACCTGTAATGCCCGAACTGTTCAGGACGATCACATTAAAATATTAATGTGCTGAGTTAAATGCTTTATTTAGCTTATCTGCATCTAGGCTATCCAAATTACACAGCCACTTAAAAAATTCTAACCATCACCTCTTCTCTTGGAATAATTAAATTATTTTGATGTAATTCAGATCTCATTTTATCGTAGCCCAGCAGTACCTGGGAGAGAATGACTCTAAATTTATGATAGTAAAATCATATTAAATTGTATTTCACTAATTCAGAAATGGGGATAATTTGACAATTAAAGGCAGAAGTGTGTCATTCCTCTCCTGGAAGAAATGAACAGTAATGATGGGATCACAGAGATTGTATTGCTTGTTGCTTAAAAAAGAGATCAAGCAGTTTTCAAACTCTTTGGAAAAGTTGGTTTATCTGCCAAGAAATAATTGAGAATTATTCTTAATGGCCCCTCCCTCAACTCCACTTTTCAGACTTTAGATGGAATAACTATGCATAATGTCAAAGTCAGGAAGTTGCATTTTTTAAATTATACTTTAAGTTCTGGGGTACATGTGCAGAATGTGAAGTTTCGTTACATAGGTTTACACATGCCACGGTGGTTTGCTGCACCCCTCAACCTGTCATTTACATTAGGTATTTTTCCTACTGTTATCCCTCCCCTAGCCCCTCACCCAACAGGCCCCAGTGTGTGATGTTCCCCTCCCTATGTCCGTGTGTTTTCATTGTTCAACTCCCACCTATGAGGGAGAACATGTGGTGTTTGGTTTTCTGATCTTGTGATAGTTTGCTGAGGATGATGGTTTCCAGCTTCACACATGTCCCTGCAAAGGACATAAATTCATCCTTTTTAATGGCTGCATAGTATTTCATGGTATATATGTGCCACATTTTCTTTATCCAGTCTATTATGGATGGACATTTGGGTTGGTTCCAAATCTTTGGAATTGTGAATAGTGCCATAATAAACATAACTGTGCATGTGTCTTTATAGTGGAATGATTTATAATCCTTTGGGTATATACCCAGTAATGAGATTGCTGGATCAAATGGTATTTCTAGTTCTAGATCCTTGAGGAATCGCCACACTACCTTCCACAATGGTTGAACTAATTTACACTCCCTCCAACAGTGTAAAAGCATCCTTATTTCTCCACATCCTCTCCAGCATCTGTTGTTTCCTGACTTTTTAATGATCACCATTCTAACTGGCATGAGATGGTATCTCATTGTGGTTTTGATTTACATTTCTCTAGTGACCAGTGATGATGAGCATTTTTCCATATGTCTGTTGGCTGCGTAAAAGTCTTCCTTTGAGAAGTGTCTGTTCATATCCTTTGCCCACTTTTTGATGGGGTTTTGTTTTTTTCTTGTAAATTTCTTGTAAATTTTCTAGTAAAGTTCTTTGTAGATTCTGGATATTAGCCCTGTGTCCAATGGATAGATTGCAAAAATTTTCTCCCATTCTGTAGGTTGCCTGTTCACTCTGATGATAGTTTCTTTTGCTGCGCAGAAGCTCTTTAATTAGATCCCACTTGTCAATTTTCGCTTTTGTTGCCATTACTTTTGGTGTTTTAGACATGAAGTCTCTGCCCATGCCTATGTCCTGAATGGTATTGCCCCGGTTTTTTTCTAGAATTTTTATGGTCCTAGGCCTTACATTTAAGTCTCTGATCCATCTTGATTTTTGCATAAGGTGTAAGGAAGGGGTAAAGAGATCAATGCAGCAAGAAGAGCTAACTGTCCTAAATATATATGCATCCAATACAGGAGCACACAGATTCATAAAGCATGTTCTTAAGAGACCTACAAAGAGACTTAGACTCCCACACAATAATAGTGGGAGACTTTAACACCCCACTGTCAATATTAGACAGATCAACGAGACAGAAATTTAACAACGACATTCAGGACTTGAACTCAGTTCTGGACCAAGCGGACCTAATAGACATCTATAGAACTCACCACCCCAAGTCCACAGAATATACATTCTTTTCAGCACCTCATTACAGTTATTCTAAAATGGGCCAAATAATTGGAAGTAAAACACTCCTCAGCAAATGCAAAACAATGGAAATCATAACAAACAGTCTCTCAGATCACACTGCAATCAGATTAGAACTCAGGATTAAGAAACTCACTCAAAACCGCACAACTACATGGAAACTGAACAACCTGCTCTGGAATGACTACTGGGTAAATAACGAAATGAAGGCAGAAATAAAGATGTTCTTTGAAACCAATAAGAACAAAGACACAACATACCAGAATCTCTGGGACACATTTAAAGCAGTGTGTAGAGGGAAATTTATAGCACTAAATGCCCACAAGAGAAAGCAGGAAAGATATAAAATTGACACCCTAATATCAAAATTAAAAGACTAGAGAAGCAACAGCAAACAAATTCAAAATCTACCAGAAGACAAGAAATAACTAAGACCATAGCAGAACTGAAAGAGATAGAGACACGAAAAACGCTTCAAAAATCAATGAATCCAGGAGCTGGTTTTATGAAAAGATCAACAAAGTAGATAGACTGCTAGACAGACTCATAAAGAAGAAAAGAGAGAAGAGTCAAATAGATGCAATAAAAAATGATATAGGGGATATCACCACTGATCCTGCAGAAATACAAACTACCATCAAAGAATACTATAAACACCTCTATGCAAATGAACTAGAAAATCTAGAAGAAATGGATAAATTCCTGGCAACATACAGCCTCCACAGTCTAAACCAGGAAGAAGTCGAATCCCTGAATAAACCAGTAACAAGTTCTGAAATTGAGGCAGTAACTAATAGCCTACCAACTAAAAAAAGTCCAGGACCAGATGGATTCACAGGCAAATTCTACCAGAGGTACAAAGAGAAACTGGTACCAATCCTTTTGAAACTATTCCAAACAACGGAAAAAGAGGGAATCCTCCCTACTTCATTTTATGAGGCCAGCATCATCCTGATACCAAAACCTGGCAGAGACACAACAAAAAAAGGAAATTTCAGGCCAATATCCCTGATGAACATCGATGTGAAAATTCTCAATGAAACACTGGCAAACCGAATCCAGCAGCACATCAAAAAGCTTATCCACCACAATCAAGTCGGCTTCATCCCTGGGATGCAAGGCTGGTACAACATATGCAAATCAATAAACATAATCCATCACATAAACAGAACCAATGACAAAAACCACATGATTATTTCAATAGATGCAGAAAAGGCCTTTGACAAAATTCAACAACCCTTCATGCTAAAAACTCTCAGTAAACTAGGTATCAATGAAACGCATCTGAAAATAATAAGAGCTATTTATGACAGACCCACAGCCAATATCATAGTGAATGGGCAAAAACTGGAAGCATTCACTTTGAAAACTGGCACAAGACAAGGATGCCCTCTCTCACCACTCCTATTCAACATAGTATTGGAAGTTCTGGCCACGGCAATCAGGCAAGAGAAAGAAATAAAGCATATTCCAATAGGAAGAGAGGAAGTCAAATTGTCTCTGTCTGCAGATGACATGATTGCATATTTAGAAAACCCCATCGTCTCAGCCCAAAATCTCCTTAAGCTGATAAGCAACTTCAGCAAACTCTCAGGGTACAAAATCAATGTGCAAAAATCATAAGCATTCCTATACACCAATAATAGACAAACAGAGAGCCAAATCATGAGTGAACTCCCATTCACAATTGTTACTAAGAGAATAAAATACCTAGGAATACAACTTACAAGGGATGTGAACGAGCTCTTCAAGGAGAACTACAAACCACTGCTCAAGGAAATAAGAAAGGACACAAACAAATGGAAAAACATTCTATGCTCATGGATAGGAAGAATCAATATCGTGAAAATGGCCATATTGCCCGAAGTAATTTATAGACTCAATGCTATCCCCATCAAGCTACCACTGACTTTCTTCACAGACTTGGAAAAAACTACCTTAAACTTCATATGGAACCAAAAAAGAGCCCACATAGACAAGACAATCCTGGGCAAGAAGTACAAAGCTGGAGGCATCATGCTACCAGACTTCAAACTATACTACAAAGCTACAGCAAACAAAACAGCATGGTACTGGTACCAAAACAGATATATAGACCAATGGAGCAGAACAGGGGCCTCAGAAATAACACCACACATCTACAACCATCTGATCTTTGACAAACCTGACACAAACAAGCAATGGGGAGAAGATTCCCTATTTAATAAATGGTGTTGGGAAAACTGGCTAGCCATATACAATTCTTAAACATTTTTTGTAAGCCTTCTTTTGCATTTTGATAAAGCTTTAAGGGCTCCTTTCAGGTCCAGGGGGAGATGGTAAACACTAACCACTGGCAGTTATCATGACACTAACCCTAGTGTAGGTTCTGGGGATGTTGTAGGGTGGTTTCAGTTCAATCTTTTTCTTCTGTTTAGAATTTGTATTGAAATGATTTCACCTGGCTGGGCATGGTGGTTCACACCTGCAATCCCAGCACTTTGGGAGGCCAAGGCAAGTGGATCACCTGTGGTCAGGAGTTTGAGATTAGCATGGCCAACATGGTGAAACCCCATCTCTACTAAAAATACAAAAATTAGCTTGGCGTGGTGGCAGGCACCTATAATCCCAGCTACTTGGGAAGCTGAGGCAAAAGAATCACCTATACCTGGGAGACGGAGGTTGCAGTGAGCCAAGATTACAACACTGCACTCCAGCCTAGGCGACAGAGACTCTGTTTAAAAAAAAAAAAAGAAAAAGAAAGGTGGGTTCCCTTGCATTTTCTCAGACATTTCTGATCCTTCACCTCCTCAAATCTGGTTCAGACAACCTCTTCCACTACTCTGCATTTTGCTAATGGTATAAAAGTGGCCAGACATGGTGGCACATGCCTGTAATTCCAACACTTTGGGAGGCCGAGACGGGTGGATCACTGGAGGTCAGGAGTTCAAGACCAGCCTGGCCAACATGGTGAAACCCCATCTCTACTAAAAATACAAAAATTAGCCAAGCATGGTGGCATGCACGTATAGTCCCAGCTACTGGGGAGGCTGAGGTGAGAGAATCACCTGAGCCCAGGAGGTTGAGGCTGCAGTGAGCCAAGATCCTACTACTGCACTCCAGTCTTGGCAACCAGAGTGAGACCACGTCTCAAAAAGTACAAAATAAAAATAAAAAATTTTGTTTAATTAGCCAGGTGTGGTGGCACGCACCTGTAATCCCAGCTACTCAGGAGACTGAGGTAGGAGAATCACTTGAACCTAGGAGGTAGAGGTTGCAGTGAGCCGAGATCGTGCCACTGCACTCCAGCCTGGGTGACAGAGTGAGACTGTCTCAAAAAAAAAAAGAAAGTGTTTAATAAAAAAGTAGCATCCAGCACCAATGAGGAAATAATAATGATTCCCTGTGGACACAGGGCTAAACACTGTTTACACTGAAAAGATTACCTCCCTTCAGAGTTCCCCCAGGGCTTAGGTGACATTGGTTGTGAGCAGGAGTAGTGGATTTCAAAATAATACACCTAAATTACTCTAAGAACAAATATTTCTTTTGACTTCACTTACAATTTTATACAAAAGCAGAAGTTACTGAAGGTTACTTCTCCTTCATATTTACTACGCCCTTCTTACCCCAACCCCCATGTCTGTGTGTAATTAAAGGAAGCTTGTTAAGTAAGCTACCCATTTAGTGCTTGGAACAAGAGAAAAGTGTGTGTTGGGAGTTGGGGGACTGCTTGTGTGAAATATTTCTCTCTTCTGGGTTTAAAACTTAGTCTTTGCTGCCAATCTGTTAACAGTTTGTAAATCGAGTAGAAGGAAAAATATAAATTAGCTTTCTAATAAACCTGAAATTACAAATGTGAAAAAAAGCAGGGAATAAATACCTGACCAAAAATGTATAAGTAAGTGGGTGTTGGGGGATCACAATTTTTAATTATCTCTCAATTATTTTGATACGAAAGTTCTATTTCAAAGTTCTTCAAAATGACGCCTAATGTTCCTAAGTACTGTGTTCCAAATGTATGTAAATACAAGATGGAAACTGTGAAATATATGCCTTCAAAAAGAAAAAAAACCTGACATTTTATCTGTATATATTTAATAGATTTATAAAGAACATGTGTATACATATATCAATATAGATGTACCAGCAAGGAAGATTTAGAACATATAACTATGTGGCAGGGTTAGAAAGAACATAATTCTTTCCCAGAAGGGGTGCAGGGAACTATACTTAATCAGCTACCAGTTACAACATAACTTAAGTCATTTCTCATTAAAATATATCTCTACTGCATATTCTGGTTGATAAATTTTCCATGTTTTTTGTTTATGAAGATTATCCAATTCATTTCTTTGTAGATAAAGCCTAAGAATAGAAAAAAAAATTGTTACATTTTATTTTGGGGCTAACTGAAAAGCCATGTAGTAGGCACCCTTGTTAGAGCTTGAAGAAACAAACAAAAAAAAGACTTGCTCACCATGAATAGAACCTCAGCCCCTTTTTGTGTCTCAGTTGGCTCCTTCTACCTTTTCGGTGAGACTTAAAAATATCTTAATCTTCAGCAACACATCAGTAACACATGCTACTGATTCTTTTAACGTTGCTTTTTATGGAATTAATGACATCTAGGTTTAATACAGTATCTAAATTTCTATATGTGACAGAAATCAGTCTGATTAGACATGTATCAAAACCCAATAATAAAATACTATATCTCTTTTAATTTATGCCTGAGGTTGCAATTTTTTGAATTTTTGCAATCAGCCCTTGGCGATGACCTTGAGCAGTAGGATATAAATAAATCCCACATGCTTAGCATTCCAATAATGGAACACTAGGCATAAATTGGTTAACCCATTTATGCCTAGTGTTCTAAAAGACAGAAGTTGGCATTTTTGGCTAAACAACAATTTCACAACTAAGAAAAACAGCTTTACCAATAGTATATAAATTTAAATATTACAGAAATCTTTAGAAATTTATATAAAAGTGAAAATAAAGGTGATCTAACTTATTGCTTCCCCAAAATGAACATGGTGTTTCAAAGGAAAAATCTGTATCCTTTACCAAGAATCAATTTGAGGAGCAGCAACAAATGAAGCTCCACCCAGCTCTCACAATTGAGGGACTTTGCTCATGTTAGGAGTCAAAGCTTATTGTTTGTATGCATCCAAGAAACAAATTTTTAAAAAATTTCCATCCAATCCAAAGTTCACTCTATCAAAATCTATTAAATGTGTATGTATTGCAAGTGTGTAGACCAGAGGTTTAATTTACTGTTGCCTTGCTGGACTTAAGGAGTTATTAGATCCAGCTCAGATTTGAAGAAAAGACTAGAACTGGTTGTAACAATAACTACCAATTCATGCCACATGCAATCATAGCAACTGCCTCAACTGTGACCTGAAGCATTTTAAAAATATTTTCTCTTTTTGTATTGAAGAGTATGGTTAATACAAAAAAATCTCAGTTTTTCACCAGCACAGAACAAATGCTACTTAAAGTGGAGAACTTCTAGACTGAGAAATAAGTTTCCAAATATGGCAGAAGGTTTTCTGGGAACAATAATCTCCAAATCCAAGTAATAGTTGTTCTGTTTTTTTGCTTTTTTCTTTAGACAGAGTCTCACTCTGTCGCCCAGGCTGGAGTGTAGTGGTGCGATCTCGGCTCACTGCAATCTGCCTCCTGGGTTCAAGCGATTCTACTGGCTCAGCCTCCTGAGTAGCTGGGATTACAGGCATGTGCCACCACGCCTGGCTGATTTTTGTATTTTTAGTAGAGACGGAGTTTTACCATGTTGGCCAGGCTAGTCTCGAACTTCCAACCTTAGGTGATCCGCCCGCCTCAGCCTCCCAAAGTGCTAGGATTACAGGCATGAGCCACCACACCCAGCCTCCAATTAATAGTTTTTAAGAAAGTTTTCCCAATTCAGTTATTAGAAACCCATGTTTAAATGGGAGACTACCAATTTTAATGATTTTTTAGCTGTATTTCTTAATACTTACTGTGTCTTGTAACTTCTCCTAGATATAAGTGTGTCAGTCAGCTTTTCAGCTAGCTGAAGCTTCCCTAGGTCCTCCCTTACTTTAGCACAAAATTTGGTGGTGGTTCGTCATTGGTAAATCAGCACCTACTGAGGACCTGACATGTTGAAGGTACTGAGCAGATTCATATTGAACTTCTCTGGGAGGAATTTACTTCCACACTTAAGATCTGATTATAATACTTTTGAGCTCATAACACAGTCCTATGGCATGGACCTTGAGGATACTGCAACTGGGGGTCTCAAGAACAACTGTATTTTTAAAATAGCCAACGTAAAAGGAGTAAGGCAATGAACAATGGTGGCTCAAGGATTTTTTGTTTTCTATAAATTAAGCTTATGACAACCAGCAAAAGACTTGCCATTACATCTTATACATAGACATTGAAGATTAGGTTGTTTCTATGGGTTGATATTATATCCATACCCGTTATTTTGTATTAAAGATGTGTTAAACCAGAAGAAAAAAGGGTAGTTGTGATAGTATTTAGGAAAATCCTAAAAAGAAAAAAAAATATTTTAAAAGTAAAATTGATGCCAAGAACTAATCATTCCAAAGAAATCAAAGTTCCTTCCTTTATTCCTTTATATATTTATCAAATAATTATAACCATTCAATAGGTAGCACTCTGCATTCTATAATAACACACTCAAGACACAGAGGAGGAGGCTTAAGAAAATGCTATTGCTTTCTCTTGCTGTTTCTACCAAAATTTTCAAGGAATAGTTTATTTTCCATGATAGATATTTAATTTAAATGCTGAAATTTGAATCTGGTTTAGATAGTGCTAAACAGAATCTACTAAGGACCTATGCTTATATATAGCCAAGTATTTTTGTAGTGAATTCTTACAATTTTTTTGTGCCTCAGCATCCCTTTCAAATATAAATTGGACTTTCTGATATCAGAAGCAGGGTTCAGTCACCCTTGACAGTTTCCAGTTCACCTCCTCCAGGTTTCTCAATGTGACTGATCCCAGTATCTGCCTTATACAACCTTCTGTTGGTGACTACTTCATTATGGGACAGCTAGATATAACCTCCCTACAGACCCCCGTACTCTGCATGGACCATGTGGATATATCAATGACCACCTCTCAGTCACAGCATGACTCCATGGAACTCATGACTGCTTGCATTAAATCCACCAGTTAGACCTCCCCGTAGGAAACCTGCTCAGGTAACACCTTACATCCCAATAAAGGCTTCCACTCTCAGGTCCCTCCCTCGTTCTCGCTATTGCTCCCCACCCATCAGTTGAGCACAGGTCTCCTGGATGGCTCCCCCTTCCAGTTAGCCCTGCGAGGTGTGCTGCCCTCTTCTCTCTGGAATTAATAAAAAACTGCTTTGGTTATTTCATGTGTTGTATTGTGCTGCCTTCTCTGTGTTTCACCCAACTGAGTCACCCAAACCTAACTCTCTTTCAAGTCAGTGCTCCCAGCTACTCAGGAGGCTGAGGTGGGAGGACTGCATGAGCCCAGGAGGTGAAGCTGCAGTTAGCTATGGTCACGCCACTGCACTCCAGCTGGGGTGACAGAGTGAGACCCTGTCTCAATTTGTAATATTAAAAATGATGCAAAACAAAATGTAATCACTGCTATGCAGTAAAACCTACCTTTGGTTTTTTAGCATCTTGGCTTTTATTTTTTTGTATTTATTTTGTATTTTTTGGATTTGTGAATTAATACATGTAAATTTAGAAAAATTTAGAAAATGTACAATTTAGAAAAAACAAATGAACAAAAATTATTCAAATTACATATGTTCTTTTAAAAAATTTGTTATAGATCTGATTTATTTTCTCCCCCTCCCTCTATGGGATGACATCTATCATCTCCCTTGTTGGGAACTGTAGTAAAGGAAACCTTAAATAAAACCATTCAAAAGTTCAGACAAGAACAATGGCAGAGGCCGTTTCTTGATTACTCACTGAAGAGGAAGCTTGCACTTTCACATCATCATACAGAGGTGGACAGTTGAACACATCAGTTATTACCCTGTCTGTTTCAGTGTCATGAAATACCTGTGAATGAACATGGAATTTAGAACTATAAACCTAGCTAATGATAACAATGAAGTTCCTTTTCACTTATCAAGACTTTCTATATTTATCAAGTACTTTTGGTCTCACAGACCAATCACTACATGTATAAATAATTATTAATAATCTTTTCTAGTTGCAATACTGTTGTTTATATGTATGTGTGTCTGGTGTGTATGTGTGCGTGTATATATATACATATATATATATATATGTGTATATATATATATATATATATTTTTTTTTTTTTTTTTTGAGACAGTCTCACTGTCACCCAGGCTGGAGTGCAGTGGTGTGATCTCAGCTCACTGCAACCTCTGCCTCCCAGGTTCAAGTGATTCTCGTGCCTCATCCTCCCGAGTAGCTGGGACTATAGGCGCATGCCACCACACCCAACTAGTTTTTGTACTTTTAGTAGAGATGGGGTTTTGCTATATTGGTCAGGCTGGTCCCAAACTCCAGGCCTCAAGTGATCTGCCTACCTGGGCCTCCCAAAGTGCTGGGATTACAGGGGTGAGCCACCATGCCCACCCTGTTGTTTATGATTTTTAAAGGCCAACATGTTTGAGGGTTATCATGAGGCACTTTTCAAAAGTGTCTCCCTTTTCAAAAGTATTGAATTTTCTATTAGACACTTTAATCAGTTAAATATTATTATTTAATGTGTGTCATTTGATTTTCATACATTAGGGCCTCTTTTGAGAATATGTTAAGAAGCTCAATTTTAAAGCTAGCCTTGACATTCGAAAAACAATGCTTAACTCACGGTTTTTCATTTACTAAATTTAAAAAATAACAACAGGGGTCTGTAACACTTGGGGGGTGGGCCCACCTGCCCCTCCCAAGAGAGGGGAGGGTGGGGTCCCCCGATCATCATGTTTTATCAGAACTCTTGTGTTTGTCAGTGGGATCTTTGGACTTGACCATTACCGGCTGCGGATGGAGTGACCAAAGATAGTTCAAGTTTTGGAATGAATGACTTTGAAGATATACTATTTCTTTGACTCACTCTCATATAAATAATGGCACCCACAGTAAGAAGGATCTATGCTAGGCCCTGTGAAAAACACAAAAGGAGGTGCAGACTCAGTTGGTCCCTTCAGGGAGCTATACACATAAGAAACAATCGCAGAGGCCGGGCCTGGTGGCTCATGCCTGTAATCCCAGCACTTTGGGAGGGCAAGGTGGGCGGATCACGAGGTCAGGAGATCGAGACCATCCTGGCTAACACGGTGAAACCCCGTCTGTACTAAAAAAATACAAAAAATTAGCCGGGCATTGTGGCGGGCGCCTGTAGTCCCAGCTACTCTGGAGGCTGAAGCAGGAGACTGGCGTGAACCCGGGAGGTGGAGGTTGCAGTGAGCCAAGATGGCACCACTGCACTTCAGCCTGGGCGACAGAGCAAGCCTCCGTCTCAAAAAAAAAAAAAAAAAGAAAAGAAAAAAGAAAAAAAGAAACAATTGTAGAATGGAATATAATTCTCAATCTGTATGATGAAGACTGGGTGTGCTCTTATGCACCATTGAAGGCTAGTTAACAGGAGGTGCAGAAAATTTCATTGAGGAGGTAGAAATTGAATTGGGCATGAAAGCTCTGAAAATAGAATCTAGTCCATACAGAGGGAAAAAGACCAGCAATAACGCAAAGTAGAAATTAGAAAAACAACAAAAAAGGTCAGGCAGTGTGGCTCATGTCTATAATCCCAGCACTTTGTGAGGCTGAGGTGGAAGGGTTGCTTGAGCTCAGGAGTTTGAGACCAGCCTGGGCAACATAGCAAGACCCAATATCTACAAAAAATAAAAAAAAAAATTGGGGGACTGCCTGAGCTCAGGAAGTTGAGGCTGCAGTGAGCCATGATCGCGCCGCTGTGCTACAGCCTGGGACAGAATGGGACTCTGACTCAAGGGAAAAAAAAGGAAAGGAAAGAAGGAAGAAAAGAAAGAAAGAACCAACTAACTAACTAAATAACTTAGAGTTGTGTTCCAAGAGCCAAAGGGGATGACCCAGTTTATTTGGAATGGAGTCTGCTGGTCGAGCTACTGATAAAAATAAGCTCAGGTATGTTAGGGCTATTATATCTTAAGAGTTCAAGAGCCAAGGAAATAAGAGTGAGGCTTTTGAAGAATATTGTGGGGTATTTCCTATGTGACAAAGAGGCCTGATAATTATCACATATAACATTTATTTAGTGATTTATAGTTTACAAAGCAACTTCATATATATATTATCTAACTTAATTCCCATAACACTTGAGGTGTGATATTTATTTTACAGGTAAGGATGATAAGCCAAAGATGTTAACTGGCTTCGACCATGGGCATGCAGTGTGTCTTCTGCTCTACCTACAACTTTTCACAATGAGAGCAATATTTCAGTACGCATATTTCAGGATTCTATACATTCCATTATATAAGAATCAAGAAAAGGTAAGGAGAGGATTGTAGAAATCTAGGCATGAGCAAATGAGGTTCTGGAGAGTTAGTGGCAGCGAGAACAGAAAGGAAGGCGAGCACAGAAACATTTCAAAGGCATCATCAACAGGGATTGATGCCTAACTGGATTTAGGGAGCCGAGGCAAAGAGAATCAAAGCCCAAGGCCTGAGTGGGAGAATGCTGGTACCATTTGCAGAAGCAGAGAAAGCTCCTTGATAATTCAGACTGGCTACTGCGTTTCAGTTTGAGTGGAAACTGTTCATGTTGCAGCTCTTGCATCTACAACTCAGTGGGCGACTAGAAATAACTCGTCAGTAAATGAACAAATAATAGTTTAAGTAAGGGAAATGGGTGATTCTTTAACCAAGAATAAAGCATTTGCTAAGAAGAGAAAGCCAAGGATCAGGCCTGGGTGAATGCCCTCAGTTGGGAGAGGCCAAAAAAAGTGAGTGCAGTGCAGAGAGCCAGGGAATAGGATTAGTAATAAAAGAATTTGAGACAAAGGCCTGGGTAGGAATTCTAAAAGTTTATGGTTATTAGACCCATGAAGGAAGCTTTCTTATTGTTTCAGAAAAGGTATATAGTTTTAGGCATTTCTTCATTGTAGCAAAACATTGACTATCAGGTCCCTTTTGCTTTGGATAAAGATATTCCTCCCCAATTCATTCACTCTTGCATTGTTTCTCACAGGGTCATCCCACAGAACCTCTGACTTAGAAGAATCACTTCGGACACTGCTAAGTCTATAGATTCCTGCCCCCATTCCAGATTTCCTGAATCATACTTTAGAGTACAACCTAGGAATGTAAATCTTTACAAGCTTTTCGGTGGTTTTCATGCACACTAACATTTTAGAATCAGTGCTATATAATAAAAGATAAAATGACCGAGAAGAGGAGAATATGGCTAAAAATGACCAGACATGTAAATTAAAATCCTTAATACATTCCTGGGAACATGCTCAGCATTTGTGGAAAAGTGAAAGGCAAAGCAACACTGAACAGAAATAAATTCTGGAAAGTACCCTGAAAAAACTGTTTTGAACAAACAGGTTAATTTATCTCTGGCTTGCATTCAAATCCAGTGACACCATGATGGTAACCAGAAAGCATCGTGGAATCTCTTTATGGTAAGTGATAGTTTAGGGAGGTCAACATTGCTGGTTTGACATTCAGCCTTAAAACAAACATCAGATTTTCTCTATTCACATGTTTTCTCTTACCCGACAATTCTTTAAGGAAGTACAGGAAAAGACAATCTTTTTCTTCATTACTATTTGGACTTTTAGATCATATCCATCGCCTGTTCCAACACCTAAATGAAATTAAAAAGTTAGGTTGGTTAGTGTGAAGATCAAAATGTCTTGCCAATTAACATTATGGATTAAAAAGAGAAAAAAAATGGCTGGGCACGGTGGCTCACGCCTGTAATCCTAACACTTTGGGAGGCTAGGCAGGTGGATCTTTTGAGGTCTGGAGTTCAAGACCAGCTTGATCAACATGGTGAAACCCCGTTTCTACTAAAAATACACAAAAATTAGCCCAGTGTGGTGGTGCATGCCTGTAGTCCCAGCTACTTGGGAGGCTGAGGCAGGAGAATCGCTTGAACCTGGGAGGTGGAGGTTGAAGTGAGTCGAGATTGCACCACTGCACTCCAGCCTGGACCACAGAGTGAGACTTAGAGCAAGACTCTGTCTCCAAAATATATATATATATATATATTTTTTTTTATATATTTAGGGAATAAATATATATATATTTAGGGAATAAATATATATATATCTATATTTAGGGAATATATATATGTATTTAGGGAATAAATATAGATGTATATACATTTAGGGAAGGTGACTTGACACCTTTCTTGCTAATGTGTTGCTTTCTTCAGACTTCTAATCATAATGATTCTTAATAAGAAATACTGTGGTCTAAATTACTTTGGCCCTACTTTAAGTCTAGTTCCTGATGCAATCTCTAAAAAAATATAGGTTATATCCAAAAATTCCCACGGTATTCAACATATATTTACAGACAAAGGCTCTTTTGCCCTTTTTTTTTTTCAATTCAAATGACCCGCTTCCTTAACATTTCCTCAAAGGCTTTGTTTCTCAGGCTCCAATTAATTTTTTATTGCTTTCATCTCAACTCTACATTATTTTTAATTTAAAATGGCACAAAACTAAAAGTTGAGAATTAAAACAAATATTCTAATAAACGAGTGTATTAATTATTCTTGATTGATCATCTCATATGCCGTTTGTTTTCTTTTCATTTAATTTTGTTTTCATTAACACCATGATATTCATTGGTCATTAGAAATCAGTTTCTTGCCTCAGTTCCCTCTTTCCCATTCCAGGTGCAGAACTTCTTTCTATTGATGTCCACCAGAAATCAGTGAAATGTAGAATGAAACTCAGGAGGCTAAAAATACTAGGCTCTCTGTGTGGACACAAGCACCCCGGCACCATGGCACCTATAACACCCAGCAGTGGCACCACCTCAGGTCCACACGCTGGCTGTTATAAGAGGTTTGCTTTAGGGGTTCAGATGCATCGCCTCCCTGCTACCTCTCTGGCAGTGGGAGTGGTGAGACCCCATCCCCTCCACACAGACACATCCTGCTTTCCCACCTCTACTGAGTGTTAAGCTGTGCAGGGGAAGCAAGGTTGGTGATGGAGAAATGGACATGGAAATGGAGGCCAGTTTCTCTCTGCACTTTCTTTCTCAAGTCCCGGAGGTGTACGACTGACCAATTTCCCTGCGTCCCTGGGCAACAGTGCATCCCAGCTTTATCTCTCTGCTTACATTCTGGAAGCAGGCAAATAGCTCTCGTGATGTTTATATGGATTTTTACAACTGCTAATACTCGGTAACAGCTAGGCCGGTGAAAGATACCTCCATAGAGCCCCACTCTCTCGCAACCCTTTCCATTTTCATGTAGATTCAGGCAGGGAAGACCTAAGCGCTCCTCCTAGGAGGCTTTTCTTGACCCCCAGCACTGTGGCTGGGAGTGAGAGCCACAAGGTATGGGAGTGGCTGGGAGTGAGAGGGTTACAGATGGAGGACAGAGGGGAAAGAGAGAGCCCAGGGGGATGAGAAAAAAATATGCCTCTGAAAGAAGGTAAGAAAATGATATGATATGGAGACACCTCCACCAAGACAAACTCTCAACTAGAGGTGGTTTGAGAAATAACCAGTCTTGAAGGCACATGGGACCTCCTCCTCCCTCATCAGAGGCTCACTCTGCCCTGAAAAGTCCACCTTGGGTTGTGACCAGAAGAGCAAAGAGAACAGGAGAGATGGGAAGGGGATGAAGTCCTCCAAATTGGTGATGGAAAAGAAAAAGTGAAGAACATCTAAGGGCTGGCAATCAATGGGCAATTCCAGGAGGAGGAGCATACCTAAGGAGGAGTTTATGCATGAGGATACGTAAAAAGACAGGTATAAGTTAGGATCATCTGTGTATATAACAATGAGCAAAACCCTCCCAGAGTGGGAACCTTGGCCCTCCTGCCCAATTCTTCAATTTTACATAAACACTTACCATGAATCGAATAAATAACGAATCTTTTTATAAACAGTGTTTTTCTTGGAGGGAGATTCCAGTTGTAGCTATGTTTCACTTGTGCAAAATATCCAACATATCTATTCTGAAAAGCAACAGAAGCCTTACTTTAAGTGGAGATGAAAAGCCTGAAGTCAGCATTCCTATTTTCAGTTTTCCCTTTTTTTTTTTTTTTTTTTGCATAAAGCTTAAGGGCAGTAAATAATTAAGGGAACATTTACTGGATGTCATTATGTTACTAGATATTTTGAGGGATGCTGCCTCACAACTATCTACCTTGGGGAAAAAATACTGAATTAAGTGCTATGGGGAAGTGACAAGGATGGAGCCAGGTCTTGTTGACAGGCTGCTTATGGTTGAGAGGGCAACTAATCAGAACCAACAACAAAACAGTTACAGCATTAGCAGTGTGCAGATAGAAGCTTAGTTGTGACTGAGTTAGAGGAAGGTGTGTGGTTTAGTGAAGAGCAGGTTCCTGGGCATGAGAGAATGCCATATGTGAAAACTCAAGAGGAATACCTCCATATCTCAGTAGCAGGTTTCCTGTCATTCTTCTCTTGTTCCTGACAGCTAGGATTTCTTCACTTTCCATTTCCCCAATTCTGTTTTCACAAGGAAGCCCCGGAATTCCCTTAGCCTTGTCCTTTTCCTAGGGCAAGCTGTTCACAGTGGCTCTCCTTGAATCTATCTTCAAGGAGTTGAAGAGCTCTGGTACTGAATCAACTGGTTCAGAACTCAAAAGTTGGCTGGGCTGGTGGCTCACACCTGTAATCTCAGCACTTTGGGAGGCCGAGGTGGGCAGATCACTTGAGGTCAGGGGTTCGAGACCAGCCTGGCCAACAGGGTGAAACCCCGTCTCTACTAAAGCTACAAAAATTAGCCATGCGTGGTGGTGGGCACCTGTAATCCCAGCTACTCGGGAGTCTGAGGCAGGAGAATTGCTTGAACCCAGGAGGTCGAGGTTGCAGTGAGCTGAGACTGCACCACTGCACTCCAGTCTGGGTGACAGACAGATTCTGTCTCCAAAAAAAAAAAAAAAAAGAAGAAGTACTCATAAGTTCATGGACTCTACCTTACCCATTGAGAAATGTTCATAGAAGTAACAAACTGCCATACTTTCCTTTAGAAAGGGCCAGTCATGAGGAAGGCTCATGAAAGTTCTTAACTTAGGAGTAGATGTAGTCAGTAGAATGGCCCACAATGCAGGATCAGAATGTGATGGTATCCGAGAATCACCACCAGACACAGAGGGCACTCTGTCCTGAGGTCTTGCCAACACATCTCTCAAATGTGCAGCTGAGACCCTGTGTTGCCTTCTCAGTCAATCAGAAGAGATTCAGTTGCAGCCTTTGGTGTGCTAGTTCTGGACTAAAGTTCGGGAAACTATGCATGACTACAGAAGAGATGGGGATGGGGAGACGTGTGGGGTGAGTTGCTGAAGGAGCTCTATCTAACATCTCCTTGGCTCCTGCCACCAGATTCTCCACCTTCCCCTAAAGGCTGTAACCTGCCAGGGCCCTCAAGCTGCTTTTGCTCCCATGCTTCTTTCTACTACAACTTAAAACAACATGGACTGGTAGTAGAAATTCATACAACCAACCCATAGGAGGTACTCACTACAAACAAAGAAGATATTATGAGGAAAGGGTGGAAAGATGGGTAAGCCATGGGCCTTGCCTTTAAAGGGGAAACAGAAGTCACCACTTCAAATAGCTAGAGAACAATGCAAAGTGATATCATCCCTAAGAGAAACACAAAGGGCTTTAGGAACTGAAAAAGCAAGAGACTACTTCAGGCTGGGAAGGGAAAGGGACTCTAGGAAAAGGGGCATGAGAAATGGCACGAGGGAATCAAGTGTCCATGGGCTGGGAAACAGCACACAGTCTAAATGTGTTAGAGTGTGGGATGTGTGCATGCACATAGTGGAAGAAAAGGTTGGAAAAGTCAAACTGTGGATCTTGAGTGCCAGGTTGAAACATTTAGTTTATTGCTACTGGCAGTGGGGACATACTCTGGATTTTGAGCATGGAAATGGCATGAGTAGGGCTGCACTTCAGTAAATCCACACATTCCTTTTCGCTTAGGGTCTATGACTGTTCTTTGTCTGGTTTTGTTTTTGGCTTGGGTGTGGGAGAAAAGTATCAGTGGATAAGGCTGAGTTCTTTTGCCCAAACTAAACGGGGACAGTAGTTAGTGTTCTTATAACAGGGCCAAGAGTACTTATTCAGTTCCCACCACCTAAAGAAAAACTCATTTACAGCCACATCCAAATCTATTTGAGAATGCCCAACCCACTCTCACTTCGGTTTGAGGGGCAATATAGAAAAGGCAATATAAATGAGAAGCTGTGCACAGCATGGGCTTCAGAGTCTGACATCTAGATTTCAGTCCTTGGTTCAAAAGTTAATTTCTCTGAACCTCAATTTTCTAATTTATAAGATGAGAATCATAGGAGTGCCTACTCATAGAGTTACTGAGAATATTAAATGAGATAGTGAATGTAAAACTCTTAGAATGGTTCAGCAAAGTCTAGAATGTTGTAAATGCTATACGATAAACATTCTGGTTTCTGCAGTAAACAAATTACAAGCAATAAAAAATGGCAAGAAATCTATGAACTAAAAGAGACTTAGGAGACATAGCGACCAAATGAAATGTGTGGATGTTGTTTGAATTCTGACTGAAACAAACTAAATTTTCAAAGATTTTAAGACAATTTTGGAAACAAACATGGACTAGAAATTTGATATTAAGGATTTTTAAGGTGTAATATTTCAGATATGATAAAAGTTATTAAGGGTTTTTTGTTGTTGTTTTAAGAGTACTTAGATGTCATACTAAAATACTTGTGGGATAAAATGATCTGATGACTGAAATTTCCTTCCAAATAATCCAGGTTTGGGGAAAGCAAGAGTGGAGAGTGGGGTTGGGGGTGTGAGTGGAGTGGGAAAAGTATGGATGAAACGTGGCTGGCTGCAGGCTGAAATGATTGTTGCAGCGAAGCGATGACTACATGGAGATATATTGTATGATTCTCTGGACTTTTGTATATGATTAAAATTTTCCATAACAAAATTATTTTTAAAAGAAAAAATAGAGTAACAGCATATGTTTCATATAGGTGTTATGGGTTTTCAATGAGATATGTAAAAGTGCGGTACTGTCTGGTATATAAAAGGGTTTTTGAAAAGTTTATTTCCCCTTTTCTTTCTCTTTTAAAATACACCTCCCCCACAACACACACACACACACACACACACACACACACACACACACACACACACACGGGAGTCACCCAAAAACAGTCTTTGTGATGTTCTGCAAGGGTTGAATTGCCCTAATAAGGATCTGTGAAAGACTTAGATCTTTTTTACATTGAAATCAAAGGCTGGTGATTTTAGATAAACTTCAGGGTCCTGGAGCCTTAGGTATTGGACTTTCCTGCTTTGGGAAAATAATCAACTCCTGAGCTCCGTAAACAATAACCAGTATAGAATAGAAAACAGGATGCTCTGAGGAGAAGCCAGACCCCCCAACGTGTGGGTGGCACCTGAAGCATGACCCTTAGCATCAGGGAGGGACCAAGGCCTGTCGCAGGGTGCCCTAATGCTGCTGACTGATCACCAAAGGAGAAGAGTCTAAAATGAAACCAAATAACAGATGGCAATCTTAACCCACTCCCCTACAAAAGCTCCCTTTCTTAAAACGAAAACTTACCTGAGAAGGAGTTTCTACTCCCTGATATTTAGTGCCATTGGTTTTATCTGTTCGCCGTTCTCCAAAATAGTACAATCTTTCCTACAAAAAAGGAACCATGGTTCATCTGCACTCTTTCCTTTTCTATATTAGGTACCTTAGTCTTTCTAAAACCACCTTCTTTCCTAAAGTCAGTGATTTTTTTTTTTTTTATGGAGTCTCGCTCTGTCACGCACACTGGAGTGCAGTGGCAGAATCTCACCTCACTGCAACCTCTGCCTCGCGAGTTCAAGCGATTATCTTGCCTCAGCATCCTGAGTAGCTGAGACTACAGGCGTGTACCACCACACCTGGCTAATTTTTTGTATTTTTAGTAGAGATGGGGGCTTTGCCATGTTGGCCAGGCTGGTCTCGAACTCCTGACTCAAGAGATCCGCCTGCCTTAGCCTCCCAAAGTGCTGAGATTACAAGCATGAGCCACCGCGCCTAGCCGCAGTGGTCTTTTGGCAAAGGCTACCCAAATTACCAAAATTAACAAAGTCACATCAAAGACTTCTCTCATTCAAGGTTTCATAAAGACATAAAAGTTTAGAGCTGGAAAGACCTTAGAAATCATCTGGTCCAACCCTTCTTTCCATCTTACAAATGAGAAGACTGAGACCAAAAGAAAACTACACAATCTGCCATGGAGATGCTGCAGCCAGTTAGAAGCAGCACAGGCCTGAAATACAAGTCTCTGGTTTTCAGTCTAGGGCTCTGTATCAGTGGCTTTCAAACTTTTCATTTTTTAAGTTGCAATCCACATTAATAAACCTCGGAGAAGTACACACACACACACACCAATACTTAAACCTTTTCAGATTTTCTATTCTGCTCTATTCCATTTTATTTAGTTTTAGCTTTAGTTTTTTTTTGTTTTTTTTTTTTGAGACGGAGTTTCACTCTTACTGCCCAGGCTGGAGTGCTATGGCCCGGTCTCAGCTCACCACAACCTCCACCTCCTGGGTTCAAGCGATTCTTCTGCCTCAGCCTCTCAAGTAGCTGGGATTACAGGCATGCACCACAATGCCCAGCTAATTTTGTATTTTTAGTAGAGACAGGGTTTCTCCATGTTGGTCAGGCTGGTCTCAAACTCCTGACCTCGGGTGATCCATCCGCCTCGGCCTCCCGAAGTGCTGGGATTACAGGCATCAGCCACCGCACCTGGCCGATTCCATTTTATTTTTAAGAGATGTTAGTCACAACCCAGTAACTTTATTTTACAACTCACTGATACATCATGATCCATAGCTTGAAAAACACCATCCTAGAACATCCATTTTCAAAATCTGTGTGTCTCAAATTAGAAAAACCAAAGGTGGTGGAATTAGAGTGCTGGGCATTGTGCAGAACCACCACTTCTTCCCTAGACTGTAGGCCAAACAACTCAAGCGGAGCTGCTGGAAATGGTAGCATCTCAGCAAGAAAATGGCAGAAAGAAAAATGACTGAGAACACTGCTGTAGGTGGAAACAGCCCACCTTGTCTTATCAGAAATTTCTAGAGGCCACAGACTCCACATGTGTTGACTAAGCAGAGGTATTTACATGCAGGAGAGGCTTTGAGTTGTGAAATGTTGCCTTTTATCTACCTAAGAGGTGTGAGGATGGCCAAGGCCCTTTGGAAAATTTATCTAATTAAGCTTGATACTATTCTCATGAGGAAGGAAGAACAGCAGGGCCAGGTGAGGTGAGGGAACCATTGCGATTACTGAATGTTTTTTGTATCTGTGTAACATGGCTTTACTCCCCTCACCTTAATCCTGCCCCATCAGGTCTTGTCATTATTTAAAATGTTAATATTGTATACCTCATGGTTTTTTTGCATTAATTTTTATTTTTTAAATATTGCATGAAAAATCATTTATTTTAATTATTGCAATTTTTAGCATTCTCTTAAATTCTGCGCCTCATTTGACCTCACTCTAGTCCTGGCCCAAAGAGATTCTTAAGCCAGCTACTAACCAGTGCATGTTAAACAAGGAAGTATCAAAAACAGACTTTTTAACAACCGCTTCTCCAATTACAATTTCACTAAGCACCATGACTAAAATAATCATCTTAACATCCTACCAGTGATGTTTCAGAACTAGCAAACTCAGTCATCCTAAGACAAAGTTTGTAGTAACATCTTTCATACCTCTGCAGTTAAAAATATTTCACTGGCAATCAGGCAGGCACAAACCATAGTTCCGGTTCTTCCTAGAAAAGAAAAGTTAGTTCAAGGAACATGCTTGGTATAAAAATACACTCAGAAATATTCCAGGAGTTCATTTTAAGTTGATTTTCTTTCTTTTTTTTTGGGACAGTCTCGCTGTGTCACCCAGGCTGCAGTGCACTGGCACGATCTCAGCTCACTGCAACCTCTGCCCCACAGGTGGAAAATAAATTACATTTACGGTAAAAATATTTCTCACTACCTCTCCACGAAAGAACAAGATGAGGTTTTTACTAAATCTATTCGAAAGCAATAATTCATGTCTTATATAAATTCCTTTGGGTAACAGTAAGAAAGAAAAATTCCCAACTCATTTAGTAACACTAATATAGCTGGTTCCAAAACTGCATAAATACAGTAGACGATTACTTTATACCAGTCTGACATATAAATGTAGATATAAAAATATATATATTTTTTCAAAGTGAATTCAGCAGTGTAGAAATACCACGTATCAATACCAAGTGCCATTTCTCTTAAGAATGCAAGGATTTTTTTCCAAGACGGCAGATTACAGGCTTTTAGCATGCCTCAGCCATTTGGAAATAGCAAGATAGTACATAAAGATCAACTCTGTGAACTTTAATTCAAGAAAGAAAACGACAACTCCCTGGAATTATGAAGGACACCCCAGATCCTTGGGAGGACAACGCAGGCAAACAGCTCTTGTGACAACATTCGACTGATAAAAGCGAGTGAAGCCTCAGTATGTGAGAGAGGCAGACAGCATCCCTCTGTCTTACCTTTCCACTGGGGATCCAAGCAACCCGGACCGAGGAAGGGCACTGTTTCTCCCAAGTCCTGGAGCTAATTTAACGAGAGACTTGGAGACTTTGTGAGGAAAAGACACAAGGAAAAGCTGCAGGCATTTTCCCAAACCTGGACTGAGAGCAGGACAACACTGGGGAACCTTCCCCATCTGGCTCCACCCATCTTCCTCCCACACCCCCACCTAACTCCCGTTCCCCTAGGGTTTAGGAGGGAGCTCAGATTAATGTGTACTCCAGGAATCAGCTCATTGCCTAAGGCAACAGAGAGCTCTTCCCAATAAACAAACAGCAAGTATATAGCCAGCACCACTGGCCACAGCCAGCTCTTACCCATTGGCGCCATCTACTGGCTTGTAGGTCAAACCACATACCCAATATAAAACCTGCTGATAGAAGTGCATATAGAGGCAAGGCCAAAAGACCTACCTAGCATTGCTCTAAAGTCACATCACCTAAGGAGGAGGGAAAGGGAAAGCATAATAATAATAATAATGATATAGGAAAGAAAAGATAAAGAAAAAATCCTACCCACATAAAAACAGTTACAAAAATTAGAAGTGCTAGCATCTCCAGATGAGAAGAACCAGTACAAGAATTCTGGCACCATGAAAAACCTGCATGTAGTGATACCACCAAAGGATCACACTAGATCTCTGGCAATGCTTTCTACCAAAATGAAAACTCAGAAATGACAATAAAGAATTCAAAGCATGGATTCCAAGGAAGCTCAATGAGATTCAAGGTTGAAATCAACAAAAGGAAACTTCTAAATCAATTCAGCAAATGAAGGAAGAGATAAACATCTTAAAAAGAAATCAATCAGAACTTCTGGAATTAAAAAAACTCACTTAAGGAATTTCAAAATACAATGGAAAGATTTATCAATAAACTGGACCAAGCAGAGGACATAATTTCAGAGCCTGAAGACTGGTCTTTTGAACTAATGCAGTCAGACAAAAATAAAGAAAAACTATTTTTAAAAAGTGAGGAACGTCTTTGAGAAATAGGTTATGTGAAGTGACCAAACCTACAAATTACTGGCATTCCCTAGAGACAAGGAGAAAAAGAAAACAACCTGGAAAACATATTTGATGCAATCATTCAAGAAAATTTCCTGAATCTTGCTAGAAAGGTAGACATCTAGATACAATAAAGCCAGAGAACACCTGCGAGATACTATAAAAAAGTGGACATTACCAAGGCATATACCAAACAGTCCAAGGTCAACGTTAAAGAAAAAATCCTAAGGCCAGATCACATACAAAAGGAGCCCTATCAGGATAACAGCAGACGTCTCAGCAGAAACCTTAAAAATCAGGAGAGATTGGGAAGGTGTATTTTCAGAATTCTTAAAGAAAATAAATTCTAATCAAGAGCATCCTGCCAAACTAAGCTTCATGAGCGAAGGACAAATAAAGATCTTTTTTTCCAGAGAAGCAAGTGCCATGAGAATTCATTAAAACTAGACCAGTCTTACAAGAGATCCCTAAGGGAGTTCTAAACATGGAAATAAAAGAATGATACCTGCTACCATAAAAGCACACTTAAGTACACAGCTCACAGAGCCTATAAAACAACAATACAACAGAAAGTATAAAGCAACCACCTAACAATGTCATGATAGGGTGAAAAGCTCACGTCAATATTAACCTTGAATGTAAATAGTCTAAACACACCACGTAAAAGTCACAGAGTGGCAAGTTGGATAAAAAAACAAAACCCATCTGTCTGCTGTCTTCAAGACACCATCTCACATGTAACAACACCAACAGGTTCAACGTAAAGGGTTGGAGAAAGATCTCTCACACAAACAAAACACCAAAAAGAGCAGGGATCACTATTCCTAAAACAGATAAAACAGGCTTTAAACCAGCAATAGTAAAAAAGGACAAAGAAGGGCATTACATAATGATAAGGGGTTCAATTCAACAAGAAGCCTTAACAATCCTAAATATATATGCACCCAACATTGGATCACCCAGGTTAATAAAACAGGTACTTCTAGACCTATGAAAAGACTCAGCCACATAATAATAGTCAGGAGACTTTAACACCCCACTGACAGCATTAGACAGATCATTCAGATAGAACACTAACAGAGGAATTACGGACGTAAATTCAACACTTGACCAACTGGATGTAATAGGCACCTAAAGAACACTCCATGCATCAACCACAGAATATACATTCTTCTCATTTGCACAGCGAATGTATTCCAAGATCAACCATATGTTCCACCATGAAGCAAGCCTCAATAAATTCAAAAAATGTTGAAATCATACCAACCATTTTTTTTGGACCACAGTTGAATAAAAATATAAATCAATATCAAGAAGATCTCTAAAAACCAAACAATTTCATGGAAATGAAACAACTTGCTCCTGAATGACTTTTAAGCAAATGATAAAATTAAGGTAGATATCAAAAAATTCTTTGAAATAAATGAAAACAGAAACACAACATACCAGAATCTCTGGGATGCAGCAAAAGCAGTGTTAATAGGAAAGTTTATGGTGCTAAATGTGTACCTCAAAAAGCTAGTAAAATCTCAAATTAATAATGTAACATTACACCGAGAGAAATCAGAAAAACAAGAACCCCAAACCTAGCAGAAGAAAAACAATAACTAAAATCAGAGCAAAACTAAACAAAATTGAGACCCCAAAATTAAAACAGAGATTCAAAGAAACCAAGTCATTTCTTTGAAAACATAAACAAAATTGATAGACTGCTAGCTAGATTAACAAAGAAAAAGAAAGAAGATCCGGATAAGCACAATCAGAAATCACAAAGACGACATCACAACCAATCCCACAGAAATACAAAAGGTCCTCAGAGACTATTATGAACACCTCTATGCACACACACTAGATAATGTAGAGGAAATGAATACATTCCTGGCAACACAGAACTTCCCAAGATTGAATCAGAAAGAAATTGAAACCCTCACCAGACCAGTATCAAGCTCCAAAATTGAATCCATAAGTTAAAACCCGCCAACCAAAAAAGTCTTAAATCAGATGTATTCACAGATGAATTATATCAAATATACAAAGAAGAACTGGTACCAGTTCTACTGAAACTATTCCAAAAACTCCAGGAGGGATTCTTCCCTAATTCATTCTATGAAGCCAGCATCACCCTGAAACCAAAACCTGGCAAACACACAATTAAAAAAAAAAAAAAAGAAAACTAAAGGCTAATCTCAATGATGAAGATAGGCACAAAAATCGTTAACAAAATACCAGCAAACTGAATCCAACAGCACATCAAAAAGTTAATTCACCATGGTCAAGTAGGCTTCATTCCAAGGATGCAAGGTTCTGCATATGCAAATCAATAAATGTGATTCACCACACAGAAACCATATGAACATCTCAATAGATGCAAAAAAAAACTTTTGATAAAATTCAACATCCTTCTTGACAATAAACACTCAAGAAACTAGGCATTAAAGGAATACACTTCAAAACAGAGCCTTCTATTATGAACCCACAGCCAACATTATAACAGGCAAAAGCTGGACGCTTCTCCTTGTCAACTGGGACAAGACAAGGATGCCTAATCTCACCACTCCTATTTCACATAGTAGTAAAAGTCTTTGCCATAGCAATCAGGCAAAAGAAAGAAAAAAATGGCATCCAAATAGGAAAATAAAAAGTCAAACTATCTCTCTTCATCAACGATATGATTCTATATCTTCAAAATCCAAAAGACTCCACCAAAAGGCACTTGAAACTGATACATTACTTCAGTAAAGTTTTAGGATACAGAATCAATGTACAAAAATCAGTAGCATTTCTATACACCAATAATGTCCAAGCTGACAGCCAAATCAAGGACATAATCCCCTTTACAGTAGCCACACAAAAAATAAAATACTTAGGAATACAGCTAACCGAGGAGGTGAATGATCTCTACAAGGAGAACTGCAAACCACTGCTGAAAGAAATCATAGATGACACAAACAAATGGAAAAACATTCCATGCTAATGGACTGGAAGAATCAATATCATTAAAATGGCCATGCTACCAAAAGCAATATACAGAATCAACATTTTTCCAATCAAGCTACTAACATCATTTTTCACAGAACTAGAAAAATCTAATTCACATGGAACCAAAAAAGAGCCGGAATAGCCAAAGCAATCCTAAGCAAAAAGAACAAAGCCAGAAGCATCACATTACCCAACTTCACACTACGCCATAAGGCTATAGAAACCAAAAGAGCATGGTACTGGCAGGAAAAAAAAATTGATCAAAGGAAGAGAATAAAGAACTCAGAAATAAAGCCAAACACAGAAAGCCATCTGATCTTTGACAAAGTCAACAAAAATAAGCAATAAGGAAATGACTTCCTATTCAATAAATGGTGCTAGGATATTGGGCTAGCAATATGCAAAAGAATGATCTGGACCTATACCTTTCACCATACACAAAAATTAACTAAAGATAGAAAGACCTCAAACTATAAGAATACTAGGAGAAAACCTAGAAAACAGCATTCTGGACGCTGACCTTGGGGAAGAATTTATGACTAAGCTTTCAAAAGCAATTGCCACAAAAAACTGACAAGTGGGACCTAATTAAACTGTAGAGCTTCTGCACAGCAAAGAACCTATCAACAGAGTAAACAGACAACCTATAGAATGGGTGAAAATATTTGCAAACTATGCATCTCACAAAGGTTTAATATTCAGAATCTATAAGAAACTCAACAATTAAACAAGCAAAAAAAACAAATAACCCCATTAAAAATGGGCAAAAGATATAAACATACACTTCTTAAAAGAAGACATACCAGTGGCCAACAAACATGAAAAATGCTCCACATCACTAATCATCCGAGAAATGCAAATCAAAACCACAACATGATTACATCTCATACCAGTCGGAATGGCTATTATTAAAGAGTCAAAAAACAACAGATGCTGACAAGGCTGCAGAGTATACACATATACACTGCTAATGGGAATGTAAATTAGTTCAGCTACCTGGAAAGCAGTTTGGAGATTTCTCAAAAACTTAGAACTACCATTTGACATTGCAATCCTATTACTGCGTATGCATCCAAAAGAAAGTAAGTTGTTCTAACAAAAAGACACAGGCCCTGGCATGCTCTTCTCAGCACTACTGACAACAGGAAAGACACAGAATCAACCTAGGTGCCCATCAGTGGTGGACTGGCTTAAGAATATGTGGTACATACACACCATGGAATACTACACATTCATAAAAAAATAATATCATGTCCTTTGCAGCATCATGGATGCAGCTGGAAGTCATTATCCTAAGCAAATTAATGCAGGAACAGAAAACCAAATACCATATGTTCTCACTTATAAGTGAAAGCTAAACAATAGATGCTCATGGATATCAAGGTGGCAATAATGGACACTGGAATTCTAGAGGGGGCACAGCAGAAGGGGACACAGGTTGAAAAACTATTGGGTCCTATGCTCAGTACCTGGGTGATGGGATCAATCATACCCCACACCTCGGTATCACACAATATACCCAGGTAATAAACCTACACATGTACTTCCAAATCTAAAATCAAAGTGGAAATTATACCAAAAAACTAAGCTCAAAAAAAAAAAAATTTCTTTGCCCATTAAAAAAACAAATAAAAATACAAGAATCATCCTAGGCCGGGCGCGGTGGCTCTTGCCTGTAATCCCAGAACTTTGGGAGGCCGAGGTGGGCGGATCACGAGGTCAGGACATCTAGACTATCCTGGCTAACACGGTGAAACCCCGTCTCTACTAAAAATACAAAAAAATTAGCCGGGCGTGGTGGCGGGCGCCTGTAGTCCCAGCTACTCGGGAGGCTGAGGCAGGAGAATGACGTGAACCCGGGAGGCGGAGCTTGCAGTGAGCCGAGATCACGCCACTGCACTCCAGCCTGGGCGACAGGGCGAGACTCCGTCTCAAACAAACAAAAAAGAATCATCCTATATCAGAAATCTATATTAATGTAATTTATCATATTCACAGATTAAAGTAGACATACCTTGCAATTATGTCAATTAATGCAGAGAAAGCATTAACTAAAATTCAACCTACAACTGTGACTTTAAAAATTAATAAAAACTAGGACACTTCTTTAACTCAACAAAGGGAATCTACCAAAACACCTACCAGGAACATCATATTAATGATGTAATATTGATAGCATTTTCTTTAAAGCCTGGAATTAAGCAAAAATGCCCTCTGTTCACTGCTTCCATTTAACAATGTACTGCAGAGCCTAGCCAGTGTAGTAAGTCCGTGTAGTCAGTAAATCTATAGAATAACTCATTAATCTAACAAGAGAGTTGAGAGAGTTTAGGAAGATTTCTAGATGCAGGCTCAACATAAACAAAAATTAATAGCTAAATCAAGGATTCAGGTTGAAATCTTTACAGTAATTACTAAAAAAATAGAAAAGGAGTATATAACTTCCAAGGTAATGGGAGAGAGTGAGAAGGAAAAAATTATCAAAATTCAATCAAACCAAAACACAAGTCAGTAAGAATATAGAAGAGTTAAATAAATTAACAAATGCACGTACATAGAACATTGTTCTCAACAATGCATAATACGTGTTCTTTTCAAGTGTACAGAAAACATTTAACAATATCAACCAAATTCTAGGCCATAAACCAAGTCTACACAAATTTGGAAGAAAAAAAAAATAGTATGTTCTGTGTCCACAGCACAATACAACCAGAAATGAAAAACTTTTTTTTTTTTTTTTCAGATGGAGTTTCGCTCTTGTTGCCCAGGCTGGAGTACAATGGCGTGTTCTTGGCTCACCGCAACCTCCGCCTCCTGGGTTCAAGCGATTCTCCTGCCTCAGCCTCCCGAGTAGCTGTGATTACAGGCATGTGCCACCACACCTGGCTAATTTTTGTACTTTTAGTAGAGACGAGGTTTCTCCATGTTGGTCAGGCTGGTCTCGAACTCCTGACCTCAGGTAAACCACCTCCTCGGCCTCCCAAATTGCTGGGATTACAGGCGTGAACCACTGCGCCTGGCTTCACAAATAAAAAACTTAAAGATAAATGCAAAAGTCTCCTATGTTTGCAAATAAGGAAGTATACTTCTACACAACTCACGGGTCAAAAAAAAAAAAAACCACCAAGCACAGTGAAAATTGGAAAATAATTTGAACCCAATAAAATGAAAATATTACATATGAAAACTTGTGGGACGAAGCTAAAGCAACTCTTAGAAGAAAATGTATAGCCTTAAATGCTAAACAGAAAACAGAGTGGTCGACACTCTAAGAATTATTCATCTCAAGAAGTCAGGAAAAGAACAAATTAACCCATGGAATACAAAAGAAAATACTAAATATAATACTAATTCATGAAATAAAAAGTAAATAATAGAGTCCATTAGTAAGCCCAAAAATTTGTTATTTTATTTATTTATTTATTTATTTATTTATTTTTGAGATGGACTCTCGCTCTGTAACCCAGGCTGGAATGCAGTGATGCGATCTCAGCTCACTGCAAGCTCTGCCTCCCGGGTTCACGCCATTCTCCTGCCTCAGCCTCCCGAGCAGCTGGGACTACAGGCGCCCGCCACCGCACCCGGATAATTTTTTGTGTTTTTAGTAGAGACGGGGTTTCACCGTGTTAGCCAGGATGGTCTAGATGTCCTGACCTCGTGATCCGCCCGCCTTGGCCTCCCAAAGTGCTGGGATTACAGGCATGAGCCACCGCGCTCAGCCACATTTGTTACTTTTAAAAGACTAGTAAAATTGATAATTCCCTGGTGAGACTAATCAAAAGAAACAAAGGGAGAAGGCACCAAGAAAATAATGTAAGGAATAAAAAGGGAATGCCCCTGTAGACATTAAAATGGTAAAGTGATATTGTGAATAATCTGATGCCAAGACATTCGCAAACTTAGATTAAATGGACAAATGCTGGGAAAACAATAACCTACCAAAACAGGCTAAGGAAATAAAATTAGAGAGAATTCTATATACGAAACTGAGCGATAATTTAAAAACTTCTCCCCAGAGAAAACTCTAGACAAATGTAGCTTCACAGGTGAATTTCATCGTACACTTAAAAAGAAAAAAAAAACCAGCACGCATAAATTCATCGAGGGAATAAAAAAAGAGAAAATGAAATCTAACTCATTTTATGAAGCCAAGATTTGAAAAAACTATGAGAAAGGAAAATTACAACCAATCACACTGATGACATGAATTTGAAAATCCTCAACAAATATTAACAAATAGAATCCAGGAATTTAATTTAAAAAGTTTAATAATTATTTAATAAAATAGTATACCACAACTCAATCACATTTATTCCAGAAATATGTTGGTTTACCACTTAATCAATCATGTAATTAGCCACATTTATTTATAAGATAAAGGGGAAAAATTATCATCTCAAAGATTCAGAAAAATCTGGAAAAATTCAACATCCATTCATGATTAAAAAAAAAACTCTCTCAGCAAACTAAAGACATTGTTTTTTCTTTTTTCTTTCTTTTTTTTTTTTTTTGTTGAGCCAATGTCTCGCTCTGTCACCTAGGCTGGAGAGCAGTGGTGTGATATTGGCTCACTGCAATCTCTGCATCCTGAGTTCAAGCAATTCTCGTGCCTCAGCCTCTGGAGTAGATGGTATTACAGGCATGCACCACCACACCTGGTTAATTTTTTATTTTTTAGTAGAGATGGGGTTTCATCATGTTGCCCAGGCTGGTCTGAAATGATGTGCCCCACTGGGCCCCGCAAAGTGCTGGGATTACAGGCGAAAGCCATGGCGCCTGGCTAAGGAATTTCTTCATCTGATAAATGGTAGCTCACACACACACACACACACACACACACACGCTCGTAAAGCAATTGGAGAGACACTGAAAGCTTTTCCTTTGAGAATAGAAGTGTACACTGATGGCTGCTGTTGCCACTTCTAATTCAACACTGTACTGAAGGTTCTAGCCAGTGCTAGGGAGAAAAATGACTGAAAAGGAAAAAATACAATGTATTATTTTCACATGATATAACTGTGTACTATAAAATCCAAAAGAATCTATAGATAATTTAGTAGAACTAATAAGTGAGTTTAGGCTGGGCACAATGGCTCAGGTCTGTAATCCTAGCATTTTAGGAGGCAGAGGCTGAGGCTGGCAGATCACTTGAGCCCAGGAGTTTGAGACCAATCTGGGGCAACATGGCAAAACCCCGTTTCTACAAAAAAATAAAAAAATTAGCTGGGCATGGTGGCACCTGCCTGCAGTCCTAGCTACTCGGGAGGCTGATGTGGGAGGGATTCCCTGAGCCCAGGGAGGTTGAAGCTGCAGTGAGCCATGATCGCATCACTGCACTCCCGCCTGGGTGACAATGAAACCCTATCTCAAAACACACAAACAAACAAAAAAAAAGTGAGTTTAGTCAAGTTGCTAATTACAAGATTAATGAATAAAATGAACTGCATTTAAATCAACAACATTTAGAAAATAAACATTTTAAAGGGATATCATTTAAATAACCACAAAATATCAAATATCTAGGAATAAATCTCATCAAAAATATGCAAGCTTTCTACACAGAAAATGAGAAAACATTGTAAAGAGAAATGGAAGGAAACCTAACTGAATGAGAGAACATCTCTCTTCATGGGTTGGATGGGTCAATATTGTAAAGATTCAATTCTCCCCAATCTATAGATTCAACACAATTCCAAACAAATTTCTATCAGGTGTGTGTATTTGACCAGCTGACTCCCCAATTTTTTTTTTTTATACTTTAAGTTCTAGGGTACATGTGCACAACGTGCAGGTTTGTTACATATGTATACATGTGCCATGTTGGTGTGCTGCACCCATTAACTCGTCATTTACATTAGGTATATCTCCTAATGCTTTCCCTCCCCCCTCCCCCCACCCCATAACAGGCCCTGGTGTGTGATGTTCCCCTTCCTGTGTCCAAGTGTTCTCACTGTTCAATTCCCACCTACGAATGAGAACATGCGGTGTTTGGTTTTTTGTTCTTGTGATAGTTTGCTGAGAATGATGGTTTCCAGCTTCATCCATGTCCTTACAAAGGACACAAACTCATCCTTTTTTACAGCTGCATAGTATTCCATGGTGTATATGTGCCACATTTTCTTAATCCAGTCTGTCATTGATGGACATTTGGGTTGGTTCCAAGTCTTTGCTATTGTGAATAGTGCTGCAATAAACATGCGTGTGCATGTGCCTTTATAACAGCATGATTTATAATCCTTTGGGTATATACCCAGTAATGGGATGGCTGGGTCAAATGGTATTTCTCGTTCTAGATCCTTGAGGAATCGCCACACTGTCTTCCACAATGGTTGAACTAGTTTACAGTCCCACCAACAGTGTAAAAGTGTTCCTATTTCTCCACATCCTCTCCAGCACCTGTTGTTTCCTGACTTTTTAATGATAGCCATTCTAACTGTTGTGAGATGGTATCTTATTGTGATTTTGATTTGTATTTCTCTGATGACCAGTGATGATGAGCATTTTTTCATGTGTCTGTTGGATGTATAAATGTCTTCTTTTGAGAAGTGTCTGTTCATATCCTTCACCCACTTTTTGATGGGGTTGTTTGTTTTTTTCTTGTAAATTTGATTGAGATCTTTGTAGATTCTGGATATTAGCCCTTTGTCAGATGAGTAGATTGCAAAAATTTTCTCCCATTCTGTAGGTTGCCTCTTCACTCTAATGGTAGTTTCTTTTGCTGTGCAGAAGCTCTTTAGTTTAATTAGATCCCATTTGTCAATTTTGGCTTCTGTTACCATTGCTTTTGGTGTTTTAGACATGAAGTCCTTGCCCATGCCTATGTCCTGAATGGTATTGCCTAGGTTTTCTTCTAGGGTTTTTTATGGTTTTAGGTCTAACATTTAAGTCTTTGATCCATCTTGAATTAATTTTTGTATAAGGTGTAAGGAAGGGATCCAGTTTCAGCTTTCTACATACGGCTAGCCAGTTTTCCCAGCACCATTTCCCAGCACCATTTTTTAAATAGGGAATCCTTTCCCCATTTCTTGTTTTTGTCAGGTTTGTCAAAATCAGATGGTTGTAGATGTGTGGTATTATTTCTGAGGGCTCTGTTCTGTTCCATATCTCTATATGTCTATATCTCTGTTTTGGTACCAGTACCATGCTGTTTTGGTTACTGTAGCCTCATAGTATAGTTTGAAGTCAGGTAGCGTGATGCCTCCAGCTTTCTTCTTTTGGCTTAGGATTGACTTGGCAATGCGGGCTCTTTTTTGGTTCCATATGAACTTTAAAGTAGTTTCTTCCAATTTTGTGAAGAAAGTCATTGGTAGCTTGATGGGGATGGCATTGAATCTATAAATTACCTTGGGCAGTATGCCCATTTTCACAATATTGATTCTTCCTACCCATGAGCATGGAATGTTCTTCCATTTGTTTGTAACCTCTTTTATTTCGTTGAGCAGTGGTTTGTAGTTCTCCTTGAAGAGGTCCTTCACATCCCTTGTCAGTTGGATTCCTAGGTATTTTATTCTCTTTGAAGCAATCGTGAATGGGAGTTCACTTATGATTTGGCTCTCTGTTTGTCTGTTATTGGTGTATAAGAATGCTTGTGATTTTTGCACATTGATTTTGTATCCCAAGACTTTGCTGCAGTTGCTTATCAGCTTAAGGAGATTTTGGGCTGAGATGATGGGGTTTTCTAGATATACAATCAAGTCATCTGCAAACAGGGACAATTTGATTTCCTCTTTTCCTAATTGAATACCCTTTATTTCTTTCTCCTGCCTGATCACCCTGGCCAGAACTTCCAACACTATGTTGAATAGGAGTGGTGAGAGAGGGCATCCCTGTCTTGTGCCAGTTTTCAAAGGGAATGTTTCCAGTTTTTGCCCATTCAGTATGATGAATGAACTTCTCTACACTGGTTACTCTAGTCAGCCATTTGTCTAATCTTCTTTCAAGGTTTTTAGCTTCCCTGCATTGGGTTTGAACTTCCTCCTTTAGCTCGGAGAAGTTTGATTGTCTGAAGCCTTCTCCTCTCAATTCGTCGAAATCATTCTCCGTCCAGCTTTGTTCCTTTGCTGGCGAGGAGCTGTGTTCCTTTGGAGGGGGAGAGGTGCTCTCATTTTTAGAATTTTCAGCTTTTCTGCTGTTTTTTCCCCATCTTTGTGGTTTTATCTACCTTTGGTCTTTGATGATGGTGACGTATAGATGGGGTTTTGGTGTGGATGTCCTTTCTGTTTGTTAGTTTTCCTTCTAACAGTCAGGACCCTCAGCTGCAGGTCTGTTGGAGTTTGCTGGAGGTCCACTCCGGACCCTGTTTGCCTGGGTATCAGCAGCGGAGGCTGCAGAACAACGAATATTGCTGAACAGCAAATGTTGCTGCCTGATCATTCCGCTGGAAGCTTTGTCTCAGAGGGGTACCCGGCCATGTGAGGTGTCAGTCTGCCCCTACCGGGCGGTGCCTCACAGTTAGGCTACTCAGGGGTCAGAGACCCACTTGAGGAGGTAGTCTGTCCGTTCTCAGATCTCAAACTCCGTGCTGGGAGAACCACTACTCTCTTCAAAGCTGTCAGACAGAGACATTTAAGTCTGCAGAGGTTTCTGCTGCCTTTTGTTTGATTCCCAAATTTATATGGAAATGTAGACGGCCTAAAATACACAAACAATTATGAAGAAAAAGATGATTGTCCTCACTTGACTGGAAATAAGGACTATTAGAAAGCTACAGTAAGATGGTTGTGCTATTGGCACACAGATGAAAAATCAATGAACAGAATAGAAAGGTCAGAAGCAGACTCATGTTCTGCAGGGAAGTAAAGAAATAAAAATCTTCTCAACCAGTGTACTGGAATAATTGGATAGCCATATATGGAAAAAGATGAAACTTAACCTCTTCCTCACACCACACCTATAAATCAATTTTTAAATGAATGAACCATCTAGAAGAAAATATAGTAGTAGAATGTCTTTAAACTCAAGGAAAATTTTCTTAATCAGGACACAAAAACACAAACTTTATAAAGAGAAAGCATAATACCTATGATGGTAATACAACTAAGAACTTCTGTTAACCAAAAGATACTCCTAAGAGAGAGAAAAGGCAAATCACAGAGCAGAAAAGTTTTCTTGAAATACATATATGACCAATAACAGAATGGAAATCAGAATATATAAAAAACTGCAAATCAAGAGAAAAAAAGACAAATAATCCAGGAGAAAAATGGGTAAGAAAACTTAACAGTTACTTTACAAAAAAGGATATCCAAATACTTAATAATATTAAGAAAACTTCTTCAATCTTATTAGTAATTATAGAAATGCAAATGAACACCACCATAATATGCCATCACACAAACACCCAATGGCTAAAAATCAAAATACTCAGAATTGCAAGTACTGGGGAAGATATGGAATGCTTCGAGTGTGCGATACCAGTGGAGTGAAAATTGGTACAACTGTTTTAGAAACAGGTGACATTATCAAGTAAAGTTCAAGATTCATTACCTTAAGACAGAACCATTTTAGTCTGAGGTACATACTCAACAAAAATATGGCCACATATGCAACAAGAAACATGTATTTTTAAAAGCAGCATTATTGGGCCAGGCGCAGTGGCTCACCCTGTAATATCAGCTCTTTGGTAGGCCGAGGTAGGCAGATCACTTGAGGTCAGCAGTTCGAGACCAGCCTGGCCAACATGGTGAAACCCTGTCTCTACTAAAAATACAAAACAGCCAGGCGTGGTGGCAGGCGCCTGTAATCCCAGCTACTCCAGAGGCTGAGGGATGAAAATCACTTGAACCTGGGAGGCAGAGGTTGCAGTGCGCGAGATCATACCACTGCACTCCAGCCTGGGTGACAGAGTGAGACTCCGTCTAAAAAAAAAAAAAAAAAGTAGCATTATTTATCATAGTAAAAACTGGAAACAACCCAAATGTAACAGGAAAAAAAAAAAGAGATTCCACTTGCAGTCACAATTTGTGTAGGAATGAATTTGTGAAAAGATGTGCAAAGACATGATGAAGAAAATATAAAATATTTAATTAAAGAATGAACAAGATCAATCACATGTATAACTTATTATCACAAAGTTGTCAGTTCTCTCGAGTGAATCTATAAATTCAATGTAGTTCCAATGAAAATCCTAAGCGTGTTTTATAATGGAACTTGACAAAATGATTTTAAAATTTAATGAAAGAATAACGTTCCAAGAAGAGCAAGACAATTCTGCCTTTATCAAACTACAATATAAAGCTACAATAATTACAAAAGTGTGATATAGAGAACTTAGAAACAATTTTGAATATTTCTAGAAACTTGGTATATGATTGAGAGGAATCACAAATAAATGGAGAACAAAATAGCATGCAATTGATGCTGTTAGGACCGTTGGCTATCCATATGAAAAAAAAACCTCCCCCAAATTTCAATTAGATTTAAGACCCAAATATTAAAAATGCAACTTGAAGATTTTTGAAGAAATGTGGAATATCTTTACTACCTCAGTATAGGGGTGAATTTCTTAAACATGACAGAAAAGCATGAAATACAAACACATCGATTAACACATTTTACCACATTCAAAATTACAAACTTCTTGCTGGCACAATGGCTCATGCCTATAATCCCAGCACTTTGGGAAGCTGAGGCGAGTGGAATATTTGAGTCCAGGAGTTCAAGACCAGTCTGGGCAACATAGGGAGACCCTGTCTCTACAAAAAATACAAAAATTGCCCCGGCGTGGTGGCGCGTGCCTGTAATCCCACCTACTCAGAGGGGCTGAGGCGGGAAGATCACTTGAGTACAGGGAGGTTGAGGCTGCAATGAGCCGAGATTGAGCCATTGTACTCCAGCCTGGGTGACAGAACGAGACTGTGTCTCAAAACAAAACACAAATTTACAAGCTTTTATACAACAAAATAAATCACAATCAAATTTAAAAGACAACACAGTGGGAGAATATACTTGCAATACTAAGAAAAATTGGCATTTAGATTCTTTAAAGAACTCCTATAAATCAATAATAAAATATTTCTACTCTCATGATACTACTGATAACCTGCAGGCAGCAACCAATCACAAGACAGCAAGATTAATTTGAATGAACATTTTTAAAAAGAGGCTTCTCTGGTGCATACCAGCTGAATATTCTCTAAACAACCTAAAAAAATCAACAAAATATTATGTGAACCCAGAATTATGCAAACCCCCTCTCAGCAAAAGTTTTTAGAAAAAAGTCAAATTTGAAATCCTTCAAGCAAGGAATTAGTATTAGTTAATAGAAAACTGATGCTACTGCTTGAAAAATAACATGTTAGGTTAGGCAATGTGAAATGGCCATTTTTAAACCAAAAGATGGTTAAAAAACTGGGAACTTCAAATGATTCAACTTCTATATTCTTAATTTAACTATGATATTGTAAATTGCCACTTTATACAGAATATTCAAACCTGTAGAGCTAAACACTGAACCGGTATATTAACTAATGGGCTTGAAACTAGTTCTCAATAAAACTAAAACTTCATTTTATTGAATAACATAAGTCAGTTTACAGTGTTATGTTTTCCTGGAATTTGATATAAAAATGGTTTTACAGCCCTCTAAGAAGGTAATTCTTTATGTTTATCAAAAATTGTGAAATATACTTAGATGATTATTCAAAGCCTAAACCTGAATGAGAGAAAATCTAACTGAACTTAAATTGATTGGATTTACAAGTGGCTTTTCCCCCCATTTTAACCCCACCAATATAAACTTCTTTGTATCATTACACTATCATAAGTCCAGTATAATTTTTGAAATAGCATCTCTGTGTTGGCTCCCTTAATCTAAAAGATTCTCACCAAGTTTAAGAACAAACTTAAATATTACTGGAACAAAAACAGACATATAGATCAATGGAACAGAATAGAAAGCCCAGAATAAATCCGTGCATTTTTCAGCTGATCTTCAACAAAGGTGCCAAGAATCCACGATGAGGAAAGGACAGTCTCTTCAATAAACAATACTGGGGAAACTGGACATCCACTTGCGGAAGAATGAAACTGCACCCTATCTCACCCAGTGTACAAAAATCAACTCAAAGTAAAGACTTAACTGTGAAACCTGAAACTGGAAAACTACTAGAAGAAAACATAGGGGAAAAGTTTCTTGACACTGGTCTGGGCCAAGATTTTTTGGATATGACTGAAAAGCACAGGCAACAAAAGAAAAAATAGACAAATGACATTGTATCAAACTGAAAAGCTTTTGCACAGCAAAGGAAACAATTATAAAGAGACCACCTACAGAATGGGAGAAAAATACCTGCAAAGCATATATTCAAGAACAGGTTAATTTTTTTTTTAAAGGAACTCAAACAACACAATAACAAGAGAACAAGTTACTTCTCTAAAAAATGGGCAAAGAACCTGAAAAGATATATCTCAAAAGAAGACATATGAATGGCCAAGAGGTATATGAAAAAATGCTCAACATCATTAATCATCAGGAAAACCAAATTAAAATCACAAAGAGATATCCTCATACCTGTTAGGATGGTGATTAACAAAAAGACAAAAGAAGAGTTGGTGAGGATGTAGAGAAAAGAGAACCCTCTTGTACACTGTTGGTGTGAGTGTAAATTAGTAGTTATTATGGAAAACAGCATAGGGACACCTCAAAAAACTAAAAATAAAAAAATAGAACTACCATATGATTTGGAGATTCCACTTCTGGGTATATGTCCAAAGAAAATGAAATCTGCACTCCCATGTTCACTGCAGCATTATTCATAATAGCCAAGCTATGGAGTCAATCTAAATGTCATCAATGGAAGAACAGATAAAGAATACCTGGTATATATAAATAAGAACACACTGTTCGGCCTTAGAGGATATCCTGTCCCTTGAGATAACAAGGATGAGCCTGGAGAACGTTATGCTAAGTGAAAGGAGCCAGGCATAGAAAGACAAATATTGGATGTCTCACTTCTTTGTGGACTCTAAAAATGTCAAATTCATAGAAGCAGAGAGTAGAATGGTGGTTACCAGGGGCTGGGGGGAACAAAAAGGAGGGATTGTGGAGATGTCAGTTAAAGGATGCAAAATTTCAGTTAGACAGGAATAAGTTCAGGAAATTTATTGCACAACATGGTGACCATAGTTAATAATAATATAGATTTGAAAATTACTGAGAGAGTACAATTTAAATGTTCTCACCACAAAAAAGTAAAAAGTATGTGGAGTAATGCATATGTTAATTAGGTTGATTTAGCCATTTTACAATGTTTACATATATCAAAACATCATGTGGTATACCATGAATATACTGATTTTTATTTGTTAATTTAAAAATAAAAAAGAGCAGCCTTAAATAAAACTACTCTGACACTCCAAAATTAAAGACTTTGTATTTTGAGAGATATAAACTGGCAAACCAAAAACAAAGATATCCAAATAGAAAAACAAGAGAAAATATGCTCAACCCTCCTTAGTTCTTTTTTCCTACTTTCTTCCCTTCCTTATCCTCTCCCTATCTCCTACTCTTCCTCCTCTCCTCTTTCCTTTCTCCTTCCCTTCTTTCAGTCTTACAGCTAATACTTTTAAATGCTAACAATTACTAATACTTATTAATAGCAACAGGTATCTTGTTCTTGTGCTTTACATATCCTTACACGTCTTTAGAATGGGAGGAATAAAAAGGAAAACGTTATTACCTTTGCCTCCTTTACAGTGAATCACTACGATGTTTTCAGAATCTTGAGCCATCCACTCCAACACTTCCTTGGAGAATGCTACCATCTCCCTGATTTCAAGGTTAGGATTTTTAGTTGAGTTAAAATATTTTCAAAAAATCAAGCCCAATAGATTTAGCCCCCTTCTCATAGTCAACTTAGCATAAAACTTACCGTAGAGTGGGGACATTATGATCATCGATCATGATTCTACTGACCCTATTATGGAAGTGCTTAGGATCATAAGCTCTTTCACCTAAAATAAATAATATGTATGTCATATCTCTATATATAATAACATAGTAAATGATGAAGTTATGAGCAACATAAAATATCTTATTAGAAATTCCCTATCCATCTTCAAAAGGAGCTTTCCAAGTTGCTTCTGCTGCTCTAAAATAAACTTAAGAATCTCAAAAACATAAGCATATAAGCAGATTATCCATCTCATGTCACCTAAACTCAACTTACTTTTGTTTAATAGGTGTAATTTTTAACTTTCTAGCAGACTATCATTATATTATTGCAGGGTAGTTAGAAACCACGCAAGAGATCGCGGAGCCAAGGAGGCCGAATAGGAACAGCTCCGGTCTACAGCTCCCAGTGTGAGCGATGCAGAAGACGGGTGATTTCTGCATTTCCATCTGAGGTACCGGGTTCATCTCACTAGGGAGTGCCAGACAGTGGGCGCAGGTCACTGGGTGCAGCGCACCGGGCGCGAGCCGAAGCAGGGCGAGGCATTGGCTCACTGGGGAAGCGCAAGGGGTCAGGGAGTTCCCTTTCCTAGTCAAAGAAAGGGGTGACACACGGCACCTGGAAAATTGGGTCACTCCCACCCCAATACTTCGCTTTTCCGACGGGCTTAAAAAATGGCGCACCAGGAGATTATATCCTGCACCTGGCTTGGAGGGTCCTACGCCCACGGAGTCTCGCTGATTGCTAGCACAGCAGTCTGAGATCAAACTGCAAGGCAGCAGCAAGGCTGGGGGAGGGGCGCCCGCCATTGCCCAGGCTTGCTTAGGTAAACAAAGCAGCCTGGAAGCTCCAACTGGGTGGAGCCCACCACAGCTCAAGGAGGCCCGCCTGCCTCTGTAGGCTCCACCTCTAGGGGCAGGGCACAGACAAACAAAAAGACAGCAGTAACCTCTGCAGACTTAAATGTCCCTGTCTGACAGCTTTGAAGAGAGCAGTGGTTCTCCCAGCATGCAGCTGGAGATCTGAGAACGGGCAGACTGCCTCCTCAAGTGGGTCCCTGACCCCTGACCCCTGAGCAGCCTAACCGGGAGGCACTCCCCAGTAGGGGGAGACTGACACCTCACACAGCCGGGTACTCCTCTGAGACAAAACTTCCAGAGGAACTATCAGACAGCAGCATTCGCGGTTCACGAAAAACCACTGTTCGGCAGACACCGCTGCTGATACCCAGGGTCTGGAGTGGACCTCTAGCAAACTCCAACAGCCCTGCAGCTGAGGGTCCTGTCTGTTACAAGGAAAACTAACAAACAGAAAGGACATCCACACCAAAAACCCATCTGTACATCATCATCATCAAAGACCAAAAGTAGATAAAACCACAAAGATGGGGAAAAAACAGAGCAGAAAAACTGGAAACTCTAAAAAGCAGAGCGCCTCTCCTCCTCCAAAGGATCGCAGTTCCTCACCAGCAATAGAACAAAGCTGGATGGAGAATGACTTTGACGAATTGAGAGAAGAAGTCTTCAGATGATCAAACTACGAGCTACAGGAGGAAATTCAAACCAAAGGCAAAGAAGTTAAAAACTTTGAAAAAAATTTAGACGAAACGTATAACTAGAATAACCAATACAGAGAAGTGCCTAAAGGAGGTGATGGAGCTGAAAGCCAAGGCTCAAGAACTACGTGAAGAATGCAGAAGCCTCAGGAGCCGATGCGATCAACTGGAAGAAAGGGTATCAGCGATGGAAGATGAAATGAATGAAATGAAGCGAGAAGGGAAGTTTAGAGAAAAAAGAATAAAAAGAAACGAATAAAGCCTCCAAGAAATATGGGACTATGTGAAAAGACCAAATCTACGTCTGATTGGTGTACCTGAAAGTGATGGGCAGAATGGAACCAAGTTGGAAAACACTCTGCAGGATATTATCCAGGAGAACTTCCCCAATCTAGCAAGGCAGGCCAACATTCAGATTCAGGAAATACAGAGAACGCCACAAAGACACTCCTCGAGAAGAGCAACTCCAAGACACATAATTGTCAGATTCACCAAAGTTGAAATGAAGGAAAAAATGTTAAGGGCAGCCAGAGAGAAAGGTCGGGTTACCCACAAATGGAAGCCCATCAGACTAACAGCGGATCTCTCGGCAGAAACTCTACAAGCCAGAACAGAGTGGGAGCCAATATTCAACATTCTTAAAGAAAAGAATTTTCAACCCAGAATTTCATATCCAGCCAAACTAAGCTTCATAAGTGAAGGAGAAATAAAATCCTTTACAGACAAGCAAATGCTGAGAGATTTTGTCACCACCAGGCCTGCCCTACAAGAGCTCCTGAAGGAAGCACTAAACATGGAAAGGAACAACCAGTACCAGCCGCTGCAAAATCATGCCAAAATGTAAAGACCATCGAGACTAGGAAGAAACTGCATCAACTAACGAGCAAAATAACCAGCTAACATCATAATGACAGGTTCAAATTCACACATAACAATATTAACTTTAAATGTAAATGGACTAAATGCTCCAATTAATGACACAGACTGGCAAATTGGATAAAGAGTCAAGACCCATCAGTGTGTTGTATTCAGGAAACCCATCTCACATGCAGAGACACACATAGGCTCAAAATAAAAGGATGGAGGAAGATCTACCAAGCAAATGGAAAACAAAACAAGGCAGGGGTTGCAATCCTAGTCTCTGATACAACAGACTTCAAACCAACAAAGATCAAAAGAGACAAAGAAGGCCATTACATAATGGTAAAGGGATCAATTCAACAAGAAGAGCTAACTATCCTAAATATATATGAACCCAATACAGGTGCATCCAGATTCATAAAGCAAGTCCTGAGTGACCTACAAAGAGACTTAGACTCCCACACATTAATAATGGGAGACTTTAACACCCCACTGTCAACATTAGACAGATCAGTGAGACAGAAAGTCAACAAGGATACCCAGGAATTGAACTCAGCTCTGCACCAAGCGGACCTAATAGACATCTACAGAACTCTCCACCCCAAATCAACAGAATATACATTTTTTTCAGCACCACACCACACCTATTCCAAAATTGACCACATACTTGGAAGTAAAGCTCTCCTCAGCAAATGTAAAAGAACAGAAATTATAACAAACTATCTCTCAGACCACAGTGCAATCAAACTAGAACTCAGGATTAAGAAACTCACTCAAAACCGCTCAACTACATGGAAACTGAACAACCTGCTCCTGAATGACTACTGGGTACATAACGAAATGAAGGCAGAAATAAAGATGTTCTTTGAAACCAACGAGAACAAAGACACAACATACCAGAATCTCTGGGACACATTCAAAGCAGTGTGTAGACGGAAATTTATAGCACTAAATGCCCACAAGAGAAAGCAGGAAAGATCCAAAATTGACACCCTAACATCACAATTAAAAGAACTAGAAAAGCAAGAGCAAACACATTCAAAAGCTAGCAGAAGGCAAGAAATAACTAAAATCAGAGCAGAACTGAAGGAAATAGAGACACAAAAAACCCTTCAAAAAATTAATGAATCCAGGAGCTGGTTTTTTGAAAGGATCAACAAAATTGATAGACCGCTAGCAAGACTAATAAAGAAAAAAAGAGAGAAGAATCAAATAGATGCAATAAAAAATGATAAAGGGGACATCACCACCGATCCCACAGAAATACAAACTACCATCAGAGAATACTACAAACACCTCTATGCAAATAAACTAGAAAATCTAGAAGACATGGATAAATTCCTCGACACATACACTCTCCCAAGACTAAACCAGGAAGAAGTTGAATCTCTGAATAGACCAATAACAGGAGCTGAAATTGTGGCAATAATCAATAGCTTACCAACTAAAAAGAGTCCAGGACCAGATGGATTCACATCCGAATTCTGCCAGAGGTACAAGGAGGAACTGGTACCATTCCTTCTGAAACTATTCCAATCAATAGAAAAAGAGGGAATCCTCCCTACCTCATTTTATGAGGCCAGCATCATCCTGATACCAAAGCCGGGCAGAGACACAAGCAAAAAAGAGAATTTTAGACCAATATCCTTGATGAACATCCTTGATGACTGCCCCCTGTCTATTGAGTATACAGGTAGAGAAAAAAATCAAGACAGAGTGATAAGCTGGGTTGTAACCTATTTTCTAAAGAGTTTGCTTTTTTCCCACCTAGGGCCCTGCTCTCATCACAACCCACTGCTAATGGGTCAGAGGACTCATCTGTTAAATTGTCTATGTCCTCATAACACAATCTGGCAGGAAAAACAGACAGATGTTCCTAAACCTAATATCACTAGAACAGATCTTCCCTAAAATGGTTTGCCTTCACTCTAGCCTCATTGGTCCTGCCAGAGCTGCCTCCTTCATAGGGTACTTTGTGCTCCTGGGCTAACTCCTTCTACCAAATGGGGCCAGTCCAAGACAGGGATTTTTAAATTCCTTCCTCACCACCACCAAATACTTATGATTAAATGCAATGTAAAAAACAAAATCATCTTCTTACATTCAGTAATCTGTTTTCTATCTACAGTAGCAAAATACAGAGTAAGGTACATACTGCATAGATTGTAGACTCGATAGTGGTTTGGATGTTTCTTTGTCTAGAAACTGTATGACTTCCTAAAAAAGAGAAACACATATTTTCCATAGTCACATGGCACCAACATAAGCCATTTCCACGAGGAACCTAAAATGGTTATTACTTTCTATTACTTTGTCTCTCACTAGCATCTTCTAGGGGAGACTCAGGGAATACAAGCGTATGCCAATTTCAAGTTCTAATCCACTGTGGTTTTTCAAATAGTCCACAAAGCGTGTTTGACTACTCAGATTAGCCTCTATTGTAAATACACACTGTTTAAAGCTATCAGAAAAGTAAATTAGATGGTTAACTAACTTTAAGTAAATTTGTTCCAAATCATAATTCACAGTTAATGTGGTTCTTATTTAAATCTAATTCATATTGCTTCTTATTTAAATTTAATTCTGATTAGGTATGTCTTTTAGATAGTGATTTGAATATTACATTCTACCTAAGCACTATGTAAACAAATAAATGCAAAAAGTATACACTATGATTGTGTGTGTATGCATGACAGAAAAAGATAAACATATTATATCAATTTATAAATAACTCGTAACAATATGGAAACTTTTTTGGCTCACCTGTTCTCTTAATTTTTTAATGAAGATATATATATACCGGTAAGTGTGTGTGTGTGTGTGTATATATATATACCTTTTCAATGAAAAATAGTAATTATCTGAAATATAATTAATATCACTATACAAATCCAACAATTTTTTCAGGAAATATCTCTTTCTGAAACATACACACATATGTATATATCTCTGTGCAACAACAAAAATGACACAATTTCAAAAACTGATTAGTATGGTACTGTCAGAACAATGTTTACTGGCTTAATATGGAGAACACTAACATTAAGGTATCAAAGTCATCCATTTATTAAATTGGTTATCTATGTTAGGAGGAAATAATACGTCAAAAAGATGAACACTCCGAATCTGCATAGTGGCAGAGAGGAAGGATAAAACATTTCATATACTTTAGAATTCATGAAATTTCTTACCTAAAATCCATATACATTTAGAAAACACATATTAAAAACTACAAACATCTATGAGAAATTTAAGTGAATTTTAATTCTTTGAATGAGGAAGAACTAAAAGTGTTGAATCAATGGAAGATCTATAGCCTTAGGTTTAACTTCATAAAATTCTGAAATTTCTGTTGAAAAATGCTATAATGAACAACAGGGGAAAATATTTTTTCAGAAAAATGCACTGTTGGGGACTATGCCTAGGATAATAAATTAATAATTCATTAACAACAACTTAAATATTACTCCCTCATCTTATAGATAAATGGGCCAAGGACATAAACAATCCATAAAAGAGAAAATCAAACTGATTAACAACCTACATAATATTCAGTGTCGCCAATAAAGAAGTCAAAACAACAGTGACATGACATTTGCGCCCATGAAATTAGCCCTTTTCCTTTTAATGAGAAAATCCAATGCTGGCAAAATAAGGCATGACATTAAAAACTTTGATTTATTTTGATACAGTAATACAATTGCTCTTGGATTTGGCAATATATATTAAGAACCCTAAAAATATTCATTCTCTTCAACTAGGTAATTTCACTCCTAACAATCTGTACAGAAAAAGCCTTACGCCCAAAGATATTTGTTGTTGTATTATTGATAATAGTGACACTTACATGTCCAACATTAGAGGTTCATCATAGCACTAATGAAATATCATGCAACCATTAGAATACTGTCCTGTTCTTCATTCTCTCAACCAGTAAATATCTCACTGCAGTAATTTATGTGCAGGCTTCTTTAGCGTACATATATAGGAAAACAGTTGGCCGGGCGTGGTGGCTCATGTCTGTAATCCCAGCACTTTGGGAGGCCGAGGCAGGTGGATCACGAGGTCAGGAGTTCAAGACCAGCCTGGGCAAGATGGTGAAACCCCGTCTCTACTAAAAATACAAAAATTAGCCAGGCATGGTGGTGGGTGCCTGTAATCCCAGCTACTTGGGAGGCTGAGGCGGGAGTATCGCTTGAAGCCCGGAGGTGGAGGTTGCAGTGAGCCGAGATTGCGTCACCGCACTCTAGCCTGGGTGACACAGCAAGACTCCAACTCAAAAAAAAAAAAAAAAGAAAAGAAAAACAGGCAATATTTGCTTTTTCCTGGGAAGACAAATATACTGGAGGGTTAAACTTTAGGGATTCTCTGAATCCCCTTCCTAGTTCTCTCAATGTCTAAAAAATTATATATATATACATATATGTATATGTATATATATGTGTGTGTATATACTTTTTATAATTATATGTTTATATATACTTTTTATAATTATATGTGTATATATACTTTTTATAATTATATATATATATATATATATATATATATATATATATAGACTCAATATATTGATGATTTACTGCTGTGTTTCCTGATCTAAGTAGTTTACTAAAGGATCCAAATACCTCTTATTCAAAGTAGGTGAAAAGGGACATAAAGAACCTAGAGAAAAGGTGAACTCTGCCAAGAATCTACATTTTTCTGGTCACAAGCTGTCACCAGATGGACAGTTTCTGTTTTCAACCAGAATAAAGAGCATTCAATTCTACCAAGAACAGAAATCAAAAGATGGCTAAGAAGATTTTAGGACTGTAGGTAATTGTATATCTGATTTTTCTCATAGCTCAGCCTTTGCATGCGCTTACTAAGTTTATACTTTCTGATGCAACTTCCTTGTGATGCAAAAGTAGAAAATGCTACTCTGTGAAAGCCTTCTTTTTTTTTTTTCTTATTTTCCATATTTCTTTTTTTTTTTTTTTTTTTATACTTTAAGTTTTAGGGTACATGTGCACATTGTGCAGGTTAGTTACATATGTATACATGTGCCATGCTGGTGCGCTGCACCCACTAACTCGTCATCTAGCATTAGGTATATCTCCCAATGCTATCCCTCCCCCCTCCCCCCACCCCACCACAGTCCCCAGAGTGTGATATTCCCCTTCCTGTGAAAGCCTTCTTGCAACAACCTCCACCTTCGGTTTTCCTAAATCTGCTCAACTCTTCTCTCTGCCTATCTTAGTACATTCCTTCATTTGGAAGCAAAGGTACACCCTCTGTACCTGCATGAGGTGGTAGCAGTGGCCAAACTTCTTGATGCTTCCACCACAGTGCTTGTTTGTCCACTAACTCTATGGGTCCAACATCTCTAAAGTTTTTGCTACTTCAAGGCAGCATCTGACATTTCTCCACTAGTAAATTTACCACTTAGGAAATTGTAAGGTCTGCTTTGCATATTCAGTGTTGTTCAAAATGTAACCCTGCAAATTTATTCTCTTATAAGAATAAAGAGGAATCACATGACTGTTTAGCATCCTCTCAGAAGTTAAGTATACCCGGATTTGAATCATGTACCTTTGAGTCAACCTTGATTTAATATACATCGTGGATGGTTCTCAAAAATGACAAAGGCACTCCAAGTGCAGAATATGCTGTTGTCATTGAACATGCAATGACTGAAGTGCTCCATGGCCTAATTCTCGGCCTGTCCAGGTAGCTGAACTAGTAGCTTAGATTTGGGGCTGCGCTCTGGCAAAGATGAAAGACTAAATATTAATATGGACAGTAGATTTACTTTTTGGGTGGCTCATGATTTGTGGCATTTATTAAAACACATGATTTATTACCTCCTTTCTGGATACTCTGATTAAAAATGGTAAAGAAATCAGTGACTTATTAGTACTTTTGTCAATGCCCTAAGGAGATAACAGTTTAATAACGGATAGAAATCAATAGTCTAGCCATCACCCCACAAGGAAATAGTAATGTCTTTGTTTTGATTTATATGCTAAGTGAGGTTTTTGGCTGTTAAAAACACCCCAGCTAATATTAAGTCTTCCCAAACTGATATTAGGCACCACCAAAACTACTAAAAGAAAATTGGCTCAGTTTAGACATGCCATAATTAACTCACAGTTATTAGCTCAACCAGCTTTAAAAAACAATATTAGCAATCAAGAGATGCTTTACCCATAAAGATGGAATTGGGAATTTGGGGATCGCTGCCCTCAAGTGGTATGACCCATCCAATGGACCCTGGTCACATTGCTCCATGACTGTTCCCATTATGGGAGAAGAAAAGTAATTCCACCTCAAATAAATAGTTTGAAACAATTTTCAAAATTGGCCAAGGGTGTGGTCGAATCATGTCTTAGCTGGGAGTAGTATAACCTGGGTGAGATGTGGGTCAGATCCTTCTCTTCAAGGTCTTTGGGTATTTACAAATGCATTTTTATACAACTGCTGAAGCCTTGAGTTTCTGACTATATATTAGTTATTTCTTGTAAACTATCTGCATGTATAAAAATGCTTCCCTGCCTGAGAATAAGGTAGAAAGATTCCATCAGTGGTCCCAATTCTTCATCTTTTCCTGAATCCCGGCCCTCACATTTCACCTTGTAGTGCCCTTTCACTCTAAATTTGGGCTCTATTATGTGAGTTGATTTGGTCAATGGGATGTCACAAAGGAGAGCCTTGCAAAAGCACTTGTAAGATTCCACTCTAGCTCTTTCCTTTTGCCATTACCCTGAAACATATCCATCATATTCATCCTGATGGAGGATGAAGATGAGTTTAGCAGATAGGAGTTATCCAAGACACCAAAGCTAAGGTAAATGTAGACCAACAGATAAAGACATTTCAAGGAAAGAAAATTTCATATCACTCATGCACATAGATGAAAAGTTCTAAATAAAATATTAGCAAACAGAATCTAGTGATATATAAAACGATAATACATTAAGACCAAAGGGAGTTTATTCCAAAAATAAAAAAGGTTGGCTTAACATTTGAAAATCTCATTAATGGAAAAACACAAAAACATTTTGATTACCTTGATAGATGCAGAAAAAATATCCAGTCTACTCAACACCAATTCATGATTGAAAACTTTTAGCAAACTAGAAATAAAATGGATTGTCTGAATCTGGTAAAGAATGACTACAGAAGCCTATAGCAAACATCGTTTCAAATAGTGAAGTATAAAATTCCTTCCACCTGAGTTTGGGAATAAGGCAAGGCTGCCTCCTCTTACCATTTCTATTCAATATTACAGTGAAAGTCCTAGATAATTCAATAAGGAAAGAAAAAAGTACAAAAACTGGGAAGAAAGTAGTAACTTTATGATTGTATACATAAAATCCCAGGGAATCTACACATTAATTATTAAAATGAATGTGTGAATTTATGAAGGATGCTAGATATAAAGCTAATATACAAGGCCAAGTGTGGTGGCTCACACCTGTAATACCAGCACTTTGGGAGGCTCAGGTGGGAAGACTGCTTGAACCCAGGAGTTTGAGACCAGCCTGGGCCAGTGAGACCAGTGAGACTCCCTGTCTACAAAAATTAAGTTAAAAAAAATTAGCCAAGTGTGGTGGTGCCTGCTTGTAGTCCCAGCTACACGGGAGACAGAGGTGGGTGAATTGCATGAGCCCAGGTGCCACTGCACTCCAGCCTGCGGTGACAGAGCAAGGCCCTGTCTAAAACAAACAAACAAATACTAAAACATTCCATGCTCATGGATAGGAAGAATCAATATTGTGAAAATGGCTATACTGCCCAAAGTAATTCATAGATTCAATGCTATTCCCATCAAGCTACCATTGACTTTTGTCACAGAACTAAAAAAAACTACTTTAAATTTCATATGGAACCAAAAAGAGCTCGTATAGCCAAGACAATCCTAAACAAAAAGAACAAAGCTGGAGGCATCACACTACCTGACTTCAAACTATACTACAAGGCTACAGTAACCAAAACAGTGTGGTACTAGTGCCAAAACAGATATATAGACCAATGGAACAGAACAGAGACCTCAGAAATAACACTACACATCTACAACCATCTGATCTTCGACAAACCTGACAAAAACAAGCAATGGGGAAAGGATTCCCTATTTAATCAATGGTGCTGGGGAAACTGGCTAGCCATATGCAGAAAACAGAAACTGGACCGCTTCCTTACACCTTATACAAAAATTAACTCAAGATGGATTAAAGATGTAAACATAAAACCTAAAACTATAAAAACCCTAGAAGAAAATGTAGGCAATACCATGAAGGACATAGGCATGGGCAAAGACTTCATGACTAAAACACCAAAAGCAATTGCAACGACAGCCAAAATTGACAAATGGAATCTAATTCAACTAAAGAGCTTCTGCCCAGCAAAAGAAACTATCATCAGAGTGAACAGGCAACCTACAGAATGGGAGAAAATTTTTGCAATCTACCCATCTGACAAAGGGCTAATATCCAAAATCTACAAATAACTGAAACAAATTACAAGAAGAAAACAACCCCATCAAAAAGTGGGTGAAGGACATGAACAGACACTTCTCAAAAGAAGACATTTATGCAGCCAACAAACATACAAAAAAAAGCTCATCATTACTGGTCATTAGAGAAATGCAAATCAAAACCACAGTGAGATACCATTTCATGTCAGTTAGAATGGCGATTATTAAAAAGTCTGGAAACAACAGATGCTGGAGAGGATGTGGAGAAATAGCAACACTTTTACACGCTGGCAGGAGTGTAAATTAGTTTAACCATTGTGGAAGACAGTGTGGCGATTCCTCAAGGATCTAGAACCAGAAATACCATTTGACCCAGCCATCCCATTACTGGGTATATACCCAAAGGATTATAAATCATTCTACTATTAAGACACATGCACACATATGTTCATTGCAGCACTATTTACAATAGCAAAGACTTGGAACCAACCCAAATGCCCATCAATGATAGACTGGATAAAGAAAATGTAGCACATACATACACCATGGAATACTGTGCAGCCATAAAAAGGAATGAGTTCATGCCCTTTGCAGGGACATGGATGAAGCTGAAACCATCATCCTCAGCAAACTAACACAGGAACAGAAAACCAAATACCGCATGTTCTCACTCATAAGTGGGAGCTGAATAATGAGAATGGACACAGGGAGGGGAAAGAGGCCTGTCGGGGGTTGGGGGAAAGGGGAAAGAGAGCATTAGGACAAATACCTAATGCATGCAGAACTTAAAACCTAGATGATGGGCTGACAGCTGCTGCAAACCACCATGGCACACGTATACCTATGTAACAAACCTACACGTTCAGCACATGTCTCCCAGAACTTAAAATTTAAAAACAAAACTAAAGTCAATATACAAAAATTAATTATGTTCCTATATACCAATAGCAAATAATCAGAAAATGAAGATATTCAAATATTACTTAAAACAGCATAAAAACTTATCGAATGCCTAGAAATAAAACTAACAAAAGATGTGTAGGGTGGGCGTGGTGGCTCACGCCTGTAATCCCAGCACTTTGGGAGGCTGAGGTGGGCGGATCATGAGGTCAGGAGATCGAGACCATCCTGGCTAACACATGAAACCCCGTCTCTACTAAAAATACAAAAAAATTAGCTGGGCGTGGTGGCAGGTGCCTGTAGTCCCAGCTACTCTGGAGGTTGAGGCAAGAGAATGGCACAAACTCAGGAGGCAGAGCTTGCAGTGAGCGGAGATTGCGCCACTGCACTAAAGCCTGGGCGACAGAACAAGACTCCATCTCAAAAAAAAAAAAAAAGATGTGTAAAACCTGTACACTGCAAACATTGCAAAAAGAAGTCAAAGAAGACATAAGTAGAGAGATATATTATGTTCTTGAGTTGGAAATCTCAATATTTTTACATGTCAGTTCTCCCTAAATTAAGCAATGTAGTGAATGCCCAAGTCAAAATACTAGCAGGTTGTGTGTGTGTGTGTGTGTGTGTGTGTGTGTGTGTGTGTAAATTGCCAAGAAGATTCTAAAATGTATATGGAAATTCAAAAAATCTAGAAGAGCCAAGATAGTTTTTAAACAAAGAAGTACAAAGTTGGGGGACTTATAAACAAGTTTTCAAAACTCACTATAAAGCCATAATATTTAAAACTGTGGTCTGGACTTAAGTATAGACAAGTCATTAAGTCATAATAAAAGGAGAAAAAGCTGAGAAACAAACCTATACATATATGTTCACTTGATTTGCAATAAACACACCTCTACAATTCATTGGGGAAGTTATGCTCTTCACAGTAAGTGGTACAGGAAGCATTGATAGCTATATGAAAAACATTAATCTTGATATTTTATATCTTTACAACAATTAATCGGAGATCAGTCATACACCAATACATTGACAGAGGTGTTGGTTACATGCATATATACTTATGTGTAATATCATCAAGATATACACTTGATTAGTGCAACTTACCATCTATGTTATACCTCAATAAAATGTGATTATTTATTTTAGGTTCAGGGGTACATGTGCAGGATATGCAGGTTTGTTACATAGGTAAACCTGTGCCATGGTGGTTTGCTACACAGACATCTCATCCCTATGTATTAAGCCCAGCATCCATTAGCTATTCTTCCTGAGGCTCTCCCTCTCCCAACCCCTCCTTCCTGACAGGCCCCAGTGTGCACTGTTCCCCACCATGTGTCCATGTGTTCTCATTATTCAGCTCCCATTTATGAGTGAGAACATGCAGTGTTTGGTTTTCAGCTCCTGTGTTAGTTTGCTGAGGATAACAGCTTCCAGTTCCATCCATGTCTCTGCAAAGGATGTTATCTTCTTCATTTTTATGGCTGCACAGTATTCCATGGTGTTTATGTACCACGTTTTCTTTATCTGATCTATCATTGATGGGCATTTAAGTTGATTGCATGTCTTTGCTATTGTGAATACTGCTGCAGTGAACATGCACGTGCATGTATCTTTGTAAGACAGTGATTTATATTCCTTTGGGTCTATACTTGGTAATGGGATTGCTGGGTCAAATGCTATTTCTGCCTCTACGTCTTTGAGGAATTGCCACACCCTCTTCTACATGGTTGAACTAATTTACACACCCACTAACCGTGTAAAAAGCATTCCTTTTTCTCTGCAACCTTGCCAGCATGTTATTTTTGGACTTTTTAATAATAGCCATTCTGACTGGCGTGAGGTGGTATCTCATTGTGGTTTTGTTTGCATTTCTTTAGTGGTCGGTGATGTTGAGCTTTTTTTTTTCGTATTTTTGTTGACTGCATGTATGTCTTCTTTTGAGAAGTGTCTGTTCATGTCCTTTGCCCACTTTTTAACAGGGTTGTGTGTTTTTTTCTTGTAAATTTCATTAAGTTCCTCGTAGAATCTGAATATCAGACCTTTGTCGGGCGGATAGATTGTACAAATTTTCTCCCATTCTGTAGCTCTTTAGTTTAATTACATCCCATTTGTCAATTTTTGCATTTGTTGCAATTGCTTTTAGCATTTCGATCATGAAATCTTTGCCCATGCCTATTTTCTGAATGGTATGGCCTAGATTTTCTTCTAGAGTTTTTATACTTTGGGGATTTACATTTAAGTTTTTAATCCATCTAGAGTTAATTTTTGGATATGGTGTAAGGAAGAAGTCCAGTTTCAATTTTCTATATATGGCTAGCCAGCACTCCAGCACCATTTATTAAATAGGGAGTCCTTTTCCCATTGCTTGTTTTTGTCAAGTTTGTTAAAGATCAAATGGTTGTTGGTGTGAGGTCTTATTTCTGAGTTTTCTATTCTGTTCCATTGGTCTATACATCTGTTCTTGTACTAGTGCCATGCTGTTTTGGTTACTGTAGCCCTGTAGTATAGTATAGTTTGAAGTCGGGTAGCGGGATGCCTCCTGCTTTGTTCTTTTTGCTTGGGATTGTCTTGGGTATTTGGGCTCTTTTATTGTTCTATATGAATTTTAAGATAGTTTTTTTTTAATTCTGTGAAGAATTTCAATAGCAGTTTAATGGGAATAGCATTGCATCCATAAATTGCTTTGGGCAATATGGCCATTTTCATGATATTGATTCTTCCCATCCATGAGCACGGGATGTTTTTCCATTTTTTGTGTGTGTCTTCTCTGATTTCTTTGAGCAGTTGTTGTTTTCTCTGTGTTTGTTTTTCCTTTAACAGGCCACTCTACTGTAGTGCTTCTGCAATTTGCTGGTGGTCCATTCAAGACCCCAGTCGCCTGACTTTCTCCCGTCTACCTGGAGGTATTACCAATGAAGGCTGTGAAATAGCAAAGATGGCAGCCAGCTCCTTCCTTTGGAAGCTCCATCCCAGGGGGATACTGACCTGTAGCAAGTCTACATACACCTGTAGGAAGTGGCTGGAGACCCCCATGGGGGAGTTCTTACCCAGTCAGGAGACATGGGATCAGGGACCCATCCAAAGAAGCAGTCTCGCTGCTTTTTGGTAGACCAGGTGTGCTGCGTTGCAGGGAACACTTCCTCCTCCTGACCACCTGTATTTTCCATAGCTGGCAGGCAGGAGTGGCTGAGTCTACAAACTACAGTGATGCTGGCTGCCCCTCTCCACCTCCCGGGGAACTCAGACCCATCTGAGGTGGAATCCAACCTGTTGCTCTTGGTTGGCTAGGATTCCAAGCCAATGGGTCTTAACTTGTGAGGTACCGTGGAAATGGAGCCCACAGAATGACACTGCTTGGCTCCCTGGATTCAGCCCCTTTCCAAAATATGTATGGACAGATTTCCCACCTTGCTGAGGTTCTCGGGGCCAGAGTACGTAAAACGTCTGGGTTTCTGTGTGTGCCTGAGCAGCTGATCTGCTGAGACTCCACAGCTCTGTGTATCAGACACAAGGCCCTGGTGGCATGGGCTTACAAGGGGATCCCCTGATCCATGGGTTGCAAAGATCAATAGGAGAAGCACTGTTTCCTGAGCACGATTGGACAATCACTCACTGCTTCCCTTGGCTGGGAGTGGGGGTTCCTTTGGCTCCACGCTGCTCTCGGCTGGGCCATCACACCCTCTCTCCACTTTTCTTCATTCTCCATGGGGCGAGCTGTTCTTCCAGTCAGTCCCAATGGGAGAACCTGGGTATCTCAGTTGAAGGTGCTGAATTCACCTGCCCCTTTTCATTCCTCTCCTTGAGTGCTGGGGAGTGCAGCTGCTTTTAATCGGCCATTTTGCATCACTCTAAACATTTCTTTTTTAGCCATAGTTCTTAATTCCCATAGCCCTTGGTTTATCGTTAGTTTTTTTTTTTTTTTTTTTTTATACTTTAAGTTTTAGGGTACATGTGCACATTGTGCAGGTTAGTTACATATGTATACATGTGCCATGCTGGTGCGCTGCACCCACCAACGTGTCATCTATCATTAGGTATATCTCCCACTGCTATCCCTCCCCCCTCCCCCGACCCCACCACAGTCCCCAGAGTGTGATATTCCCCTTCCTGTGTCCTTGTGATCTCATTGTTCAATTCCCACCTATGAGTGAGAATATGCGGTGTTTGGTTTTTTGTTCTTGCGATAGTTTACTGAGAATGATGGTTTCCAATTTCATCCATGTCCCTACAAAGGACATGAACTCATCATTTTTTATGGCTGCATAGTATTCCATGGTGTATATGTGCCACATTTTCTTAATCCAGTCTATCATTGTTGGACATTTGGGTTGGTTCCAAGTCTTTGCTATTGTGAATAATGCCACAATAAACATACGTGTGCATGTGTCTTTATAGCAGCATGATTTATAGTCATTTGGGTATATACCCAGTAATGGGATGGCTGGGTCAAATGGTATTTCTAGTTGTAGATCCCTGAGGAATCGCCACACTGACTTCCACAATGGTTGAACTAGTTTACAGTCCCACCAACAGTGTAAAAGTGTTCCTATTTCTCCACATCCTCTCCAGCACCTGTTGTTTCCTGACTTTTTAATGATTGCCATTCTAACTGGTGTGAGATGATATCTCATAGTGGTTTTGATTTGCATTTCTCTGATGGCCAGTGATGATGAGCATTTTTTCATGTGTTTTTTGGCTGCATAAATGTCTTCTTTTGAGAAATGTCTGTTCATGTCCTTCGCCCACTTTTTGATGGGGTTGTTTGTTTTTTTCTTGTAAATTTGTTTGAGTTCATTGTAGATTCTGGATATTAGCCCTTTGTCAGATGAGTAGGTTGCGAATATTTTCTCCCATGTTGTAGGTTGCCTGTTCACTCTGATGGTAGTTTCTTTTGCTGTGCAGAAGCTCTTTAGTTTAATTAGATCCCATTTGTCAATTTTGGCTTTTGTTGCCATTGCTTTTGGTGTTTTGGACATGAAGTCCTTGCCCATGCCTATGTCCTGAATGGTAATGCCTAGGTTTTCTTCTAGGGTTTTAATGGTTTTAGGTCTAACGTTTAAATCTTTAATCCACCTTGAATTGATTTTTGTATAAGGTGTAAGGAAGGGATACAGTTTCAGCTTTCTACATATGGCTAGCCAGTTTTCCCAGCACCATTTATTAAATAGGGAATCCTTTCCCCATTGCTTGTTTTTCTCAAGTTTGTCAAAGATCAGATAGTTGTAGATATGCGGCATTATTTCTGAGGGCTCTGTTCTGTTCCATTGATCTATATCTCTGTTTTGGTACCAGTACCATGCTGTTTTGGTTACTGTAGCCTTGTAGTATAGTTTGAAGTCAGGTAGTGTGATGCCTCCAGCTTTGTTCTTTTGGCTTAGGATTGACTTGGCGATGCGTGCTCTTTTTTGGTTCCATATGAACTTTAAAGTAGTTTTTTCCAATTCTGTGAAGAAAGTCATTGGTAGCTTGATGGGGATGGCATTGAATCTGTAAATTACCTTGGGCAGTATGGCCATTTTCACGATATTGATTCTTCCTACCCATGAGCATGGAATGTTCTTCCATTTGTTTGTGTCCTCTTTTATTTCCTTGAGCAGTGGTTTGTAGTTCTCCTTGAAGAGGTCCTTCACATCCCTTGTAAGTTGGATTCCTAGGTATTTTATTCTCTTTGAAGCAAATGTGAATGGGAGTTCACTCATGATTTGGCTCTCTGTCTGTTGTTGGTGTATAAGAATGCTTGTGATTTTTGTACATTGATTTTGTATCCTGAGACTTTGCTGAAGTTGCTTATCAGCTTAAGGAGATTTTGGGCTGAGACGGTGGGGTTTTCTAGATAAACAATCATGTCGTCTGCAAACAGGGACAATTTGACTTCCTCTTTTCCTAATTGAATACCCTTTATTTCCTTCTCCTGCCTGATTGCCCTGGCCAGAACTTCCAACACTATGTTGAATAGGAGTGGTGAGAGAGGGCATCCCTGTCTTGTGCCAGTTTTCAAAGGGAATGCTTCCAGTTTTTGCCCATTCAGTATGATATTGGCTGTGGGTTTGTCATAGATAGCTCTTATTATTTTGAAATACGTCCCATCAATACCTAATTTATTGAGAGTTTTTAGCATGAAGGGTTGTTGAATTTTGTCAAAGGCTTTTTCTGCATCTATTGAGATAATCATGTGGTTTTTGTCTTTGGCTCTGTTTATATGCTGGATTACATTTATTGATTTGCGTATATTGAACCAGCCTTGCATCCCAGGGATGAAGCCCACTTGATCATGGTGGATAAGCTTTTTGATGTGCTGCTGGATTCGGTTTGCCAGTATTTTATTGAGGATTTTTGCATCAATGTTCATCAAGGATATTGGTCTAAAATTCTCTTTTTTGGTTGTGTCTCTGCCCGGCTTTGGTATCAGAATGATGCTGGCCTCATAAAATGAGTTAGGGAGGATTCCCTCTTTTTCTATTGATTGGAATAGTTTCAGAAGGAATGGTACCAGTTCCTCCTTGTACCTCTGGCAGAATTCGGCTGTGAATCCATCTGGTCCTGGACTCTTTTTGGTTGGTAAACTATTGATTATTGCCACAATTTCAGAGCCTGTTATTGGTCTATTCAGAGATTCAACTTCTTCCTGGTTTAGTCTTGGGAGAGTGTATGTGTCGAGGAATGTATCCATGTCTTCTAGATTTTCTAATTTATTTGCGTAGAGGTGTTTGTAGTATTCTCTGATGGTAGTTTGTATTTCTGTGGGATCGGTGGTGATATCCCCTTTATCATTTTTTATTGTGTCTATTTGATTCTTCTCTCTTTTTTTCTTTATTAGTCTTGCTAGCGGTCTATCAATTTTGTTGATCTTTTCAAAAAACCAGCTCCTGGATTCATTGATTTTTTGAAGGGTTTTTTGTGTCTCTATTTCCTTCAGTTCTGCTCTGATTTTAGTTATTTCTTGCCTTCTGCTAGCTTTTGAATGTGTTTGCTCTTGCTTTTCTAGTTCTTTTAATTGTGATGTTAGGGTGTCAATTTTGGATCTTTCCTGCTTTCTCTTGTAGGCATTTAGTGCTATAAATTTCCCTCTACACACTGCTTTGAATGCGTCCCAGAGATTCTGGTATGTGGTGTCTTTGTTCTCGTTGGTTTCAAAGAACATCTTTATTTCTGCCTTCATTTCGTTATGTACCCAGTAGTCATTCAGGAGCAGGTTGTTCAGTTTCCATGTAGTTGAGCGGCTTTGAGTGAGATTCTTAATCCTGAGTTCTAGTTTGATTGCACTGTGGTCTGAGAGATAGTTTGTTATAATTTCTGTTCTTTTACATTTGCTGAGGAGAGCTTTACTTCCAAGTATGTGGTCAATTTTGGAATAGGTGTGGTGTGGTGCTGAAAAAAATGTATATTCTGTTGATTTGGGGTGGAGAGTTCTGTAGATGTCTATTAGGTCCGCTTGGTGCAGAGCTGGGTTCAATTCCTGGGTATTCTTGTTGACTTTCTGTCTCGTTGATCTGTCTAATGTTGACAGTGGGGTGTTAAAGTCTCCCATTATTAATGTGTGGGAGTCTAAGTCTCTTTGTAGGTCACTCAGGACTTGCTTTATGAATCTGGGTGCTCCTGTATTGGGTGCATAAATATTTAGGATAGTTAGCTCTTCTTGTTGAATTGATCCCTTTACCATTATGTAATGGCCTTATTTGTCTCTTTTGATCTTTGTTGGTTTAAAGTCTGTTTTATCAGAGACTAGGATTGCAACCCCTGCCTTTTTTTGTTTTCCATTGGCTTGGTAGATCTTTCTCCATCCTTTTATTTTGAGCTTATGTGTGTCTCTGCACGTGAGATGGGTTTCCTGAATACAGCACACTGATGTGTCTTGACTCTTTATCCAACTTGCCAGTCTGTGTCTTTTAATTGCAGAATTTAGTCCATTTATATTTAAAGTTAATATTGTTATGTGTGAATTTGATCCTGTCATTATGATGTTAGCTGGTGATTTTGCTCATTAGTTGATGCAGTTTCTTCCTAGTCTCGATGGTCTTTACATTTTGGCATGATTTTGCAGCGGCTGGTACCGGTTGTTCCTTTCCATGTTTAGCGCTTCCTTCAGGAGCTCTTTTAGGGCAGGCCTGGTGTTGACAAAATCTCTCAGCATTTGCTTGTCTATAAAGTATTTTATTTCTCCTTCACTTATGAAGCTTAGTTTGGCTGGATATGAAATTCTGGGTTGAAAATTCTTTTCTTTAAGAATGTTGAATATTGGCCCCCACTCTCTTCTGGCTTGTAGGGTTTCTGCCGAGAGATCCGCTGTTAGTCTGATGGGCTTTCCTTTGAGGGTAACCCGACCTTTCTCTCTGGCTGCCCTTAACATTTTTTCCTTCATTTCAACTTTGGTGAATCTGACAATTATGTGTCTTGGAGTTGCTCTTCTCGAGGAGTATCTTTGTGGCGTTCTCTGTATTTCCTGAATCTGAACGTTGGCCTGCCTTGCTAGATTGGGGAAGTTCTCCTGGATAATATCCTGCAGAGTGTTTTCCAACTTGGTTCCATTCTCCACATCACTTTCAGGTACACCAATCAGACGTAGATTTGGTCTTTTCACATAGTCCCATATTTCTTGGAGGCTTTGCTCATTTCTTTTTATTCTTTTTTCTCTAAACTTCCCTTCTCACTTCATTTCATTCATTTCATCTTCCATTGCTGATACCCTTTCTTCCAGTTGATCGCATCGGCTCCTGAGGCTTCTGCATTCTTCACGTAGTTCTCGAGCCTTGGTTTTTAGCTCCATCAGCTCCTTTAAGCACTTCTCTGTATTGGTTATTCTAGTTATACATTCTTCTAAATTTTTTTCAAAGTTTTCAACTTCTTTGCCTTTGGTTTGAATGTCCTCCCGTAGCTCAGAGTAATTTGATCGTCTGAAGCCTTCTTCTCTCAGCTCGTCAAAATCATTCTCCATCCAGCTTTGTTCCATTGCTGGTGATGAACTGCATTCCTTTGGAGGAGGAGAGGCGCTCTGCGTTTTAGAGTTTCCAGTTTTTCTGTTCTGTTTTTTCCCCATCTTTGTGGTTTTATCTACTTTTGGTCTTTGATGATGGTGATGTACAGATGGGTTTTCGGTGTAGATGTCCTTTCTGGTTGTTAGTTTTCCTTCTAACAGACAGGACCCTTAGCTGCAGGTCTGTTGGAATACCCTGCCGTGTGAGGTGTCAGTGTGCCCCTGCTGGGGGGTGCCTCCCAGTTAGGCTGCTCGGGGGTCAGGGACCCAATTGAGGAGGCAGTCTGCCCGTTCTCAAATCTCCAGCTGCGTGCTGGGAGAACCACTGCTCTCTTCAAAGCTGTCAGACAGGGACACTTAAGTCTGCAGAGGTTACTGCTGTCTTTTTGTTTGTCTGTGCCCTGCCCCCAGAGGTGGAGCCTACAGAGGCAGGCAGGCCTCCTTGAGCTGTGGTGGGCTCCACCCAGTTCGAGCTTCCCTGTTGCTTTGTTTACCTAAGCAAGCCTGGGCAATGGCGGGCGCCCCTCCCCCAGCCTCGTTGCCGCCTTGCAGTTTGATCTCAGACTGCTGTGCTAGCAATCAGCGAGATTCCGTGGGCGTAGGACCCTCTGAGCCCGGTGTGGGATATAGTCTCCTGGTGCGCCGTTGTTTAAGCCGGTCTGAAAAGCGCAATATTCGGGTGGGAGTGACCCGATTTTCCAGGTGCGTCCGTCACCCCTTTCTTTGACTCGGAAAGGGAACTCCCTGACCCTTGCGCTTCCCAGGTGAGGCAATGCCTCGCCCTGCTTCGGCTCGCGCACGGTGCGCGCACACACTGGCCTGCGCCCACTGTCTGGCACTCCCTAGTGAGATGAACCCGGTACCTCAGATGGAAATGCAGAAATCACCCGTCTTCTGCGTCGCTCACGCTGGGAGCTGTAGACCGGAGCTGTTCCTATTCGGCCATCTTGGCTCCTCCTCATCATTAGTTTCTTAATTAAATAACCTGTCCACATTCTCCAGCCATGGGATGATGATTCAGGCTGGGGATCCAGGCCATTTTCTGAAAAGCTGCTGAACTTGAGGCCCTGTCCTGTTTGAACCTGAGCTAACACGCTGCAGAGAGGTACTCCTTCCACCTCTCAGCAACCGATGCCAGCCCTTAATAATTATAGTTTTATTGAGGTATAGTAAGTATTGTAAATTACATAAAATTAAACAATGACTTTCAGTTGGCATTTCACAGTAAACAGCATTATATGTTTGAAATTAGTTTAGTCATCCATGGAGCCTAAAGCAGTATGCTGCCACTATAATTGAGGATCTCGGCCAGGCACGGTGACTCAAGCCTGTAATCCTAGCACTTTGGGAGGCCAAGGCGGGTGGTCCACAAGGTCAGGAGATCGAGACCATCCTGGCTAACATGGTGAAACCCCATCTCTATTAAAAAAAAAAAAAAAATTAGTCAGGCGTGGTGGCGGGCGCCTGTAGTCCCAGCTACTCGGGAGGCTGAGGCAGGAGAATGGCGTGAACCCAGGAAGCAGAGCTTGCAGTGAGCCGAGATTGCGCCACTGCACTCCAGCCTGGGCAACAGAGTGAGATTCCGTCTCAAAAAAAAAAAAAAAAAAAAACAGCAGCCATGATTATTTACAATTCCTTCCAACAGGAGTTGGAGTCTATGTTCTACTCTGAATCTGGATTCAGATTCAGAATCGTAGTATAATTTGCATTGTCCAATAAAATCGGGTAGAAGTAATATTATACTAATTTTGAGCCTGGGCCTTAAAAGGATTTACATTGTTTTGCTTGCTGCTCGTGGTACTCCTGCCACTGCCATCATGTGAACAGGCCTGAAGTAGCCTACTAGAGAATGAGAGACCACATGGGACCATTCAGCCAAGTCATGTTATTTTCTTTACTTTGATTTAAAAAAAACTGTTTTTTTATTCTTTAAAACAATTTGAACTGACACATAATAGTTGTTCATATTTATAAGGTAGAGGGTGATATCTCAATACCTGTGTACAATGTGCAATGATCAAATCAGGATAATCAGCATGTCCATCACCTCAAATATTTATCATTCTTTGTGGTGGGAACACTCAAGAGCCTTTCTTTTTAAAAATATACAATAAATTGTTAACTGTAGTCACCCTCCAGTGCTATAGAATACTAAAACTTATTCCTCTCTGTAAGCTGAAATCTGACATTTCTTTGTTGATTTTCTGACTAGATGATCTGTCCAGTGCTACGAGTAGGGTGTTACGGGGTGTTAAAGACCCCAACTGTTACTAGATTGGAGTCTGTCTTTCCCTTTAGATCTAATATTTGCCTTGTTTATCTGAGTGCTCTAGTGTTGGGTACATATATGTCTGCAATTATTATATCCTATTGCTAAGTTGATCCTTTCATAATTATAAAATATCTGTCTTTGTCTCCTCATGCAGTTTGACTTAAAGTCTGTTTTATCTGATATAAGTATGGCTACTCCTGCCCTCTCTTGGTTTCTGTTTGCCTGGAGTATCTTTTTCTATCCCTTCACTTTCAGTCTGCGTGTACCTTTACAAGTGAAGTTAGTTTCTTATAGGCAGTATGTAGTTGGGTTTTTTGTTTGTTTGTTTATCTTGGCAACCAACTCTATATCTTTTAATTGGGAATTTGATCTGTTTACATTCAAGGTTACTATTAATAGATGAGGATTTATCCTGTCATTTTATTCTTTTTTTTTTTTTTTTTGGTTGTTTTGTATATCCTTTGTGCTTTTCTTCCTCTGTTTTTTTTTTTTTTTTCTAATCTTTGTGGTTTGGTGGATCTCTGTAGAGATAAAGTTTGATTTCTCTCTCTTTCTTATGTATCTGCTCTACCAGTGAGTTTTATAGTTTGGTGTTTTTCATGATGGTAGCCATCCTCTTGCTTTCATTTGTAGAATCCCCCTTAAGCATTCCTTGTAAGGCCAGTCTACTGGTGATGAACTCCCTCAGGTTTTGCTTGTCTGGGAAATACTTTATTTCTCCCTCATTTCTAGAGGATAGCTCTGCTGGGTATAGTATTCTTAGTTTATAGTTTTTTTGTATTTTTTTCCTTTCAGTACTTTGACTGTAACATCCCATTGTCTACTGACCTGTAAAGTTTCCACTGGAAAATCCACTGTTAACCTAAAGGAGTTTCCCTTACATGTGATTTGATGCTTTTTTCTTGCTGTTTTTAATATTTCTTTTTTTTTTTTTTTCAGACACTCCCACTCTGTTACCCAGGTTGAAGTGCAATGGTGTGATCTCAGCTCACTGCAACCTCCACCTCCTGGGTTTAAGCATATCTCATGATTCAGCCTCCCAAGTAGCTAGAACTACAGGTGCACGCCACCACACCTAGCTAAGTTTTTTTTGTATTATTAGTAGAGATGGGGTTTCTTCATGTTGGCCAGGCTGGTCTTGAACTCCTGGCCTTGTGATCCACCCACCTCAGCCTCCCAAAGTCCTGGGATTACAGGTGTGAGCCACTGCACCTGACCAATATTCCCTCTTTTTGACATTTGAAAGTGTGACTATCATGCACCTCAGAGAAGACCATCTTGAGTTGATTCTATTTGAGAACCTTTGAGCTTCTGAGATTTCACCCATATGTCTCCCATGTCTGTTTTTAAAGCTCTTGATTATATATATATATATATATATATATATATATATATATATATATATATAGTTTTTTTTTGAGACAGGGTCCCTCCCTGTCAACCAGGTTGGAGTGCAGTGGCATGATCTCAGCTCACTGCAACCTCCACCTCCTGGGTTCAAGCTATTCTCGTGCCTCAGCCTCCCAAGTAGCTGGGATTGCAGGCATGCACCACCACACCTGACTAAATTTTGTGTTTTTTTAGATATGGGATTTTGCCATGTTAATCACTCTTGTCTTGAACTCCTGGCCTCAAGTGATCCACCTGCCTTGGCCTCCCAAAGTGCTGGGATAACAGGAGTGACCTACTGCATCTGGTCTCTTGATTATTTTTTATTTTATTCCTTAAATTCTTCAGCTCCAAGATCTCTGTTTGGTTTTTAATGACATCTATATCTTTGTTGAATTTCTCATAAGATGATAAATTGTTTTTCTAATTTCATTGATTTGTCTATCTGTATTCTCTTGTATCTCACAGAGTTTCCTCAAGATCCTTATTTCAAATTCCTTCTTAGCCATTTGATATACTCTTAAAATTTAGGGTCTGTTAATGGGGGATTATTGTGTTTCTTTGAGGATGTAATGTTTCCTTGCTTTTTATGTTTCTTGTGGCCCTGAATTGATTTTTGCACATCTGGTGGAACAGGTGCCTCTTCCAATGTTATGGAGCTTTCACAGAGAAATATTTTTTCCAATAGTTGTCTCCTAGTGTTCATTATGGAGTAGGGCGATTTGACTTTGGTTCTAGGTGGGTGCGGTAATACAGTCTTCATGTGACTTCTTTGGCTGTAATCAGCATTTAGAGGTGTCTCTGAGTGCCTCAGTGGCCTAGATGGTGAGTGTTTGTGGAGACAGTGGTATGGCTTTTCTTGGGGTGGGAGCCATCAGTCGGATTCGTTCCAAGGCCCTAGAGGTATGCATGCTAGGTGCAGTGGCTTTGCTAGTGGTGGGGTGGCGCCACCAGCAGGGTGGGCACCCGGCAGGCCAGTCCTCAGGGTCTTAGAAGTGCATGCAGCATATGGCAGCTCTGCTGGTCAAGGGGGTGGAGCTGTTGGCAGCAGTGGATGCCAGATGGGATGGGCCTTGAGGGGTGCATGGAGCACGCAGTGGCTCTGTCAGCTGAGGACAGCCAAGTCATTTTAGACTAGCCAGTCCTCAGATGACTCAGTAGCTGCCCACAGATGCATGAATGAACCCAGTTGAGAGAGGCAATCCTCTCTGTGAGCACAGAATTGAACAGTTAAGCCCATCTCAAATTCACAAACCATAGTATCATGAGCCAAATAAATAGTTGCTGTTATAAGCCAGTAAGTTTGGGGGTGGTTTGTAACCACTGGTACAATTGTAACTGGTATCAATCCATTATGATTGTTTTACTTGAAAGAGTACCTTTTGGAAAGAACATTGACATTTCTGGGTCAATATTAAACTTATGACTACACAGTCTACATTCACTGAGAAATTAGTATTTTTAAGATAAACACCCTTACCTTAATTGGATTCCGATAGAAAGACTGGCCTCCCGAAGATGGAAACGACATAGCGACAATATGTTCTGGAAGTCAAAATCATCACTATTACAAACATTATTATAGATTTAAAATAACATACAAAAGTTAATTTTATATGATCAGACTCCATTTTCACAGAAAAATACCTTTTAAGATTGAGGTTGACAGAAAAGAGCTAATACTCAGGGTAATCAAGATAACATATTAAATTATCCAACATAATGACCATTAAGCTGGCATGGTGTTCTTAACACTCCACTGGTTCAAACCATATGCCATGTACTTATGTTGGCCTCAGTCTGAAGTTCCCCCTGTTCTTGGAATTTATTTCTTATCTTAAATACCAAAGAAAATCCAAGAGTTCTGGGCACCAGTGATGGTGGGAACTCCCAACGTGCTTTGTAGCCCTCTGACTCAGAACACCTGAGATCTACAAAGCTGTGACCTCATTCTCTGGGGTTCTAGGAAGAGAAGCGGTCTCTCTGGGATCCTTGGGATTCAGGATAACTACTAGAACTTAATAAACTGAAACTCAAATGGAGTCAGCTGAAAATCCATTCAAGTTTTTGTGCTGCAACCGAGTAGTCCTGAATTGAGATGACATGGAAATCTTCCTTGCCAGGGCTAAACCACAAATATGTCACACTATCACAATGGCATAGCATATAGCCTCACGAATAAAGAATACTTTGAATGAATGTGGCTTAGATGAGGCAAAAACAAAATAAAAATATAATTACAAGAAAAAGTGAAGTTAATGTAAGTAAATCAACAGTTAAGTGTCACAAACCTGTAATATAAGTGAGGTCTAGGTCAAATCCATCACTTTCGTATCACCTTTTGTTTCCTGAAACCTGAGAGTTTAAAACCATTATTAGTTGGTGAAACATAAATCAACATAAAAATAAAGAACATTATACAGTATAGATATCAACCCTTGCCAATGGGTCCCAAAACACAAAATATTTTTCTGAATCGTAAGCATGTTTTGCCCACTTACCAGCCTTCTTATCAGCTTTCCAAGTTGTCTTTTTAGATGAGCCAGATGAAAAACTCTTATCAGAATGATAAGTCGTAGAAGTCGAAATAAACGTGTCCATCTAAAAATAAATTTAAAAGATCAATTTTTGCTTCAGAAACAGACAATTTTATGAATATAAATTAAGTTTAGAGCAGCAGTTGTTAACCAGGGACAATTTTCCCTCCTCTCCTCAATCACCTACATGGGGGATATTTGGCAGTGTCTTGAGGCATTTTTGGTTTTCACAACTGGTGTGCTTGTGTGTGTGTGTGTGTGTGTGTGTGTGTGTGCGCGCGCATGCATGCGCTACTTCCATCTAATGGATAGAAGCCAGGAATTCTGCTAAACATCCTGCAATGAATATAACTGCTCACCACCCTCCTATGACAATAATGATCTGGCCCAAAATGTTAGTAATGCTGAGGTTGAAAAATTCTGGTCTAGAGAAATAGTGAAACAATAGAGTCTTAGAATTTGTAAATTTAATGTTGGGATTTGAGACTAGCATTTTCAATTTTTCCACATCAAAACAAATTGAGGATTCTTGTTCACCTTTGTTACTCCCATCTGTAACAGAGGTTCACTACAGCTGCTAATGCACATTAGGCAGGCAACAGATTGAGATACTTCCCAAGTGTGCTAGCTGGTATCTCTCCTACCGTCAGAAACATCAAAGCAGATAACTGATGGTCTGGACTAGTGCTTATCTGGTTTAAGCATGCATAAAGAAGAGTCATCTGGAAAAGCGTGTTAAGCTACAGATTGTTGGATCCCAGAGATATTGATTCAGTGGGTCCAGGGTGGGGCCTAAGGTATTTTTCTTGTATTTCTAGCAAGCTCTCAAGTGATGCTGAGGTTTCTAGTCAGAGGACCACATTGGCTGAGGTGATTTTCAAACAACTCCAAAAGCCTATCACTTAACATGCTTAGTTGGTGCCTGAGTTGTAGTCCAGGGAAGCTAGGGTACAGAAAGAAACCCGGTATTTGACCCATGAACAAGCTTAGGAAGCCACAAACATCTCCATCCCAGTATACGTTTGCTCTTCCATTTTCCTCATTGTCACAGTAGAAAAGAAGAACAAAAAGAGAGTCACCAGGTCCTCATACACCCTTTAGTTTCCTAATCCCTAACAGTTCTAACTTTGCCTTAGCTTTCTTTGTTTCTACCACAACTATACTGCAAAACTCTACTGTTGTGTTGCTATACGTGTCATCTCCTAGTTTTCTGTTCTGTTTTCTATTTCTTAGAACATCATGATTGAGGCTGGGCACGGTGGCTCATGCTTGTAATACCAGTACTTTGGGAGGCCGGGGTGGGCAGATCACTTGAGGTCAGGAGTTCAAGACCAGCCTGACCAACATGGTGAAACTCGTCTCTACTAAAAATACAAAAATTAGCCAGGTATGGGGGTGCATGCCTGTAATCCCAGCTACTCGGGGGGCCGAGGCAGGAGAATCACTTTAACCGGCGGGGCAGAAGTTGCAGTGAGCCCGAGATCATGCCACTGAACTCCAGCCTGGGCAACACAGTGAGACTCCATCTCAAAAGAAAAAAAAAAAAAAGGAAAAGAAAATCGTGATTCATGGACACAGGAAGGGGAATATCACACTCTGGGGACTGTGGTGGGGTAGGGGAAGGGGGGAGGGATAGCATTGGGAGATATACCTAATGCTAGATGACGAGTTAGTGGGTGCAGCGCACCAGCATGGCACATGTATACATACGTAACTAACCTGCACAATGTGCACATGTACCCTAAAACTTAAAGTATAATAAAAAAAAAATTAAAAAAAAAAGACCACTAAAACTAGAAAAAAAAAAAAAGAAAGAAAATTGTGATTAAAGTCACTCAAATTTTGCATATGCTCAAATAAATTCCCTCTTGGCTGTGGGAAAAACCCAGAGAGAACATTATGTGTAAGGGATTTGTAGTTGAAGCACAGAGGGGAATTGTTTTTAATATCAAATTTTTTTATGTATCACATATGAAACTAATAAGAATGTCACACTTGATCTTAGCCAAAAGGCCAAAAATGATACAAATGGGAATTTGACGAGAACTTCAAAATGTAGTGAAGTTAAAGTTAGTACAGGAAGTAAAGTCCTTCTTTGGCTACTCCATCTTTTTTATTCAATGAATGGTACTTGGTGTGTATACTCTTCACTGGTCCCTAAGTATCACAATCTTTTAGTTTCAACCTATGTGGGAATTTACCTAAACATTTCATTTTAAAGCAACATATTTGGTATAAAATGAGCCATTTGAAGTTGAAAAGATTATACAGAATAAAAGCCACAGAAAATGCAAAAAGTAAATGAAAAATTTTAAGAGAAGTGAGTCTTATATTTCATACCTGGGAATATCCTTAAGAAACTTAACGTCAAAAAAAATGTAAACGACATCAACCAGCAGAATAATCACAGTAACAGCAGTATCTAAAATGTTAAGTAAATCAGAAAAATAATGCTGTCTCCTGTAATATAAAACAGAAAAATATGAGTTCATCTCCCCTGCAAGAAGAGATAGGAATATTTAAAGACCACAACTATTGACTGATCCCCATTAAGAATTCTACTTTCATACATTATTTAAAATGCATTTTCTAGAGTAGACTAAGGGAAAAATATAACATTCATGGGAAGTTTTCAAACAATAAATTTATATTCATCATTTGACACATATATATAACTAAAACACCAATATGGCAATTTAAGTATAGCAAGACATATAATTAAATGCATATTAACCACCCTTATCATAGATGATGAGGTATCTATCCCCTCAAGCATTTATCATTGTGTTACAAACAATCCAATTACACTTTCAGTCATTTTAAAATGTACAATTGTTATTGACTATAGTCACCCTGTTGTGCTAGCAAACAGTAGGTGTTATTCATTTTTTTCTATTTTTTTGTACCTATTAACCATCCTCACCTCCCCACCCCCAACCTCCTACTACCATTCCCAGCCTCTGATGACCATCCTTCTACTCATGTCTATGAGTTCAACTGTTAACCCTTTTAGAGCCCACAAATAAGTGAGAACATGTGGTGTTTGTCTTTCCGTGCCTGGCTTATTTCAGTTAACGTAGTGATCTCCAGTTCCATCTATGTTGTTGCAAAAGGCAGGATCTCATTCATTTTTATAGCTAAATAATACTCTCTTGTGTATATGTACTATATTTTCTTTATCCATTCATCTGTTGATGAACACAGGTTGCTTCCAAACCTTGGCTCTCATGAACAGTGCTGCAACAAACATGGGAATGCAGGTATCTCCTCTATCTACTGATTTCCTTTCTTGTGGGTACATACCCAGCAGTGGGATTTCTGGATCATATGGTGGCTTTTAGATTTTTTGAGGAACCTCCAAACTGTTCCCCATAGCGGTTCTACTAATTTACAGTCCCACGAACAGTGTATGAGGGTTCTCTTATCTCCACATGTTTGCCAGCATTTGTTATTGCCTGACTTTTGGATATAAGCCATGTTAGCTGGGATGAGATGATATCTCACTGTAGTTTTCTCTAATGATCAATGTTAAGCACCTCTTCACATGCCTGTTTACCATCTGTATGTTTCCTTTTGAGAAATGTCTATTCAAATCTTATGCTCATTTAAAAAAATCATAGTATTAGATTTTTTTCCTATAGAGTTGTTGGAGCTCCTTATATATTCTGGTTATTTATCCCTTGTCAGATGGGTATTTTGCAAATATTTTCTCCCATTCTGTGGGCTGTCTCTTCACTTTGTTAATTGTTTCCTTTGCTATGAAGAACCTTTGTAACTTCATGTGATCCCATCTGTCCATTTTTGCTTTGGTTACCTGTACTTGTAGGGTATTGCTCAAGAAATTTTTGCTCAGACCAATGTCCGGAAGATTCTTCCCAATGTTCTCCTGTTATAGTTTGAGGTCTTATCTTTAAGTATGTGATCCATTTTGATTGGATTTTTATATAAGGTGAGAGGTAGGGGTCTAGCTGCATTTTTCTGCATGTGGATATCCAGTTTTCCCAGAACCATTTGTTGAAGGGACTGCCTTTTCCTCAATGTATGTTCTTGGCAAATTTGTTGAAAATGAGTTCACTGTAGGCGTGTGGATTTGTTTCTGGGTTCTCTATGCTTTTCCATTGGTCTATGTGTCTGTTTATGCAAGGGCCATGCTGTTTTGGTTACTATAGTTCTGTAGTATAATTTAAAGTCAGGTAATGTGATTCCTCCAGCTTTGTTCTTTGTGATTAGAATAGCTGCTATTCTGGGTGTTTTATGGCTCCATATAAATTTTAGGATTTTTTTTCTATTTCTGTGAAGAATGTCATTGCTATTTTGATAGGGAGTGCATTGAATCTGTAAATTGCTTTGGATAGTATGGTCTTTTGAACAATATCGATTCTTCCAATCCATGAACATGGAATCTCTTTCCATTTTGTGGTGTCCTTTTCAATTTCTTTCATCAGTGTTTTATCGTTTTAATTATAAAGATCTTTCACGTCTTTGGTTAACTCTTAGATTTTTAATTTTATTTCTGGCTATTGTAAATAGGATCACTTTTTAAAACTTTTTCAGATGGTTCACTGTTGGCATATAAAAATACTACTGATTTTTGTATGTTGATTTTGTATCCTGCAACTTTACTGAATTTATCAATTCTAATATTTTTTTGTGGACTCTTTAGTTTTTTCCAAATAAAATATATCATCTGCAAACACAAGGATAATTTTACTTCTTCCTTCCCAATTTGGATTTGTTTTTATTCCCTTTATTTCTTTATCTTCTGTGAATGCTCTAGCTAGGACTTCCTGTACTATGTTGAATAACACTGGTGAAAGTGGGCATCCTACTTGTGTTCTAGATCTCAGAGGAAAGCTTTTCCATTGTTCCCCACTCAGTATGATACTGACTGGGGATCTGTCATATATGGTTTTTATTATATTGAGGTGTGTTATTTCTTTACCCAGTTTTTTTAGAGTGTTTATCATGAAGAAACGTTGAATTTTATCCAGCACTTTTTCAGCATTAACTGAAATGATCTTACAGCTTTTATCCTTTATTGTGTTGATATGATGTATCACTTTGGTTGATTTGCATATTTTGAACCATCCTTGCATCCCAGGGATAAATCCCATTTGTCATGATGAATGATCCTTCCAATGTATTGTTACATTCAGTTTTCTAGTATCTTGTTGAGGATTTTTGCATCAATATTCATCAGATATATTGGCCTGTTTTTTTTTTTTTTTTTTTTTTTGAGACAGAGTCTCACTCTGTCACCCAGGCTGGAGTGCAGTGGCATGATCTGGGCTCACTGCAACTTTCATTCCCAGGTTCAAGTGATTCTCATGCCCCAGCCTCCAGAGTAGGTGGGATGACAGGCACCTGCTACCATGCCCAGCTAATTTTTCTAATTTTAGTAGAGACAGGGTTTCACCATATTGGCCAGGCTGCTCTTGAACTCCTGACTTCAGGTAATCCACCTGCCTCAGCCTCCCAAAGTGCTGCGATTACAGGTGGGAGCCACTGCTCCCAGCCTGTTTCTTTTTTTGACGCATCTTTGTCTGCTTTTGATATCAGGGTAATACTGGCCTTGTGGAATGAGTTTGGAAGTATTCCTTCATCTTCTGCTTTTTGGAACAGTTAAAGCAGGAGTGGTATTCGTTCTTCTTTAAATGTTTGGTAGAATTCAGCAGGGAAGCCATCGGGTCTCAGTATATATATTGGCTATATATGTTGGATGAATATATACTTAAAATTGTTATAGCCTCTTGCTGAACTGATCCCTTTATCATGATATAGTGACATTCTTTGTCTCTTCTTATCGTTTTTGTCTTGCAATCTATTTTATCTGATACAAGGATAGCGACTCCTGCTCTTTTTTGGTTTCTACTGGAATGGAATATATTTTTCCATTCCTTTATTTTCAGACTAATGGGAGAAGAGTGTTTCTTGTAGGCAACAGATCGATGGGTCTTTTGTTTTTTGTTTTGTTTTGTTTTTATTTTTATTTTTTTGAGGTGGAGTCTCACTCTGTTACCAGGCTGGAGTGCAGTGGCACGATCTCGGCTCACTGCAACCTCCGCCTCCTGGGATCAAGAGATTTTCCTGCCTCAGCCTCCTGAGTAGCTGGGGCTACAGGTGTGCACCACTACGCCCACCTAATTTTTCTATTTTTAGTAGAGACGGGGTTTCACCCTGTTGGCCAGGATTGTCTCCATCTCTTGACCCTGTGATCCACCCGCCTCAGCTCCCCAAAGTACTGGGATTACAGGTGTGAGCCACCGTGCCCAGCCGGGTCTTGTTTTTTCATCCATTCAGCCATTCTGTCTTTTGATTGAAAAGTTTAGTCTGATGACATTCAATGTTATTATTGATAAGCAAGGACTTACTCCTGCCATTTTGTTAATTGTTTTCTGGTTGTTTTGTAGTCTTCTCTTCCTTCTTTCCTTCCTGTCTTCCATTAATGAAGGTAATTTTCTCTGGTGATATAATTTAGTTTCATGTTTCTTATTTTTTGTGTATCCCTTGTATTTTTTTGGTTTGAGGTTACCATGAGGCTTGCAAATACTATCTTATAACCCATTATTTTTAAGCTTATAAAATAAGTTTGCATAAACAAACAAGTAATAAGAAAACTAATACAAACTCTACAACTTAGTCTCACTACTTTTTAACTGTTATTTCTATTTATATCTTATTATACCATTTATGTCTTGAAAAGTTGTTATAGTCAATGTTTTTGATTGGCTCATAGTTGTCTCTCTACTTACAATAAGAGTAGTTTATACACCATAGTTACAGTGTCGTAACATTCTGTATTTTTCTGTGTATTTACTATTACCAGTGAGGTTTATACCTTCAGGTAGTTACTTATTGCTCACTAATGTCCTTGTCTTTCTGATTGAAGTACTCCCTTTAGCATTTCTTCTAGGACAGGTCTGGTGTTGATGAAATCCCTCAGCTTTTGTTTGTGTGGAAAAATCTTTCTTTCTCCTTCACTTTGAAGGATATTTTCACTGAATATATTGTTCTAGGGTAAATGTTTTGTTTCCTTCAGCATTTTCAATATGTCATGTCACTCTCTCCTGGCCTGAAACATTTCTATTAAAAAGTCTGTTGCCAGCTGTATTGTAACTCTATTGTATATTATTGGTTTCTTTTCTCTTGTTGCTTTTAAGATCCTTTATCCTTGATCTTTGGGAGTGTGATTATTAAATGCCTTGAGGTAGTCTTCTTTGAGTTAAATCTGCTTGGTGTTTTGTAACCTTCTTGCACTTGGATACTGATATCTTTCTATAGGTTTGGGAAGTTCCGTTACTATCCCTTTGAATAAACTTTCTAACCCCTCTCTCTCTGCACCTCCTCTTTAAGGCCAGTATCGCTTAGATTTGCCCTTTTGATGCTATTTTCTAGATCATGTAGGCATGCTTCATTGTTTCTAATTCTTTCCTTTGTCTCCTCTATGTATTTTGAAATAGCCTGCCTTCAGGCTCATTAATTCTTTCTTCTGCTTGATCAATTCTGCTATTAAAAGACTCTAATACATTCTTCAGTATGCCAATTACATTTTTTGGCTCCAGAATTTCTGCCTGATTCTTTTTAATTATTTCAATCTCTTTGTTAAACTTATCTAATAGAATTATGATTTTTTTATCTGTGTTATCTTAAATTTATTTCTGTTTCCTCAACACAGCTATTTTGATTTGTCTGAAAGGTCACGTATCTCTGTTTCCCCAGGATTGGCCTCTGGTGTCTTATTGAGTTCATTTGGTGAGGTCATGTTTTCTCGGACAGTGTTGATGCTAGCAGATGTTCTTTGGTGTCTAGGCATTGAAGAATTAGGTATTTATTGTAGTTTTCCCTGTCAGGGCTTGTTTGTACCTATCTTTCTCAGGAAGGCTTTCCAGATATTGGAAAGAACTTGGATATTGTGATCTAAGTTGTATCTGCTTTAGGGGGCACCCCAAGCCTCCTAAACTCTGTGGTTCCTGCAGACTCATAGTGGTACTGCCTTAATGGTCTTGGACAACATGCAGGATAATTCTCTGGGTTACCAAAAAGAGAGTCTTGTTCTCTTCCCTTAATTTCTCCCAAACAAACAGAGTCTCTCTCTCTGTTCTGAGCCACCGTGACACAAACACCCCTGTGGCCACCGCTACTATGACTGCATTGGGTCAGACGTGAAGCCAGCACAGCACTGGGTCTTGCCCAAAACCTGCTGTAACCACTCCCTAGCTATTGCATAAGTTTGCTGAAGGCCCTGGGGCTCTACGATCATCACATGGTAAAAACAGTCAGGCCTGTGTCCTTCCCTTCACGATGGCAAGTTCTCCCAGGCTCCGGGTGGGTCCAAAGGTGCTGGGAATCAGGGCCTAGATCAGAAACTTATAATTCTACCTGGTGTTTTATGTGCTATAGCTGAGCTGGTTGAGCTGTCACTCAAACCACAAGATGCAATCCTCGCTACTCTTTCAACCCCTCTCCAAAAGCAGAGGAGCATCAATCCATGGCCACCTCACTCAAACACAGACCATGGGGGGTACTGCCAGACTACCACCAAGGTTCTCCTAAGGCCCAAAGGCTTTTAAGTCAGCTTGAGTTGAATGCTCCTGTTAATTATTTTAATATGCCTCTTTTTTTTTGGGACGGAGTCTCACCCTGTCACCCAGGCTGAAGTGCAATGGCACAATCTCGGCTCACTGCAACCTCTGCCTCCTGGGTTCAAACAATTCTCCTGCCTCAGCCTCCCGAGTAGCTGGCATTACAGGCTTCCGCCACCATGCCCAGCTAATTTTTGTATTTTTAGTAGAGACAGGGTTTCACCATCTTGGCCAGGCTGGTCTTGAACTCCTGACCTCGTGATCCACCTGCCTCAGCCTCCCAAAGTGCTTCTTAGAAAAGTACAAAATAGCTTTATGCATTATAAAAATAATCAAACTTACCCTTCTACAAATACTCGAAGAAGAACATCCATGAGAAAAAATAAAGCAATAGCTAGAGAAATAGAATGATACTCCAAAGGAATATAAACTTTGCTATCAGTGAAAATTAGGTCAGCAAAGATCAGAGCCACATCCAACAAGATCAGGAAAACTCCAAATATTCTACAACAAATAAATAAATGAATAAATAAGTAAGTAACAACAAAGATAAAGGGGCTTTTGTCCCTATAGTTATACTATATTTAGGCCAATGATCGGGTACCAAAATGTTATTATTTAGTATTAAACTGCCCAGTGGCAGGAAAAACTGTAATGTCATAGAATCTCAGAAAAATCACTGTTTTCACCCAATAGAAGCAGTTCTTAATAAATAAAATTCCCACCAAACCACTTCACAAGACGTTATCATGCCCTTTTATAGCAGATCCATCAGACTAACACCTCAAGAGAGAAAAGTGAAACTGAACTAAAATTGCCTGTGTCTGTTTGTAAACTCTTCTTAAAATTTGAGAATTTCATAAGAAGTTTACACCCATTTCTCATAAAAAATAAAATCTTATTAATCTGGATAATTCTTAAGGATTTATTAATAAAAACCAAATGAAAGCATGAGTAACATAAGCTCTTAAAAGACCAAGATTTTTTTGTCAGTGACATTTTCAGCAAGTACATGATTACATATTTATGGGCGATTCTAGTACAGTGATGGGTACATGAGAAAGAATTCAATTCCATAAATATTTATAGTATTGAACTCTAAGGTACCTCCTGAAACTTGCTGTTACATATTCTAAATACATTCCCCATAAATTGATTATACTATTTGCTTAATCTATGAAGATGAATTCATCTTCAAAGTACTTTTCAAAAAGTTGCAGCTCAAGTTAAAATATCATTAATTCAAAAGGAAACAATTATATTGCGTAAATCTATATCATATTGCGTAAATCTATATCATAGTATGAAATCTTACTCTTACGTAGAGAAGAGTCTGAGTAAATTGTTTCCAGAATTAAAGAGTAATTCTAGATGTATAAGGTACTTAATAAAACACTTTACTTATAATTATAGAATTTTATCATTCGATTTTCATTAACTTTACTTGTGCAGATGGAAGAAAAATAATATTAATATGTTACTATTAATCTTATACAAAAGCCGTTTCTTTGCAAGTCTTAAAGTCCAGCTTAAACCAAATTTCCATGATAAATTAGATTACATTAGATGGGGCACATGGCTACTTAGAAACCGATGGACAGGAAATGCTTTTTGGTTTTGTTTTTTATTTCAGTCTTTCTCATTGAAAGAGCGAGATATATATATATCTCGCTCTGTCACCTGGGCTGCAGTGCAATAGTGTGATCTCAGCTCACTCCAATCTCCGCCTCCCAGGTTCAAGCGATTCTTCCACCTAGGCCTCCCGAGCAGCTGGCATTGCAGGCACTCGCCATCATGCCTGGCTAATTCTTTTATTTTTAATAGAGACGGGGTTTCACCGTGTTAGCCAGGCTGGTCTTGAACTCCTGACCTCAGGTGATCCACCTGCCTTGGCCTCCCAGAGTGCTGGGAGTACAGGCGTGAGCTACCGCACCTGGCCAAGTCTCAGATATATTTAATACGTGGTGTTTTTTATGCATTAAGTCTCAGGTATATTTAATACATGGTGTTTTCTATGTCTCACATACCCAACTGCAAAGGATGACACAATTGAATGAACAATTTTCTTAATCCTGCTGCTGCAAAAACAAGCAAAAATAAAATCAATCAGATTTCTTCTAACTTATAAATTTAACCAAAAAACAAAGGCCTTTATAAATACAATTTTAAAAGAAAATTATTCAGAAGTTGTATAACAAAATGCTTTTTACTAATAATTAAAATTTTATCTTTTCTGCTCCATGAGTATTTTACTTTCCTATCCAGAATATATGTGAATAAGACAGTAAACTTTGGATGTTTAGTAATATTTCCATTGCATGCAAAGCCCCAACTCCAACTTTATGGCAATACTAAGCTTAAACTTGTGGTCATCAACTCAAGGAATATAGCATGAAAAAAGAAAAGAGGGGTAGAAGAGAACTGTATTTTAATGCCAGCCTGGGCAAGTCATCAAACTTTGGCCAGATCTCAGTTTCCACAGCAATAAAATAAGGTATTTCAGGGATGAGCATAGGGAGTAAATGATGCTCTTGTCATCTCTTTCCAACTAGACACCTAGTGAACAGATACACATTAGTGACAGTTGCCTTTGAGGTGGCATAGGAACTGCAGCGGTAAGACATTTTAGTAAGATACACTTCAAAGGAGAAACACCTGAAAGACTGGGCTCCTTCCATTAATCCAAGAAAGGAGAACCTGTTTGATGGAGCCCCCAGTAATGCCTCATTTTACCTTATGGCTGAAGACAAGGTAGCTGATGAGGAACAATTTTTTGTCCTACTGAAGCCTTCAGGAAGTTTCTATCATACTGAAGCCTCCAACACAGGACTCAAATTTCACCCCAAGAGGCACGAATCCTAAGACAATGCTCACAGCCTGTGCCTAAGACTGGAGAATAAAAGAGGACAGACACTGAGGAGAACTGGGGCACTGCCAAAATTGGCCTTCGACATGAACAGACATTTCTCAAAAGAAGACATACATGTGGCAAAGAAGCATACGAAAAAAAGCTCAATATCACAGATTAGAGAAATGCCAATCAAAACCACAATGAGATGCCATTTCACACCAGACAATAGTCAGAATGGCTATTATTAAAGTGTCAAAAAATAACAGGTGCTGGCAAGGTTGCAGAGAAAAGGGAACACTTATACACTGTTGATGGGAGTGTGAATTAGTTCAACCATTGTAAAAAGCAGTATGGCGACACCTAGAAGAGCTAAAAGTAGAACTACTATTTGACTGAGCAATCCCATTACCTAGTATATACCCAGAGGAATATAAATCATTCTACTGTAAAGCATATGCATGTGAATGTTCACTGCAGCACTATTTACAATAGCAAAGACATGGAATCAACACAAATACCCATCAATGACAGATTGGATAAAGAAAATGTGGTACATATACACCATGGAATACTATGCAGCCATAAAAAAGAATGAGATCGGCTGCGCACGGTGGCTCACGCCTGTAATCCCAGCACTTTCGGAGGCTGAGGCGGGCAGATCATGAGGTCAGGAGATCAAGACCACCCCAGCTAACACGATGAAACCTCGTCTCTACTAAAAATACAAAAAAAATTAGCTGGGCGTGGTGGCGGGCGCCTGTAGTCCCAGCTACTCGGGAGGCTGAGGCAGGAAGAATGGCGTGAACCCAGGAGGAAGAACTTGCAGTGAACCGAGACTGTGCCACTGCACTCCAGCCTGGGCAGCAGAGAGAGACTCCGTCTCAAAAAAAGAAAAAAAGAATGAGATCCTGTCTTTTGTGGGAACGTGGATGGAGCTGGAGGCTATCATCCTTAGCAAACTAGTGCAGAAAGCAAAAATCAAATACTGAATGTTCTCATCTGTAAGTGGTATAGCTAAGTGATAAGGATGTAAAAACACAAAGAGGGAAGCAAACACTGGGGTCTACCTAAGTGGGGAGAGTAGGAGGAGAGAGACAAGCAAAAAGGATCACTATTTGGGTACTGAGCTTAATACCTGGGTGATGAAATAATATGTAAAACAAACCACCCTGACACATGTTTACCTATGTAACAAACCTTCACGTGTACCTCGAAACCTAAAATAAAAGTTAAAAAAAGCAAAATTGGCCTCTGATGAATGATGTTAGGTTAACCTGAGATAAAGGAAATCCCCAATCCTTCTAATCTTCCCCTCATCCACCTGGACCCACCACCTCTACCCAGGCTTAGAAAGTTAAGGCTGATGTAGACAGAGGATCAGTTGGCCAAAAGAGGCGAATTCTCTCCGGAAGTTGCCATTCTCTTTTTACAAGAACCTCTGATCCCACACAGTCTACTGGATCTCTGGGTATCAAGGAAATGTCATCAATCTGAATTCACTTGACAATATCACCATACAGAACCAAGCCTGATAGATCATGAAGGCATGAAGGAGTGGCTTGGGTGGCTTTAGCCCCTTCAATCTGTTTCAGTGTCCCCTGAAACTGTACCAAGTAAATATACAATTGAGACTTATTTTGGTTAAAAAAGTGTACTATGTAAATGCAGCTTCAAGCAGTTACATGCAGAGTTTGCAGGGAAATAACTATGACTCAATATATCCATATCCAGGAAAAGTACTGTTCACATTTGAGAGCAACAGACAGACACTCCAACATGCAGCAACTCAAAGCATAGCCTCTATGTGCCTTTCCTAAAAATAATTACTCCAAGTGCTTGAGTCAGCGGAGCAATGAATCAAAATGAAGAACAGAGCAATAAGGAACATGACTTATAGAGAAAAGATGGTAAATAATATAAACTCAGAAGTAAGTCTAAATAACAACTGTTAATGTAGCATAAAAATGTAGGTGAAAATGTAAATAAACGATTCTAAAAGTAAAGATAATATAAAATTATCAATAATAGTATTGATTTAAATTTTAGGCATTCTTACACTAGGATTCAAGGTTTGGAAGAAGATAGAAGTAAAGGCAGATTGCATTTCTTATCTTCTACAGATACAAGTCCAGTTTTATTCTCGATATTGATGGAGAAAAATGGTATAATTATGTTTTCTAAATATTTAAATATAAACTGATGGACTAGAAATGGGCTTCTGACTTGCCTATCAGTAAAAAATGTAAGGGATAAAAACAAATCAATTACTAGCAAAATATAGAATAATTTAAAAAGAAAATATCAAAGTATTTTTCATAAAGAAAAAGACAATAAAGCCAAACATACCAGAAATCATAAATACAAACATATTCCTCCCATATTCCATGAGAAATACACTCAGATAACTTTAAAATCAAAGGCATTACATGCTATACACAAGAGACAAAAACTAAATTTAAATGACAGTTTAAAAATAAAGAGATAGAGGCCGGGTGTGGTGGCTCACACCTGTAATCCCAGCACTTTGGGAGGCTGAGGCGGGCAGATCACGAGGTCAAGTGATCGAGTCCATCCTAGGCGACCCCCCATCTCTACTAAAAATATCAAAAATTAGCTGGGCGTGGTGATGTACACCTGTAGTCCCAGCCACTCGGGAGGCTGAGTCAGAAGAATGGCTTGAACCTGGGAGGTGGAGGTTGCAGTGAGCCAAGATCATGCCAGTGCACTCCAGCCTGGCCACAGAGTGAGACTCCGTCTCAGAAAAAAAAAAAAGAGAAAAAGAAAAGAGAAAAAGACTTGAGATACTAAACCTTAAAACACTATAAGTTCCAATATTAATATCAAAGTGGAATTCAAAGCACAAATATTAACTATGACCATGACTTATTTTTTATCAATAGAAGGTGGAAGCTACATGACACTAACAAGACCATTTTTAATGAAATGGGATTCGTATCAAGGGCAGGTGCTATCTCTCCCACTGGACACATTTTTCTCTGGTACAGACTCTGGCGGTACGGAGATGGCCATGATGCAAAGCAATGAAAACACTGTACTGACTCTCTGGTCTTCCTGATCTCGCTCTAGATCACTAAAACAGGGTAAGGACAATACAGGGGGATGATATTTTGATGCTGTGAAAACTATTAGTCACACAGGAGAAAAGTAAATTTCTACACTTTATGCCTTAAGACAAAGTAAATTCAGGGCAGCGATTTTATTTAAATGAAGAAAATAAGCTCAAAACAGAAATCTTGGTGAATATATTTAAAATCTTGGGGTAGAGAAGGACTTTCTGAGAATAACATTAAAGGCATAAATCACAAAGAAAAGTATAGGTACATTTGATTATATGAAGATTCAACACTTTTATATAGTGAAAAGCAAGACACCCTGGGAGAAACTACTTATATTACATAAAATAGAAAAAGGATCAACAGATTTAACTTTTCAGTCCAAAGACAGAAAAACACCCCAATTTTAACTGGCCAAAGGTAGTTTGGAAATGATGAAATATTAACCGAAAAAAGCATAAATGAAGGTATGTCAAAGAATGTGCATTAGAACAAATAGATTTACTAATATCAAAGAAATCAATGACAGCTAGCGTTAAGTATGGGAGGGGAGAAATGTACACTTTAGCATCTTGATGTTCAAGCACTTATCAATACCAATAGCATCATAATCATTCCCTTTGACACAGGATTTCCACTTCTGAGAATTTATAATAAGCAAATAACCAACGATATGCAAAGATTTAGCCTCAAATATTTTTTGTAACAGTAAAAACTTGTAAAAAACTTAATTGTTCAGCAATATCTGACTATTAAATGAATTATAGCACATCTACACCATGCAGTATTACAAAACTATTACAAATAATGTTGTAAGTGCACATGAATATACATTAACAAGAAAATATAGATATGATGTCATTAAGTAATAAGGTTATTTACAAAAGAATATAAGTATGGTCTCGTATCTGCAAACAAAAAATGCATATGCTTAAAGAACTCAGAAGTGCATGTATCAAAGTTTAAGAATGACTGCATGTGGGCAGATTTGTTGATTGGATTTTCTGATTTTCCTTTAATAAACTCTCACATTATTTTCAGTTTTTCGCACAAAACCTATTCACAGAGCTACAGAGTTTTCAAAGTGTTTTTGCATGTTATTTTAGTTTTATTACTAATTTTTTACAATACAATATCCACTACATAGATAGCATTATAACCAGTTTACATTTGAATAATCTAAAACTAAAAGAGGTTCAATGACTTCCTGAGTATCAGATGAATGAATACATGATGTCAAAGCCAAGCACTGATTCCAGCTTTTACTATAAATCCAAGATCATCCCCCTGGTATGAAACACCAGTGTTTCTCACAGGGACTACTACCAATTCCTCCTATATTTATGCAATGAGACTTTGTAACTTAAAAATAAAACAAAACAAAAACCTGCTTTCTTTTGTTTGGAGAGGGGAAAGAAAAAGGAAATGCTTGCCTTGCTCAATCTGTCTAATTTTGCCTCAACCCTGGGCAGCTCCATTACAGAAAATGTATAGCTAGTATGCAGACACACAGTTTAATTAAGTGGTGCCGTGAATTCTTCACTGATGGCCCATGATAAAAATTTCTAGAAAATGAAAACTCAGGGTAATTTGAAGAACTATTTGTATTTGCCCTCTGTTTCCCATGTAATCTTTGTTTAGACACCAACAGCTTATAACCATGATGAGTTAACTTCCTCTATGGCAGCACTTCCTCTCCAACATTGACATAAGCTGGTGAATGGTTATACAACTGGGCAAGAAAGAAGCAGAAGAAAAATCTCCTGAATATGTCTGCAGTTCAGACACAAGCCAGTTTAAGAATGTGTTGTTTCGTTACAGTGAGTACATGGTAAAATGCCTTCAGGTCAGTGCAATAGGAGTACTCAGTACTCTAGTGAGATTAGAAACAAATAATAACAAAATCCCAGTGAGCATAAAGAGGTCTTTAGTCAGCAAAACATGTTTGCTTTTGCTATCAATACCACTTGCTCATAGGTGAAATCTACAAAACTGGGAATCGCACAATATCCAGTAAAAATGAGAAAGGTTCACTATTGATGAGTAAGTAACATTCTGCATTCCTGTTTTCTTTAAAAAAAAAAAAACTTCTAATGAAGTTAATTTCTTCTAAGGATACTTTTTACATTTTCAAGCTAGAAGAACATTTATTCCTGAATGGATGGAATTTTTTTTCAAAATAATACTTGTCTAAGAATTCAATTGGAGGAAATATGGTGTACTCTCCCACCCACACACCCATACATTTTGATATCCTTCCGTAGTTTCCCTTTTTCCTTTGTGCCTCAGCGTAAGCCCTGTTCAACTAAAGAAAAGAGATCCATCAATGGCTCCCTCCTTTCAAACTTCAAACTGACTTACTCATATGAAGCGACATATTCAGCATTTTCATAATCTTCAAACCTGGAAAGTCGTTCTGACACACTTTAGCCACCAAAAAAATGCAAAAATATATCATTAGATATTTGCTACACAAAACAGTGATGAAGAATTTATTTGAATAACAAGAATTCCATGAATCTAAAGGATATAGTAAACATGACTTAGCTCACTGGAAGACCTGACATTTAAGAAAGAAAATTACAGTCATTAACCAGAAACTATTCTCACAGATACTCCCAACGCTGAATTTTGCATATTTTTCTCTTCTTTTCTCTCTCTGTCTCTTTCTATATATGTATATAAAGGTAATTAAAAGAATATGTATATAGTTATAGAATACATAAATGTGTATAGACATATCACAAAGACATTGTGGGTTTCATTCCAGACCACTGCAATAAAGCAAAAACTGCATTAAGTGACTCACACAAATGTTTTGGTTTCCCTGTGCATATAAACGTTATGTTTATACTACACTGTAGTCTGTTAAGTGTGCAACGACATTATGTCAAAAAAAATTATGTACATACCTTAAAGTAAAACTACTTTATTGGTTAAAAAAATGCTAATGATCACCTGAGCCTTTAGCAAGTCATAATCTTTTTGCTGGTGGAGGGCGTTGCCTCCATGTTGATGGCTGCTGACTGATCAGAGCTGTGGTTGCCAACGGTTGGGGTGGCTGAGGCAATTTCTTAAAATAAGACAACAACGAACTTCACTATATCAAATGACTCTTCCTTTCACAGGTGATTTCTCTGTAACATGTGATGCCATTTGATAGCATTTTACCCACAGTAGAACTGTTTTCAAAATTGGAGTGAATCCTCTCAAATCCTACCACTACTTTATCAACCATAGTTTACTTATATAGAATGAGTTAGGAAGACTTTCCTCTGCTTTAATTTTTTGAAATAGTGTAAGAATTGATATTAGTTCATTTTTAAAAGTAGGTGGAGTTAAGTGGTGAAGTCATCAGATCCTGGACTTTGTTGAAGGCCTTTTTGTTCCTGATTCAATCTCATTACTTCTTTTTGGTCTGTTCAGGTTTTCTATTTCTTCTTGGTTTAGTCTTGGCAGGTTGTATGGGTCGAGGATTTTATCCACTTCCTCTAGGTTTTCAAATTTATTGTAGAGTTGTTCATAATAGTCTCTAATAATCCTTTTTATTTCTGTCATATCTGTTGTGAGGTCCCATTTTTTCTTTCTGATTTTATTTATATGGGTCTTCTCTTTTTCTTAATTAGTCTAGCTAATGGTTTGTTGATATTTTTAAACCTGCTTTTTGTTGTTAACCTTTTGTAAATTTTGCCTGAATTTTGTTTATTTCTGTCTGGTCTTTATTATTCAGTTCCTTTTAATAATTTGGGATTTAGTTTGTTCTTACCATACTAGTTTCTTGAGGTAGAATTGTTAGGTGGTTTATTGGAAATTTTTCTAGTTTTTTGATCCAGCCATTTATTGCTATGAACATGCTTCCTAATACTGCTTTTGCTGTGTCCCTTATGTTTTGGTAGGTTGTGTTTCTAGTTACAGTTGTTTCAAGGAATTTTTAAATTTCATACTTAATTTCTTTCTTCACTCCTTGTCACTCAAGAGCATGTTGTTTTATTTCCATATATCTGTATAGTTTTGAATGTTCCTCTTGTTATGGATGTCTAGTTTTATTCCATTGTGGTAAGATAAGATACCTGATATAATTTCAGTTTTTAAAAATGTGTTGAGACTTGTTTTGTGGCCTAACATATGGTCTATCTTGGATAATGTTCCATGTGCTGATGAAAAGAATGTATATTCTGCAGCTGTTATGTGAAACGTTCTGTAAATGTTTGTTATGGCCATTTGGTCTATGGTGCAGTTTAAGTCTGATGTTTCTCTGTTGATTTTCCATCTAGATGATTTGTCCAGTGCTGAGAGTGGGATAATGAAGTGCCCAACTCTTATTGTAACGGGTTCTAGCTCCCTCTTTAGATCTACTAATATTTGCTATATATATCTGGGTGCTCTGGTGTTGAGTGCATACATATTTAAAATTATATTATACACATATTACAATTATGTTCTATTTCTTGCTAAATTGAACCCTTTATTATTACATAATAATCTTGTGTGTCACTTTTTATGGTTTTTAACTTAAAGTCTGTTTTGACTGATATAAGTATAGCTATTCCTGCTCACTTTTGGTTTCCATTTGCATGGAATATCTTTTTCCATCCCTTCATTATCAGTCTATGTGTTTCTTTAGAGGTAAGGTGAGTTTCTTTTAGATAAAATATAGTTGGGTCTTATTTTTATTATTATTTTTTGAGACAGAGTCTCGCTCTGTTACCCAGGCTGGAGTGCAGTGGCACGATCTCAGCTCACTGCAAGCTCTGCCTCCCGGGTTCATGCCATTCTCTTACCTCACCCTCCCGAGTAGTTGGGACTACAGGTGCCCACCACCACGCCCAGCTGATTTTTTGTATTTTTAGTAGAGATGGGGTTTCACCATATTGGCCCGGCTGGTCTCGAACTCCTGACCTCCTGATCCGCCCGCCTCGGCCTCCCAAAGTGCTGGGATTACAGGCGTGAGCCACTGTGCCCAGTTGGGTCTTATTTTTTAATCCACTCAGCAAGTCTATATCCTTCTTGGGGTATTTAATCTATTAACATTCAAAGTTGTTATTGGTAGGTGAGGAGTTATTTGCGACATTTTATTGTTTTCTGGTTGGTTTGTATATGTTTTGTTCCTTTCTGCCTCTCTGTTTACTTTTGTAGTTGGGTAGTTTTCTGTAGTGATAAGGTTTCATCCCTTTCTCTTTCTATGTATTGACTCTATCAGTGGCGTTTAAAGTTTTACATGTTTTTATGATGGTGGTTATCATCTTTTTACTTCCAGAAGTAAGACTGCCTTGGGCATTTCTTGTAAGGCTGGTCTAGTGGTGATGAATTATCTTGGTGTTTGTTTATCTGTCACAGATTTTATGTCTCCTTCATTTGTAAAAGATAGCTGCACTGGGTATAATATTCTTGGTTGAAAGATTTTTTTTTTTTCTTTCAGAACTTTGCATATATCATCCCATTCCTTTCCAGCCTAAGGTTTCTGCCGGGAAATCAGCTGTTCGTCTAACGAGAATTCCATTATAAGCGCTTTCAGGCTTTTCTCTTGCTATCTTAAAAAATCTTTGTCTTTGTGTCTGGGTTGAATGTATTTGGGGTTCTTTGATCTTCCTAGAACTAGATGTCTATCTCTCTCTCTTGAGTTGGGAAGTTTTATGCTATCACTTTATTAAATATGTTTTCCTCACATTTCTCTTCACTTTTCCTTCTGGAATGCCCATAATAGGAATATTTGTTCAAATTAACAGTGTCCAATAAATCCTGTAGGCTTTTTTCATTATTTTTTATTCTTTTTTCTCTGCCTGTGTTATTTCAAAAGACTTCTCTTCAAGTTCAGAAATTACTTCTTCTGCTTGTTCTTGTCTGTAAAGTCATTGATTTCATTTTTTATTTCTTCTATTGAACTGTTTAGTTCTTAGGGCTTGTTTGGTTCTTTTTATGATATCTCTATCTTTACTGAATTTCTCATTCAAATCATGTTTTCCTGATTTCATTGACTTGTCTATCTGTATTACCTATATCTCACTGAGTTTCCTTAGGATTATTCTTTTGAATTTTTTTTCTGGCATTTCATATGTTTATGATTGGGGTCCATTACTACATAATTATTATTTCCCTTTGTAGGTGACCTGTTTTCTTGCATTTTCATGGTTGATGTGTTTCTATGCTGATTTCTATGCGTCTGGTGAAAAAGTCACCTTTTCCAATTTTATGGAGTAGGTTACTTGTATGAATTTATTTGTATGAATGGGTCTTGGGTGTCAGTTCATTGGGGTATATTGGCCTTGGTTCTACATGGATGCAGTAAAGTGTAGTCTCCATATAGTTCATTCCGCTGTGATCCACACTAGTAACATTTGCAAGTTTCTCAGTGGCCTAGGCTAAGGAAGTTTGTGGTAATGGTGGTGCAGCTTTGCCAGGGGTGGGCTCTCTGGACTGTTTCTCAGGGTAGAGGTGTATGCAGGTATACAGTGGGTCAGAAAACTTGGAGTATGGCTTTGTGGGGCTGGCCATGGTGCTGTTACTCTGGCCAGGAGCATGGGGATGCAGTTGCTCAAGCCCAGGATGCAGGCACACAGCTGTTTGCCTGGCCTGGAAGCACGCACTCCAGGAGTGGCCTGAAGGGCTGTTTCCCATGCCTGGTATGTGGATACACAGCTGTTCATCTGGCCCGAGGCCAGTCTGCTGGGGGAAACTCATGGGCCAAATATAGAGCTGCACGGCTACTAAGCTGGACCGAAGGCATCTTTGCCAGGGCTGGCCAAGAGGGGGTGTTTCTCAGGCCTGGGATACAGTCAAATAATTTCTCAGCTGTCCTGGATGTGGGTCTGCTAGGGGTAGTCCACAGGGCTATTCTAGCTCAGGATGTGGGCACACTGCTGCTCAGCTGGCCTGGGTGGTGCCTGCCAGGGGAAGCCCAGGGGGCTGCTTCTATGACCCAGGATGTGGGCACAAGGCTGCTTGGCTGGCCTAGGGGCATGTCTTCTGGGAGTAGCCCATGGGGCTCTTTCTCAGGTCCAGGACATGGGCATTCATGGCTGATTGGCTGGTCTGGAGGTGCATCCGCTGGGAATGGGTACAGGAATGTTTCTCGGGCTCATGAAAGGTTGCACAGCTGCTTAGTTGGCCTGGGAGTATTTCTGCGGGGGGTGGCCTACAGGGCTGTTCCTCAAGCTGGGACATAGGTATGTGGCTGCTTATTTGGCCTGAGGGTATGCTGGCCAGAGTAAGCTCCCAGGGTTGTTTCTCAGCCCTGAGACTCAGGCACACACAGCTGCTTGTTTCTCAGGTCTGAGACACAGGTTCAAGGCCCACTCAGTGCTGTGCCTGCTCGCGGCAGCCTGTGGGACTGTTTCTCAGGCCTTTATTAAAGGCGGAGGGCGGCTGGGCAGGTCAGGAGCATGTCTGTGGTGGATGAGGCCTGCAGGGCTGTTTCTCAGGTCCTGAGCATGCACTCATAGTCACTCTCTTGACCTTGGGGTATATCAGCTGCTCAGAGGCTTAGGGGACGCTCCCACTTGAGAGAAGGCATGTAGTGGTTTGGCTAGCTCAAGGGTGAGTTCACCCTGGATGGGAGTGCAGATTGTTTCTCTGTCTGGAAGTGTAGTGGTGGGGGTTGATTTCTCCCTGCTCTTCAGGACTTGAGTTACCGCCAATTCTGGGACCAACCTCCACACAGCTGGGGTTGTGGCTTTAACCCACCCATGTGGGCTTGGTATACTGAAGGTAAAGCTCCAGTGCTGGAGACGCACAGTGGCTACTGGCCCCCAGAGTAGGGCACACTCAAGAGATGACTCTGGTCTCAAGATGGTGCTGTGTTGCTGCAACTTAGGTCTCTGGGGGTGGGAAGCCTTCACCTTGTACTCCTAGTCCAGGACATGCAGCTGTGTAAATTCCTGGCAGTACTCCATACTGGCCTCAGGGCTTGCAAATACTGTGAGATTTTCCTTAAGACTCTGTGTTTGTGATGGCAGTGGGGCTGGTGGGGATCTTCTGCTTACCTTCACTCTGCAATGAGAAGTCCTTCCTGTCTCTGGGCCAGTTCAACCCAGGTGGGGGAGAAGGGACTGCAGAGGCTGAGTGCTTCCATGCTGTGGGGCCTTCCAGTCACCACAGGTGTGTCTCCTCCACTCCTTTGCTGCGCTCCAGGACTATCCCTTTGATACTCTAATCAGACCTTAGATGTGTATTTGTTCCTGGGTTTTCTTGCAGGGGAGATGAGCACAAGGCATCTCTAGTCACCCATCTTGCTTGATTTAGCATAACTCGTAAGGGCCCTAGGATTTTCAGAACAGTCAATGATCATTGGCCTCAACTTAAAGTCACCAGTTTCATTCGCCCCTAAAAGAGAATCGGCCTGTGCCTTGAAGCTTTGAAACCATGCATTGACTTCTCTCCAAATATAAAAGTCCTGGATGGCATCTTCTTCCAATAAAAAAGGCTATCTTGTCTACAGTGAAAATCTGTTGTTTCGTGTAGCCACCTTCATCAATTGTCTCAGCTACATCTTCTGGATAACTTGCTGCTGCTGGATAACAGCACTTGCGTTTCACCTTGCACTTTTATGTTATGGAGATGGCTTCTTTCCTTAAACTTCATGAACCAACCTGTTAGCTTCAAGCTTTTCTTCTGCAACTTACTTACCTCTCTCAGCCATCACTGAATTGCAGAGAGAGGGGGCCTTGTCCTGGATTAGGCTTTGGCTTAAGGAAAGGCTATGGCTGCTTTGATCTTCTATCCAGACCGCTAAAACCTTCTCCATATTAGCAATCAGCCTGTTTTGCTTCCTCATCATTTGTATGTTCACTGGAGTAGCAGTCTTAATTTTCTTTGAGAATATATACACGTATTTTGCATTCGCAACTTGTCTGACTGGTGCAAGAAGTCTAGCCTTCCTCACAATCATTTTTAGCTTTTAGTTTAAAGTGAGAGGCTTCTGACTCTTCCTTTCACTAGGACACTTAGAAACCCTCATAGACTTATTAAATGGCCTACTTTCAATATTGTTGTGTCTTAGGAAGTAGGGAGGCCCAAGAAGAGGGAGAGAGATGGGGAATGGCTACTCAGTGGAGCAGTCAAAAAACACATGGCATTGATTAAGGTAGTTGTCCTATAGGACATGGTTCATGTTCATGTTGCCCCCAAACAATTACAATAGTAACGTCAACGATCACTGATCACAGATCATAAGAGATAGGATAACAACAAAAAAGTTTAAAATAGGCTGGGCGTGGTGGCTCACGCCTGTAATCCCACCACTGTGGGAGGCCAAGGCAGGCGGATCACGAGGTCAGGAGTTTGAGACCAGCCTGACGAACATGGTGAAACCCCGTCTCTACTAAGAATATAAAAATTAGCCGGGCGTGGTGGCAGGTGCCTGTAATCCCAGCTACTCAGGAGGCTGTGGCAGAGAATCGCTTGAACCCGGGAGGCTGAGGTTGCAGTGAGCTGAGATCGTGCCACTGCATTCCAGCCTGGGTGTCAGAGCGAGAGTCTGTCTCAAAAAAAGAGTTTAAGATATTGCAAGAGTTACTAAAATGTGACACAGAGACACAAAGTGAGCACGTGTTGTTGGAAAAATGAAACCAAGAGACTTGCTCAATGCAAGGTTGCTACAAACCTTCAGTTTATAAAAAAGTAATATCTGAGGGGCAATAAAGTAAAGCACAATAACATAAGGTATACATGTATACACACACACGTGTACATATCTACTGTATATGTATACATATATGCTAAACAATATATCTACATATACGTATCTATATATATACATGCATGTCTATATGCTAAAGTATATATACATAAAAGACTACTGATGTTATTAATTGGGGTCAGTGCTATAGAATATATCTATATAGATACATATATGTACATAAAGATATGTATATATCTATATATGCACATATAGATATATGTATATAGATATGTTCATACATATACACACATACATGTATGTAGGTATCTATATATACTAAATATATATATAAAGGATATACCTATATATATATATATATACACACATACATATATTCACGTGTGTGTGTATGTGTGTGTGTGTGTATAGATATATTCTTTAGCAATGACCCAGATTAATAACATCAGTTGTCTTCAATGACACCACCATTGAAAGGTGAGTTACAGCAGATATATCAAAGTAGTGAAAGACTACTGATGTCATTTTATCTGGGCCAGTGCTAAGGATTAAAAAGGTACATGCCAGATCAAGCGACTTCAGAGACTTGCTTTTCTGGTTGAAGTTATGTACAATTGTTCTACTGCATTTATAAACTGGTTGAACTCTGAAAACGTATATGTCAATTAATTACTTGGAATCTAGTATTAATATATCATTTTTTTTCCCTAAAAGAAAGCCTTACATAATGTAAAAAAGCTTTTGGGCCTTAACAAACAGCCTAGTGAATCAAAATTTAAGTACAATTCTTTATTACTTCATTTGTGAGTGAATCTTACCAATCTCATTATCTCCCTCTTTTCTTTCTCCCCATATATTGATGACTCTACCACAGACTACTCTTTTTAGTTCAATGGGGTAATAGCTAAATGATTAAAAATGAATATAGGAAGACTCCACATGTCTTCCTAGACTATTTTTCTGACACAAATGAGTAATAATTACTCTACAATTTATAATCTAGTTACCCTAAAAATTGACATCTTAATCAATTATTTATTTGAAACCTGGTATTTAACTTTTCTCTAGAAACGAGGTTTCAGATGTTTGCAATGAAATTCTTAGGCCTGTGGAAAAAAACTTAATGAGTGAAGTTTATATACATTTCTTTACTCCTAACCCTAATCCCCAAGTTACCATTTCTGGCAAAATTTACATAAGTTCAACTTCAGTTTGTAAACACCCACCTTGCTTGCACTTGTAAGTTTCTGCCTTCTCAAGTTCAAATACCAATAACTCTTCACCAATCATGGATGTCTTTTCTGCCCCTCAGATACGGTTAAGTAACTGCAGACCTAAGGCAGGGGCTCCATCCAATCTGATGGTGGGTTTGCCTTTGGGACAGTAACCTCATGTGGTAATAGAGGAAGAGATCAGGGTTCTACTAGCTTTGTTCTTTTCTGTTAAGAGCTCCTCAGCTCCCTGCCCACTGCTACCTCCTCCATGCTAAAAATAGGACTGTCTCCTCTCTTGGCTCACTCATATTTTCCTAAGGTTTTTGGCTACTGCTAAATAAGAGTGACCAATGCAATAGGAATAAGAAGCATTGCTCTTATGACCTGTTCCTTTTTTATCCAACTAGATCCAAAAAGGATAGAAAGGTAACTGCAGATACTAAAGTAATTAGACTTTAGAAAACAGTGTCTAAGACACTCTGTATTCTTATGGGTGCTCCAGACAATGAACTTGCCAAATCTGAATCTCTCTTCTGTACATGTATGCTTTTGTGTGTGTGTGTCTATGTGTATATTTACATATATATATGTTTACATCTAGCTTTTAATTTATTTAGACCTCACTTTTTGTTGAAGGATGCTGCATGAGTTATTGTCATTTCACTGAAGGCAGTGCTCATGGAGTAAAAAGGTACAGAGCCATATAAACACCACATGATTTTCTCTTTTTTTGACACTAGTAGCAAAAACAATTTTTGCACCAAAAGTAGTTTTTCCATAAAAATAAAATATCAACTATACACATATGTAATGGGTGAGGGTATGCAAATCCTACCACGTAAGTCCAGTAAGTAAATTCCAACAATTAACAAAGACTCATTTTTCAATGGCCAATTAATTAAACAATTAAATGACTATATAAAAATTAAACCTATCTACATATTAGAAATATATTTTAATTCACCCATGCCTCCACTGTACTATAAAATGAATAGAGAAAATTTTTATTTACTGGCTTAAGAAATCAATACTACATATTCAACTGATGTACTACTGCTTAATGAGCAATTACAGAATTCACAATCTTGATGTTTCCTTGCAAAAGAAGTGGTAATACATAGCACAAAGAACCTCTTTAAAAATTAGTCACTGATCAAACACAATCTTTTTATAGCTTCTGTAACATCTAATTAATTTTGTAAATTTTCTTGAGCATTACACTATAATTAACTTGCATCAGGTTTTCCCTGTAACTTACATTTTTTATGATTTATTTCCAGTAGAAGTCTGAACATGCCTGTGAAAACCATCCGTCATGTCCTTCCTTTCACCCATCATGCTAGTCTTTCCTGTCCATGAGACACAGGCAAGTAGCTGTGGGCCTAAAGAAGGGCTGCATCCAATGAGCTGGTGGGTTTGGGGTTGGGTCTGGGCACCAACCTCACATGTTGACAGAGGTCTGGACGGTGAGGGACAAGTCCATGTTCCATTAGCTCCATTCCTTTCTGCCCAGGGCTCCACTGCTCCTTGTCTGCTGCTATCTCCTCCATGTTGCAAATAGGATTCTCGCCTCCCCTGGGCCACTCTGGTAGGCTCTCGAACTCAGGAACTCTGAGTCCCTTAAAAAACTGCTTACTAAGAACTAAAGGTGATGAATACACTAACAGGAAGAAGCAACCTTCTATGACTTGCCCCTCTTTATATAACTCCATCAAAAAAGGATGCAAAGTTACCTACAAATGCTACAACGAGAAGAACTGGAAACCCTGTTAAAAAACACTGTATGGCCATGCAGGGTCCTGAGAGAAAATTCCACAAATGTCCATCTGTCTCCTTGTTTTAAGATTCAATTGTGTGCATGGGTTTGTTTGTGTACGTGTGTTGAGAGAAGTGTGTATAGATGGATGGATAGATTTGTTTACATGCCTGTGCATGTGTATATACTTCTATGCACACTTACGCATACATGTGTCTTTATTTATTTATAACTCACTTTTCGTAGATACGTGCCTCCTTGGTTCCTCCTGTCAGTTCACTTGTGTGGGGACTAGAGGATGATAAAAGAATACAGTCAGACAGGTGACATAATTCGAAATTTACTTTTCGGGAAAAACTAGCTTTCATTACTCTAAACATAAACTGGTTAATTTCTGACTATTCATGTGTACAGCACTATGTGGACCTGAAATATCATTTTTTATCAGAAATCAGGATTTATATGATGGCTACCACCATCTTAGGATGGAGAAAATAGTAATGCTTCCAGATTTAAGTAAACCTTTTCATTACAACCTCATCCCAATGTGTGACAGCCTTTGTGGTGGCAGTTATTTCAAACTCAACTCCAATTTTTAGGTAGTCAGCCCTCTTAATCCATTGAATGTCCTGCTTCAAAAATCCTCCATTACCTTGTTACTTTCACCCAGCATGGGCGTCTCCCCCAGCCCCAAAAAATGCATCAAGTAACTAAAGGTTTTTCACAGGCGCACAACCTGATATGGTGGTGATATAAGGTCCGGAGCACCAGCCTCCATGGTGGCAGAGTTCTGGAGGCTGGAGAACACCTCCAAGTCTCTTAGCTCTGTTCCTTTCTGCTGAGGACTTCACAGTTACCCGAGTACTCCTACCTCTTCCTTGCTCCAAATAGGATTTTCTCTTCCCTCGGCCCACTCTAGTATGTCTCATACACAGAAAATGAGTTTTCAAGGCATTTGGCTGCTACTAACAAATGGTGAAAAGACAGTAACAGCCGGATACTCTGTTCCTCTTTTATCCAAAACAATTGTAAAAATGTGGATGTTTAACTATAGGTGCTACAGTGAGAAGATGAACTGTGTCCAAGACACTCTGTATTGCCATGGACACTCCTGAGAGCAAATCCCACTAATCTGAATATCTTTCTCTGTCACTGTTTTGTTTGTGTGTACATCCTTTATAACTCACATGTCATGGGTGTCTCTATCAATGATGACTTCCACCAGGTCAACAGGATGGGGACTGTGGGAAAAACATGATCAGAGTCAGACAGGACACATTATTCTAATGTTTTGAATCAAAGAGCTACACTAACTCTATGAGTGATTCCTTGCATACACTTATTGAACTGGGATGAAATTTTTTCTTATTAGAAATGAGGTTTTATGTGCCAACAGTGAATATCTTGGGCTGTGAACATAGCGATGCATCCAGATTAAGTAACTGCATCTTCACCTCAATGTGTAACAACCTTTTTCGAGGGCAGTTAATTCCAGTTCAACTTTAGTTTTAAGTCCCCTTCTTATAATTTCATCTGAGTACCTCATTCTCTATCACCTCCTCAGTTTTCACCCATCCTAGTTGTTATCGGGGGAACCTGCCCCCAGTATGTCAACATAGATTCTTTTCTATTTTCCCTAAGTGTCAGCCAGTCTGAGAAATAAAGAGAAAGAGTACAAAGAGAGAAATTTTACAGCTGGGGCTCCAGGGCTGACATCACATGTTGGCAGGTTCAGTGATGCCTCCTGAGCCGCAAAACCAGCAAGTTTTTATTAGGGATTTCAAAAGGGGAGGGGGGTATGAACAGGGAGTAAGTTACAAGATCACATGCTTGAAAGGCCAATAAAAGATCACAAGGGAAGACAGGCAGAGCAAGATCACAAGGCCAGGGCGAAATTAGAATTATTGATGAGGTTCCATGTCCCACTGGGCACCCATTGTCACTGATAAACATCTTAACAGGAAACAGAGTTCCAGAGCAGACAACAGGTCCGACTAGAATTCGCCAGGCTGGAATTTCCTAATCCTAGCAAGCCTGAGGGCACTGCAGGAGACCAGGGCGTATTTCATCCCTTATCTTCAACTGCGTAAGACAGACACTCCCAGAGCGGCCATTTATAGACCTCTCCCTGGGAATGCATTCCTTTCCCAGGGTTATTCCTTGCTGGGAAAAGAATTCAGTGATACTTCTCCTACTTGCTTTCTCCAAGAAGAGAAATAAGACTCTGTTCTGCCCGGCCCCGCAGGCAGTCAGACCTTATAGTTATCTCCTTTGTTCCCTGAAAATCGCTGTTAGCCTGTTCTTTTCTAGGATGCCAAGATTTCATATTGTTCAAACACACATGTTTTACAAACAATTTGCAAAGATAATGCAATCATCACAGGACCCTGGGGCGACCTACCTTCTCAGCTTACGAAGATGACGGGATTAAGAGATTAAAGTAAATACAGGCATAGGAAATTATAAGAGTATTGACTAGGGAAGTGATAAATGTCCATGAAATCTTCATAATTTATGTTCAGAGACTGCAGTAAAGACAGGCAGAATAAATTATAAAAGTATTAATTTGGGGAACTAATAAATGTCCATGAAATCTTCATAACTTATGTTCTTCTGCCACAGCTTCAACCAGTCCCTCCACTCAGGGTCCCTGATTTCCAGCAACAAGTTGTCTTTCCTGCCCAAGAGTTACGGCCAAGTAGCTGCAGGCCTCAAGCAAGGGCTTCATCCCATGTGATGGTGGGTATGGGCCAAGGGAGTCAGCCTCACATTATGGCAGAGCTCTGGAGGGTGTGAAATATTTCCAGGGTTATTAGCTCTGTTCTCTTTTTTTGCTGGTGTTTCTCTGCTCTTTGTCCACTCCTATCACTTTCTAACTCCAAGGAGGATTTGCTTCTCTCTTGGTCCACACTACTGGAACAGTCTCATTCCCACAGAAAGGAAAGGTGACAATCACTCACATAATAAGCCTCCCTCTATGAGTTCTTCCCCATTTTCCTACCTCCATTCAAAAAGCAAAAGACTATTCCGTACAAAGCTCATCCTGAGAGGGCTCTGGAAATAGTTTCAAGGGAACTCCTTGTTCCCATGGATGCTCCTGACAGTGAATAGCCCAAATCGCAATCTCTCTAGTGTATATGAATGCATGGATGTGTGTGTTTGTATATGCATATATACATATACAATTGTATTCATGTCACATGTTGCAATGGACAGCCTATTAGAAGATACTTTCAGTTCACACACAGCGCAGTGCTAAAGAACTTAAAACGTTTATAGTAAGACAACATGTAACTTCCTACACTTAACATTTTCAGTTCAATGTAGTTTGCATTAATTTTCTTTTTCTTTATTTTTTTTTTTCTTTCGAGACAGAGTCTCACTCTGTCACCCACACTGGAGTCCGGTGGCATGATCTCGACTAACTACAAACTCTGCCTCCCAGGTTCAAGTAATTCTCCTGCCTCAGCCTCCCGAGTAGCAGGGACTACAGGCGCATGCCCCACGCCTGGCTAATTTTTGTATTGTTAGTAAAGACAGGGTTTCACCATGTTGATCAGGCTAGTCTTGAACTCCTGACCTCGTGATCCACCCGACTTGACCGCCCAAAGCACTGGGACCACAGGTATCAGCCAACGCGCCTGGCCTTCCAATTACTTTTCAGCCTGTAAACTGCTCTACCCTACAGAATTCACGTGTGTATTTGGTTCTTTGGAATCAGCCATGCCATTTACCCTACACATCATACTTTCTATGATTACAGCACACATTTTACACCTATCCAAGACTCACTGACTCAAGAGTTAACCAAAACTCTCTACCACCGGAGCTGACCAATGCATGACAGCCTCTTGTGGGTGAATTTCTTTTAAATTCAACTCCACTGTGTAAGCAGTCATCCCTCTAATCCCATCTATGGCCCCCTTCCTGGATCTCTCCATCACGTCTTTCCTTTCACCCATCATGCTAGTCTTTCCCGTCCATGAGACACAGGCAACTAGCTGCGAACCTAAGGAAGAGCAGCATCCAATGAGGTGCGTGCCAGTGTTTGTTTTTTAGCACCAACCTCATATGTTGACAGAGCTCAGGAGTGTGAGGGACAAGTCCATGTTCCATTAGCTCCATTCTTTGCCCAGGGCTTCACACTCCTTGTCGGCTGCTATCTCCTCCATGCTGCAAATAGGATTCTCTCCTCCCTTGTGTCAATCTGGTAGGCTCTCAAACTCAGGAAAACTGAGTCCTTTAAGAAGCTGCTTAGTAGGAACTAAGGGTGACAAATACACCAACAAGAAGTCGCAGCTCTCCTATGACTGGCTCCTTTTTATACAACTACATTAGAAAAGGATGCAGTGTTACCTACAAAGGCTACCATGAGAAGAATTGCAAACCCTGTTAAAAACCACTCTCTGTGGCCATGCAGGCTTCTAGAAGAAACTCCACATATGTCCATCCGACTCCTTATTTTATGTTTCCATTGTGTGCATGGGTTTGTTAGTGGACGTGTCTTGAGAGAAGTGGGGATGGATGGATGGATGCATGGATGGATTGATGGATATATTTGTTTCTGTGCCTGTGTGTGTGTGACTACTTCTATGCACAGTTATGCATACGTGTGTCTTTATTTGTCTAAATATAACTCACCTTTCATTGATACGTGCCTCTGGGTTTGCTGTTGTCAATTCATTCGTGGGTAGACTAGAGGATGATAAAAGAATACAGTCAGACAGGAGACACAATTTGAAATTGACTTTTCTGGAGAAAATAGCTTTCATTACTCTGCACATAAACCAGTGAAGTTCTGACTATGCATGTGTATAGCACTATTTGGTTCTGAAATGTCATTTTTTTTTCATTAGAAAGGAGGATTTGTATGATGGCAACCAGCATCTTAGGCTGGGGAAAACAGTAATGCTTCCAGATTTAAATAAACTTCTTTATTATGACCTCAGTCCCAATGCGTGTCAGTCTTTGTGGTGGCAGTTATTTCAAACTCAACTTTTGTTTGGAGGTAGTCAGCCCTCTTATTTCATTGAATGTCCTGTTTCAAAGGCCCTCCATTACCTCCATACTTTCAACCAGCATGGCTGTCTCCCCAGCCCCACAAACAGAGTCAAGTCACTAGAGGTCTGACATAGGGGCACAATCCAATACGATGGTGACAGGAGGTTTGCAGCACCAGCCTCCATGGTGCCAGAGCTCTGGAGGCTGGAGAACACCTCCTAGGCTCTTAGCTTTGTTCCTTTCTGCTGAGGGCTTCACAGTTCCCTGAGTACTCATACCTTCTCCTTGCTCCAAATAGGAGTCTCTATTCCTGCAGCCCACTCCAGTATGCCTCATACACAGAAAATCTGAGTTTCCAAGGCATTTCACTGTTACTAACCAAGGGTGAGAAGACAGTAACAGATGGAAGCCTCTCTCTATGTCTGTTTCTCTTTCTAAACAACTGTAAAAATATGGAAGTTACCTATACGTGATACAGTGAGACGATAAAGAAATGGTGTCAAAGATATGCTGTAATACCGTCAACACTCCTGAGAGTGAATCCCAGTAATCTCAGCCTCCTTCTCTGTCACTGATTTGTGTGTGTGTTTGTGTGTACATCTTTTTCTTGTTTTTGAGACAGAGTTTCGCTCCTGCTGCCCAGGCTGGAATGCAGTGGCACGGTCTCGGCTCACTGCAACGTCCACCTCCCAGGTACAAGCAATTCTCCTGCCTCAGCCTCCTGAGTAGCTGGGATTAGAGGCACCCGCCACCATGCTGGGCTAACTATTGTATTTTTAGTAGAGACAGGGTTTCACCATGTTTGCCAGCCTGGTCTCAAACTCCTGACCTCAGGGTATCTGCCCGCCTTGGTCTCCCAAAGTGCTCAGATTCCAGGTGTGAACCACTGCTCCTGGCCATGTGTACATCTTTTATAACGTACCTGTCATCGGTGGATTGATCAATAATGACTGCCGCCATTTCATTCGGATAGGGATTAAAGGACAAATATGGTCAGAGTCAGACACAATGCGTCATTCTAATGTTTTGCAACAAATAGCTACAGTTAGTCTGTGAGTTACTCCCCGGTTACACTTTGATTATTCACATGCATGTATATCACTAAATGGACCTGAGATGGCATTTCTTTTTTTTATTAGAAATGAGGATTTATATGCCAACAGTGAGTATCTTAGGCTGTGAACATATGGATCCATCCAGACGAAGTAACTGTATCTACACCTCAATTTATAACAGCATTTTTGGAGGGCATTTAATTCCAGTTCAACTTTAGTTTGTAGGTCCCCCTTCTTAAAATCCCATCTGATTTCCTCCTTCTCTATCACCTCCAATCACCTCCTCAATTTGCACCCATCCTAGTAGTCTTTCCTCCGAAGAGTTACGGCCAAGTAGCTGAAGGCCTCAAGCAAGGGCTTCATCCCATGTGATGGTGGGTATGGGCCAAGGGAGTCAGCCTCACATTATGGCAGAGCTCTGCAGGGTGGGAAAAACTTCGAGGGTTATTAGCTCTGTTCTTTTTTTTTGCAGGGGTTTCTCTGCTCTTTGTCCCCTCCTATCTCCTTCTCGCTCCAAGCAGGATTCACTTCTCCGTTGGTCCACACTACAAGTACACTCATTCCCACAGAAAGGAAAGGTGACAAACACTCACATAATAAGCCTCCCCCTATGAGTCCTTCCCCATGTTCCCACCTCCATCCAAAAAGCATAAGAATATTCCTTAAAAAGCTCATCCTGAGAAGACTCTGGAAATAGTTTCAAGGCAACTCCTTGTAGGCATGGATGCTCCTGACAGTGAATAGCCCAAATCTCTTTCTCTCGTGTGTGTATGAATGCATGGATGTGTGTGTTTGTATATGCATATATACATGTATAATTGTATTCCTTTATATCACATGTTGCAATGGACAGCCTACTGGAAGACACTCTCAGTTCACTCACAGCGCAGTGCCCAAGAACTTAAAACGTACACAGTAAGACAACATGTAACTTCCTAGACTTAACGTTTACAGTTCAAACTAGTTCCAATTACTTTTCTTTTGCTTGGTGTTTTTTTTTTTTTTTTTTTTTTAGAGAGAGTCTCGCTCTGTCGCCCAGGCTGGAGTACAGTGGTGTGATCTCAGCTCATTGCAACCTCGGCCTCCCGGGTTCAAGTAATTCTCCAGCCTCATCCCCCCGAGTAGCAGGGACTACAGGCACGCAACACCATGCCTGGTTAATTTTTGTATTTTTAGCAGAGATGGCAGTTTCACCATGTTGGCCAGGCTGGTCTTGAACTCCTGATCTCATGATCCACCTGACTTGCCCTCCCAAAGCACTGGGACCACAGGCGTCAGCCAATGTGACCAGCCTTCCAATTACTTTTCAACCTGTAAACTGCTGGATCCTACGGAATTCACATGTGTATTTGGTTCTTTGGAATCTGCCATGCCATTTACCCTACACATCATACTTTCTACGATTGCAGCACACATTTTACACCTATCCAAGACTCACTGACTCAAGAGTTAACCAAACTCTGTACCACCGGAGCTGACCAATGCATGACAGCCTTTTGTGGGTGAATTTCTTTTAAATTCAACTTCACTGTGTAGGCAGTCATCCTTTTAATCCCATCTATGGCCCCCCTCCTGGATCTCTCCATCATGTCTTTCCTTTCACCCATCATGTTAGTCTTTCCCATCCATGAGACACAGGCAACTAGCTGCGGGCCTGAGGAAGAGCAGCATCCAATGAGGTGGTGTACTTGTGTTTGTGTTTTAGCACCAACCTCACATGTTGACAGAGCTCAGGAGTGTGAGGGACAAGTCCATGTTCCATTAGCTCCATTCTTTGCCCAGGGATTCTCTGCTCCTTGTCGGCTGCCATCTCCTTCATGTTGCAAATAGGATTCTCTCCTCCCTTGTGTCAACCTGGTAGGCTCTCAAACTCAGGAAAACTGAGTCCTTTAAGAAGCTGCTTAGTAGGAACTAAGGGTGACAAATACACCAACAAGAAGTCGCAGCTCTCCTATGACTGGCTCCTTTTTATACAACTACATTAGAAAAGGATGCAGTGTTACCTACAAAGGCTACCATGAGAAGAACTGCAAACCCTGTTAAAAACCACTCTCTGTGGCCATGCAGGCTTCTAGAAGAAACTCCACATATGTCCATCCGTCCTACTGTATGTTTCCATTGTGTGCATGGGTTTGTTAGTGGATGTGTCTTGAGAGAAGTGGGGATGGATGGATGCATGGGTGAATGGATGGACATATTTGTTTCTGTGCCTGTGTGTGTGTGACTACTTCTATGCACAGTTATGCATACGTGTGTCTTTATTTGTCTAAATATAACTCACCTTTCATTGATACGTGCCTCTGGGTTTGCTGTTGTCAATTCATTTGTGGGTGGACTAGAGGATGATAAAAGAATACAGTCAGACAGGAGACACAATTTGAAATTGACTTTTCTGGAGAAACTAGCTTCCATTACTCTGCACATAAACCAGTGAAGTTCTGACTATGCATGTGTATAGCACTATTTGGTTCTGAAATGTCATTTTTTTTTTCATTAGAAAGGGGGATTTATATGATGGCAACCAACATCTTAGGCTGGGGAAAATAGTAATGCTTCCAGCTTTAAAAAAACTTCGTTATGACCTCTGTCCCAATGCGTGTCAGTCTTTGTGGTGGCAGTTATTTCAAACTCAATTTTGTCTGGAGGTAGTCAGCCCTCTTATTTCATTGAATGTCCTGTTTCAAAGGCCCTCCATTACCCCCTTACTTTCAACCAGCATGGGTGTCTCCCCAGTCCCACAAACAGAGTCAAGTCACTAGAAGTCTGACACAGGGGCACAATCCAATACGACAGTGATAGCAGGTTTGGAGCACCAGCCTCCATGGTGCCAGAGTTCTGGAGGCTGGAGAACACCTCCTAGGCTCTTAGCTTTGTTCCTTTCTGCTGAGGGCTTCACGGTTCCCCGAGTATGCGTACCTTCTCCTTGCTCCAAATAGGAGTCTCTATTCCCGTGGCCCACTCCAGTATGTCTCAGACACAGAAAATCTGAGTTTCCAAGGCATTTCACTGTTACTAACCAAGGGTGAGAAGACAGTAACAGACGGAAGCCTCTCTCTATAGTGTGTTTCTCTTTCTTTCTAAACAACTGTAAAAATATGAAAGTTACCTATACGTGATACAGTGAGACGATAAAGAAATGGTGTCAAAGATACGCTGTAATACCGTCAACACTCCTGAGAGTGAATCCCAGTAATCTCAGCCTCCTGCTCTGTCACTGATTTGTGTGTGTGTTTGTGTGTACATCTTTTTCTCGTTTTCGAAAGAAGAGTTTCGCTCCTGCTGCCCAGGCTGGAATGCAGTGGCACAGTCTCGGCTCACTGCAACATCCACCTCCCAGGTACAGGCAATTCTCCTGCCTCAGCCTCCCGAGTAGCTGGGATTAGAGGCACCTGCCAACACACCTGGCTAATTGTTGTATTTTTACTAAAGACAGGGTTTCACCGTGTTTGCCAGCCTGGTCTCGAACTCCTGACCTCAGGGTATCTGCCCGCCTTGGTCTCCCCAAGTGCTCAGATTCCAGGTGTGAACCACTGCTCCTGGCCATGTGTCCATCTTTTATAATGCACCTGTCATCGGTGGGTCGATCAATAATGACTCCCACCAGGTCATTCGGATAGGGATTAAAGGACAAATATGGTCAGAGTCAGACACAATGCGTCATTCTAATGTTTTGCAACAAATAGCTACAGTTAGTCTATGAGTTATTCCCCAGTTGCACTTTGATTATTCACACGTATTATATCACTAAAAGGACCTGAGATGGCATTTTTTTTTATTAGAAATGAGGTTTTATGTGCCAACAGTGAGTATCTTAGGCTGTGAACATATCGATCCATCCAGACTAAGTAACTGTATCTACACCTCAATGTATAACAGCATTTTTGGAGGGCATTTAATTCCAGTTCAACTTTAGTTTGTAGGTCCCCTTCTTAAAATCCCATCCGAGTTCCTCCTTCTCTATCACCTCCAATCACCTCCTCAATTTGCACCCATCCTACTAGTCTTTCCTGCCCAAGAGTTATAGCCAAGTAGCTGCAGGCCTCAAGCAAGGGCTTCATCCCATGTGATGGGGGGTATGGGCCAAGGGAGTCAGCCTCACATTATGGCAGAGCTCTGGAGGGTGTGAAATGCTTCCAGGGTTGTTAGCTCCGTTCTTTTGTTTGCTGGGGTTTCCCTGCTCTTTGTCCCCTCCTATCTCCTTCTCACTCCAAGCAGGATTCACTTCTCCCTTGGTCCATACTACGAGTACACTCTCATTCCCACAGAAAGGAAAGGTGACAATCACTCACATAATAAGCCTCCCTCTGAGTTCTTCCCCATTTTCCTGCCTCCATCCAAAAAAGCAAAAGTATATTCCGTACAAAGCTCACCCTGAGAAGACTCTAGAAATAGTTTCAAGGAAACTCCTTGTTCCCATGGATGCTCCTGACAGTGAATAGTCCAAATCTCTTTCTCTCGTGTGTGTATGAATGCATGGATGTGTGTGTTTGTATATTCATATGTACACGTACAATTGTATTCCTTTATATCACATGTTGCAATGGACAGCCTACTGGAAGACACTCTCAGTTCACACACAGAGCAGTGCCAAAGAACTTAAAACGTACATAGTAAGACAACATGTAACTTCCTAGACTTAATGTTTTCCGTTTAAACTAGTTCCAATTACTTTTCTTTTGCTTGCTTTGTTTTTGTGTTGTTTTTTTTTTTGAGACAGAGTCTCGCTCTGGGGCCCAGGCTGGAGTGCAGTGGCGCGATCTCGGCTCACTGCAACCTCGGCCTCCCAAGTTCAAGGCAAGTTCTCCTGCCTCAGCCTCACAAATAGCAGGGACTACAGGCACGCACCACCACGCTTGGCTAATTTTTGTATTTTTCATAGAGATGGGGTTCCGCCATGTTGGCCAGGCTGGTCTTGAATTACTAACCTCATGATACACCCGCCCTGGCCTCCCAAAGTGCTGGGACTACAGGCGTCAGCCACCATGCCCAGCCAGGAAAGTCTTTTGACATACACACCAGCATTTCCTTTTGTAGCATCCTTGGGCCATATTAAAGGCATTGTTAAGCTGGCATTGCATGAAGTGTATAGAAAATAACAGTAATTTGGGGAGACAATAGTAACAACAGCAGCACTTCTTTTATTTAAATGTAGAAAATTAATTAAAATACAAAAAAATATTTTTGTGAATATATTTATAATCTTAGGATAGGAAAGAAGTTTCTGAGTATAACAGAAACAGCATTAGTCATAAAAGTAGCAATTATATCTGAACACATGAAGCTTATTATAAAGTTCTATGTAAGGGTGCTGTATTTTACTCTAAACACCAAATGTAAAAACATATTACAGATTTGCCACATGGAGTGGAGATACGACCAATGTATTTGAACATCAAAATTCCTTGAATCTGAAGGATATGGTAAATATGACTTAGCTCACTTAAGACCTAACTTTTTAGAAAGAATTTTAGAATCAGTGTCCAGAACACTATTTTCCCATGAATAATTCTGAGACCAATTTTCAGGAACCTGAATTCCTCCCATCTCCAATATATATTATCACATCACCTTTCATTGTTAGCTCCAGCACAGATTTCTGATGTCAATTCATTGGGATCAGTGCAAAGGATTAAAAGCAAACAGGAAGAAACAACATAAATTCATACACTCCTTTTTTTTTTTTTTTTTTGGTTCAAATTGGCTATGACTGTGCTACAAATTGCAATGTGTTGTCCCTAAAAAATTCTCATGTAAATCTGTTACTTGGCACCTGGTACTTCATTTTTCTCCAGAAAGAAGTCTCTATGTGTTAGTAATATAAATTGTTTAGGACTCTCCAGAAAGTTTAATGAATCAAAATTTAAGTACAATTCTTTATTACTGAACCTGATCATTATGTGTGACAGCAAATTGAACCGAAATTTGCTTCAAATTCATGTTCCATTTGAAGGCACACATCGTTCTTGCCCATTTTGATTTCCTAATTCTCAAGTCCCTCCACCATGTGACTCATGCTCTTCATGAGTCACAGGTATCTTTGCTTCCCCTCAAATAGGATCAAGTGACTAAACCTGAGGCAGGGGCTCCATCCAATGTGATGATGGCTTTGGGTTTGGGCACCAGCTCTGAAGGGTGAGGGACAGATACAGGGTCTCTTAGCTCTTTTCTTTCTGCTAAGGGCTATTCTGCTGCCTGTCCAATGCTACCACCACCTTTTTCCAAGTAGGATTCTCTCCTCTCTTGAATTGCTCTTGATAGAGTCTCATACACAGGCATTCTGATAGTCTCCTAAGGGTTTTGGCTGCCAATTACTAAGAGTCACAAACAATCTTCAAGTACCAAATGTCCCTCTTCTGACCTGACCTTATTTTTTCCACATAGGTTCAAAAACAACGCTACCTAAAGATGCTTAAACTCTCTTATGGAAAGCTGTTTTTGCCATTGATGCTGCCAGCATTTTTCACCACTTAGATCAGTCAACTCACCCATTGTGGTCATAGTTGTCAGAGCATATGGTAGACGCTGGTAATGAATCCAGAATTCTACCAAAGAGTAAAAAGCACATACAAAAAATAAAGTCAGATATTTTGGAAGGCAATCAGGATGTTAATCTCGACAGTATTTCAGGACATGAAAAATAAAATCAGAGGAATTTTGACAGGAACTAAACAAACAATTTCAGGGCAAAACACTAGTACTTCTGAGACTGTGTGTGTGTGTGTGTGAAAAGACACAGAAAAAAGAAAGAAAGTGTAAGAATAATGAATGTTTCTCTATCAATGGCTAGTTCCTGGTCATCCTTGGTAGGAAATAAACAAGTAGGTAAGTCAAGGATAGCCTAAATTATGTTTAAAACTTTTTGTGAACTTAAAGTACATTATATGTTTAGAATGATTTTGTTTTCTTTTTGTCTGGATTCTCGGGTTTTTTTAATTATATGGCTATATTTTACAAAATCAAGACTTCCTAGCACCCAAACCACTGGCTTAGCTAATTTAATCTCTCTACAACTTCATTTCCTCATCTGTAAGTTAAGACACATGCAGAATACACTCCGCATCTGTCAACTTCATAAAACCATGCTGAATATTCAGCATTTTGCAAATATTGGTTTTTAGACCACCTGTTCTCTACACCATATATTATGTCATAAAAATCAGTATGTGGCAATATAAGCTGATACATAGTTTTAGTTTCAAATACACAAACATGCTTATCAAAGTAATACACTCCCAAGACTCAAGAATTAATGCTCTTTGCCACAATTTGCTAACTTTTCAAATGTTTAAATAAGTTTAAGAAACTGATTGCACACTTTTTTTTTTTTTGGCTGCTGCTGATAAAAACTGGGATTCCCTAGAGCATGCTGAGGTTTCTGGACTTATTTGACCACAGAACCTCGTTCTCACAGTGGAAATGTGTGAGAAACACATTTTAGAAGCAATATATTAAATGGTATCTTTTTATGTCTTTAAGTAAAAGTTCTCCTACACAAACTAATTTTGGACTGTGGTCGATAGCTCAAACCTTTAAGCGCAGATAGACATTAATACTGTGCTATTCTTTCAGCCTGTGAGGAAAGGAGTGCTGGAGTTCAAATTATCAAATCTCGTTAGCCCAGTCTGAGGGCCATGAAGGGAACCTCTCAAGTTCTAAGTGGGTGTTCTCATGCCCTTGAATGGCTCATGGAAATTCATCCAGGTCTCAGGAAAAACAATACCTTTTACAAAAAGAAAGGCATCTAGAGGTATCTGCTGCTTTTCTGCAGGAAGGACAACTGGGTTGTCTATGCAGAATACACTAATAAGTCATAACAGGGGAAAATGTTCAAAACGCCAAAAACATAAGAATTTGAGTTTCTGACATAAGCAGCCTTATTGAATGATTACTGGATTTTTCAGATATCTTCTACCAAGGAAGAGAACGGGAAGACACTCAAATTACTCTTCAGATCCAGGTGACAAGCCAGGACTGCTAAGCGAGTTCCTTGGGAAACTAATCTCCAAAAAGGACACAAGACATCCATACATGTTACCTGAACTCCTTTCAGGGAGAGTATTGCATGAAGTCTGAAATCATACTTTGATAAGCTGCTTGGGAGCACAGACTGACTTCCCTCATGGGACATGAATAAGTAGCTAGCTAAATTGCCTTCTAAGGAAGGTGAGAATGACAAACTATCCTAAAATAACGTGATCACGCAGAATTCTTAAATGCTTTTTGGTAGACAGGAGAAACCACAGAAGTTTGAGTTAGGTGAAGGTTAGCTACACCTTTATAATCAGGCTACCAGGTTATAATGAAAAGCAGCTCTCCAATCAAATCTGCCACACATACAGATATTCATTTAACAAAACATTCAGTAGCAAGCAGGCACCGTACATAAGCTTCTGTAAGCTTTCTGTACTTTAGGTGCTCCAAGCATGAAAGGTTCATTCTCAACAGAATCCTAATATTCCAGAGGCCAAAATCTTCCTAAACCTTCCTGGAGATAGGACCATATGAGGATCAAGCCTGGGGTGTCATCTCTAAGTATACACTACAGGCCACATTCATAAACTTTTATCCTGTTTATGCAAGGGTGGGCTGTCTCCAAAACACTTTAGCTGATTCACAGATCTTAAAATGTCATATAATTGTAACATCCATCATGCTGCTTTGTAAGTCACCAATATCACTAATAAAAGCCCATTTGTGACCTTCACTGTAATAATTAACAATGTTTCAGGTGTTGAGATGGGACCACTGAAGACCTTTCGGTGGCCATCTCTGTGGAGTGGCTTCCAGAGCTGAGCACTAGGTCACCATCCTGAACAGAGCATCCACCATTAGGGCAAGCAGCCACCCCTATAGGAAAGATGAAAGCAACCAGTAGATGCATGTTATCACACTGCCTAAAAATGTCCTATTTTTAAGGACATTAACAGGCATAGAATGGGGCTTGTTTTATTTTTACAATTTTTTTTCTATTTCTATTATTTTTCTATCTCATTACTTTTCTATTTCTATTTGCTGGGTCACAGACAGCAGCAAATTCCATACCTTTGGGGTTATACCAGCTCATGTGCAATAGAAATAGAAATATCAAAGCTCTCAGTCTACCACCTTCTGCTCCAGAGATGTGGCCCAAGCACACCTTTGGACGTGAACCAGGGCAACCCAAGGCAGAGCTGGATACCTGGGAGTTTCTCCCTGTAAGCCCTGGACCTGCTTACCTGAAAGCCAGACTGCTTCTGGCGCCACTGCCGCTCAGAAGAAGTTGGGGTCGGTTCAGCCGCTAAAATGACACAAGTCTCAGGTCTCGTGTCTTCAGTACAACCTTCTCTAAGAGGGAGAAATTTATTCAAGATCCTGTTAGCACTTTTCTCTCCTGCTGCCTTTCAGGATTATAGCTTTTCCTTTTTTCATTTTTTAATTCCCAAAACTCAAGCTTGTTAGATCAAATCTTTACCCCATTCCTGGCAAATAACAAGGTTATTACTATTTGGCCCTACACCCACTAGTTGTCCCCCAGTACCCTGAGGATAAAGGGACTCCGTAAGGTCCCTGGGAGGGGAAAGGAATATCAATTAGTGGTCCCCCCAACTGGCTATAAGCAAACTTTCCTGTCTGTGGGCCCCAGAAACCACCACCTAGTTCCCCCACCAAAACTTTACATGATTTTAATTCTCCTGATGAGGATGAGAGGACAACATTAGCCAACAGAGAGGGCAGAGGATGGGATGGGACTACCTTGCTCAGAGACCCTCACCTCTAGGTCTTTACCTCGTATTGAGAATAAGCCAGTACTGGATTAAGAACTCTGTGTCCATGGCAACCCCAAACAGAATCCTGGTGCTCTGAGATTCTCCTAGAGTAGGGAATAAAACGAGCTTGGTCCAAGACTGCAGAGACTTAAAAACACGCTGTTCTGCCACACATACAGATACTCATTAAAGATGAGGGAAAAGGGCATGGGGTCGGGGAGAATGTACTAAAACCAAAGACCACAGGATAATCACCTTAGAGCAGAGACGATCTCTCCAGTTATTTTTTCTTTTGTATGTAATGGAGGGGATTCTTCTTATTTACGCTGATGAACTTTTTATCAAGTGTTCGGCTTCCTTTGTGGGTTAGAGAGAATAACCAGAGGGCTCAGTGTTTTCTAGACCATATTAAATTTCACTAAAGTAAGCAAGGTTGATAGGACTTGCAGGGGAAACTTCATTGACTCAAGCTATCATTTTCTAGGCTTGTGAGAAAATAAATAGGTGTACATTTAAAATACACTCATATTCTAGCTAGAAGAGAGGATTTTGAGTGTTCTTACAGCAAAGAAATGGTAAATGTTTAAGGCAATGGATATGCTAATTACCATGATTTGATCATTATACCATGTAAAATGTACTGAAACATCACACTGTACCTCATAAATATGTACAATTTGTTATGTATACATTAAAATTTTGATTATAAGAAAAAATAAACTTCAAATGTAAGAAAACAACCCAACTTTTAAAAAATGGGCAAAATATGTGAACAGATACTTCACTAATAAAGATTTGCAACTGACAAGCAAATGAAAAGAGGGCCATCATAACTGGCTATTAGAGAAATGCAGATTCAAACTACAATAAGAAACCACTAGATACCTATTAGAATATCTAAAATTAGAAAGATGGCGTGTTGACAAAGATAGAGAGAAACTGAAACTCTCATACAATGCCAGGAATGTAAAGTGCTAGATCCACTTTGGAAAACAGTTTGGCAGTTTCTTAAGAAGTTAATTAGGTCTTCCAGTTCCCACTCCAACATGCAGAGAACTTGGAAGTCATCACTCCCATCTTCACAACAGGAAAAAAGATAATCAAACTGAAAATCAACAACTTTTCTTAGATCTGTCAGAGAATAGAGGTCACAGGGCAAACCACTTCCTCAAAAACTAGAGAGACACGTGACTACAGAACATCACAGTTTACCTGAGAGCAGAAGCCACAGGAGCCAGTAATTGGTAGGAACACTTAAATGCTAGTCAATAAATTACTGGTGGCTAAGTGTGGACTAGCTTGAGAGTTAAAAACTTGTTGAAGTCCCGCCTTGGGAACCCCTTATACTTTCATGAATGTTACTTCCAGAAACCCTAGCTGGTTCTCATGATGAAGGCTGAAGAAAATTTCCTCAGGTTCTTTAGGCAAGGAAAAGGGAAAAGCAACCATTTCAAAATATACCCTAGTTGGTGGATAGAGTGAGTGGGTACAGCAACCATTTTGAAATATGCCCAGAGCATTCTATTCTCTGTGTGAAAGCCCTGCCCTAAAGAAAAACTGCTTTATCAGGGCCTTGTCTGACATAGGGGAAAAGCAGTAAGACAACTCTAAACCCCTCTAGTTTTCCTGTCCCACATAAAAGGAGAGGAAAAAAAGAAATCATTACTAAGTCAGTATCAGAAAAATTTACACCTATGTTTTTGTCTAAGAGTACGGTTTGGGATCTTACATTTAGATATTTCTTCCATTTGAGGCTGATTTTTCTGTATGATGTGAGGAAGAGATCTAACTTCATTCATTTGTATGTGGATATCCAGTTGTTCCAGCACCACTTGCTGAAGAGACTGTTCTTTTCCACTGAATGGCCTTGATACCCTTGGGGAAAATCAATTGACCTTAAATGTATGAATTTACTTCTGGACTCTCAATTCTATTCCATTGATCTACATGTCTATCCTTATTCCAGTACTACACAATTTTAACCACTATAAGTAAGTTTTGAAATAATAAAGTGTGGACTCTGCAACTTCATTGTTCTTCTTCAAGATCATTTTGCTTCTTCGGAGTCCCTTGCATTTTCAAATGAATTTTAGGATCAGCAAGTCAATTTCTGCAAAACAGAAGCTAGGATTCTGATAGGAACTGAGTTGAATATGTAGATCAATTTGTGGAGTACTGTCATCTTAACAGTAATGTCTTCCATTCAATAAATCCAGAATGTGTATCTATTTATTTAGGTCTTTACTTAATCACTTTCAATAATGTTTTGTAGTCTTACATTTCTTTTGTTTTAGTCTTATTTTTTAATGCTATTGTAAATAAAATTACTTTCTTAATTTCATTTTCAGGCTACTCATTGCTAGTGTTTCTAAATATAACTGACTTTTTGCACATTGATTTTATATCTTTTGTGAACTCAATTGTTGCTCCGAGAGGTTTGTTGTTGTTATCGTTGTTGTGGGTTCCTTAGATTTTCTATATACAACATTATTTATCTGCAAAAAATACAGTTTCACTTTTTCCATTCCAATCTAGATGCTTTTTCTTTTTTGTTGTTGGTTTTGTTTTGGTTTTTTTGTCTAATTATCCTGGCTAGAACCTCCAGTACAATGTTGAATAGAAAAAGCAAGAGCAGGCATCCTTGGCTTGTTCCTCATCTTAGGAGAAAAGCTTTAAGACTTTCACCACTAAGTTTAATGGTAGCCATTGGTTTTCCATCACCACTCAACCAGGTATATAAGAAATATGTAAGGGAGTCCTACAGCTGGAAGCAAAAGGATGATATCTACCATCACAGAAACACATGAAAGTATAAAACCCACTGGTAGAGCAAGCACACAAATAAGAAGAACAATTCAAAAGTTATCACTAAAGAAAACCACCAATCCACAATGATCAACAATAAGAGAGAAAGAAAGGGACAAAGGACACATAAAGCAACCAGAAATCAATTAATAAAATGACAGGAATAACCCTCACATATCAAAAATAGTCTTCAATGTAAATGGATTAAACTTTCCACTGAAAAGACATAGACTGGCTGAATGGATTTAAAAAATAAACATGACCCAAATATATGCCAACTGCAAGAAACTCACCTCACCTGTGGAGACACACAGACTGAAAGGAAAGGACTGGAAAAAGATATTCTGTGCAAAGGGAAACCAAAAGTGATCAGGAGCAGCTATACTTATATCAGATAAAACAGACTTTAAGTCAAAAACAGTAAAAAGAGGCCAGGCACAGTGGCTCACGCCTGTAATCCCAACACTTTGGGAGGCTGAGGCGGGTAGATCACAAGGCCAGGAGTTCGAGACCAGCCTGGCCAACATGGTGAAACCCCATCTCTACCAAAAATACAAAAAATTAGCTGGGCATGGTGGCAGGCACCTGTAATCCCAGCTACTCAGGAGGCTGAGGCAGGAAAATCGCTTGAACCCAGGAGGCGGAGGTTGCAGTGAGCCGAGACCACACCACTGCACTCCAGCGTGGGCAACACAGCAAGACTCCATCTCAAAAACAAACAAACAAACAAAACAGTAAAAAGAGACAAAGATGGTCACTACAGAATGACATGGAGATACATTAGCAAGAGGATGTAACAGTTCTAAACATATATGCACTCAATACTGGGATACCCAGATATATAAAGCAAATGTCATTAGATCTAAAGGGAGAGATAGACTGCAATAATAGATGAGGACTTCAACACTCTACTCAGCATTAGACAGATCATCTAAACAGGAAATTAACAAAGAAACACTGATTTTAAACTGTGCTTTAGAACAAATGGATCTAACAGACATTTATAGACCATTTCATTCAACAGTTACAGAATACACATACCTCTTCACCAGCACATGAAACATTCTCCAAGATAGACCATATGTTAGGACATAGAATAAGTCTCAACAAATTTTCAAAAATCAAAATCATACCAGTATCTTCTCAGACCACAGTGACATAGGATAGGAAATCAATAACAAAGAAACTTTGGAATCTGTACAAATACGTGGAAATTAAACAACATGCTCCTGAATGACCTTTAGCTCAAGGAAGACATTAAAGAGGAAATCAAAAAATGTCTTGAAACAGGCTGGGTGTGGTGGCTCATGCCTGTAATCCTAGTACTTTGGGAGGCCAAGGTGGGTGGATTGCTTGAGCCCAGGAGTTTGAGACTGGCCTGGGCAACATAGTGAGATTCTGTCTCTACAAAAAAATACAAAAGTTAGCCAGGTATGCTAGTGTGTGCCTGTAATCTCAGCTACTCAGAAGGCTCAGGCAGAAGGATTGCTTGAGCCCAGGAGGTGGAAGTTCCAGTGAGCCAAGATCGTGCCACTGCATTCCAGCCTGAGTGATAGAGAGAGAGAGAGACCCTGTCTCAAAAAATGAAATGTCTTGAAACAAATGAAAATTGAAAACAACATAACAAAACCTACGGGATACAACAAAAGCAGTGCTAGGAGGGAAGTTTATAGCAATAAACACCTATATTTTAAAAGTAGAAAGATTTCAAATAAACTAATGATAACTTCAAAGAACTAGAAAAGCAAGAACAAAGCAAACCTCAAATTAGTAGAAGGACAGACATAATAAAGATCAGAGCAGAACTAAATGAAATAGATTTCAAAAACAATATAAAGAATCAATGAAACAAAAAGTTCCTTTTTCAAAAAGGTAAGCAAAATCAATAAACGGCTAGTTAGACTAAACAAGAAAATGAAAAAGATGATCCAAATAAACAAAATCCAAGATGAAAAATAAGACATTGCCAGACACGGTGGCTAATGCCTGTAATCCCAGCATTTCTGAGAGGCTGAGGCAGGTGGATTGCTTGAGCTCAGGAGTATGAGACAAACCTGGGCAACATGGCGAAACTCTGTCTCTAAAAAAAAAATACAATAATTAGCTGGGCATGGTGGCATATGTTTGTAGTCCCAGCTACTCAGAAGTCTGAGGTGGGAAGATCTCGTCGGCCCAGGAGCTTGAGGCTGCAGTGAGTCATGATCACACCACTGCACTCCAGCCTGGGTGACAGAGTGAGACCGTGTGTCAAAAAATAAAGAAATAAATAAATGAATAAAAGTAGACATTACAACTGACACCACAGAAATACCAAAAGTCATCAGACAGTATTATGAACAACTATATATTAATAAACTAGAAAACTTAGAGGAAATGCATAAATTCCTTGACACATATAACCTACCATGATTGAATCAGGAATAAATAGAAAACCTGAAGAGACCAATCATGAGTAATGAAATTGAATCCATAATAAAAAAGAATCCAAACAGTGAAAAGCCCAGGACCCAATGGCTTCACTGCTAATGACTTCACTACCAAATTCTACCAAACTTACAAAGACAAACTAACACCAATTCTCCTCAAACTAGTCCAAAAAACTGAAAAGGAGGGAATTCTTCCTCATTCTACTAGGCTAGCAGTACCCTGATACCAAAACCAGATAAGAATGCAACAACAAAAAAAAGACAGTTACACTCTAATATCCCTGATAAACATAGATGTAAAAATCCTCAACAAAATACTAACCAACTGAATCCAACAGCATATCAACAAGATAACATACCAGGATCAGGTGGGATTTGTCCCAGAAATGCAAATGTAGTTCAACATACATCAATCAACAAAGATAACACATCACATCAACAGAATGAAGAACAAAACCATATGATCATTTCAAGAGATGTAGAAAAAGGGTTTGATAAAATTCAAAAGATCTTCATGATAAAAACTCTCAACAAACTAGGCATTGAAGGAGCCTATTAATACCTCGACATAATAAAGGCTACATATGACAAACCCACAGTTAACACGATCCTATCGTGGCTTTCAGCTTTTCCTCTAGGAACTGGAACAAGACAAGGATGTCTATTTTTGCCACTCCTATTCAACACAGTACTGGAAGTCTTAGCCAGAGCAATCAGACAATAGAAACAAATAAAAGACATCCAAATTGGAAAAGAGGAAGTAAAATTGTCCCTCTTTGTAGATGACATGATCTTGTATCTAGAAAAACCTAAAGACTCCACCAAAAACTCTTAGATCTGATAAGTAAGTTCAGTAAAGTTATAGGATACAGCCAGGTGCAGTGGCTCATGCCTGTAATCCCAGCACTTTCAGAAACCGAGGCAGGAGAATCACCCGAGGTCAGGAGTTCAAGACCAGCCTGACCAATATGGTGAAACCCCGTCCCTACTAAAAACACAAAAATTAGCCAGGCGTGGTTGCGTGCGCCCATAGTTCCAGCTACTCAGGAGACTGAGACAGGAGAATGGCTTTAACCCGGGAGGCGGACACTGCAGTGGGCCAAGATGGCACCACTGCACTCCAGCCTGGACTACAGAGCAAGACTCCATTCAAAAAAAAAAAAAGTTGTAGGATACAAAGTCAACATAATACAAAAATTAGTATCATTTCTATACACCAATAATAAACTAGCTGAGAAAGAAATCAAGAAGGAAATCCCATTTATCATAGCTCAAGAAAATAAAATACCTAGGAAAAAAATTTAACCAAGTAGGTGAAAAACCTCTACAAGGAAAACTACAGAACATTGATGAAAGCAATTGAGAAGGACATAAAGAAATGGAACGACAACTCATGCTCATGGATCAGAAAAAAATCAATATTGTTAAAATGACCATACAACCCACAGCAATACACAGATGCAATAAAATCCCTATCAACATACCAGTGTCATTCTTCACAGAAGTAGAAAAAATAATCCTAAAATTCATATGGAACCAAAAAAGAGCTCGAATAGAGAAGCAATCCTAAGTAAAAAGAAAGCTGGAGACATTACACTATCTGACTTCAACATATATTACAAGGCTCTAGTGACCAAAACGGCATAGTATTGGTATAAAAACAGGTATAAAATGAAACAGAATAGAAAACTCAGAAATAGATCCATACATTTACAGCCAACTGATTTTCAACAAAGGTGTCAAGGACACTCATTGGGGAAAGGACATCCTCTTCAATAAATGGTACTAGGAAAATTGGATATCCATATGTATGCAAAAGAACACGACTAACCTCCTACCTTTCGCGATACACAAAAATCAATTCAAGATGGATTAAAGACTTAAGCATAAGCCCCGAAACCATAAAACTACCAGAAGAAAACTTAAGGGAACGACTTCAGGACACTGGTCTAGGAAAAGATTTTATGGCTGAGACTTCAAAAGCACGGCAACAAAAACAAAAGTAGACAAATTGGACTATATTAAACTAAAAAGCTTCTGCACATCAGAGGAAACAGCAGAGTGAAGAGACAACCTGTTGAATGGGAGAAAATATTTGCAAACTATTCATCCAACAAGGAATTAATATCTAGAATACACGAGAAACTCAAACACCTCAACAGTAAAAAATAATAATCATTCCATTTAAAAGTGGGAAAAGGGTCAGGCATGATGGCTCATGCCTGTAATCCTAACACTTTGGGAGGCTGATGCAGGTGGACTGCCTGAGCCCAGGAGTTTGAGACCACCTTGGGTAACATAGTAAAACCCCGTCTCTACAAAAACATACAAAAATTAGGCTGGGTTTGGTGGCTCATGCCTGTAATCCCAGCACCTGGGGAGGCCGAGGCAGTAGGATTGCTTGAGCCCAAGAGTTCAAGCCCAGCCTGGGCAACATAGTGAGACCTCATCTCTACAAAAATCAAAAAACGAGGTGGGAGGATCACTTGAGCCCAGGAGATTGAGGCTAGAATGAGCAGTGATAGCACCACTGCACTCCCATCCTGTCTCCAAAAAAAAACAAATACAAAAACAAAAACAAAAAGCACACACACACATACAAATTAGCTGGGCACAGTGGGACGTGCCTGTGGTCTCAGCTACTCTGGAGGCTGAAGCAGGAGAATCATCTGAGACCAGGAAGTGGAGGCTGCAGTGACTCGTGATTGCACCACTGCACTCCATCCTGGACAACAGAGCAAAACCCTGACTCCAATAAATGAATGAACGAATGTGGGCAAAGGACATAAATAGATATTTCTCCAAAGAAGACACACAGGTATATGAAAAAATGCTCGACGTCACTAATAATAAGGGAAATGAAAATTAAAACCACAATGAGATATCATCTTCACCCAATGAGAACGGCTATGATTAAAAAGACAAAATAATAATGGATGTGGGCGAGGATGCAGAGAAAGGGGAACTCTTACACACCGTTGTGTGGGAATGTAAATGAGTACAGTCACTATGGAAAACAGTATGGAGATTTCTCAGGAAACTGAAAATAGAGCTACCATACAATCCAGCAATGCCACTACTGGCTGTTTATCTAAAGGAAAAAAACCAGTATATCAAAGGGATGATACCTGTACTTCCATGTTTACCGCAGCACTATTCACAAGCAAAAATATAGAATCTGCCTAAGTGTCCATCAACAGACAAATGGATAAAGAAAATGCGATATATATAATCAAGTACTATTCAGCCATAAAAAAAGAATGAAATCATGTCGTTTGCAGCAACCTGGATGGAACTGGAAGTCATTGTTACGTGAAGTAAGCCAGGCACAGAGAGACAAATATTGCATGTTATCACATACGTAGGAGCTAAAAAAGTTGACGGTGGACAGATAGATACCAGAGGCTAGGAAGGGTGTGTGGGTTGGCAGGGAAGAGTGGTTGGTTAATACAGTTAGATAGAAGGAGTTAAGTTCTAATGTTCTATAGCAGAGTAGGGTGACTACAGTGAACAACAATGTATTGTATATTTCAAAATAGCTGTAAGAGAAGACTTGAAATGTTCCCAACATATGGCAATGACAAATACTCAAAGTGACAGATACCTTAAATACCCTGATTGATCATTACATATTCTATGCATGTAACAACATATCACATGTACATGTGTACCACACAAATATGTACAAATATTTGTTGTGTACCAATTAAAAATAAACAAAACTTGAAAAATACATTATATCTACACAATGAAATATTATTCAGCATTAAGACACTGCAAGTTGGATGAACCTTGAAAACATGCTACATGAAAGAGTGCATAAAAGATCACAAATTGGGCTGAGCGTGGTGGCTCACGCCTGTAATCCCAGCACTTTGGAAGACCAAGGCGGGCGCATCGCTTGAGCTCAGGACTTCCAGAGCAGCCTGGGCAACATGACGAAGGCCGTCTCTACAAAGAAATTAGGCAGGCGTGGTGGTGCGCGCCTGTGGTCCCAGCTACTGGCTACTCACCAGGGTGATACAGGAGGATCACTTGAGCCTTTCCTGCCTGCTTCGCTGAAGGCATCATGCACTTTCACGGCTGGGATCAACTCTTCTGGAAGCAGGTCCTAGCAGGACTGTGGGTGTCCACATCCAGGATTAGGGTCCTGCATAGAGCTTGGAATACTTACCCCTCAATCTGGGGGGAGGAGCAGGGGCTGGCGCCTTAAGGACTTACTGTCCTTCTGACCAATCCTGATGTTTCCAAGGCACTGGGGTTTTCAGGACTGGATAAGACTGTTCTAAGGCCACAGTGTGGCAACTGCAGTGTGGCAACTGCAGCAAGTCAGAGGCCAAATCCTCAACTCTGGCACTGTCTAAAGTGCCTTTCTTGGCACTTTCTGGTGAGGTGGCTCACACCTATAATCCCAACACTTTGGGAGGCCAAGGCGGGTGGATTAGTGGAGATCAGGAGTTCGAGACCAGCCTGGCCAACATGATGAAACCCCGTCTCTACCAAAAATGCAAAAATTAGCCAGGCATGGTGGCGCGCGCCTGTCATCCCAGCTACCCGGGAGGGTGACGCAGGAGAATCGCTTGAACCCGGGAGGCAGAGCTTGTAGTGAGCCGAGATCGCACCACTGCACTCCAGCCTGGGCGACAGAACAAGACTCCGTCTCAAAATAATAATAATAATCATGATTCTAAAAATCAAATAAATCGAGTGCCTTTCTTGCCCATTCCATGTCTCACCACAACTCTATTAAGCAGGTATTAATGGCTCTCCATGGCTATAATAGAGGAACTCTGGGCCTTATATTCCACCCCTCGCCCAACCCGTGACAGCCAGTGACTAGCGGAGGTTCAATAAACAGTAGTCGGTCTTATTACTATCTTATTACCAGTCTCTCCGTGGAGTTCCAGCAAGAAGGGGTTCCACACCTCGTTGGGGACCAGCTCCCGAGCAGGGCTCCGAGCACCCTCTTGAGGCAGTGACGCGAGGGCCTGCGGGGGCTCCGAGGCTCCTCCAGGCCTCGTGGGCCCTCACAGAAATGGCAGGGCATTGGGACAAGCTGCTCCGGCTGCGCAGGCCGAAAGGTCCCTCGAGCATCCAGAAAGCTCGCCTGACCCTTATAGGCGAGGTGAGGCCCCCAACTCATATCCTGGGGAAACCATGGAGGGGGAATTCGGTTTCCACAGGCGAAGTCAACCGAAACGGCCCGCCATGTTGAAGCCTGAGCAGAGCTCCCGTCAGGCCCCGCCCCCCGGCGCCAGGCTCGCTGGGCAGCGCCTCCTCCCGGAGGTCCCTCCGCTGGTTCCTTCATTCCGCTGGTTCCTTCATTTCGCTGAATGGTGAGTGAGCCAAGCACAAGCTGAACTGCGGGCAGGCAGTGAGCAGATACACAGGGGCCCCGAACTCAAGATAAATAAATGAATAAATACTCAAACTTGTTCTTATAACCCAAGGCAACTGATAGGCCCATTTAGGCTCTGGCTTCCAGTGACAATGAGTTCTAGATGACAAGTCTCAGAAGGAAGAGCCCCTCTCCTTGTCTGCGCTCCTGCCCTAAGCACGAAGACTCAGCTTTGGTCCTCACAGATAATCATTGCCATTCACCATTGGTGATTAACTCAGTCATCACTCTGGAGATTCCAAGGACTTCAGGAGCTGTGTGTCAGGAACTAAGGACAAGGACCAAATGTTATTTTTTATTATAATATCAACAGCCAAAAATTTCAACACCTTTTGAATTTCAACATCTTTTGAAAAAGATGGGAGATGAATACTCTCATCTTTTACCACTGAGTTCTGATGCCATGTCTGTCATTTATATTTCCATATGTGATTTGGGCTCTTTCTAGGCCCTCTTTCATTTCATTAGCTTATACATCTATCTCTGCACCAATACTACACTGTTTAACTTAACTTTTTAATAATTATTTAAATCTGGGAGAACAAGTCTCCCACTTTGGTGCTTTATTTTTAAACATAGGCTCTTCCTCATGAATTGTGACATTAGCTAGTTCAGTATTGTAAAAAAATCCTCTTGAGTTTGTATTGGAATTGCATCAAGTTTATGGATTAATTTTGGGAGAATTGACATCTTCATGATTCCATAATGATTATGTTGTTATTTTTAGTAGTGTTGCTTTTAAAATTATGTTTTCTGAGTTGTTGTTGCTGGTATATAGAAATGCAATCCTTTTTTGTATATCAATTCTGCATTCGGAAAACTTGTTGCACTCTTTTATTAACTTTGTCTATAGATTGTCCAAGAGAGGCAGCAAAGTGTGATGGTAAACAGTAGACAGCCCCTTCTACTTTCTTTATTTTGTTGCCCTTTATCTAACATCTTAAATTGAATACTTAACTCAATAAGTAGTCTTTATTCCTTTTCAATGCCAGCATCTGAAAAAAATAAATGCTTCTCTAATTACTTTATCTAGTGTGTTGAGGGACCCAATGCCGCCACCGTATTCAATAAGGAGCTAGAAGGACTCACAGAACTTAGACAAGCTGTTCTATTCACCGTTATGGTTTATTACGATGAAAGGCTATAGAATACATTCGGAAGGAAAAAGGCACTTAGGGCAGAGTCCAGGCAGAACCAGGAGCAGCTTCCAGTTGTCTTCTCCCTGTGGAGTTATATGAACAGAACTTAATTCTCCCAGCAATGACGTGTGACAATATGGACAAAGAATTGTCAACCAGGGATGCTCACACAAACTTTTGTGTCCAAGGTCAGCTGCCTAGGCATGAAGCCCCCCAACTATTGACCCTAAATACGCAGTGTCCAACCCATTCCTCCCTATGAAGTCAAACTCATACAATACGACCCAGGGCTCCAGGCAAGCAAAAACAGGTGTTCACCATAAATTACATTATTAGCACAAACTCTGGCATTGCCCAAGGCCCGAGGTATACAAAGACACTCTTATCAGGCAGGATATTTCAAGAGCTAATAGTTGGTCAAGAGTCAGTCTTTTCTTTGAGGCATGCAATCCCATTGCTGCTGAGTCAACCCTTTACTATTCACTTATATTTTATGAGTTCGATTTATACTTCTATTGTTAATTTTATTTCTAAGTCTATAAAGTATATTTTTTACCTTTTAAAAAATATAAACGATAGATACTATATAATATTATACAACTCCTACACATTGCTTTTGTCACTTGAAGTTGTTCCATATTTGTAAAATAATTGTTTTTTATTCTTTTGGATGGCTGCATTTTATTTACCAATTTTCTATTGATAGATATTAGGATTTTTTGGTCCAATTTTTTGCTACTCAAAATAAGATTAATAACGTGTGTGTGTGTGTGTGTGTGTAATTTTACTTATGTTCTAACATATTTGTAAGATATATTCCCAAAGTAAAATTATTGGATTAAATGATATGCTCAGATGGTATATTCATCTGTAATATTAATAGATCTTGCCTTTCAGTAAACTGTTGCCCATAAAGATTTCACCAACTTTTATTCACTAGCAATGTAAGAAACTACCTGTTTCCCCATACTCTTGACAACTAAGTGTATTTTAAAATACTTTTATAATACCTGGTGTACTCCAGCACTACAGGAATAATATATTTGTAGCTTTCATTTTTATTTTATTCATCATGAGTAAGGTTGAGCATCTTTTCACATGTTTGAGTCTTTTTTTTTGTTTGTTTGGAGACAGAATCTTGCTCTGTCACCCAGGCTGGAGTGCAGTGAGGTGATCTTGGCTCACTGCAACCTCTGCCTCCCGGGTTCAAGCCATTCTCCTGCCTCAGCCTCCCAAGTAGCTGGGACTACGGACCTGTGCCGCCGCGCCCAGCTAACTGTTGTATTTTTAGTAGAGACGGGGTTTTGCCATGTTGGTCAGGCTGCTCTCGAACTCCTCGGTCTCCCAAAGTGCTGGGATTACAGGGACGAGCCACTGCACCTGGCCTTGAGTCACTTTTATTTCTTTTCAATGAACTGTTTGTGTATACTTTTTGTCCATGTTTCTGGTGGCTTATTCATGTTTTCCTTATTGATCTGAAAGAGCTCTTTTACACTGGTGATGTTAGCTGTCTATATGCATTATGAATTGGAAATATTTTTCCCAATTTGTTATCTAACTTTTTATTTATTGTGGATTTTGCCACACATTTTTAAACAATTTAATTCATCAGTCTTCTAGTTTTAGGAGGTCTTTTGCTATATTGTGCTTTTTAAAAAAACTGTAAAGTTATAAAAATTATTCTCAATGTTTCTTTGACTCATTTTATTGTTTTATTTTAAAATTTAAATCTTTTGGGCCTGGCACAGTGGCTCACACCTGTAATCCTAATGCTTTGAGAGGCTGAGATTGGAGGAGTTTGAGACCAGCCTAGGCAACAGAGTGAGACCCAGTTTCTAGAAAAAAAAAAAAAAAACCTAACAATTATCCAGGTAGCCAGGTATGGTGATGCACACCTGTAGTCCCAGCTACTCAGCAGACTGAGGAGAGAGGATCACTTGAGTCCAGGAGTTCAAGGCTGTAGTGAGTCTCTGGACTCCAGCAGCCTGGATGACAGCGTAAGACCCTGTCTCTTAAAAAAAAATAAGAATCTTTTATTCATCTGAAATATACCTTGGTGTAAGATATAAAGTAGAGCTAAACTAATTTTTGTTCCAAATGGCTACTCATTTATCCCAACACCATTTGTTGAATTTTCTATTTATCACTAAATTGAAAAGCCACCTTTATCTTTGTGTAAAGTGCCACATGTATTAGGATCTATTTATAGACATTCAGTTCTGTTTCACTGATCAGTCTATTTAATCACGCTTTTTTTTTTTTTTTGAGACAGAGTCTCGCTCTGGAATGCAGTGGTGCGATCTCAGCTCACTGCAACCTCTGCCTCCCAAGTTCAAGCAATTCTCCTGCCTCAGCCTCCTGAGTAGCTGGGATTACAGGCATGCATCACCACACCCAGTTAATTTTGGTATTTTTAGTAGAGATGGGGTTTCACCGTGGTGGTCAGGCTGGTCTCGAACTCCTGACCTTGTGATCTGCCTGCCTCAGCCTCCCAAAGTGCTGGAATTGCAGGCGTGAGCCACTGTGTCCAGCCTTAATCACACTTTTTATGGTGTGGAGAGGTAGGCGACAAAGGCCAGCATTGACTTCTTTGAGGTGTAAAATTTTGGTTGAGGTATAACAAACATACAGAAAAGTGCACAAATCACAAGTATAAAGTTCAATGAGCATTCACAGTGTAAATACACAGTACAGTATGTACTCAGCACTCATAACCAGTACTCAGACCAAAGAGCAAAACATTACCAGTACCTAGAAGTCTCCTTCTAGTTACCGCCCTCCTGAGGCTAACCACTGCCTGACTCACTTCTGATTTCTAATAGGATAATTCATTTAGGAGTTGAATTATTCAGTATACTCTTCTCTACCTTCTTTCCCTCAATATTACACTTATGGGATGCAGCCACTTTGATGCATATAGTTGTAGTTCGTTCAAACTCATTGCTGTAGAGTTTCCCACTGTATAAATGTAACATGTTGTATTTATTCATTCTACTGCTAATGAACATTTGGGAATTATTGATTTTTTGCTATTAAGAATAGTGCTTATGTGAACATTTATACATATTGTTTCATGAACTTGTGTTCATGTTTCTGTTGGATGTGGAGTTAGGAGTGGAATTACTGGACCAGAGGGTATACATATGTTCAGCCTAAATAATCAAACGGTTCTTCCAAAGTGATCATGCCAGTGTCAGAGTTTCCAGTACTCCACATCCCGGCTCACACTTGGTATTTGTAGCAGAAGATGTCGGTGGCCATCCATTTCCACTCAAGCTTCCCTATTTCAGTTCACACCTGCACCTTAATCTCTGCCTGAGGGTTTCCCTGGCCATCAGAACCTTCTAGGTCCTCACTCAAAACAGGCCAGAAGGGAAGGGGATTAATAAGCCCTGAGCAGAGATCTCAACCAATGACTGATGCGCCGTGGTTTATGCATACCCTAGCTCCCTTGACCTTGGGACAGGAAGACTCTGAAGCACATGCTCTACACTTGCTGTCAGAGCTCTGCAGTGGGAGAAAGCTCTAGCTGGCACTGGTGATGACATGCTTGATAATATAGCTGGTATCTGTGGCCTTCCCCTCCCTGTCTGTTTTCCACTTCCCTGCAGGTATTTTAAATCCTTGTCTCACAGAGTTCACTTCTGTGGGAATCCAAACTAAGGACAATCTATTTTTCTTTATTTTGGCTATGGTGGAGCCGGGGGTGATTAGAGGGAGAATATGTCTTAAAACACTCCTAATGGGGGATGGTGATAATGCAAGAACAGTTGAGAAAAACTGGCTTAGATATACGATTCGTATCAATTTTATTTTTGTGTATAGTGTAAGGGGAGGGGTCCGGTTTCTTTATTTCTTTTCTATTTTGCATATGTTTATCCAATTGGAAAAGCACCATCTATTGGAAAGACTTTTTCCCCCATTGAACTAATTGCCTTAACACCATGTCAGTAATAATTGACTATGTATATATATGGGCATATATATATATAATATGTGTATAGTCTGGTCTTTGTTCTATTAGCTTGTTGGCTTCTTTATCAATTATTATGCTAACACCATACCATATGGATTACTACACCTCTACAGTAAGACTTTTTTTTTTGAGGGTCTCACTCTGTTACCCAACAAACTTGATTCTTCCAACCCATAAACATGGCATATTTTTTCATTTATATGGGTTTATGATTTTTTAATAAATAGGTCTATGTATTTGATGTTATTGCAAATGGTCCTTTTTATTTCATTTCTCAATTGTCTCTTGCTAGTATATAGAAATACAATTGATATATATACATATATATGGGCATCATTCTGGTTTCTATTCTGTTCTGTTGGCTTCTTTGTCTATTATTATGCTAATATCATACCTATAGATTACTATACCTCTATAGTAAGACTTTTTTTTTTTGAGACAGGGTCTCAGTCTGTCACTCAGGCTGGAATGCAGTGGCACCATCTCGGGTCCCTGCAACCCCTGCCTCCTGGGCTTAAGCGATTCTCTCACCTAAGCCTCCCTGGTAGCTGGGATTACAGGCTCACGCCACCACACTGTGCTAATTTTTGTATTTTTAGTAGAGATGAGGTTTCACTGTGTTGGCCAGGCTGGTCTCAAACTCCTGAGCTCAAGTGATCTCCCCACCTTGGCCTCCGAAAGTGCTGGGATCACAGGCGTGAGCCACTGTGCCCAGCCTTTAGTAAGTCTTAAATAATGCCGGGCATGGTGGCTCATGCCGGTAATCCCAGCACTTTGGGAGGCCAAGGCGGGTGGATCAGCTGAGATCGAGAGATCAAGACCATCCTGGCCAATATGGTGAAACCCCATCTTGAACTCCTGGGCTTAAGCAATCTGCCTGCCTCAGCCTCCAACAGTGCTGGGATTATAGGCATGAGCCCCCATGCCCTGGAACTTTCTTAAATCCTCATATGAAAGCATTATAATTTACTTCTTTTTTATGCTTCCAGACTTTCTCCACTCTTTCATATTCAATATTCTTTTATCGGCATAATACACCTTATTATATTTATGCATGCGTATTTATTTTTAACTGAATAATGTGCTTGTTATATTGCTTAAAGTTTTTTTAAAAAACTAGTTTTAGAACATAAATTATTTTTATTGTTGTGTATTATAGGATAATGCTCATAATATTTAATCATTAAACTTGGCCTTTATAAAAAATAAAGTATCACACTTAGATAAGCATGTATAAGTAGAACAAACATGAAGCTTATATAGTAACTATATTTCTTTATTTTATTTTCCCTTTGTTTTTTTTACACATTCTTAAATACAAGTGCTTTGTTTCTATAGGAGATATTCTCAACATGGGATGTGCATCTAAGTTATGAAGCATAACAATTAAATAACATCCATAAACCCATGACCTCATGCAGAATGAAACATTTCTAGTCCCGTGGAAGCTACAGGACTGCTGGAATTTCTTCTCTGATCCAGTCCCCTTGCTTCGCAACAGAGGTGACCACTCTTCTGAAGGTTATGTTCATAATCCCTGTGCTTTTCTTTATAGTCTAGATATGTATCTATGTATAGACAGGGGAGATGTAGATGTAAATATAGATATATCTGAAAATATATTACTTTGTGACAGTTATTTTTAAGCTTTATACAAATGGATATCGTGCTGAAGTGGTATTTACCTTGAAGCACACTGTGATCATGACATATTTTGATGTTCACTTCCCATGTTTAGGTTCCTGCTTCTCCACGCCAATGACATGGTGAGAGAATAGAGGGGAAGCTGAAGACAAACAACATAAACTTATGTTTGAAAAGCACCTTTTACTCTATGAAATAAAGTGAGTGTAAGCAGTAAATGGAACAACAAGCTTTCAGAGTCACTGCAGGGCAAGAGCTGGGGAGGGAAGAGCTGGCTGGTCATGGAGGATGCACTGGAGTGAAAAAACATCACTCAATTGGCCAGGACATTCCAGGACATCAGGGAGACCACACAACAGCTAGAGTGTCTCTTTTCATCCAAATGACCGCAACACCTCTCCAGCAAGGGCACAGAACTGGGCTGAGGCTGAGTATTGCTGAGGCAATACCATTTAGAACATAGGCACAGGTAAGGATTTCATGACAAAAACGCCAAAAGCAATTGCAACCAAAGCAAAAATTGATAAATGGGATCTAATTGAACCTAAGAGCCTCTGCATAGCAAAAGAAACTATCATCAGAGTGAACAGAGAGCCTACAGAATGGGAGACAATTTTTGCGATCTGTCTGTCTGACAAAGGCCTAATATCCAGAATCTATAAGGAACTTAAACAAATTTACAAGGAAAAAAACAAACAACCCCATTAAAAAGTAGGCAAAGAACATGAACAGACACTTCTCAAAAGAAGGCATTCATGTGGCCAACAAACATATGAAAAAAAAGCTTAACATCACTGATCTTTAGAGAAAGGCAAATCAAAACCACAATGAGATATCATCTCATGCCAGTCAGAATGGCAATTATTAAAAAGTCCAGAAACAACAGATACTGGCAAGGTTGCAGAGAAAAAGGAAAGCTTTTACACTGTCGATGGGAATGTAAATTAGTTCAACCCTTGTGGAAGACAGTATGGCAATTCCTCAAAGATCTAAAGGCAGGAATAGCATTTGACGCAGCAATCCCATTACTGGGTATATACCCAAAGGAATATAAATCATTCTGTCATAAATATACATGCACCTGTATGTTTATTGCAACACTATTCACAATGGCAAAGACATGGAATCAACCCAAATGCCTATCAATAATAAACTGGATAAAGACAATGTGGTACACATACACCATGGAATACTATGCAGCCATAAAAAGGAATGAGATCATGTCCTTTGTAGGGACACAGATGGAGCTGGAAGCTGTTATCTTCAGCAAACTAACAGAGGAACAGAAAACAAAACAACACATGTTCTCACTTATAAGTGGGCGCTGAATGGTGAGATCACATGGACACATGGCAGGGAACAAAACACACTGAGGCCTGTTGCGGGGAGGGCCTGATGCAGGGAGGGAGAGCATCAGGAAGAACAGATAATGGATGCTGGGCTTAATACCAAGGTGATGGGTTGATCTGTGCAGCAAACCACCATGGCACACATTTACCAATGTAACGAAACTGCACATCCTGCACATGTACTCCAGAACTTAAAATAAATGTTGAAGGAAACAAAAACAAAAAAGAGGCCGGACGCAGGAGCTCACCCCTGTAATCCCAGCACATTAGGAGACCAAGGTGGATTGTTCACGAGGTCAGGAGTTTGAGACCAGCCTGACCAACATGGTGAAACCCCATCTCTACTAAAAATACAAAAATTAGCCAGGCACGGTGGGGGGCACCTGTAATCCCAGCTACTCAGGAGGCTGAGGCAGGAGAATCACTTGAACCCGGGAGGCGGAGGTTGCAGTGAGCCGAGATCGCGCCATTGCACTTCAGCCTGGGTGACAGAGTGAGACTCCATCTCAAAACAAAACAAAACAAAAAGCAAAAATAGAAAATCCTTTATAAATATTTGTTAAATTGGTAGGATTGTTAGCATAATTTACAAAAATTTTATTCATATTATTCTATAACATATCTAAATAACATTCATGTTAACAAATATCAATGGTTCTTTGATTTAAAAGTGGTGAAAAACAAGCTAATCGTAAGTTTTCTATACACCCATATATTTTCCAATAGCATGACACTGTCCAGATATTTAGAAATAGGCTATCCGGAAAAGAAAGAACTTGCTGAACTCCAGAAAATATAAAGTAGATACAATTCAAGGTTTTTGAACCTTGGAAAAGGAAGGATAATTTTCTATAAATAATTTTTTCACAACTGTGTTTCTTATATTCATACCCGGGTATCTTAATTGGTGTATTACCAATTTGCTTCACTAGATGGAGATATGAGGCCCAATAACTATAAATTTCTTCAAAAATGAAGCATAACTCTTGATATTTTGAAAAACATAATTTATTTGTAGAAGAGAAACTACAGCTTGTAAGACTCTTCTTAAGGGAGACGATCTTCCATGTAATACATTGTTGGCCCCAGGGAGAAACGTTTGCTGGGATTGATGGTGAGTAGTTTACTAGTTAATATTTCATCAGTGTACTGAGTAGATTTTTTCATTTATTCACCCACTTATATGTTCCTTTTTTTTTCTTTTGAGATGGAGTCTTGCTCTGTCGCCCAGGCTGGAGTGCAGTGGCGTCATCTCGGATCACTGCAAGCTCCGCCTCCCGGGTTCAAGTGATTCTCCTGCCTCAGCCTCCAAGTAGCTGGGACTACAGGCGCCCCCCCCCACCCCCACCACAGCCCGGCTAAGTTTTTGTATTTTTAGTAGAGACGGGGTTTCACCGTGTTAGCCAAGATGGTCTCGATCTCCTGACCTCGTGATCCGCCTACCTCGGCCTCCCAAAGTGCTGGGATTACAGGCGTGAGCCACAACCCTCCACCTATATGTTCATTTTTTTATTCATTGACCAAACACTTAGTTTGCCCGACACTGTTAGGCATTGGGATACAAAAATAAGGACACAATCCCCACTCCTCAAGAAGCTCACAGTCTCCGTCAAGTAGGGGAGAAAAGTATGTAAACTATTAATTAGAATACGTTCAGGGCAGAATTATAGAATGGGTTAACACAAGGTTTGCTGGCTGCACGAAGAGAGAAACAGCTGGCTCTTATTGAGTAAGAGAACATGCTTAGGATGAGTTTCAAGGGGTGAATAATTCAGAGGCAGTCCAGAATGAGAATAAGACTATAGCAGTCCAGACAACACTTGGTGAGGGAGTTCGCTTGAAGGAAACAAAAACAAAACCAAAAATAAGGCCGGGCGCTGAGGCTCACGCCTATAATCCCAACACTTTGGGAGGCCGAGGAGGGCGGTTCACGAGGTCAGGGGTTTGAGACCTTCCTGACCAACATGGTGAAACCCCAACTCTACTAAAAATACAAAAATTAGCTGGGCGAGGTGGCACGCACCTGTAATCCCAGCTATTCAGGAGGCTGAGGCAGGAGAATCTCTTGAACCCGGGAGGCAGAGGTTGCAGTGAGCTGAGATCAGGTGGGTACCTGTGGGAATAGAAAGGAGGAGATGAGTGCACAAGATGTAGAGAAGGTAGAATACGTTAGACTTAATGGCTCAATGATTGTTGGAATCAAACGGGAGGAGGAAATTTTCTAGATAGTTTGAAAAAAGCACTGTGGAAGTCAGGATAAAAATTCAACATGACTAGGAGAAATTGAAAATAATTTTTGTTTTTTGAGACGGAGTCTCGCTCTGTTGCCCAAGGGGGAGTGCAGTGGCGCCATCTTGGCTCATTGCAAGCTCCACCTCCCAGGTTCACGCCATTCTGCCTCAGCCTCCCAAGTAGCTGGGACTACAGGTGCTCGCCACCAAGCTCAGCTAAGTTCTTTTGTATTTTTAGTAGAGACGGGGTTTCACAGTGTTAGCCAGGATGGTCTTGATCTCCTGACCTTGTGATCCACCCGTCTTGGCCTCCCAAAATGCAGGTGTGAGCCACCCACCTCTTCCCGGCTGAAAATAATTTTAATAAGCCACCTCTATTCATATCTTAAATTGTAAACTGCCTTCCCACTCCCTTTTCTTGAGATCTCACCCCATTTTCTGCTTACTCTGGCATGTAGACATATTCTTCCTGCCGAATGAGTCAGTCTCAGTCTAGATTTGTGCTGACATGTCTTAAATTTCCTGTAAAAATAAGAAACTAGTACATTATCTCTCTCTCTTTCCCCCTTTTCCTCTATCTCTGTCAAAGACACACACCATGCACATACATGCACACACACTGACAAGGATATAGAAAAAGTATAGTGTCATCTTTATAGAAAATGTATGGAATTACTGTGCATAAAGCAGAGAAACAATCCTGTACTCATAACATACCCCAGGAAACTGTGCAGTTGTTACTCTCGAGTGTTCTTGGATTCTGAAATGGAAGATAGGACTTACTGCAGACATTTCATACTCATCTATTTGGAATAGTTCTTCTAGGTTTTTTTTTTTTGTAAAGTCCTATTATTTATGGAAAGATTGGAAATCTAGAGTTTTTTGTTTGTTTCCAGTCTTTCTCTTAATTTCCGTGAATTTAACTCGGTTCTTATCTAACATTCATGTGTTTAATTTTATTCATCCCTAACACAGGGCATATAATAATACACACCCAGTGAGTGTGTGAGACTCATGGAGAAGCAGGTTTGCCATGACCCCATAAACCAGCCCAGACAGCTGACAGAGGCAACTTGAGGTGGGGGGAGAGAGAGAAGAAAAGTTGAAGTCACAGAGAGCACTTTCCCTACAGGCAGAGTCAAAAGAGGCAGAAAAATGTAAACTTCAAAAATTCTGGACTTGCTTTTAAAAGCTTTGTGTTTTTTATTTGCATAGTGATGAAGAAAAAAGAATTTAGCTGTGCATATTTGAGTTCCATCTAGAGATTCTCCCAGCCTCCCTATCCATCTCGTCATCTGTATCCACATCATCTCTGTTTACATCTATACCCTTGTCTACGCTTTAATCTACTTCCATTAGCTTCTCATCTTCCTCATGTCTGGATCATGCTGGTGGTACAAATAGGGTGGACAGAGGAGCACTGGGAGTAACATAAACTATGTTTGACGACTGGAACAAGCTCAACAAGTACAGACTCCACCTGTCTTTGCAGTATATTTTTGAAAAACTTTGTACAGGGTTCAAGTCTAAATTGTTTCAGATATAACGTGAGCCAATGGAAGGAGCACAAGAGGTTTACATTAGAAGGTCTTGGTTCATAGAGTTCCTTGGAAAAGTGGTTGATTCCAGGTCTGGGTCAGGGAAAATCTAATTGAGCATGAAAATCTTGTGATATCAGAAAATAAAGAAGGACTCAAAACAACAACAGCTACTCCCCAATGACAGAGTCAAAAGGATGAAGAGCCCACCATTGGAGTTTCCAATGGCCAAAGTCGGAACAGTTTGACCAAGAAAATAATGACAATATTTGATTCTAAACTAGTGGAATAAAATAAATATCCATCAGTCCATATATATCAGCATAAATAAATAAGTGAATGAATAAATACATAAATAAATGGGGGAGAAGTGATACTTCTACCTTACAGGAGAATTGTAATTAATGAATGCAGGAGAAATGAGGAAAATACAAAGTCACTGTTGGGTGGACAGCACAATAATAATTGTTGCAGACAAGATCTACTGGTAGTCTAAAATCATTGGGTGAAAGTTTGAGGTAAAACAGGATATTAGCATAGTCTCAGTGTATCTCCTCCAAGATATCTGTCAATCACAAAAGAAAACATAGTAGGTGTACAGTGGAGAGACCTGCCAGATGCCAGTGTTTTTTTTTAAATCTTTTTTTTTTTTTTTTTTTTTTTTTGAGACAGAGTCTCACTCATCGCCCAGGCTGGAGTGCAGTGGCAACATCTTGGCTCACTACAATCTCTGCCTCCTGGTTCAAGCGATTCTTCTGCCTCGACCTCCCGAGTAGCTGGGATTACAGGCATTTGCCACCATGCCCAGCTAATTGTTTTGTATTTTTAATAGAGATGGGGTTTCATCACGTTGGTCAGGCTGGTCTTTAACTCCTGACCTCAGGTGATCCACCCACCCCGGCCTCCCAAAATGCTGACCCTGACTCTTCAAAAGGGTCAAGGTCATAGAAGGCAGAGTGTGAGACAATCTCTCAGATTGGAGAAGTCGGACAAGTGGTACCTAAATGCAACATGGGATTCTGAATCAGAACATACAGAAAAAAAAAAAAAAGACACAAGGGAGAAAACTCATAAAATTCAAATTAGGTCTGTAATTTAATAGTATTGTACCAGTGTGAATTAAGTTAATTTTCTGGTTTTGATCATTTAACTATGGCTGCATAATTATTAACATTAGGGAAAGCTGGGTGAAGGTTATACATAAAGTCTCTGCACTATTTTTGTAACTTTTCCATAAGTCTCACGTTATTTAAAATTTTAAGTTTTATTTTTTAAGACCTTGGCTCGAGTCTGAGCTCTAACACTTATTAGCTCTGTAACCTTTCTGGGGCTCAATTTTCTTACTAAACAGTGAGTTAGGATGGACGACCCTTCGGCTCCTTCTGGAGAGCTATGGAGAGGTTCTCTTACCCACAATGTTTGCCTTCCTTTACTTCAGCAAGCTACACAGTCACTGATCAGCAGTTGTGGAAATGCAGAATCTTGAAAATTGTCATGAAATTTTATTTACAGGTATTAATAATTTATCTCTGAGGTTCAACTTTCCACCTAAATGCAGAGTGATGCAGGACTGTAGAATTATTCCCAGCTTGTTGGGTGTTAGAAGCTGCTTTAACAGATATTATGCCAACAGAAAATTCACCTAAAAGTCTTGTTAAAGAGAGTGTTTAGACTAGAAGAAAACACAAAAATACAATATCACCTACTAAAGAGTAGTGGAATTATGAGTGGTCATTTTGTTTCAAAGTTTCCTTAATCTTATCGTTGTCTTTTTAGGATTAAAAATATGTTTACCAAAAAAATGCTTGTACTTGGAATAGATAGACGTATTGTTGAAACTTACCAGCTCTCTGATCCTAGCAACCAGGAAGAATATCCCGGGAATGCTTTGGCAGTTAAAAAATAAATCAGCTTGGCAGTGATCACTTCCCTTGATACCCTCCCACACGCCCACATACACATTTCTCTTGACCACTACGGACATTCCAGGCTCTCTCCTTCCAACAGCATCTGCCTCCCTGTGAGAATTCTTCCATGGGGCCTTCATCCCTGCAGAAACACAGCATCTAATTAAAATAGAAATCTGAGTTCAGGGATGCAATACCTCAAACTAGGAGGGTTCTCCTTTTCATTAGGCTATCTAATTTCAGCAAGATTTTCTTTAGTCTTTAAAATCAGAAGACCTCTTCCTCTTGGCCATTCCACCTTTTTCTCTTATTTCAAAATTCTACTTATCATGCTTCTTCTTCAACACAACAAAGTGTCTTTAATACTTTACCTCTCCTTGTACAGTGTTTGTTATAGGAAGTTTAGTTTTTTTCTTTTATTTTTTCAAGTTTACTGGAAAATTTCTATGATCAAATCTTCAGAGAGCTGAGCTGAGTGTGGTGGCTTGGGCCTGTAGTCCTAGCTAACTGGGAGGCTGAGACAGGAGGATTGCTTAAACCCAGGAATTCGAGGCTGCAGGGGGCTATGATCTACCACTGCATTCCAGGCTGGGTGACAAAGTGAGACCTCATCTCTTAAAACAACCAAACAAAAAAATTGGCCCAGCATGGTGGCTTATTCCTGCAATCCTAGTGCTTTGGGACGCCGAGGTAGGAGGATCACTTAAGGCCAGGAGTTCAAGACCAGCCTGGCCAATATAGTGAGACCCTGTCTCTAAAAAATATAAAAACTGAAAACAAAAATAAATATAGAGTAGAAATAATCCAGAAAACTCTCTGAGAGCCCCTTTAGAATGGTTTGCTTTCAGAAGAACTAGCAAGACCTTTTTACGACCTCACCCTATGAAGTGCTCACACCCACGTGACTCAAGGAAAGCACATGCTCTCTGAATTACTCAGCATCATTATAGCAATAAGAGAATGACACGTGGGCAGTAATGGTGCTAAGTCATTACCTGTTGGTACTGCATGACTCGCTTTAGTTGCCTAAAGCTCCACATAGTTGTTTAATGTCAGTCATTTTCTTGAAGGTTGCTCTTTTACCACCAGTGCCAGGCTCTACCATGGAGTGGCTTTAATTGTTGCCTGGATTAATCCAGATAGCTGATGTTTTAGCCCTTTGAGCACCAAAACAAAAATATTTTCTAAACTGTTCTCTGTGGAATTTTCATGTATTTATCCTTCCTCACATTTAAAATAGAGTATATTACATTTAATTTAACATTTCTGGATGAGTCCTATTATAAAGTGTGATGCCCTTTGTCTAGAAAAATATATAGCCATGTCTGATTCATGGCTCAATTATTCTAGGCCCACACTCTTTTTTAATTCTTAGGTCATACTTTTAGTGTTTTTTTTTCACCTTCGCTGTCAAGGTATCACCCTACTCACTATTACCAGTGTGCCGCATTGTACTTTTCAGCTACTTCTAATTTGATGTAGGCTTGAAAATGAAATATGTGAGATCATAAAATAACATGTAAAATAAGAGTCCTATAGAGAGGCATGTGTGATAACCTCTCTCATTAATAACATACATGAGCTTTGAGTATGATCCAGGAGAAGTGAAGGAAGCTAGAAAGAAAATAAAATGATTCATTGGACTTGATTCTTGAAACTGTCTTTTTTGAGCAGCCAAGTTACAAAAACATAAGATTATGTTATTCTTTGAGATATATTTCACACACAATAAAAAGCACAGATCTTCAGTTTACAGTTTAATGAGTTTTGACAAATGTATACACCTTCGTAACCCAAAGCAGGATACAGAGCATTGGCATCCCCCCTGGAAGCTCCCTTGCGCCCTTTCTTGCCAATGCCCACACCCTACACACACACACCCAGAGGCAATAGTTGTTCTGATTTCCATAGCTATAGATTGGTTTGCTTGCCTTTTAACTTTACGTAGATAGAATCATATCATGGCCCAGAGTGGTGGCTCACACCTGTAATCCCACCACTTTGGGATGCTGAGGCGGGCAGATCACGAGGTCAGGAGTTCGAGAGCAGCCTGGCCAACATGGTGAAACCCCATCTCTACTAAAAAGACAAAAATTAGCCGGACATGGTGGCAGGCACCTGTAATCTCAGTTACTTGGGAGGCTGAGGCAGGAGAATCGTTTGAACCCAGGAGGCAGAGGTTGCAGTGAGCCAAGATCATGCCATTACACTCCAACCTGGATGACAGGGAAAGACTCCATCTCAAAAAAAAAAAAAAAAAAAAAAAAAAATCGTACCATAAGCACTCTTCTATTAACATATTATCTAGCTTCTTTTGTTCAATATATTATGTTGGAGGCTCACATTGTTGCATGTATTCAAGGTTCTCTTGCTTTGTTGACTAATAGTACACTGTACAATATAGTACACTTTGTTTATCCATTCTTCAGCTGACAGAATTTGGGTTGTTTACAACTTGGGGCTATTAGGAATATAGCCCTATGAATATTTAAGTACAAGTCTTTTTGTGGACATACGCTTTTATTTCTCTTGGGTAAATACTTAACAGTGGAATTTTTTTTTTTTTAAGACGGAGTCTCGCTCTGTCGCCCAGGTTGGATGCAGTGGCGCGATCACCGCTCACTGCAAACTCCGCCTACCGGGTTCACGCCATTCTCCTGCCCAGTAGCTGGGACCACAGGCTCCCGCCACCACGCCCGGCTTATTTTTTTGTATTTTTAGGAGAGACGGGTTTTCACCGTGTTGGCCGGGATGGTCTCAATCTCCTGACCTTGTGATCTGCCCGCCTCGGCCTCCCAAAGTGCTGGGATTACAGGCGTGAGCCACCGCCCCGGGCAGAGTGGAATTTTTATTTATTTAAAGGGTCCAATCTTACTACCTTTTTTTTTTTTTTTGAGGTGGAGTCTCGCTCTGTCGTCCAGGCTGGAGTGCAATGGCGCGATCTCGGCTCACTGCAAGAGCCGAGTTCACGCCATTCTCCTGCCTCAGCCTCCCGAGTAGCTGGGACTACAGGCGCCCGCCATTACGCCCAACTAACGTTTTGTATTTTTCGTAGAGATGGGGTTTCACCGTCAGGATGGTCTCGATCTTCTGACCTTGTGATCCACCCGCCTGGGCCTACCAAAGTGCTGGGATTAGAGACCTGCGCCTCCGCGCCCGACCACTACTTGTTTTTATAATGACTCATATGCACAAAATAATTTCTTAAACGCTATTTATTGGCTTTTAACTTTTCTAACCTATAGACAAAACAAGTGAAATGTAACTATAATTATAGAAGAGACTAAACAGTGGAGAAAAGAGCATGGTAGGTAAGAGGAACAGCATGTGCAGAGGCCCTGAGGAGGAAACAGCTTGGTGTATTGAAGAACCTGAGACCATGTGACTAGAGTACAGTGTTTGAAAAGAATAGTGGTAGGAGGGGAGGATGGCTGGAGTCCAATGAAGAACAGCCTAGTAGGCCACATTAAGCATGTGCGCCTGATGAATAGTTTTAGGAAGTAGAGTCATGTGATTCATTATTTTCTGTGGAGGGAATGCAAATATAAAAGGGGAAAGGGCTGGGCGCGGTAGCTAAGGCCTGTAATCCCAACACTTTGGGAGGCCGAGGTGGACGGATCACGAGGTCAGGAGATGGAGACCATCCTGGCTAACCCGGTGAAACCCTGTCTCTACTAAAAATACAAAAAATTAGCCGGGCCTGGTGGCGGGCACCTGTAGTCCCAGCTCCTCGGGAGGCTGAGGTAGGAAAATGGCGTGAACCCGGGAGGCGGAGCTTGCAGTGAGCCGAGATCGCGGCACTGCACTCCAGCCTGGGCGACAGAGGAAGACTCCTTATCAGAAAAAAAAAAAAAAAAAAAAGACAGCCTAGTAGGCCACATTAAGCATGTGCGCTTGATGAATACTTTTAGGAAGTAGAGTCATATGGTTCATTATTTTCTGTGGAGGGAATGCAAATATAAAAGGGGAAGGGGCTGGGCACGGTAGCTAATGCCTGTAATCCCAGTATTTTGGGAAGCCGAGGTGGGTGAATCACCTGAGGTCGGGAGTTCGAGACCATCCTGGCCAACATGGTGAAACCCCGTCTCTACTAAAAATACAAAAATTAGCTGGGCGTGGTGGTGCGTTCCTGTAATCCCACCTACTCAGGAGGCTGAGGCAGGAGAATCACTTACACCAGGGAGTTGGAGGTTGCAGTGAGCCGACATTGCACCACTGCACTCCAGACAGGGGACAGAGTGAGACTCCATCTAAAAAAAAATACAAAAATTAGCTGGAAATCATAGCAGGTGCCTGTAATCCCAGCTACTCGGCAGGCTGAGGCAGGAGAATCACTTGAACCCGGGAGGCGGAGGTTGCAGTGAGCCGAGATTGCGCCATTGCACTCCAGCCTCGGCGACAGAGCAAGACTCCTTCTCAAAAAAAAAAAAAAAAAAAAAGAAAGAAAAGAAAGAAAAGAAAGAAAGAAAAGAAAAGAAAAAAAGAAAAGAAAGAGAACAGAAGAAGCTCCTGTAGTAAATCTTCAGAGAGATGGACATGCATTAGGGTAGAGATGAAAAGACCTGGGCAAATTGAAACATATTTTGGAAGTAGAATTTGAGCTTATGGCATCTACAAAAACAAACGAATATTCATCGTAAAAAACAAAACAATAAAAAATTCAAGTAAATTACCAAGTGATAATTCTGAAATCTTAATTTGTTATTTTTTGTGGCGGTGATGGGGCTGATGCTTTTCTGTGAGTTATTGAAAGAGGTCTTTCCAGGACAGCTAAAAGAAATTAGGCTAAGGAGAATTGGTAAATTTAAAAGCAAATAATGAGGTAGAAAAAGACATTAAATCATTTTATTTTAAGTATCAAAAATTCAGACCTAAAACAGAGACATGAGATATCAATGAGTGATGTCTTACTGTAGCCAGTCTTATTAAGCTTTATTAGAAGTATGGGCTCACAGACCTACTTCTCTTGGCTTCATATCTGCCTCTTTGATGAAATAGAGAAACACTCAAGGTCTTTACTACACAGTGGTGTAGAGATGTTACTGCCCTAAAATATATTGCATAACAAGCTTATGCATGTGAAATAACTTTAAAACACATTCATTTCACTGGACTCATCCAGTTTGGGATCTAGCCAGTGGTAATACCAAGTGACAGTTTCGGGAGGCTTAAATCATTCCTAAAATCTCCATCATCCTCTTATCAAAGCTTCCAACTAAATATACAGTCTAAAGAATAAGATATGCTCTGCAAATGAAACTTTGAGGCTTGTTTGCTAACCCTGTTGTATTAGTTTGCAGGGTTGCCATAACACAAAGTACCACAGACTGGATTGTTTAAAACAACAGAAATTTGTTTCTCTCTCTTTCTCTCTCTGTCTCCCATTTTCATAGGACACATTATCTGGTAACTTAATGAGAAACAGAACATAGAAAGTAAAATTGTGAGACCTTTCATATCTAAAAATGTTTTGATTAATAGTTTAATTGATACTGAATACCTCATTGGAAAACATTTTCTCCTACAGTTTGAAAGAGTTGTTTCATTGTCTTATTTGACTTCAGAGTTGCAGATAAGAATTCTGATTCTGAATCTAAATCTCCCTGTTTTGAGCCTTTCCTCCTCACTCCAACTCTGCATGATGTTTGGTGATACCAAATCCTGAACTTGCCCGGTGCTCTCTGGAACAAATTGGTTCCCTCTCTTTGGCATCCCTCTCCTCAGGCAGTTAGGTTTAGCTTTCTTAGGTTTAGGTTTCAACTTGCGAACTCAATTACCATTCCTCTGTTGAGGGGTGACCACGAAAATATTTAATTACAAGGGGTGCAGGAGCACAGAACAGACACTGCCTGTAAATAATCAGTGGGGTCATGTCAGAGTGGAACAGTGAGTACTAATTCAGTATCTGCTCTGCTTCCATTCAATTTCTATTCTCTAACACTTTGGTGACATCTTTTTTTTTTTTTTTTTTCTTCACTGTTTTCTACTTTTCCCATTTTACTTGGGCTTGGGCATGCATGCCTTTTTGTATTTCTTTATTGTCATTTTGGCAGGGTTTCAGCAGGAGTAAAAATAAATGTGTGTATTTAAAAGCTATGTTTAGCAAAAAGTCTACAAGATGCTCAATATCTACTATCACATTTAATTTTTTTTTGAGATGGCATCTCGCTCTGTCGCCCAGGCTGGAGTGCAGTGACGCGATCTCGGCTCACTGCAACCTCCGCCTCACGGGTTCATGTGATTCTCCTGCCTCAGGCTCCTGGGATCCAGAAGACAAAGCCAAAAGACTGAGCAGGCGCAAGTCAGACTGGACCTCTATATAGTCAGGCTGAAGAGGACATCTCAGTGGATTTGCCAGGGCACCCACCACATTAATGTTAGTTGTAAATCTGTAAGAAGACGCACACCAGAAAGGCAGCTATAATACTGTGGTTAAGACTGTAGGCTGTGGAGGAAATTGCGTGGGTTACAATTTAACCATTTTTAAATGTGCAATTCAGTGGCATTAAGTACATTCATATTGTCCTGCAACCATCCCCACCATCCATCTGCAAAACGTTTTCATCTTCCTGAATGAAACTCTTTACTCATCAAACATGAACTCCCATTTTTTCCCTTCCCAAACCCCTGACAACCACCTGTCTACTTCCTCTTTCTATAAATTTGGCTTTTCCAGGTACCTCATATGAGTGGAAGCATACAATATTTGCCCTTTTGTGTCTGGCTTATTTCACTGAGCATATGTTCTTACAGTTCATCCATGTTGTAGCATGTGTCAGAATTTCCTTCCTTTCTAAGGCTTAATAGTATTCCATTATATGTATATATCATATTTTGTTTATCCATTCGTCAGTAGACATTAACATTATTTCCACCTTTTGCCTACAGTGAATAATGCTGCTAAAAACGTCAGTAAACAAATATCTATTTGAGTTCCTGCTTTCAGTGCTTTTATATATTCACACCCAGAAGTGGATCATATAGTAATTTTACATTTACTTTTTTGAGGGACTGCCATACTATTTTCCCACAAGGCTGCACCATTTTACACTCCCAACAGCAATATACAAGTGTTCCAACTTCTACATATCCTCACCAACACTTGTTGTTTTCTGTTTTCTGATACCAGCCATCCTAATTGGTGTGAAGAGGAGGCTCACTGTAGTTTTGATTTGTATTTCCCTAATGATTAAAGATGTTGAGTACCTTTTCAGGTGTTTTTGTTGGCCATTTATCAATCTTCTTTGGAGAAACATATATTCAGTTCCTTGCTCATTTTTGAATTGGATTGTTTGGCTTTTTTGTTGTTGAATTCTCAGATTTCTTTGTATATTCTGGGTAATAATCCCTTATCAGATGTGTGATCTGCAAATACTTTCTCCCACTTTGTGGGTTGTCTTTTACTCTGTTGATAGTGTCCTGTGATGCACAAAAGTTTTTACTTTAGTCTAGGTTATAATCTTGACTCCACAATTTACTCAATGTGACCTTGGACCAGCTATTTAACCTCTCTGGGTGTCAGTGTCCTCATCTGAGGACATCTATCTCACAAAGTGGATGTAAAGATTAAATAATTCCTGATAAGGGTGGCAAGACCATTCAATGGGGAAAGGACAATATCTTCAACAAGTGGTGCTGGGAAAACTGAATATCTACATGCAAAAGAATGAAGTTGGACCCTTACCTCGTATCGTATACAAAAATTAACTGAAAACGAATCAGAGACCTAAACATAAGACCTAAACCTATAAAAACGATAAGAAGAAAACATAGGAGAAAAGCTGTATTACCCTGGATTTGACAATGATTTCCTGGATGTGATATCAAAAGTGCAGGCAAGAAAAGTAAAAATAGATAAATCAAACTATGTAAAATGAAAACTACTGTGCATTCAAGGACCTGATCAACAGACATGTAAGGAGCTTACAGAATGGGAGAAAATATTTGCAAATCATATATTTAATAAAAGGTTATATCTAGAATACATAAAGAAGTACAACTCAACAATATAAAACCATATAATTCAAATTAAAAACAGGCACAGGGCTTGAATAGACATTTCAAGATATACATACTTGCCCCACAAGCACATGAAAAACTCAACATCAGTAATCATTAGGGAAATGCAAACCAAAACCACAATAAGATATCACCTCACACCCATTAGGATGGCTACTATGGTATAATAAAAAATAAATATTTGGTCTTTGCCACTGGTTCCTGGCACAAAGTTCCTAAAACTCTTGGAATTTACTGTCTTGTATGCTAATGAGATGACTCAAAGCAGGGGCCCCTAGATACCTTCAGGTTAGGGGTTAGTCACTAGAAAAACCAACCAGGGGATTACATCATTAAAACTTCAGCCGCTCCCATTACCTCCACTCCTTTTCCCTCCCCAGTCTCTGGAGTAGGGAGAGGGACCTGAGATTAAATTTAATTACCAATGGCCAATGATTTAATCAATCATTCCTACGTAATGAAACCAATCAAACCCCTAAAGGATGAGGTTCAGAGAGCTTCTGGGTTGGTGAACACATCGAGGTGCTGGGAGAGTAGTGTGCCCAGAGGGGACATGGAAGCTCCGTCCCACCACCCCCAACCCCCACCCAGTACCTTGCCTTATGCATCTCTTCCATTTGGCTGTTCCTGGGTTGTATGAATCCTTTATAATAAACCGGTAAATGTTTAGTAAAGTGTTTTCCTAAGTTCTGTGAGCCATTCCAGTGAATTATCAAGCCTGAGGAGTTGTGGAAACTCCAAATTTATAGCTGGTCAGTCAGAAATATTGGTGACCCCTGGGACTTTCAACCAAAGTGGGGACAGTCTTATAGGAATGAGTCTTTAACCTATGAGGTCTGTGCTAATCTTAGAAGTTCGTATCAGAACTGACCTGAATTGCTGGACACCCAGTTGGTGCCAGAGAATTGGTTGAATTGGTTGTTGGTGTGGAAAAAACTCTGTGTATTTAGAGTCAGGAAAAACCTCTCAGCTACTATTAAGAAATGAAAACAAAAACAGGAAATAACAAGTGTTGGTGAGGATGCAGAGAAATTGGAAGGCTTATACATTGCTGGTAGAAACGTACAATGGTGCAGACATTATGGAAAACAGTATAGCGAGTCCTCAAAAAATTAAACATAGAATTACCATATGATCCAGCAATTCTACTTCTGAGTAGATATCCAAAAGAACTGAAAGCAGGATCTTGAAGAGGTATTTGCACACCCATGTTCATAGCAGCATTATTCACAATAGCCAAGTGGTGAAAACAACCTATTGTCTATTGATGGATAAACAAAATGGTGCATGCGTGCGTGCATGTGTGTGTGTGTATTCATATATATATGAAATAAGCCAGTCACAAAAGGACAAATACTAGATGATTCCACTTATATGAGGTATAATAAGTAGTCAAATTTATAGAGACAGAAAGTAGAATGGTGGTTGCCAGAGGCTAAGAACAGGAATGGAGGAATTAATTGATATGGAGTTTCAGTTTGGAAGGATGAAATATTCTGGAAACTGGCTGCACAACAATGTAACTGTACTTAAGGCCATTGAACTGTACTCTTAGAAATGGTTAAGATGGGCTGGGCATGGTGGCACATGTCTGTAATCCTAACACTTTGGGAGGCCAAGGCGGGTGGATCACCTGAGGTCAGGAGTTCAAGACCAGCCTGGCTGATATGGTGAAATCCCGTGTCTATTAAAAATACAAAAATTAGCGGCACGTGGTGGTGGGCGCCTGTAATCTCAGCTACTTGGGAGGCTGAGGCAGAATTGCTGGAACCCGGGAGGTGGAGGTTGCAGTGAGCAGAGATCGCGTCATTGCTCTCAAGCCTGGGTCAACAACAGCAAGACTCCATCTCAAAACAAACAAACAAAAAAATGGTTCAGATGGTAACTTTCGGCCAGGCGCCGTGGCTCACGCCTGTAATCCCAGCACTTTGGGAGGCCGAGGCGGGCAGATCACAAGGTCAGAAGATCGAGACCATCCTGGCTAACACGGTGAAACCCCGTCTCTACTAAAAATACAAAAAAAATTAGCCGAGCGTGGTGGCAGGCACCTGTAGTCTCAGCTGCTCGGGAGGCTGAGGCAGGAGAATGGCGTGAACCCGGGAGGCGGAGTTTGCAGTGAGCTGAGATTGCACCACTGCACTCTAGCCTGGGCAACAAAGCAAGACTCTGTCTCAAAAAAAAAGAAGATAGTAACTTTCATGTTATGTATTTTTTACCACAATAAAAAAGATTAAATTATTAAATTCACATCAAATATCTTCACCAGTGCCTCACACATGGTAATGCCTCAACGCTTGTTAGCTGGCATTATTTATACCGGTGGCCTAATGTAGACGCCAAGCAGACCAGTGTCTTTGGAGTTAACCTTTCAATGCCCGCAGGATACCCATTTAGATTTAATATTTAGAAATAAAAATAGTGGTCCTGAGTTCTTGTACAAACACTGGAAAGTTCTTTCTTTAACATCCTAGAATACCTTAAATGTAAGTAGTATATGGACTTGCAGCTGGATCTTGTCACCCTTCTTGTCCTCTGTTAGCATGTCCTATCATCAGCACACCACCACCAACCATAGCAAAACCGTCTCAGGATGGCTCCTAGCCCATCCAAAATTTGCAATCATCCCCTAGCTTTGCCGTCGGTTTTACCAGCCTTGCTTTTTTTCAATACTGCCAGACATAAGCTTTACCAAGTCTGTACAACTTCTACAAAAAAGAAGCAAACAGTTGTTGAGTTTAATAGTCACCATACCCTCCTGAACTCTAGAACATAGCCAGATTTTCCAAATGTAAATTGTACTAAAATTTGTTTTTAAATGGGGTCAAGGGGATGTCTCCTGCTTCACATGAGTTGTCTTACAAGGTGGGTCCTGAAACTTAAGCTAAGTAATAGAACTTGAGCACTATAAATATGTGTCCTGCCTTATATCCATTAATTATGCGCCAATGTCACAGGCTGGAAAGGAATACCAAAAATAAAAAGATGTTAGGAATCCGGAGCAACTTTTCTCTTTTTCGAAAGCTTCCCTTATTCTTCAATCACATTTTAAATATATGGAGACTAAGTTAAAATTGCTCACTAATGTCTATCCTCTTTTTATTCATATAACTTTCAACAATCATTACTTGTGAATATCCCCTTATGAATCCTCATAATCAACTGGTTTTTAAAAAGCTAGATAAAAAAAAAAAAACCCACTCCTGTCGTAATGTTATTTTTACAGCTGTGGGCAGGGAACCCATAGCAATTCCCTATTCCTTTAATATTTTAGAAGGAATTTTTTCTATACTACCCGGGATTTAAAATTTAAATTTTTTTCCCTTGAGATACAAAAACTGAAGTTCAATATAATAAATGACGGGTCTGTGTTGCTGACTGAGACCACAGCATGAAAGCAACAGAATTGCCTTGCACTTTTTTCATAATGGATGGCTCAAAACAAGCCAAAGTCCAACCTACAGAAAACTTGGCTCTGCTTTGATTTGCTTGAACAAGAAGTTCCAATTGGAAAGCATTCGCTAGGAGGGTGAGAACATCTGGATTCTGCGATGATAGAGTAGAAACAGATGGTGGCTTTGTGGAAGAGGGGCTGTGACTTTTCTACTGAAAACAGCATATCCCATGGTTTTTCTCTTGTTTTTCTAATAAACAAAGCCTGTCTCCATCTAATTAGCTTCAAAAAATAATTTACAGTTCCAGAGCTCTCCAAAAGAATTGAACATTTGTATAATGGGATGCTATAGCAAAAAAATGATGAATGTCAAGGAGAATACCAATAAAGATTACATCATTGACTTTTAAGCAGAAATATTTCATTGAATTTTAAATGCAGGGTAGAATTTAATTTACTGTCTCCAACCTCTCCTCCTCTCCACCCTCCATGAAATAAAAGGCAAATAGCTACAACATAGCTTATGTATATGTAAACTTTGGAGCTGGACTGCCTGGGTTCAAATCTTGATTCAACCATTCCTTAACGTGGGCAAAGAACTTACTTAACTTCTTTGTACTTCACTTTCTTCATTTGTAAATGAGAATAATACCTTATAGAGTGGATGTGAGAATTAAGTGAGTTAATTTAATACATGTAAGCACTTAAGACAATGTCAGCATATAGTAGGCACTCAATAAATGTTACTTATTTTTATTTCATTATAATCTTGCAGCAGACCTTTTTTAGGCTGCTCATTTAGAAATTATGAATTTGTGGCTGGCCGCAGTGGCTCATGCCTATAATCTTAACATTTTGGGAGGCCGAGGTGAGTGGATCACTTGAGGCCAGGAGTTGAAGACCAGCCTGGCCAACATGGTGAACCCATGTCTCTACTAAACATAGAAAAATTAGCCGGGCCTGGTGGCAGGCGCCTGTAATCCCAGCTACTCGGGAGGCTGAGGCATGAGAATTGCTTGAACGCAGGAGGTGGAGGTTACAGTGAGCCAAGATCATGCCACTGCACTCCAGCCTGGGCAACAGAGTGAAACTCTGTCTCAAAAAAAAAAAAAAAAGAAAGAAAGAAAAGAAAAGAAATTATGCGCCAGGCACGGTGGCTCACGCCTGTAATCTCAGCACTTTGGGAGGACGAGGCAGGCAGATCACGAGGTCAGGAGATCAAGACCATCCTGGCTAACACGGTGAAACCCCGTCTCTACTAAAAATACAAAAACTTAGTGGGGCGTGGTGGCGGGCACCTGTATTCCCAGCTACTCGGGAGGCTGAGGCAGGAGTATGGCATGAACCCGGGAGGCGGAGCTTGTAGTGAGCCAAGATCGTGCCACTGCACTCCAGCCTGGGCAACAGAGCGAGAATCCGCCTGAAAAAAAAAAAAAAAAGAAAAGAAATTATGAACTTGCTCCCATTCCCCCCTCCCTTTCCTTCTCTTTCTTTTTTTTTTTTTTTTTATTGTGAGACAGGGTCTCATTCTGTCACCCAGGCTGGAGTGAGTGTAGGGCACTCACAGCTCACAGCAGCCATACCCTCCCCGGCTCAGGTGATTCTCCCACCTCAGCCTCCTGAGTAGCTGGGACTACAGTCACACACCACCATGCCCAGCTCATTTTTGTGTTTTTTGTAGAGACAAGATCTCACCATGTTGCCTAGGCTGGCCTCAAGTGATATGCCTGCCTCGGCCTCCCAAAGTGCTAGGATTACAGGCGTGAGTCACTGTACCTGGCAGCCTTCTTTTCAGTGCCCAGTACAGTAGAAAATCATGTGTTACCTCGTGGAGCAATGAATAGAACATGGAGCTCAGATCAGCAGATGGAGGAGTCCCTGCTCTGCCTTAGTGACTCTTGGGTACTCTTGAGTAAGTTCTTACTCTCTAAGCCTCCCACGCACCTAGGCTGGTAAATAGAATGCACAAAATCAACAATTCTTTTTTTTATTTTTTTTTAGACGGAGTCTTGCTGTTATCAGCCTGGGCTGGAGTGCAATGGCGGGATCTCAGCTCCCTGCAACCTCTGCCTCCCGGGTTCCAGCAATTCTCCTGCCTCAGCCTCCCGAGTAGCTGAGATTACAGGCGCCCACCACCATGCCTGGTTAATTTTTTTTTTTTTTTTTTTTTTTTGAGACGGAGTCTCGCTCTGTCTCCCAGGCTGGAGTGCAGTGGCGCAATCTCTGCTCACTGCAAACTCCGTCTCCCGGGTTCACGCCATTCTCCTGCCTCAGTCGCCCAAGTAGCTGGGACTACAGGCGCCCGCCACCACGCCCGGCTTTTTTTGTATTTTTTAGTAGAGACGGGGTTTCACCGTGTTAGCCAGGATGGTCTCGATCTTCTGACCTCGTGATCCGCCCGCCTCGGCCTCCCAAAGTGCTGGGATTACAGGCATGAGCCACCGCGCCTGGCCAACAATTCTTAATTAATGAAAATACGCCTATGTGTAAGGGGCCCTGGACAATTACTCATCATGAGCCCTTCTTTTTTAGGTCTTTCACAGATTGTCGCAGTAAACAAAACTTTAAGACAAATTAGATAAAGAAACATGCCCATCCACTCTGAAAGCTTGGTTAAACCAATTTTGAAGACTAAATTGTAACTTTAGACCAGTTTGCCATCCAAAGGTTTCTCTTTCTAGTTTCAGTTTCCTCTAAGCCAGGAAGAAGTTTCAGGAGATCCACAGGTTATGTAAATGAGTAAAGCAAGATAATAGGGAGTGTTAGAAACTCTGGAAAACTGGATTGTATCGGCCCCGTCAAAAAAGAATTCAAATTAAAATGTTTTGTCCAAAATTCACGTGTGGGCCTGAGTCAGTGCTCAGGTAACCAGACATCAGCCTTTGTTTTTTAAAAAGTTAGTATACCTAACTGAATGAAGTTTACATTAACTGGAATCCAGAGCTGTTTTATACAGCTCTTTGCTCAACTTCTCTTACTAAATTCCTAGATGTTTATTCAGAATTGACCTCTCTCCTGCTTCATCATCTAGCAACCGTACTAACACCATACATAGCTTGCTGCTGTCAGCAGAAAGGTACTATTAAGGGATATGGCTAGCTGCTCTTAGGAACTCATTAAAGCTATAGAGGAACTGCAGTCATGCAACATTCATCCAACAGGTATTTACAGAGCACCTACTCTGAGCATAACGAAATATCACAAAGCCATCTAGGGCAGGTTTTTCCATTTGTCCACCCCTGTTGTACCAAAAGGATTTGGATTTAGCAAATCAAGGCGTCAGTTTCCTTTCTTAGTCCTTTGGATAAACTGGTGCCTTTCATTTACCAGGAGCAAAACATTTTTTCCTTGTTATTTATAACTAAAATCACAGCAAATCTGCTTCTCATCTTGTATTTCTGAAATTGGTATAAAGTTATTCTGAACACCATACAAGTCAGTTCAGCCTATATATGTGGAGTGCAGGTACTCTACTCAACCATATGTGGAGAGTCAAAAGGCCTTTGGCCCTTATGGAGCTTACGATCTAAAATGACCACTTATGGCCAGACAAGGTGGCTCACGCCTATAATCCCAGAACTTTGGGAGGCTGAGGCAGGAGGATTGCTTGAGCCCAGGAGTTTGTCACCAGCCCGGACAACATAGTGAGATTTTATTGCTACTAAAAATTTAAAAATTACCCAGACATGGTGGCGCATGCCTGTAGTCAGGGGGCTGAGGCAGGAGGACTGTGTGAGCCCAGTAGTTCAAGGTTGCAGTGAGCTATGGTCAAGCCACTACATTCCAGCATGGATGACAGAGTGAGACCCTGTCTCTACAAAATATAAAAATAAAAATAATAAAATGACTGCCTACAACTCCGGTACACATTAAATGAATATACAAAATTATAATTGCACAAAATACACAGAGCTTATTTTAGGATGGTAAAGCTTATAAATTGGTTGCCAAAACAGAGTATGGCTGATACTTTAGTTCCACTTTTCTGTTTAATCTCAGAACTCAGGTTATTCCTCTCCTCATTTTAGTTAAGGAAACTGAAGCCTGAAGGATTAAATGCCTCACAAAGTCCATAAGGGCCAAGAGACAATAACTCGGGCTTCTTGGTGGGTGACAAGCCACACTCTGCCACCACTACACTTAGATGACATCTCCCTTTCTGCACTGAATAGCAACCGCCCAATCCTGGGCCACCGAGAAAGTGTCTTAGGAACATGTTAAATGAGAATTTCATGTTAAAAGTGAGGTGATGATGAAGAGTAGTATTTTTACTATTCAAGTTAATAAACCAGAATAAAAATTCTGTGCCAAGAAAAAAGTTCGAAAAAATGGTTAGAATGAAGTTTATTCCCTCCTGGGGGTCACAGATACTTGACGAAGAGAGACATGTGAAAACCAATTCCTGCAAATGCAAACAGTGCTGTAAATGAGGTACTTGTAGGAGAGGACGCAGAGGAAGCTTCTGTTTCTGCCTGGGGATATCAGGGAAGACCTGAGTAGAAGCTCACCAGATAGACAAAGCGTGGAACAGCATCTCTGCATTGGGAACAGCATGTACAAAGTACACTGGGAACAGCATGTACAGAGGAGATAAGAACGAGTGTGGCTTCTTTAAAGAATTATAAGTAGTCCATACCATATGCAGAATATTTGTATCAGGGTAAAAGATGTGACAGATCTTGAAGGGCCTTCCATACTGTGCCAAGAAGTTTGGATGATTTCTGCAGACAGCTGAGAATCACAAAAACGGGGACTCTTTAAGGGGAGAAGCATGAGCAGGTTGGCATTTTTAAATGAACGCTCTGGCTGCCACATGTGGGATGAATTAGAGGAAGGCAAGACAAGGAGGCAAGGGAATTTTAGAAAATTAATGAAACAGGACAAGCAAGAAATGATAAGGCGGTGCAATGGGTATAGAGCGAGCCGGGATAACACGGACAGTTTGATGTCCTACTGCTTCAGAGTGCTGGTGAAAGGAAGGAGAAGTTCAAGGTGACTCTTAAGTTTCTGACTTGGGGAATCAGTTGTGTGTTGGTGCTTAACCTAAATACAGAGCAGTTTGGGGAGGAAAAAAATGTGTTGGGATTCAACATGGGAGGGCCATTTCAATGATGGAAGGAGCAAAGTCAAGAGCTGGAAATATATGCTTGAGAATTCTCATCTTGTGGATGGTATTCGAATCCCCAAGTGTAGATAAGCTTGTCTGGAAAAGCATAGAGTTGGAAGAGAAAGATAACAAGGACAACACCAGAATGGCCAATATTTAAGAGTAAGAAGAAAAGAAGCTGGCAAAGGGAAATAAGAAAGTGGTATGAAAACAGGAGGAAACCCAAGAGAGAGTGTGGTCATGGAAGTTCACAGAAGCAAGTGTCAAGTGTCCCTGAGAAGTCAAGGACGACATGGAAAAGGACACAATGAATCTGGAGATAAGAAAATGCATTTATTTGTTCAAGTCAGTGAATATGCATGAAGCACCCATTAGGTGCATCTCCTATTCAAGGCACTGGGGATGAAGCAGTGAACAAAATAGAAAATAAAAATCCTGGCCGGGCGCGGTGGCTCACGCCTGTAATCTCAGCACTTTGGGAGACCGAGGCGGGCAGATCATGAGTTCAAGAGATCGAGACCATCCTGGATAACACGGTGAAACCACGTCTCTGCTAAAAATACCCAAAATTAGCCGGGTATGGTGGTGGGTGCCTGTAGTCCCAGCTACTCGGGAGGCTGAGGCAAGAGAATGGCGTGAACCTGGGAGGCGGAGCTTGCAGTGAGCCGAGATCGTGCCACCGCACTCCAGCCTGGGCCACGGAACAAGACTCTGTCTCAAAAAAAAAAAAAAAAAAAAAAAAAAAAAAAGAATAATCCCTGCCCTCTAGTATTACATTCTAGTGGGGAACACAGACAATAAGCAAATAAATACGTGAATATTTAATGTATTGAATAAGTGCTCTGAGGAAAAATAAATCAGGTAAGGAGGATATGGAATTGGGGTTGGGAGAGGTATGAATCCAATGTAATAGACTGATGAAAGGTTTCAGTGAGCAAGTGCAAAGGTTTGAAATTAAACTGATTTTTCTGGAATGTGTTTCAATCTAGGGAAAGCAAAAGCTAGACTGCAATTAATTGAAGAGTGAATGGAAAAGAGGAAGAAAATTGCTAATAAAAGAGGAGCAATGGAGTAAATAACTTCTCCAAGAAGCTCAACGCTAAAGGGAAAGCATGAGTTCCTAAGCACAGGTAGAAGAGGTAAAGAAAAAGTAGGAAAAAAAGGCTTAGAAACAGATAGGTGTGTAGGTTGGAGGATACAAAACCAGGTTGTGAAGTTGCACAGTCTCTCAGAGGCCATCTTTCACTCTGGTCTGTGAGAATGTTGCTCCCTAGAGTTGTGAAACAGGTGTTACCAACTCACCCCCTACACTGACTCCATCTTTGCTATAAATTGGAAAGAAAGAACATCTATTCTCAATAGAGCAAATACAGGCATATCATGGTGGTTTTGACTGGTTGGGATACAGAAAATAAACAAACACATATGTAGAATTTATCAAAAGAGCTAATGTCACAATGCAAAGGAAGTTGAATCTAGGAATAAACAAAATGTTGGCCACATAGCATTGGAAGCTCAGAGGATGGTGGGCCACTCATGGGGCCCTTTACTTACACTGTCTCATTTAGTGTTATCAAGAGTCCTGCAATAGGATATTATTTTTTATAAATGAGAAAACTGAAGTCCACAGTGGTGAAGTAACATGCACAAACTCATGCAGCTGGGAAGTGATAGAGCCAAAATTCCAAAGACAATGAACTTTCCCCTGTAGCACGCGGCTTTACATACAAAAAAGAATAGGATATATGATCCCTGCTCTCAGAGCTCACACACTATTAGGGGAAAAGATATATAAATAACTGTAAAACAATGAGATGAATGGGAAACTGGTTTATGAGCAAAGTACTATGGGAATATAGGCTTGTAAATCCATTCTCTCAGGCAGCTGTATATTTACCGTAGACAGGGAAGGAGAATAAGAACGACAAAGGCAAGATAGTAATACATTTCCATGATGATACAGTGAATATCCTTCATTGCCATCTTAAATAGGTATTCATAATTTACCATTTAGAATCAGAAATTTCTTAAGTTTATGAGGTTATTATGACCCTTATTTGCAGATTTTTTTAAGTAGAAAGAGAGTTTAAGATTCATGCATTTAAAGTAAAGTGCTTCAAGATACCAGTATTTTTATATTTTGTGTAAGGAATGGGGGGAAATAAGAATATAAATATAAACATATAAATATATAGCTTATTTGTGCATAAATGTATACTGAAGGTCAAATAAAAAACCTCTGGGGTAGAAGTTTGTGGAATGGGCTAAAAGAGATAGGAATGGAAGCAAGACTTTTCTGAATATATCTTTGTATAGAGATTTTCTTTTTAATCCATGTAACCATTTTACATATTCAAGGAAAAACCAGTGCTGGGCATGGTGGCTCATGCCTGTAATCCCAGCACTTTGAGAGGCCAAGGCAGGTGGATCACGAGGTCAGGAGTTCAAGACCAGCCTGGCCAACATAGTGAAACCCCATCTCTACTAAAATTACAAAAAATTAGCCAGGCATAGTGGCACATGCCTGTAATCCCAGCTACTCGGTAGGCTGAGGTAGGAGAATTGCTTGAACCTGGGAGGCAAAGGTTGAAGTGAGCCGATATCACGCCATTGCACTCCAGCCCGGGTGACAGTGAGAGATTCCATCTCAAAAAAAAAAAAAAGAAAAGAAAAGAAAAAAGAAGCTAACAGTAAAATTAAAAACAGACTGAAACAAATTACCCAAACTCTGTGTTGAATTGATAATATAGCCACACAGAGACAAAAATTTGGAATGAATTTTGAACACTGTGTAAGATATACATCTTACTACTGTATATTCTAAGGACAAAAAGAATTTCAAAAACATATCGAACTTCATACTGTATCTTATTTTTAGTAGTAAAGATAGCACTTTGATTTTGTGACTATTTTGTGTATGTTTTAGGACAAAGCAAATATTTTGATATTATTAGAAACTAAGGTGATCAGTGTGAGAAAAAGTGTTCATATATCAAATTATAGAAGCTAATATGTATTGTTAAAATCTGAATTGATCTGTGTATGAAAAGACACAATCAACAGAGTTAAAAGGCAATGCACAGAATGAGAAAAAATATTTGTAAATCAAACATCCGACAAGGGGTTCATATAAAAATATATAATGAACTCCTATGGCTCACAAAACAACTCAATTTTTTTAATGAGCAAAAGATCTGAAAAGACATTGCCCCAAAGAAGATATACACATGCCCACAAGCACTTCACTAATGATTAGGGAAATACAAACCAAAAACACAATGAGGCTGGGCGCAGTGGCTCACACCTGTAATCCCAGCACTTTGGGAGGTCGAGGCGGGCAGATCACTTGAGGCAGGAGTTCAAGACCAGCCTAGCCAACATGGTAAAATCCTGTCTCTACTAAAAATACAAGTTACGCTGGGTGTGGTGGCTCATGCCTGTAATCTCAGCATTTTGGGAGGCCGAGGAGGGTGGATCACGACGTCAGGAGATCGAAACCATCCTGGCTAACATGGTGAAAACTCGTCTGTATTAAAAATACAAAAAACTAGCTGGGCGTGGTGGCATGTACCTGTAGTCCCAGCTATTCGGGAGGTTGAGGCAGGAGAATTGCTTGAACCCAGGAGGCGGAGGTTGCAGTGAGCCAAGATTGTGCCATTGCACTCCAGCCTGGCCAACAGAGTGCACTGTCTTGTACACTGTTGGTGTGAATGTATAATGGTGTAATGCTATGAAAAACAGCATGGCGGTTTCTCAAAAAAACTAAAAATAGAAATAACCATATGATCCAGCAATTCCACTTCTGAGTATATAGCCAAAAGTATTGAAAACAGGATCTCAAAGAAATATTTTACAGCCATGTTCATAGCAGCATTATTCACAATAGCCAAGAGATGGAAGCATTACCAATGTTTATTGATGAATGAATGCATAAGAAAAATGTGGCATATTTGCAACATACAATATGTATGTTGTAAATACACAATGGAATATTACTCAGCCTTAGAAAGAAAGGACATTCTGACACATGGTACAACATGAATGAACGTTGAGGACATCATGCTAAGTGAAATAAACCAGTCACAAAAAGACAAATACTGTGTGATTTCTCTCATGTGAGGTTCCCTAGAGTGCTCAAATTCATAGAAACAGAAAGTCAGAATAGTAGTTGCCAGGAGCTGGAGGGAGAGGGAAATGGAGAGGTGTTGTTTAATGGGTATAGAGTTTCAGTTTTGCAAGATGAAAACATTTCGTAGATTGGTTCCACAACAATGTGAATATACTTAACACTACTGAACTCTACAATTAACAATGGCAAATTTTATATGCTCTTTACAATAAAAACATTTTAAATTACTTTGCTGTAGAGGGAGATGCTATCTTCACCATCTAAGGCTGTTTTATCTAAACATCCTTGAAAAGATAGTCCAGAAAAAAATAAAGGGCAATCTACATTCTACAAGACAACTGGCTCCATCCATTTAAAAAGTCAATGTCATTTTTAACAAAAGGGTATTTTGGGGGATAATGTAGAATAAAAGAAGGCATAATCAAGTGCAATGCATGAATCTTAATTGGATTCTGAATCAGAAAAAGAAGGGCTATAAAAGACATTTTGTGGGCACTTGGGGAAATCTGAACATAGACTGGATATTAGATTATTTTAGGGAATTGCTTTCTTAGGTGTAATAATAATAATATGTGTTTTGTAGAAGCACAACCTTCATTTTTTTTTTCGAGTCTCCCTGTCGTCCAGGCTGGAGTGCAGTGGCGCGATCTCGGCTCACTGCAATCTCTGCCTCCCGGGTTCACACTATTCTCCCGCCTCAGCCTCCGGAGTAGCTGGGACTACGGGCGCCCACCACCAGGCCCAGCTAATTTTTTTGTATTTTTAGTAGCGACGGGGTTTCACCGTATTAGCCAGGATGGTCTCGATCTCTTGACCTCGTGATCCGCCCGTCTCGGCCTCCCAAAGTGCTGGGATTACAGGCGTGAGCCACCGCGCCCGGCCGAAGCACAACCTTATTCTTAGAAGATACACTCTGAAGTGTCATGTGTATCTGAAAGAAATCTTCAAATTGTTGAACAACACATGTACAGTAAATTGAACTACATGAAATTGTTTCTATTCAATTTTTATTATAATTTCTTTGTTTTTTTTTTTTGAGACGGAGTCTCGCTGTGTCGCCCAGGCTGGAGTGCAGTGGCGTGATCTCGGTGCACTGCAAGCTCCGACTCCCGGGTTCATGCCATTCTCCTGCCTCTCAGCCTCCCGAGTAGCTGGGACGACAGGCGCCCACCACCACGCCCGGCTAATTTTTGATATTTTTTTAGTAGAGACGGGGTTTCACCGTGTTAGCCAGGATGGTCTCGATCTCCTGACCTAGTGATCCGCCCGCCTCAGCCTCCCAGAATGCTGGGATTACAGGCATGAGCCACCGCGCCCGGCCTTTTTATTATCATTTCATATACTTCAACCTGATAAATAAGTATAGCAAATATTAATGGTTGTTTCAGCCTGGTGATAAATATATGAATGTTACTATCCTATTCTTTCAACTTTTTTGATTACTTGGAAATTTTATTAATAAAGTTTTGAAAAAAAACAAAATAAGAAAAAAAGTTTGACATCAAACTCACGGAGGAAGTGAATGCTACTTTTACCACTTAGTACCTAATGATGGCAACAATGCCAAGAGAAGTTTCCGGGGTGGGAGCTGTTGGGGGCACCTGAGGCAGCTTTATTCCATCCACATCTTCCATTAAGAAGGCTTATTGCCACCCACAATAAGCATAACCCTACCTAAGAATAGTGTGCTTGGCTACTCTGGGCATACTGCCTATGGGGTACTCCTGCTCTGCAAGGAGCAGTAAAAAAAAAATTTAAATTAAATTAAATTAAAAAACAGTGTGCTTTAGCCCAAGCCTCCTAAGCACTAGATTTTGGCTCCTAAGGCGCACTAAGTGGATGCTTTGTGACCTGGGCGAGGTGCTTAATTCTCCAAGGACTTAGTATTAAGTAAATATGAAGAATAAGGAGGAAAGAGTTCAGGATGACTTCCACATTTCTGGCCAGAGTGACACCTTAGGAAGAGAAAGCGTAAGCATCCCTGGGGAGTTAGGAGTTATTTCAGGCCAAAGCACTGAAGGAAAGAGAGACCTTAAAGAGAAGCTTTAACAGTGGTATATTGGACTCAGTGCCGTCTTTTTATTTAATTATTTAATTATTTACTTATTTTTATTTTTTTACTTTTTGAGACAGAGTCTCACTCTGTCACCCAGGCTGGAGTGCAGTGGCCTGATCTCGGCTCACTGCAACTTCCGCCTCCTGGGTTCAAACAATTCTCCTGCCTCGGGAGAATCCTCCGAAGCAGCTCAGACTGCAGGCGCGCGCCACCACACCCGGCTAATTTTTTTTTTTTTTTTTTTTTTTTTTTGAGACAGAGTCTTGCCCTGTTGCCCAGGCTGGAGCACAGTGGTGTGATCTTGGCTCACTGCAAGCTCCGCCTCCCCACAGCCGGCTAATTGTATTTTTAGTAGAGACGGGGTTTCACCATGTTGGCCATGCTGCTCTCCAACTCCTGACCTCAGATGATCTGCCCGCCTTTCCCTCCCAATGTGCTGGGATTATAGGCATCAACCACCCTACTCAGCCTATATAGCCATCTAATTTAATATTGACCAAATGAAATTTCTTTTTGTACCCCAAGCTGATGAAGAGGAATGGAGCAATTTTGTTTTTCAAATATTCTATAATGAGCATACATTATTTTTAAGGAAAAATTATTTTTAAAGTGGTTCTACGGTATAAAACTCAGAAAAAGCAAAATTTTAATTACAAGTAATTATATAATTATCAGCTAAATAGTAAACTTTTAAGTTCATACATTTGAACTTTTATCAATCAATTTATAATAATAAAATGCCACGTGATGTGTTTTGGCAACAGTTGAGGGAGAAACTGGTAACAGCAGCAGCAGCAGGATGGGGGGGCACCACACCCACCCACCCACACCGGCAGCAGAGGTGGCATCCTGAGAAGAGGCAGGCAGTGAGAGACTGCCACAGCTGGAATGACCAGAGAACCATCAGCAGGGCAGGGCAGCTGTCGGCATGAACCATCTAGTCTCCCCAAGGAAGGGAAAAAATGGTGTGGGGGAGGTTGGAGATCCATTAACACTAGGAGCAAATCCTCCCCCTAATAGCCACAAGATGACTCACCGAATATATTTCCAGACATTAAAATAGATTATCTCTGATACCTACCAGGATTGTTATGTTTGGTTTTTGTTTTGTCAATGTAAAAAAAAGAAAAAAAAAAAGGTTAAGAGTAGAGGAAGACCTAGAACAAAAAGCAATTGTTCCTTGCTTTTTATCTCCCCAGCCTCAGTCCCACTTCCAAAGGGCAACCACTTTGACCTTTGTGGTTTTAAATTCTCCTGATGATCTTCAACTGTATGAATAGGATTAAGCTGCTATTTTGTGACACTATTGACTCTTGCAAGGACTGATAAAAAGTCAGCTTAATTCACCCCCCTAAGGTGCACATGATAGTTAACATCACAATTTTTAGTCCTATTGTCCACTCTAGTAATTTTGATATCCTTAAACTTTTGTTTTTAGTTCTATTAAATACAGACAGCACCTCTTGGCTCTCCATTTTGTGACAGGAGATTTGAACTCCTATTTCTCTTGAACTCCCCACCTTTGCTTCTACCTCCAAACTTCTTATTTTTTAGAAATGAGGCCTCCCTCTGTTGCCCAGGTTGGAGTACCTCTGGTGCAATCATAGCTCATTGCAGCCTCAAACCCCTCTACCTCCAAACTTTTCAAAGCTGTACTCTCCTAGATATCCATGACTGACAACATTTATATTCCCTTCAGTAACTATTTTTTTCTTTCTTTCTTCTTTCTCTCTCTCTCTCCCTCTCTCTCTCTCTCTCTCCCCCTCCCTCCCTCCCTCTCTCTCTCTTTCTTTGCTTTTTTTTTTTTTTTTTGACAGAGTCTCACTCTCTTGCCAGGCTGGAGTGCAGTGGCGTGATCTCAGCTCAGTGCAACCTCCGCCTCCCAGATTCAAGTGATTCTCCTGCCTCAAGCCTCCCGAGTAGCTGGGTCTATAGGCATGTGCCACCACACCCAGCTAATTTTCATATTTTTAATAGAGACAGGGTTTCACCATGTTGGCCAGGATGGTCTCAGTCTCTTGACCTCGTGATCTGCCCTCGTTGGCCTCCCAAAGTGCTGGGATTACAGGCGTGAGCCACCGCGCCTGGCCTGTCTTCCATAAGTTGGTTCTAATAGACAATAACCAATAAGCAGCATTAACATTATGAAAATGTTGGTCCACAGCAGAGCCAAGTAGTATGCTGTGATTGATTTTCCTCTGTGTAATCACAATGTCTCAACCCTGTGCTTCTATTTCTCAAAATCATGGTTAGTTTACTTTGTTGTTGTTGTTGCTTTGCCTAGTATTTTTTTGTTGTTGAAAGAAGAAATCTGTGCCATCTTACCCATTCTATTTCTTGGAATATTTTTCTTTTGAAAGCCCATTGATGACTCAGTTTAACTTAATTCATATTTGTTTTATGGTTTTCTTATAGAGTCTTTCAGAAAATAAAATTTCTAGGTGCTTATTTTCCTTTTCTTTGCCTGAAGTATATCTTCAAGTTCTTCCAACTGTATATTCCATGAAACACCTTTGTTTCCTGGATCCCCCATTCTTGCTCAAATATGAACTGGTGGCTTAGTCACCCACAAAACTGACATTCTGAGTCACATCTGCAGCTGCCTGAATCCCATGGCTTCCTCAGGATATTCTGCTCTTTTATTGATGGAGTACATGCTCTAATAACTCCTCAAGAAAAGGTGCCTGGCAGGTAAGCTTTCTGAGTCTTTGCATGTGTAACAATGTCTTTATATTGCCCTCGCAAGTAATTTGACTGGATAGAGGCGTCTCAAGTTGAAAATCATTTTCCCCCTGAACTTTCAAGCTATTATTCCACCATTTTTAGTGCAGCTGATGATCAATCTAATGCCAGCATGCCTTTTGTTTCTTGTAGAAGTTTGTGTTCCCGTTTCTGGAAAGCTTTTGAATAGCTGGTCATTTACTGAACAAATTTTATTGAGCTGCTACTCTATGGCAGCCACAAGGGCTAGGACTTAGGGACACAATGGTGAAGACTAGATTATTTCTAATGAAGTTTCCCACATATCCACCAAAGACAATGCTTGAGGCATCTTCCTTTTTCTCAGAGGCAGAGACCAAATTAGCTTAACTTTGAAATACAGAGATTTTATTTATTTATTTTTTTTGAGACAGTCTTGCTCTGTCACCCAGGCTGGAGTGCAGTAGCACAATCTTGGCTCACTGCAACCTCCGCCTCCCAGGTTCAAGCAATTCTCCTGCCTCAACCTCCCAAATAGCTGGGATTACAGGCGCCAGCCACCAAGCCTGGCTGATTTTTGTATTTTTAGTAGAGGCCGCGTTTTGCCATGCTGGCCAGGCTGGTCTCGAACTGCTGACTTCCGGTGATCTGCCTGCCTCGGCCTCCCAAAATGTTGGGATTACAGGCGTGAGCCACCATGCCTGGCCCAGAGATTTTATTCTTAGAGCTCCAGAAAAGTGGGCTAGGTAGATAGAGAAAATGTTAGATGCTGGTGTTAGCTCACTGCGATATTAATTTAGATGTCTGATTATAACGGATAAGAACATAATTTAACAGAAAATCTTTCTGTTCATAGTATTTTCCTTTACTTTCCACCTTTCCCATATCTGTTTTGGTCTGACACTGTAGGGTACATCACTGTGAAATCAAAAACAAGCAAGCATGTACCCTTTGTCCTCAAAGGTTGGCATGCAGGCCTGTGAACTTGGAAAGACAACAAAGCTTTCTAGCATGATAAACAAAGAAAATGAAGATTAAAAAATCTGGTTTCCTCTTCCTGGCATTAGCAAATACCAGCTGTCCGAGAACTCTGAATAATCTACTCCTCTTATTCCTAAAAGGTAATTAATGTTAAAACATTGCCGAAAGGAGGTATATTTTGATTTTCAATTAAAATGACACAAATGAAGTGGCAATGCAACAAATATGAGAGAAAAATAGAAAACTGCAGTATTTGCATTTGTGATATTTTTCCCATCTAATTTCACTCTCTCCAATGGTCCCTGAAACATCACCTGCAGGCTGACATCCTGATAAACTCTAAAAGGAAGACAGAAAACAAAATCTAAAAGGCAGGGTGGGTGTGGCAGTTAGAGAGGTCACCACGAAAAAGAAGAAAAATGCAGCTACTCTAGGGATACAGATAAGTCATTAGGGTCAAGGGTTGAAAGGAGTACATGAGATTGCAGACTGCCCATGTGGTAACTAAAACTAATGACAGACTTCTAATAAAGGAACAAAACCTTTAGATTCTTTTGTTTGGCCTTTACTGCCAAAAAAAGCAAGTTGCAAAACCAGTCCTAACATTTCATTAAGCAATGGAAAGCTTCTTTCCATTGGGAAAAGCTAATAGAAGTGTCTCTTCATACCCTCTTAAAAAGGGCCAGGTTTCTCCTGATGTTTCTGCTATTAGAAAAGACTTGTAGACTGAGCATGGTGGCTCATGCTTGTAACCCCAGCACTTTGGGAAGCCAAGGCAGGCAAATCACTTGAGGTCAGGAGTTCAAGACCAGCCTGGACAACATGGCGAAACCCTGTCTCTACTAAAAATACAAAAATCAGTCGGATGTGGTGGCAGATGCCTGTAATTCCAGCTACTCAGGAGGCTGAGGCACGAGAATTGCTTGAACCCAGAAGGCGGAGGTTGCAGTGAGCCAAGACTGTGCCACTGCACTCCAGCCTGAGTGACAGAGGGAGACTCTGTCTCAAAAAAAAAAAAAAAAAAGACTTGTAAAGTTTGTGATGGTAGAGTGGAAAGAGCATGATATTTACAATAATGTTATCAGTGCATGTCCTAGCCAATCCTGTTATTCTCCCTGTATCTCAAATGTCTTGTCTGTGGCCAGGTGCAATGGCTCATGCTTGTAATCTCAGCACTTTGGGAGGCTGATGCAGGTGGATCACGAGGTCAGGAGTTCGAGACCAGCCTGGCCAACACAGTGAAACCCCGTCTCTACTAAAAATGCAAAAATTAGCTGGGCCTGGTGGCAGGTGCATGTAATCCCAGCTACTCAGGAGGCTGAGGCAGGAGAATCACTTGAACTCGGGAGGCAGAGGTTGTAGTGAGCCAAGATCATGCCACCGCACTCCCACCTGGGTGACAGAGCTAGACTACGTCTCAAAAAAAAAAAAAAAAAAAAAGCTTTGTCTGTAAAGTGTAGAAGATTGCAAACACAAACAAAAGGGATTCTAAATGTCTAAAAAGGCTTATTTCCTTCTTTAATTCATTCTTCTAACTAAAAAAGCTTGGCTGGGCGTGGTGGCTTACACCTGTAATCCCAGCACTTTGGGAGGCCGAGGCAGGCAGACCACGAGGTCAGGAGTTCCAGACCAGCTTGGCCAACATGGTGAAACCCTGTCTCTACTAAAAATACAAAAATTAGCCAGGCCTGGTGGTGAGCACCTGTAGTCCCAGCTTCTCAGGAGGCTGAGGCAGAAGAATCGCTGGAACCCAGGAGGTGGAGGTTGCAGTGCGCTGAGATTGCGATCGCGCCACTGCACTCCAGCCTGGGCAACACAGCAAGACTCCGTCTCAAAAAAAAAAAAAAAGCTTAAACTGTAAAAAATTGTAAACTGTAAAAACTATAAAAAATTGTAAACTGTTCTACTTACTTTACATATACCTAATTAATGCATTTTCTGAACAACATGATAAAGTTATGTTTAAGAAAAACATACATGCACCAGTTCTCACGCTGAGGTATCTGCTGCCAGTTTGGTCCAGGAACATGTAATCAGCATCCTGGTCCCAGGTAGTGGCATGGTCAGTACCTACTGCCCATTTCCTCAGAAGACAATACTGTCCTTTCCAAAATGTTTACTATTTATTTGCTCAGAACAGATAGGTCTTCATTTGACTCACTACCTGAACCACCAGCTTCTTACATTATCTCTTTAAAGCAGAATTAATTCATATAATTTTGTCAAGTCACCTGGACTCAACTCTAATCTGAAAGTTCTTGAATATCTGTGGTATCACCATTTCTAAGTAGTTCAGCAGTCTAATGGTCATAACTAACTTAATCAGCCAAATATGAAATCTGTTTGATGCTGCCATTGTAGGAGTCAAATTCTTAATGTATTTATAACTTAATAAATTGCAATTCAGAATTATGACACTAAGTTAACTTCGCTCCATCCCTTTTTAGTTGAGGTTCCAGATTTCTGCTTCAGGTTGGAAACTGCCAATGCAATGTTCAGAGCATGTTCTACTCAAAAGTCACATCTTATCTTTCATAGCCACATGACAGACCAAGCCCCATTTGCTCATTTACATTTTATTATCATTGTTATTACTAATAAATCAATAGAAATTGAATAACAAAGGAAAAAGCTCAAGATAAATAATTTCTTCCTTGTGAATTCAAACACATGCATACACACACATCCTCCTCTGTGTGTTACTTCCTCCTCACATTCTGTCCTACGGTACAAATAGTTACACAAAAGTCTACAAAACGCGAGTAGCAGACCCCAGCTGTGTAAAGCTCAGGCTGATTCTCAGTCTAGATCACCAGCTTCTCCACGCTAAGTGTACTTGTGGTTTCATCCTCTTCATTTGACCCAAAATATCCTGGGAGGTCCAGCATCCTCTGCTCAGCCTCAGTGAGGCCAAACGACGTATTGTCATAGAAGGCAAACTCAGGGTGAGTGGGGAAGCTTTGACACTTGTCTTTTCTACACTGAGAAGGGCTCAGAGAACTGACCCTCTGGTAGTTATCTTTGGGGGATATGGGAGAAGACTGCTTCCTTGAGACACTCTTGTGACTGGGGGACGGTCCCCGACGAGCTCTGTGGGGCTCTGTTCTCTCAATTCCGGCCACTAATCCTGCCTGGTGATCCCCAAGGTCTGGTTTCCTCAAGGGCTGCCCCAAAGTGTAGGATTTAGGGAGAGGGTTTAATGGACCACGGGTTCCACTTGCCTCTTGGAAATGCTCCAGTTTTTCAGGAAACAGGTGGGCACCTCGACTCTGAGGCCTAAATCTGTCCTCTGCCTGCTCGCAGGTCCGCGTCCTAGAGCTGTAGGCAGGGGCCTGCCGTGGAGTCAGAGTGGACATGCTCCTCTCTCGGAACGGCCGGGCCTGCCTGGCTTCATGGAAACTCGCTGTCCTCCTGAAATGGGCGTTCCTGGCATGGCTCCTTTCGGACGGGCCCCCTCTGCTGCCCACGTGCCTTGCCTGTGACTTGCGGATCAGAGTCTGGCTGGGGCTTATGGCACAACTGGCCTGAGTCACATTTAGATCCAGCCTGGAGGGAGGCCTTTCCCCGGCACTGACCGCGGGCTGCTCCGGAAATGGGGATTTGATCCGGAACTTGTTTGCTGCAGCTTCTTCCGGGCTTTCCAAATCTAAGGGAGCGCTGGGGGCCGCATCAATGGCAGTGTCTGTCAGGGGACTCTGAGACACGTGATACACTTTGGTAGTTTCCGTCAGACCTTTCTTTTTCATCTCCTTTAACTGCTGCTGGGCAAGGCGGTAGCTGAACAGAGGTGGGATTATCTTCTGGGCGTTGGACTGGAAGCTCTCGCTGCCAGAGGCATCATCCTCGGGAGGTACCGGCCCGCTCCGCCTGTAGGTCAGAGGGATGCCTGTGTCCCCTGGACTCCCCGTGGGCCCGTCTCCCCCATCCGAGAAGCTCCCGCGCTGCTCGCTCAGCTCGCAGATATTCTCCTCGTCCGAGTTCTTCCGGAAGCTGGGGGAGTGGATGGAGTTGTGTCGAGCAGGTGTGCTGCACTTGGCTGGCCGGCCGAACCTCCTCCACAGCGTGATGAGCACAGTGGCAATGATGATGAACAAGCACAAGGATATACCAGTGACAGTCACGATGTTGTTGGACTTCACTGGACCCTGGGGCTGAAGAGGAGATGGGCTGGATGGCTGGAAAGCTGCAAAAAAAAACAAAACAAAACAAACAAACAAAAAACACAGAGGAACAGATGTATTTTTACTTTTTCTTTTCTTTTTTTTTTTTTTTTTGAGATGGAGTCTTGCTCTGTTGCCCAGGCTGGAGTGCAATGGTGTGATCTCGGCTCATTGCAACCTCCGCCTCCCAGGCTCAAACAATTCTCCTGCCTCAGCCTCCCAAGTAGCTGGGATTACAGGCATGCACCACCACGCCTGGCTAATTTTTTTGTATTTTTAGTAGAGCTGGGGTTTCATCATATTGGGCAGGCTGGTCTTGAACTCCTGACTTGTGATCCACCCGCCTTGGCCTCCCAAAGTGCTGGGATTACAGGTGTTAGCCACTGTGCCCAGCCCAAATATGTATTTTCTAGTATTGTTTGCTCTGCACGGTTTTAAGGTCTCTGAGTCACTCACTCTAATTATCTAGCAGTTAAGGAATGATGGAAAATAAACAAGGACTGGGATTTCTGGTCTTACATATGGATTTCTGCTGGCAGCTGAAGCCAAACAAGATCACCAAAGGGGAAACACTGCAAAAACAGAGACCCACAGAAGCGAGGTGACCTGGTAAGCCATAATCAAGGTGACTCCCATGCTCACCAGCTCCTGCTGGAATTGGCCTCCAAGTTTCCACACAGAAGTAGCATGTAGAAATTTTCTTTTTCTTTTTTTTTTTGTTTTGAGACGGAGTCTTGCTCTGTCGCCCAGGATGGAGCACAGTGGCACGATCTCGGCTCACTGCAACAACTTCCGCCTCCACGGTTCAAGTGATTCTCCCGCCTCAGCCTCCTGAGTAGCTGGAACTATAGGCGCATGCCACCACCCCTGGCTCATTTTTTAATTTTTAGTAAAAACAGGGTTTCACCATGTTGGCCAGGATGGTCTTGAACTCCAGACCTCATGATCTGCCCACCTCGGCCTCCCAAAGTGCTGGGATTACAGGTGTGAGCCACTGCGCCCAGCCAGAAATTTTCAAGATAAAAGTCAGTGTTCACTTACGATAATGTAAACATGGTACCTATTGTTAAATGTACCTCTGAGAGGCACATCGGAAGTATAAAATGTGAAATGCAAAATGATTTAGGTAGGCCAAATTTAGGTTCCTACATATGTACATCTTAAGGGAAATTAACTGACGAAAGTAAGACTTGGCAATACATAATACAACTCATTTCCCCCTTCTATTATCCAGAAATTGTCTTTCCTAAGCGTTAAAGCCTCTGCATTCTCTCTCTTCTATTTTCAGCCATCCACTCCCCTTCCTACCTTCCATTGTGAGGGGTACTTTTCTTCTTTTTCCCTCCTCAAACTGGTTTGTCCCACGGTCATCAAAATGTTTCATCAAAATGCAGGCACCACCTGGAGCCTCCACCTGTACTGCCACCAAAACACCTGGAAACCTGAGACCAACTAATGCCACCTGACCCTCCCCTCTCTTTCCCCTTTGGTCACCAGTCCTATGGCTTTTTTTCCCATGTTTGTATCACCACCAGCTCTGTGCTTCATCTTCTCCACCCGTCCTCCCACTGCCCACTCTTTGTACTGTCCCCTAGGGGACAGCTGATTACAAATTCCCCAACATCCCTAACTGCTCCACAGAACACCACCTTCACCTCCTTGTCCCAACTGAAGCCAGGCTACCCTGCAGGGCATGGTTTCCCCCAATCCTCTCAGTGGAAGCTGTCACACATAGTTTCTTTTCCTTTTTTTTTTTTTTCTTTTCCACCTCCTGGGTTCACGCCATTCTCCTGCCTCAGCCTTCCGAGTAGCTGGGACTACAGGCACCCACCACCACGCCTCACTAAATTTTTTTGTATTTTTAGTAGAGATGGGGTTTCACCATGTTAGCCAGGATGGCCTCGATCTCCTGACCTCGTGATCTGCCTAACTTGGCCTCCCAAAGTGCTGGGATTACACATACTTTCTTTATAAGTAAACAGGGCAAGAAGCAGAGTGCGTTCCCCAAGCTCATTCCTATTGCTCTTTCCAACCTGTGCTCTTTCACCTCCATAAAAAACTTCCATTCCTTTGATGCCCATGCCATCCTTGCCAACCACCGTTCTACTCCTCCCTCAACACCATCATCTCCCAACCTCCTGCTAGCCATCAGTCACTCTAGCACCTGGGTCCCAGCCTCCCTCACTATGCCAGAGCTAGGACCATCCAGGTGGCTTCAGGTCCATCCAACATATAGTACCTTCCCACTCTCTGCTCCTCTTCTAAAATCTTAAACCGCTCAACCCACTCTCTAGCTGTGTTCACTACTCTCACTCACTCACTATTACTACATTAAGACTTCTGATTCTCCAGCCCTCCATTTTCTCCCATCTGCCAGACACTTCCCAACCTCACTTCTCCCCCTAACCAATTTACAACCATGATCCATTACTGAAACCATTTTCCTTCCAACAACCTCAATTCTCTTGACCTCTAATACTGAGCTATACCCCTTCCCCTGCTCTGCAGCAGAAGTCTGACCCTAGACATGTGAACCTCAGACACGTGAATTCCTAGCTGCTGCACTGGTGGAGAAAATGAACAACCATGCAGGTCAGTGCCCCTGCGCAGTCACAGCACCCAACCTCAGCTGCCCACAAATCCTTCCATGGGTCCCCTAAAACACCTGCTTCCAATTTCACCACTTTCTTAAGCCCCCTATCCAATCCACTTCCTTAGCACTCTAATAGGTCACACACACACAAAATAGAAGCCATCAGGCAAGTACATGCCCAGCTTCTTCTGCAATCCTCCTCTGCCCCATAAACTTATTAGCATCCACACCTCTATTTACCTTTTTTCCACATAATCAGTGGGAGAACTGTCCTCCTATAAAAGGTGAGGCCACAAGCAAATGCTTTCTAGGACTCCTTTGTCCAGGGGCATCATTCCTCTGCAGCAATTATCTCCAGCTGCTCCTCTATTAGCTCCTTTTCCTCAGCACATAAACATACTCAATCTCTTTGCACTTTAAAAGGACCCTTCTCCAGCCCTCTCACGCTCTCAGACCTATCTTGCTCCTTGTCTTCCCAGCCATGCTTACTGAAAAGAGGGGTCTGCATTTGCTTACTGCTCCTACATCACCTGTCTCCTGCAACCTATCCCCAAGATTCCAATTAAACAGTTCCCACCAAGGTTATGAATGACCTCCCAATAGTCAAATTCAAAGGAGTTCGTTCTGCAGCATTGGCTACTGTTATATAGCTCTTGCAACTCTCTCTCTCCCTTTTGGTTTCAATGAGAACATTCACTTATGTAATTTAGAGAGAAGAGCATGAATTTTAGATCCAAGGAGAGCTACAGTCCATTCCTGGCTCCACTAGCTCTACTATCTCCATTGGCTGTCCCACGACCTCCATCTCAAAATGCCCAAGACTCACCATCTTCCCCTACAACTTGTGCTTCCTCTGATATATCTGATCTCAAAGGAATGGAATCACAGTTCACACAGTTGCCAGTACTAAAATCCTGGGTTTCATCCTTCATGCTCCCTCTCCATCACTTGCCACATACAGAGTCTGAATCCTCCTCTCCCTCCATCACCATTGCTGGCACTTCATTTTGCACATAGGTTCCTGAAAAATTTTTCTCAACAGGTACATCTGCTGCCATGCCTAACCTTCTGATTTATACTCCTTGCTACAACCAGATAGAGATACCACGAAAACACAGGTCCCAACCTTCAAGGCCCCTCAGGATATTAATCCCGTTTACTTGGCTGGCCTCACGTCTCCCACCCCTCCCTGGCACACTATCATCCAGACACACTAAACTACTTTCAGTTCTCCAGGTCTCTTAATGTGCCATCTTCCCTGCCTTCATTCATTGCTCCCTTTGCTAAAACTCCCATTTTCACCTGCTTCACCTGAGGGACACCTCAGCTTCCAAACTTCAGCTCAAATATCACCTCCTTGGCCGGGTGTGGTGGCTCATGCCTGTAATCCCAGCACTTTGGGAGGCTGAAGTGGGTGGATCACTTGAGGCCAGGAGTTCGAGACCAGCCTGGCCAACATGGTGAAGCCTCGTCTCTACTAAAAATACAAAAACTTAGCCGGGTGTGGTGGTGTGCACCTGTAGTCCCAGCTACTTGGGAGGCAGAGGCAGCAGAATCGCTTGAACCCAGGAGGCGGAGGTTGCAGTGGTTGAGATCATGCCACTGCACTCCAGCCTGGGCAACACAGCAAGACTCTGTCTCAAAAAAAAAAAAAGTATCACTTCCTCCAAGACTGGAGATGTCTTGGGCTTGGATTGTCACTCCTGAAAGCTTCTATAGCAAGCTGTGGGTACATTTTTCATTGCAGGCCCTATAATATTGTACTGAGTATTAAGCCTGTTTATGTGCCTTCTGAGCTACTATAAGCCCCTTCAAGACAGTCATATCTTATTAATACATTCCCGACCACAGTCACAGCAACTTGCATAGTGCTCATAAACACTAGTTTAACTGATTGATTCATTCCTTCATTATTAAAAAGGCAATAGCAAAATGATCAATATTCCACCAGATGGAACATCAGTGCAACAGCAATTTAATTATACTACTCTCTTGTTGAATAAGATAGACCATATAATGTAGAACTACATTCAGACCTTGGCATAAGAACATTCTTTTAAAGCCAAACCAACCTCTGAACTCCCAAACAAGTAAAAACAGTTGAATGATGAAAGGCTTGTTCCCTGATGTATCACTTCCTTCACCTGCAGTGGCTGCTCATGACAGTGGGTAGCAGCATTGCTATTACACACCATGAACCTCTTCACTTGACTCTGTTATCTTTTTACTCTGGCTGGCTTCCTTTAAAATCACAGCTGGAGAAAAGCCCAAAAGCTGCTGGCCTCGCCCATCTGTATCTCTAGTTTTTCCTCTTTCAGCTGAAGTAAAGGAGATTGTTGATGCTATGCAGCCTGTGAATACATCTTTACATTTCCAAAGAATGGAAAATAGGTTGACTAGGACAAAGAGCACACTTGGAAGAAATGATCATTTTTATCCACATAAGCAATATCTGAGGACCATTTACAGTAGGGGCAGGCAAGTCTGTAGGACTTACCTTTTTGCTAACTTAGAATGCACAAATTTCCAGTTCCTACTCAGTATTAAAGAATTAAGATGCCGGCTGGGCGTAGTGGCTCTCGCCTGTAATCCCAGCACTTTGGGAGGCCGAGGCAGGCGGATCACCTGAGGTCGGGAGTTCGAGACTAGCCTGACCAACATAGAGAAACCCCGTCTCTACTGAAAATACAAAAATTAGCTGGGCGTGGTGGCACATGCCAGAGGCTGAGGCAGGAGAATCGCTTGAACCCGGGAGGCGGAGTTGCCGTGAGCCGAGATCGCACCATTGCACTCCAGCCTGGGCAACAAGAGCGAAACTCCGTCTCAAAAAAAAAAAAAAAAAAAGAAGAAGAAGATGCCAGAATATGACATAATATCACATTTCTCAAAAATGATTGTTAATTCCAGGTTGTTGATACTTCTTCTAGAAAGCCAGATTGGCCTGTATATAAAGGCAAGGTATTCAAGATCGATAGCTTAGCAAGAAGTCAAATCCAGTGCCCCTACTTTCTAGCTTCATGATCTTGGACAGGCCACCCACCCTCCCTATCCCACAGGGTCCTCATCTGCAATGTGGAAATAAGAATATGCCTACTTTATGTGTGCAAGGTCCTTAGAAAAATGCCTGGCAGGCAGTAAGCTCTCAAGAGGTCTGAGCCCAGCATAATGATACCTACCTTGTGGAATTACGGTGAGCCTTAAGTGAGATAATGTATTTTAAGTGTTGTCACACAGCAGATAACCAATTAATGGTAATAACAATAAATAAATATTGTCACATATAAAAGATTAGTTGTCACCAGTGGCCACTGAGTTTAAATTCATCTGAGTGTTATGGAACTCAGATATGAAATGTCTGAACACATGATCCCATCCCAGAATTGAGAGAATAAGGTGTATTTGAGGGAAGTTATACACAAGGAAGGTGCTGTGGAAAGTGAAGAGGACTTATAAAGAAAAGAGCAGACAGAGAAGAGAGCCTTGGACAACAGTATATCACTGAAGAAATAATGGATTCAGGGTGGGGCCTATGAAAGACAGGCAGATGGAGGCTAGGAGAAGAGGAAGCTACAATAAGAAAAAAAAAAATAGGAGAAAGAATAATGTCCTAAAAATGCTGGAATGAAGGGAACAGAGCCTATGATACTGGCTGGAAAAATGATATAGCAAAAAGGATTTTCTAAGGCCACAGGTGGGGACACTGGCTGAGATGTTGCCAGGTGCCTGTGGTTTGGGCTAAAAGGTACTCTGAGATCCAAACACAGAAAAGCACATAACTCCTCCATATCCCAAAGAAACAAGGAGCTAAGATGGTCTTTTAACCTGGAATTGGAGAGTACAATGACAAGATAAAATCCTTGACACAAGGACTTTTATCTAAGAGTCAGGACCAGAGCAGAGGCTGGCAAAGTAAATGTGGATTGTCTGTCAGGAGGCGGGATGGTGTGTGGAAAAAGCAAGGACTATTCAGTGTGTAACTCATGGTAAATGAACAGGATTTAGCTCCACAAGCTGGGGCAAACCTAACTGAGCCGTGTGAGCAACATATCTATAGACTATTTAGATCAAATACTCACTGACCAGCTACGAGTATGTGCCTTGAAGATGCTTAGAAGATACAGGAAAGGCCAGTCTTCGGATGACAGCATGAAGAAATGTCCCTCTGGGTAGGGGCAGTAAGGAATAACTTAGGCCACTCAGGGTATAGGACAGGGAGTCTTGCCCCATTTTGACAAATAATGGTCTATGTGGTCCCCTGGCTTTTCTGGGTTGATAGGGAGAAAAATTAAGGAAAACTGTTTTTCCACAGTTTTGGTGGGGAGAAACAGAGGGAGAAAAAACAAAAAAATCTTATGAAGAAATGATCCTTTCCCCATTTTTTGCATTTTTAGAAATTATTTAATATGTCTGAATCCTTAATATTTCCTTATTATTTCCTTATCTTCTACAGTGGTAAATCCCATTATCTCACTGGTAAGCTACTCTCCCAGCTATTCCCGGTCTTAGATACACTAACAAATACAGGGTTAGTACAACCAACAGCAATCACAGAGCATTAATGAGTCTACTCCTGATCTTAGACTGGTAACTCTCAGGCAGGCCTGGGTTCAATATTCCTTCTGATGAAGGCTCTGAGGAGAGACTCCCGAAGGAAGCAAGAATACCTACCAGCACACTCCTCCAGGGAACACAGGGAGGCCTCCAAGGACATTCCAGGGCAGACAGGACTGGAGGGGAAGGAAGTGAGACACACTCGGCGACGCTCTCTGACACCATCCCCACATGTGGCACTACACTGGCTCCATGGCTGCCACAGTCCCCAAGTTTCTGCAAGGATATAAGTTATGCTTTTAATGCTAGTTCATTTGAGAATCAGTATTTAACTGCACCCAAATGAAACAGCAAAACTCAAATCTCAGGTCTTGAAAAGCCCGTGAGTTAAAGCGTTCCCAGAGATGAAGAAAGCTGAAAAGAGTTGCTCCTAACTTTAAAACAAAGAAAAGCTGTATAATTTAAAGATCTTAACCTTTCCAGAACCCAAAAAAGAGCTGAGGTCGCAGGACAACTAACTGTGCTGCAATAAAAGGAAAGATAGCATCTTCCAAGGAAAAATGAGATGCAACTCTTGTTTACCAGGGGCAGACACCAGGCTGCATACAAGGTGGTAAGAAGAGTTCACTTAAAAATGTAATGAACTGCCAAAAGCCTAGTGGAGTAGCACAGAATATAGAACCCCTACGACTCACATACACAAGCAGAATTTATACCCACTTGCAGACTCTTCTCCACAGATCTCATCAAATACAAGAAGCACTGGGGGCAGATGCAAGACCAGACAAAGCCTCCCTCATGGTGGAGGCCCAAGGAGGGAAGGGGCAGCACTGTGGAAAAGACACAGAACCTCACCTGTCCTCTCTCCATTTCCTCTACTGAATAAAAGCTTCAACCACTTGGGGAAAGGCCTCAAACCCTATTATCCTAAGAGCACCAGTTGATATCAACTGCTTCTAGAGAATGGAAAAAGAAACTCCTTCACCCTTGGGGAAGAGCCAAAAATATCCTGGACCCAGACTATTAGAGATCATCTACCACTGGGGAGGCGCAGGATCATCAAGAAGGTCCCATTCCTGAAACTTAGGAACACAGCACTTGCCTAAGACTGAGGCTGAACTAGTACAAGGGAATGCCCTCCCTCTACTCCAGGCTAGCAAGTGCCAAATATCAAATAACAACAGTCTACTTCTGGGGAAGAGGCATAGCAAAAGATGAAAGCCTCTCTGATGTGCAGGCTCACACCTAAAGCTGAGGGTGGGACAGAAGCATGGAGGAAACCCCTATAGTCATGCAATGCCTTCCCTAAACACAAAATAACACTCAAAAAATGTCAAATGTGATAAGCACTGAGGGTAGCCATAACAATGGTAAAAACCCAAACATAGCTCAATTCTTTACTATATTAACCCAATACCCAAACTAAAGGCCTAGCAAAAACAGAGGTATGACCATTTCCAGGCATAAATACCTCCATGTCTATAGTTTCAAACAAGGTGTCCAGCTTTCAACTCAAAATTATTAGGCACAAAAAGCAAGGAAAAAAACCATAAAACTATTAAGAGACAAAGTAATCAAGATAACCAGACTCAGAGCTGACCCAGATATTAAAACTCTCAGAGAGAGAATGTAAAATAGCTACGATAAATATGCCAAAAACTTTAGTGGAAAAGGTGAACAAGATGCATAAACAGATGGAAAATTTCATCAGACTGTTAGAAACTAAAAAGTCAAATGGAAATATTAGAATTTTAAAATATGGTAACACAGATGAAGAAGGCTCATCAATAGACTTGACACACAGCTGAGGAAAGAAACAGTAAATGTGAATACAAGTAAATAGAAATGTCCCAAACTAAAAAACACAAAGAGGAAAAAAAGAGTACATAAAACAGAATAGAAGACCTAAGAGCTGTGGGGCAATATCAGACTCCCATACATGTAATTGGAATACCAGGAGAAGAAGATAGAGTAGGACACAATAAATAAGTCCAAGAACTCTCCAAAGTTAATGAAAGACTCCAAACCACATATCCAAGATGCTCAGAAAACACCATGCAGGATAAATAGAAAAAGCAATACTGTACCCAAACTGCTGAAAACCAAAACCAAACCAAAAAGTTTGAAGGCTGTGGCTGAAGGGTGGGAGAATATACCACCAGAGAAGAATGACAATAAGAATTACAGCTGACTTCTTGACAAAATTATCCAAGCCAGAAGATAAGAGAATGTCATCTCTAAAGTACTGAAAGAAAAAGCTACCACCCCAGTAAAAAAAAAAATATATATGTATATATATATTTCAAAAATAAAGGAGAAATAAAGACTTTTTCAGAAAAACAAAAATGGAGATCATGCATGTATTACTAGCAGTCCTTCAATACAAGAAATGTTCAAAGAAATCCTTTGGGCAGAAAGAAAATGTTACCAGACAAAAATCTGCATTTATATAAAGAAATGAAGAGTGCCAGCAATGGTATATATAAAGGTAAAAATCATTTTTCTCATTTTTAAATGCTCTAAAATATCACTGATAGCCTAAAACAAAATAGCGGCAATGTATTATTTGTTTTGTTTTTGTTTTTGAGACAGAGTTTCACTCTTGTTGCCCAGGATGGAGTGCAATGGTGCGATCTCAGCTCACCGCAACCTCCACCCGCCTGGGTTCAAGCGATTCTCCTACCTCAGCCTCCCGAGTAGCTGGAATTACAGGCATGCGCCACCACATCCAGCTAACTTATGGTATTTTTAGTAGAAACGGGGTTTCTCCATGTTGGTCAGGCTGGTCTTGAACTCCCAACCTCAGGTGATCTGCCCACCTCGGCCTCCCAAAGTGCTGGGATTACAGGCATAAGCCACCACAACTGGCCGTATTAAGTGTTTAATAGCATATATAAAGTAAAATTATGACAACGATCACACAAAGAATGGGAGGAGTGAATTGGGAGTGTATTGTTCAAAAGTCCTTATACTACATGTGAAGCAATATAATACCTGGAGGTAGACTGAGAGTAAACATATATATTATAAACTCTAGGACAACCACTAAATAACACTTTTTTTTTTTTTGAGACAGATCTTGCTCTGTCGCCCAGGCTGGAGTGCAATGGCGTGATCTCGGCTCACTGCAACCTCCACCTCCCAGGTTCAAGCGATTCTCATGCCTCAGCCTCCCAAGTAGCTGGGATTACAGGTGTGTATCACGATGCCCAGCTAAGTTTTTTGAATTTTTAGTAGAGACGGGGTTTCACCATGTTGGTCAGACTGGTCTTGAACTCCTGATCTCAAGTGATCTGCCCTCCTCGGCCTCCCAAAATGCTGGGATTACAGGTGTGAGCCATGGCGCCCAGCCCACTAAATACATTTTTAAGGTATAAATAATAAACCAATAGTGTAGTTAAAGTAAACCATTAAAATATTCAATTAATCTAAAATAAGGCAGAAAAAAAGATGAAAAAACAGAATGGATGTAACAAATATAAATCCAGCAAAATAAATCCAACCATATAATGATAAAACTAAATAATCTAAACACTAAGTTAAAAGACATAGATTGTCAGATTAGATAAAAAAGCACAATCCAACTATTTTTTTTAAAGCCCACTTTACGTATAGACATATATATGTTAAAAGTAAAAAAACGGAAGATATGCCTTATGAACACTAATCAAAAGAAAACTAGAGTAACTACATTAATATCAAACAAAATAGACTGCAGAACCAGGGATATTACCAGGGATAAAGAGCAACATTATATAGTGATAAAAGGGTCAATTCAGCAAGGAACCTTAATCCTAAATGAGGATGTACCTAACACCGGAGCTTCAAAATACACACAAAACTCTCCCAGCCATTATTGATTGATAAATGTGAATTTCTCATCCAAGCAGATACGTAATCACTGCCAGACAGAACAAATGAGTAATTTCCCTATAAATAATTATTCTGGTAGTCATGGTGGTGCGCTCCTGTAAATACCAGCACTCTGGGAGGCCAAGGCAGGTGGATCACTTGAGCTCAGGAGTTTGAGACCAGCCTGGGCAACATAGCAAAAACCCATCTCTACAAAAAATGCAAAAATTAGCCAGGGATAGTGCCATGCACCTGTAGTACCAGCTACTCGGGAGACTGAGGTAGGAGGATCACCTGAGCCAGGGGAAGTCGAGGCTTCAGTAAGCCACGATCACACCACTGTACTCCAGCCTTGGCAGCAGAGTGAGACATTGTCTCAAAAAAAAAAAAAAGAATTATTTTAATAATTCTGTCTATCAGTACCCATCCAACCCCAAGACCTATCAGATCTTGCCAACACTGGCCACCAAAACACACTCTGCATAAAACACTCTCTTCATCCTTTATGGACAGAAACTTCTAATGCAGCCAAAGGTATACAAAGCACTACAAAACATAAAACGTGTAGGGCAGATGCATTCTCAGGTGAGCCAAGTGGTGCAATCTTTGGAGTGAGTAATGGAATATGAGTTCTTTACAGCAATTAAAAGGATTTTCACAAGAGTGGGAGGACTACAAACCAGTATCCTGGACCAACATCAACTGAGATGTGCTAATTATGTTCCATCTAGAGGTCCAAGTGAACACAATATTGGTTCTGTGCCTCCAAGATCACACTGGAGCTCCTCATACAGCATAACAATGAGCTGGCTTTGTCTTCAAAGCTTCAGAGATGTTCCCATACTAAGCCCCTCTGCTTGAAAAGCTTTGAGAATCTCCTATTAAAGTCTCTCTGAGTTATAGTATTGTGATTTATTTTGGGAAAATCTACTGGAAATCCGACTACTGTAAAATCTGAATTAAAAATTAAGTCAATATATAGTTTATCCTTCTCCATGCTCATATTTAGGACCACAAAAGGTAGAATTACACATGCTAAGAATCTTTTGTTGTTCCTTCTGAACTCTTTTGCTTTATATAATTTATTTAAGTGCATAAAGTCATTTGTCAAACTAAAAATAAAAATTCCACTAGTGAGGATCAGAAAAAAAATCAGTTTTGATTTAAAAAAGTATATTTGTTAGATTAAAAAATTATATGTATATATAAATAATGGAACTCATATTCCATTACTCACTCCAAAGATTGCACCACTTGGCTCACCTGAGAATGCATCTGCCCTACACGTTTTCTTTATGTTTTGTAGTGCTTTGTGTACCTTTGGCTGCATTAGAAGTTTTCATCCATAAAGAATGGAGAGAGTGTTTTATGCAGAGTATGTTTTGGTGGCTAGTGTTGGCAGGATCTGATAGATCTTGGGGTTGGATGGGTAATGATAGACAGGGGACTTAGAATAAATTTTTTTTTTTTTTGAGACAATGTCTCACTCTGCTGCCAAGGCTGGAGTGCAGTGGTGTGATCGTGCCTTACTGAAGCCTCAACTTCCCCCTGCTCAGGTGATCCTCCTACCTCAGCCTCCCGAGTAGCTGGTACTACAGGTGCATGGCACTATCCTTGGCTAATTTTTGCATTTTCTGTAGAGATGGGTTTTTGCTATGTTGCCCAGGCTGGTCTCAAACTCCTGAGCTCAAGTGATCCATCTGCCTTGGCCTCCCAGAGTGCTGAGATTTACAGGGGTGTGCCACCATACCTGCCAGAAGTATATATATATATAATTTTACATATATATATATATTTTTTAGATGGAGTCTTGCTCTGTAGCCCAGGCTGGAGTGCAGTGGTGCAATCTTGGCTCACTGCAACCTCTGCTTCCCAGGTTCAAGCAATTCCCTTGCCTCAGGCTCCTGAGTAGCTGGGACTACAGGCACGTGCCACCATGCCCGGCTAATTTTTGTATATTTGGTAGTGATGAGGTTTCACTATGTTGGCCAGGATGGTCCTCAATCTCCTGACCAAGTGATTCACCCACCTCGGCCTCTCAAAGTGCTGGGATTACAGGCGTGAGCCACCGCAGCCGGCAAAAATCTTAATGTCAAAAAAATCTCATTTTGAAATGTTGTGTTCTTTTCCCTTGAAAGTAAAATCATAGGCCAGGCACGGTGGCTCATGCCTGTAATCCCAGGACTTTGGGAGTCCGAGGCAGGCGGATCACAAGGTCAGGAGTTCGAGACCATCCTGGCTAACACGGTGAAACCCCATCTCTACTAAAAATACAAAAAATTAGCCGGGCGTGGTGGCGGGCGCCTGTAGTCCCAGCTACTCAGGAGGCTGAGGCAGGAGAATGGCGTTAACCCAGGAGACGGAGCTTGCGGTGAGCCGAGATCGCGCCACTGCGCTCCAGCCTGGGGGAGAGAGTGAGACTCCTCTCAAAAAAAAAAAAAAAAAAAAAGTAAAATCATAGCATGTAGGATACCACACAATAAAACAAAATGAACATTTAAGCTAAGCTTTTATGTCTCCATTTCTAAATCAAATTAATCAAACAGTAAACACAGGAAATCACTCAAAGCAATGATCAAATTTAAGTAGGCAAATATTTGTAAATGTCTTAAGTAACTCCATCTGATCCCTGAGATCTCCGCTAATAACTCTGAGGAAAATACTTGGCAAAATGGGAACTCATTAGATAACTGTAGTTCATATGTTAGAAATGAAGAGCAAAATGACCAATACTCCAAATAGTCCTACTTCACGAATGAAAAGCTGTTTTGTTTTGTCTTGTTTAGACATCCATACATGTGCTCACACTACATAACAAACCTGTTTGTCCAGGCTAAATGCCTTTCAGCCTATTATAGAGGGTTTTAATTTTGAATAAGCAAAATATGCCTTAAATGTGAAAAGGGAGGTTTGTTTCTACCCATAAAGCTATCTGAAGGAATACAGCTTTGAAATATTCACATCTGCAAGGCATTTTGTTCAAGAAACCAAGGTAACTAAACAAATCACGATTATAAGAAAATTCTATAGACATAAGGGAGTAGCTATAAGCAGTAGGAAGAGCAGTAGCACCTGGGATAAGCAGTTCAGATTTTCTTTGCATAGACAAGGCTTCCTTATATTGAACAAATCATACTTATGCTTGGGCCTGTGGGCTCCCAAGTGGTTACGGGTGTTCCAAGAGATGGGTGGCACAAAATGAAACAGTAAGTTAAGGAGGAAAAAACAGAGCCTTTTTTTTTTCAATCTAAAAGCTTTGTACTGTTTAATACATGGATTGACAGTCAATTGCATAGAAGGCAGTTACAGAATAGTGGTCAAATTAAACTCCCAAGCTAGTCTACCTGGATTTGTGTTCTGACCCTTCTATTTAAACACCATTGACCTTGGACAAATTACTAACCTTTCTGTGCCTCCATTTCATCACCTATAAAATTGACAATGTAATGAAATGAGTTGAACTCATAAACTTGTTATGAGGACTATATGGGTTAATATCCATAAAACAGTTAGAACAGTGCCTGATGCAAAGTAATCACTGTGTAAATATTTATCCCATTAAGTGGAATAAAGATTATAAATAGTCATTTTTGGCAAATCCATTATGTATTTGCTATCAATTGTTATTTACATATTATCCTAAGATCCTCAGACATATTTGGAAGAAGAGACAAACATAAAAACACAGAAATCAAGACCATCCTGACCAACATGGTGAAACCCCGTCTCTACTAAAAATACAAAAATTAGCCGGGCATGGCAGTGCATGCCTGTACTCCCAGCTACTTGGGAGGCTGAGGCAGGAGAATTGCTAGAACCCGGGAGGTGGCAGGTGCAGTGAGCCCAGATCGCACCACTGCACTACATCCTGGGCGACAGAGCGAGACTCCATCTCAAAAACAAAAAACAAAAACAAACAAACAAAAAACTATTATTCTAGTTTCAAAAGGAACTAATAAATTCAGTGTGAGTCAGTGGCTTACACAAGTTATGGTGAGTCCCTAAATGGTACCATTTGGCAAAAAAGACACTCTTTACTGGTCAGAGATAGAAAATAAAAGGAGAACCCAGTTCAGTCATAAATTTTATACTAAAAACACAGGAAGTCACTGAGGTTCCTGTCTCAAGCATAAATTTCATTTCTCAGACCAACAGAGTCAGAGATGGTCTGCCACACCAAGAGCCAGGGTCTCCAGGCATGTTTAGCTCCCCCAGTTACTGCCCCCAGCCCTATTGTTCTAATGTGTCTCGCAGTTGGCTGCATGGGGCAGCCCCACAGGGAGCCCCTGACTACCCTCCACCTAGACACACAGAGAACCACTCCCGTTCTGCCCTTTTCCAGCGTCTTCCTGCTGCTGCTGGTGTGGGAAAAACTCCAGCCTTTAGACATGGAATGGAAGCATCTGTGGAAAGCCCAGCAGCTGGGAAAACCACCAAGGTGGCCCTCCTGCCCCCATGTGACCTTAATTAAATGGCCCCAATTTATTGACTTCCTTTGATTCATTTTTGCTAAGTTCAGTCAGTTTTTTTTCCCCATGAATATTTTCTTTTGAAAAGGCAAGAATATTGGGCCAGGCACGGTGGCTCATGCCTGTAATCCCAGCACTTTGGGAGGCCGAGGCAGGTGGATCACCTGAGGACAGGAGTTCAAGACCAGCCTGGCCAACATGGCAAAACCCCGTCTCTACTAAAAATACAAAATTTAGCCAGGCATGGTGGGGCGCATCTATAATCCCAGCTACTCAGGAGGCTGAGGCAGGAGAATCACTTGAACCTGGGAGGTGGAGTTTGCAGTGAGCCAAGATTGTGCCACTGCACTCCAGCCTGGGCAACAGAGCAAGACTGTCCCAGAAAAAAAAAAAAAAAAGAATATCTTAGATGAGTAAATTCTTTCAACCTAATTGTTTTTCTCCTAATACCTAGTTGAGACTAGCCAAATCTGAGTTCAGTTTTCACTTAATAAGCATGCATTGAGCACCTCTGAATGTGCCAGGCATACTAAGTGGGCCAAATAAAGACCATAAAAAGCTTCATAGCAGCACGAGTCAGGTTTTGCCACCAAATGAGCTTCCCCCATCTGCTGTGCAGAGGGGATTTATAGGGGGAGAAAGATATTAAACAAGCAATGGCAGAAGTGATAAATGCCATCAAAGAGGAACGAAAAGATGCTGCCCCAGCTTCCAGGAGAGGAACTGAACCTGAGGTCATGGAAGAGTAACCCAAGTGGAGACTTGAAGGATGGGTTAATGTTAGCCAGGAGAAGGAGAGAGGAGGGTGTCCTGGGCCCCAGTGCAGAGATGGTGACTGCAGGGATGTGGGGGCAGCCTGACCTTGGAAGGTTTTATGGATTTGCATCCTCATGCCTAGTGAAATGACAGGTTTTAAGAAGGAGAATAGCCTCAGCTGACCTGAATTTTAAACAATCCCTTTGGCTGCAGTGAGAGAAAGAAGTGGACAGATGGAAACCAATTAGGAATCTGTTCTGAGTCTAGGCAAGGGGTAACGGAGATTTAACCCAAGTGGTGTCACTGGAACTGGGGAGAAGTGGAGAGATTGAGACACTCAGGAGACAAAGCCATAGGACTCAGTAATGTAGCATTTATAGGAGGTAAAGAAGAGGAAGACTTCTGGCTTCTGGTTTGAACAGTAAGATGGTTGGTGAAGTCCTACACTGAGAAGCAGTGTTAGGGGGTACAAGGATGAGTCTTAGTCCAGAAATGCTGCTTCTGAGGTGCCAGGGAGACATCTGAGGGATGCAGCACCTGGAGGCAGGGAACGAGCAGGGAAGAGACGTCCATCTGGAGCCATCAGCATCAAGGCTAATCACCTGGCAAGTGTGTGAAGAGTAAATGAGAAGACAACCAGCACTTAACGGAGATAGGCAGTGGAACTGGTGGGCCAAGGAGACTGTGAAGAAGCAAGCAGGGAGGTGGGAGGTGAGCAGGGCGAGTGTGGTGTCACAGAATCAAGGTCAATGAAGACACTGGGTGAAGTGTGCCTGGATTTGGAGTCCTGTACCTCATTTGTTGTGTAGAACAGGAGCAAGACCTGGCCTGGGTGACATGCTGAGCAGCATGCAGGCCCTGCCAAGGGTGAAAGCATGATCCACCCACGGTGGCATCAGGCCACCATGATGTAACCTTGTCACTCAGCCTTAGCAACTTGGGTGCAGTGGGTGGCTGGCAGATGGCTGGATACAGGCAGAGCTGGGGTGTGTCCTGGCAGGCGTATCAAAAGGACGAAGCTAAGGAGTTTAGGATATTGGCAGGAGGGTGGTTAAAGGGATGAACCATGGAATCTAAGCTGGATAGAAAAGGAAGTGCAAGGAGGGAAGTGGCCAGTGGCGGAGGAGAAAGCCAAAGGAAAGGGACTTAAGGAGAGGAAGTGGGTAAATTTGCAGCAAGGAACACTGGGGGTTACAAAGTCAGGCTTGTGTAGTCAGGGGACACTGGGCTTACCAGGGATAAAGATAAAAAGCAGGCTGGGCGCAGTGGCTCATGCCTGTAATCCCAGCACTTTGGGAGGCCGAGGCATGTGGATCACAAGGTCAGGAGATCGAGACCATCCTGGCTAACACAGTGAAACCCCGTCTCTACTAAAAATACAAAAATTAGCCGGGCATGGTGGTGGGCGCCTGTAGTCCCAGCTACTCAGAAGGCTGAGGCAGGAGAATGGCATGAACCCGGGAGGCAGAGCTTGCAGTGAGCCGAGATCGCGCCACTGCACTCCATCCAGTCTGGGCGACAGAGCGAGACTCTGTCTCAAAACAAAACAAAACAAAACAAAGATAAAAAACGAACGAGACCATTTCTGCCAAATTAAACTACTTAATAAGACCAGACTTTCCCCCAAGAAAAGGGAAAGAAATGCAAAGAGCAGCATAGGGAATTAATGGAATTGTCATAACCCTGTTTCTTCATGATTAGGTGGGGCATTACATAAAGAATACAGAATCCCAATACATTTTTAGAACTCTTGCTTTGATTTCTCACTAAAAAGGCCCCATTCCTATAATGAATGACTTAAGAGAAGAGACATGCTCAGCTAGAGGAGGACAGAAGTTGCTAATTTGGGATTTGGCTTTGAATTCCAATAATCTCTGCCATTAACTTACCATATGATTTAATAATGGGATTTTAAAAATCTAATATAATGTTTATTCAGCACTTCCTAAATGCCAGGCACTATCCTGAGAGTGTTACATGTTGATTTCGTTCAATCTCCACGACTCTGAAGTATGTACTTGTATTGCCCCTATTTTACTGATGGGGAAATGAGATGTAAAGAGGTTAAGTAGGTTTACCAGTACTCTTAATTTTTCAGCTAAGGGTGATAATGCCAATTGGTACATTATAAGGCATGAACCATAAAAATGATGGTACAATTCACCTAAATTTCACCTAAATTCTAAATAATTTTGATTACATGAAGGATTTGATTTAAAATGTTAAAAAAATCTCAATACAAACCTGTATTTCTCTGAATTAGCATGCACTCCTCCTTTGCAGAAAAATGGCTTCTGCTTGAAATGCCAAAGTCAAAGCAGTACTTATTCTTCCCCATGTCAAACAAAGTACAGTTAAAAATTGTCCTCCTCTCTCCCAGGGGCAGGCTGTTTTCAGCCAAGTGAATGGTCCTCTTCCCAGGGTATCTGGGGGCCTCCTTGAAGACAGTGACCACTCCTTGGACGAAGGTGCATGGTGGAGGCAGCACTGTCACCTCTACCCCGGACTCACATGTGAGTTCTGGCACCATCACCAGTTTGTATCCAAATTTCTGGGCCAGGTCAATGGGTCCTGTGGAGGTAATGACTGAGTCTCGCCCAAGCAGCTTCAGCACCACGGTGACATAGGCTTCTGGCCCCAAGGGTGCACAGCCAAACTCAACCCACTGACCTTGAGCAAGTTCTGTCCTTTTGCTGGTTCTTATTTCCAGCGGCTGTCTTGAATTTCTTCTTGCCTCAGGAAGACTGTTGGTGAAGATGACATCCACTACGATGTTGGGCTTGTCCACAGGAAACGGGCACAGTGGTTGACTGGTAAATAGGCCCACTTGGAAGGTGCCTTCTGCTGCCTTGGCACTCCTATTCAAGTCAACGTGAAAGACAGGCCATTCCACCTTCAGAAAGGCACTTTTCTCCCACCAGGGGAATGGAGTGCTGTTGTCTGTTGCTTCTGGAGTCATTGTGAACCAGTAGTCACCAGCCTCCTTGAAATAGAAGCACTCAAACTTTAGTGTTCCCTGGGACTGGTTGGTCAGGAGGTACTTGGTAGTTACAGTCTGATTGGTGTTGGCCTCCAACAGCAGGACAGATACATTCCTCAGTGTCCCATTAGCACCATCAAAATACTGGAAATCCACATACACTGTGTCGTTGCTTAGTGCTACATGGCCTGGCTCTCTCAAGAGAAGATATTCAGCTTCTCCAAGAACTGAAATGAAGTGGTCAGAATTGGTTTTTAAAAGGTGCATTTGAGAAGAACTATTAGTGACATTGATGAAAACAGAATTTTTAAATTTTTTTTTGAGACAGGGTCTCATGCTGTCACCGAGGCTAGAGTGCAGTGGCGCAATCACTGCTCGCTGTACCCCTAACATCTTGGGCTCAAGCGATCTCCCACCTCGCCCTCACGAATAGCTGGGACTACAGGCACATGCCACCACACCCAGCTAATTTTCTTTTTGTAGAGACTGGTTTCAAACTCTTGGGCTCAAGCAATCCTTCCACCTCAGACTCTCAAACTGCTAAGATTATAGACATGAGCCACTGCACCCAGCAGAAAACAGCATTTTAGACAAGAGAAGTTAGAACTGAGCCAGGGATGATGTAAAATGATACTGAGCACAGATCCTGGAAGCTGGCCATTGTGCTCTTTCCATGGAAGTGGTTCTGTTCCTTCTTCATCTTTCATAGTTAGGTTTAAAATAATTAGTGGTAAATACTCTGAATTCACAACATTCAACAATGTGATATATCTGCAATGAAAATCTATACAGCCAGAATAATAATTTTTAGGATTAAAAACCCAGTATCTCATATTGTTAATCAAAGATTCTGGTGTTTAGATATTTGGGGAAAATGGATATACAGTGAAGAGAAAGCTTGATTTAAATGACACAATACAAATTGTTCTGGATTATTTTAAATGTAAGACCCTAAATTTATTTCAAAGTTATTATTTACTGATATTCAAGACAAGCACTGGGGAATTTTTACCAATAAAGGAATCAGTGTCCTCAGTTTGTATGAGGCAGACATATTTAGATGGATAAGAAATGTTGACACTTTATGCTGCATGGATAACCGAAGGGATAGGGTGAACATTTCTGAAATAACTAGGCTTGTCCTTGGCAATTTAATGACATTACAGCAACTTTTATTTGCCTAAATAGGACAGATGACTACTACTTCTCAAGTATCATTCTGTAAGGATCAATCATATCTTTTAAAAAGAGACCCAGCAGAGCAGCCTAAGTGAAAAGTGCAAAGAATAGACACACAAGAATCCTTGTTTCTATTTTGAATCCCATCCAAATATATATCAAAGGAGGCAGAATTTGGCAATACAACAGTCAGCTGGCCCGTGGCTAGGGTAAGAAACAGTTCTAGATGTAAGGGATTGAAGTTCCCTTTAGGTTTGAAAAACAACTTGTGGAAGTATGAATTTATTATTCTTATTATATATGCCTCATGAATATATATGTCCAAAGGGGCCCATGTGTTTTTTTGTTTGGGGTTGCAGTCTTTAAAATACCCTTATATATATGCAATCAATGATTATTAGAATCAGCACATGAATACCTTGGCACACAGAGGAGTTTTTAATTAGCACAGCATTTCACCTAGTTCTCATTTGAGATGAGGTGAAATAAAAGACATAAAACTTGGATGACTTGAATGCTTGATTATCACTTGTTTGAAAACCATAATAGGATAAAGTTCTTTTTTTCTCCAATTAAGCAAAAACAAGTTGAGGGATATTCCCTTTTGTTTGGAGATGACTCAAAGTTGAGGAAGGTGGCTGATTCTGGTGCAGCTTGTGTACTGGATCAGACCCAACCTGGTACCTTTCTTGAACTACTGTGTAAAGAGACCCCAGCACTTACCACAGCCCAAGCAAGTGCTTAAGACTGAGAACAAAGTCATACTAATTTGGATCTGAAGGGGGCAGGATGGTTCTGTGGTCCATTTAAGAATAAGAGGCATACACCACTTAGTTAACTAATGAAAGTCTATTGCAGGCTGGTCCGATGGTAGCAGGTTATCAGAACTTATTAACATTAGTGTCACCAAAGTTGGTATATGACCCCCAACTACTAAATTTGACTGGCTTAAAAAAAAAAAAAAAGCAGTCTCTTGTGTATGACAGGGATTGTCAGTGAAGCAGATCAGATTCTGATTGATGGGAGCCAGTCAATGAAAAAGACACACATGCCCCGTTGGAAATGGAAAACAAAGATGCAATTGATGAGTTCCAGCAGCAGCAGATAGGAGGTATGTACTAGAGGGAGAATTTGCTACTTTAGAGCTCCTGTTAGAAAACTACAATTTGGGCCAGGCACGGTGGCTCACACCTGTAATCTCAGCACTTTGGGAGGCCGAGATGGGTGGATCACCTGAGGTCAGGAGTTCAAGACTGGCCTGGCCAACATGGTGAAACCCTGAATCTACTAAAAATACAAAAATTAGCTGGGCATGGTGATGGGCGCCTGTAATCTCAGCTACTCAGGAGGCTGAGGCAGGAGAATTGCTGGAACCCGGGAAGTGGAGGGTGCAGTAAGCCGAGATTGCACCATTGCACTCCAACCCGGGCCGACAACAGCGAGACTCCATCTCAAAAAAACAAACAAACAAACAAACAAAAAACTACAATTTGGTTCTACCACATCCTGACTACTGTAATATACAGGTAATGCTAAATTTTGATCAGTATTAAGTAGAGATAAAGCAGGGTAAAACAGATCTACGACAATACCTACTTTTTTTATCAGTGGCTTGTGCACTCAACCTCTATGCTCTTTTTTTATGCTCATTCAACTTTCATTTTCATATTCCAGTAAGAAATTTTGCTATTAACAACAAACACCCTTGTATAATTTGTTTAAATGGAGAATTTCGATGCTTTATTTATCATTATGAAACCAAGAACACATACTTTTTTGTAGAAGGCTGTTACATGTAGAGTAATCTGTGTTTTTTTGTTTTTGTTTTTTTGTTTGTTTGTTTTTGAGACGGACTTTTGCTCTTGTTGCCCAGGCTGGAGTGCAGTGGCATGATCTCGGCTCACCACAACCTCCGCCTCCCGGGTTCAAGTGATTCTCCTGCCTCAGCCTCCCAAGTAGCTGAGATTACAAGTGCGTCTCACCACATCCAGCTAATTTTTGTATTTTTAGTAGAAACGGGGTTTCACCATGTTGGCCAGGATGGTCTCAATCTCTTGACCTCGTGATCTGCCCGCCTCGGCTTCCCAAAGTGCTGGGATTACAGGCGTGAGCCACTGCATCCAGCCAGAGTAATCGGTTTTTAAGAAGGGATAAATTACTTTTTTTTTTTTGAGACAGAGTCTCGCTCTGTCACCCAGGCTAGAGTGCAGTGGTGCGATCTCGGCTCACTGCAAGCTCTGCCTCCCGGGTTCACGCCATTCCCTGCCTTAGCCTTCCGGGTAGCTGGGACTACAGGCACCTGCCACCACATCCGGCTAATTTTTTTGTATTTTTAGTAGAGATGGGGTTTCACTATGTTAGCCAGGATGGTCTTGGTCTCCTGACCTGGTGATCCGCCCACCCCGGCCTCCCAAAGTGCTGGGATTACAGGCATGAGCCACCGCGCCCGGCCAAATTACTTTAAAATAAATGAATCCCACACTGGCTTTCCTTAAATCCGGTGTCTTCTTGTATAAATAAACTTCTTAAAAAAGAAAAGACTGAGAAAGGAGGTCTACTGAATGAAATGAACAGCACAGGCTCTGGTCCATTTAACCAGCTATGCCATTCACATTACACAAGCCAGTGTCCTCTATATCTTGGATCACAATTTCTTTACCAAATTCAAAAACAACTTCCACTGCCATGCAATCAACTGCTTAGATGTCTATGAAATATTTGGAAATCATCAAAAGTAGTGAAGATTATATCATATTGTTGACTCTATTGTTCAGTAGTTGTATAAAGCTCTCTGAGAAATGAACTCAATTTTTAGGTGAAACGAATGACGAGAACAGACTTTAAGCACCTACTATTTGCTCATTCAGGGTGTTTTGCACTCTTGATATTATCATAACAACCCTGTAAAGTCAATATTATTGCTGAGATTGAAAGAGATTAAGAAACTTTTCTAAGAGCACGCAACTTTCAAGGATTGAAATTCAGATTGGGTCCAAATGTATGTTAGCACCAAAACTCGGTCAAGTGAAATCTTATGTAGAACCCTAATATACACAACATCATTGCATGTGTGTATGAAGTGATTTATCACACTTAATTACTGGGAAATCAAAGAGAACTCAAGGTAACATGCTTGCCTCCAATTTGTTAAAATTTGAGAGAGTTGGTTTTTTTATTTTTTTAAGAGTTAAAAATATAAAATGAAATACGAATCAATCATGCAGAATCACTGAAGCATAAGAGAACCCAGGGTTGCAAGGGTCACAGTTGAGAAAGCACTGCACTATATACCCTACCCTGCCTCCTTCAGGAAGAGTCATCAACATCAATGCATTTATAATGTCATCTTTATGTCTTATTGCTACCAGTAGCGTTAAGTATACTCACAATACTCACCATAGTCACAGAGTACCACCAACAATAGATTTGAAAAGTCTTTCAACATTGGTTTCATTCTGATTGACAAAATCCCAGGTCTTTAGTCTCCTCATGTCCTTTCTCACGTCCAGATTGTGATTTTTTTCCCCAAAAACACCTGAAATTAGAACCTCAAAAAATGATGGCTCCGTTCAATGTGATTGATAAAATAGTAATCATTAAATGACAAAACCATTCTAAAACTCAAACTTTCTAAGTGATATTGAAAGGAAACTAGAGAGGACACTAATTTTCCCTGGGGCAATGACTTATAATTATACAAGCCTTTTTCATTCCATTATAACTCACAGGTCAAGAATATGCAGGTATGCCCAACACCCACTAAAATTATCTTTGCACAACACCAAAGTCTCTTCTCTTTACAGCACATCCTGACGTGGAGAGTTTATTGTTATTTGCTTAATTTTATCAAAGTTAATAGCCAATTTGGATACATTTTCACATTATTTATCTGCTTGGCATTTCACACTGATCAATTTACTAAATTTCTGCTAAACTTTAATTTAGCATTGTGCTGTGTATACCCAAATGCTCCCTGCCTGGCGTCCACAAATGGGCTAACATTTCCTTGCACAATTGGTGTGTTACCAGGATTGCTTCATTTATCAATTCCTAGGAGCTACATCCAAGTGATCAAAGCTTTTTTAAAAAAAAGATACCCCAGAATACTACAATTAAATATGAACTCCATGTGGCCCTGACTTCCCTTGTTTAGGGCAGCCTAAGGAGAAAACAGACAAATAACAATCATCTTCATCAGTCCTGCAATACTTGTTGCTGCTGGTATGCATCACGAGATCGGTGGTTCACACAGCAATCTTCCCAGTCTACCTAAGAGGGCAGGGAAGACCTTGCTGGCCTGTGGTTCAGTTATTTGTTGGAAGAAGCACTTATTTTATTTTATTTATTTATTTAGAGATGGAGTCTCACTCTGTCGCCTAGGCTGGAGTACAGTGGCGAGATCTCGGCTCACTGCAAGCTCCGCTTCCCGGGTTCACGCCATTCTCCTGCCTCAGCCTCCCGAGTAGCTGGGACTACAGGCGCCCACCACCATGCCCAGCTAATTTTTGGTATTTTTAGTAGAAACGGGGTTTCATTGTGTTAGGCAGGATCTCGATCTCCTGACCTCGTGATCTGCCCATCTCAGCCTCCCAAAGTGCTGGGATTACAGGCGTAAGCCACCGCACCCGGCTGGAAAAGGCACTTATTTTTATATAGACTATTCAACTATAGAATAAGATACTGGGCATTTAAGACAGTTCTTTCATACTAGAGTCTAGCAAACTATGTATTAATATTAAATATAACCAAATATGTACTTTCTTAATGTTTAAGGTCCCCCCCATTATTCACATTTTTTTTTTTTTTTTTTTTTTTTTTTTAGACAGAGTCTTGCTCTGTCACCTAGCCTGGAGTGCAGTGGCATGATCTTGGCTCACTGCAACCTCCACCTCCCAGGTTCAAGTGATTGTCCCACCTCAGGCTTCTGAGTAGCGGGGATTATAGGTGTGCACCACCACGCTTGGCTAATTTTTGTATTTTTAGTAGAAACGGTGTTTCACCACTTTGGCCAGGCTGGTCTCAGATGTCTGGCCTCGTGATCTGCCCACCATGGCCTCCCAAAGTGCTGGGATTACAGGCGTGAGCCACCACACCCAGCCCACAGTTAATCATTTTAATAAGCAAGTATATTATATTCCAAATACATGTTACATCTTTTCAGATAAGAGCACAAATTAGTGGAATTAAGAAGACTGATTGAAATAAGCCAGAATTCAATGGAAGGGAAACTGGTGTGTCTTATTAGCTTTCTTTCAGCAAGAGCTGCTGAACAAAGGAAATACTGTACTTCCTGAAAGGGAAACAGAGATTTGAAGTGTAACTATGCAGATTAGGGCTCCTTCCTCTTCCCCGCCACCCCCACCCAAAAAAAAGAAAAGAAAGGAAAGAAGAAGAAAATTGTTTTGGGTGGAATTAGCCACAGACTTGACCCAATTCTTTCCTCGAACATGGACTGGGAAACCTGGGCAAAGTCAGCCAGTAAGATCCTTGCAGAACACATCACATCACTTGGGCAAGTGTGAGCACTTAAGACAATTACAATGCTTCTTTTAAGTCACTGAGACCTGGTAACCAAACTAAGAAGAAGCAAGCTCCCAAAAGTTGAACTGGCTTCTCTCAGATTTGTTTGCTTCCACGACAATAACATTTTTATTTTTGAAGCCCCAAATCATTACTGATTTAGTGATTATAACACATTTTCTTTCTTATGAAAATGATCGGTAAAACATAGAATGGTGAGACAATCTATATTTAGAGCTGAATGGAAAAAGACTTATAAAACAGACCAGCCTACTTGTCAATCATAATATGGAATATGATCATAACATTAGTCATAATATGTCTCTTTAATTTCTTTCTACCTTGCTTATTTTCTTTCAACATGTTGTTCTCAATACCTCGACTGACTTCTTACAATGTTTGCATTGAGAATTGTTCTAAGAAATTAAGAACTTAGATATATTTTATACACATTTGAAAATACTTCTACCTAGCATTCTTGTATGTAAACTTTAGAGACAAATTCTAAATGCATCAGCTGAGAAGGTGGGGAAAAGTTGTGAATATTCTCAATGGCTAACAGCATCACCCAACCTGAGACCCCATGTTTTTGCTGAAACCAGCTAGGACAAACGCTTCTAAATCTCCCTTCATAGCTGCAGAAAAAGTAAATGAATTACACTAATGTCCATGGGACCAATGATTCGTGAAAGAATAAAATGGAAAACGAAGCAGTTATTTTGTCCCTTCTGACCAACATGCACATGCTTGTGTGTATATATACCAATAGTATTTATTGGGAGGAAATCTCTAGTTCTAAAGCAGCTCGTGTAAACAGGCTTCATTTATCTGTTCATTCGAGTTTGCTCTGCCCTGGTCCCACAGGTTGGGTGCAGCGTTCCTGGGACGCCCTGGCTCGCCCCATCTACTCAGCTTCCCAAATGCCCGCAAGCCCAGTTCACGCCTGGAAGTCTACCCCTCGCGTCGTCAGCTTAAAGCCCTCCTTAATGAGGACCGTCTTTAATTTAATTTAATCCTTGTATTTCATACTTTTTGTATATCAGAAAGGATTTCTTTTTGGAAAGAAACAGTAGCTCAAGACGCGATTTTTCAAGGTTCTGTGGCCAGTCTCAGTCACTCGGCAACATCTGAGCCAAGGCAGAGCCAGGTTCACTTAAATTCGGGACTCCGAAGTGTGGAGACCAATACCCCTTAAAAGCGTCCCCTGGGGCCGAGGCGGGTGTGGGGAGGGGCCGCCACCGTCCACCTGCGCCTTCAGGCTGCGGTGAGGTGGCAGAGTCCGGAGGCATTTCCCGACCCCAGAGGAGCCTCCAAGAGTCTCGCGGCACGGGCGCGAACACCAGGATGCGGAGGGCGCTTCTTACCTTTCGAGACTGACGGGCAGCAACCCCAGGCCGTCCGGGCGCGTGGCGAGGCGGACGGGAAGGCTCAGGGGCGGCGAGGTAGAGCGCCAAGCATCCCGCGTCCCAGACTGCACGCCCTGACCCCGCGGCGTTCGGCTCCCACAGCCCCGCGGGGCCCGCCCCCGACGGCGTGGGGAGGGCGGGCGCCGGGAGGGCGGGGGGCACACGGGACCGGGCGTGGTCGGTTCCCGCCCCTTCTGGGCAGCGCATCCTTTCCTGCCGGTCCCCAGCTCGCCAGCTGCTGGACAGGAAACAGGCAGGAAACGCGCGGCCAGCCAAGGTCCTGCGGGAGGGGGTGCGGCCCCGGCAGACGCAGGTCCCCTCAACACACACCCGCATCCACAGCACACAGCCGGACCAGGGGTTTAACGAAGGACGAGCGAGCAATCTCCTGACACTTCACATTCAATCACTTCTACTCTAGTGTCATTTTCTTCAGGGAGACCACAAAAATAAGTCCTTGAAGCGGCACAGCATGTGGGCTGTAAACTTGCTTTCCCAAATGTCACTGAAGAGTTTCAAAAGAACATAGTTCAGGTAAAGTGCATCTCCATTTTCTTTCCCTGGGGTCAGAATTGGTATTAAAAATAACTAAACATTTTAAAAACTCTACTCTGCAAGTGTTAAAGTTCTTTTTATAGGAATGTGAATTAGTTCAGCCACTGTGGAAAGCAGTTTGGAGATTTCTCAACTAAAAACAGAAAGATCATTCGACCCAGCAATCCCATTACTGGGTGTATGCCCAAAGGAAAATAAATCATTCTGCCAAAAAGACACCCGCACTATGTTTATCACAGTACTATTTACAATAGCAAAGACATGGAATCAACCTAGGTGCCCATCAACAGTAGACTGGGTAAAGAAAATGTGGTACATACACACCACGAAATACTAAACAGCCATAAAAAAAGAACAAAATCACGTCCTCTGTAGCAACATGGATGCAGTTGGAGGACATTATCCTAAGTGAATTAACATAGGAACAGAAAACCAAACACCGAATGTTCTCACTTATAAGTGGGAGCTTAAACAACGGGTACTCATGGACATAAAGATGGCAACAACAAACACTGGAGACTCCAAGTCAAGGGAGGGAGAGAAAGGGGCAAGGGCTGAAAAACATCCTATTGGGTACTGTGTCCGGAATTGGTGGGTTCTTGGTCTTTCTGACTTCAAGAATAAAGCTGCGGACCCTCGCGGTGAGTGTTACAGTTCTTAAAGGCGGCCTGTCCGGAGTTTGTTCCTTCTGATGTTCGGATGTGTTCAGAGTTTCTTCCTTCTGGTGGGTTCGTGGTCTCGCTGGTTCAGGAGTGAAGCTGCGGACCTTCGCCATGAGTGTTACAGCTTTTAAGGCGGCGCGTCTGGAGTTGTTCGTTCCTCCCAGTGTGTCCGTAGTCTCGCTGGCTTCAGAAGTGAAGCTGCAGACCTTCGCAGTGAGTGTTACAGCTCATAAAGGCAGTGTGGACCCAAAGAGTGAGCAGCAGCAAGATTTATTGCAAAGAGCCAAGGAACAAAGCTCCCACGCTTTGCAAGGGAACCCCAGCGGGTTGCCACTGCCGGCGCGTGCAGCCTGCTTTTATTCTCTTATCTGGCCCCACCCACATCCTGCTGATTGGTTCATTTTACAGAGAGCGGAGTGGTCTGTTTTGACAGGGCGCTGATTGGTGCATTTACAATCCCTGAGCTAGACACAAAGGTTCTCCACGTCCCCACTACATTAGCTAGATACAGAGTGTCCACACAAAGGTTCTCCAAGTCCCCACAAGAGTAGCTAGATACAGTGTCCATTGGTGCATTCACAAACCCTGAGCTAGACACAGGGTGCTGATTGGTGTGTTTACAAACCTTGAGCCAGATAGAGTGCCGACTGGTGTATTTACAATCCCTTAGCTAGCCATAAAGGTTCTCCAAGTGCCCACCAGTGAGGAGCCTAGCTGGCTTCACCCAGTGGATCCCGCACCGGGGCTGCAAGTGGAGCTGCCTGCCAGTCCCGCGCCCTGTGCCCGCACTCCTCAGCCCTTGGGTGGTCGATGGGACTGGGCGCTGTGGAGCAGGGGGTGGTGCTCGTCAGGGAGCTCGGGCCTCACAGGAGCCCATGGAAGGTGGGGGAGGCTCAGGCATGGCGGGCTGCAGGTCCCGAGCCCTGCCCTGCTCAGGGAGGCAGCTAAGGCCCTGCGAGAAATTGAGCGCAGCGCCGGTGGGCCGGCACTGCTGGGGGACCCAGCACACCTTCTGCAGCTGCTGGCCCAGGTGCTAAGCCCCTCATTGCCCGGGGCCGGCAGGGCCCACCGGCCGCTCCGAGTGCGGGCCCGCCGAGCCCACACCCACCCGGAACTCGTGCTGGCCCGCAAGCACCGTGCGCAGCCCCGGTTCCCGCCAGCGCCTCTCCCTCCACACCTCCCCGCAAGCTGAGGGAGCCAGCTCCAGCCTCAGCCAGCCCAGCCCAGGAAGGGGCTCCCACAGTGCAGCAGCGGGCTGAAGAGCTCCTTAAGTGCCGCCAAAGTGGGAGCCCAGGCAGAGGAGGTGCTGAGAGCCAGCGAGGGCTGTGAGGGCTGCCAGCACGCTGTCACCTCTCAGTACTATGTTCATTATCTAGGTGACAGGATCAATAGAAGCCCAAACCTCAGCAACATGCAATTACCCTTGTAACAAACCTGCATATGCACCCCCAAATCTAAAACTAAAATTTAAAAAAGAGTTTTAAGTTTTTGGGAATATATGAGAGGATAGATTCCACCTTAACAGCTGTGCTTGTTAAATTGAGTAACTATGCAGTATGGTTTAACACTTGCTTTTCTTTTATGCAGAATATACCATTTGACAGCAAAACTAATATCCGGTATGCAGAATATACCATTTGACAGCAAAACTAATATCTGGTAATGGAAATCAAAGCACAGTGGTGGCCTTTGGAGAGCGATGACAGGAAAGAGGCACCAGGAAACTTTTAGGGGGCGACAGATATGTTCTACTGTTTGGAGTGTGAGTTACATGGATTTACTAAGCATTTGTTAAAACTTGTCTGACTGAAGATCTGTGCATTACAGTTTGTAAACTGTACCTCATTTAAAAAAAAATTTTTAAATATGTGATTTGCAGGTCTTTGACTCTATCACTTCATTTTTAAAAAGGTAGCACAAGTATTTACTTATATGTTACCAGAGGTATAAAATTTTCTAAGAACTTATATTGTCAGCCAGGTGCAGTGGCTCATGGCTGTAATCACAACAATTTGGGAAACCAAGGCAGGAGGTTTGCATGAGCCCAGTACTTTTAGACCAGCCTGGGCAAAACAGCAAGACTCCATCGCCACAATAAATAAGAAATTATTTGGGAGGCCAAGGCAGGTGGATCGCTTGAGCTCAAGAGTTCAAGACCAGCCTGGGCATCATGGCAAAACCCTGTCTCTACCAAAAATAGAATGTACTAGCCGGCTGTGATGGCACGTGCCTGTGGTCCCAGCTACTTGGGAGGCTGAGGCAGGAGGATCACTTGAACCCAGGTGGAGGCTTCAGTGAGCCAAGATGATGCCACTGCACAGGCTGGGTAAGACCCCGTCTCAAAAAATAAAATAAATAAAAAATTAGCCAGGTGTGGTGGCATGTACCTGTTGTCCCAGCTACTCTGGAGGCTGAGGTGGGAGAATTACTTGAGCCCGAGAGGTTGGGGCTACAGAGAACAGTGATCACGCCACTGCACTCCAGCCTACATGACAGAGTGAGACCAACCAATCTTGTCAAATAGTTACTTCTAGCAATACTAATTAAATCCATCCAAAGTTTCAAAGAAGACTTTAAGGTGATCATCCAATTTCACTGCCAGTAGAATTATCTAGTCTAATTTCCATTCACCAATTTACACTAGGATTCTTTTTCAAATACATACCACCCACTCCCTGGCATTTCAGTTTTAAAAGCAAAAGCTCAGTGGAAAGAGCAGGCATTGGAGTTACAAAAGTACAAAAATTATCTGGTGTGGTGGTGTGCACCTGTAGTTCCAGCCATCAGGAGGCTGAGGCGGGAGGACTGCTTGAGCCCAGAAGGCAGAGGTTGCAGTGAGCCGAGATTGTGCCACTGCGCTCCAGCCTGGGCAATAGAACCAGACCCTGTCTGAAAAAAAAAAAAAATTATATGGGGGTATAAGGAACCCAGAACAGGATAAAACAATCTTGAAAATGAAGAGCGTATTTGGAGGACTCACACTTTCCAATTTCAGAACTTACTACAGGCTGGTTCATGCCTGTAATCCCAGCACTTTGGGAAGCCAAGGCAGACGGATCACTTGAGGTCAGGAGTTTGAGACCAGCCTGACCAACAGCGAAACCCCATCTCTACTAAAAAAAAAAAAAAAAAAAAAAAATTAGCTGGGGATGGTGGCACACACCTGTAGTCCCAGCTACTCAGGAGGCTGAGGCAGGAGAATTGCTTGAACCCGGGAGGCGGAGGTTGCAGTGAGCCGAGAATGTGCCACTGCACTCCAGCCTGGGTGACAGAGTGAGAGTCGGTCTCAAAAAAAAAAGTAACTTACTACAAAGCAGTAGTAATCAAGACAGTGTGATATTAGCAAAAAGATAGATAAATAGCTAGAAATGCAAGTTCAGAAACTCATATCTATGGTCAATTGAGTTTTTAAAAATTACTTTTTAAAACAAAAAACCCCATATGCAAGCATATGGTCAATTGTTTTTTGACAAGTGTGCCAAGACCATTTAATGGTCAACTAATGGTGCTGGCATAACCAAATAGCCACATGCAAAAGAATGAAGTTGGACCTCCTCCTTACACTGCATACAAGTAAAAAGATACACTTTTAGATAAGCCTAGATTAAATTCCAGCCCTGACACTGCAAATCTGGGTAGATTTCTTAATCCCTCCTTCCCTTCACTGTAGAAAGCATATAATAGTTATTGTGAAATATTATAGTGATTAAGTGAAACATATCGGAGGCAGCTTTCTCTGCATTAATCTTTCAGGCACATACTTTTTCCCCAAAAAGCTACTCTTCAAGGGAGGAAATCCAGGTACAAGTGGCTCTATCAATATGCTTGGTCATTTTTTAAATAACAGCTTTATTGAACTGATTGGTCAATTTTGTCTCCATTAGAATTCTTGCCAAACTGTACTGCTGTCTTTATTGGACAGTTAAGATACAGTTTAACGTTTTCAGGCCGGGCGCGGTGGCTCACGCCTGTAATCCCAGCACTTTGGGAGGCTGAGGCGGGCGGATCACGAGGTCAGGAGATCGAGACCAACCTGGCTAACATGGTGAAACCCCGTCTCTACTAAAAAAAAAAAAAAAGATATAGTTTAACGTTTTCTAAAAGAAGGCAATATAAAAATCAAAGGAAAAAATGCTTTCAAACAAACAGTGGTATGGTCAGTATTGAACTATAACTGTTCTGGCTCTCAAAATACCTTCAGTTTTCTTTCTGGGTCAGTGACTGATCTAGTAATCTTGTGCAAATTGTATAAAATTTATACATTATCTCAATAACTCCGTTTATACAAATGGAGAGAGCTTTTATGTCTCTGGGTAATGCTCTGAGATGAAAGCTATAACTGACTCATGATTTCGTATCAGGACACAAGGAAGAAGACGAATGGCTCAATTTCCACACTGTAATAACAAGAACTTACATGTGTATAACAACTACTCTGGAGTGCTTTCCACATCATGGACATGGCCCATGCCATATTTGAGTAAGACAGAGCAGATCTCACTCAGACAGGCTAAGCCTTGACAAGTCTGGTTGAGAAACCTCTTGGGAAGAGGGTAAAAGACAGAGTTGGTCTGCTAGGCAACTCGTGCATGACTCAGTACTATAATTCAAAAATCACTCAATTCAGTTAATACTTTACTAGGAATCTACCATGTAGTCACTGACCTAGGTCAGTGAGAATTCAAAAGAAATGTTACACGACAGTCTTTGAACTTAAACCCAGTTTCTCTATTTTCTTATGGTATCAAGACAACATTTAAGAGAACAAGACAAAATATAGTTAAGCATATGGAAAAGACAGTAACTCTTGTAGAGTTTAGAAATAATAGAGCTGTGTATTGGAAACATTTCTGATGCAGGCAGGATTGAGCAAAGTATAATTTAGATTGGTGGGGGTGGGCGTGGGAGAGGGGAGGTGAGTGGGAAGAAGTAAAGAAAGGTTTGGACAGACAAGGGAAATATCCAGGAGCAGGAAGGGGCACACCTCTGCTGTTCCCTTTTCCCAACACCTTCCACTTACTGACAATCTCTTGGTCTTTGTGAGCCTAGTTTACCAGGTTCTTCCTTTCCCTTCCAAAGCCCTCCACCAGGACTAAGGGCTCCTTTTTCTGTCTTCCCCAGCATGGTACATATGCCCCTTCCATGGCACATATGCCCCTTCCATGGCACTTACTTCATTCCATCTTCAGTGAAAGTTGCTTACATGTCTGTTTCCCCAACTAGGTTTCCCTTTTCTTAAGGACACAGCTGTATCTTATTCATCTTTGTATCCCCTCCCACTACCAGTGCCCAACAAAACTGCTCACACAAAATTGCTATGTGTTCAAAAAAATGTTTTTTTTATTGAATTGAATGGGAGCTAAAGTAGGATAAAGTGGAGCCAAATTATAAATAGGAATATAGGTAGGAGTTCATTCATTCAGTAAATATTTATTGAATGCTTATTGTGTCCAGGCCCTGTTCTCAGCTCTTAGAATACATCCATGAACAAACCAGATAAAAACTTCTGCCCTTGCGCAGCTTATACTCTAGATCGTAAGGGATGGGATTAGCAATAAATTTACATAAATTCAACCATACCTACTGGAAAAAGACACATGCATGGAAATTATTAATGCTATAAGAATCTCTTGATATGCAGTTTGTATTTTTGTACTTAATATAAGCATAATATATTCATACCTACATATCACTCCACAGGGATTTAAACTTTAAGACTACAAAGAGAAATTTATTGGTAATTTAGGAGATTTTCAAGGACCATTCTGAGCATGCTCAATTTTGTCCTTAGGCACGGTCTTTAAAACCTAACCACCTTACAAGTTGTGACTCCACTGTACCAAAATGAAGACTCTGAGACTTTTGGGCAAAAGAACCATTTTAAGTATTTGAGTATGAGAAAGATGACAGGATGAATCCACATTCTCTCAGATTAATCTGGTAACAAGGAACAAGAAAGAGTACATTCATCTGAATATACATGGTCAGGTAACAGTGGAATTCACATCAAGAATTTTTTAAAAAAAGAAACCAGTTCATGACATGTCCCATTGTTTTAAGACAACTAAAACAGTAAGAGCTCAATGTCATAAGTATTTATAAGCAACTCTTAATTATAAAATCCAAAGGAAAAATTCTTAACATAACTGGCTTTAGTATGATTAAAGGTTTCTCATTTGCATATATGTTTCAGAGTATTTAAAAAGAATGCCAAGAAAAATCATTTTTAAATTTTGCAATAATTTTACTCTATATACATTGATACCAATCATTTAACCCTGAAAACACAGTCTTCACTAACACAATGTAAAAAAATTTTTTGACAGTAAATGACCAGAAATATTGCATTACCATAAAGCTACAAAGAGGCTCATGCTCCTAAGAGCAAAGTTAGGAAAACAAAAAAATAATAATTATACCAGTGATAAGCACCAAGACAGAACTTTTTTGCACTTAGGGCCTGATTGGTTGTATTTAAACATAACTTCTACATTAGAGGGCCAAAATAACACCTTATAATAATGGCCTGAAAAAAAAAGATAAAAATACACAAATACATACAAAGGTCTCGAAACAGTGAAGAATGCCCACTTTAAAAATAAAATCAATCATACTCATTTTTAAATTAATGTGACATTTGCAAAATATATTTATATATCACTTTTCTTCCTTCTTAAGTTATTTTATACAATTCAGATTGCTCCATTTTTTTTCATCAGTTGTCACACTAAAGTAAACAAATATGTTAAATTATGTAGGTTTGCAGTAATGAATCCAAACCATTAGCGCTAGATTGAGTAGCTCCAGCAATCTTCCTTGCAACTCACTCCAGCTGGTGAAACAGATTATTTATCTTCATAATTTTAAAAGCCTTAGCCAGGTGAGAGAGAGAGAGAGTGTGTGTGTGTGTACAAGTTTGCCAGAGCAGTGTGAGACAGTAAGTACCAACCAGAAAGAGGTGAGACATACAAACAAGCTTACACAATGGTCCAACTAACCCCTAAAAGACTTGGGCAGTCAGACACTGAGTTACCCTCAAAATAAACCTGAGGCTGAGCAATGGGGGAACCAGAGGATCTGTCACCACAATGAAGAGTCAGTGACAGGTTTGGAAAACAAAAACTAAAGTGGGATGTCTCAGGCACAGCATTCCTGTGACACTGGAGGATACGAAGCAGCAATAGCCACTTTTCAGGCAGAGATAAGGGATTGGGATCCCCTGGGTCTGCAGCTGAGGGTCCCTGGCACTTCCCAGAGGGCACTGCAGCAGCCTCTGGCAGTGGCCCTCCACCTTACCCACTGACAATGTCTTAGGGGTCCCAGAGTGTGAACCTGGGCATCCCTCTTCCTGGTCCCAAGGGTGCTCCCAATACAATACTTTCCCTCCCGCAGGCTTGGCCAAAACCATCACCACCCTTTCACTTCCAACTCAGTTTCAGAAAGGGTGTCTCCTGTCCTGTGGGGTCCCTGAGTTTGAGATAATGCGAACATACTGGAGGCTGTAGCAATAACATGTGAAGTCAGGCAGTCACTTTAAAACCTAAGCAATCTACATGCAGTATTAGCCAGTTGTTGTTATCTCAGTAACATTTCTTACCGAAGTAGTTTTTCCACACAACTTACAACATAAAGGACAAAGAAAAAATATTGCTGGAATATGATAGACTTTTTAAAGTTCAGTGTTGAAACTCCTTATGGAAAAGAAAAGGAGATATTACTTTTCCACTTTCTATTTCCTGTCTGTGGCTTTGAGGTAAAAGAACACTAAGGTTCCTGTGAAGTTCCCTCTGCCATTCCACCAGCACAACAATCCCAGGGAATTCCTGAGCCGTCTACCTCCTAAATTTGTAATCATAACTCTGGGCATGTCTATACAGCTCTCTAGTTCAGTTTCAAAATCCACAGCATTTGGAAACAAAATGACACAGTTGCATTCTTTAAATGCCAGTCATGAAATCATCACTTAAAAAAACAAAGAGAAACTAGATAGAATATATATAAATATATGTGTCAAATAAAATTATTTCATTTTTAAAGGTATTTTATTTGGTATGTTGAAGACATGTCTATGACTGCTTCTAAAAGCCCTGGGGAGGAGCCTCATATAGCATGCTGCAGTATATTTTGTCCCAACATTGTCATGTGCAATCAGTGAATTTCAGTTACACCAAAATAATAATCTAACCTGTCTGAACATGCAACTTCTCTTTTTATTCTCTGCAAAACTAAATTCCCTTCTTTATAAAATGATTAGATTTGAGGATCAAGTTAAAATCCACTATATTCCAAGTTAAACTCTGAGGGTTCTGCACTATAGCATGATTTTAAATTCATATTGGCATTCACTTTTCTGAATTTTCCTATGCGTATACTAAATAAATTTCCTGGACCATATTTAGTGAGAAATTAAAAGAGATTTACATTGCACTGTGAAGTTCCAATAAATTCTCAATTGATCGGGGTTTATCTCTTAGCTCAATGTCATACAACCTCTACATGACGCAAGCATATGGACAAAAAGGATTTTAAATACAAAACCCTTAGCTCTGTGTCATAAATAAATTTGGGTAAAAACGCAGGCCTTCCACTGAGTCATCACGGCAAAGATGGCCCATCTTCTCTGCAAGCAGCAACCTAAAAAAAAACAACAAAAAAACCCCCACACAATTATCTGTTCATGCAGACACACAAACATACATTGTAATGAAAGGTAAGAACCTTACTTACCTTTCTTTGGCTAGGAGGACAGACATTCCCACAAGCTTAGCAAACTCTTCTGATGTTAGGGATCCCTTTTCTGAAACCTAATAGAAACACACAGCAGAAAAAAAATGTAATTAATTTAGGACACTAATTTAAACACACTCTGGGTTCTAATGGTAGGCAGAATGTATACCAGTATATGCAAGAAATAATTTACTGAATGTCCTACTAAAATCCAAAGAACATTCACACTATAACTAAATTTTAACTAATGCTTAATCCTACAAAAGTTGAAGTACCCAGAAGAGACATAGTAGAGGCTCAAATATCAAGATCAAGCTCTCTATAATGTAACAGTCACTGTACTAAAGCCTAAAAAGAACTATTTGATATTCTGAAAAGGAATATGTAACAAATTCTGAGTACATATTAACGCTCCAGCGAAGGGACTTTACATATGGGTTTAGTTTAAAATATGTGGTAGAAATATCTGTAGTCTTGGGGTTTTCATCTAGTTGAAAATGAGAAGGATAATAAATATAAGTTATTCAAATTATACAGGCTCACCATAGAAGCTATGAAGACAGTACTATTTCAAGCATCCTAATGAGTAATATTGGCAGTTTGGCCAGTAAAATCCATCTAAACTACAGTTGCTTTTTATATTTTTTGAAGCAATTATTTTCATAAAACTTGTGGCGTTTTATCAAGCTGCTTATGTAGGTGTTACTGGAAGACAAAGTTTAATTGTGTTGTAACATCTGATAAAGTTAAAAACCTGTTCTCAATACTGAGCTTTAATAGAAAAGAAAGCACCTCACTCACTAATTCTAATTCTCCTTACATGTAAGATGTTAAGAGTGTCAAGAAGTTTCAAAAAGCTCTTAATGTATGACTTTGGTTAATATTGATTCATTGTTAGTGATAAACCATTTTTATTTGGGTGTGTGAATGTTACTTTTTCAGTAAAGTTAAATTCAAAAGGAAATCCTGTTTTTTGAGTTGCTAAGCCTTCGGGTCTTCATAGCAAGCTCTAAAGACTGGAGAAAATCGGCTTCACATACTGTCTCCAGGGCCGAGGCCACCATTTCCTCTTCCTTGTGAGACTGAAGCTCAATTACCATGACGCCACTGTCAAACACACGGAGCCTGAAAACCACAGGTGCGAGAACAAAGCCAGGAATTATCTAGGATATTCAACTGCTGAAAAGGAGGACATCTTTTATACCTTCTTTTATGCCCAGATATGAGGGCAATATTAAACAAAACAACATTTAAAACATATCAAACCCAAGCAACAATGGCATAAACAGCTCATGAATACACAGATAATAAAATTATGAACTAAAATCTACATGCTAAATAAAATTACTGGCTTTTTTTTTAGAAGGAATTTCGCTCTTGCTGCCCAGGCTGGAGTGCAAATGGCATGATCTTGGCTCACCGCAACCTCCGCCTCCCGGGTTCAAGCGATTCTCCTGCCTCAGCCTCCCCAGTAGCTGGGATTACAGGCATGTGCCACCACACCTGGCTAATTTTGTATTTTTAGGAGAGACGGGGTTTCTCCATGTTGGTCAGGTTGGTCTCGAACTCCCGACCTCAGGTGATCTGCCCGCCTCAGCCTCCCAAAGTGCTGGGATTACAGGTGTGAGCCACCACGCCCAGCCACCTGGCTACTTTTTTAAACCTAAGAATAAGGAAAATAATATTCACAGCTGAACATCTCCAGAGACTAACACAAAATGTCTAAGGGAAGAGGGGCTAGTTATTCTGATCTCATGGGAAGAACCCACATTCTTATTTCATTCCCCCAAATCCACAAGAGTCTGACTCCTAGCCCTGTTAGGACATGCCCAGCCCTGATAAACATGAAATAATATAATTTCAAGAGAAATAATCTGGCTTGACACTAGGGATGGCAAACTTGGCTGGGCTTTCCCATCTACCCCATGCAGAATCATGGTTGCAGGTGGCAAACTTCCTGCAGAGGTTCCTTTACCTGAGAGGTAATTTCAGTGCTTCCAGCATCTTGCACGCATTCACTAAATCTTCTGGTGAGAGCAACTAATAGGGAAAAAAAATCCAGTAATGCTATACAATGGTAATGATCACTAAAACAGAAGAGTATATTTTAAAATTACCATTTATCAATAATTTTAGGTGATTTAATCACTACAAAGCAAAAAAGATTGACAAAGGAACCAAAGACTTCTATTCCTTAAAGCAGTGGTACCCAATAAAATATGCATGCCACATATGTCACTGCAAATTTTATAGTAGCCACATTAAAAAAATAAAAAGAGGCCATGCACAGTGGCTCACACCTGTAATCCTAGCACTTTGGGAGGCTGAGGCAGGTGAATTACAAGGTCAGTAATTCGAGACCGGCCTGGCCAACATGGTGAAACCCCGTCTCTACTAAAAATATAAAAATTAGCCGGGCGCGGTGGCGGGTGCCTGTAATCCCAGCTACTCGAGAGGCTAAGGCAGGTGAATTGCTTGAACCCAGGAGGCGGAGTTTGCAGTTAGCCGAGATCGCACCATGCATTCTAGCCTGGGCGATAGTGCGAGACTCCATCTCAAAAAAAAAAAAAAAAAAAAAAAAAGTAAAAAAGTAAAAAGAAACATGAAATTAATTTTAATGCATATATTTTAAGATTGAACATAGAACCAATTCAACATATAATCAATACAAAAAATTATTAATGAGATATTTAACATTTCCTTATTTTGTACGAAGTCTTCTGAATCTGGTGCATTTTTATACTTGCAGCATATCTTGATTTGGATTAACTACATTTCAAGTCCCCAGTCAGCACATGATGTGGCTATCCTTGTGGACAGTGCAGCCTTAACAAATCAGCATAGTGTGGTGATGACAAGCACAGCTTTCAGTCCCACAGGATGGCTCCAGAGCCAGTCCAGCCCAGATCCAAATACCTGTCAAACCACTGTCTCTGGCTGTGGCCTTGCTCAAGTTATTTCATCTTTCTAAGTTTCAATTTCCTATTCTTCAAATTATCCCCTACACTAAAAGTAGCCATGTCACTGAGTTATTGGGAGGATAAATGAGGTAACACATGCAGAGTGTCCAGTGGATGGTAAGTACTGACTAATGGCAGCTATGATCAGCATTCAGATAAAAACACAGAGCAGGGGCTTAATTCATGGGACTGGGTGAGCCATTTGCATGGAGGTGACTGCTGGGGCACAAAGAATACCTAGACAGAACCTTGGAGGCTAAGGACATCTGGATGTGAAGGAGGAAGAACAGCTGAAGAATAGCCACTGCTGATACCCAGCCAAAGGGGCAGGGCAGCTTTCCCTCTGCATTATCTACAAGGCAACTTGTTCCAACCGAGTTGATTCAAAAGAGTTAACTATTGCAGAGGAAGGGCTTCCTGAACAACTTTATTTATCACAATACAGAGAGAAAATATTAGAGCTGAACAGTTTCATTCAGTCCAAGCCCTTATATTAAAGGTAAGAAAACTAGCTCCCTAAATGCTGGCAAGGATGTGGGGAAAGGGGAACTCTTACACATTGTTGGTGGGAAGGTAAATTAGTACAGCCACTATGAAAAACAGTATGGCGATTTCTCAAAAAACTGTAAATAGAACTATCACATGATCCAGCAATCCCACTGCTGGGTATATATCCAAAAGAAAGGAAAGGAGTGTATCAAAGAGAAATCTGCACTCCCATGGTTATTGCAGCACTATTCACAACAGTCAACATCATTTGCAACAACATGGATAGAACTGGAAGACATTGTTTAGTGAAGTAAGCTGGCACAGAAAGACAAATATCACATGTTCTCACTCATTATGTGGGAGTTAAAAAAATTGATTTCATGCAGATAGAGAGTAGAAAAATGGTCACTAGAGGGTGGGAAGAGTAGTGGGGAAGGAGGGATAAAGAGAGGTTGGTTTAATGGGTACAAAAACACAATTAGAAGGAATAAGAGGCCAGATGCAGTGGCCCATGCCTGTAATCCCAGCACTTTGGGAGGCCAAGGGGGGTGGATCACCTGAAGGCAGGAGTTCAAGACCAGCCTGGCCAACATGGAGAAACCCCGTCTCTACTAAAAATACAAAAATTAGCCAGGCGTGGTAGCCGTCGCCTGTAATTCCCAGTTACTTGGGAGGCTGAGGCAGGAGAATTGCTTGAACCAGGGAGGTGGAGGTTGCAGTGAGCCGAGGTTGTGCCACTGCACTCCAGCCTGGGTGACAAAAGTTAAGACTGTCTCAAAAAAAAAAAGGGGGGGAATAAGATATAGCATTCAGTAGTACAATAGGGAAACCATAGTTAACAATAATTTATTGTATATTTCTTTTTTTTAAATTTATTTATTTTTTGAGATGCAGTCTTGCTCTGTTGCCCAGGCTGGAGTGCAGTGGCGTGATCTCGGCTCACTGCAATCTCCACCTCCCTACTTTAAGCGATTCTCCTGCCTCAGCCTCCCAAGTAGCTGGGATTACAGGTGCCTGCCACCACGCCCGGCTAATTGTTGTATTTTTAGTAGAGATGGGGTTTCGCCATGTTGGCCAGGGTGGTCTCGAACTTCTGACTTCAGGCGATCTGCCTGCCTCAGCCTCCCAAAGTGCTGGGATTACAGGCATGAGCCAGCGCACCCGGCCCTATTGTATATTTCAAAGTAACTACAAAAGTGGAATTGGAATGTTCCTAACACAAAGGAATGATAAACACTGGAGGTGACAGACCCCCAATTTCCCTGATTTGGTCATTACACATTATATGCTTGTATCAAAATTTCACATGTACCCCATAAATACGTACAACTATTATGTATCCATAAAAAAGAAAAAATAAAAATTTGGGGGCCGGGCATGGCGGCTCATGCCTGTAATCCCAGCACTTTGTTTGGGAGGCCAAGGTGGGTAGATCACCTTAGGTCAGGAGTTCAAGACCAGTTTGGCCAACATGGGGAAACCCCGATTCTACTAAAAGTATGAAAATTCTCCTGGTGTGGTGGCACACGGCTGTAATCCCAGCTACTTGAGAAGCTGAAGCACAAGAATTGCTTGAACCCGGGAGGCAGAGGTTTCAGTGAGCCAAGGTTGTGCCACTGCACTCTACAGAGTGATACTCTGTCTCAAAAATACAAAACAAAACAAAAATTTTAAAGGTTAAAAAAAATGTGGTACATATATACAATGAAATACTATTCAGCACAAAACAGAATAAAATCCTTTCATTTGCAGCAACATGGATGAACCTGGAGGATATTATGTTAAGTGAAATAAGCCAGACATAGCAAGACAAACACCACTTGATCTCACTTACATGTAGAATCTTAAAAAAGTTGATCTCATAGAAGTAGAGAGTAGAAGAGTGGCTACCAGAGGCTGGGGAGGGTAGGTGGGAGGAGGGGATGGAGAGAGGTTGGTCAGCAGATACAAAGTTACAGTTAAGACAGGAAGCATGAGTTCTGCTGCTATATTACACAGGGTGACTAGATAATGGCAATGCAGTGTATTCTTTTTTTTTTTTCTGTTTCTGAGTAGGTTTTTTTTTTTTTTTTTTGAGATGGAGTTTTGCTCTGTCGCCTAGGCTAGAGTGCAATGGCGCAATCTCGGCTCACTGCAACCTCCACCTTCCTGGTTTAAGCAATTCCCCTGCCTCAACCTCCTGAGTAGCTGGGATTACAGGCACACACCACCAAACCCAGATAATTTTTTTGTATTTTTAGTAGAGATAGGGTTTCACCATGTTGGCCAGACTGGTCTCGAACTCCTGACCTCAGGTATTCTGCCCGCCTCAGCCTCCCAAAGTGCTGGGATTACAGGTGTGAGCTACCGTGCCCAGCCCTGAGTACTTTTTATTGATACATAATATCTTACATATTTATGGGGTACAGGGGCTATTTTTATTAATACACATGCATAAAATGTGTAATGATCAAGTCAGGGTTATTTGGGGGTACCTATTACCTGATGTATTTATCATGTCTATGTTTTAGGAACATTTCAAGTCCTCCCTTCTAGCTACTTTGAAATATACAATACATTGTTGCCTCCCTACTCTGCTATTGAACATTCGAATTTATTCCATCTAACAGTATGTTTGTACCTATTAACCAACATTTCTTCTTCCCCGCTCCCACTTATACACCTTTCCCAGTCTCTGATATCTATCATCTATTCTCTACCTCCATGAGATTAGCTTTTTTAGCTCGCACATGAGTGAGAACATGCAATATTTGTCTTTCTGTGTCTGGCTTACTTCACTTAACATAAGGACTTCCAGTTTCTCCATGTTGCTGCAAATGATGTGATTTCATTTTTTTTATGACTGAATTGTATTCCATTTGTATGTATCTGACATTTTCTTTATCCGTTCATCACTGATGGACACTTAGGTTGATTCTATCTTTGCTTTTTTAAAAAATGTTTATTTTAGTTAGGGGGTATATGTGAAAGTTTGCTACACAGATAAACTCGTGTCACTAGGGTTTGCTGTACAGATTATTTCATTGCCTAGGTATCAATATTAAGCCTAGTACCCAATAGTTATCTGTTTTGCTCCTCTCCCTCCCCCTAGTCTCTACCCTTAAGTACATTCCAGTGTTTGTTGTTCCTTCTTTGTGTTCATAAGTTCCCATCATTTAGCTCCCACTTATCAGTGAGAATATGGGTATTTGGCTTTCGTTGCTGCACTAGTTTGTTAAGGATAATAGCTTCCAGCTCCATCCATGTTCCCACAAAAGAATTATCTTGCTCTTTTTTATGGCTGCATATAACAGACAAGAGAGGATTTTTAATGTTATTACCAGAAAGAAATGATAAATGTTTAAAGTGATGAATATCTTAATTGCCCTGTGATATGGTTTGGCTCTGTGTCCCCACCCAAATCTCATCTTGTAGCTCCCATAGTTCCCACATATTTTCGAGGGACCTGGTGGGAGATGATTGAATTATGGGGGCGGGTCTTTCCTGTGCTGTTCTGGTGATAGCGAATGTTTCTGATGAGATCTGATGGTTTTAAAAATAGGAGTTGCCTGCCCAAGCTCCCTTTGACTGCCACCATCCACGTAAGATGTGACTTGCTCCTCCTTGCCTTCCGCCATGATTGTGAGACCTCCCCAGCCATGTGGAACTGTGAGTCCAATTAAATCTTTCTTTTGTAAATTGCCCAGTCTCAGGTATGTCTTTATCAGCAGCGTGAAAATGGACTAATACACCCTGATTTGATCATTATGCAGTGTTTACATGCACTGAAACACCATATAGTACCCCATGAATATGTACAATTATTGTGTCAATTATAAAGAAAAATAGAAAAAGTTTTGAATAGCAAAAAATAAAAATAAAGAAAAGAGGAAGAAGGAAAACTGAGTCTCAGAGATGCTAAGTAAGCTACTGAAGGTCACTAAGCAAATCACTATCAAAACCAGGAAAAGAATCTACCTCCTAGATCCCAGGACAGTATTCTTTCACTGTACCACAGTGCTTCTCAAAATAGCTTTGATATTCACAACCCTTCCTCAAATTGTATTCGGAATTTGTATTAAGAAAATCTACATTTGGTTAAAAGAGTATTTAAATTTTCTATCCTTACTTCCATTCCTCGAGCTCGGTTTACTAAGCAGTACACCTCCGTGAGTGACATTATTCCCCCTCGTTCCTGTTCAAATATGAAATTTTTAAAAAAGTATTATGTTACAATTACACCAGTTAGCATTTCTTAACAGAAATCATAATCACAGTGAAATCAGAAATCAGAAAAATTTTTAAGAAGCTTATAAAAAACTTTATTTATACAAAGGAGAACCTATTCAGATACCACAAGGCAGTTTAGATTCAATACTTGCATTTTAATGTCATTACCACTTTATTTTTATTTTTATTTTTATTTTTTTTGAGATGGAGTTTCTCTCTGTCACCCAGGCCAGAGTGCAGTGGTACAATCTCAGCTCACTGCAACCTCCACCTCCCGGGTTCAAGCAATTCTCCTGCCTCAGCCTCCTGAGTAGCTGGCACTACAGGCATGCACCACCACACCCAGCTAATTTTTTTGTATTTTTAGTAGGGACAGGGTTTCACCATGTTGGTTGGGCTGGTCTCGAACTTCTGACCTCAAATGATCTGCTCACCTTAGTCTCCCAAAGTGCTGGGATTACAGGCGTGAGCCACTGTGCCTGGCCTCATTACCATTTTAACATTTACTTAAATGAAAAAAGGGGCTCTACACCATGTTTCAAAAAATACATTTAAATGTTTTAACTTATTACAGCTAATAAATGAAGAAAGTATAGAATTAAATAAGACTATTACCATTTTGCAACCTCCAGTGAAATAACAGATCTAGGTAATGACTGTCAATGGCTGTTAACATCACAAAAAATTTTTTAAAAATTAAAAAAAGACAATCAGACATTATGTATCTCTTGATGGAAGTACACAACAGCCTCTATGAAATAGTCCTGCAATAATAATTTAAAAAAACCCTAACAAACCTTTATTATAAATACCAGTTTATAGGAAATACATAGGACCAGAAAAGCACACCCTATAGTCTAAACAACTAATTTCTTCAGGAAACACACGGTGGGGTGGGAGGTAAGAGGCAGGAGAAGAAAGAACCCATGAAATTAAAAACAAACAAACAAACAAACTTTTGAAACAAACCAACAAACTGCAATGAATCCTGATTGAAACAGACCAACTGTAAGAGAAAATGTGAATACTAGGCCGGCACGGTGGCTCACACCTGTAATCCCAGCACTTTGGGAGGCCAAGGCAGGGGGATCAGCTGAGGTCAGGAGTTCGAGACTAGCCTGGCCAACATGGTGAAACTCTGTCTTTACTGAAAATACAAAACAATTAGCTGGGCGTGGTGGTGGGCGCCTGTAATCCCAGCTACTCAGGAGGCTGAGGCAGGAGAATCGCTTGAACCCGGGAGGTAGAGGTTGCAGTGAGCTGAGATTGCGCCACTGCACTCCAGACTGGGCGACAATAGTGAGACTCTGTTTCAAGAAAAAAAAAAAGAAAATGTAGCACTTTGGGAGGCCGAGGCGGGCGGATCATGAGGTCAGGAGATTGAGACTACGGTGAAACCCCATCTCTACTAAAAATACAAAAAATTAGCCGGGCGCAGTGGGGTGGCAGGCACCTGTAGTCCAAGCTACTCTGGAGGCTGAGGCAGGAGAATGGTGTGAACCTGGGAGGCGGAGCTTGCAGTGAGCTGAGATTGCACCACTGCACTCCAGCCTGGGTGACAGAGCGAGACTCCGCCTCAAAAAAAAAAAAAAAAAAGAAAATGTGAACACTAGATATTAGATAACATTAAGAAAGTATTTTAATTTTTTAGATTATGAAAGGGGATTATAGTTGTATTTAAAGGAGTATTTATCATTAGAGTTACATAATGAAATGTTTACAGATAAAGTGATGTGATGTCTGGGATTTGCTTTAAAATAATTTTGAGTGGAGGTTGGTTTACAGGAGAAGCTGGATGATGGCCACAGAGGATTCATTATACTATTCTATTTGGCATAGGTTTGAAATCTTTTTTAATACAAGTGCTTTAATAAACTCTTGACTGCCTGAATACTATCAGACTAGAAGATGAATCTATATTATGGAATGATTAATAGTACTAAATAGTAAAGACTAGATGTATGGAAATATATCTATTCAGAGAAAGATCATATATTTCCTTTTTAAAAATAAGGAAAACTTCATATCAAATAGATTTAGAAAGTTATAGATGTCAAAAATGAAAATTAAAAACAACTTAGAAAATTACAAAGAATAATAAGCACAATGAACTTATTTAATATACCTGAAAGAAAAAAAAAACATGTCAGTTGACAATAACCATATCATGAAAATAGTTATGCTCTTGTTAACATTTCTAATGACATAGGGCTAATTTAACACAGTTTAAAAAAAAACACATAGGTTTAGTTTTTACCTCTAAAGGCACCTGCAATATTCCAGCCAGTTGTTTGGCCAGCTGCATGTGGTACTGTGTGCCTGAGCCGTAGGTTTCTCTGGTAACTGGGTTAGCTATTCCCATGCTCAGCAAGTAGGATTTAAACCTGATGGTCTATAATAAAAAAGGAGAAAATGCAGAATTAGTCTCTCCACCTCAATATTTGAAATTCTTCCATCACAAATTCAATTCCACTCAATTATGTCTACATATCCCCATTCCTTCTACTGTGTTTCTATGCTGTGAACTATAAGGGAGCAGATTTCCAGGAGTTCCCTGCATACATCTAATTATTCTCCTTCCTACTTCTCTCCTGGTCTCTCATATTCTGTTTACTTCATAAGTTTGATGTGAAAGGAGATTCAGAAAATGCCTCTGCTATATTTAATGCCAACCAAATAGTACAACTGAAAAGAAAATGGCTGTGATTAGACTGTAGACAAACTGAATGAAACAAACATCAAACTTAGGGATATGTATAAAACAGCCACTCCTTGTACATTTCAGTATTTCTGTTTTCTACACTCCAAAAAAAGGCATTGAAATAGCCTTTAATCCTAATAGAACTAATATAATTTTTACGGTTGACTTTTCTTTGGCACTTTCACATATCCTCAAGTCCTAAAAGAAATAAAACAGGCTGGGCGTGGTGGTTCATGCCTGTAATCCGAGGCAGGCGGATCACGAGGTCAGGAGATCGAGACCATCCTGACTAACACGGTGAAACCCGGTCTCTACTAAAAATACAAAAAATTAGCCGGGCGTGGTGGCACGTGCCTGTAGTCCCAGCTACTCGGGACGCTGAGGCAGGAGAATCGCTTGAACCCGGGAGGCGGATGTTGCAGTGAGCCGAGATCGTGCCACTGCACTCCAGCCTGGGCGACGGAGCGACACTCCGTCTCATAAATAAATAAACAATAAATAAAACATAAATAATAAATAAAACAGTACATTCAGAAAGCCAATGTAAACCACAAAAACCTTACTGCATTGTGTTATCTAGTTTCAAATGCCTTAAAAAAAGCAACTTATTTACCTCATCTTCTGTGATGTCACCTTGTTTGTCTTTAATTTTATTAGCAATTGATTTTGATAATTCCACCATTTCCTTAGCCTGTCAAATAAAAAGTAAAGACTGAAAAGCACTATTGTCCCCAAAATGTCTGCTAACAAAATATATTTCAAAAACTGTATCATAATTGGTATGAATTTAATAGGCATAAATGACATATACCTTGATCATTAGTTTGCTGAGGTCTTCAAAGGCCTGAAATGAGAAATGAATTTTGGTTGAAATCCATCTAAAGAATTAAAATGACTTAAAAAAATGAAGCACCCTCTATTTTTTCCCCATAAAAATTTGAAATTTTCAGCCGGGCGCAGTGGCTCACGCCTATAATCCCAGCACTCTGGGAGGCCGAGGCAGGCAGATCACGAGGTCAGGAGATCGAGACCATCCTGGCTAACACGGTGAAACCCCGTCTCTACTAAAAATACAAAAAAAATTAGCCGGGCGTGGTGGCGGGCGCCTGTAGTCCCAGCTACTCAGGAGGCTGAGGCAGGAGAATGGCGTTAACCCAGGAGGCGGAGCTTGCGGTGAGCCGAGATCGCGCCACTGCGCTCCAGCCTGGGCGACAAAGCAAGATTCTGTCTCAAAAAAAAAAAAAAAATTTAAATTTTCTTGCAAATATCAATTTGTTAATAACTATTTATATAAATAATAAATCTACCTTATTCTAAAATTTCATTTTAGCTAAAAAACCATACATTTTCCAAACAAACTGCAAAAGAACTTCACATTTTCAAAGAAAATAATTATTATTGATTAAATAAGCAAAAGGTGATATAAACAGTAGTTCAGAAAATATTATTTACTGTTATTTGAGAAAAGTAAGAAATTCTGTCACTGTCACTGGTTTTTTCTAAAATCATTTTCTAATAGGAAGTCTCTAAGAATCAAAAGCACTACAAAGCTTTCCTGGTTGAAAATGGCAATACACAGCTGCAGGAATAGTTCTCTGGGCACAATAATTTTGGCTTTAAACAGGTATTACTTAACTGAAACAGTAAGTTTAGCAAGTAAGATAATCAGTTTAAGTAAGATAATCAGCCTCTGATTATCATACTCATTATGCTTGTAGATATGGTGGCTATCACAAAAGAAAAACATTCAAATACCATCTAAATGTATCTACATAGAATCAACTGTTTAATTTGCTACAGCAAAAAACTACTTCAAAGGCCTCTTTGAATTTAAATATATTTATAATAAATTATTTCAAGTTACTGAAAATATACTCCCAGTGCAGAATCTTATCTAATTGATGCATACAGATGTTATTTTTTAAAACCAGTTAAGCAGCTTGTCATTAACTGAAATATCAGTCCATATGGTGGTCTGAAACATATAATAGTGGCTCTGATCAGCTTATGCCCATCTGCAGGAAAGCATCCCCCATCTGCAAAAGGATTTTGCTAAAAGAATAGTGTGTTGCGTATTCTTATGGCCAACTCACTAAGGTTAATAACTGAAAACAAAGGGGAATGTGCACACACCTAACAGGAATTTCCTTAGATAAACAAAAGGCTTAAACACTGGATTCTTATCAGCTAGAGCCAGCAGATGCAGGAAACCCTTTGTGAGAAACTCTGGGCGCCAGCTCTGAAACTAAGTCAATTCTAACATTTAAATAGAGGGCAAATCACACACCAACCTAGTTTTCAAAAATAAAACACACATTTTGCACACTTAGGTTTTTACTTTTAATATATAAGATATTAATAGATTTTTTTATCTGTGTAAAGAAAACTGGTAAAGATAACACTTTTAAATTGTATATGGTAAATCACTGTATTTATTATATTATGTTGCTGTAGAAAAAATAAGCTGAGAGTCCACAAAGAATATGTAAATAAGTCCTGTAAACTTATACATAGGCAATAAAAAAAGTAAATATTTTTGTGCCTTAGAAGAAATGTCTATAAATATTTTAAGTGATTATAAAACACAGAGAAAAGCTTCCTCACTTTTATTTTTATAATTATTATAAAATTTGGAATTAGTCAACTATCAAAAAATGAGTAAAGAAACTACCTACAATAAAAATTAAAGCAAAAGAGATGCACATATCCATTCTATAATTGCATCTGCCAGTTTATGGAACCTTGTATCCCTCTACCACACCTATAGTCAAATTTCCACTCCAATTTTGAGAAAAACAGCACCTGTTTTAAAACCAGGAGTACCCCCTTAAGCTGACTTACAGCATGATTTCTTACTTACTTTTAGTTATCACTTTGGCTATTAGCATCAGTAACTCAGTATATTCTTGATTTTCCACTTCAGTACTCTTGAATGTGCCTTGCATATTCCATTCCCTTTTCCTGGGTTCTTCTTATCCATGCTGGTCATCTGCTAGAGCCTATTCATCTTTCAGCCTTTGACTTCCATATTCCTGCTGCTAGCAAGCCCTCCGTGACCTCAACAGAAGTTAGGGATCATGTTATACACCCCTGCTGCAGCCTATATCTTCTCCTTGCAAGGTGTTTCTCCCACCGTGGATAATGCCTCTTTGCCTGCCTGTGTCTGTGCATCACCACAGTATCCACAGCCTCTGATACAAGGCCTGGCACAAAGTAGGGAGGAATATCTGCTGAATAAATTAATGATCTGCATGGTTAATGACCTGCTGAATAAATTAATGGTCCGTATGGTGAGCACAATGCTTATGTAGAATCCTTTGAACTATGTGACTCCAAAAAAATTAGACTGAAACAAAATAACTTACTTTATAAATTAAGAAAAACATTATTTTCAACATAACATTGAGTTAGTATGGCAGTATCAGAAAGAAAAATACAAGTAGCAATGCCAGGATCTAGGCAGGAGAAAGAAAAGAAAAGCAACAATGTAACCACAGACCTGAGAATGCAAGAGCCCCAAGAGAGCCAATAGGGATTCACCAGAAAGGAAGGCAGGCCAATTAGAGAACAGTGCCTAAAATGGGGAGGATGGTGCCTTCTTCAATTACGGGAGGGTCCACTATTAACCTTTTATTTCAAAATAATATCTAACATCTAAAAGATGTTAAGAAGATGATACAAGCTATGAAGGGTCAATATAAATCAGAAATAGGTGACAGGACTCAGGAAAGAATTAAAAATAAAAGAAAAAAATCATTTCAGAAATAAAGTCTACACTAGACATTAGTGAATAAACACAACAGATGAAACCTTCAAAGAGGTGAAAAAGAGGAAAACTTTCTAAATAAAAAAGAAATGAGGAAAGAAATGAAAAGCATTAGAGTCACAAATTGTGAAGAAAGGCAGTGAAACTGCAACATACAGCTAATAGGAGTCCCAGAAGAAAAAAAATCAAAGCAATTATTGAAAATTACAGGCTGGGCACAGTGACTCACGCCTGTAATCCCAGCACTTTGGGAGGCTGAGGCGACCGGATCACGAGGTCAGGAGTTCGAGACCAGCCTTGCCAATATGGTGAAACCCCATCTCTACTAAAAATATAAAAAATTAGCTGGGTGTGGTGGCACGCACCTGTAGTCCCAGCTACTTGGGAGGCTGAGGCAGGAGAATTGCTTGAACCCGGGAGGCAGAGGTTGCAGTGAGCCAAGATTGCGCCACTGCACTCCAGCGTGGGCAACAGAGCAAGACTCCATCTCAAAAAAAAAAAAAGTAAGTTATAATGCAGAAAAATTTCCCTGAAATTAAAAAATTCCTGAAACTATATACTGAAAAAGCACAGCACGCACCTAAGAATAACAACTCAGAATGACTAATACACAGACACATTCTAGTAAAATTACTGGGCTTTAAAGTAAAATTTAAAAATCCTTTGCCCATCTAGGAAAAACAGCAAGTGTCTTTTAAGGGGAAAAAATAAAATTATCATCACTCTTTGATAGCAACACTTCATGCCAGACCAAAAAAAAAAGAAAGAAAGTAATATAATGAAGGCACTCAAAGAAAGAAAATGTGAGCTGAGGATTTTAAATCCAAGAAAACTGACCTTCATGTATAAGGAAGACAAACATGGCAGATACAGGGAATATTGTTCCTATGATCATTTCCTTAAAAATCTACTACAGAATGAGGCTTCAGACAACCAAAGCGACCACAGAGAGCTCAGCATAAGGACTAGTGGTACTAAACATGGAGGTACTTATAAAACTAAGAGTCAATGAGAGCTGGAGCTGAGGCAGAGAGTGTATGTAGTGGCTGTATGCTCAGACAGCGTAAACACAGTGCACCTATTTTTCAAATGTACAAAGAATGGGGAAAACACATAAAATTTTTTTTCAACTGCTTTAGTAATTATCTGGTAGTGTCATCTTAAATTTGAATAGAAAAGATAAGTACGCTCTTGTTAGGCACTTTATATTAACAACAACAAAATTCTAGCTCTGTCCATTGAAAAAGCCTAGAAACAAAGATCAACCCAATACTGATGAATATTACTAGCAGGCAGATTGTGGTTCTGAAATATCATTTCCCACTAAAAGAAACCAGAGCGGTCTGGGCGCGGTGGCTCATGCCTGTAATCCTAGCACTTTGGGAGGCCGAGGCAGGCGGTTCACGAGGTCAGGAGTTCGAGAGCAGCCTGACCAACATGGTGAAACCCCGTCTCTACTAAAAATACAAAAATTAGCTGGGCACAGTGGTGCGCGCCTGTAATCCCAGCTACTCGGGAGGCTAAGGCAGGAGAATCGCTTGAATCCGGGAAGCAGAGGTTGCAGTGAGCCAAAATAGCGGCACTGCACTCCAGCCTAAGCGACAGAGTAAGACTCTGTCTCAAAAAAAAAAAAAAAAAAAAGAAAGAAAGAAACCAGAGTTTCTCAGATAAATGGTTGATTCCGGATCTGAGGCAGGAAATGTACAAGATGGTCCTGGAGCTTTTGCAACACCAGATAGTGAAGAAGCTAGCAAAGTTCACCTAGTCACAACAAAAGCACTTAGAGGGCCAACTTGAAGCAGCTCCCACTGGCCAAAGATGGGACAATTTGAGCTTCAAATAGGATAATAATTATAACTGATTGAAATCCATCAAATATGCTAAACTCCATGAATTCATAATGACATGTTAAAAAAAACCTAATTAGTTGGCTGGGCGCGGTGGCACATGCCTGTAATCCCATCACTTTGAGAGGCCGCGGCGGCGGATCACGAGGTCAGAAGATTAAGACCATCCTGTCTAACATGGTGAAACCCCGTCTCTACTAAAAATACAAAAAATTAGCCAGGTTTGGTGGCGGGCGCCTATAGGCCCAGCTACTCGGGAGGCTGAGGCAGGAGAATGGCGTGAACCTGGGAGGCAGAGCTTGCAGTGAGCCAGGATCGAGCCACTGCACTCCAGCCTGGGCGACAGAGCAAGACTCTGTCTCAAAAAACAAAACAAAACAAAACAAAAAAACAAACAAACCTAATTAGTCATCGTCAAAAGATAATAAGGAAACAATTTATTACCCTGATGATAAAGGAAAATGCAATTATCCTGCCTTTCCTATATGAACTGGACAACCAAATAGTAGATAAGGGAAACATTTCTTTAAAAAGTATTCCAACTAATAAATGAAAAATAAACACAGAATTATCACTATTTACCACCACCAATGAACTAATAGATCTAGGCACTGAATATTAACAGCTGCTAACATGACAGAGATAAGATGTGCCTCTGACGAAAGAACACAGCATCACCTCTAGTTTTGCCAAACGGACAGAACATGAGTGTGACAGAGATTCTGGATCCAGCTGCCAATTTGGGGAAAATACAGGGTTGAGGAAAATATACAACTTCACCACAGATACATATCCAGAAAAACCTACTATGGGCACTTAATAGGTCAAATGCCCTTGGTTCCCCAACAGTAATCTATATTTTCAATTAGTGAGCCCAAAATAAGTATTTAAATAACTATTTGTAGTTTTAGACTTTACTTGATTGACATAAATCTTTGAAATTCTCTGAAAAGCAACCATCAACAGAATTTTACTTATGAATTACTATAAAAACCAAAGATTTACTTTAAAGCATCATTTCATAAAAAACCAAGACCATTTTTATATAAACATGGAAAAACCAGTGATATGTTTAGCTGTATTAACTAATTACAGAATCTAATGCATAACTGGTCTTTTTAGCTAGAGTTCTTTCCCCTTCTCTTGAATTTCCTCATATATCATGAAGCCTCAGAAACACTGGAATGTACATGCTCAGGGTTGTCCCCCAGTAGAAGTGATGGGCTGCTTTGAGCCGTTCTTACTGATGTCTGGTCTGATCCCTGGGTGGTCATCAACATAAAATGGTGTGGTATCTGGCCACAGACTGGCCACAGAATAGCATTTTTCTCTCAACTAAGTTACTTCAACTTCCAAAATAATTATACAGAGAACCCTGAACTCATTAGGAGTATCCGCCAATCAATTTCATCTAGACTGTAAAATCTACACACAACATTTTATGATGTTTTCTAACAGCAAACAAATTTGCATTTCTTTTTTATTCCTTTTAGAAAAAGGTTTTGGTTAGATTTTGCCAGCCCGAGGTAGACCTGTTAAAGAGAATAGGAGACTATGTAGCTTCAGGCAAATGAAATATATTCTAAATTACAGAAGGGAATTAGGCACAGCTGTATCTAAAAGAATAGACACAAATGGCTGGAATAGATGGAGAGCCAGAATTTAACAGTTACCTCAGAAATGTTTTTGTCAGTTTCTTTTCTTTTTTCTTCCAGTTTCCTTTCAATACCTACAATTCCTACAGCCCTTATTCTTCCTGGCTGAAAAAAAAAAGAGGTAGAAAATAAAACATACAAAATAGGAAGGAAACAAAATCTTTTGTAACCAACCACATTGTGTTTTCAATGGCGGGAAAGGACCTACAAAGAACCAAAGAAAAACAGCATACACGGACATTTAGCTTCCCTTCAAAACATGTGTTTGTTTCTTGCTGTACATAATGATCTTAAAATCATTCAGGAAAAACCAAATATACAATAAATGGCATATTTTACTCTGCATTTTAGAGATAAGTTAAATTTCCTATCATTTTCCTTCTTTGGCAAGCTATTACGTATCAGATACTTAATAGGGTCTCAAATGTACAAAAAAAATCACAGTTTAAATTTTGGTTCTTAATTAAGTTATTATTCAAGCTACTTTCATACATTTGAGTACCTGTCTAGTGTTGGTGATTAATTTAGACAGGCCTGGAAAACATTACCCAGCTGTACTGTCTATTCTCTCAAATGTCACACTGATTATGAAGAACAGAATGCAGTGAGTGAACCCTACCTTCTATCACCCTAAGAATTACGCTGGTAAGCAGTCATTTATGTTTACTAAGCGTCTGCTGTATAGACAGCACTAAATTAGGTGCTGTGAAAATAATTTTTTTTTTCTTTTTTTGAGACGGAGTCTTGCTCTGTCGCCCAGGCTGAAGTGCAATGGTGCAATCTTGGCTCACAGCAACCTCCGCCTCCTGGGTTCAGGTGACTCTCCTGCCTCAGCCTTCTGAGCAGCTGGGATTACAGGCGTGCACCAACCTGCCTGGCTAATTTTTGTATTTTTAGTAGAGACAGGGTTTCACAATGTTGGCCAGGCTGGTCTTGAACTCCTGACCTCATGATCCACCCCGCCTTGGCCTCCCAAAGTAGTGGGATTACAGGCGTGAGCCACCGCGCCCTACCGAAAATAAATTCTTTATAAGAATACCATTGCAGTATTTTGTTTTGGGCAAGTTCTACAATCACAGAGTCTTTTTCTTAATGAAGATGTAAGTACAGAGTTGAAAATACTGGATTAGCAAATAGTTTTAAAAATACCTGGGGTCCTCTATTTGTTTGTAATGACTGGGAAACTGGCATATTCTCCCATCTTCTTTGTGTCATTTCCTCTGATAAACGCCTGTAAAACTGATACGCAAATAAATACACTTTAAATGACTCAGTCAGATTGTAACATCCTTGTATAAATCATTACTTAACATTTCTTTCTTTTTTTCTTTTTTTTTTTTTTTTTGAGGTGGAGTTTTGTTCTTGTTGCCCAGGCTGGAGTGCAATGGCGTGATCTAGGCTCACCACAACTTCCGCCTCCCCGATTCAAGTGATTCTCCTGCCTCAGCCTCCCAAGTAGCTGGGATTACAGGCATGTGCCACCACACCCAGCTAATTTTGTATTTTTAGTAGAGATGGGGTTTCTCCATATTGGTCAGGCTGGTCTTGAACTCTCGACCTCAGGTGATCTGCCCGCCTCAGCCTCCCAAAGTGCTGGGATTATAGGTGTGAGCCACCGCGCCCGGCCACTTAACATTTCTTCAGTATAAAAGTCTGTTCAGTCATTTGCAGCAAGCCCAGAATTCTCAGAGACATCAAAGAAAATCAAAGGAAGTTCTTTTCTTGGATCAGCTTCAGAAAGCACAAGGGAAAAAAAAAAAGAGAAGGAACTGACCTTCTATATAAAGTGGGCTATTCTCAACAAAGAGATGAGTGACAATGAAATCAATAGACTTACTTTAAACAATCCTGTGTATGTGGATTGTTTTCGATCTATAATGAAACAAACACAGTGCCAGGAAAAATATACAACCATTCTCCATGAAGGAAGCAGAGAATCATTTGTCTAGTTAAAATATAAAACCAAAAAGTAGGACCAAAACATACCTATGCTCACAAATAATCAAATATATTTTTCAACTTCAATGAGAAAAACTTTAGTCAATCACTTATATCTGCTTAGTGATCACTTGTCAGGAGCACTGGGTGAGGTGATATAGAAAAAAATTAATAATAATTTATGATATTGATGGGGAGAATAAATACGCACTTCTAATTATCTTAAGAATTCTTGTACAGCAACTTATTCAGAACATACAAACTATTATACTGCAGAATAAGTACTTAAGTGATTAAGATTAACTGGAGTTAATCAAGACAGACAGCCTGATTTAAAGCTGGGGAACCTTCAGATACTGAGATAGTTCAACATACCACTGCATTTACACTCTGTTCCTTTAACTAAACTATACCACTGAAAACTCTGCTAGCAGGCGAATGGCATGACTTAGTGTATTTTCCAGCCTCTGTTCCTTCCTTGGGAACACAACCTCTGCTTCCCATTCCCACTGAAACCTAAACTTCATATTCTCCACTCACTGCTAAGGCTTAAGATATAATAAAAATTTTATTGTAAAAATATGGTGAAATCTGGTATGTTGTATAATACTACCTTCCATCATATTAACAAGCCACAACACACACACACACACACACACACACACACACACACCTTTCTAGTACGATTTTATTCATGTAGAAACTTACCTCAATCTGGCCATGTTCTTTGAAGGAGAGTTTGATGTAGGAGTTCTTACTACTCTGGAATGGGCCAGGTTCTTTGTTAGGAGGAGCTGGGTGAAGATGAACCACTATTTTGGCACTGAAGAAAGAACAAATGTAATATATTGAATTGTCTTTCAAAAAAATATAACTAATTCTACTTTTATAACTTTTTATGTATTTCAAATCACTTTTAAAATTCATGTAGAAACAAACATCCCAAAAAGCATCCTTTTAAAGTGTGTATTAATTCAATATTAATGAAGCTTTCAAAAATCTCTCTACTTAAAACTTGAACCAAAGCTATGAACCAAAAAGCTTCAAGTTACTAGCTCTGTAGATTAGAGTGTGACTTTAGAAAATAAGGTCAAAATAAATTTGCAAAATTTTGAGTTTATGATTATGGTTTTCCAACTACAAACGTCCCCAGAGGTTATAAGGGGGCCTATAATTTCTGCCAAAGCATACACCCTTATTCATTTGAAAACAAAATGTGAAAACTTATCTGTAAAAATGGCCAGCTGATATTTTATTAAAATTCCATCCAAAACTAACATTCTACAGTATCATTTGTTGGAAAATGCCACTCAATCAACAGCATGATCTAGAAAGATATCCAATAACAAAAACAATTCCCAAAATGCTGTGGCTCTAAGAACACAAACTACCATTATCTTTATGACTATCATAATCTTCTATGCTATTAAAAATACCACTATATTTGGTCAGCTTAATAAGTCTGTTTTCCTCCTTTTTTTTTTTTCTACCTAGTCAATAAGCAATCTTCTATAAAGATTTGGGAAACTAAAAAACTCAAAGTATCCCGGGTACCTAGTTTAGTGCTTTTTCTTTATTGATCATGCTATAGATACACACCTACCACTCAATTTTACTTTTCTTTTTTTGGAACCATATGGTTACCTAAAGATCACTGTAAAATTGAAACACCAGGCATTGGGCCTCCTCAATGTGAATGGGTGGGGCCAGCCTTGTAAGGACTCCTCCTATTCCCTTGTGGTAAACTTCTTTAAGTGAAGTGAGAAAATAAACTATGTGAGCAGAATCATAGAACTGTCTGAAACAAACCATCAAGTAGAGCAACAAAACTATGACAATTAAGATAACTAAGCAAAAGCATTTCATAGTCTCTGAAACTAAAAAAAAACGCTCAGCCCTACTATCAGATTGTGTGAAAGGACACCCAATGAAAAACTAATGAGTATAATCGAAAAAAGTTTAAAAGCTCCACAGTAAGCATAAAAAGTCTATGCCAAGTTTTGTGTACATTCTTTTATCAAGTCATCCAATTACTATACTTCATTAAATTTTAAATTTATGAAATAAAGCCGGGCGCGGTGGCTCATGCCTGTAATCCCAGCACTTTGGGAGGCTGAGGCGGGTGGATCATGAGGTCAGGAGATCAAGACCATCCTGGCTAACACGGTGAAACCCCGTCTCTACTAAAAATACAAAAAATTAGCTGGGCATGGTCGTGGGCGCCTGTAGTCCCAGCTACTCGGGAGGCTGAGGCAGGAGAATGGCGTGAACCTGGGAGGCGGAGCTTGCAGTGAGCCAAGATAGTGCCACTGCACTCCAGCCTGGGCAACAAAGCAAGACGCTGCCTCAAAAAAAAAAAAATTATGAAATAAAAAAAGCATCTTCAGAGATGTTAAAAGGTGAAACGTACACATCTTGAAATCAATGCAAATATAACTGTTTGAGGGGAGGGGCTGGGAACTAAAGAGAATACTTGAAAAGTAACTTGGCATATTACTGAAGTCCTCCTCACTGGACATGTTTAAAAAATAAGACACTAACGTGAAGGTAAATATTTTAAATTTTTTTTTTAGTTTAGATTTCCTTGGAACACAGGAAAGGAAAATTCAGATAACCTGGAACAACCTTAAAGTTTACTTTTTAGAACTTAATACAATGGAGAAAATTGATAAGGGGAAAATATAAATCATAAGAACAACCTACCCTAAAAATCTATGGCTTAAAAAAAATCTATGGCTTATTAATCTTTTTAAAACGTTGGTTAGTTTCTTTTATATCAAATAAATAATCTTTTACAGTAAATCATAACATTATGATCAAGGCATGCATTGCATGTCCAGTGAAGCTCAACATTGTTTAACTTCTACTGAAGTGCCTAATTATGCTAAACCTAAAGATAAGCCTACATAGGAAAAAAATATCCCATGCCGATAATATTTGTTCATGTCTCCTCAATTACATTCACTTAAAATATAAAGCCAAGTTTTCGGTACATTTGAATAAACAGGAACATTTGAACTTACGCCTTTATACCAGAGTGGCCTCATCTCCTGGTGTGCCTGGGATAGTCCCATTGTATCCCTGTTACCCTGGTCTAATTGTTCATTGTACCCCCTATTATTCTGATAAATGTCCTGCTTTGTACAATAACTATTATTATATGCTGTTTAATTCTGCTACCTGAACAAGTCAAACTTGAGAAACAAACTTAATGATCAGGCTAGAAACAGGAGCAAAGTCAGTTATTTTTCTCAAATAGGTTATTTCCGATTTTAAGTATGAAATGACAGGTACACAGGGATGTGAAAGCAAAGTGTCTACGGAAAGACAATGATAACTGGGCCACATTTCTTTATTATGACCCATGTATAATAAACAAGGATATTACAGCAAACCTTAGCTTTATTCATGCTTTAAGAATGGATTCGTACATCAAGTCTAAGATAGGACCTCTTGGCCAATAGCATAACAGGAAATGTTTTCTGTGAATAAAGACTGTGCTATACACAGACTTACCTCTTCCCAATTCCAGCCGCCTGTTCTTCAATGAACACAATTTGGGAAAGGAGAATGGCCATGCAACACTCCTAGGAGGAAATCAATAGCTTAAATGAAAGACTCTAAACAACATCCATAACACTTGTCAGAAATCCTTGTTTTATAGCATTACAGTGCCATATGCCTTAATAATAAAAATAATGAAAAACAATAATGATTTTACTCCTTAAATGAACTTAAGGAAAAATTAAATGAAAACAGTAATGTGGTGGCATTTGGCTGCATGGAAGAACATAAGAAGTTTAAAAGAAGCTGTAACTAGCTTTTGTTTTTACAATGGGTGTATTTTCTTTATTATTATTATTTTTTAATTTATTTTTTTTTGAGGCGGAGTCTCACTCTGTCACCCAGGCTGGAGTGCAGTGGCGTGATCTCGGATCACTGCAAGCTCTGCCTCCTGGGTTAACACCATTCTCCTGCTTCAGCCTCCCGAGTAGCTGGGACTACAGGTGCCCGCCACCACGTCCGGCTAATTTTTTTGTATTTTTAGTAGAGACGGGGTTTCACCATGTTAGCCAGGATGGTCTCGATCTCCTGACCTCGTAGTCCACCTGGCTCGGCCTCCCAAAGTGCTGGGATTACAGGCGTGAGCCACCGCACCCAGCCACAATGGGTGCATTTTCTAAGAGTAATATTTCTATGAAAACATTTTACTCGTAATATTTTCTTACACTGAAAGCAAAAAACAAATCAGATACATCAAGATAATTTTAAGGAGGGCATTTATGTAGATGACTTTCTCTTCTTTATAATTTTCCATACTTCACTCATATGCCCATATACAATTATTAACAGTTTTAAACAGAAAATATTGATGTAGTATCCCTTTATTCATATGTTTAATTTTTTTTTTTTTTGAGATGGAGTCTCGCTCTGTTGCCCAAGCTGGAGTGCAGTAGTACAATCTAGGCTCACTGCGACCTCCACCTCCCAGGTTCAAGTGATCCTCCCACCTCAGCTTCCCAAGTAGCTGGGATTATAGATGTGAGCCACCATGCCTGGCTCATTTTTGTATTTTTAGGAGAGAAGGACTTTCACCATGTTGGCGAGGCTAGTCTCGAACTCCTGACCTCAAGTGACCCCCCTGCCTCGGCCTCCCAAAGTACTGGGATTTACAGGCATGAGCCACTGTGTCTAGCCAGTATGTTTAATTTTTAATTTTTATTTTTTTGAGACTGAGTTTCACTCTTTTTGCCCAGGCTGGAGTGCAATGGCGCAATCTTGGCTCATCACAACCTCTGCCTCCCAGGTTCAAGCAATTTTCCTGCCTCAGCCTCCTGAGTAGCTGGGATTACAGGCATGTGCCACCATGCCTAGCTAATTTTGTATTTTTAGTAGAGACAGGGTTTCTCCACGTTGGTCAGGCTGGTCTCAAACTCCCAACATCAGGTGATCCGCCCGCCTCAGCCTCCCAACGTGCTGGGATTACAGGCATGAGCCACTGCGCCTAGCCCAATTTTTAACATATATAAACAGTTATGTTTAATTTTTATATGTGACTAGCAATGTAGTAAGTCTAAAATTTGTCCAAATTGACCTCTTTATATGATAATCAAAAAATTATACTAAGATTAACTTATCAACATATGGTTTAAGGACATCCACTCTATCCTCCCCAAAAAGATTTATTTTCTGAATATATATTACTTTTAAAAGGATTAGACAATATTAACAGTCTAAGGCAGCAGTCCCCAACCTTTTGTGTATCAGGGACCAGTTTCATGGAAGACAGTATTTCCTGGGGAGCAGGGGTTGTGGTTTCAGGATGAAACTGTTCCACTTCAGACCATCAGGCATTAGACTCTCAAAGGGAGGGCATGACCTAGATCCCTTGCATGCACAGTTCACAATAGGGTTCCTGCTCCTATGAGAATCTAATGCGTCTGCTGATCTGATGGGAGGTGGAGCTCCGGTGGTAATGCTTGCTTACCTGTCACTTATCCCTGCTATGTGACCCAGTTCCTAACAGGCCACAGACCAGTACTGGGGGTTGGGGGGTTGGGGACCCCTGCTCTAAGGCATGCATTATCAACAGGGGCAATATCAGACCTAGGAGACAAAAATTAGTTCCCAGGTACAAAAAAGTCAGATATTGTAATGGTTAGCAGCCCTTCAAGTGCTACAGTACAGTATATAGTTTATTTGTGGTACTAAAATTTCACAGGGGTCTGGGGGAACAATCAGGAAAATAAAAACAGATGAGATAGCTATCTTACTGGCAACACTGAGATTAATGTATATACACTTTCAGGTTGAAGCTCTTGGGAATAAAGATATCAGCTCTATATACATATAATTCTCCTCCTTCCCAAAAACAAAAGACAAAAAACAGGTTGGGCAAGGTGGCTCACGACTGTGATCCCAGCACTTTGGGAGGCCGAGGTGGGCAGATCACGAGGTCAGGAGTTAGAGACCAGCCTGAACAACTTGGCTAAACCCCGTCTCTACTAAAAAATGCAAAAATTAGCCGGGCGTGGTGGCACGCACCAGTAATCCCAGCTACTCAGGAGGCTGAGGCAGGAGGATCACTTGAACCTGGGAGGCGGAGGTTGCAGTGAGCCGAGATTGCGCCACTGCACTCCAGCCTGGGCGAAAGAGCGAGACTCCATCTCAAAAAAAAGGGGGGGATGCGTGGGGGACTCCTCTTGCTGAGTGACTTAGAGACAGATCTCATTATCTAGGTAAAAGCATGCACTTGATGGCAGGCCTAGCCTCCTGATTCTCAACAACCTAGGACAACCAGTGGTTTTAAGGACATACCAGCTCTTTGTAAAGACTCCCTCACAACTGATGGGGGAATTATTCCACTGTTACACATGGAACATTTAGATATAGAGTAGAATTTGACTAGTATTTAAAAAACATGATTCTCCATCCAGTAACTACATGGATTTTTCTGGAGCTGAATAAGGGACGACACGCTAACTCCTGTTTTTGCACTCCATTCAGAGAAATTACATGGGACACACTCTTTTGTCATTCAGAAAAGTAAAATTTATTATTGCATTCATTATATAAGTTTTATTAGAAATGAAAAAAGAAGAAAAAGCTCCAGTTGATTTAAAACCTACAATGGTGGCTCACTCCTGTAGCCCCGGCTACTCGGGAGGTTGAGGCCAGGAGAATCACTTGAGCCCAGAGGTTACAGATCAGCCTAGGCAATACAGCGAGACCCTGTCTCTAAAAAATAAATAAACAAAATAAAACCTACAACAGATGCAAAAAACTGTATCTTACATGATTTTTCTGATCTCTCCAAATCAGTCGGTGTGTACTAAGAAGGAGAGTCCCAGCATCAAATTTTATCTAGAAAGAAAGAGCATCACAAAATATTAATAACATATCACTCATTGTGGTTCCGATTTTCTTCTTCATGAATTATACCACACTAAATTAATCATATAAACAAACATTTTACTTTTAGAATAGGCTTATCACAAATTAAAGAGAACCAATGCTACATACTTCATAAGCTATTTGTATAGTCTTGACAGAATTAGAAAAAAATGCAAACAACAACCAGGTATGATACACATTCATACTCTGCAATGCATGCAAAGGTTAAAAAGAAATGACGAGGTAGAACTGCATGGATTACCATAGAACTCTAAGACATTGGATGAGTGGGAAAGAAAGTGATTTACAGCAATTTATAATATTACATATGCAGTATATGTGTGTGTCTGCAGACACACAAGTAGTGAAAGGGGTCTAAAAGGAACACAATTATCTGTTAACAATCATTATCTCAGAAAAAGTGTGAGGAAAGGGGTAGAAGGGAAGCAAAGAGCTCTTTTGTACCTCTACACTTTACCCTGATTGAATTTCTTTGCAATTGAATTCATGTATAACACTCATAACATTTTTTAATGAAAACAAAATCCAGGAATAGACACAAATACATACAAAAATAAATATGGATGGAGATTCAATCAATGGCAGTGGGACAACTGGGTTGCCAGGTAGGAAAAAGAAAAACCCACACATCTGGATTTATACCTAATACAATGCACCAAAATGAATTCTAGAAGGATCAAACAATTGAGTAAAAAACGAAAAAAATTATAAAAGCACTCGAAAAAAATCATGAGATAATTTTTAAAATAATCTGAGGGGAGAAGACCTTTCTAAGAAGGCATAAAACCCATTAGCATTAAACAAAAACCCCCAAATTCATATGTTGAAGCCCTAACCCTCAATGCGATGGTATTTGGCAATGGAGCCTTTGGGAAGTGATTAGGTTTAGAAGTTCATGAGGTGGGGCCCTCATGATGGGACTAGTATCCCTATAAGAAGAGGAAGAGACAGGAGGGCTTCCTCTCCATGAACACGTGCTGACAAAAGACCATGCAAGTACACAGGGAAATGGTGGCCATCTGCAAGCCAGGAAGAGTGCCCTTACCAAGAACCAAATCTGCCAGCACCTTGATCTTAGACTTCCCAGTCTCCAGAACTATGAGAAATAAATGCCTGTTGTTTAAGCCACCCAGGCTATGCTATTCTGTTTTAGCAGCTGAGCTGACTAGGACATACTCTTTGAGTATGTATCACCTATTCAAAATATAAATTTTTAAATGTTCTTCAAAACTACAATACAATCACAAAGAAATGCCAGCTGGGTCTTCAGGACCAAAACTTTAACCCTTACTACTTGTTATTATGCCCTGAAAGTTACATAAATAAGCAAATTTTAGAGTTGGAACCCAAGAGATTAATAAATTAAACCCCTGTGTTTCTGTTAAAAGCAAGATATATATTGGAAGCTATTAACTCGAGTTACCAGAAAGTGGAATTTGCCACAAGGTAGGACTTCCTTGTGTCCTTTCCAGGAATATCCAGTTATTTTAAAAGTTATATCTGATCCTAAGTCTGAGCTAATAAAAAAGAAAAACAACAACAAAAAACAGTTACAAGGATAGTCCCATTTATAAGGCAGCCTTACAACATAAATTCTAAGGAAAGCATTTTAGTGAGTGTCCAGTTTATTAAAATAAGACTGGAATTGTTTTGAGTTTAAAATAATATGTTAAAAATATGGCCGGGTGCCATGGCTCACGCCTATAATCCCAGCACTTTGGGAGGCCAAGGCGGGTGGATCACGAGGTCTGGAGATCGAGACCATCCTGGCTAATATGGTGAAACCCCGTCTCTACTTTAAAAAATACAAAAAATTAGCCACGTGTGGTGGCGGGTGCCTGTAGTCCCAGCTACTCGGGAGGCTGAGGCAGGAGAATGGCATGAACCCGGGAGGCGGAGCTTGCAGTGAGCCGAGATCGCGCCACTGCACTCCAGCCTGGGTGACAGAGCAAGACTCCGTTTAAAAAATACATATATATACATTTTTATATAAATACATATACATATATATGTATAAAAATATATATATTTATATATAAATACATATACATATATATGTATATATACACATATATATACACACACACATATATATATGAAAAGTAAATAAATTGGAGCATTACTATATATCATTCTTAAACAATAAATTATTTATGCGGTTGATAATAAAGAGACTTATGATATTAATACAGAAAAAAGCAGGTCTCAAAATATATATAGCATGACTCCACACACAGAATACGCTAAAAGTAACTGCTTATGGGTAGTAGGATTATTGATTATTTCAAGTTCCTCCTTTGGCCTATCCATATTTAACAACTTTGTTACATGTCTAATAAATAAAAAAATCGATCACAGGCATGTATAACTTCATGTAACTCTGAACTATATATAAATCATTTTTTGTTAAATCAAGCACACATAGGAACATATGTCAAAAAGTCCTTGCATAATAAATAACACACTTCTTGACATACATTTTAAAAAACTGTTTTCTAAGAGTAAGGTCTGATTGTATTATTAATAGCATTAAGTAGTAAATAATATGGTTAGTAAACTTTAATGATAACAGACCTTCTGAACCATCTAGTCTAAATACACTTCATGAGAGATTGTCCCACCAACAAACTTCAACATGTCAGAGAATAGACCTTATGAGTCCATGTTTTTCTCAGAATCAGAAATAAAACATATGTACTTCTGGCACTTAGTTCAGTCTGGCTTCAAACATTTTGGTTAATCTCATCTATGCAAAACCAAATAACTAAGTTTACAATATTTTTTAAATCTCTTCTTTGCCAATGAGTAAATTTCCCTTCTCCAAAAGCAAATATTTAATTATCTTAAGAGTACATAATGCTGGCCGGGCGCGGTGGCTCATGCCTGTAATCCCAGCACTTTGGGAGGCCGAGGAAGGCGGATCACGAGGTCAGGAGATCGAGACCATCCTGACTAACACGGTGAAACCCCGTCTCTACTAAAAATACAAAAAATTAGCCAGGCTTGGTGGCGGGCACCTGTAGTCCCAGCTATTCCGGAGGCTGAGGCAGGAGAATGGCGTGAACTCGGGAGGTGGAGCTTGCAGAGAGCTGAGATCGTGCCATTGCACTCCAGCCTGGGTGACAGAGGGAGACTCCGTCTCAAAAAAAAAAAAAAAAAGGCCGGGCGCAGTGGCTCACGCCTGTAATCCCAGCACTTTGGGAGGCCTAGGCGGGCGGATCACGAGGTCAGGAGATCAAGACCATCCTGACTAACACGGTGAAACCCCGTCTCTACTAAAAATACAAAAAAAAAATAGCCGGGTGTGGTAGCGGGTGCCTGTAGTCCCAGCTACTTGGGAGGCGGAGGCAGGAGAATGGCGTGAACCCGGGAGGCGGAGCTTGCAGTGAGCGGAGATCGCGCCACTGCACTCCAGCCTGGGCGACAGAGAAAGACTCTATCTCAAAAAAAAAAAAAAAAAAAAAAAAAAAAAGGCCGGGCACCTTGGCTCACGCCTGTAATCCCAGCACTTTGGGAGGCCGAGGCAGGCAGATCAAGAGGTCAGGAGTTCAAGACCAGCCTGACCAACATGGTGAAACCCCGTCTCTACTAAAAATAAAAAATAAAAAATAAAAAAAAAAATTGCCGGGCGTGGTGGCGGGCGCCTGTAATCCCAGCTACTGGGGAGGCTGAGGTAGGAGAAACGCTTGAACCCGGGAAGCAGAGGTTGCGGTGAGCCAAGATCGCACCACCGCACTCCAGACTGAGCAACAGAGCGAGATTCCGTCTGAAAAAAAAAAAAAAAAGTACATAATGCTGCATTATAGAACATATAGTTCTGATTAAGAAACTTCGTATGTTATCTTACTGAAATCCAAGCACATACATGTTAATTTAAGGCTGGAGCCAGCCTATGTTCCACTGCTACCTCAATTAACAATGTGCAAATGTAAAATGTTGCTGCTCTAAGTGAAGAAATTGTGTAACAGTTCCCTTTCAGGATTCCAGTGGATTAAGATCTAAACCTGATAGTCAAGTTTAGGCTGGTTTGCTTACACCACTCAGAACCTAGAATAATTTTAACTGCTTAAAAATTGATCTAACTTCAGCACTCACTGAAAAGTTCTTAACCTGCTTTTTTTTTTAATTTACATTTTTTCTGTTATAAAAGTCATACATGTTCAGTGTTGAAAATCTCGAAAATATTTAGAGCCTGAAAAAGAAAATGAAATAATAACTCATACCAGCCAGAGTGTGTATGTATATATACACAGATGTTTATGTATACATATATAACCTTTAAATAGAATGATAGGTTTATAACTATTATTAATAGTATAGTTAGAAAATATAGTTAGCAGCCTATCATTGGCAATTCCTCATGCTAATTAGGGCATGCCATAATTTTTTTTTTTTTTTTTGAGATGGAGTTTCTTGTTGCCCAGGCTGGAGTGCGATGGTGCGATCTGGGCTCACAGCAACCTCTGCCATCCGGGTTCAAGCCATTCTCCTGCCTCAGCCTCCCAAGTAGCTGGGATTACAGGCACCCGCCACCACGCCCAGCTAATTTTTTGTATTTTTAGTAGAGACGGGGTTTTACCATGTTGGCCAGGCTGGTCTTAAACTCCTGACCTCAGAGGATCTACCCGCCTCAGCCTCTCAAAGTGCTGGGATTACAGGCATGAGCCACCACGCCTGGCCCCATGCCATAATTTAATTAACCAATCCCTATGGTGGACATTCAGATTGCTTCCAATTTTTCCATATATAATAATATTATATGTAATACATAATAATGCTGAGATGAGCATTCTCATATGTAATATTTTTATGCATTTCTGATTATTTCCCAAGGGTAAATTCCTAAAAGTGAGTTAGCTGAAAAAGAATAAACAATTTTCTAAATCTTCTGATATATGCTGCCAACTTGCCACTTTACACATTACTAACCTTACATTATTTTTTAAATTGGCTGAGGCTACAGAAGTGTCTGTGAAGTCAAACAAATGACCTGTCTACACTGCTTATGAAAGTAACACATTATCTAGTCATAATGAGCCCATGAAAACTGTGCCTGTATAAACAAGCGAGTCTGCATGTATTCATAAGAGGCACTTGGGCGTGGGAAGAGCAGTCCATTGGATCTGGTTTGCAATTCTAGCTCTACCAGTTACTAGTTGTGTGACCTTAGACAGCTCACAGTTTTCTCAGCTATCACCTGTGGGGTCTCAGTTCCCCATCTTTGGGAAGATTAGCTGTATTAAACATTATATCAAGGGTGACACCGGTGACTGCTACATTATGAAGTCATTTTTTTTTTTTTTTGAGACAGAATCTCGCTCTGTTGCCTAGGCTGGAGTGCAGTGGCACAATCTCGGCTCACTGTAGCTCCATGAACAAAGCACAGGCTTTGAGTCTGATCAACAGAGATTTAAATCTTCTCTCTGTGGATCTTAGGCAAGTCACTGTATCTCTTGGCGTTACTTTCTCATTCAGTAAAATACCTCATATTCTGATGAGAGGATTAAATGAGATGATATATACAGCTCTTGGCTCATAGTACTTTAATTATTCGGGTTTAAAAAAAATGTGTTTCACACCCACAACCAGCTAGGAGATACAAGGATGAGCAAGGCACACCTTCTGTGCTCCAGAAACATCAGACTAGTCTAGAAGACAGCCATGCACATGCTTGCCCAGGGAATGGGTTGGGATGCAAAACTATGAATATTAAGCAATCTGGACTGCAGTCCCTAGGCCAAAGGAGCCAGTGAGGCATCCTAAAAGGGAGACTAATTTCACCAGATTTGGGGGCTAATGTGTGTAACCTTGTAAAGTCTCTAGCACCACAGGAGGTCTGGAAACCTTCCAAAAGATGAAGGAAGCCAGGATACCGCACCTTCCCCCAGGAGTCAGCCTGTGCCCCATTCAGCCTAGGGACCGCATAGCTGCAAGGCAGCTCAGCAAGTCACTAAGTCCAGCTTTGGGGCACAGTGGTAAGGAGACTCCTCTTAGAGCTCCACTCCAATTTCAAGCTTTTAGAAGAGTTAATTCTGGACTAGATCACAGGGTCTAAAGCAATGTTTTCCCCATGATTTGTTTCTTAAACCTCTGACATCTATATACTTGTCTGCTAATACAAGCAGCAAAAATTTTAAAGTAAAAATTAAAACTTGCTGCTTCAACAATGTATCTTTCATATAAAACTACTAATGGTTGTTATTTTACACTGTTTTAAATCTATCACAGCTATACTGCCTGCCAGCAAAGGTGTTCCTAGTCTTCAAATTGGAGTTCCATAGAACAGTATCATGCCATGCTCTGCAAAAGCATGACTTCCTAGTGCTCCCTCAGGGAGTGGCACTGGAGGAGTCTCTGAGGACAGATCTAACACTGTCAACATTCGGTTCCTCTCAAAGGGGAGGCAAAATCAAAACACCGAGGAAGGGGAGGTGGATTAACCTTCCCATTTTAAATAGTCACAAAGATGTAAATTGGTAAGAAAGGAGAAAAAAATAGCTTGTCACTCCAATCCGGGGATGGAAGACTCATCTTGAGATCAAGATAGTTAAAGTGCCAAGGCAGGCTGGGCACAGTGGCTCAAGAGCCTGTAATCCCAGCTGTTTGGGAGGCCCAGGCGGGCGGATCATTTGAGGTCAGGAGTTAGAGACCAGCCTGGCCAATGTGGTGAAACCCCGTCTCTACTAAATATGCAAAAATTAGCCGGGCATGGTTGCAGGCGCCTGTAATCCCAGTTACTCAGGAGGCTGAGGCAGGATCTTGAATCTGGGAGGCGGAGGTTGCAGTGAGCCCAGATCGCGCCACTGCACTCCAGCCTGGCGATAGAGCGAGACTCTGTCTCAAAATAAATAAATTAATTAATTAAATTAAGAAGTGCTAAGGCAGTAAGTGAAGTTAGGTCCAAGCAAATTATTTAAGGAAAAGACCTTTACTCACTAATACAGGCAACACAGCCCATAGAAAATGCCCTAAGAGAGTCAGAGGACCTGGGTCCAATGTCACCTGTGCCTCTAAATAGCTGTAAGCACTTACCAGGAAAAGCTGAGTTGAGGAACTTATATCAAAGTACAGCGGAAAGTGTCGTTAATAAAACGGCAAGGGAAGAGAGGTAGCAAATTAAAACTTCTGGAAACCAAAAATGCTTGTGGGTAAATGAGTTTTAAAATTTTTCTAATTCCAGTTTATCCATTTCAATCCAGGACAAGATATTTCATAGTTTCAGTAAAGTATCTACAAAATATTTACTTACACTTCCTATTTCTCCTCTCGATTTGCAAACGCACCTTCTAAGATTTATGCTTGCACTACAAGGCACGGTCTACTATTAATATAACACTTTACAAAACACGCTCAGAACGCCTTTCTAAAGCAATTAGAAAACAAAACAAAAACCCAATAGCCTTTGGCAAGGGCATTCCAATGAAGCACTGATACCTCTTTAGGAAATCCTTTCGAAGCAATCCCTCACCCCTCTGCCCAGATATGCTAATCCCTCCGACTGCATAAGGTCCAAGCTAAAGCTTCCGCTGGGGCACGGACTGTACGGCCACCGCGCCCTCCTCACAGAAAGGCGAAACGGGGCTGTCCGGTGCCGACGCCGAGGTTGGTGTCGTCAGGGGGTCTGGAACCACGCCAAGGAAGTCGACTGCCGGATCGCCGCCCGGCGCCCGCAGACGGCGAGCGCTCCTTCTCCCGGGCACTGCAGCTGTGCGCTCCCGGAAGCATTCCGGGCGGAGGGAAGCGGCCGCGATCCGCGCCTGCTGGGAACCGTGCCAAAGTTGGGACCCGCGCTGGGGAGGCAGCCGAGCGCCCCACGCCACGTGCTACCGACCGGCGGGGAGCGCAAGAGCGCTGCACCCCGCACAGAGGCCTGCCGGGCCGCCGAGGGCCGTGAGCTAAGCCGGGGACCGGGCCGCGCCGACCCGGGCCGCGCTGAGCCGGGCCGCGCGCCCACCGGGGGTCCCTTCCGCCAGCCCGTTGGGAAGGTTGGCAGACGCCCTACCTTCTCCTCGCCATCGTAGATTCGCACCCCGCGCTGCTGGATCACCAGGGTCTCGTTGATCTCCAGGAGGCCGCTGGTCCAAACGAAGCGGTCCATGGCCGCTGCCACCCAGCCCCGGCCCTCCGAGGCCGCGAGCAGCGCGCCAGGCAGCCTGCGGCGCCCCCTAGCGTCGGACGGGACGGAAGCGAGTCGGGGCGGGTGAGGGACGGAGGGAGCGGCCTGGCAGCGAGCGGGCGCGGCTGCGAGGTGCGCCCGGGGACGTGGAGACGTGCGTGGAGCGCCCCCTGGCGGTCCATTAGCCGCCGGCCTTTCAGAACCCTTGATCAGCAGGCGGTCCACCCCATTCTAAATTCAGAGCTTACAGGGACGCGAGGGAGCCCCGACCACAGCTTGGACTTGCTTATTGTGCATTATGCCTGCATGTTTGTGGCAGTTTTCTTGTCAGTGCCCAGAATGTTGCTACATTCGCTAATGATTGTAAATAATCATAACCCCTCTCTTTCAAATGAATATTTATGGCACGCATTGTTTCTGTACAGCTGCAGTCAGTACTACCTGTGCTGCTCTTTTTTTCCCTTTAAGATTATATTGTAACACAAAGGATAAATGCTTGAGGTAACGGATACCTCATTTACCCTGATGTGATTATTATACAGTGTATGCCTGTATCAAAATATCCCATATACCCCAGAAATATATACACCTATGTACCCACACAAATTAATTTTTTTTTAACTGGGGGAAACAGATTTTATTTAACCGGGCTTGATGCGCGCGCCTGTATTCCCAGCTGCTTCCGAAGCTGAGGCGGGAGGATTGCTTGAACCCAGGAGTTTGACACCAGTGGGCGACATAGAAAGACCCTTTCCCCCTCCACCCCAACTCCCCCACGCCACTCCACTCCCCCACCCCCAGGCTCAGAAAAAAAAGATTATTTTTATTTAGGCATTTTCAATATTAATACAGACCTCATGCGTGAATTTACATTTCAATATGTAGTTCCTCTATAATTTAGCTGTTTGTTGGTCTGCGCAAAGCCATCCATGGCCGCTGCTCTCACCCACCAGGCGGCCTCGTGCCCCTAGCCATTTCATTTTTGTATTTTGCTTTATAAATGGAACACCTGGCCGGGCGCGGTGGCTCACGTTTGTAATCCCAGCACTTTGGGAGGACAAGGCGGGCGGATCACAAGTCAGGAGTTCGAGACCAGCCTGGCTAACATAGAGAAACCCTGTCTCTACTAAAAATACAAAAAATTAGCCCGGCGTGGTGGCGGGTGCCTGTAATCCCAGCTACTCGGGAAGCTGAGGCAAGAGAATCGCTTGAACCCTGGAGGTAGAGGTTGCAGTGAGCCGAGATCGCACCATTGCACTCCAGTCTGAGCGACAGAACGAGACTCTGCTTCAAAAATAATAATAATAAATAATAAATAAATAAATAAATGGAGCAGCTTATAGATGTCCTTCTACAATTGATACATATTTTTCTCTTTAGGATTATTTTCTTACAGTGTCTTCCTAAAATAGAATGACTGCTTTAAAGGTTGTGAACACATTTTAGAGAGCCTACCACTTATTGGGGTCTTAACTAAGGCTGCGTGCCCACGTGGGCAGAGGGGCACAGGGGCAGAGGGACAGAGGGCAGGCTTGCTCTCTGCCCCCAGGGCTCCACATTTCCCCCAGTCGTGGAGTCAGTGGTCTGTGGCTAGGCATTAAAAGAAAGGAAAGGCTCTTTCCAATGAGTATAAGCCATCTCTCCCCCGAAATGAATTGCTACTTTTACCGTGTTCCAAAATCCTGTGTGTATTTTGGTCTATTTCTAAACAGTGTCTTCTGTATTTCATATCTTTCAATTTCCATCATGACCATATACCCAATAACCAAAAGTTCTTTGAAAACATTTGATTTGCTGTAATATGCTATCAATATATATCACAATTTACCATCATTGCCTGATTTTTGAGCATTTGATTGTTTACCAACTTTTTAGTCTTTTTTAATTGAAAGTAATGTGACCTAAGCATCCTAATCAGATGTGGAACTGTGCAGTTATGCCTGGGCTTTGCAATTATCAACATGTTAGGCAGTGAGGACATTTGCAAGGTATGTTTTCTGCCCTTGAGGGATGTACAGTCTGTAGGACACAAATAGAAGCCTGGCATATGATAGCTGCTGGGATAGACAACCGTATAAGGGTTTCCTGTATCCAGGCTGGAGCAAGGAGAAACGTCATGTGGCTTATATATGGCAATAAATGAATAGACAAAAGGTTTTAATTTTTATGAAGTTCAGTGTATTTTTTTCTTTCATAGTTCATGGAATTTGCCTATTTAAGAAATCTTTTTTCCACAAACCAGATATTGATACTGATTATGAAATCTTTGCCTAACACAAAGTCACTAAGATTTTCTCCTATAATTTCTTCTAGAAGCTTCATAGTTTTGGTTCTTACATTTAGGTCTATGCTTTTTTTTTTTGAGACAGAGTCTCACTCTGCCGCCCAGGCTGGAGTGCAATGGCACAATCTCGGCTCACTGCAACCACTGACTCCTGGGTTCAAGCGATTCTCCTGCCTCAGCCTCCCGAGTAGCTGGGATTACAGGTGCCTGCCACCACGCCTGGCTAACTTTTGTATATTTTGTAGAGACAGGGTTTCACCATGTTGGCAAAGCTGGTCTTGAACTCCTGACCTCAGGTGATCCACCCGCCTTGGCCTCCCAAAGTGCTGGGATTACGGGCATGAGCCACCACGCCCAGCCATCCCCAGGATGTTTTTGCCAGGACCTCCCACCTTCTGAATCAGATGGTTCCTTTCAGTCCCAATCCTACTGGACCTCTGTAGTGCCCAACACTGTGGTCCATTACCTCTTTCTTCAGCTTCTCTCTTCCCCAGACTTTGTGACCCCATTGTGTCCCCATTGTCCTCCTAACTTTCAGATTGTCCTTCCCTGTTCTCTCACAGGCACTTTACCTTCTTCACATGACCACAGGAGGAACGACTAACACTAATTAATCATCAGTACTCCAGGTGCCTGCAGTTTCATGGTCAGCTGTGTTGGCAAAGAACTGTTCTGAAAGGAAATCTTTTTTGTTTTGTTTTTTTTGTTTGTTTTTTGGATCTTTTAGAAAAAGGTCTGCTTTCTCTGCAATAATTGTGTAGCAGTAATATTAAAAAGTGTCTCAAAAATAGACATATCATTGGAGTGGGTGAGTCTGGAGATTAGAGGAGAATTGCCATTTTGAAAAACCTAGCAGTTTGGCAGGTTTTCCTATTCATCTCAGCCTACTGAGATCTCCATGGTATCCTTTGAGTCAATTTCTTTTTTTACCATGCCCACTTATAAAAAATTATTGAGGTTCACATAACATAAAATTAATCATTTTAAAGTGAACAACTCAATGGCATTAATACATTTACAATGTCACCCAACCACTACCTCTAATTCCAAAACATTTCACTTACTTCAAGGTAATGAAACCCTTGTCCATTAAACTGTCTCCCAATTCTCCCCCTACCCTCAGCCTCTGGCAACTACTATTCTGAGTTATTTCACTATGGATGTATCTATTTTAGATCTTTCATATAAATGGAATCATACCATATGTAACTTTTCATATATTACTTCTTTTACTTAGCATAATGTTTTGGAGGTTTTTGAGTCACTTATTAACGCTGTATTTTGTTCTCACTTAATAGAAATCCCTGGTTGCCCCACCTGTCTGATGAAACTTTAGTAAATAATCAACAATAATGACAGACGTATTTAAACAGCAAGTTATATCTTAAGGATGGTGATGGACAATGTTAAACTAAAACTGGGACATTTCATCAAGTAAAAAACTACACAAAATCTCAAACCAAATTCCTCATTAGCAAGACGCTACCATAAGATGTCTGAAGAAAAAAGCAGGCAGAAGTGGGAAAAACTGACCACAGCCGAGGGCCAGCTGTGGAGGCCCTCAGACCTGGGAAGGGTAAACGGGGAAATCACATCCTCCCGTCTGTGTGCCCGGAGCACCTAAAACCTGGCTGAAAGAGTCCAGTCCAGCCTTACTGCAGTGATCAGGCAAGAAATGTAAACCCAGTGCTTGAAACCAGGCAGGTGCAGTCCAGACTCGCCCTCACTTCCCCACTGCCACTCTTAAAACCTTCTAGCCCTGACTTGTTTCGTTCTGTCATGTGGATTGAGTGTTTGTGTGGGTTTTATGAAGGTGGTATTTTTAGATGAGAAAAACGAAGATTATGGCGGCACACTTAACCACACAAACACAAAACGTCTGTAACAAATGCTATTTTATCTTCAAAGGAGAATTATATATAACCTTGAGGAGGGGATGAGGTTTATCTTCATTTTTTTCTGTTTCTCCTCCTCTCCTCCCTTTTTTGCATTTGATAATTGCTTAGAATAAAGGTATGGAAAGTAGATCCCAATTTCAGTTCCCCTTCACACGCTGTGCAAACGTGGACAAACAACCTCTGAACCTGTCACCTCTCAGTGGAAAAAGTGGTGATAACGTCCCACCTCAGAATTGATGCTCAAAATGAAGCAGTATTTGTGAAACGAAAATACACACGCTCGTGGTACGCCAGATCGGTGTTTACGTCCTCGTCAGTGAACGCGTCGATGTTTAATAAGAAGGGCAGCCAATCAACACTTTTCTTGTCTTTTTCTCGTCTGCCTTCCTCCAAGGACTGTGAGGGTCTCAAGATGTGTCCCATCTCGGTTGTTTGTCAACCTAGTCCTGCTATGTCGTGGGGACTGAGCAGGCCGACTCCTCCCCCATCGCACGTCCAGGATGAAGAGCGCTGTTTAGGTTTGAAACCTGCAGACTCAGTCCCAACCGAACTGGGCAGACACCAGACCGGCCCCGGCAACTGCAGTCCAGGCTCCGCCTCCCTACGCCCATTGGCTTATTCAATTCACGCAGGAACCAATGGGCGGAGACGGCAGCCGCGCCGTCTGACGGCTTAGCCGCGGTGCAGACTGCGGCGGCGGTGGTCTGAGGAAGTTCTATCTTGGCGCTAAAGCGGAGACGCATCCCCCGACCCGAGGCTACGATGAGCACACCGGCCGTGCCCCAGGACCTGCAGCTGCCCCCGAGTCAGAGGGCGCAGTCCGCATTCAAAGGTGAAGGCCGCGGTGGCGGTGGCGGTGGCGGTGGCGGTGGCGGTGGCGGGCGCGGGCCCGGCGGTCGGGGCTCGGGGCCGCGCTGGCGCGCTTCACCTCTCCCCCGCTCTGTGAGATCCCTGAACGCGGCGTCGGCCTCGCCCTGCCTCATTCTTGGCCTTGTGGAACGGATCATAAAAACAGGAACCGCTGCGTGGTGTTACTGTGCGGTCGCTGCTGGCTGGGATGGGCCCTCCTAAGAAGGAATCCGTTAGGCGAGGGGAAACGCGCGGGCCTCAGGCCGGGGTCGGTGTCGGAGACCCTGGGTCCGCTTGGGGGCGGGGCTGCACAGGTTCAGGGACCGACTGCGCCTGCGCTGGGTCCTCCGCCTCTTAGGTCCCTAGCGAATTTCTGCAGGGCTGGGGTCGCATCATGTGTTATTTCCAATTTCACAGCTTCTCCTTCGACTTTATGGAAACCGAGGGTTGGTTGGGTCTTCAAAACTAATATTGTTATTCCCTTATTCTACACACGGGAAAGCAGAAGAAAGTAATTCTCATCTAACCCAGTTCTGGTAAATTAGAACTTTCGAGTCTAGTGCCTCACTTCTACCATTTAGTTTCTTAAAGCTTGGCTAGCAGGAGCTGTATGTAGAAAATGATGTTCTCCAGATTTTTCACAGGGAGTAGAGAATGTGATTCTTATGCAGAGGGGTTTTGGGGACCTGTTGTGGTAACAGTCTCTTCTAAGGTGATTTCTCAAAGGCAATATTGAATTGGAGAATTTTCTGTTATATAGATGTGACCTCAGGTGGAACCAGCTTTGGAAGTAAACTCTTCATTTAGTCAACAAGATTTATTTGCCGTTATCGATGTTTTAACTAATATTGACTTGTAGCTCTTACCTTTGTTATCTAGAGCAAAGAAGACAAAAACTCAAGGAACATCTGTTGAGAAGAAAAACGCTTTTTGCATACAAGCAGGAAAATGAGATGTTATCCAGGTAAGGTCAAGTTTATTTCTTTTCACTTCTGTAAAATTGTATCAGATCTGTCCAATGAAAATGTAAAGTAAGCCATATCTGTAATTTTAAATTTTCTAGTAGCCACATTTAGAAAAACTGCTTACATATTATTTTACGTCTTTTTGTGGTACAACGTCTTTAAAATCTGGTGTCTATTTTACAGTTACAGGACATTTCCATTTGGTCTATCCACATTTCAAGCACTCAGTAGCCACATTGGCTAGTGGCTACTTTATTGGATGGTGCAGCATTAGATCATCGTTTTATTAATTTTTTTTTTTTTGAGACAGAGTCTCACTCTGTTGCCAGGTTGGAGTGCAGTAGCGTGATCTTGGCTCACTGCAGCCTCCACCTTCTGGGTTCAAGTGAATCTCCTGCCTCAGCTTCCCAAATACCTGGGACTGACTACAGGCAAGTGCCACCATTCCCTGCTAATTTTTGTATTTTAAACAGAGACCGGGTTTCACTATGTTGGCCGGGCTGGTCTTGGACTCCTGACCTTGAGATCCGCCCACCTCAGCCTCTGAAAGTGCTGTGATTACAAGGATGAGCCACCGCGCCCGGCCTAGATTATCGTTTTCTACGTAAATTAATTCACAGTCTAAGAGAAAAAAACAATTATAAAGCAAAGTATGTGCATAGACTAGATTATCAACTTACTGTTTACACCACACAAAGGTCAGTCTTTCTATTATTTAGCAAAGCTTTTTACTCAGTGTATGGGGGAGTTCATCAGGGAAGGGTTGGGTGGCCCTCCCAAATGCTTAGAGATTACTAGTTGTAGTCTCAACCCTCCACAGAAATATCTTTATTATTTTGTTAAAATATCTTAGATAGTACATAGCTGTAGCAAAAACAAAAACCCATGAAAGTAGATGAAGCAGAAAGGCAAAAGGTCCCCTCACTCTCTAGGGATAACCAGTAATAACATCCTTACAGGCTTAGGCTGGGTGCTGTGGCTTACACCTGTAATCCCAGCACTTTAGGAGGCTGAGGTGGGCAGATCACGAGGTCAGGAGATCAAGACCAGCCTGGCTAACACAGTGAAACCCCGTCTCTACTAAAAATACAAAAAATTAGCCAGGCATGGTGGTGGGTGCTTGTAATCCCAGCTACTGGGGAGGCTGAGGCAGGAGAATCGCTTGAACCTGGGAGATGGAGGTTGCAGTGAGCCGAGATCGTGCCATTGCACTCCAGCCTGGGTGACAGAGCGAGACTCCGTCTCAAAAAAAAAAAAAATTGTCTCAGGTAAACAAAATTGTATATACCACCCACACACATATTCAGAGAGTGGAAATGATAACGCAAATGGGATAAAAATTTTAACAATAGGTGGATCCTGGGTAAAGAGTGTACAGATATTCTTTGACCTGTTTATATTTTTGCAACTTTGTGTAAGTTTGGCATTCTAAAATTTTAAAAATAATTTCTAACTTTATATTAATAAGTTGCTTTAGTTTGGAATAAACAGTTTATCCTTCACAAATAAATCTTTTATTTCTTTGTTTAAGACAAAAAGGTGATCCTAGGTTTTTTATTTGAATAAGTAAATGAATGGTGATAACCGTATACTGAAATAGGAAGCCTGAAGGAGGAGCTGGGGAATTAGGAGTTCTGTTTTGACTATGTTTGAGGTACCAACCAGACATCCAAGCAGATATGCCAAATAATTGTGTGTCTGAAGTTCAGGGGAGGGGTTGGGGCTGGAAGCATAAACTCAGGAATTGATTAGTATACAGATGATATTTACTTAAAAACCTTAGGATGGAATGAAATTACTAGGGAATAAGTAGAGATAATATGGATTCAGACAGTGACTCTCAACCACTTATTTAAATAAAGAATCCAACAAGGTCAGGGGTTTATAATACTCTTAATAGGAAGAAAAGAAAATTCTAAAACGCTTCATGTGGCTTAAGTACTACATTTATTCCTTTCAGAAAACAGATGTTGGCTGGGTGCAGTGGCTCATGCCTGTAATCCCAGCACTTTGGGAGGCTGAGGCGGGTGTATCACTTGAGGTCAAGAGTTCTAGACCAGCCTGGCCAACATGGTGAAACCCCGTCTCTACTAAAAATATAAAAATTAGCCGGGTGTGGTGTCAGGCGCCTGTAATTCCGGGGAGGGCCGAGGCAGAAGAATCGCTTGAACCTGGGAGGCGGAGGTTGCAGTGAGCCAAGATCAGGCCATCGCACTCCAGCCTGGGTGACAAGAGCGAGACTTTGTCTCAAAAAAAAAAAAAAGGAAAACAGATGTCAATTTAAATGTTATCACCTCAGCAGTGAATCATTAAATAAGACAACCAACCTGTGTTGCAGCTTTTCAGAATTAAACAGTTATATTTTACAATCTCTAAAGTATAGATATCCTAAGACTCATTTCCGATAACCCTTCTGAGGGCAGTTTTATAATAAGACAGAATAGGATTAAGTCTCCCCACTGGACAGGTGAGTAAGATGGGTTCTTCTTGTCATCCTGAGTTTTGTTTTGTTAGCTGGCAGTTAGCTACTAAGATACCCTGTTAAGTGGCACATTTTGATCTTCCTTCACCATTGTTCAAAATGTATAGTACAGGTTGTGTCAAAGTTCTGTTCCTTCTCCAAGCTGACAGAACAAATAGATATGAAAGGCAATGTAAGCAAAATTATTAACTACTAAATTATGTCAAATGTAAAATATATATATATATATTTTGTTTTGTTTTGTTTTTTTGAGACGGAGCCTTGCTCTGTCGCCTAGGCTATAGTGCAGTGGCGCGATCTCAGCTCACTGCAACCTCTGCCTCGTGGGTTCAAGCGATTCTCCTGCCTCAGCCTCCAGGGTAGCTGGGATTACAAGCATTTGCCACCATGCCTGGCCAATATTTTTGATTTTAGTAGAGACAGGGTTTCGCCGTGTTGGCCAGGCTGGTCTCAAACTCCTGACCTGAGGTGATCTGCCCACCTTCTCTACCCAGAGTGCTAGGATTACAGGTGTGACCCACTGTTCCTGGCCTCATTTTTTTTTTCAGAGAATGAGAGATCACGCATTTTAATGTGATCTCTGAACTTAGGATCTGTCTTAAAATCAATGGCATGTCTAATTGACCGTATTTTTTCCTATCGTTATAGTACACAAAATTGTTAAAATCACTTGCTAAGAGATGCTCACAGTCTGCCTTAGCCAGTTTATAGCTGTAAAAATAAGTTAAGTCAGTTTCTTGAGGAGGGATTTTCTTTGCAATACCGCCTAGAAACTAACGTTCTTTTTTTTGAGAGATGATCTCATTCTGTGTCACTCAGCCTCTAGTGCAGTGACGGGATCTTGGCCCACTGCCTCAACTCCCAGGCTCAAGCAGTCCTCCACCCCAGCCTCCCAAGTAGCTGGGACTATGGCACCCACCACCACACCCAACTAATTTTTTATTTTTTTGTAGAGATGGGGTTTTGCCGTGTTGCCCAGGCTGCTCTCGAACTCCTGAGCTCAAGTAATCCCCCCACCTCGGCCTCCCAAAGTGCTGCTATTACAGGCATGAGCCACCACAACCAGCAGTGCATATTCTTAATGTATCCTAATATAAATTAAGCTGTGAATGGCATATGGTAATTTTTGGATCACTTCTGGGAGGGCTCTTTAATAAAAGTATTTTCAATGTAGTACATCTGTTACTAAGTACTTAAAACTAACCCAAGGAGGTATTACTTACTAAAGGTTATTTGAAGACTTGTTTGAATGACTTGAGAATGATTTGAAATAAGATTATTAAGTATTTACAAATTCTATGGGCAGAGAGTGTTAGGACTTTTAGAAAATATCTTTAAATTCCTCAGCCATTTGTTTACACTATTTTTTTTTGAGACAGAGTCTCTCTCTGTCACCCAGGCTGGAGTGCAGTGGCTCGATCTTGGCTCACTGCGAACTCCGCCTCCCGGGTTCATGCCATTCTCCTTCCTCAGCCTCCCTAGTAGCTGGGACTACAGGACTACAAGCGCCCGCCACCATGCCCGGCTAATTTTTTGTATTTTTAGTAGAGACGGGGTTTCACTGTGTTAGTCAGGATGGTCTCGATCTCCTGACCTCGTGATCTGCCCACCTCGGCCTCCCAAAGTGCTGGGATTACAGGCATGAGCCACCGCGCCTGGCCGCTTAGGACAAATTTCAACTCAGGTCTTTTTTAAATTTAAAATTAGTAAGTCAGTTAATTGTTAACATTGCCCTCTTCTTCCTCCCCAAAAGGAAGCCTCCTTGGTACAGGATTGATTGATCATTTTGTTTGTTTGTTTTTAAGTAGTAGAGATCAGAGAGTTGTGACATCTGAGGACCAAGTTCAAGAAGGGACTAAAGTGCTGAAACTTAAAACAAAAATGGTAAGATGTGGACATAGCACTCTTAAACTGTCCCCTTTTCCATTTTGCCTTTCCTAAACACTTTTCTTAAATAATTCTTTCAGGCTGATAAAGAAAACATGAAGAGACCTGCAGAGAGCAAAAATAATACAGTGGTGGGGAAACATTGTATTCCTTTAAAACCTTCAAATGAACTAACCAATTCAACTGTAGTAATTGACACACATAAACCTAAGGATAGTAATCAAACTCCGCATTTGTTACTAACTGAAGATGATCCCCAAAGTCAACATATGACATTAAGCCAGGCATTTCACCTTAAAAACAATAGTAAAAAGAAACAAATGACTACAGAAAAACAAAAGCAAGATGCTAACATGCCCAAGAAACCTGTGCTTGGATCTTATCGTGGCCAGATTGTTCAGTCTAAGATTAATTCATTTAGAAAACCTCTACAAGTCAAAGATGAGAGTTCTGCAGCAACAAAGAAACTTTCAGCCACTATACCTAAAGCCACAAAACCTCAGCCTGTAAACACCAGCAGTGTAACAGTGAAAAGTAATAGATCCTCCAATATGACTGCCACTACTAAATTTGTGAGCACTACATCTCAGAACACACAACTTGTGCGACCTCCTATTAGAAGTCATCACAGTAATACCCGGGACACTGTGAAACAAGGCATCAGTAGAACTTCTGCCAATGTTACAATCCGGAAAGGGCCTCATGAAAAAGAACTATTACAATCAAAAACAGCTTTATCTAGTGTCAAAACCAGTTCTTCTCAAGGTATAATAAGAAATAAGACTCTATCAAGATCCATAGCATCTGAAGTTATAGCCAGGCCTGCTTCATTGTCTAATGATAAACTGATGGAAAAGTCAGAGCCCGTTGACCAGCGAAGACATACTGCAGGAAAAGCAATTGTTGATAGTAGATCAGCTCAGCCCAAAGAAACCTCGGAAGAGAGAAAGTAAGTAGATATAATTTTCTTTATTACATTAGTTTTCAATAAAGTACTGTTTGTAGATTTGGATTATAATTTCCTTGACTGCATTAGAATTTTCTTTCATGGTTTCTCTTCTGTCATATGCAGGCAAATTTATATTGTGGAACAATATGACCTAAAAGTTTTTGTGTTTGAGTATGTTTTATAAGGTTGCTTTTTAAAATCTAAGGTAAATGCTTAATAATAATTGGGAAATACTTTATAATCTCAAATCAAAAAATGCATTCATGGAATCATTGAGCATAATTGACGTTGATATGTTTAATATTTCTTCAAGCTTGTGAACTATATATGCCATTAAAGTAAGATTACTTAAAAATATGATTTTTTCTTTTAACTTTATTTGACAGAGTTCTGTCAGCAATTTCAAAGTAACGTTTATATCTGCTTCTAACTATAGAGCTCGTCTGAGTGAGTGGAAAGCTGGCAAAGGAAGAGTGCTAAAAAGGCCCCCTAATTCAGTAGTTACTCAGCATGAGCCTGCAGGACAAAATGAAAAACCAGTTGGGTCTTTTTGGACTACCATGGCAGAAGAAGATGAACAAAGATTATTTACTGAAAAAGTAAACAACACATTTTCTGAATGCCTGAACTTGATTAATGAGGTAGAGTCTTTATATTTGCTTAGCATTTTATAGTTTGCAAATTACCTTCATAAGCATTATTTCATTAAATTATATTGTCAGTCTTTTTGACCAGGTGATGTTGGTGATACTATGTTGACTTAACATTAACTGTGAGGTTATTTTAACAATTATTTAATTGCGAGATACACTGCTTCATTCATTAATTGTGAGCTTATTAGCCTTTAACTGACTACATTTTGCATTGAGTTCATATAAATATACAGGTTGAGTATCCCTTATCCAAAATGCTTGGGACCAGAAGTAATTGAAGATGTTTTTTGTTGGATTTTGGAATATTTGCATATACATAATGAGTTATCTTGGGGATGAGATCCACAAAGTTCATTTACGTTTTGTTTGTTTGTTTGCTTTTGAGACAGTCACTCTCACCCAAGCTGGAGTGCAGTGGTGTGATCTCAGCTCACTGTAACCTCTGCCTCCTGGGTTGAAGCCCTTCTCCTGCCTCAGCCTCCAGAGTAGCTGGGATTACAAGTGTGCACCACACGCCTGGCTAATTTTTTGTATTTTTAGTAGAGACAGGGTTTCACCATGTTGGTCAGGCTGGTCTCAAACTCCTGACCTCATGTGATCCACCCACCTCGGCCTCCCAAAGTGCTGGGATTACAGGTGTGAGCCACTGCGCTCGGCCTCATTCATGTTTTATATACAGCTTATACACGTAGCCTAAAGATAGAATACTTTTTATAGTTTTGTGCATGAAGCAAAGTTTGTATACATTGAACCATTAGAAAGCAAAGGTGTCACTTTGTCAGCCACCCATGGGACAGTCTGGTTGTTTGGCAACACCATCATTCCTCACTCTGAATTTCCATGCTACCAATAAGCAATTATTCTCTTACATTTATTCACACATAATTAATTAACAGTTTAAAAAAAGACACATTAATACAGTGAAAAATATGTTCAGAGTAATTAAGCAGCACAGTAGCATCATCAGAACGCCTGTATCAGCTGTTAGACAATAGCAACAACAAACAGCAGCACGTTTTCAATCTCCATCTATGATGTTGTGTTTAATTAAGAGGTATTTTACACCGTGTTTTATTTTTTTAGGTGAGAAGAAACACCAGAAGCAGTTGAGGGACCAGGAAGTGGGTTCTCTAGGGATAAGGAGGCATTCTGCTGGGTGGCTTTTTAAGATATTTACTTCAGAGTCATCTGCCTCATTAGCAATGGTTTTTGTCTTAGAAGTTTCTCTTTGATTTTATAAAGGGACATGATTTCTTTTTCTGTTCTGGATAAATGCTGCTCTAGTTCTTCAGTAAGCCTGTTGCATACTTTCACCTTGTCGCCTGTAGGTACATTTTCTGCAGTGTTAATGATGGTCATCTGCATTGTGATGTTGATACTCAAAAGTTTTGGATTTCAGATTTTGGATTTTCAGATTAGGGATACTCAACCTGTATCAAAGGGATAATTGGGTTTTTTTACTGAATTACAAATATTTGATTTCTCTGAGCTAATTAATATGTAATACACTGAGGTGATATTTACTTACTGCTTCTAATATTTTGTTTCTTACATCTATTCATTATATTTACACATTATTTTTTACGTTCATTACACATTTTACCAAAGACTAGCAACACAAATACTGTGTGAGTCATTATTATCACAGATTAAGTTACCTAAAATACTCAAAAAAAAAATCCCATTCATCTGGTCAGGTGGGGTGGCTCACGCCTGTAATCCCAGCACTTTGGGAGGCCAAGGCGGGCGGATCACCCAAGGTCAGGAGTTTGAGACCAGCCTGGCCAACATGGTAAAACTCTGTCTCTACTAAAAATACAAAAATTAGCTGGGCATGGAGGCGGGTGCCTGTAATCTCAGCTACTCAGAAGGCTGAGGCTGGAGAATCGCTTGAACCTGGGAGGCAGAGGTTGCAGTGAGCCGAGATTGTGCCGTTGCACTCCAGCCTGGGCAACAAGAGCAAAACTCCGTCTCAAAAAAAAAAAAAAAAAAAAACAATCCCATTCATCTAAGCCAACATCATCATGTTTTTGAATTTATTGCAGAATTTTGCTATTTGGACCAAAATCCTATGGAGTATAATAATCAGCTCCAGAACAATATTCTGTTTAATAATAGATAATATCTTTGTTTCCTGACTGCTCTTTAATCTTGTTTTGGTCACCCACTAGTGTGTAAGATCCACAGCAAAACTGAATTCAAGGTATGATTTCAAACTTTACTCTTCATGAGCATCTTTTAACTTCTTGTGGTTCTGAACACCAGTAAAAGTTACAATCAGGAAAACTCTTGAGTCTCTAATAGAATAGAATTAGAGTTTATTTCTGCTCAGTTTAAGTTTTTCCTTTTGATACTATGAACTTTTTCTGCCCTATTATTTAATTATATGTAACTGTGACATAAACCATTACAGATTCATTTTAATCTTAATATCAAAACCTGATAAAGACGAGGAAAAAAAACTCCGCAGACTATTCTTACTCATAAACATTTGGTAGAAGGTATTAACAAATGGAATCCCACAATATATATGAGGATAAAATCAAGATCAAATAAGTGTTCATTTTTTACTAATAAATTTCTCAACTAATGTTTCATTTTTTTGCTTTATGCTTAGGGCTATCGTTATCATTGATCTTGACTATAGTAGGCTCAATTATTGTTCCCACTTTGTAAGCTAAAAAATATTACACACATTTTTTCTTGCTTTTTTAGGGATGTCCAAAAGAAGATATACTGGTCACACTGAATGACCTGATTAAAAATATTCCAGATGCCAAAAAGCTTGTTAAGTATTGGATATGTCTTGCACTTATTGAACCAATCACAAGTCCTATTGAAAATATTATTGCAATCTATGAGAAAGCCATTCTGGCAGGGGCTCAGGTAAGATAAAAATTTACTGATCTTTACAATTACAGTGTAGTAGACAATTCGGAATTAATTTGAAACACATCACAACATAACTTGAGAAAATTTTCTTTGTATATGTAGTGGTAATAAATGTTTAAAGGCTGCAAGGATTGCATTATAAAAGCTGTTTGTTGGCTTTCTAAGTCTTTTATTCCTGTATTGGGAATAATCAGATTTTAGAAAATGGATATAAGCTGAAATGTATATTTAATGAAACTTTCTGCATGAAATGTTTTAGCATATTATTGTATGCATTTCCTGGTTGGAAGTTTACTGGGAGACTGAATGTAATATTAAAATTTGTTTATTGAATATAAAGCAAAAGGGATTAAATTCGCTTTTTAAATGTTATCAAGCTCTCTTGGTTTTGTGTGAGAACTCTTTAAGAGTAAACCCGAATGTACTCATATATGTATATATATACACACATATATATACACACATATATATACACATATATATGCACACATATATACACACATATATGCACACATATATGCACACATATATATACACACATACACATATATACACATATACACATATATACACACACACATATATATATAATATGTATACACTGTATATATTGGTCCTTTCTGCATACAGAAAATGGCAATAAACCGGTTTCTCTAACATTATTACCTCTATAGTGCCTCGATACCATACTCCTTATCTCTTCTAGCGTATTGATACACAAAGTTTTGGGTATAGAATAAATCATTTCTTGAGTTTTTTGTTTGGTTGGGTTTTTGTTTTTATGGATACATGTTCTTCAAATATGTTTCCTTTTGACCAGGTTTCTCAGAAACACATTCTTGGAGATTGTTTACATAGATAATTTTTTAAAACTCCCTTTTAAGAAAGATCTATTCACCTTTGTCTCAACAAAATCAACGAACGCTATTTGACTTTTCACTTAAATAAAAAATCAGATATTCAGCAGATAGTCTGTCAGTGGCTGTCATGTGTAAAACTTTCTAGAATGGTAATTATATTTGACAGAATGCTACCTGGAGGGGAGTGTTAGGCCCCTACTACATTGTATCAGAAGGGACATTACTTAAGGCAGCTAAGGACATTGTAGCAAGGATGCAAAACTGGAGCCAAGGCTCACATAGAAAGCAATAATGTAAACAGCAAGATGTAACACCAGAGGAAAAGCTGCTGGAAAACAAGAATCAAAATTAGCCAACATGGCTGGGCACAGTAGTGGATACCTATAGTCTCAACTACTTGGGAGGCCAAGGTGGGAGGATTGCCTGAGCCCAGGAGTTTGAGTCCAGCCTGGGCAACATAGACCCCATCTCTTAAAATTAGTGGCCAGGCATGATGGTTCACGGCTGTAATCCCAACACGTTGGGAAGCCGAGGCGGGAGGATCGTTTGAGTCCAAGAGTTCAAGACCAGCCTGGGCAAGAGGGTGAGACCCCCCATCTCTGCAAAAAATAAAATTTTTAAAGTTTTTTTTTTGGTGGTAGACAGTTGTGGTCACAGCTATACGGGAAGCTGAAGTGGGAGAATTGCTTGAGCTCTGGGGTTCAAGACTAGTGAGCCATGATTATGCCACTGAACTCCATCCTGAGTCAACAGAGCAACACCCTGTCTCAAAAAAAAAAAAAAAAAAAATTAGCCAAGAAAACTGAAAGCAGGATAGCTGAGTAATTCAGGACTCAGTTCTGGAACTAAGACTGTGAATTACACCTTCCCTAATCTTGATTGTGTTGGGTGGAACATAGCAAATGCTTAGGTAAATAATGGTCACTTAGTAATTTTTTGTAAATTTTTGAATGAATGAAGTATGTTGAGATGATCAACCTTAGCTCTTCAGAGATACATTTCATAGCATATGAAACAAAAATATAACCATAGACTTAAATGTAAGAGAAAAGGAGCAAGACTTAAGTAAAATTATGGAGGAAGTTTTAAAATATGAAATTCTAGGCCAGGCGTGGTGGCTCACACCTGTAATCCCAGCACTTTGGGAGGCCGGCAAATCATGAGGTCAGGAGTTCAAGCAAGCCTGGCCAGCATGGTGAAACTCTGCCTCTACTAAAAATACAAAAAATTAGCTGGGCATGGTGGTGCCCACCCGTAATCCCAGCTACTCGAGAGGCTGAGGCAAGAGAATCATTTGAACCTGGGAGGCTGAGGTTACAATGAGCCGAGATCGCACCACTGCATTCCATCCTGGCAATAGAGGGAGACTGTCTCAAAAAAAGAAAAAAGAAAAAAAAGGAAAAGAAATTCTATCCTTCATTTTTACTCTATAAATTGGAAAAGACAGCCATTTTTCGTTTTTGGTTTTTTTGTTTTTGTTTTTGTTTTTTTTTTTTGAGATGGAGTCTCACTCTCTCGCCCAGGCTAGAGTGCAGTGGCATGATCTCGGCTCACTGCAAGCTCCGCTTCCTGGGTTCACGCCATTCTCCTGCCTCAGCCTCCCGAGTAACTGGGACTACAGGCGCCTGCCACCACGCCCGGCTCATTTTTTTGTGTTTTTAGTAGAGACGGGGTTTCACCGTGTTAGCCAGGATGGTCTTGATCTCCTGACCTCGTGATCTGCCCGTCTAGGCCTCCCAAAGTGCTGGGATTACAGGCGTGAGCCATCGTGCCCAGCCAAGACAGCCATTTTTCAATCTTAATTGTAAGTGGTCTGAGAAGCATGGTTTAAGAGCCACTCTTACTTTAAAATACAGTATGAAAATTTAATCGCGACTTGGATACCTAGTTAATGTCAGAGAAAATAAAACTTACATGGATCTGCTTTCTTCATTAAAAAAATTAAGCCTATTGAAGAGATGCGACACACGATTGTAGATATTCTAACAATGAAGAGTCAAGAAAAAGCTAATTTAGGTAAGTTTTAGTTATTTTATTTCCTTCATGTGAACTGTAGTTTTTTTTTGTTGTTGTTTTTTAACTTTTATTTTAAGATCAGGAGTACGTGTGCAGGATGTGCAGGTTTGTTACAAAGGTAAATGTGTGTCATGGGGGTTTGTTGTACAGATTATTTTATCACCCAGGTATTAAGCCTAGTATCCATTATTTTTCCTGATCCTCTCCCTCCTCCAACCCATGTGCCCCAGTGTGTGTTGTTCTTTAGCTGTCCATGTGTTCTCATCACTTAACTCCCACATGCAGTATTTAGTTTTCTGTTCCTGTGTTTGCGAAGGATAATGGCCTCCAGCTCCATCCATGTTCCTGCAAAGGACATGATCTCATTCCTTTTTATAGCTGCATAGTATTCCATGGTGTATATGTACATTTTCTTTATCCAGTCTATCATTGATGGGCATCTGGATTGATTCTATGTCTTTGCTATTGTGACTAGTGCTGCAATAAACATATGCGTGCATGGATCTTTATAATAGAATGATTTATATTCCTTTGGGTATATACCCAGTAATGGGATTACTGGATTGAAAGTATTTCTGTCTCTAGGTCTTTGAGGAATCGCCACACTGTCTTCCACAATGGTTGAACTAATTTATACTCCCACCAACAATGTAAACGCATTCCTTTTTCTCCACAACCCTGCCAGCATCTGCTATTTCTTTGGCCTTTTAAGGATAGCCATTCTGACTGGTGTGAGATGGTATTTCATTGTGAATTGTAGTTTTATTGTTTCTTTGCTGAATTAGTTTTTCTTTTATCTTTTTAAATTTTTAAAATATGTAGGTTTCTTTCCTCATACTTCTGTTGACCTGCCTCTGAGATAAAGTGGCTTTATGTAGTATAAAGAATTTTTAATTAGGAGATCTGGCTCAATATTTAGATTTGTCACTGAATGTCTGTGAAAGTTGCATTGTCTCTCTAGGCTTTGTCTGCCTTAAAATGAGGCAGTTTGACTAGATATCCAGACTTTTCACCTGTTAAATTCTGTGATCTGTTGTGTTGGCTAGAAAAGCTCATTTAAGAATTCTCTTTGCTGGGGATAGTAGATGGAGATAAGAGATTCATTAGTTGCCAGTCATAAAAACATTTTAAGATTCAGATAAAGTTTATGCCAGTTGATATGATTTTAGGCAAAAAATACCCTCTTATCTGTAAAATACAGATTTTTTGGGACCATTGAATGAAATAATATTTATTTATTTATTTATTTATTTTTTTTTTGAGACGGAGTCTCGCTCTGTCGCCCAGGCCAGACTGCGGACTGCAGTGGCGCAATCTCGGCTCACTGCAAGCTCCGCCTCCCGGGTTCACGCCATTCTCCTGCCTCAGCCTCCCGAGTAGCTGGGACTACAGGCGCCCGCCACCGCGCCCGGCTAATTTTTTGTATTTTTAGTAGAGACGGGGTTTCACCTTGTTAGCCAGGATGGTCTCGATCTCCTGACCTCATGATCCACCCGCCTCGGCCTTCCAAAGTGCTGGGATTACAGGCGTGAGCCACCGTGAAATAATATTTATAAAGTATCATAGTCTATGACACATAGTAAAGTCATTAAACTGTAGTCATTAATATTAATTAACTTTAGAAAAATGGTTTTCAATTATTTGCTGTAACTGTATATTATACAGTCAACAAATATTTGAGTGCATATTATATACCATCGCCTATATATCTAGTTATTTTCTTTTGATTAATTTTAACAAGAGTCAAACAGTTTGAACTTTTTCTTTTTTTTTTTTTTGAAAGAGTCTTGCTCTGTTGCCCAGGCTGGAGTTCAGTGGCGCAATCTCGGCTCACTGCAACCTCCGCCTCCTGGGTTCAAGCGATTCTCCCGCCTCAGCCTCCTGAGTAGCTGGGATTACAGGCATGCGCCACCTTGCCCGGCTAATTTTGTATTTTTAGTAGAGATGGGGTTTTGCCATGTTAGGCAGGCTGGTCTTGAACTCCTGACCTCAGGTGATCCGCCCACCTTGGCCTTCCAAAGTGCTGGGATGACAGGTGTGAGCCACCGCACCCGGCCAACAGTTTGAACTTTTAAAGTCTCCTGATACATGCTGCCAGATTGCTTTCCAGAACAGTATTAGTACCTTTTTAGTATGCAAAATTAATTTAAGATGTAGAGATCTAGGTTGAAGGGCTAAACCTTAAAAAAAAATCAAAGAGCATACTAAAGTTCTAAATTAAGTATGTTATGTAAGCTTTTGATTACATGTATTAACTGAAAAAAAAAACTTGTTCATTGGGGTTAATATGCTAATGGCTGTGTTGGAGGTCATGCTTCTAATGGCAGCATGCTTAGTTCATCATGGATTATTTCAATTTATGGTGACTGCTAATATGTACCAAGGGAACATACAGAACATCTATATGATCTGATCTTACTAGTAGTATTTAGTGAAGGAGCTTGAGAAGGAGGGAGAGAAGGGAAAACCGAGGAAAGATTAGTGTACCACAAACAAAAGGAGGAGAAAAGTTTAAGAATAACCCAGTCCTGGCCGGGCATGGTGGCTCACGCCTGTAATCCCAGCACTTTGGGAGGCCTAGGCGGGTGGATCACGAAGTCAAGAGATCGAGACCATCCTGGCCAACATGGTGAAACCCCGTCTCCACTAAAAATACAAAAATTAGCTGGGCATGGTAGCATGTGCCTGTAATCCCAGCTACTCGGGGGGCTGAGGCAGGAGAATCTCTTGAACCCGGGAAGTGGAGGTTGCAGTGAGCCAAGATCGCACCACTGCACTCCAGCCTGGTGACAGAGTGAGACTCCGTGTCAAAAAGAAAAATAAAAAAAAAGAATAACCCAGTCCTGTCTCTTATTCACAAAAGACAGCGACGTGGAAATTCAAATTTCATAAAAAGATCTCTCATAATTCTATTTCTGGAGATATGTGGAAAGATAAAAGCAGTATTCTGATTAAGTTGCTCTTCCTATCTTATAGGATAGTACTAGTTGGTGTTTTCTAGCAGGTATCATTAGTCTTTAGATGGGGGAAGGAGGTATCCATAAACTCTTGGCTTTCTGAAATGTATAATTGTAAGTTCTGGATATAAAACCAATTTCACAAATCAGTTATTTGTGAACAGCAAAAGAACATAAGTGGTCGAAGTAGTTCAGAAGAGGGTTAAAAAAAAAAAAAGGACAAATAATAAGAAACAAGCACCACGTGGGTGTTTCATAGCTACCTGAAACACAAATAGCCAAACTTGAACACATAATTTTCCCCTAAACCTGATTATTCTTTTAGTTCTCTGTCTTAATGAATGGCCTTGTTTGGTTGTCCAGGTCAGAATCTTGGTGTGATTGTTTACTCCTTCTTTCTTTCCCAGTTCCCAACCTTTTTTCCCCAGCTAATCAAATTCAGTTTAACTTCCTAAGTATTTCTTAAGATCTATCTACTTCACTCCATTCCTACTCTCCTTTGTATAGTCAAGATGACCTACACGCTTACCTAGACTATAACAGTGGTCTTCAAACTTAAGTTTCCTGCCTCTCTGCTCTTCATTCCAATCCATTCTCAACACTGCAACCAAAATGTTCTGTCACTCATCTGCATAAATTCCTGAGTCCAGCCTCTTCTCTTTCCCTCTCCCCTACATCCCTGAATTTCTCTTTCTTTTTTTCCATTTCCTGAAAGGTTTTTACTCTCTTTTCCCTCCAGGTCTCTCCAAGACAATCTTCTACTTTTTCTTAATTTCTGCTTATCCTTTAGACTTCAATTCAAATGTTAGTTCCTTGGAGTAGCCTTCCCTGATGATTTCCCTGATATACCATCCCCTCTCCTCTCAACCTAGGTTTAGTGCACCTGTTTTGTGCTCCCTGTTTTTTTCCCTATGCAATATTTGATGCATTTGATTGTACTATGTAGTTGTTTGTCCTGTCTTTTGCATATGTAAACTCAGTAGATAAGGACAGTGTCTGATGTTCCTGACCATTGAGTCTCCTGTGCTAATGCAATGCCTGACACATATTTGGCACTTAAATATTTGTTGAATTAATCTATATTCTTTTCTCTCCTTCAGCTTCCACTTAAAACTCAGTCACTATCATGCAACTAAAACTTCTCTTAGTAAAAATTTTTAATAATTTTCCTAATAATTAAATTCAGAGGTTTTTTTTTCCAGCTCAATGGATTCACCAGGATGTCTCACAAGTATTTCCAGCCTAACATGTTTTATTTTGAACTCTTTGTCTGCCCTCACTGCTTTCCCATGCCCAGTATCCCTTTCCCATACCCAACATCCCTTTCTCCCAAAAAAGAAAAGAAAAAACTCTTCTCTGGCATTTATGACTCTTAAGAAATGTTGGATAAGACGCTCCTAATACATTTGCACACTCATTCCTACACAGTCATGTATTCATTTGTTAATAAGTTCTGACTTGGGTGGGTGTGGTGGCTCACGCCTATAATCCCAACACCAGAAGTCCAAGGTGGAAGAATCGCTTGAGGTCTAGAATTCGAGACCATCCTTGGCAACATAGTGAGACCCCATCTCTACAAAAAGTAAAAATTAGCTGGGTATGGTGGTACACACCTTTAGGCCCAGCTACTTGGGAGGCTTTGGCAGGAGGATCACTTGAACCTGGGAAGTTGAGGCTGCAGTGAGCTAAGATTATGCCACTGCACTCCATCCTAGGTGACAGAACGGCAGACACCCTGTCTCTAAAAAAAAAAAAAAAATGTTCTCAGAAATATTTCTCAGATTGGACCCTTCCTTTCCTATCTGATCTCTTCCTAACTTACTTAGGCTATTACAACAACCTTGTCTTCTTGCCATCACAGATTGTTACTTTTCATTCTCTGCCATTCTAGACAGTCCTTTACATTGACCAAATTTAATTATGTCTGTCTCTGGTGAATTTTTTTTACCAAACTTCTTTCATATAAAGCTCATTACAATCTAGCTCTCTGGTGAATTTTTTTTACCAAACTTCTTTCATATAAAGCTCATTACAATCTAGCTCTTGTTTACCTATCTAAGCTCAATACCTCCTGCTCCCACTCCTAACCTTGTTCCTTACCCTATATTCTAAACACACTGGCTCTTTAATGTTATGTTAATTTAATAGATCATTTTCTTTTATGTGCCATATGAAGGTTGTCTTCCTTGGTCTTGATCAAGTACTCATTTTTAAGACCCAGCCTAAATCTCGCTTGTGAAGCATTCCCTAACCATCTCCCTATACCACAGGCAAAGTTAGTTGTTTCTTTTTGTGGGTTTTAATAATCCTTTGTTCTTATTTCATATATAGCATTTATTTCATTTTATAATAGTATTTGTTATATAGTTGGCAGCAGTATTTGCTGAGGAAAAGGAATGGTTCAGAGATGGCAATCGTGTTCTTTTATTTTGAAAATGTGGCCAACTAGGAACAACTTTAATGTCTTCTGATTTTGTTCTTAAAATTCAGCCAAAAGCTTAATCTATAAATGTATTTTCTATAGGAGAAAATATGGAGAAGTCTTGTGCAAGCAAGGAAGAAGTCAAAGAAGTCAGTATTGAAGATACAGGTGTTGATGTAGATCCAGAAAAACTGGAAATGGAGAGTAAACTTCATAGAAATTTGCTATTTCAAGATTGTGAAAAAGAGCAAGACAACAAAACAAAAGATCCAACCCATGATGTTAAAACCCCCAATACAGAAACGAGGACAAGTTGCTTAATTAAATATAATGTGTCTACTACGCCATACTTGCAAAGGTAAACTTTTAAAATGTACCATGATTTGTTTTCATGCTTGGAGATAATAAATAACGGCATTTAAAAATCTTTGAGATAGCTTCAGATTACAGCTACCATTTATTAATATAGAAATTTCAGTACGGGCATGGTGGCTCACGCCTGTAATTTCAGCACTTTGGGAGGCCGAAGCAGACAGATCACTTGAGCCCAGGAGTTCAAGACTATCCTGGGCAACATGGCAAAACCCCATCTCTACAAAAAATAAAAAAAATTTTGGCTGGGCAAGGTGCTGTGTGCCTGTAGTCCCAGCTACCTGGGAGGCTGAGGTGAGAGGATCACTTGAGCCCAGGAGGCAGAGGTTGCAGTGAGCCAAGATCATGCCACTGTCCTCCAGCCTGGATGACAGAGCGAGACCCTGTCTCAAAACAAAAAAGAAAACAGAAAAGTTTTTAAACAAATAGAATGTCATTAGAACATTTCACCTCTTAAATACTGTATTTACTTTCCCTAACTATTGCCATTTTGAAAAAGAAAACTTTTATTTGAATTTACTTTAATCTGTGTGTTATTAATAACAGTAGGTTTTGGCTTTCAGGAATTAGCCAGTTCTACAGATACTCAGGTATCTACTGTATACAAGTTGTAATGACAAATTGAGAAAAGGATAAGTTTCTCACTTCGGTGAGCTTATAGTACCTCTCTAAAAGACAATTAAATGCTTTTACCTGCTTATAACATACAAGCTATATAGTATGGTACATATCATGAAAGTACAGAGTAAAAATGTTAACATGTTTTTGAACTCTGGAATATTGTTTTAATTTTCAGTGTGAAAAAAAAGGTGCAGTTTGATGGAACAAATTCCGCATTTAAAGAGCTGAAGTTTTTAACACCAGTGAGACGTTCTCGACGTCTTCAAGAGAAAACTTCTAAATTGCCAGATATGTTAAAAGATCATTATCCTTGTGTGTCTTCATTGGAACAGCTAACGGAGTTGGGAAGAGAAACTGATGCTTTTGTATGCCGCCCTAATGCAGCACTGTGCCGGGTGTACTATGAGGCTGATACAACATAAGAGAAATAAAGCTCTGTTAGGGAATGGGGTTTTTATTATTTGTGGGGTGTTTTGTTTTGAGTAGCTTTATATTGCTCTTAGGTCTGGAGTTGGCCATGTACCTATGTATCCTAAGCATTCACGGCAGTGAGCTCCTTTACTAACATTCATGTTATGGCAAGAGTTGTCCTCTACATTGGAAAGCTAATCCTACCTTGTCAGTTTCAACCAACTGAGTTTTTTCTTTAAGAAAGGTAAATTTTGTCAGCTAGTTTACTATGTTCCTTGAATATAAACAGGTTATAATACTACCCTGTTCACTTTACTAAATATAAGTACAGTAATGATGCATAATTAGAAAATGAGGTATTCTAGGTAAAATGTATGTTTGCCTTGACATGTTTTTAAAAGTTATGATGTACCTCCCTGCCTTTAAACAGAATACTTTTTTCTTTTTTTTGGCCTTTCTCAGATTAGTCAAAAATTCTATAGAATGACTCACTTCGAATACTAAGACACAGGAGGTTTAGCCTGCTTTCTTACCAAATTCATGTTACCCAGACTTGTGTTCTCTTGCGTCCCTTGGACTGCCTGTTGATTGATGGAAAGTGTCTGCACTGACACTTTTCGTCAGTAGTCTGTAGTTTCGTGGCCTCTTTTGATTATAACTGGGGTCACCAAGAAGGTTTACTTAATTAAATACCGCATTTCTAAGAGAAGATACTTTGTGTAAGAAAAGATGCCACATTTAGTGGTTTAACTTTTGTAACTTCACTTGATAGTTTTTAAGCAATTAGAATGGAGTTAGGGAAAGAACATATCATACTGAACAAATGTCATTCTAGTTTAGATAGCATTTCTAAGATAACTGATACTAATACTTGTTTTCTTCCCTATAACATAAAAAACTTCACTGTTAAGTCATGTCCCTTGAAACATGATAGTTACATACACAGTTTTCTCTCCACACATAAATAACACCACTAAAGTTGTTTTGTAAGGTTCCAAACTAATATGGCATATATCAACTCTACAGTTTCAAATAAATGACTTTTTAATTGTAAAAGATTAGTTGAAAAACTGTATGAATGTGAAGATCACATGCTTAGTCATTTTTATGTTCATTCCACTTTGTATATCTTTTCTATTTATTGACTTCTCATGTTCTAGAGAGTAGGACTTTTATTCCGTGTACCTGATATATATACAATTAAAATATCTGTGTAATTATGTTTTAATGAAGTTTATTTCAACAGATATTTTATGAAATGCAGTTTAACCACAGTGAATGAATTTTAGCTTTGCTTTTGAAATACATTGTAAGATTTGACTTGAGGTTTTTGACACTTAAGTACATGCTTAATGATATATTTTCAAAAGTCATCAGTCTACTTACATAAACTTTACCTAATTTTTTTCACTTTAACAAAAACATAACTATGCCCTTGTTTTTTCATACTTTGACCCAAAATATGCCATTTTGAAATAAAATTTAAGCTTTGATACACTCTCAGCTTTTTAATATCTGTACCATATAATTCATTTGTCTGTATAGCAGAGTTTGAAATGCCTCTGTTAGAGAACTCAAGATACAACTTTTATGTTTGGACAAGTTTTTAAGAGTGTTTTTTTTCCTCCTTTACCTGAGGGGAAAATCTGTCTCTAAATATTCCTAGTTCTAACATTCAACCAGAGGTCTAACCCCTTTTCTGGTGCTTAAGGACAGCTATGTTATCTCTCCCCTAGGTTTGTTCCAAGCTAAATGATGTGATACCGTGCATAAGCATCCAGTAGAGACATAACAGGGACCCCTCTTAAGGGCCCGCTTGGATCTTCCCGTGTATAGTAATAAAGGAAAAATCTTGAGTCTCTTCAAGGGAAATTCCAGGTAGCTACCTAGCTAGCCTCAAAAAAGTAAATTGAACATCCTGGAATAAGGAAAAAAATGTTTCGTTTCCTATAGTAATGAAAGAACATCTTGACGCTGAATTTTTTGGAAACCCAGATCCATACCAGATAAAAATGCCAACCACTGTCAAGTGGACCTCAGGTAAGGGGAAACAGGACTGAACTCTAAACCACCATTCTTGTCCGTCTCGGCCTCCCGAAGTGCTGGGATTACAGGCGTGAGCCACCGCACCCGGCCACAGGACTGTTGGTAACACTAAATGAGACAGTGTAAGTAAAGGGCCCCATGAGTGGCCCACCATCCTCTGAGCTTCCAATGCTATGTGGCCAACATTTTGTTTATTCCTAGATTCAACTTCCCTTTGCATTGTGACATTAGCTTTTTTGATAAATTCTACATATGTGTTTGTTTATTGTCTGTATCCCAACCAGTCAAAACCACCATGATATGCCTGTACTTGCTCTATTGAGAATAGATGTTCTTTCTTTCCAATTTATAGCAAAGATGGAGTCAGTGTAGGGGGTGAGTTGGTAACACCTGTTTCACAACTCTAGGGAGCAATATTCTCACGGACAAGAGTGAAAGATGGCCTCTGAGAGACTGTGCAACTTCACATCCTGGCTTTGTATCCTCCAACCTACACACCTATCTGTTTCTAAGCCTTTTTTTCCTACTTTTTCTTTACCTCTTCTACCTGTGCTTAGGAACTCATGCTTTCCCTTTAGCATCAAGCTTCTTGGAGAAGGAGAAGTTATCTACTCCATTGCTCCTCTTTTATTAGCAATTTTCTTCCTCTTTTCCATTCACTCTTCAATTAATTGCAGTCTAGCTTTTGCTTTCCCTAGATTGAAACACATTCCAGAAAAATCAGTTTAATTACATGGCCTTTGCACTTGCTCACTGAAACCTTTTATCACTCTATTACATTAGATTCATACCTCTCCCAACCCTAATTCCATATCCTCCTTACCTGATTTATTTTTCCTCAGAGCACTTATTCAATTAAATATTCACGTATTTATTTGCTCATTGTCTGTGTTCCCGACTAGAATCTAATCCTAGAGGGCAGGGATTTTCATTCCTTTTTCTTTTTTTGATATGCAATCTTGCTCTGTGGCCCAGGTTGGAGTGCAGTGGCATGATCTCGGCTCACTGCAAGCTCTGCCTCCCGGGTTCACGCCATTCTCCTGCCTCAGCCTCCTGAGTAGCTGGGACTACAGGCACCCACCACCATACCCGGCTAATTTTGGGTATTTTTAGCAGAGACGTGGTTTCACCGTGTTATCCAGGATGGTCTCGATCTCTTGAACTCATGATCTGCCCGCCTCGGTCTCCCAAAGTGCTGAGATTACAGGCGTGAGCCACCGCGCCCGGCCAGGATTTTTATTTTCTATTTTGTTCACTGCTTTATCCCCAGTGCCTTGAATAGGAGATGCACCTAATGGGTGCTTCATGCATATTCACTGACTTGGACAAATAAATGCATTTTCTTATCTCCAGATTCATTGTGTCCTTTTCCATGTCCTCCTTGACTTCTCAGGGACACTTGACACTTGCTTCTGTGAACTTCCATGACCACACTCTCTCTTGGGTTCCTCCTGTTTTCATACCACTTTCTTATTTCCCTTTGCCAGCTTCTTTTCTTCTTACTCTTAAATATTGGCCATTCTGGTGTTGTCCTTGTTATCTTTCTCTTCCTACTCTATGCTTTTCCAGACAAGCTTATCTACACTTGGGGATTCGAATACCATCCACAAGATGAGAATTCTCAAGCATATATTTCCAGCTCTTGACTTTGCTCCTTCCATCATTGAAATGGCCCTCCCATGTTGAATCCCAACACACTTTTTTCCTCCCCAAACTGCTCTGTATTTAGGTTAAGCACCAACACACAACTGATTCCCCAAGTCAGAAACTTAAGAGTCACCTTGAACTTCTTCCTTTCACCAGCACTCTGAAGCAGTAGGACATCAAACTGTCCGTGTTATCCTGGCTCGCTCTATACCCATTGCACCGCCTTATCATTTCTTGCTTGTCCTGTTTCATTAATTTTCTAAAATTCCCTTGCCTCCTTGTCTTGCCTTCCTCTAATTCATCCCACACGTGGCAGCCAGAGCGTTCATTTAAAAATGCCAACCTGTTCATGCTTCTCCCCTTAAAGAGTCCCCATTTTTGTGATTCTCAGCTGTCTGCAGAAATCATCCAAACTTCTTGGCACAGTATGGAAGGCCCTTCAAGATCTGTCACATCTTTTACCCTGACACAAATATTCTGCATATGGTATGGACTACTTATAATTCTTTAAAGAAGCCACACTCGTTCTTATCTCCTCTGTACATGCTGTTCCCAGTGTACTTTGTACATGCTGTTCCCAATGCAGAGATGCTGTTCCATGCTTTGTCTATCTGGTGAGCTCCTACTCAGGTCTTCCCTGATATCCCCAGGCAGAAACAGAAGCTTCCTCTGTGTCCTCTCCTACAAGTACCTCATTACAGCACTGATTGCATTTGCAGGAATTGGTTTTCACATGTCTCTCTTCCTCAAGCATCTGTGAGCCCCAGGAGGGAATAAACTTCATTCTAACCATCTTCTTGAACTTTTTTCTTGGCACAGAATTTTTATTCTGGTTTATTAAGTTGAACAATAAAAATACTACTCTTCATCATTACCTCACATTTAACATGAAATTCTCATTTAACATGTTCCTAAGACACTTTCTCGGTGGCCCAGGATTGGGCGGTTGCTATTCAGTGCAGAAAGGGAGATGCCATCTAAGTGTGGTGGCAGAGTGTAGCTTGTCACCCACCAAGAAGCCCGAGTTATTGTCTCTTGGCCTCTATGGACTTTATGAGGCGTTTAATCCTTCAGGCTTCAGTTTCCTTAACTAAAATGAGGAGAGGAATAACCTGAGTTCTGAGATTAAACAGAAAAGTGGAACTAAAGTATCAGCCATACTCTGCTTTGGCAACCAATTTATAAACTTTACCATCCTAAAATAAGCTCTGTGTTTTTTGTGCAATTATAATTTTGTATATTCATTTAATGTGTACCGGAGTTGTAGGCAGTCATTTTATTATTTTTATTTTTATATTTTTTAGAGACACGGTCTCATTCTGTCATCCATCCTGGAATGTAGTGGCTTGACCGTAACTCACTGCAACCTTGAACTACTGGGCTGACAGTCCTCCTGCCTCAGCCCCCTGACTGCAGGCATGCGCCACCATGTCTGGGTAATTTTTAAATGTTTAGTAGCATTGAAATCTCACTATGTTGTCTGGGCTGGTGACAAACTCCTGGGCTCAAGCAATCCTCCTGCCTCAGCCTCCCAAAGTTCTGGGATTATAGGCGTGAGCCACCACGTCCAGCCCTAAGTGGTCATTTTAGGTCATAAACTCCATAAGGGCCAAAGGCCTTTTGACTCTCCACATATGGTTGAGTAGAGTACCTGCACTCCACATATATCGGCTGAACTGACTTGTATAGTGTTCAGAATAACTTTATAGCAATTTCAGAAATACAAGATGAGAAGCAGATTTGCTGTGATTTTAGTTATAAATAACAAGGAAAAAATGTTTTGCTCCTGGTAAATGAAAGGCACCAGTTTATCCAAAGGACTAAGAAAGGAAACTGACGCCTTGATTTGCTAAATCCAAATCCTTTTGGTACAACAGGGGTGGACAAATGGAAAAACCTGCCCTAGATGGCTTTGTGATATTTCGTTATGCTCAGAGTAGGTGCTCTATAAATACCTGTTGGATGAATGTTGCATGACTGCAGTTCCTCTATAGCTTTAATGAGTTCCTAAGAGCAGCTAGCCATATCCCTTAATAGTACCTTTCTGCTGACAGCAGCAAGCTATGTATGGTGTTAGTACGGTTGCTAGATGATGAAGCAGGAGAGAGGTCAATTCTGAATAAACATCTAGGAATTTAGTAAGAGAAGTTGAGCAAAGAGCTGTATAAAACAGCTCTGGATTCCAGTTAATGTAAACTTCATTCAGTTAGGTATACTAACTTTTTAAAAAACAAAGGCTGATGTCTGGTTACCTGAGCACTGACTCAGGCCCACACGTGAATTTTGGACAAAACATTTTAATTTGAATTCTTTTTTGACGGGGCTGATGCAATCCAGTTTTCCAGAGTTTCTAACACTCCCTATTATCTTGCTTTACTCATTTACATAACCTGTGAATCTCCTGAAACTTCTTCCTGGCTTAGAGGAAACTGAAACTAGAAAGAGAAACCTTTGGATGGCAAACTGGTCTAAAGTTACAATTTAGTCTTCAAAATTGGTTTAACCAAGCTTTCAGAGCGGATGGGCATGTTTCTTTATCTAATTTGTCTTACAGTTTTGTTTACTGCGACGATCTGTGAAAGACTTAAAAAAGAAGGGCTCATGATGAGTAATTGTCCAGGGCCCCTTACACATAGGCGTATTTTCATTAATTAAGAATTGTTGGCCGGGCACGGTGGCTCACGCTTGTAATCTAGCACTTTAGGAGGCCGAGGCAGGCGGATCACGAGGTCGGAAGATCGAGACCATCCTGGCTAACATGGTGAAACCCCGTCTCTGCTAAAAAATACAAAAAAAAAAAAAAAAATTAGCCGAGCGTGGTGGCGGGCACCCGTAGTCCCAGCTACTGGGGAGCCTGAGGTAGGAGAATGGCGTGAACCCAGGAGGCGGAGTTTGCAGTGAGCAGAGATCGCGCCACTGTACTCTAGCCTGGGAGACAGAGCGAGACTCCGTCTCAAAAAAAAAAAAAAAAAAAAAAAAAAAAAAATATATATATATATATATATATATATATATATATATATATATATATATGTGGGCGAATAAATGAAAAAATCTACTCAGTACACTGATGAAATATTAACTAGTAAACTACTCACCATCAATCCCAGCAAACGTTTCTCCCTGGGGCCAACAATTTATTACATGGAAGATCGTCTCCCTTAAGAAGATGTCTTACAGGCTGTAGTTTCTCTTCTATAAATAAATTATGTTTTTCAAAATATCAAGAGCTATGCTTCATTTTTGAAGAAATTTGTAGTTCTTGGGCCTCATATCTCTATCTAGCGAAGCAAATTGGTAATACACCAATTAAGATACCCGGGTATGAATATAAGAAACACAGTTGTGAAAAAATTATTTATAGAAAATTACCCTTCCTTTTCCAAGGTTCAAAAACCTTGAATTGTATCTACTTTATATTTTCTGGAGTTCAGCAAGTTCTTTCTTTTCCGGATAGCCTATTTCTAAATATCTGGACAGTGTCATGCTATTGGAAAATATATGGGTGTATATAAAACTTATGATTAGCTTGTTTTTCACCACTTTTAAATCAAAGAACCGTTGATATTTGTTAACACGAATGTTATTTAGATATGTTATAGTATAATGTGAATAAAATTTTTGTAAATTATGCTAACAATCCTACCAATTTAACAAATATTTATAAAGGGTTTTTTATTTTTGTTTTTTGTTTTGTTTTGAGATGAAGTCTTGCTCTGTCACCCAGGCTGGAGTGCAATGGCGCCATCTTGGCTCACTGCAACCTCCACCTCCCAGGTTCAAGTGATTCTCCTGCCTCAGCCTCCTGAGTAGCTGGGATTACAGGTGCCCCCCACCGCACTTGGCTAATTTTTGTATTTTTAGTAGAGATGGGGTTTCACCATGTTGGTCAGGCTGGTCTCAAACTCCTGACCTCGTGAACAATCCACCTTGGTCTCCTAATGTGCTGGGATTACAGGGGTGAGCTCCCACGTCCGGCCTCATTTTTGTTTTTGTTTCCTTCAACTTTTATTTTAAGTTCTGGAGTACATGTGCAGGATGTGCAGTTTTGTTACATTGGTAAATGTGTGCCATGGTGGTTTGCTGCACAGATCAACCCATCACCTTGGTATTAAGCCCAGCATCCATTATCTGTTCTTCCTGATGCTCTCCCTCCCCCCATCAGGCCCTCCCCGCAACAGGCCTCAGTGTGTTTTCTTCCCTGCCATGTGTCCATGTGATCTCATCATTCAGCGCCCACTTATAAGTGAGAACATGTGTTGTTTTGTTTTCTGTTCCTCTATTAGTTTGCTGAAGATAACAGCTTCCAGCTCCATCTGTGTCCCTACAAAGGACATGATCTCCTTCCCTTTTATGGCTGCATAGTATTCCATGGTGTATGTGTACCACATTGTCTTTATCCAGTTTATCATTCATAGGCATTTGGGTTGATTCCATGTCTTTGCTATTGTGAATAGTGTTGCAATAAACATACAGGTGCATGTATATTTATAACAGAATGATTTATATTCCTTTGGGTATATATCCAGTAATGGGATTGCTGCGTCAAATGCTATTCCTGCCTTTAGATCTTTGAGGAATTGCCATACTGTCTTCCACAAGGGTTGAACTAATTTACATTCCCATCGACAGTGTAAAAGCTTTCCTTTTTCTCTGCAACCTTGCCAGTATCTGTTGTTTCTGGACTTCTTAATAATTGCCATTCTGACTGGCATGAGATGATATCTCATTGTGGTTTTGATTTGCCTTTCTCTAAAGATCAGTGATGTTAAGCTTTTTTTTTCCATATGTTTGTTGGCCACATGAATGCCTTCTTTTGAGAAGTGTGTGTTTATGTTCTTTGCCTACTTTTTAATGGGGTTGTTTTTTTTCTTGTAAATTTGTTTAAGTTCCTTATAGATTCTGGATATTAGGCCTTTGTCAGACAGACAGATTGCAAAAATTTTCTCCCATTCTGTATGCTGTCTGTTCACTCCGATGATAGTTTCTTTTGCTATGCAGAAGCTCTTAGGTTCAATTAGATCCCATTTATCAATTTTTGCTTTGGTTGCAATTGCTTTTGGTGTTTTTGTCATGAAATCCTTACCCGTGCCTATGTTCTAAACGGTATTGCCTCAGCAATACTCAGCCTCAGCCCAGTTCTGTGCCCTTGCTGGAGAGGTGTTGCGTTCATTTGGAGGAGAAGAGACACTCTGGCTGTTGTGTGGTCTCCCTGATGTCCTGGAATGTCCTAGCCAATTGAGTGATGGTTTTTCTCTCCAGTGCATCCTCCCTGACCAGCCAGCTCTTCCTTCCCCAGCTCTTGCCCTGCAGTGACTCTGAAAGCTTGTTGTTCCATTTACTGCTTGCACTCACTTTATTTCACAGAGTAAAAGGTGCTTTGCAAACATAAGTTTATGTTGTTTGTCTTCAGCTCCCCCTGTATTCTCTCACCATGTCATTGGCGTGGAGAAGCAGGAACCTAAACATGGGAAGTGAACATCAAAATATGTCATGATCACAGTGTGCTTCAAGGTAAATACCACTTCAGCACGATATCCATTTGTATAAAGCTTAAAAATAACTGTCACAAAGTAATATATTTTCAGATATATCTATATTTACATCTACATCTCCCCTGTCTATACATAGATACATATCTAGACTATAAAGAAAAGCACAGGGATTATGAACATAACCTTCAGAAGAGTGGTCACCTCTGTTGCGAAGCAAGGGGACTGGATCAGAGAAGAAATTCCAGCAGTCCTGTAGCTTCCACAGGACTAGAAATGTTTCATACTGCATGAGGTCATGGGTTTATGGATGTTATTTAATTGTTATGCTTCATAACTTAGATGCACATCCCATGTTGAGAATACAACATGTTACATTTATATAGTGGGAAACTCTACAGCAATGAGTTTGAACGAACTACAACTATATGCATCAAAGTAGCTGCATCTCATAAGCATAATATTGAGGGAAAGAAGGTAGAGAAGAGTATACTGAATAATTCAACTCCTAAATGAATTATCCTATTAGAAATCAGAAGTAAGTCAGGCAGTGGTTAGCCTCAGGAGGGCGGTAACTAGAAGGAGGCTTCTAAGTACTGGTAATGTTTTGCTCTTTGGTCTGAGTACTGGTTATGAGTACTGAGTACATACTGTACTGTGTATTTACACTGTGAATGCTCATTGAACTTCATACTTGTGATTTGTGCACTTTTGGGTATGTTTGTTATACCTCAACCAAAATTTTACATCTCAAAGAAGTCAACGCTGGCCTTTGTCACCTACCTCTGCACACCATAAAAAGTGTGATTAAGGCTGGGCACAGTGGCTCACGCCTGTAATCCCAGCACTTTGAGAGGCTGAGGCAGGCAGATCACAAGGTCAGGAGTTCGAGGCCAGCCTGACCACCACGGTGAAACCCCATCTCTACTAAAAATACAAAAATTAACTGGGTGTGGTGGTGCGTGCCTGTAATCCCAGCTACTCAGGAGGCTGAGTCAGAAAAATTGCTTGAACTCGGGAGGCGGAGGTTGCAGTGAGCTGAGATCGCACCACTGCATTCCAGCCTGGGTGACAGAGCGAGACTCTGTCTCAAAGAAAAAAAAAAAAAAGTGTGATTAAATAGACTGATGAATGAAACAGAACTGAATGTCTATGAATAGATCCTAATACATGTGGCACTTTACACAATGATAAAGGTGGCTTTTCAAATTAGTGATAAATAGAAAATTCAACAAATGGTGTTGGGATAAATGAGTAGCCATTTGGAATAATAAAAATTAGTTTAGCTCTACTTTATATCTTACACCAAGGTATATTTCAGATGAATAAAAGATTCTTTTTATTTTTTTAAGAGACAGAGTCTTACGCTGTCATCCAGGCTGCTGGAGTCCAGAGACTCACTACAGCCTTGAGCTCCTGGACTCAAGTGATCCTCTCTCCTCAGTCTGCTGAGTAGCTGGGACTACAGGTGTGCATCACCATACCTGGCTGCTTGGCTAATTGTTAGTTTTGTTTTTTTTTTCTAGAAACTGGGTCTCACTATGTTGCGTAGGCTGGTCTCAAACTCCTGGAATCAGGTGATCCTCCAATCTCAGCCTCTCAAAGCATTAGGATTACAGGTGTGAGCCACTGTGCCAGGCCCAAAAGATTTAAATTTTAAAATAAAACAATAAAATGAGTCAAAGAAACATTGAGAATAATTTTTATAACTTTACAGTTCTTTTTAAAAAGCACAATATAGCAAAAGACCTCCTAAAACTAGAAGACTGATGAATTAAATTGTTTAAAAATGTGTGGCAAAATCCACAATAAATAAAAAGTTAGATAACAAATTGGGAAAAATATTTCCAATTCATAATGCATATAGACAGCTAACATCACCAGTGTAAAAGAGCTCTTTCAGATCAATAAGGAAAAGATGAATAAGCCACCAGAAACATGGACAAAAAGTATACACAAACAGTTCATTGAAAAGAAATAAAAGTGACTCAAGGCCAGGTGCGGTGGCTCGTGCCTGTAATCCCAGCACTTTGGGAGACCGAGGAGTTCGAGAGCAGCCTGACCAACATGGCAAAACCCCGTCTCTACTAAAAATACAACAGTTAGCTGGGTGCGGTGGCACAGGTCCGTAGTCCCAGCTACTTGGGAGGCTGAGGCAGGAGAATGGCTTGAACCCGGGAGGCAGAGGTTGCAGTGAGCCAAGATCACCTCCGGCACTCCAGCCTGGGTGATAGAGCAAGATTCTGTCTCAAAAAAAAAAAAAAAAAAAAAGTGACTCAAACGTGAAAAGATGCTCAACCTCACTCATGATGAATAAAATAAAAATGAAAGCTACAAATATATTATTCCTGTAGTGCTGGAGTACACCAGGTATTATAGAAGTATTTTAAAATACACTTAGTTGGCAAGAGTATGGGGAAGCAGGTACTTTCTTACGTTGCAGGTGAATAAAAGTTGGTGAAATCTTTAAGGGCAATAGTTTACTGAAAGGCAAGATCTATTAATATTACAGATGAATATACCATCTGAACATATCATTTAATCCAATAATTTTACTTTGGGAATATATCTTACAAATATGTTAGAACATAAGTAAAATTACACACACACACACACACACGTTATTAATCTTATTTTGAGTAGCAAAAAATTGGACCAAAAAATACTAATATCTATCAATAGAAAATTGGTAAATAAAATGCAGCCATCCAAAAGAATAAAAAACAATTATTTTACAAATATGGAAGAACTTCAAGTGACAAAAGCAATGTGTAGGAGTTGTATAATATTATATAGTATCTATCATTTATATTTTTTAAAAGGTAAAAAATATACTTTATAGACTTAGAAATAAAATTAACAATAGAAGTATAAATCGAACTCATAAAATATAAGTGAATAGTAAAGGGTTGACTCAGCAGCTATGGGATTGCATGCCTCAAAGAAAAGACTGACTCTTGACCAACTATTAGCTCTTGAAATATCCTGCCTGATAAGAGTGTCTTTGTATACCTCGGGCCTTGGGCAATGCCAGAGTTTGTGCTAATAATGTAATTTATGGTGAACACCTGTTTTTGCTTGCCTGGAGCCCTGGGTCATATTGTATGAGTTTGACTTCATAGGGAGGAATGGGTTGGAGACTGAGTATTAAGGGTCAATAGTCGGGGGTCTTCATGCCTATGCAGCTGACCTTGGACACAAAAGTTTGTGTGAGCATCCCTGGTTGACAATTCTTTGTCCATATTGTCACACGTCATTGCTGGGAGAATTAAGTTCTGTTCATATAACTCCACAGGGAGAGGACAACTGGAAGCTGCTCCTGGTTCTGCCTGGACTCTGCCCTAAGTGCCTTTTCCTTCCGAATGTATTCTATAGCCTTTCATCGTAATAAACCATAACCGTGAATAGAACAGCTTGTCTAAGTTCTGTGAGTCCTTCTAGCTCCTTATTGAATACGGTGGCAGCATTGGGTCCCTCAACACACTAGATAAAGTAATTAGAGAAGCATTTATTTTTTTCAGATGCTGGCATTGAAAAGGAATAAGGACTACTTATTGAGTTAAGTATTCAGTTTAAGATGTTAGATAAAGGGCAACAAAATAAAGAAAGTAGAAGGGGCTGTCTACTGTTTACCATCACACTTTGCTGCCTCTCTTGGACAATCTATAGACAAAGTTAATAAAAGAGTGCAACAAGTTTTCCGAATGCAGAATTGATATACAAAAAAAGATTGCATTTCTATATACCAGCAACAACAACTCAGAAAACATAATTTTAAATGCAACACTACTAAAAATAACAACATAATCATTATGGAATCATGAAGATGTCAATTCTCCCAAAATTAATCCATAAACTTGATGCAATTCCAATACAAACTCAAGAGGATTTTTTTACAATACTGAACAAGCTAATGTCACAATTCATGAGGAAGAGCCTATGTTTAAAAACAAAGCACCAAAGTGGGAGACTTGTTCTACCAGATTTAAATAATTATTAAAAAGTTAAGTTAAACAGTGTAGTATTGGTGCAGAGATAGATGTATAAGCTAATGAAATGAAAGAGGGCCTAGAAAGAGCCCAAATCATATATGGAAATATAAATGACAGACATGGCATCAGAACTCAGTGGTAAAAGATGAGAGTATTCATCTCCCATCTTTTTCAAAAGATGTTGAAATTCAAAGGGTGTTGAAATTTTTGGCTGTTGATATTATAATAAAAATAACATTTGGTCCTTGTCCTTAGTTCCTGACACACAGCTCCTGAAGTCCTTGGAATCTCCAGAGTGATGACTGAGTTAATCACCAATGGTGAATGGCAATGATTATCTGTGAGGACCAAAGCTGAGTCTTCGTGCTTAGGGCAGGAGCGCAGACAAGGAGAGGGGCTCTTCCTTCTGAGGCTTGTCATCTAGAACTCATTGTCACTGGAAGCCAGAGCCTAAATGGGCCTATCAGTTGCCTTGGGTTATAAGAACAAGTTTGAGTATTTATTCATTTATTTATCTTGAGTTCGGGGCCCCTGTGTATCTGCTCACTGCCTGCCCGCAGTTCAGCTTGTGCTTGGCTCACTCACCATTCAGCGAAATGAAGGAACCAGCGGAATGAAGGAACCAGCGGAGGGACCTCCGGGAGGAGGCGCTGCCCAGCGAGCCTGGCGCCGGGGGGCGGGGCCTGACGGGAGCTCTGCTCAGGCTTCAACATGGCGGGCCGTTTCGGTTGACTTCGCCTGTGGAAACCGAATTCCCCCTCCATGGTTTCCCCAGGATATGAGTTGGGGGCCTCACCTCGCCTATAAGGGTCAGGCGAGCTTTCTGGATGCTCGAGGGACCTTTCGGCCTGCGCAGCCGGAGCAGCTTGTCCCAATGCCCTGCCATTTCTGTGAGGGCCCACGAGGCCTGGAGGAGCCTCGGAGCCCCCGCAGGCCCTCGCGTCACTGCCTCAAGAGGGTGCTCGGAGCCCTGCTCGGGAGCTGGTCCCCAACGAGGTGTGGAACCCCTTCTTGCTGGAACTCCACGGAGAGACTGGTAATAAGATAGTAATAAGACCGACTACTGTTTATTGAACCTCCGCTAGTCACTGGCTGTCACGGGTTGGGCGAGAGGTGGAATATAAGGCCCAGAGTTCCTCTATTATAGCCATGGAGAGCCATTAATACCTGCTTAATAGAGTTGTGGTGAGACATGGAATGGGCAAGAAAGGCACTCGATTTATTTGATTTTTAGAATCATGATTATTATTATTATTTTGAGACGGAGTCTTGATCTGTCGCCCAGGCTGGAGTGCAGTGGTGCGATCTCGGCTCACTACAAGCTCTGCCTCCCGGGTTCAAGCGATTCTCCTGCGTCACCCTCCCGGGTAGCTGGGATGACAGGCGCGCGCCACCATGCCTGGCTAATTTTTGCATTTTTGGTAGAGACGGGTTTTCATCATGTTGGCCAGGCTGGTCTCGAACTCCTGATCTCCACTAATCCACCCGCCTTGGCCTCCCAAAGTGTTGGGATTATAGGTGTGAGCCACCTCACCAGAAAGTGCCAAGAAAGGCACTTTAGACAGTGCCAGAGTTGAGGATTTGGCCTCTGACTCGCTGCAGTTGCCACACTGCAGTTGCCACACTGTGGCCTTAGAACAGTCTTATCCAGTCCTGAAAACCCCAGTGCCTTGGAAACATCAGGATTGGTCAGAAGGACAGTAAGTCCTTAAGGCGCCAGCCCCTGCTCCTCCCCCCAGATTGAGGGGTAAGTATTCCAAGCTCTATGCAGGACCCTAATCCTGGATGTGGACACCCACAGTCCTGCTAGGACCTGCTTCCAGAAGAGTTGATCCCAGCCGTGAAAGTGCATGATGCCTTCAGCGAAGCAGGCAGGAAAGGCTCAAGTGATCCTCCTGTATCACCCTGGTGAGTAGCCAGTAGCTGGGACCACAGGCGCGCACCACCACGCCTGCCTAATTTCTTTGTAGAGACGGCCTTCGTCATGTTGCCCAGGCTGCTCTGGAAGTCCTGAGCTCAAGCGATGCGCCTGCCTTGGTCTTCCAAAGTGCTGGGATTACAGGCGTGAGCCACCACGCTCAGCCCAATTTGTGATCTTTCATGCACTCTTTCATGTAGCATGTTTTCAAGGTTCATCCAACTTGCAGTGTCTTAATGCTGAATAATATTTCATTGTGTAGATATAATGTATTTTTCAAGTTTTGTTTATTTTTAATTGGTACACAACAAATATTTGTACATATTTGTGTGGTACATATGTACATGTGATATGTTGTTACATGCATAGAATATGTAAGGATCAATCAGGGTATTTAAGGTATCTGTCACTTTGAGTATTTGTCATTGCCATATGTTGGGAACATTTCAAGTCTTCTCTTACAGCTATTTTGAAATATACAATACATTGTTGTTCACTGTAGTCACCCTACTCTGCTATAGAACATTAGAACTTAACTCCTTCTATCTAACTGTATTAACCAACCACTCTTCCCTGCCAACCCACACACCCTTCCTAGCCTCTGGTATCTATCTGTCCACCGTCAACTTTTTTAGCTCCTACGTATGTGATAACATGCAATATTTGTCTCTCTGTGCCTGGCTTACTTCACGTAACAATGACTTCCAGTTCCATCCAGGTTGCTGCAAACGACATGATTTCATTCTTTTTTTATGGCTGAATAGTACTTGATTATATATATCGCATTTTCTTTATCCATTTGTCTGTTGATGGACACTTAGGCAGATTCTATATTTTTGCTTGTGAATAGTGCTGCGGTAAACATGGAAGTACAGGTATCATCCCTTTGATATACTGGTTTTTTTCCTTTAGATAAACAGCCAGTAGTGGCATTGCTGGATTGTATGGTAGCTCTATTTTCAGTTTCCTGAGAAATCTCCATACTGTTTTCCATAGTGACTGTACTCATTTACATTCCCACACATAAGAGTTCCCCTTTCTCTGCATCCTCGCCCACATCCATTATTATTTTGTCTTTTTAATCATAGCCGTTCTCATTGGGTGAAGATGATATCTCATTGTGGTTTTAATTTTCATTTCCCTTATTATTAGTGACGTCGAGCATTTTTTCATATACCTGTGTGTCTTCTTTGGAGAAATATCTATTTATGTCCTTTGCCCACATTCGTTCATTCATTTATTGGAGTCAGGGTTTTGCTCTGTTGTCCAGGATGGAGTGCAGTGGTGCAATCACGAGTCACTGCAGCCTCCACTTCCTGGTCTCAGATGATTCTCCTGCTTCAGCCTCCAGAGTAGCTGAGACCACAGGCACGTCCCACTGTGCCCAGCTAATTTGTATGTGTGTGTGTGCTTTTTGTTTTTGTTTTTGTATTTGTTTTTTTTTTGGAGACAGGATGGGAGTGCAGTGGTGCTATCACTGCTCATTCTAGCCTCAATCTCCTGGGCTCAAGTGATCCTCCCACCTCGTTTTTTGATTTTTGTAGAGATGAGGTCTCACTATGTTGCCCAGGCTGGGCTTGAACTCTTGGGCTCAAGCAATCTTACTGCCTCGGCCTCCCCAGGTGCTGGGATTACAGGCATGAGCCACCAAACCCAGCCTAATTTTTGTATGTTTTTGTAGAGACGGGGTTTTACTATGTTACCCAAGGTGGTCTCAAACTCCTGGGCTCAGGCAGTCCACCTGCATCAGCCTCCCAAAGTGTTAGGATTACAGGCATGAGCCATCATGCCTGACCCTTTTCCCACTTTTAAATGGAATGATTATTATTTTTTACTGTTGAGGTGTTTGAGTTTCTCGTGTATTCTAGATATTAATTCCTTGTTGGATGAATAGTTTGCAAATATTTTCTCCCATTCAACAGGTTGTCTCTTCACTCTGCTGTTTCCTCTGATGTGCAGAAGCTTTTTAGTTTAATATAGTCCAATTTGTCTACTTTTGTTTTTGTTGCCGTGCTTTTGAAGTCTCAGCCATAAAATCTTTTCCTAGTGTCCTGAAGTGGTTCCCCTAAGTTTTCTTCTGGTAGTTTTATGGTTTTGGGGCTTATGCTTAAGTCTTTAATCCATCTTGAGTTGATTTTTGTGTATCGCGAAAGGTAGGAGGTTAGTTGTGTTCTTTTGCATACATATGGATATCCAATTTTCCTAGTACCATTTATTGAAGAGGATGTCCTTTCCCCAATGAGTGTCCTTGACACCTTTGTTGAAAATCAGTTGGCTGTAAATGTATGGATCTATTTCTGAGTTTTCTATTCTGTTTCATTTTATACCTGTTTTTATACCAATACTATGCCGTTTTGGTCACTAGAGCCTTGTAATATATGTTGAAGTCAGATAGTATAATGTCTCCAGCTTTCTTTTTACTTAGGATTGCTTCTCTATTCGAGCTCTTTTTTGGTTCCATATGAATTTTAGGATTATTTTTTCTACTTCTGTGAAGAATGACACTGGTATGTTGATAGGGATTTTATTGCATCTGTGTATTGCTGTGGGTTGTATGGTCATTTTAACAATATTGATTTTTTTCTGATCCATGAGCATGAGTTGTCGTTCCATTTCTTTATGTCCTTCTCAATTGCTTTCATCAATGTTCTGTAGTTGTCCTTGTAGAGGTTTTTCACCTACTTCGTTAAATTTTTTTCCTAGGTATTTTATTTTCTTGAGCTATGATAAATGGGATTTCCTTCTTGATTTCTTTCTCAGCTAGTTTATTATTGGTGTGTAGAAATGATACTAATTTTTGTATGTTGACTTTGTATCCTCCAACTTTTTTTTTTTTTGAATGGAGTCTTGCTCTGTAGTCCAGGCTGGAGTGCAGTGGTGCCATCTTGGCCCACTGCAGTGTCCGCCTCCTGGGTTAAAGCCATTCTCCTGTCTCAGTCTCCTGAGTAGCTGGAACTACGGGCGCACGCAACCAGGCCTGGCTAATTTTTGTGTTTTTAGTAGGGATGGGGTTTCACCGTATTGGTCAGGCTGGTCTTGAACTCCTGACCTCGGGTGATTCTCCTGCCTCGGTCTCTGAAAGTGCTGGGATTACAGGCATGAGCCACCGCACCTGGCTGTATCCTATAACTTTACTGAACTTACTTATCAGATCTAAGAGTTTTTGGTGGAGTCTTTAGGTTTTTCTAGATACAAGATCATGTCATCTACAAAGAGGGACAGTTTTACTTCCTCTTTTCCAATTTGGATGTCTTTTATTTGTTTCTATTGTCTGATTGCTCTGGCTAAGACTTCCAGTACTGTGTTGAATAGGAGTGGCAAAAATAGACATCCTTGTCTTGTTCCAGTTCCTAGAGGAAAAGCTGAAAGCCACGATAGGATGGTGTTAACTGTGGGTTTGTCATATGTAGCCTTTATTATGTCGAGGTATTAATAGGCTCCTTCAATGCCTAGTTTGTTGAGAGTTTTTATCATGAAGATCTTTTGAATTTTATCAAACCCTTTTTCTACATCTCTTGAAATGATCATATGGTTTTGTTCTTCATTCTGTTGATGTGGTGTGTTATCTTTGTTGATTGATGTATGTTGAACTACATTTGCATTTCTGGGACAAATCCCACCTGATCCTGGTATGTTATCTTGTTGATATGCTGTTGGATTCAGTTGGTTAGTATTTTGTTGAGGATTTTTACATCTATGTTTATCAGGGATATTAGAGTGTAACTGTTTTTTTTTGTTGCATTCTTATCTGGTTTTGGTATCAGGGTACTGCTAGCCTAGTAGAATGAGGAAGAATTCCCTCCTTTTCAATTTTTTGGACTAGTTTGAGGAGAACTGGTGTTAGTTTGTCTTTGTAAGTTTGGTAGAATTTGGTAGTGAAGTCATTAGCAGTGAAGCCATTGGGTCCTGGGCTTTTCACTGTTTGGATTCTTTTTTATTATGGATTCAATTTCATTACTCATGATTGGTCTCTTCAGGTTTTCTATTTATTCCTGATTCAATCATGGTAGGTTATATGTGTCAAGGAATTTATGCATTTCCTCTAAGTTTTCTAGTTTATTAATATATAGTTGTTCATAATACTGTCTGATGACTTTTGGTATTTCTGTGGTGTCAGTTGTAATGTCTACTTTTATTCGTTTATTTATTTCTTTATTTTTTGACACACGGTCTCACTCTGTCACCCAGGCTGGAGTGCAGTGGTGTGATCATGACTCACTGCAGCCTCAAGCTCCTGGGCCGACGAGATCTTCCCACCCCAGACTTCTGAGTAGCTGGGACTACAAACATATGCCACCATGCCCAGCTAATTTTTGTATTTTTTTTTTAGAGACAGAGTTTCGCCATGTTGCCCAGGTTTGTCTCATACTCCTGAGCTCAAGCAATCCACCTGCCTCAGCCTCTCAGAAATGCTGGGATTACAGGCATTAGCCACTGTGTCTGGTAATGTCTTATTTTTCATCTTGGATTTTGTTTATTTGGATCATCTTTTTCATTTTCTTGTTTAGTCTAACTAGCCGTTTATTGATTTTGCTTACCTTTTTGAAAAAGGAACTTTTTGTTTCATTGATTCTTTATATTGTTTTTGAAATCTATTTCATTTAGTTCTGCTCTGATCTTTATTATGTCTGTCCTTCTACTAATTTGAGGTTTGCTTTGTTCTTGCTTTTCTAGTTCTTTGAAGTTATCATTAGTTTGTTTATTTGAAATCTTTCTACTTTTAAAATATAGGTGTTTATTGCTATAAACTTCCCTCCTAGCACTGCTTTTGTTGTATCCCATAGGTTTTGTTATGTTGTTTTCAATTTTCACTTGTTTCAAGACATTTCATTTTTTGAGACAGGGTCTCTCTCTCTATCACTCAGGCTGGAATGCAGTGGCGTGATCTTGGCTCACTGGAACTTCCACCTCCTGGGCTCAAGCAATCCTTCTGCCTGAGCCTTCTGAGTAGCTGAGATTACAGGCACACACTAGCATACCTGGCTAACTTTTGTATTTTTTTGTAGAGACAGAATCTCACTATGTTGCCCAGGCCAGTCTCAAACTCCTGGGCTCAAGCAATCCACCCACCTTGGCCTCCCAAAGTACTAGGATTACAGGCATGAGCCACCACACCCAGCCTGTTTCAAGACATTTTTTGATTTCCTCTTTAATGTCTTCCTTGAGCTAAAGGTCATTCAGGAGCATGTTGTTTAATTTCCACGTATTTGTACAGATTCCAAAGTTTCTTTGTTATTGATTTCCTATCCTATGTCACTGTGGTCTGAGAAGATACTGGTATGATTTTGATTTTTGAAAATTTGTTGAGACTTATTCTATGTCCTAACATATGGTCTATCTTGGAGAATGTTTCATGTGCTGGTGAAGAGGTATGTGTATTCTGTAACTGTTGAATGAAATGTTCTATAAATGTCTGTTAGATCCATTTGTTCTAAAGCACAGTTTAAAATCAGTGTTTCTTTGTTAATTTCCTGTTTAGATGATCTGTCTAATGCTGAGTAGAGTGTTGAAGTCCTCATCTATTATTGCAGTCTATCTCTCCCTTTAGATCTAATGACATTTGCTTTATATATCTGGGTATCCCAGTATTGAGTGCATATATGTTTAGAACTGTTACATCCTCTTGCTAATGTATCTCCATGTCATTCTGTAGTGACCATCTTTGTCTCTTTTTACTGTTTTGTTTGTTTGTTTGTTTTTGAGATGGAGTCTTGCTGTGTTGCCCACGCTGGAGTGCAGTGGTGTGGTCTCGGCTCACTGCAACCTCCGCCTCCTGGGTTCAAGCGATTTTCCTGCCTCAGCCTCCTGAGTAGCTGGGATTACAGGTGCCTGCCACCATGCCCAGCTAATTTTTTGTATTTTTGGTAGAGATGGGGTTTCACCATGTTGACCAGGCTGGTCTCGAACTCCTGGCCTTGTGATCTACCCGCCTCAGCCTCCCAAAGTGTTGGGATTACAGGCGTGAGCCACTGTGCCTGGCCTCTTTTTACTGTTTTTGACTTAAAGTCTGTTTTATCTGATATAAGTATAGCTGCTCCTGATCACTTTTGGTTTCCCTTTGCACAGAATATCTTTTTCCAGTCCTTTCCTTTCAGTCTGTGTGTCTCCACAGGTGAGGTGAGTTTCTTGCAGTTGGCATATATTTGGGTCATGTTTATTTTTTAAATCCGTTCAGCCAGTCTGTGTCTTTTCAGTGGAAAGTTTAATCTATTTACATTGAAGACTATTTTTGATATGTGAGGGTTATTCCTGTCATTTTATTAATTGATTTCTGGTTGCTTTATATGTCCTTTGTCCCTTTCTTTCTCTCTTATTGTTGATCATTGTGGATTGGTGGTTTTCTTTAGTGATAACTTTTGAATTGTTCTTCTTATTTATGTGCTTGCTCTACCAGTGGGTTTTATACTTTCATGTGTTTCTGTGATGGTAGATATCATCCTTTTGCTTCCAGCTGTAGGACTGCCTTACATGTTTCTTATATACCTGGTTGAGTGGTGATGGAAAACCAACGGCTACCATTAAACTTAGTGGTGAAAGTCTTAAAGCTTTTCTCCTAAGATGAGGAACAAGCCAAGGATGCCTGCTCTTGCTTTTTCTATTCAACATTGTACTGGAGGTTCTAGCCAGGATAATTAGACAAAAAAACCAAAACAAAACCAACAACAAAAAAGAAAAAGCATCTAGATTGGAATGGAAAAAGTGAAACTGTATTTTTTGCAGATAAATAATGTTGTATATAGAAAATCTAAGGAACCCACAACAACGATAACAACAACAAACCTGCCGGAGCAACAGTTGAGTTCACAAAAGATATAAGATCAATGTGCAAAAAGTTATATTTAGAAACACTAGCAATGAGTAGCCTGAAAATGAAATTAAGAAAGTAATTTTATTTACAATAGCATTAAAAAATAAGACTAAAACAAAAGAAATGTAAGACTACAAAACATTATTGAAAGTGATTAAGTAAAGACCTAAATAAATAGATACACATTCTGGGTTTATTGAATGGAAGACATTACTGTTAAGATGACAGTACTCCACAAATTGATCTACATATTCAACTCAGTTCCTATCAGAATCCTAGCTTCTATTTTGCAGAAATTGACTTGCTGATCCTAAAATTCATTTGAAAATGCAAGGGACTCCGAAGAAGCAAAATGATCTTGAAGAAGAACAATGAAGTTGCAGAGTCCACACTTTATTATTTCAAAACTTACTTATAGTGGTTAAAATTGTGTAGTACTGGAATAAGGATAGACATGTAGATCAATGGAATAGAATTGAGAGTCCAGAAGTAAATTCATACATTTAAGGTCAATTGATTTTCCACAAGGGTATCAAGGCCATTCAGTGGAAAAGAACAGTCTCTTCAGCAAGTGGATGAAGTTAGATCTCTTCCTCACATCATACAGAAAAATCAACCTCAAATGGAAGAAATATCTAAATGTAAGATCCCAAACCGTACTCTTAGACAAAAACATAGGTGTAAATTTTTCTGATACTGACTTAGTAATGATTTCTTTTTTTCCTCTCCTTTTATGTGGGACAGGAAAACTAGAGGGGTTTAGAGTTGTCTTACTGCTTTTCCCCTATGTCAGACAAGGCCCTGATAAAGCAGTTTTTCTTTAGGGCAGGGCTTTCACACAGAGAATAGAATGCTCTGGGCATATTTCAAAATGGTTGCTGTACCCACTCACTCTATCCACCAACTAGGGTATATTTTGAAATGGTTGCTTTTCCCTTTTCCTTGCCTAAAGAGCCTGAGGAAATTTTCTTCAGCCTTCATCATGAGAACCAGCTAGGGTTTCTGGAAGTAACATTCATGAAAGTATAAGGGGTTCCCAAGGCGGGACTTCAACAAGTTTTTAACTCTCAAGCTAGTCCACACTCAGCCACCGGTAATTAATTGACTAGCATTTAAGTGTTCCTACCAATTACTGGCTCCTGTGGCTTCTGCTCTCAGGTAAACTGTGATGTTCTGTAGTCACGTGTCTCTCTAGTTTTTGAGGAAGTGGTTTGCCCTGTGACCTCTATTCTCTGACAGATCTAAGAAAAGTTGTTGATTTTCAGTTTGATTATCTTTTTTCCTGTTGTGAAGATGGGAGTGATGACTTCCAAGTTCTCTGCATGTTGGAGTGGGAACTGGAAGACCTAATTAACTTCTTAAGAAACTGCCAAACTGTTTTCCAAAGTGGATCTAGCACTTTACATTCCTGGCATTGTATGAGAGTTTCAGTTTCTCTCTATCTTTGTCAACACGCCATCTTTCTAATTTTAGATATTCTAATAGGTATCTAGTGGTTTCTTATTGTAGTTTGAATCTGCATTTCTCTAATAGCTAGTTATGATGGCCCTCTTTTCATTGGCTTGTCAGTTGCAAATCTTTATTAGTGAAGTATCTGTTCACATATTTTGCCCATTTTTTAAAAGTTGGGTTGTTTTCTTACATTTGAAGTTTATTTTTTCTTATAATCAAAATTTTAATGTATACATAACAAATTGTACATATGAGGTACAGTGTGATGTTTCAGTACATTTTACATGGTATAATGATCAAATCATGGTAATTAGCATATCCATTGCCTTAAACATTTACCATTTCTTTGCTGTAAGAACACTCAAAATCCTCTCTTCTAACTAGAATATGGGTGTATTTTAAATGTACACCTATTTATTTTCTCACAATCCTAGAAAATGATAGCTTGAGTCAATGAAGTTTCCCCTGCAAGTCCTATCAACCTTGCTTACTTTAGTGAAATTTAATATGGTCTAGAAAACACTGAGCCCTCTGGTTATTCTCTCTAACCCACAAAGGAAGCCGAACACTTGATAAAAAGTTCATCAGCGTAAATAAGAAGAATCCCCTCCATTACATACAAAAGAAAAAATAACTGGAGAGATCATCTCTGCTCTAAGGTGATTATCCTGTGGTCTTTGGTTTTGGTACGTTCTCCCCGACCCCATGCCCTTTTCCCTCATCTTTAATGAGTATCTGTATGTGTGGCAGAACAGCGTGTTTTTAAGTCTCTGCAGTCTTGGACCAAGCTCGTTTTATTCCCTACTCTACGAGAATCTCAAGAGCACCAGGATTCTGTTTGGAGTTGCCATGGACACAGAGTTCTTAATCCAGTACTGGCTTATTCTCAATACGAGGTAAAGACCTAGAGGTGAGGGTCTCTGAGCAAGGTAGTCCCATCCCATCCTCTGCCCTCTCTGTTGGCTAATGTTGTCCTCTCATCCTCATCAGGAGAATTAAAATCATGTAAAGTTTTGGTGGGGGAACTAGGTGGTGGTTTCTGGGGCCCACAGACAGGAAAGTTTGCTTATAGCCAGTTGGGGGGACCACTAATTGATATTCCTTTCCCCTCCCAGGGACCTTACGGAGTCCCCTTATCCTCAGGGTACTGGGGGACAACTAGTGGGTGTAGGGCCAAATAGTAATAACCTTGTTATTTGCCAGGAATGGGGTAAAGATTTGATCTAACAAGCTTGGTTTTGGGAATTAAAAAATGAAAAAAGGAAAAGCTATAATCCTGAAAGGCAACAGGAGAGAAAAGTGCTAACAGGATCTTGAATAAATTTCTCCCTCTTAGAGAAAGTTGTACTGAAGACACGAGACCTGAGACTTGTGTCATTTTAGCGGCTGAACCGACCCCAACTTCTTCTGAGCGGCAGTGGCGCCAGAAGCAGTCTGGCTTTCAGGTAAGCAGGTCCAGGGCTTACAGGGAGAAACTCCCAGGTATCCAGCTCTGCCTTGGGTTGCCCTGGTTCACATCCAAAGGTGTGCTTGGGCCACATCTCTGGAGCAGAAGGTGGTAGACTGAGAGCTTTGATATTTCTATTTCTATTGCACATGAGCTGGTATAACCCCAAAGGTATGGAATTTGCTGCTGTCTGTGACCCAGCAAATAGAAATAGGAAAGTAATGAGGTAGAAAAATAATAGAAATAGAAAAAAAATTGTAAAAATAAAATAAGCTTCATTCTATGCCTGTTAATGTCCTTAAAAATAGGACATTTTTAGGCAGTGTGATAACATGCATCTACTGGTTGCTTTCATATTTCCTATAGGGGTGGCTGCTTGCCCTAATGGTGGATGCTCTGTTCAGGATGGTGACCTAGTGCTCAGCTCTGGAAGCCACTCCACAGAGATGGCCACCGAAAGGGCTTCAGTGGTCCCATCTCAACACCTGAAACATTGTTAATTATTACAGTGAAGGCCACAAATGGGCTTTTATTAGTGAGATTGGTGACTTACAAAGCAGCATGATGGTTGTTACAATTATATGACATTTTAAGATCTGTGAATCAGCTAAAGTGTTTTGGAGACAGCCCACCCTTGCATAAACAGGATAAAGGTTTATGAATATGGCCTGTAGTGTATACTTAGAGATGACACCCCAGGCTTGATCCTCATATGGTCCTATCTCCAGGAAGGTTTAGGAAGATTTTGGCCTCTGGAATATTAGGATTCTGTTGAGAATGAACCTTTCATGCTTGGAGCACCTAAAGTACAGAAAGCTTACAGAAGCTTATGTACCGTGCCTGCTTGCTACTGAATGTTTTGTTAAATGAATATCTGTATGTGTGGCAGATTTGATTGGAGAGCTGCTTTTCATTATAACCTGGTAGCCTGATTATAAAGGTGTAGCTAACCTTCACCTAACTCAAACTTCTGTGGTTTCTCCTGTCTACCAAAAAGCATTTAAGAATTCTGCGTGATCACGTTATTTTAGGATAGTTTGCCATTCTCACCTTCCTTAGAAGGCAATTTAGCTAGCTACTTATGCATGTCCCATGAGGGAAGTCAGTCTGTGCTCCCAAGCAGCTTATCAAAGTATGATTTCAGACTTCATGCAATACTCTCCCTGAAAGGAGTTCAGGTAACATGTATGGATGTCTTGTGTCCTTTTTGGAGATTAGTTTCCCAAGGAACTCGCTTAGCAGTCCTGGCTTGTCACCTGGATCTGAAGAGTAATTTGAGTGTCTTCCCATTCTCTTCCTCGGTAGAAGATATCTGAAAAATCCAGTAATCATTCAATAAGGCTGCTTATGTCAGAAACTCAAATTCTTATGTTTTTGGCGTTTTGAACATTTTCCCCTGTTATGACTTATTAGTGTATTCTGCATAGACAACCCAGTTGTCCTTCCTGCAGAAAAGCAGCAGATACCTCTAGATGCCTTTCTTTTTGTAAAAGGTATTGTTTTTCCTGAGACCTGGATGAATTTCCATGAGCCATTCAAGGGCATGAGAACACCCACTTAGAACTTGAGAGGTTCCCTTCATGGCCCTCAGACTGGGCTAACGAGATTTGATAATTTGAACTCCAGCACTCCTTTCCTCACAGGCTGAAAGAATAGCACAGTATTAATGTCTATCTGCGCTTAAAGGTTTGAGCTATCGACCACAGTCCAAAATTAGTTTGTGTAGGAGAACTTTTACTTAAAGACATAAAAAGATACCGTTTAATATATTGCTTCTAAAATGTGTTTCTCACACATTTCCACTGTGAGAACGAGGTTCTGTGGTCAAATAAGTCCAGAAACCTCAGCATGCTCTAGGGAATCCCAGTTTTTATCAGCAGCAGCCAAAAAAAAAAAAGCGTGCAATCAGTTTCTGAAACTTATTTAAACATTTGAAAAGTTAGCAAATTGTGGCAAAGAGCATTAATTCTTGAGTCTTGGGAGTGTATTACTTTGATAAGCATGTTTGTGTATTTGAAACTAAAACTATGTATCAGCTTATATTGCCACATACTGATTTTTATGACATAATATATGGTGTAGAGAACAGGTGGTCTAAAAACCAATATTTGCAAAATGCTGAATATTCAGCATGGTTTTATGAAGTTGACAGATGTGGAGTGTATTCTGCATGTGTCTTAACTTACAGATGAGGAAATGAAGTTGTAGAGAGATTAAATTAGCTAAGCCAGTGGTTTGGGTGCTAGGAAGTCTTGATTTTGTAAAATATAGCCATATAATTTAAAAAAACCGAGAATCCAGACAAAAAGAAAACAAAATCAGGGCAACAGCGATTTTCAGGGAAGAAAGGAGTTAACTATAAGGTCTGACTGCCTGCGGGGCCGGGCAGAACAGAGTCTTATTTCTCTTCTTGGAGAAAGCAAGTAGGAGAAGTATCACTGAGTTCTTTTCCCAGCAAGGAATAACCCTGGGAAAGGAATGCATTCCCAGGGAGAGGTCTATAAATGGCCGCTCTGGGAGTGTCTGTCTTACGCAGTTGAAGATAAGGGATGAAATACTCCCTGGTCTTCTGCAGTGCCCTCAGGCTTGCTAGGATTAGGAAATTCCAGCCTGGCGAATTCTAGTCGGACCCATTGTCTGCTCTGGAACCCTGTTTCCTGTTAAGATGTTTATCAGTGACAATGGGTGCCCAGTGGGACATGGAACCTCATCAGTAATTCTAATTTCGCCCTGGCCTTGTGATCTTGCTCTGCCTGTCTTCCCTTGTGATCTTTTATTGGCCTTTCAAGCATGTGATCTTGTAACTTACTCCCTGTTCCTACCCCCCTCCCCTTTTGAAATCCCTAATAAAAACTTGCTGGTTTTGCGGCTCAGGAGGCATCACTGAACCTGCCAACATGTGATGTCAGCCCTGGAGGCCCAGCTGTAAAATTTCTCTCTTTGTACTCTTTCTCTTTATTTCTCAGACTGGCTGACACTTAGGGAAAATAGACAAGAATCTATGTTGACATATTGGGGGCTGGTTCCCCCGATGACAACTAGGATGGGTGAAAACTGAGGAGGTGATTGGAGGTAATAGAGAATGAGGTACTCAGATGAAATTATAAGAAGGGGACTTAATACTAAAGTTGAACTGGAATTAACTGCCCTCGAAAAAGGTTGTTACACATTGAGGTGAAGTTGCAGTTACTTAGTCTGGATGCATCGCTATGTTCACAGCCCAAGATATTCACTGTTGGCACATAAAACCTCATTTCTAATAAGAAAAAATTTCATCCCAGTTCAATGAGTGTATGCAAGGAATCACTCATAGAGTTAGTGTAGCTCTTTGATTCAAAGCATTAGAATAATGTGTCCTGTCTGACTCTGATCATATTTGTCCCACAGTCCCCATCCTGTTGACCTGGTGGAAGTCATCATTGATAGAGACACCGATGACATGTGAGTTATAAAGGATGTACACACAAACATACACAAACAAAACAGTGACAGAGAAAGATATTCAGATTAGTGGGATTTGCTCTCAGGAGTGTCCATGGCAATACAGAGTGTCTTGGACACAGTTCATCTTCTCACTGTAGCACCTATAGTTAAACATCCACATTTTTACAATTGTTTTGGATAAAAGAGGAACAGAGTATCTGGCTGTTACTGTCTTTTCACCATTTGTTAGTAGCAGCCAAATGCCTTGAAAACTCAGATTTTCTGTGTATGAGACATACTAGAGTGGGCCGAGGGAAGAGAAAATCCTATTTGGAGCAAGGAAGAGGTAGGAGTACTTGGGTAACTGTGAAGTCCTCAGCAGAAAGGAACAGAGCTAAGAGACTTGGAGGTGTTCTCCAGCCTCCAGAACTCTGCCACCATGGAGGCTGGTGCTCCGGACCTTATATCACCACCATATCGGGTTGTGCCCCTGTGAAAAACCTCTAGTTACTTGATGCGTTTTGTGGGGCTGGGGAGACGCCCATGCTGGGTGAAAGTAATGAGGTAATGGAGGATTTTTGAAGCAGGACATTCAATGGATTAAGAGGGGTGACTACCTAAAAATTGGAGTTGAGTTTGAAATAACTGCCACCACAAAGGCTGTCACACGTTGGGATGAGGTTGTAATGAAAAGGTTCACTTAAATCTGGAAGCATTACTATTTTCTCCATCCTAAGATGGTGGTAGCCATCATATAAATCCTGATTTCTGATAAAAAATGATATTTCAGGTCCACATAGTGCTGTACACATGAATAGTCAGAAATTAACCAGTTTATGTTTAGAGTAATGAAAGCTAGTTTTTCCCGAAAAGTAAATTTCGAATTATGTCACCTGTCTGACTGTATTCTTTTATCATCCTCTAGTCCCCACACAAGTGAACTGACAGGAGGAACCAAGGAAGCATGTATCTACGAAAGGTGAGTTATAAATAGATAAATAAAGACACATGTATGCGTAAGTGTGCATAGAAGTATATACACATGCACAGGCATGTAAACAAATCTGTCCATCCATCTATACACACTTCTCTCAACACACGTACACAAACAAACCCATGCACACAATTGAATCTTAAAACAAGGAGACAGATGGACATTTGTGGAATTTTCTCTCAGGAGCCTGCATGGCCATACAGTGTTTTTTAACAGGGTTTCCAGTTCTTCTCGTTGTAGCATTTGTAGGTAACTTTGCATCCTTTTTTGATGGAGTTATATAAAGAGGAGCAAGTCATAGAAGGTTGCTTCTTCCTGTTAGTGTATTCATCACCTTTAGTTCTTAGTAAGCAGTTTTTTAAGGGACTCAGAGTTCCTGAGTTCGAGAGCCTACCAGAGTGGCCCAGGGGAGGCGAGAATCCTATTTGCGACATGGAGGAGATAGCAGCAGACAAGGAGCAGTGGAGCCCTGGGCAGAAAGGAATGGAGCTAATGGAACATGGACTTGTCCCTCACCGTCCAGACCTCTGTCAACATGTGAGGTTGGTGCCCAGACCCAACCCCAAACCCACCAGCTCATTGGATGCAGCCCTTCTTTAGGCCCACAGCTACTTGCCTGTGTCTCATGGACAGGAAAGACTAGCATGATGGGTGAAAGGAAGGACATGATGGATGGTTTTCACAGGCATATTCAGACTTCTACTGGAAATAAATCATAAAAAATGTAAGTTACAGGGAAAACCTGATGCAAGTTAATTATAGTGTAATGCTCAAGAAAATTTACAAAATTAATTAGATGTTACAGAAGCTATAAAAAGATTGTGTTTGATCAGTGACTAATTTTTAAAGAGGTTCTTTGTGCTACGTATTACCACTTCTTTTGCAAGGAAACATCAAGATTGTGAATTCTGTAATTGCTCATTAAGCAGTAGTACATCAGTTGAATATGTAGTATTGATTTCTTAAGCCAGTAAATAAAAATTTTCTCTATTCATTTTATGGTACAGTGGAGGCATGGGTGAATTAAAATGTATTTCTAATATGTAGATAGGTTTAATTTTTATATAGTCATTTAATTGTTTAATTAATTGGCCATTGAAAAATGAGTCTTTGTTAATTGTTGGAATTTACTTACTGGACTTACGTGGTAGGATTTGCATACCCTCACCCATTACATATGTGTATAGTTGATATTTTATTTTTATGGAAAAACTACTTTTGGTGCAAAAATTGTTTTTGCTACTAGTGTCAAAAAAAGAGAAAATCATGTGGTGTTTATATGGCTCTGTACCTTTTTACTCCATGAGCACTGCCTTCAGTGAAATGACAATAACTCATGCAGCATCCTTCAACAAAAAGTGAGGTCTAAATAAATTAAAAGCTAGATGTAAACATATATATGTAAATATACACATAGACACACACACACAAAAGCATACATGTACAGAAGAGAGATTCAGATTTGGCAAGTTCATTGTCTGGAGCATCCATAAGAATACAGAGTGTCTTAGACACTGTTTTCTAAAGTCTAATTACTGTAGTACCTGCAGTTACCTTTCTATCCTTTTTGGATCTAGTTGGATAAAAAAGGAACAGGTCATAAGAGCAATGCTTCTTATTCCTATTGCATTGGTCACTCTTATTTAGCAGTAGCCAAAAACCTTAGGAAAATATGAGTGAGCCAAGAGAGGAGACAGTCCTATTTTTAGCATGGAGGAGGTAGCAGTGGGCAGGGAGCTGAGGAGCTCTTAACAGAAAAGAACAAAGCTAGTAGAACCCTGATCTCTTCCTCTATTACCACATGAGGTTACTGTCCCAAAGGCAAACCCACCATCAGATTGGATGGAGCCCCTGCCTTAGGTCTGCAGTTACTTAACCGTATCTGAGGGGCAGAAAAGACATCCATGATTGGTGAAGAGTTATTGGTATTTGAACTTGAGAAGGCAGAAACTTACAAGTGCAAGCAAGGTGGGTGTTTACAAACTGAAGTTGAACTTATGTAAATTTTGCCAGAAATGGTAACTTGGGGATTAGGGTTAGGAGTAAAGAAATGTATATAAACTTCACTCATTAAGTTTTTTTCCACAGGCCTAAGAATTTCATTGCAAACATCTGAAACCTCGTTTCTAGAGAAAAGTTAAATACCAGGTTTCAAATAAATAACTGATTAAGATGTCAATTTTTAGGGTAACTAAATTATAAATTGTAGAGTAATTATTACTCATTTGTGTCAGAAAAATAGTCTAGGAAGACATGTGGAGTCTTCCTATATTCATTTTTAATCATTTAGCTATTACCCCATTGAACTAAAAAGAGTAGTCTGTGGTAGAGTCATCAATATATGGGGAGAAAGAAAAGAGGGAGATAATGAGATTGGTAAGATTCACTCACAAATGAAGTAATAAAGAATTGTACTTAAATTTTGATTCACTAGGCTGTTTGTTAAGGCCCAAAAGCTTTTTTACATTATGTAAGGCTTTCTTTTAGGGAAAAAAAATGATATATTAATACTAGATTCCAAGTAATTAATTGACATATACGTTTTCAGAGTTCAACCAGTTTATAAATGCAGTAGAACAATTGTACATAACTTCAACCAGAAAAGCAAGTCTCTGAAGTCGCTTGATCTGGCATGTACCTTTTTAATCCTTAGCACTGGCCCAGATAAAATGACATCAGTAGTCTTTCACTACTTTGATATATCTGCTGTAACTCACCTTTCAATGGTGGTGTCATTGAAGACAACTGATGTTATTAATCTGGGTCATTGCTAAAGAATATATCTATACACACACACACACATACACACACACGTGAATATATGTATGTGTGTATATATATATATAGGTATATCCTTTATATATATATTTAGTATATATAGATACCTACATACATGTATGTGTGTATATGTATGAACATATCTATATACATATATCTATATGTGCATATATAGATATATACATATCTTTATGTACATATATGTATCTATATAGATATATTCTATAGCACTGACCCCAATTAATAACATCAGTAGTCTTTTATGTATAATACTTTAGCATATAGACATGCATGTATATATATAGATACGTATATGTAGATATATTGTTTAGCATATATGTATACATATACAGTATATATGTACACGTGTGTGTGTATACATGTATACCTTATGTTATTGTGCTTTACTTTATTGCCCCTCAGATATTACTTTTTTATAAACTGAAGGTTTGTAGCAACCTTGCATTGAGCAAGTCTCTTGGTTTCATTTTTCCAACAACACATGCTCACTTTGTGTCTCTGTGTCACATTTTGGTAACTCTTGCAATATCTTAAACTCTTTTTTTGAGACAGACTCTCGCTCTGACACCCAGGCTGGAATGCAGTGGCACGATCTCAGCTCACTGCAACCTCAGCCTCCCGGGTTCAAGCGATTCTCTGCCACAGCCTCCTGAGTAGCTGGGATTACAGGCACCTGCCACCACGCCCGGCTAATTTTTATATTCTTAGTAGAGACGGGGTTTCACCATGTTCGTCAGGCTGGTCTGAAACTCCTGACCTCGTGATCCGCCTGACTTGGCCTCCCACAGTGGTGGGATTACAGGCGTGAGCCACCGCACCCAGCCTATTTTAAACTTTTTTGTTGTTATCCTATCTCTTATGATCTGTGATCAGTGATCGTTGACGTTACTATTGTAATTGTTTGGGGGCAACATGAACATGAACCATGTCCTATAGGACAACTACCTTAATCAATGCCATGTGTTTTTTGACTGCTCCACTGAGTAGCCATTCCCCATCTCTCTCCCTCTTCTTGGGCCTCCCTACTTCCTAAGACACAACAATATTGAAAGTAGGCCATTTAATAAGTCTATGAGGGTTTCTAAGTGTCCTAGTGAAAGGAAGAGTCAGAAGCCTCTCACTTTAAACTAAAAGCTAAAAATGATTGTGAGGAAGGCTAGACTTCTTGCACCAGTCAGACAAGTTGCGAATGCAAAATACGTGTATATATTCTCAAAGAAAATTAAGACTGCTACTCCAGTGAACATACAAATGATGAGGAAGCAAAACAGGCTGATTGCTAATATGGAGAAGGTTTTAGCGGTCTGGATAGAAGATCAAAGCAGCCATAGCCTTTCCTTAAGCCAAAGCCTAATCCAGGACAAGGCCCCCTCTCTCTGCAATTCAGTGATGGCTGAGAGAGGTAAGTAAGTTGCAGAAGAAAAGCTTGAAGCTAACAGGTTGGTTCATGAAGTTTAAGGAAAGAAGCCATCTCCATAACATAAAAGTGCAAGGTGAAACGCAAGTGCTGTTATCCAGCAGCAGCAAGTTATCCAGAAGATGTAGCTGAGACAATTGATGAAGGTGGCCAAGTTATCCAGAAGATGTAGCTGAGACAATTGATAAAGGTGGCCACACGAAACAACAGATTTTCACTGTAGACAAGATAGCCTTTTATTGGAAGAAGATGCCATCCAGGACTTTTATATTTGGAGAGAAGTCAATGCATGGTTTCAAAGCTTCAAAGCACAGGCCAATTCTCTTTTAGGGGCTAATGAAGCTGGTGACTTTAAGTTGAGGCCAATGATCATTGACTGTTCTGAAAATCCTAGGGCCCTTACGAGTTATGCTAAATCAAGCAAGATGGGTGACTAGAGATGCCTTGTGCTCATCTCCCCTGCAAGAAAACCCAGGAACAAATACACATCTAAGGTCTGATTAGAGTATCAAAGGGATAGTCCTGGAGTGCAGCAGAGGAGTGGAGGAGACACACCTGTGGTGACTGGAAGACCCCACAGCATGGAAGCACTCAGCCTCTGCAGCCCCTTCTCCCCCACCTGGGTTGAACTGGCCCAGAGACAGGAAGGACTTCTCACTGCAGGGTGAAGGTAAGCAGAAGATCCCCACCAGCCCCACTGCCATCACAAACACAGCGTCTTAAGGAAAATCTCACAGTATTTGCAAGCCCTGAGGCCAGTATGGAGTACTGCCAGGAATTTACACAGCTGCATGTCCTGGACTAGGAGTACAAGGTGAAGGCTTCCCACCCCCAGAGACCTAAGTTGCAGCAACACAGCACCATCTTGAGACCAGAGTCATCTCTTGAGTGTGCCCTCCTCTGGGGGCCAGTAGCCACTGTGCGTCTCCAGCACTGGAGCTTTACCTTCAGTATACCAAGCCCACATGGGTGGGTTAAAGCCACAACCCCAGCTGTGTGGAGGTTGGTCCCAGAATTGGCGGTAACTCAAGTCCTGAAGAGCAGGGAGAAATCAACCCCCACCACTACACTTCCAGACAGAGAAATAATCTGCACTCCCATCCAGGGTGAACTCACCCTTGAGCTAGCCAAACCACTACATGCCTTCTCTCAAGTGGGAGCGTCCCCTAAGCCTCTGAGCAGCTGATATACCCCAAGGTCAAGAGAGTGACTATGAGTGCATGCTCAGGACCTGAGAAACAGCCCTGCAGGCCTCATCCACCACAGACATGCTCCTGACCTGCCCAGCCGCCCTCCGCCTTTAATAAAGGCCTGAGAAACAGTCCCACAGGCTGCCGCGAGCAGGCACAGCACTGAGTGGGCCTTGAACCTGTGTCTCAGACCTGAGAAACAAGCAGCTGTGTGTGCCTGAGTCTCAGGGCTGAGAAACAACCCTGGGAGCTTACTCTGGCCAGCATACCCTCAGGCCAAATAAGCAGCCACATACCTATGTCCCAGCTTGAGGAACAGCCCTGTAGGCCACCCCCCGCAGAAACACTCCCAGGCCAACTAAGCAGCTGTGCAACCTTTCATGAGCCCGAGAAACATTCCTGTACCCATTCCCAGCGGATGCACCTCCAGACCAGCCAATCAGCCATGAATGCCCATGTCCTGGACCTGAGAAAGAGCCCCATGGGCTACTCCCAGAAGACATGCCCCTAGGCCAGCCAAGCAGCCTTGTGCCCACATCCTGGGTCATAGAAGCAGCCCCCTGGGCTTCCCCTGGCAGGCACCACCCAGGCCAGCTGAGCAGCAGTGTGCCCACATCCTGAGCTAGAATAGCCCTGTGGACTACCCCCAGCAGACCCACATCCAGGACAGCTGAGAAATTATTTGTATCCCAGGCCTGAGAAACACCCCCTCTTGGCCAGCCCTGGCAAAGATGCCTTCGGTCCAGCTTAGTAGCCGTGCAGCTCTATATTTGGCCCATGAGTTTCCCCCAGCAGACTGGCCTCGGGCCAGATGAACAGCTGTGTATCCACATACCAGGCATGGGAAACAGCCCTTCAGGCCACTCCTGGAGTGTGTGCTTCCAGGCCAGGCAAACAGCTGTGTGCCTGCATCCTGGGCTTGAGCAACTGCATCCCCATGCTCCTGGCCAGAGTAACAGCACCATGGCCAGCCCCACAAAGCCATACTCCAAGTTTTCTGACCCACTGTATACCTGCACACACCCCTACCCTGAGAAACAGTCCAGAGAGCCCACCCCTGGCAAAGGTGCACCACCATTACCACAAACTTCCTTAGCCTAGGCCACTGAGAAACTTGCAAATGTTACTAGTGTGGATCACAGCGGAATGAACTATATGGAGACTACACTTTACTGCATCCATGTAGAACCAAGGCCAATATACCCCAATGAACTGACACCCAAGACCCATTCATACAAGTAAATTCATACAAGTAACCTACTCCATAAAATTGGAAAAGGTGACTTTTTCACCAGATGCATAGAAATCAGCATAGAAACACATCAACCATGAAAATGCAAGAAAACAGGTCACCTACAAAGGGAAATAATAATTATGTAGTAATGGACCCCAATCATAAACATATGAAATGCCAGAAAAAGAATTCAAAAGAATAATCCTAAGGAAACTCAGTGAGATATAGGTAATACAGATAGACAAGTCAATGAAATCAGGAAAACATGATTTGAATGAGAAATTCAGTAAAGATAGAGATATCATAAAAAGAACCAAACAAGCCCTAAGAGCTAAACAGTTCAATAAAAGAAATAAAAAATGAAATCAATGACTTTACAGACAAGAACAAGCAGAAGAAGTAATTTCTGAACTTGAAGAGAAGTCTTTTGAAATAACACAGGCAGAGAAAAAAGAATAAAAAATAATGAAAAAAGCCTACAGGATTTATTGGACACTGTTAATTTGAACAAATATTCCTATTATGGGCATTCCAGAAGGAAAAGTGAAGAGAAATGTGAGGAAAACATATTTAATAAAGTGATAGCATAAAACTTCCCAACTCAAGAGAGAGAGATAGACATCTAGTTCTAGGAAGATCAAAGAACCCCAAATACATTCAACCCAGACACAAAGACAAAGATTTTTTAAGATAGCAAGAGAAAAGCATGAAAACGCTTATAATGGAATTCCCGTTAGACGAACAGCTGATTTCCCGGCAGAAACCTTAGGCTGGAAAAGAATGGGATGATATATGCAAAGTTCTGAAAGAAAAAAAAAATCTTTCAACCAAGAATATTATACCCAGTGCAGCTATCTTTTACAAATGAAGGAGACATAAAATCTGTGACAGATAAACAAACACCAAGATAATTCATCACCACTAGACCAGCCTTACAAGAAATGCCCAAGGCAGTCTTACTTCTGGAAGTAAAAAGATGATAACCACCATCATAAAAACATGTAAAACTTTAAACGTCACTGGTAGAGTCAATACATAGAAAGAGAAAGGGATGAAACCTTATCACTACAGAAAACTACCCAACTACAAAAGTAAACAGAGAGGCAGAAAGGAACAAAACATATACAAACCAACCAGAAAACAATAAAATGTCGCAAATAACTCCTCACCTACCAATAACAACTTTGAATGTTAATAGATTAAATACCCCAAGAAGGATATAGACTTGCTGAGTGGATTAAAAAATAAGACCCAACTGGGTGCAGTGGCTCACGCCTGTAATCCCAGCACTTTGGGAGGCCAAGGCAGGCAGATCCGGAGGTCAGGAGTTCGAGACCAGCCGGGCCAATATGGTGAAACCCCATCTCTACTAAAAATACAAAAAATCAGCCGGGTGTGGTGGTGGGCACCTGTAGTCCCAACTACTCGGGAGGGTGAGGTAAGAGAATGGCATGAACCCGGGAGGCAGAGCTTGCAGTGAGCTGAGATCGTGCCACTGCACTCCAGCCTGGGTAACAGAGCGAGACTCTGTCTCAAAAAATAATAATAATAAAAATAAGACCCAACTATATTTTATCTAAAAGAAACTCACCTTACCTCTAAAGAAACACATAGACTGATAATGAAGGGATGGAAAAAGATATTCCATGCAAATGGAAACCAAAAGTGAGCAGGAATAGCTATACTTATATCAGTCAAAACAGACTTTAAGTTAAAAACCATAAAAAGTGACACACAAGATTATTATGTAATAATAAAGGGTTCAGTTCAGCAAGAAATAGAACATAATTGTAATATGTGTATAATATAATTGTAAATATGTATGCACTCAACACCAGAGCACCCAGATATATATAGCAAATATTAGTAGATCTAAAGAGGGAGCTAGACCCCATTACAATAAGAGTTGGGCACTTCATTATCCCACTCTCAGCACTGGACAAATCATCTAGATGGAAAATCAACAGAGAAACATCAGACTTAAACTGCACCATAGACCAAATGGACATAACAAACATTTACAGAACGTTTCACCTAACAGCTGTAGAATATACATTCTTTTCATCAGCACATGGAACATTATCCAAGATAGACCATATGTTAGGCCACAAAACAAGTCTCAACACATTTTTAAAAACTGAAATTATATCAGGTATCTTATCTTACCACAATGGAATAAAACTAGACATCCATAACAAGAGGAACATTCAAAACTATACAGATATATGGAAATAAAACAACATGCTCTTGAGTGACAAGGAGTGAAGAAAGAAATTAAGTATGAAATTTAAAAATTCCTTGAAACAACTGTAACTAGAAACACAACCTACCAAAACATAAGGGACACAGCAAAAGCAGTATTAGGAAGCATGTTCATAGCAATAAATGGCTGGATCAAAAAACTAGAAAAATTTCCAATAAACCACCTAACAATTCTACCTCAAGAAACTAGTATGGTAAGAACAAACTAAATCCCAAATTATTAAAAGGAACTGAATAATAAAGACCAGACAGAAATAAACAAAATTCAGGCAAAATTTACAAAAGGTTAACAACAAAAAGCAGGTTTAAAAATATCAACAAACCATTAGCTAGACTAATTAAGAAAAAGAGAAGACCCATATAAATAAAATCAGAAAGAAAAAATGGGACCTCACAACAGATATGACAGAAATAAAAAGGATTATTAGAGACTATTATGAACAACTCTACAATAAATTTGAAAACCTAGAGGAAGTGGATAAAATCCTCGACCCATACAACTGCCAAGACTAAACCAAGAAGAAATAGAAAACCTGAACAGACCAAAAAGAAGTAATGAGATTGAATCAGGAACAAAAAGGCCTTCAACAAAGTCCAGGATCTGATGACTTCACCACTTAACTCCACCTGCTTTTAAAAATGAACTAATATCAATTCTTACACTATTTCAAAAAATTAAAGCAGAGGAAAGTCTTCCTAACTCATTCTATATAAGTAAACTATGGTTGATAAAGTAGTGGTAGGATTTGAGAGGATTCACTCCAATTTTGAAAACAGTTCTACTGTGGGTAAAATGCTATCAAATGGCATCACATGTTACAGAGAAATCACTTGTGAAAGGAAGAGTCATTTGATATAGTGAAGTTCGTTGTTGTCTTATTTTAAGAAATTGCCTCAGCCACCCCAACCGTTGGCAACCACAGCTCTGATGAGTCAGCAGCCATCAACATGGAGGCAACGCCCTCCACCAGCAAAAAGTTTATGACTTGCTAAAGGCTCAGGTGATCATTAGCATTTTTTTAACCAATAAAGTAGTTTTACTTTAAGGTATGTACATAATTTTTTTTTGACATAATGTCGTTGCACACTTAACAGACTACAGTGTAGTATAAACATAACGTTTATATGCACAGGGAAACCAAAACATTTGTGTGAGTCACTTAATGCAGTTTTTGCTTTATTGCAGTGGTCTGGAATGAAACCCACAATGTCTTTGTGATATGTCTATACACATTTATGTATTCTATAACTATATACATATTCTTTTAATTACCTTTATATACATATATAGAAAGAGACAGAGAGAGAAAAGAAGAGAAAAATATGCAAAATTCAGCGTTGGGAGTATCTGTGAGAATAGTTTCTGGTTAATGACTGTAATTTTCTTTCTTAAATGTCAGGTCTTCCAGTGAGCTAAGTCATGTTTACTATATCCTTTAGATTCATGGAATTCTTGTTATTCAAATAAATTCTTCATCACTGTTTTGTGTAGCAAATATCTAATGATATATTTTTGCATTTTTTTGGTGGCTAAAGTGTGTCAGAACGACTTTCCAGGTTTGAAGATTATGAAAATGCTGAATATGTCGCTTCATATGAGTAAGTCAGTTTGAAGTTTGAAAGGAGGGAGCCATTGATGGATCTCTTTTCTTTAGTTGAACAGGGCTTACGCTGAGGCACAAAGGAAAAAGGGAAACTACGGAAGGATATCAAAATGTATGGGTGTGTGGGTGGGAGAGTACACCATATTTCCTCCAATTGAATTCTTAGACAAGTATTATTTTGAAAAAAAATTCCATCCATTCAGGAATAAATGTTCTTCTAGCTTGAAAATGTAAAAAGTATCCTTAGAAGAAATTAACTTCATTAGAAGTTTTTTTTTTTTAAAAGAAAACAGGAATGCAGAATGTTACTTACTCATCAATAGTGAACCTTTCTCATTTTTACTGGATATTGTGCGATTCCCAGTTTTGTAGATTTCACCTATGAGCAAGTGGTATTGATAGCAAAAGCAAACATGTTTTGCTGACTAAAGACCTCTTTATGCTCACTGGGATTTTGTTATTATTTGTTTCTAATCTCACTAGAGTACTGAGTACTCCTATTGCACTGACCTGAAGGCATTTTACCATGTACTCACTGTAACGAAACAACACATTCTTAAACTGGCTTGTGTCTGAACTGCAGACATATTCAGGAGATTTTTCTTCTGCTTCTTTCTTGCCCAGTTGTATAACCATTCACCAGCTTATGTCAATGTTGGAGAGGAAGTGCTGCCATAGAGGAAGTTAACTCATCATGGTTATAAGCTGTTGGTGTCTAAACAAAGATTACATGGGAAACAGAGGGCAAATACAAATAGTTCTTCAAATTACCCTGAGTTTTCATTTTCTAGAAATTTTTATCATGGGCCATCAGTGAAGAATTCACGGCACCACTTAATTAAACTGTGTGTCTGCATACTAGCTATACATTTTCTGTAATGGAGCTGCCCAGGGTTGAGGCAAAATTAGACAGATTGAGCAAGGCAAGCATTTCCTTTTTCTTTCCCCTCTCCAAACAAAAGAAAGCAGGTTTTTGTTTTGTTTTATTTTTAAGTTACAAAGTCTCATTGCATAAATATAGGAGGAATTGGTAGTGGTCCCTGTGAGAAACACTGGTGTTTCATACCAGGGGGATGATCTTGGATTTATAGTAAAAGCTGGAATCAGTGCTTGGCTTTGACATCATGTATTCATTCATCTGATACTCAGGAAGTCATTGAACCTCTTTTAGTTTTAGATTATTCAAATGTAAACTGGTTATAATGCTATCTATGTAGTGGATATTGTATTGTAAAAAATTAGTAATAAAACTAAAATAACATGCAAAAACACTTTGAAAACTCTGTAGCTCTGTGAATAGGTTTTGTGCGAAAAACTGAAAATAACGTGAGAGTTTATTAAAGGAAAATCAGAAAATCCAATCAACAAATCTGCCCACATGTAGTCATTCTTAAACTTTGATACATGCACTTCTGAGTTCTTTAAGCATATGCATTTTTTGTTTACAGATACGAGACCATACTTATATTATTTTGTAAATAACCTTATTACTTAATGACATCATGTCTATATTTTCTTGTTAATGTATATTCATGTGCACTTACAACATTATTTGTAATAGTTTTGTAATACTGCATGGTGTAGATGTGCTATAATTCATTTAATAGTCAGATATTGCTGAACAATTAAGTTTTTTACAAGTTTTTACTGTTACAAAAAATATTTGAGGCTAAATCTTTGCATATCGTTGGTTATTTGCTTATTATAAATTCTCAGAAGTGGAAATCCTGTGTCAAAGGGAATGATTATGATGCTATTGGTATTGATAAGTGCTTGAACATCAAGATGCTAAAGTGTACATTTCTCCCCTCCCATACTTAACGCTAGCTGTCATTGATTTCTTTGATATTAGTAAATCTATTTGTTCTAATGCACATTCTTTGACATACCTTCATTTATGCTTTTTTCAGTTAATATTTCATCATTTCCAAACTACCTTTGGCCAGTTAAAATTGGGGTGTTTTTCTGTCTTTGGACTGAAAAGTTAAATCTGTTGATCCTTTTTCTATTTTATGTAATATAAGTAGTTTCTCCCAGGGTGTCTTGCTTTTCACTATATAAAAATGTTGAATCTTCATATAATCAAATGTACCTATACTTTTCTTTGTGATTTATGCCTTTAATGTTATTCTCAGAAAGTCCTTCTCTACCCCAAGATTTTAAATATATTCATCAAGATTTCTGTTTTGAGCTTATTTTCTTCATTTAAATAAAATCGCTGCCCTGAATTTACTTTGTCTTAAGGCATAAAGTGTAGAAATTTACTTTTCTCCTGTGTGACTAATAGTTTTCACAGCATCAAAATATCATCCCCCTGTATTGTCCTTACCCTGTTTTAGTGATCTAGAGTGAGATCAGGAAGACCAGAGAGTCAGTACAGTGTTTTCATTGCTTTGCATCATGGCCATCTCCGTACCGCCAGAGTCTGTACCAGAGAAAAATGTGTCCAGTGGGAGAGATAGCACCTGCCCTCGATACGAATCCCATTTCATTAAAAATGGTCTTGTTAGTGTCATGTAGCTTCCACCTTCTATTGATAAAAAATAAAGTCATGGTCATAGTTAATATTTGTGCTTTGAATTCCACTTTGATATTAATATTGGAACTTATAGTATTTTAAGGTTTAGTATCTCATGTCTTTTTCTCTTTTCTTTTTCTCTTTTTTTTTTTCTGAGACGGAGTCTCACTCTGTGGCCAGGCTGGAGTGCACTGGCATGATCTTGGCTCACTGCAACCTCCACCTCCCAGGTTCAAGCCATTCTTCTGACTCAGCCTCCCGAGTGGCTGGGACTACAGGTGTACATCACCACGCCCAGCTAATTTTTGATATTTTTAGTAGAGATGGGGGGTCGCCTAGGATGGACTCGATCTCTTGACCTCGTGATCTGCCCGCCTCAGCCTCCCAAAGTGCTGGGATTACAGGTGTGAGCCACCACACCCGGCCTCTATCTCTTTATTTTTAAACTGTCATTTAAATTTAGTTTTTGTCTCTTGTGTATAGCATGTAATGCCTTTGATTTTAAAGTTATCTGAGTGTATTTCTCATGGAATATGGGAGGAATATGTTTGTATTTATGATTTCTGGTATGTTTGGCTTTATTGTCTTTTTCTTTATGAAAAATACTTTGATATTTTCTTTTTAAATTAGTCTATATTTTGCTAGTAATTGATTTGTTTTTATCCCTTACATTTTTTACTGATAGGCAAGTCAGAAGCCCATTTCTAGTCCATCAGTTTATATTTAAATATTTAGAAAACATAATTATACCATTTTTCTCCATCAATATCGAGAATAAAACTGGACTTGTATCTGTAGAAGATAAGAAATGCAATCTGCCTTTACTTCTATCTTCTTCCAAACCTTGAATCCTAGTGTAAGAATGCCTAAAATTTAAATCAATACTATTATTGATAATTTTATATTATCTTTACTTTTAGAATCGTTTATTTACATTTTCACCTACATTTTTATGCTACATTAACAGTTGTTATTTAGACTTACTTCTGAGTTTATATTATTTACCATCTTTTCTCTATAAGTCATGTTCCTTATTGCTCTGTTCTTCATTTTGATTCATTGCTCAGCTGACTCAAGCACTTTGAGTAATTATTTTTAGGAAAGGCACATAGAGGCTATGCTTTGAGTTGCTGCATGTTGGAGTGTCTGTCTGTTGCTCTCAAATGTGAACAGTACTTTTCCTGGATATGGATATATTGAGTCATAGTTATTTCCCTGCAAACTCTGCATGTAACTGCTTGAAGCTGCATTTACATAGTACACTTTTTTAACCAAAATAAGTCTCAATTGTATATTTACTTGGTACAGTTTCAGGGGACACTGAAACAGATTGAAGGGGCTAAAGCCACCCAAGCCACTCCTTCATGCCTTCATGATCTATCAGGCTTGGTTCTGTATGGTGATATTGTCAAGTGAATTCAGATTGATGACATTTCCTTGATACCCAGAGATCCAGTAGACTGTGTGGGATCAGAGGTTCTTGTAAAAAGAGAATGGCAACTTCCGGAGAGAATTCGCCTCTTTTGGCCAACTGATCCTCTGTCTACATCAGCCTTAACTTTCTAAGCCTGGGTAGAGGTGGTGGGTCCAGGTGGATGAGGGGAAGATTAGAAGGATTGGGGATTTCCTTTATCTCAGGTTAACCTAACATCATTCATCAAAGGCCAATTTTGCTTTTTTTAACTTTTATTTTAGGTTTCGAGGTACACGTGAAGGTTTGTTACATAGGTAAACATGTGTCAGGGTGGTTTGTTTTACATATTATTTCATCACCCAGGTATTAAGCTCAGTACCCAAATAGTGATCCTTTTTGCTTGTCTCTCTCCTCCTACTCTCCCCGCTTTGGTAGACCCCAGTGTTTGCTTCCCTCTTTGTGTTTTTACATCCTTATCACTTAGCTATACCACTTACAGATGAGAACATTCAGTATTTGATTTTTGCTTTCTGCACTAGTTTGCTAAGGATAATAGCCTCCAGCTCCATCCACGTTCCCACAAAAGACAGGATCTCATTCTTTTTTTCTTTTTTTGAGACGGAGTCTCTCTCTGCTGCCCAGGCTGGAGTGCAGTGGCACAGTCTCGGTTCACTGCAAGTTCTTCCTCCTGGGTTCACGCCATTCTTCCTGCCTCAGCCTCCCGAATAGCTGGGACTACAGGTGCCTGCCACCACGCCCAGCTAATTTTTTTGTATTTTTAGTAGAGACGAGATTTCATCGTGTTAGCTGGGGTGGTCTTGATCTCCTGACCTCATGATCTGCCCGCCTCAGCCTCCGAAAGTGCTGGGATTACAGGCGTGAGCCACCGTGCACGGCCGATCTCATTCTTTTTTATGGCTGCATAGTATTCCATGGTGTATATGTACCACATTTTCTTTATCCAATCTGTCATTGATGGGTATTTGTGTTGATTCCATGTCTCTGCTATTGTAAATAGTGCTGCAGTGAACATTCACATGCATATGCTTTACAGTGGAATGATTTATATTCCTCTGGGTATATACTAGGTAATGGGATTGCTCAGTCAAATAGTAGTTCTACTTTTAGCTCTTCGAGGTGTCGCCATACTGCTTTTTACAATGGTTGAACTAATTCACACTCCCATCAACAGTGTATAAGTGTTCCCTTTTCTCTGCAACCTTGCCAGCACCTGTTATTTTTTGACACTTTAATAATAGCCATTCTGACTATTGTCTGGTGTGAAATGGCATCTCATTGTGGTTTTGATTGGCATTTCTCTAATCTGTGATATTGAGCTTTTTTTTGTATGCTTCTTTGCCACATGTATGTCTTCTTTTGAGAAATGTCTGTTCATGTCGAAGGCCAATTTTGGCAGTGCCCCAGTTCTCCTCAGTGTCTGTCCTCTTTTTTTCTCCAGTCTTAGGCACAGGCTGTGAGCATTGTCTTAGGATTCATGCCTCTTGGGGTGAAATTTGAGTCCTGTGTTGGAGGCTTCAGTATGACAGAAACTTCCTGAAGGCTTCAGTAAGACAAAAAATTGTTCCTCATCAGCTACCTTGTCTTCAGCCATAAGGTAAAATGAGGCATTACTGGGGGCTCCATCAAACAGGTTCTCCTTTCTTGGATTAATGGAAGGAGCCCAGTCTTTCAGGTGTTTCTCCTTTGAAGTGTATCTTACTAAAATGTCTTACCGCTGCAGTTCCTATGCCACCTCAAAGGCAACTCTCACTAATGTGTATCTGTTCACTAGGTGTCTAGTTTGAAAGAGATGACAAGAGCATCATTTACTCCCTATGCTTATCCCTGAAATACCTTATTTTATTGCTGTTGAAACTGAGATCTGGCCAAAGTTTGATGACTTGCCCAGGCTGGCATTAAAATACAGTTCTCTTCTACCCCTCTTTTCTTTTTTCATGCTATATTCCTTGAGTTGATGACCACAAGTTTAAGCTTAGTATTGCCATAAAGTTGGAGTTGGGGCTTTGCATGCAATGGAAATATTACTAAACATCCAAAGTTTACTGTCTTATTCACATATATTCTGGATAGGAAAGTAAAATACTCATGGAGCAGAAAAGATAAAATTTTAATTATTAGTAAAAAGCATTTTGTTATACAACTTCTGAATAATTTTCTTTTAAAATTGTATTTATAAAGGCCTTTGTTTTTTGGTTAAATTTATAAGTTAGAAGAAATCTGATTGATTTTATTTTTGCTTTGTTTTTGCAGCAGCAAGATTAAGAAAATTGTTCATTCAATTGTGTCATCCTTTGCAGTTGGGTATGTGAGACATAGAAAACACCATGTATTAAATATACGTGAGACTTAATGCATAAAAAACACCACGTATTAAATATATCTGAGACTTGGCCAGGTGTGGTAGCTCACGCCTGTAATCCCAGCACTCTGGGAGGCCAAGGCAGGTGGATCACCTGAGGTCAGGAGTTCAAGACCAGCCTGGCTAACACGGTGAAACCCCGTCTCTATTAAAAATAAAAAAATTAGCCAGACATGATGGCGAGTGCCTGCAATGCCAGCTGCTCGGGAGGCCTAGGTGGAAGAATCGCTTGAACCTGGGAGGCGGAGATTGGAGTGAGCTGAGATCACACTATTGCACTGCAGCCCAGGTGACAGAGCGATATATATATATATATCACTCTTTCAATGAGAAAGACTGAAATAAAAAACAAAACCAAAAAGCATTTCCTGTCCATCGGTTTCTAAGTAGCCATGTGCCCCATCTAATGTAATCTAATTTATCATGGAAATTTGGTTTAAGCTGGACTTTAAGACTTGCAAAGAAACGGCTTTTGTATAAGATTAATAGTAACATATTAATATTATTTTTCTTCCATCTGCACAAGTAAAGTTAATGAAAATCGAATGTTAAAATTCTATAATTATAAGTAAAGTGTTTTATTAAGTACCTTATACATCTAGAATTACTCTTTAATTCTGGAAACAATTTACTTAGACTCTTCTCTACGTAAGAGTAAGATTTCATACTATGATATAGATTTACGCAATATGATATAGATTTATGCAATATAATTGTTTCCTTTTGAATTAATGATATTTTAACTTGAGCTGCAACTTTTTGAAAAGTACTTTGAAGATGAATTCATCTTCATAGATTAAGCAAATAGTATAATCAATTTATGGGGAATGTATTTAGAATATGTAACAGCAAGTTTCAGGAGGTACCTTAGAGTTCAATACTATAAATATTTATGGAATTGAATTCTTTCTCATGTACCCATCACTGTACTAGAATCGCCCATAAATATGTAATCATGTACTTGCTGAAAATGTCACTGACAAAAAAAATCTTGGTCTTTTAAGAGCTTATGTTACTCATGCTTTCATTTGGTTTTTATTAATAAATTCTTAAGAATTATCCAGATTAATAAGATTTTATTTTTTATGAGAAATGGGTGTAAACTTCTTATGAAATTCTCAAATTTTAAGAAGAGTTTACAAACAGACACAGGCAATTTTAGTTCAGTTTCACTTTTCTCTCTTGAGGTGTTAGTCTGATGGATCTGCTATAAAAGGGCATGATAACGTCTTGTGAAGTGGTTTGGTGGGAATTTTATTTATTAAGAACTGCTTCTATTGGGTGAAAACAGTGATTTTTCTGAGATTCTATGACATTACAGTTTTTCCTGCCACTGGGCAGTTTAATACTAAATAATAACATTTTGGTACCTGATTATTGGCCTAAATATAGTATAACTATAGGGACAAAAGCCCCTTTATCTTTGCTGTTACTTACTTATTTATTCATTTATTTATTTGTTGTAGAATATTTGGAGTTTTCCTGATCTTGTTGGATGTGGCTCTGATCTTTGCTGACCTAATTTTCACTGATAGCAAAGTTTATATTCCTTTGGAGTATCGTTCTATTTCTCTAGCTATTGCTTTATTTTTTCTCATGGATGTTCTTCTTCGAGTATTTGTAGAAGGGTAAGTTTGATTATTTTTATAATGCATAAAGCTATTTTGTACTTTTCTAAGAAGCACTTTGGGAGGCTGAGGCAGGTGGATCACGAGGTCAGGAGTTCAAGACCAGCCTGGCCAAGATGGTGAAACCCTGTCTCTACTAAAAATACAAAAATTAGCTGGGCATGGTGGCGGAAGCCTGTAATGCCAGCTACTCGGGAGGCTGAGGCAGGAGAATTGTTTGAACCCAGGAGGCAGAGGTTGCAGTGAGCCGAGATTGTGCCATTGCACTTCAGCCTGGGTGACAGGGTGAGACTCCGTCCCAAAAAAAAAGAGGCATATTAGAATAATTAACAGGAGCATTCAACTCAAGCTGACTTAAAAGCCTTTGGGCCTTAGGAGAACCTTGGTGGTAGTCTGGCAGTACCCCCCAGGGTCTGTGTTTGAGTGAGGTGGCCATGGATTGATGCTCCTCTGCTTTTGGAGAGGGGTTGAAAGAGTAGGGAGGATTGCATCTTGTGGTTTGAGTGACAGCTCAACCAGCACAGCCATAGCACATAAAACACCAGGGAGAATTATAAGTTTCTGATCTAGGCCCTGATTCCCAGCACCTTTGGACCCACCCGGAGCCTGGGAGAACTTGCCATCGTGAAGGGAAGGACACAGGCCTGACTGTTTTTACCATGTGATGATCGTAGAGCCCCAGGGCCTTCAGCAAACTTATGCAATAGCTAGGGAGTGGTTACAGCAGGTTTTGGGCAAGACCCAGTGCTGTGCTGGCTTCACGTCTGACCCAATGCAGTCATAGTAGCGGTGGCCACAGGGGTGTTTGTGTCACGGTGGCTCAGAACAGAGAGAGAGACTCTGTTTGTTTGGGAGAAATTAAGGGAAGAGAACAAGACTCTCTTTTTGGTAACCCAGAGAATTATCCTGCATGTTGTCCAAGACCATTAAGGCAGTACCACTATGAGTCTGCAGGAACCACAGAGTTTAGGAGGCTTGGGGTGCCTCCTAAAGCAGATAAAACTTAGATCACAATATCCAAGTTCTTTCCAATATCTGGAAAGCCTTCCCGAGAAAGATAGGTACAAACAAGCCCTGACAGGGAAAACTACAATAAATACCTAATTCTTCAATGCCTAGACACCAAAGAACATCTGCTAGCATCAACACTGTCCGAGAAAACATGACCTCACCAAATGAACTCAATAAGACACCAGAGGCCAATCCTGGGGAAACAGAGATACGTGACCTTTCAGACAAATCAAAATAGCTGTGTTGAGGAAACACAAAGAAATTTAAGATAACACAGATAAAAAAATCATAATTCTATTAGATAAGTTTAACAAAGAGATTGAAATAATTAAAAAGAATCAAGCAGAAATTCTGGAGCCAAAAAATGTAATTGGCATACTGAAGAATGTATTAGAGTCTTTTAATAGCAGAATTGATCAAGCAGAAGAAAGAATTAATGAGCTTGAAGGCAGGCTATTTCAAAATACATAGAGGAGACAAAGGAAAGAATTAGAAACAATGAAGCATGCCTACATGATCTAGAAAATAGCATCAAAAGGGCAAATCTAAGCGATACTGGCCTTAAAGAGGAGGTGCAGAGAGAGAGGGGTTAGAAAGTTTATTCAAAGGGATAGTAACAGAACTTCCCAAACCTATAGAAAGATATCAATATCCAAGTGCAAGAAGGTTACAAAACACCAAGCAGATTTAACTCAAAGAAGACTACCTCAAGGCATTTAAGAATCACACTCCCAAAGATCAAGGATAAAGGATCTTAAAAGCAGCAAGAGAAAAGAAACCAATAATATACAATGGAGTTACAATACAGCTGGCAACAGACTTTTTAATAGAAATGTTTCAGGCCAGGAGAGAGTGATATGACATATTGAAAATGCTGAAGGAAACAAAACATTTACCCTAGAACAATATATTCAGTGAAAATATCCTTCAAAGTGAAGGAGAAAGAAAGATTTTTCCACACAAACAAAAGCTGAGGGATTTCATCAACACCAGACCTGTCCTAGAAGAAATGCTAAAGGGAGTACTTCAATCAGAAAGACAAGGACATTAGTGAGCAATAAGTAACTACCTGAAGGTATAAACCTCACTGGTAATAGTAAATACACAGAAAAATACAGAATGTTATGACACTGTAACTATGGTGTATAAACTACTGTTATTGTAAGTAGAGAGACAACTATGAGCCAATCAAAAACATTGACTATAACAACTTTTCAAGACATAAATGGTATAATAAGATATAAATAGAAATAACAGATAGTTAAAAAGTAGTGAGACTAAGTTGTAGATTTTGTATTAGTTTTCTTATTGTTTGTTTATGCAAACTGTTAGTTTATAAGCTTAAAAATAATGGGTTATAAGATAGTGTTTGCAAGCCTCATGGTAACCTCAAACCAAAAAAAATACAAGGGATACACAAAAAATAAGAAACATGAAACTAAATTATATCACCAGAGAAAATTACCTTCATTAATGGAAGACAGGAAGGAAAGAAGGAAGAGAAGACTACAAAACAACCAGAAAACAATTGACAAAATGGCAGGAGTAAGTCCTTGCTTATCAATGATAACATTGAATGTCATCAGACTAAACTTTTCAATCAAAAGACAGAATGGCTGAATGGATGAAAAAACAAGACCCGGCTGGGCACGGTGGCTCACACCTGTAATCCCAGTACTTTGGGGAGCTGAGGCGGGTGGATCACAGGGTCAAGAGATGGAGACAATCCTGGCCAACATGGTGAAACCCCGTCTCTACTAAAAATAGAAAAATTAGGTGGGCGTAGTGGTGCACACCTGTAGCCCCAGCTACTCAGGAGGCTGAGGCAGGAAAATCTCTTGATCCCAGGAGGCGGAGGTTGCAGTGAGCCGAGATCATGCCACTGCACTCCAGCCTGGTAACAGAGTGAGACTCCACCTCAAAAAAATAAAAATAAAAACAAAACAAAACAAAAAACAAAAGACCCATTGATCTGTTGCCTACAAGAAACACTCTTCTCCCATTAGTCTGAAAATAAAGGAATGGAAAAATATATTCCATTCCAGTAGAAACCAAAAAAGAGCAGGAGTCGCTATCCTTGTATCAGATAAAATAGATTGCAAGACAAAAACGATAAGAAGAGACAAAGAATGTCACTATATCATGATAAAGGGATCAGTTCAGCAAGAGGCTATAACAATTTTAAGTATATATTCATCCAACATATATAGCCAATATATATACTGAGACCCAATGGCTTCCCTGCTGAATTTTACCAAACATTTAAAGAAGAACGAATACCACTCCTGCTTTAACTGTTCCAAAAAGCAGAAGATGAAGGAATACTTCCAAACTCATTCCACAAGGCCAGTATTACCCTGATATCAAAAGCAGACAAAGATGCGTCAAAAAAAGAAACAGGCTGGGAGCAGTGGCTCCCACCTGTAATCGCAGCACTTTGGGAGGCTGAGGCAGGTGGATTACCTGAAGTCAGGAGTTCAAGAGCAGCCTGGCCAATATGGTGAAACCCTGTCTCTACTAAAAATAGAAAAATTAGCTGGGCATGGTAGCAGGTGCCTGTCATCCCACCTACTCTGGAGGCTGGGGCATGAGAATCACTTGAACCTGGGAATGAAAGTTGCAGTGAGCCTAGATCATGCCACTGCACTCCAGCCTGGGTGACAGAGTGAGACTCTGTCTCAAAAAAAAAAAAAAAAAAAGACAACAGGCCAATATATCTGATGAATATTGATGCAAAAATCCTCAACAAGATACTAGAAAACTGAATGTAACAATACATTGGAAGGATCATTCATCATGACAAATGGGATTTATCCCTGGGATGCAAGGATGGTTCAAAATATGCAAATCAACCAAAGTGATACATCATATCAACACAATAAAGGATAAAAGCTGTAAGATCATTTCAGTTAATGCTGAAAAAGTGCTGGATAAAATTCAACGTTTCTTCATGATAAACACTCTAAAAAAACTGGGTAAAGAAGTAACACACCTCAATATAATAAAAACCATATATGACAGATCCCCAGTCAGTATCATACTGAGTGGGGAAAAATGGAAAAGCTTTCCTCTGAGATCTAGAACACAAGTAGGATGCCCACTTTCACCAGTGTTATTCAACATAGTACAGGAAGTCCTAGCTAGAGCAATCACAGAAGATAAAGAAATAAAGGGAATAAAAACAAATCCAAATTGGGAAGGAAGAAGTAAAATTATCCTTGTGTTTGCAGATGATATATTTTATTTGGAAAAAACTAAAGAGTCCACAAAAAAATATTAGAATTGATAAATTCAGTAAAGTTGCAGGATACGAAATCAACATACAAAAATCAGTAGTATTTTTATATGCCAACAGTGGACCATCTGAAAAAGAGTTTTAAAAAGTGATCCTATTTACAATAGCCAGAAATAAAATTAAAAATCTAAGAGGTAACCAAAGAAGTGAAAGATCTTTATAATGAAAACGATAAAACACTGATGAAAGAAATTGAAAAGGACACCACAAAATGGAAAGAGATTCCATGTTCATGGATTGGAAGAATCAATGCTGTTCAAAAGACCATACTATCCAAAGCAATTTACAGATTCAATGCACTCCCTATCAAAATAGCAATGACATTCTTCACAGAAATAGAAAAAAAATCCTAAAATTTATATGGAGCCATAAAACACCCAGAATAGCAGCTATTCTAAGCACAAAGAACAAAGCTGGAGGAATCACATTACCTGACTTTAAATTATACTACAGAACTATAGTAACCAAAACAGCATGGCCCTTGCATAAACAGACACGTAGACCAATGGAAAAGCATAGAGAACCCAGAAACAAATCCACACGCCTACAGAGAACTCATTTTCAACAAATTTGCCAAGAACATACATTGAGGAAAAGGCAGTCCCTTCAACAAATGGTTCTGGGAAAACTGGATATCCACATGCAGAAAAATGCAGCTAGACCCCTACCTCTCACCTTATATAAAAATCCAATCAAAATGGATTACATACTTAAAGATAAGACCTCAAACTATAACAAGAAAACATTGGGAAGAATCTTCAGGACATTGGTCTGAGCAAAAATTTCTTGAGCAATACCCTACAAGTACAGGTAACCAAAGCAAAAATGGACAGATGGGATCACATGAAGTTACAAAGGTTCTTCAAAGCAAAGGAAACAATTAACAAAGTGAAGAGACAGCCCACAGAATGGGAGAAAATATTTGCAAAATACCCATCTGACAAGGGATAAATAACCAGAATATATAAGGAGCTCCAACAACTCTATAGGAAAAAAATCTAATACTATGATTTTTTTAAATGAGCATAAGATTTGAATAGACATTTCTCAAAAGGAAACATACAGATGGTAAACAGGCATGTGAAGAGGTGCTTAACATTGATCATTAGAGAAAACTACAGTGAGATATCATCTCATCCCAGCTAACATGGCTTATATCCAAAAGTCAGGCAATAACAAATGCTGGCAAACATGTGGAGATAAGAGAACCCTCATACACTGTTCGTGGGACTGTAAATTAGTAGAACCGCTATGGGGAACAGTTTGGAGGTTCCTCAAAAAATCTAAAAGCCACCATATGATCCAGAAATCCCACTGCTGGGTATGTACCCACAAGAAAGGAAATCAGTAGATAGAGGAGATACCTGCATTCCCATGTTTGTTGCAGCACTGTTCATGAGAGCCAAGGTTTGGAAGCAACCTGTGTTCATCAACAGATGAATGGATAAAGAAAATATAGTACATATACACAAGAGAGTATTATTTAGCTATAAAAATGAATGAGATCCTGCCTTTTGCAACAACATGGATGGAACTGGAGATCACTATGTTAACTGAAATAAGCCAGGCACGGAAAGACAAACACCACATGTTCTCACTTATTTGTGGGCTCTAAAAGGGTTAACAGTTGAACTCATAGACATGAGTAGAAGGATGGTCATCAGAGGCTGGGAATGGTAGTAGGAGGTTGGGGGTGGGGAGGTGGGGATGGTTAATAGGTACAAAAAAATAGAAAAAAATGAATAACACCTACTATTTGCTAGCACAACAGGGTGACTATAGTCAATAACAATTGTACATTTTAAAATGACTGAAAGTGTAATTGGATTGTTTGTAACACAATGATAAATGCTTGAGGGGATAGATACCTCATCATCTATGATAAGGGTGGTTAATATGCATTTAATTATATGTCTTGCTATACTTAAATTGCCATATTGGTGTTTTAGTCATATATATGTGTCAAATGATGAATATAAATTTATTGTTTGAAAACTTCCCATGAATGTCATATTTTTCCCTTAGTCTACTCTAGAAAATGCATTTTAAATAATGTATGAAAGTAGAATTCTTAATGGGGATCAGTCAATAGTTGTGGTCTTTAAATATTTCTATCTCTTCTTGCAGGGAGATGAACTCATATTTTTCTGTTTTATATTACAGGAGACAGCATTATTTTTCTGATTTACTTAACATTTTAGATACTGCCGTTACTGTGATTATTCTGCTGGTTGATGTCGTTTACATTTTTTTTGACGTTAAGTTTCTTAAGGATATTCCCAGGTATGAAATATAAGACTCACTTCTCTTAAAATTTTTCATTTACTTTTTGCATTTTCTGTGGCTTTTATTCTGTATAATCTTTTCAACTTCAAATGGCTCATTTTATACCAAATATGTTGCTTTAAAATGAAATGTTTAGGTAAATTCCCACATAGGTTGAAACTAAAAGATTGTGATATTTAGGGACCAGTGAAGAGTATACACACCAAGTACCATTCATTGAATAAAAAAGATGGAGTAGCCAAAGAAGGACTTTACTTGTACTAACTTTAACTTCACTACATTTTGAAGTTCTCGTCAAATTCCCATTTGTATCATTTTTGGCCTTTTGGCTAAGATCAAGTGTGACATTCTTATTAGTTTCATATGTGATACATAAAAAAATTTGATATTAAAAACAATTCCCCTCTGTGCTTCAACTACAGATCCCTTACACATAATGTTCTGTCTGGGTTTTTCCCACAGCCAAGAGGGAATTTATTTGAGCATATGCAAAATTTGAGTGACTTTAATCACGATTTTCTTTCTTTTTTTTTTTTTCTAGTTTGGTCTTTTTTTTTAAATTTTTTTTTATTATACTTTAAGTTTTAGCGTACATGTGCACATTGTGCAGGTTAGTTACATATGTATACATGCGCCATGCTGGTGCGCTGCACCCACTAACTCGTCATCTAGCATTAGGTATATCTCCCAGTGCTATCCCTCCCCCCTTCCCCCACCCCACCACAGTCCCCAGAGTGTGATATTCCCCTTCCTGTGTCCATGAATCACGATTTTCTTTTCCTTTTTTTTTTTTTTCTTTTGAGATGGAGTCTCACTGTGTTGCCCAGGCTGGAGTTCAGTGGCATGATCTCGGGCTCACTGCAACTTCTGCCCCACCGGTTAAAGCGATTCTCCTGCCTCGGCCCCCCGAGTAGCTGGGATTACAGGCATGCACCCCCATACCTGGCTAATTTTTGTATTTTTAGTAGAGACGAGTTTCACCATGTTGGTCAGGCTGGTCTCTAACTCCTGACCTCAAGTGATCTGCCCACCTCGGCCTCCCAAAGTACTGGTATTACAAGCATGAGCCACCATGCCCAGCCTCAATCATGATGTTCTAAGAAATAGAAAACAGAACAGAAAACTAGGAGATGACACGTATAGCAACACAACAGTAGAGTTTTGCAGTATAGTTGTGGCAGAAACAAAGAAAGCTAAGGCAAAGTTAGAACTGTTAGGGATTAGGAAACTAAAGGGTGTATGAGGACCTGGTGACTCTCTTTTTGTTCTTCTTTTCTACTGTGACAATGAGGAAAATGGAAGAGCAAACGTATACTGGGATGGAGATGTTTGTGGCTTCCTAAGCTTGTTCATGGGTCAAATACCGGGTTTCTTTCTGTACCCTAGCTTCCCTGGACTACAACTCAGGCACCAACTAAGCATGTTAAGTGATAGGCTTTTGGAGTTGTTTGAAAATCACCTCAGCCAATGTGGTCCTCTGACTAGAAACCTCAGCATCACTTGAGAGCTTGCTAGAAATACAAGAAAAATACCTTAGGCCCCACCCTGGACCCACTGAATCAATATCTCTGGGATCCAACAATCTGTAGCTTAACACGCTTTTCCAGATGACTCTTCTTTAGTCCAGACCATCAGTTATCTGCTTTGATGTTTCTGACGGTAGGAGAGATACCAGCTAGCACACTTGGGAAGTATCTCAATCTGTTGCCTGCCTAATGTGCATTTGCAGCTGTAGTGAACCTCTGTTACAGATGGGAGTAACAGAGGTGAACAAGAATCCTCAATTTGTTTTGATGTGGAAAAATTGAAAATGCTAGTCTCAAATCCCAAAATTAAATTTACAAATTCTAAGACTCTATTGTTTCACTATTTCTCTAGACCAGAATTTTTCAACCTCAGCATTACTAACATTTTGGGCCAGATCATTATTGTCATAGGAGGGTGGTGAGCAGTTATATTCATTGCAGGATGTTTAGCAGAATTCCTGGCTTCTATCCATTAGATGGAAGTAGCGCATGCATGCGCGCACACACAGGCACACCAGTTGTGAAAACCAAAAATGCCTCAAGACACTGCCAAATATCCCCCATGTAGGTGATTGAGGAGAGGAGGGAAAATTGTCCCTGGTTAACAACTGCTGCTCTAAACTTAATTTATATTCATAAAATTGTCTGTTTCTGAAGCAAAAATTGATCTTTTAAGTTTATTTTTAGATGGACACGTTTATTTCGACTTCTACGACTTATCATTCTGATAAGAGTTTTTCGTCTGGCTCATCTAAAAAGACAACTTGGAAAGCTGATAAGAAGGCTGGTAAGTGGGCAAAACATGCTTACGATTCAGAAAAATATTTTGTGTTTTGGGACCCATTGGCAAGGGTTGATATCTATACTGTATAATGTTCTTTATTTTTATGTTGATTTATGTTTCACCAACTAATAATGGTTTTAAACTCTCAGGTTTCAGGAAACAAAAGGTGATACGAAAGGGATGGATTTGACCTAGACCTCACTTATATTACAGGTTTGTGACACTTAACTGTTGATTTACTTACATTAACTTCACTTTTTCTTGTAATTATATTTTTATTTTGTTTTTGCCTCATCTAAGCCACATTCATTCAAAGTATTCTTTATTCGTGAGGCTATATGCTATGCCATTGTGATAGTGTGACATATTTGTGGTTTAGCCCTGGCAAGGAAGATTTCCATGTCATCTCAATTCAGGACTACTCGGTTGCAGCACAAAAACTTGAATGGATTTTCAGCTGACTCCATTTGAGTTTCAGTTTATTAAGTTCTAGTAGTTATCCTGAATCCCAAGGATCCCAGAGAGACCGCTTCTCTTCCTAGAACCCCAGAGAATGAGGTCACAGCTTTGTAGATCTCAGGTGTTCTGAGTCAGAGGGCTATAAAGCACGTTGGGAGTTCCCACCATCACTGGTGCCCAGAACTCTTGGATTTTCTTTGGTATTTAAGATAAGAAATAAATTCCAAGAACAGGGGGAACTTCAGACTGAGGCCAACATAAGTACATGGCATATGGTTTGAACCAGTGGAGTGTTAAGAACACCATGCCAGCTTAATGGTCATTATGTTGGATAATTTAATATGTTATCTTGATTACCCTGAGTATTAGCTCTTTTCTGTCAACCTTAATCTTAAAAGGTATTTTTCTGTGAAAATGGAGTCTGATCATATAAAATTAACTTTTGTATGTTATTTTAAATCTATAATAATGTTTGTAATAGTGATGATTTTGACTTCCAGAACGTATTGTCGCTATGTCATTTCCATCTTCGGGAGGCCAGTCTTTCTATCGGAATCCAATTAAGGTAAGGGTGTTTATCTTAAAAATACTAATTTCTCAGTGAATGTAGACTGTGTAGTCATAAGTTTAATATTGACCCAGAAATGTCAATGTTCTTTCCAAAAGGTACTCTTTCAAGTAAAACAATCATAATGGATTGATACCAGTTATAATTGTACCAGTGGTTACAAACCACCCCCAAACTTACTGGCTTATAACAGCAACTATTTATTTGGCTCATGATACTATGGTTTGTGAATTTGAGATGGGCTTAACTGTTCAATTCTGTGCTCACAGAGAGGATTGCTTCTCTCAACTGAGTTCATTCATGCATCTGTGGGCAGCTACTGAGTCATCTGAGGACTGGCTAGTCTAAAATGACTTGGCTGTCCTCAGCTGACAGAGCCACTGCGTGCTCCATGCACCCCTCAAGGCCCATCCCATCTGGCATCCACTGCTGCCAACAGCTCCACCCCCTTGACCAGCAGAGCTGCCATATGCTGCATGCACTTCTAAGACCCTGAGGACTGGCCTGCCTGGTGCCCACCCTGCTGGTGGCGCCACCCCACCACTAGCAAAGCCACTGCACCTAGCATGCATACCTCTAGGGCCTTGGAACGAATCCGACTGATGGCTCCCACCCCAAGAAAAGCCATACCACTGTCTCCACAAACACTCACCATCTAGGCCACTGAGGCACTCAGAGACACCTCTAAATGCTGATTACAGCCAAAGAAGTCACATGAAGACTGTATTACCGCACCCACCTAGAACCAAAGTCAAATCGCCCTACTCCATAATGAACACTAGGAGACAACTATTGGAAAAAATATTTCTCTATGAAAGCTCCATAACATTGGAAGAGGCACCTGTTCCACCAGATGTGCAAAAATCAATTCAGGGCCACAAGAAACATAAAAAGCAAGGAAACATTACATCCCCAAAGAAACACAATAATCCCCCATTAACAGACCCTAAATTTTAAGAGTATATCAAATGGCTAAGAAGGAATTTGAAATAAGGATCTTGAGGAAACTCTGTGAGATACAAGAGAATACAGATAGACAAATCAATGAAATTAGAAAAACAATTTATCATCTTATGAGAAATTCAACAAAGATATAGATGTCATTAAAAACCAAACAGAGATCTTGGAGCTGAAGAATTTAAGGAATAAAATAAAAAATAATCAAGAGACCAGATGCAGTAGGTCACTCCTGTTATCCCAGCACTTTGGGAGGCCAAGGCAGGTGGATCACTTGAGGCCAGGAGTTCAAGACAAGAGTGATTAACATGGCAAAATCCCATATCTAAAAAAACACAAAATTTAGTCAGGTGTGGTGGTGCATGCCTGCAATCCCAGCTACTTGGGAGGCTGAGGCACGAGAATAGCTTGAACCCAGGAGGTGGAGGTTGCAGTGAGCTGAGATCATGCCACTGCACTCCAACCTGGTTGACAGGGAGGGACCCTGTCTCAAAAAAAAACTATATATATATATATATATATATATATATATGTAATCAAGAGCTTTAAAAACAGACATGGGAGACATATGGGTGAAATCTCAGAAGCTCAAAGGTTCTCATATAGAATCAACTCAAGATGGTCTTCTCTGAGGTGCATGATAGTCACACTTTCAAATGTCAAAAAGAGGGAATATTGGTCAGGTGCGGTGGCTCACACCTGTAATCCCAGGACTTTGGGAGGCTGAGGTGGGTGGATCACAAGGCCAGGAGTTCAAGACCAGCCTGGCCAACATGAAGAAACCCCATCTCTACTAATAATACAAAAAAAACTTAGCTAGGTGTGGTGGCGTGCACCTGTAGTTCTAGCTACTTGGGAGGCTGAATCACGAGATATGCTTAAACCCAGGAGGTGGAGGTTGCAGTGAGCTGAGGGCACACCATTGCACTTCAACCTGGGTAACAGAGTGGGAGTGTCTGAAAAAAAAAAAAAGGAAATATTAAAAACAGCAAGAAAAAAAGCATCAAATCACATGTAAGGGAAACTCCTTTAGGTTAACAGTGGATTTTCCAGTGGAAACTTTACAGGTCAGTAGACAATGGGATGTTACAGTCAAAGTACTGAAAGGAAAAAAATACAAAAAAACTATAAACTAAGAATGCTATACCCAGCAGAGCTATCCTCTAGAAATGAGGGAGAAATAAAATATTTCCCAGACAAGCAAAACCTGAGGGAATTCATCACCAGTAGACTGGCCTTACAAGGAATGCTTAAGGGGGATTCTACAAATGAAAGCAAGAGGATGGCTACCATCATGAAAAACATCAAACTATAAAACTCACTGGTAGAGCAGATACATAAGAAAGAGAGAGAAATCAAACTTTATCTCTACAGAAATCCACCAAACCATAAAGATTAGAAAAAAAAAAAAACAAAGGAAGAAAAGAACAAAGGATATACAAAACAACCAAAAAAAAAAAAAAAAGAATAAAATGACAGGATAAATCCTCATCTATTAATAGTAACCTTGAATGTAAACAGATCAAATTCCCAATTAAAAGATACAGAGTTGGTTGCCAAGATAAACAAACAAACAAAAAACCCAACTACATACTGCCTATAAGAAACTAACTTCACTTGTAAAGGTACACGCAGACTGCAAGTGAAGGGATAGAAAAAGATACTCCAGGCAAACAGAAACCAAAAGTGGGCAGGAGTAGCCATACTTATATCAGATAAAACAGACTTTAAGTCAAACTGCATGAGGAGACAAAGACAGATATTTTATAATGATGAAAGGATCAACTTAGCAATAGGATATAATAATTGCAGACATATATGTACCCAACACTAGAGCACTCAGATAAACAAGGCAAATATTAGATCTAAAGGGAAAGACAGCCTCCAGTCTAGTAACAGTTGGGGTCTTTAACACCCCGTAACACCCTACTCGTAGCACTGGACAGATCATCTAGTCAGAAAATCAACAAAGAAATGTCAGATTTCAGCTTACAGAGAGGAATAAGTTTTAGTATTCTATAGCACTGGAGGGTGACTACAGTTAACAATTTATTGTATATTTTTAAAAAGAAAGGCTCTTGAGTGTTCCCACCACAAAGAATGATAAATATTTGAGGTGATGGACATGCTGATTATCCTGATTTGATCATTGCACATTGTACACAGGTATTGAGATATCACCCTCTACCTTATAAATATGAACAACTATTATGTGTCAGTTCAAATTGTTTTAAAGAATAAAAAAACAGTTTTTTTTTAAATCAAAGAAAAGAAAATAACATGGCTTGGCTGAATGGTCCCATGTGGTCTCTCATTCTCTAGTAGGCTACTTCAGGCCTGTTCACATGATGGCAGTGGCAAGAGTACCAGGAGCAGCAAGCAAAACAATGTAAATCCTTTTAAGGCCCAGGCTCAAAATTAGTATAATATTACTTCTACCCGATTTTATTGGACAATGCAAATTATACTACGATTCTGAATCTGAATCCAGATACAGAATAGAAAATAGACTCCAACTCCTGGTGGAAGGAATTGTAAAGAATCATGGCTGCTGTTTTTTTGTTTTTTTTTTTTTTGAGATGGAGTCTCACTCTGTTGCCCAGGCTGGAGTGCAGTGGCACAATCTTGGCTCACTGCAAGCTCTGCTTCCTGGGTTCACTCCATTCTCCTGCCTCAGCCTCCCGAGTAGCTGGGACTACAGGCGCCCGCCACCACGCCTGGCTAATTTTTTTTTTTTAATAGAGATGGGGTTTCACCGTGTTAGCCAGGATGGTCTCGATCTCCTGACCTTGTGAACCACCCGCCTTGGCCTCCCAAAGTGCTAGGATTACAGGCTTGAGTCACCGTGCCTGGCCGAGATCCTCAATTATAGTGGCAGCATACTGCTTTAGGCTCCATGGATGACTAAACTAATTTCAAACATATAATGCTGTTTACTGTGAAATGCCAACTGAAAGTCATTGTTTAATTTTATGTAATTTACAATACTTACTATACCTCAATAAAACTATAATTATTAAGGGCTGGCATCGGTTGCTGAGAGGTGGAAGGAGTACCTCTCTGCAGCGTGTTAGCTCAGGTTCAAACAGGACAGGGCCTCAATTTCAGCAGCTTTTCAGAAAATGGCCTGGATCCCCAGCCTGAATCATCATCCCATGGCTGGAGAATGTGGACAGGTTATTTAATTAAGAAACTAATGATAAACCAAGGGCTATGGGAATTAAGAACTATGGCTAAAAAAGAAATGTTTAGAGTGATGCAGAATGGCCGATTAAAAGCAGCTGCACTCCCCAGCACTCAAGGAGAGGAATGAAAAGGGGCAGGTGAATTCAGCACCTTCAACTGAGATACCCAGGTTCTCCCATTGGGACTGACTGGAAGAACAGCTCGCCCCATGGAGAATGAAGAAAAGTGGAGAGAGGGTGTGATGGCCCAGCTGAGAGCAGCGTGGAGCCAAAGGAACCCCCACTCCCAGCCAAGGGAAGCAGTGAGTGATTGTCCAATCCTGCTCAGGAAACAGTGCTTCTCCTATTGATCTTTGCAACCCATGGATCAGGGGATCCCCTTGTAAGCCCATGCCACCAGGGCCTTGTGTCTGATACACAGAGCTGTGGAGTCTCAGCAGATCAGCTGCTCAGGCACACACAGAAACCCAGACGTTTTACGTACTCTGGCCCCGAGATCCTCAGCAAGGTGGGAAATCTGTCCATACATATTTTGGAAAGGGGCTGAATCCAGGGAGCCAAGCAGTGTCACTCTGTGGGCTCCATTTCCACGGTACCTCACAAGTTAAGACCCATTGGCTTGGAATCCTAGCCAACCAAGAGCAACAGGTTGGATTCCACCTCAGATGGGTCTGAGTTCCCCGGGAGGTGGAGAGGGGCAGCCAGCATCACTGCAGTTTGTAGACTCAGCCACTCCTGCCTGCCAGCTATGGAAAATACAGGTGGTCAGGAGGAGGAAGTGTTCCCTGCAACGCAGCACACCTGGTCTACCAAAAAGCAGCGAGACTGCTTCTTTGGATGGGTCCCTGATCCCATGTCTCCTGACTGGGTAAGAACTCCCCCATGGGGGTCTCCAGCCACTTCCTACAGGTGTATGTAGACTTGCTACAGGTCAGTATCCCCCTGGGATGGAGCTTCCAAAGGAAGGAGCTGGCTGCCATCTTTGCTATTTCACAGCCTTCACTGGTAATACCTCCAGGTAGACGGGAGAAAGTCAGGCGACTGGGGTCTTGAATGGACCACCAGCAAATTGCAGAAGCACTATGGTAGAGTGGCCTGTTAAAGGAAAAACAAACACAGAGAAAACAACAACTGCTCAAAGAAATCAGAGAAGACACACACAAAAAATGGAAAAACATCCCGTGCTCATGGATGGGAAGAGTCAATATCATGAAAATGGCCATATTGCCCAAAGCAATTTATGGATGCAATGCTATTCCCATTAAACTGCTATTGAAATTCTTCACAGAATTAAAAAAAAACTATCTTAAAATTCATATAGAACAATAAAAGAGCCCAAATACTCAAGACAATCCCAAGCAAAAAGAACAAAGCAGGAGTCATCCCGCTACCCGACTTCAAACTATACTATACTACAGGGCTACAGTAACCAAAACAGCATGGCACTAGTACAAGAACAGATGTATAGACCAATGGAACAGAATAGAAAACTCAGAAATAAGACCTCACACCAACAACCATTTGATCTTTAACAAACTTGACAAAAACAAGCAATGGGAAAAGGACTCCCTATTTAATAAATGGTGCTGGAGTGCTGGCTAGCCATATATAGAAAATTGAAACTGGACTTCTTCCTTACACCATATCCAAAAATTAACTCTAGATGGATTAAAAACTTAAATGTAAATCCCCAAAGTATAAAAACTCTAGAAGAAAATCTAGGCCATACCATTCAGAAAATAGGCATGGGCAAAGATTTCATGATCGAAATGCTAAAAGCAATTGCAACAAATGCAAAAATTGACAAATGGGATGTAATTAAACTAAAGAGCTACAGAATGGGAGAAAATTTGTACAATCTATCCGCCCGACAAAGGTCTGATATTCAGATTCTACGAGGAACTTAATGAAATTTACAAGAAAAAAACACACAACCCTGTTAAAAAGTGGGCAAAGGACATGAACAGACACTTCTCAAAAGAAGACATACATGCAGTCAACAAAAATACGAAAAAAAAAAGCTCAACATCACCGACCACTAAAGAAATGCAAACAAAACCACAATGAGATACCACCTCACGCCAGTCAGAATGGCTATTATTAAAAAGTCCAAAAATAACATGCTGGCAAGGTTGCAGAGAAAAAGGAATGCTTTTTACACGGTTAGTGGGTGTGTAAATTAGTTCAACCATGTAGAAGACGGTGTGGCAATTCCTCAAAGACGTAGAGGCAGAAATAGCATTTGACCCAGCAATCCCATTACCAAGTATAGACCCAAAGGAATATAAATCACTGTCTTACAAAGATACATGCACGTGCATGTTCACTGCAGCAGTATTCACAATAGCAAAGACATGCAATCAACTTAAATGCCCATCAATGATAGATCAGATAAAGAAAACGTGGTACATAAACACCATGGAATACTGTGCAGCCATAAAAATGAAGAAGATAACATCCTTTGCAGAGACATGGATGGAACTGGAAGCTGTTATCCTCAGCAAACTAACACAGGAGCTGAAAACCAAACACTGCATGTTCTCACTCATAAATGGGAGCTGAATAATGAGAACACATGGACACATGGTGGGGAACAATGCACACTGGGGCCTGTCAGGAAGGAGGGGTTGGGAGAGGGAGAGCCTCAGGAAGAATAGCTAATGGATGCTGGGCTTAATACATAGGGATGAGATGTCTGTGTAGCAAACCACCATGGCACAGGTTTACCTATGTAACAAACCTGCATATCCTGCACATGTACCCCTGAACCTAAAATAAATAATCACATTTTATTGAGGTATAACATAGATGGTAAGTTGCACTAATCAAGTGTGTATCTTGATGATATTACACATAAGTATATATGCATGTAACCAACACCTCTGTCAATGTATTGGTGTATGACTGATCTCCGATTAATTGTTGTAAAGATATAAAATATCAAGATTAATGTTTTTCATATAGCTATCAATGCTTCCTGTACCACTTACTGTGAAGAGCATAACTTCCCCAATGAATTGTAGAGGTGTGTTTATTGCAAATCAAGTGAACATATATGTATAGGTTTGTTTCTCAGCTTTTTCTCCTTTTATTATGACTTAATGACTTGTCTATACTTAAGTCCAGACCACAGTTTTAAATATTATGGCTTTATAGTGAGTTTTGAAAACTTGTTTATAAGTCCCCCAACTTTGTACTTCTTTGTTTAAAAACTATCTTGGCTCTTCTAGATTTTTTGAATTTCCATATACATTTTAGAATCTTCTTGGCAATTTACACACACACACACACACACACACACACACACACAACCTGCTAGTATTTTGACTTGGGCATTCACTACATTGCTTAATTTAGGGAGAACTGACATGTAAAAATATTGAGATTTCCAACTCAAGAACATAATATATCTCTCTACTTATGTCTTCTTTGACTTCTTTTTGCAATGTTTGCAGTGTACAGGTTTTACACATTTTTTTTTTTTTGAGACGGAGTCTTGTTCTGTCGCCCAGGCTTTAGTGCAGTGGCGCAATCTCCGCTCACTGCAAGCTCTGCCTCCTGAGTTTGCGCCATTCTCTTGCCTCAACCTCCAGAGTAGCTGGGACTACAGGCGCCTGCCACCACGCCCAGCTAATTTTTTTGTATTTTTAGTAGAGACGGGGTTTCATGTGTTAGCCAGGATGGTCTCGATCTCCTGACCTCATGATCCGCCCGCCTCAGCCTCCCAAAGTGCTGGGATTACAGGCGTGAGCCACCGCGCCCACCCTACACATCTTTTGTTAGTTTTATTTCTAGGCATTCGATAAGTTTTTATGCTGTTTTAAGTAATATTTGAATATCTTCATTTTCTGATTATTTGCTATTGGTATATAGGAACATAATTAATTTTTGTATATTGACTTTAGTTTTGTTTTTAAATTTTAAGTTCTGGGAAACATGTGCTGAACGTGCAGGTTTGTTACATAGGTATACGTGTGCCATGGTGGTTTGCAGCAGCTGTCAGCCCATCATCTAGGTTTTAAGTTGTGCATGCATTAGGTATTTGTCCTAATGCTCTCTTTCCCCTTTCCCCCAACCCCGACAGGCCTCTTTCCCCTCCCTGTGTCCATTCTCATTATTCAGCTCCCACTTATGAGTGAGAACATGCGGTATTTGGTTTTCTGTTCCTGTGTTAGTTTGCTGAGGATGATGGTTTCAGCTTCATCCATGTCCCTGCAAAGGGCATGAACTCATTCCTTTTTATGGCTGCACAGTATTCCATGGTGTATATATGTGCCACATTTTCTTTATCCAGTCTATCATTGATGGGCATTTGGGTTGGTTCCGAGTCTTTGCTATTGTAAATAGTGCTGCAATGAACATATGTGTGCATGTGTCTTAATAGTAGAATGATTTATAATCCTTTGGGTATATACCCAGTAATGGGATGGCTGGGTCAAATGGTATTTCTGGTTCTAGATCCTTGAGGAATCGCCACACTGTCTTCCACAATGGTTAAACTAATTTACACTCCTGCCAGCGTGTAAAAGTGTTGCTATTTCTCCACATCCTCTCCAGCATCTGTTGTTTCCAGACTTTTTAATAATCGCCATTCTAACTGACATGAGATGGTATCTCACTGTGGTTTTGATTTGCATTTCTCTAATGACCAGTAATGATGAGCTTTTTTTTGTATGTTTGTTGGCTGCATAAATGTCTTCTTTTGAGAAGTGTCTGTTCATGTCCTTCACCCACTTTTTGATGGGGTTGTTTTCTTCTTGTAATTTGTTTCAGTTATTTGTAGATTTTGGATATTAGCCCTTTGTCAGATGGGTAGATTGCAAAAATTTTCTCCCATTCTGTAGGTTGCCTGTTCACTCTGATGATAGTTTCTTTTGCTGAGCAGCTCTTTAGTTGAATTAGATCCCATTTGTCAATTTTGGCTGTCGTTGCAATTGCTTTTGGTGTTTTAGCCATGAAGTCTTTGCCCATGCCTATGTCCTTCGTGGTATTGCCTACATTTTCTTCTAGGGTTTTTATAGTTTTAGGTTTTATGTTTACATCTTTAATCCATCTTGAGTTAGTTTTTGTATAAGGTGTAAGGAAGCGGTCCAGTTTCTGTTTTCTGCATATGGCTAGCCAGTTTCCCCAGCACCATTGATTAAATAGGGAATCCTTTCCCCATTGCTTGTTTTTGTCAGGTTTGTCGAAGATCAGATGGTTGTAGATGTGTAGTGTTATTTCTGAGGTCTCTGTTCTGTTCCATTGGTCTATATATCTGTTTTGGCACTAGTACCACGCTGTTTTGGTTACTGTAGCCTTGTAGTATAGTTTGAAGTCAGGTAGTGTGATGCCTCCAGCTTTGTTCTTTTTGTTTAGGATTGTCTTGGCTATACGAGCTCTTTTTGGTTCCGTATGAAATTTAAAGTAGTTTTTTTTAGTTCTGTGACAAAAGTCAATGGTAGCTTGATGGGAATAGCATTGAATCTATGAATTACTTTGGGCAGTATGGCCATTTTCACAATATTGATTCTTCCTATCCATGAGCATGGAATGTTTTTGTATTTGTTTGTTTGTTTTAGACAGGGCCTTGCTCTGTCACCGCAGGCTGGAGTGCAGTGGCACCTGGGCTCATGCAATTCACCCACCTCTGTCTCCCGTGTAGCTGGGACTACAAGCAGGCACCACCACACTTGGCTAATTTTTTTAAAATTAATTTTTGTAGACAGGGAGTCTCACTGGTCTCACTGGCCCAGGCTGGTCTCAAACTCCTGGGTTCAAGCAGTCTTCCCACCTGAGCCTCCCAAAGTGCTGGTATTACAGGTGTGAGCCACCACACTTGGCCTTGTATATTAACTTTATATCTAGCCTCCTTCATAAATTCACACATTCATTTTAATAATTAATGTGTAGATTCCCTGGGATTTTATGTATACAATCATAAAGTTACTACTTTATTCCCAGTTTTTATACTTTTTTCTTTCCTTATTGAATTATCTAGGACTTTCACTGTAATACTGAATAGAAATGGTAAGAGGAGACAGCCTTGCCTTATTCCCAAACTCAGGTGGAAGGAATTTTATACTTCACTATTTGAAATGATGTTTGCTATAGGCTTCTGTAGTCATTCTTTACCAGATTCAGACAATCCATTTTATTTCTAGTTTGCTAAAAGTTTTCAATCATGAATTGCTGTTGAGTAGATTGGATATTTTTTCTGCATCTATCAAGGTAATCAAAATGTTTTTGTGTTTTTCCATTAATGAGATTTTCAAATGTTAAGCCGACCTTTTTTATTTTTGGAATAAAATCCCTTTGGTCTTAATGTATTATCGTTTTATATATCACTAGATTCTGTTTGCTAATATTTTATTTAGAACTTTTCATCTATGTGCATGAGTGATATGAAATTTTCTTTCCTTGAAATGTCTTTATCTGTTGGTCTACATTTACCTTAGCTTTGGTGTCTTGGATAACTCCTATCTGCTAAACTCATCTTCATCCTCCATCAGGATGAATATGATGGATATGTTTCAGGGTAATGGCAAAAGGAAAGAGCTAGAGTGGAATCTTACAAGTGCTTTTGCAAGGCTCTCCTTTGTGACATCCCATTGACCAAATCAACTCACATAATAGAGCCCAAATTTAGAGTGAAAGGGCACTACAAGGTGAAATGTGAGGGCCGGGATTCAGGAAAAGATGAAGAATTGGGACCACTGATGGAATCTTTCTACCTTATTCTCAGGCAGGGAAGCATTTTTATACATGCAGATAGTTTACAAGAAATAACTAATATATAGTCAGAAACTCAAGGCTTCAGCAGTTGTATAAAAATGCATTTGTAAATACCCAAAGACCTTGAAGAGAAGGATCTGACCCACATCTCACCCAGGTTATGCTACTCCCAGCTAAGACATGATTCGACCACACCCTTGGCCAATTTTGAAAATTGTTTCAAACTATTTATTTGAGGTGGAATTACTTTTCTTCTCCCATAATGGGAACAGTCATGGAGCAATGTGACCAGGGTCCATTGGATGGGTCATACCACTTGAGGGCAGCGATCCCCAAATTCCCAATTCCATCTTTATGGGTAAAGCATCTCTTGATTGCTAATATTGTTTTTTAAAGCTGGTTGAGCTAATAACTGTGAGTTAATTATGGCATGTCTAAACTGAGCCAATTTTCTTTTAGTAGTTTTGGTGGTGCCTAATATCAGTTTGGGAAGACTTAATATTAGCTGGGGTGTTTTTGACAGCCAAAAACCTCACTTAGCATATAAAGACATTACTATTTCCTTGTGGGGTGATGGCTAGACTATTGATTTCTATCCGTTATTAAACTGTTATCTCCTTAGGGCATTGACAAAAGTACTAATAAGTCACTGATTTCTTTACCATTTTTAATCAGAGTATCCAAAAAGGAGGTGATAAATCATGTGTTTTAATAAATGCCACAAATCATGAGCCACCCAAAAAGTAAATCTACTGTCCATATTAATATTTAGTCTTTCATCTTTGCCAGAGCGCAGCCCCAAATCTAAGCTACTAGTTCAGCTACCTGGACAGGCCGAGAATTAGGCCATGGAGCACTTCAGTCATTGCATGTTCAATGACAACAGCATATTCTGCACTTGGAGTGCCTTTGTCATTTTTGAGAACCATCCACGATGTATATTAAATCAAGGTTGACTCAAAGGTACATGATTCAAATCCGGGTATACTTAACTTCTGAGAGGATGCTAAACAGTCATGTGATTCCTCTTTATTCTTATAAGAGAATAAATTTGCAGGGTTACATTTTGAACAACACTGAATATGCAAAGCAGACCTTACAATTTCCTAAGTGGTAAATTTACTAGTGGAGAAATGTCAGATGCTGCCTTGAAGTAGCAAAAACTTTAGAGATGTTGGACCCATAGAGTTAGTGGACAAACAAGCACTGTGGTGGAAGCATCAAGAAGTTTGGCCACTGCTACCACCTCATGCAGGTACAGAGGGTGTACCTTTGCTTCCAAATCAAGGAATGTACTAAGATAGGCAGAGAGAAGAGTTGAGCAGATTTAGGAAAACCGAAGGTGGAGGTTGTTGCAAGAAGGCTTTCACAGGAAGGGGAATATCACACTCTGGGGACTGTGGTGGGGTGGGGGGAGGGGGGAGGGATAGCACTGGGAGATATACCTAATGCTAGATGACGAGTTAGTGGGTGTAGCGCACCAGCATGGCACATGTATACATATGTAACTAACCTGCACAATGTGCACATGTACCCTAAAACTTAAAGTATAATAAAAAAAAAAAAAAAGAAATACGGAAAATAAGAAAAAAAAGAAAAGAAGGCTTTCACAGAGTAGCATTTTCTACTTTTGCATCACAAGGAAGTTGCATCAGAAAGTATAAACTTAGTAAGCCCATGCAAAGGCTGAGCTATGAGAAAAATCAGATATACAATTACCTACAGTCCTAAAATCTTCTTAGCCATCTTTTGATTTCTGTTCTTGGTAGAATTGAATGCTCTTTATTCTGGTTGAAAACAGAAACTGTCTATCTGGTGACAGCTTGTGACCAGAAAAATGTAGATTCTTGGCAGAGTTCACCTTTTCTCTAGATTCTTTATGTCCCTTTTCACCTACTTTGAATAAGAGGTATTTGGATCCTTTAGTAAACTACTTAGATCAGGAAACACAGCAGTAAATCATCAATATATTGAGTCTCTCTCTCTCTCTATATAATTATAAAAAGTATATATACACATATAATTATAAAAAGTATATATAAACATATATAATTATAAAAAGTACACACACACACACACACACACACACACACACATATATATATATATAATTTTTTAGACATTGAGAGAACTAGGAAGGGGATTCAGAGAATCCCTAAAGTTTAACCCTCCAGGTATATTTGTCTTCCCAGGAAAAAGCAAATATTGCCTGTTTTTCTTTTCTTTTCTTTTTTTTTTTTTTTGAGTTGGAGTCTTGCTGTGTCACCCAGGCTAGAGTGCGGTGATGCAATCTCGGCTCACTGCAACCTCCACCTCCGGGCTTCAAGCGATACTCCCGCCTCAGCCTCCCAAGTAGCTGGGATTACAGGCACCCACCACCATGCCTGGCTAATTTTTGTATTTTTAGTAGAGACGGGGTTTCACCATCTTGGCCAGGCTGGTCTTGAACTCCTGACCTCGTGATCCACCTGCCTCAGCCTCCCAAAGTGCTGGGATTACAGACATGAGCCACCACGCCCGGCCAACTGTTTTCCTATATATGTACGCTAGAGAAGCCTGCACATAAATTACTGCAGTGAGATATTTACTGGTTGAGAGAATGAAGAACAGGACAGTATTCTAATGGTTGCATGATATTTCATTAGTGCTATGATGAACCTCTAATGTTGGACATGTAAGTGTCACTATTATCAATAATACAACAACAAATATCTTTGGGTGTAAGGCTTTTTCTGTACAGATTGTTAGGAGTGAAATTACCTAGTTGAAGAGAATGAATATTTTTAGGGTTCTTAATATATATTGCCAAATCCAAGAGCAATTGTATTACTGTATCAAAATAAATCAAAGTTTTTAATGTCATGCCTTATTTTGCCAGCATTGGATTTTCTCATTAAAAGGAAAAGGGCTAATTTCATGGGCGCAAATGTCATGTCACTGTTGTTTTGACTTCTTTATTGGCGACACTGAATATTATGTAGGTTGTTAATCAGTTTGATTTTCTCTTTTATGGATTGTTTATGTCCTTGGCCCATTTATCTATAAGATGAGGGAGTAATATTTAAGTTGTTGTTAATGAATTATTAATTTATTATCCTAGGCATAGTCCCCAACAGTGCATTTTTCTGAAAAAATATTTTCCCCTGTTGTTCATTATAGCATTTTTCAACAGAAATTTCAGAATTTTATGAAGTTAAACCTAAGGCTATAGATCTTCCATTGATTCAACACTTTTAGTTCTTCCTCATTCAAAGAATTAAAATTCACTTAAATTTCTCATAGATGTTTGTAGTTTTTAATATGTGTTTTCTAAATGTATATGGATTTTAGGTAAGAAATTTCATGAATTCTAAAGTATATGAAATGTTTTATCCTTCCTCTCTGCCACTATGCAGATTCGGAGTGTTCATCTTTTTGACGTATTATTTCCTCCTAACATAGATAACCAATTTAATAAATGGATGACTTTGATACCTTAATGTTAGTGTTCTCCATATTAAGCCAGTAAACATTGTTCTGACAGTACCATACTAATCAGTTTTTGAAATTGTGTCATTTTTGTTGTTGCACAGAGATATATACATATGTGTGTATGTTTCAGAAAGAGATATTTCCTGAAAAAATTGTTGGATTTGTATAGTGATATTAATTATATTTCAGATAATTACTATTTTTCATTGAAAAGGTATATATATATATACACACACACACACTTACCAGTATATATATATCTTCATTAAAAAATTAGGAGAACGGGTGAGCCAAAAAAGTTTCCATATTGTTACGAGTTATTTATAAATTGATATAATATGTTTATCTTTTTCTGTCATGCATACACACACAATCATAGTGTATACTTTTTGCATTTATTTGTTTACATAGTGCTTAGGTAGAATGTAATATTCAAATCACTATCTAAAAGACATACCTAATCAGAATTAAATTTAAATAAGAAGCAATATGAATTAGATTTAAATAAGAACCACATTAACTGTGAATTATGATTTGGAACAAATTTACTTAAAGTTAGTTAACCATCTAATTTACTTTTCTGATAGCTTTAAACAGTGTGTATTTACAATAGAGGCTAATCTGAGTAGTCAAACACACTTTGTGGACTATTTGAAAAACCACAGTGGATTAGAACTTGAAATTGGCATACGCTTGTATTCCCTGAGTCTCCCCTAGAAGATGCTAGTGAGAGACAAAGTAATAGAAAGTAATAACCATTTTAGGTTCCTCGTGGAAATGGCTTATGTTGGTGCCATGTAACTATGGAAAATACGTGTTTCTCTTTTTTAGGAAGTCGTACAGTTTCTAGACAAGAAACATCCAAACCACTATCGAGTCTACAATCTATGCAGTGTGTACCTTACTCTGTATTTTGCTACTGTAGATAGAAAACAGATTACTGAATGTAAGAAGATGATTTTGTTTTTTACATTGCATTTAATCATAAGTATTTGGTGGTGGTGAGGAAGGAATTTAAAAATCCCCGTCTTGGACTGGCCCCATTTGGTAGAAGGAGTTAGCCCAGGAGCACAAAGTACCCTATGAAGGAGGCAGCTCTGGCAGGACCAATGAGGCTAGAGTGAAGGCAAACCATTTTAGGGAAGATCTGTTCTAGTGATATTAGGTTTAGGAACATCTGTCTGTTTTTCCTGCCAGATTGTGTTATGAGGACATAGACAATTTAACAAATGAGTCCTCTGACCCATTAGCAGTGGGTTGTGATGAGAGCAGGGCCCTAGGTGGGAAAAAAGCAAACTCTTTAGAAAATAGGTTGCAACCCAGCTTACCACTCTGTCTTGATTTTTTTCTCTACCTGTATACTCAATAGACAGGGGGCAATCATCAAGGATGTTCATCAAGGATATTGGTCTAAAATTCTCTTTTTTGCTTGTGTCTCTGCCCGGCTTTGGTATCAGGATGATGCTGGCCTCATAAAATGAGGTAGGGAGGATTCCCTCTTTTTCTATTGATTGGAATAGTTTCAGAAGGAATGGTACCAGTTCCTCCTTGTACCTCTGGCAGAATTCGGATGTGAATCCATCTGGTCCTGGACTCTTTTTAGTTGGTAAGCTATTGATTATTGCCACAATTTCAGCTCCTGTTATTGGTCTATTCAGAGATTCAACTTCTTCCTGGTTTAGTCTTGGGAGAGTGTATGTGTCGAGGAATTTATCCATGTCTTCTAGATTTTCTAGTTTATTTGCGTAGAGGTGTTTGTAGTATTCTCTGATGGTAGTTTGTATTTCTGTGGGATCGGTGGTGATGTCCCCTTTATCATTTTTTATTGCATCTATTTGATTCTTCTCTCTTTTTTTCTTTATTAGTCTTGCCTAGCGGTCTATCAATTTTGTTGATCCTTTCAAAAAACCAGCTCCTGGATTCATTAATTTTTTGAAGGGTTTTTTGTGTCTCTATTTCCTTCAGTTCTGCTCTGATTTTAGTTATTTCTTGCCTTCTGCTAGCTTTTGAATGTGTGCTCTTGCTTTTCTAGTTCTTTTAATTGTGATGTTAGGGTGTCAATTTTGGATCTTTCCTGCTTTCTCTTGTGGGCATTTAGTGCTATAAATTTCCGTCTACACACTGCTTTGAATGTGTCCCAGAGATTCTGGTATGTTGTGTCTTTGTTCTCGTTGGTTTCAAAGAACATCTTTATTTCTGCCTTCATTTCGTTATGTACCCAGTAGTCATTCAGGAGCAGGTTGTTCAGTTTCCATGTAGTTGAGCGGTTTTGAGTGAGTTTCTTAATCCTGAGTTCTAGTTTGATTGCTCTGTGGTCTGAGAGATAGTTTGTTATAATTTCTGTTCTTTTACATTTGCTGAGGAGAGCTTTACTTCCAACTATGTGGTCAATTTTGGAATAGGTGTGGTGTGGTGCTGAAAAAAATGTATATTCTGTTGATTTGGGGTGGAGAGTTCTGTAGATGTCTATTAGGTCTGCTTGGTGCAGAGCTGAGTTCAATTCCTGGGTATCCTTGTTGACTTTCTGTCTCACTGATCTGTCTAATGTTGACAGTGGGGTGTTAAAGTCTCCCATTATTAATGTGTGGGAGTCTAAGTCTCTTTGTAGGTCACTCAGGACTTGCTTTATGAATCTGGATGCACCTGTATTGGGTTCATATATATTTAGGATAGTTAGCTCTTCTTGTTGAATTGATCCCTTTACCATTATGTAATGGCCTTCTTTGTCTCTTTTGATCTTTGTTGGTTTGAAGTCTGTTGTATCAGAGACTAGGATTGCAACCCCTGCCTTGTTTTGTTTTCCATGTGCTTGGTAGATCTTCCTCCATCCTTTTATTTTGAGCCTATATGTGTCTCTGCATGTGAGATGGGTTTCCTGAATACAACACACTGATGGGTCTTGACTCTTTATCCAATTTGCCAGTCTGTGTCATTAATTGGAGCATTTAGTCCATTTACATTTAAAGTTAATATTGTTATGTGTGAATTTGAACCTGTCATTATGATGTTAGCTGGTTATTTTGCTCGTTAGTTGATGCAGTTTCTTCCTAGTCTCGATGGTCTTTACATTTTGGCATGATTTTGCAGCGGCTGGTACCGGTTGTTCCTTTCCATGCTTAGTGCTTCCTTCAGGAGCTCTTGTAGGGCAGGCCTGGTGGTGACAAAATCTCTCAGCATTTGCTTGTCTGTAAAGGATTTTATTTCTCCTTCACTTATGAAGCTTAGTTTGGCTGGATATGAAATTCTGGGTTGAAAATTCTTTTCTTTAAGAATGTTGAATATCGGCTCCCACTCTGTTCTGGCTTGTAGAGTTTCTGCCGAGAGATCCGCCGTTAGTCTGATGGGCTTCCATTTGTGGGTAACCCGACCTTTCTCTCTGGCTGCCCTTAACATTTTTTCCTTCATTTCAACTTTGGTGAATCTGACAATTATGTGTCTTGGAGTTGCTCTTCTCGAGGAGTGTCTTTGTGGCGTTCTCTGTATTTCCTGAATCTGAATGTTGGCCTGCCTTGCTAGATTGGGGAAGTTCTCCTGGATAATATCCTGCAGAGTGTTTTCCAACTTGGTTCCATTCTGCCCGTCACTTTCAGGTACACCAATCAGACGTAGATTTGGTCTTTTCACATAGTCCCATATTTCTTGGAGGCTTTATTCGTTTCTTTTTATTCTTTTTTCTCTAAACTTCCCTTCTCGCTTCATTTCATTCATTTCATCTTCCATCGCTGATACCCTTTCTTCCAGTTGATCGCATCGGCTCCTGAGGCTTCTGCATTCTTCACGCAGTTCTTGAGCCTTGGCTTTCAGCTCCATCAGCTTCTTTAGGCACTTCTCTGTATTGGTTATTCTAGTTATACGTTTCGTCTAAATTTTTTTCAAAGTTTTTAACTTCTTTGCCTTTGGTTTGAATTTCCTCCTGTAGCTCGTAGTTTGATCATCTGAAGACTTCTTCTCTCAATTCGTCAAAGTCATTCTCCATCCAGCTTTGTTCTATTGCTGGTGAGGAACTGCGATCCTTTGGAGGAGGAGAGGCGCTCTGCTTTTTAGAGTTTCCAGTTTTTCTGCTATGTTTTTTCCCCATCTTTGTGGTTTTATCTACTTTTGGTCTTTGATGATGGTGATGTACAGATGGGTTTTTGGTGTGGATGTCCTTTCTGTTTGTTAGTTTTCCTTGTAACAGACAGGACCCTCAGCTGCAGGTCTGTTGGAGTTTGCTAGAGGTCCACTCCAGACCCTGGGTATCAGCAGCGGTGTCTGCCGAACAGTGGTTTTTCGTGAACCGCGAATACTGCTGTCTGATAGTTCCTCTGGAAGTTTTGTCTCAGAGGAGTACCCGGCCGTGTGAGGTGTCAGTCTGCCCCTACTGGGGGGTGCCTCCCAGTTAGGCTGCTCAGGGGTCAGGGGTCAGGGACCCACTTGAGGAGGCAGTCTGCCCGTTCTCAGATCTCCAGCTGCATGCTGGGAGAACCACTGCTCTCTTCAAAGCTGTCAGACAGGGACATTTAAGTCTGCAGAGGTTACTGCTGTCTTTTTGTTTGTCTGTGCCCTGCCCCCAGAGGTGGAGCCTACAGAGGCAGGCGGGCCTCCTTGAGCTGTGGTGGGCTCCACCCAGTTGGAGCTTCCCGGCTGCTTTGTTTACCTAAGCAAGCCTGGGCAATGGCGGGCGCCCCTCCCCCAGCCTCGCTGCCGCCTTGCAATTTGATCTCAGACTGCTGTGCTAGCAATCAGCGAGACTCTGTGGGCGTAGGACCCTCCAAGCCATGTGCAGGATATAATCTCCTGGTGCGCCGTTTTTTAAGCCCGTCGGAAAAGCGCAGTATTGGGGTGGGAGTGACCCAATTTTCCAGGTGCCGTGTGTCACCCCTTTCTTTGACTAGGAAAGGGAACTCCCTGACCCCTTGCGCTTCCCCAGTGAGCCAATGCCTCGCCCTGCTTCGGCTCGCGCCTGGTGCGCTGCACCCAGTGACCTGCGCCCACTGTCTGGCACTCCCTAGTGAGATGAACCCGGTACCTCAGATGGAAATGCAGAAATCACCCGTCTTCTGCGTCGCTCACACTGGGAGCTGTAGACCGGAGCTGTTCCTATTCGGCCTCCTTGGCTCCGCGATCTCTTGCGTGGTTTCTAACTACCCTGCAATAATATAATGATAGTCTGCTAGAAAGTTAAAAATTACACCTATTAAACAAAAGTAAGTTGAGTTTAGGTGACATGAGATGGATAATCTGCTCATATGCTTATGTTTTTGAGATTCTTAAGTTTATTTTAGAGCAGCAGAAGCAACTTGGAAAGCTCCTTTTGAAGATGGATAGGGAATTTCTAATAAGATATTTTATGTTGCTCATAACTTCATCATTTACTATGTTATTATATATAGAGATATGACATACATATTATTTATTTTAGGTGAAAGAGCTTATGATCCTAAGCACTTCCATAATAGGGTCAGTAGAATCATGATCGATGATCATAATGTCCCCACTCTACGGTAAGTTTTATGCTAAGTTGACTATGAGAAGGGGGCTAAATCTATTGGGCTTGATTTTTTGAAAATATTTTAACTCAACTAAAAATCCTAACCTTGAAATCAGGGAGATGGTAGCATTCTCCAAGGAAGTGTTGGAGTGGATGGCTCAAGATTCTGAAAACATCGTAGTGATTCACTGTAAAGGAGGCAAAGGTAATAACGTTTTCCTTTTTATTCCTCCCATTCTAAAGACGTGTAAGGATATGTAAAGCACAAGAACAAGATACCTGTTGCTATTAATAAGTATTAGTAATTGTTAGCATTTAAAAGTATTAGCTGTAAGACTGAAAGAAGGGAAGGAGAAAGGAAAGAGGAGAGGAGGAAGAGTAGGAGATAGGGAGAGGATAAGGAAGGGAAGAAAGTAGGGAAAAAGAACTAAGGAGGGTTGAGCATATTTTCTCTTGTTTTTCTATTTGGATATCTTTATTTTTGGTTTGCCAGTTTATATCTCTCAAAATACAAAGTCTTTAATTTTGGAGTGTCAGAGTAGTTTTATTTAAGGCTGCTCTTTTTTATTTTTAAATTAACAAATAAAAATCAGTATATTCATGGTATACCACATGATGTTTTGATATATGTAAACATTGTAAAATGGCTAAATCAACCTAATTAACATATGCATTACTCCACATACTTTTTACTTTTTTGTGGTGAGAACATTTAAATTGTACTCTCTCAGTAATTTTCAAATCTATATTATTATTAACTGTGGTCACCATGTTGTGCAATAAATTTCCTGAACTTATTCCTGTCTAACTGAAATTTTGCATCCTTTAACTGACATCTCCACAATCCCTCCTTTTTGTTCCCCCCAGCCCCTGGTAACCACCATTCTACTCTCTGCTTCTATGAATTTGACATTTTTAGAGTCCACAAAGAAGTGAGACATCCAATATTTGTCTTTCTATGCCTGGCTCCTTTCACTTAGCATAACGTTCTCCAGGCTTATCCTTGTTATCTCAAGGGACAGGATATCCTCTAACGCCGAACAGTGTGTTCTTATTTATATATACCAGGTATTCTTTATCTGTTCTTCCATTGATGACATTTAGATTGACTCCATAGCTTGGCTATTATGAATAATGCTGCAGTGAACATGGGAGTGCAGATTTCATTTTCTTTGGACATATACCCAGAAGTGGAATCTCCAAATCATATGGTAGTTCTATTTTTTTATTTTTAGTTTTTTGAGGTGTCCCTATGCTGTTTTCCATAATAACTACTAATTTACACTCACACCAACAGTGTACAAGAGGGTTCTCTTTTCTCTACATCCTCACCAACTCTTCTTTTGTCTTTTTGTTAATCACCATCCTAACAGGTATGAGGATATCTCTTTGTGATTTTAATTTGGTTTTCCTGATGATTAATGATGTTGAGCATTTTTTCATATACCTCTTGGCCATTCATATGTCTTCTTTTGAGATATATCTTTTCAGGTTCTTTGCCCATTTTTTAGAGAAGTAACTTGTTCTCTTGTTATTGTGTTGTTTGAGTTCCTTTAAAAAAAAAATTAACCTGTTCTTGAATATATGCTTTGCAGGTATTTTTCTCCCATTCTGTAGGTGGTCTCTTTATAATTGTTTCCTTTGCTGTGCAAAAGCTTTTCAGTTTGATACAATGTCATTTGTCTATTTTTTCTTTTGTTGCCTGTGCTTTTCAGTCATATCCAAAAAATCTTGGCCCAGACCAGTGTCAAGAAGCTTTTCCCCTGTGTTTTCTTCTAGTAGTTTTCCAGTTTCAGGTTTCACAGTTAAATCTTTACTTTGAGTTGATTTTTGTACACTGGGTGAGATAGGGTGCAGTTTCATTCTTCTGCAAGTGGATGTCCAGTTTCCCCAGTATTGTTTATTGAAGAGACTGTCCTTTCCTCATCGTGGATTCTTGGCACCTTTGTTGAAGATCAGCTGAAAAATGCACGGATTTATTCTGGGCTTTCTATTCTGTTCCATTGATCTATATGTCTGTTTTTGTTCCAGTAATATTTAAGGTTGTTCTTAAACTTGGTGAGAATCTTTTAGATTAAGGGAGCCAACACAGAGATGCTATTTCAAAAATTATACTGGACTTATGATAGTGTAATGATACAAAGAAGTTTATATTGGTGGGGTTAAAATGGGGGGAAAAGCCACTTGTAAATCCAATCAATTTAAGTTCAGTTAGATTTTCTCTCATTCAGGTTTAGGCTTTGAATAATCATCTAAGTATATTTCACAATTTTTGATAAACATAAAGAATTACCTTCTTAGAGGGCTGTAAAACCATTTTTATATCAAATTCCAGGAAAACATAACACTGTAAACTGACTTATATAATTCAATAAAATGAAGTTTTAGTTTTATTGAGAACTAGTTTCAAGCCCATTAGTTAATATACAGGTTCAGTGTTTAGCTCTACAGGTTTGAATATTCTGTATAAAGTGGCAATTTACAATACCATAGTTAAATTAAGAATATAGAAGTTGAATCATTTGAAGTTCCCAGTTTTTTAACCATCTTTTGGTTTAAAAATGGCCATTTCACATTGCCTAACCTAACATGTTATTTTTCAAGCAGTAGCATCAGTTTTCTATTAACTGATACTAATTCCTTGCTTGAAGGATTTCAAATTTGACTTTTTTCTAAAAACTTTTGCTGAGAGGGGGTTTGCATAATTCTGGGTTCACATAATATTTTGTTGATTTTTTTAGGTTGTTTAGAGAATATTCAGCTGGTATGCACCAGAGAAGCCTCTTTTTAAAAATGTTCATTCATATTAATCTTGCTGTCTTCTGATTGGTTGCTGCCTGCAGGTTATCAGTAGTATCATGAGAGTAGAAATATTTTATTATTGATTTATAGGAGTTCTTTAAAGAATCTAAATGCCAATTTTTCTTAGTATTGCAAGTATATTCTCCCACTGTGTTGTCTTTTAAATTTGATTGTGATTTATTTTGTTGTATAAAAGCTTGTAAATTTGTGTTTTGTTTTGAGACACAGTCTCGTTCTGTCACCCAGGCTGGAGTACAATGGCTCAATCTCAGCTCATTGCAGCCTCAACCTCCCTGTACTCAAGTGATCTTCCCGCCTCAGCCCCTCTGAGTAGGTGGGATTACAGGCACGCGCCACCACGCCGGGGTAATTTTTGTATTTTTTGTAGAGACAGGGTCTCCCTATGTTGCCCAGACTGGTCTTGAACTCCTGGACTCAAATATTCCACTCGCCTCAGCTTCCCAAAGTGCTGGGATTATAGGCATGAGCCATTGTGCCAGCAAGAAGTTTGTAATTTTGAATGTGGTAAAATGTGTTAATCGATGTGTTTGTATTTCATGCTTTTCTGTCACGTTTAAGAAATTCACCCCTATACTGAGGTAGTAAAGATATTCTACATTTCTTCAAAAATCTTCAAGTTGCATTTTTAATATTTGGGTCTTAAATCTAATTGAAATTTGGGGGAGGTTTTTTTTTCATATGGATAGCCAACGGTCCTAACAGCATCAATTGCATGCTATTTTGTTCTCCATTTATTTGTGATTCCTCTCAATCATATACCAAGTTTCTAGAAATATTCAAAATTGTTTCTAAGTTCTCTATATCACACTTTTGTAATTATTGTAGCCTTATATTGTAGTTTGATAAAGGCAGAATTGTCTTGCTCTTCTTGGAACGTTATTCTTTCATTAAATTTTAAAATCATTTTGTCAAGTTCCATTATAAAACACGCTTAGGATTTTCATTGGAACTACATTGAATTTATAGATTCACTCGAGAGAACTGACAGCTTTGTGATAATAAGTTATACATGTGATTGATCTTGTTCATTCTTTAATTAAATATTTTATATTTTCTTCATCATGTCTTTGCACATCTTTTCACAAATTCATTCCTACACAAATTGTGACTGCAAGTGGAATCTCTTTTTTTTTTTTCTGTTACATTTGGGTTGTTTCCAGTTTTTACTATGATAAATAATGCTGCTTTTTTTTTTTTTTTTTTTAGACGGAGTCTCACTCTGTCACCCAGGCTGGAGTGCAGTGGTATGATCTCGCGCACTGCAACCTCTGCCTCCCAGGTTCAAGTGATTTTCATCCCTCAGCCTCTGGAGTAGCTGGGATTACAGGCGCCTGCCACCATGCCTGGCTGTTTTGTATTTTTAGTAGAGACAGGGTTTCACCATGTTGGCCAGGCTGGTCTCGAACTGCTGACCTCAAGTGATCTGCCTACCTCGGCCTCCCAAAGAGCTGATATTACAGGGTGAGCCACTGCGCCTGGCCCAATAATGCTGCTTTTAAAAATACACGTTTCTTGTTGCATATGTGGCCATATTTTTGTTGAGTATGTACCTCAGACTAAAATGGTTCTGTCTTAAGGTAATGAATCTTGAACTTTATACTTGATAATGTCACCTGTTTCTAAAACAGTTGTACCAATTTTCACTCCACTGGTATCGCACACTCGAAGCATTCCATATCTTCCCCAGTACTTGCAATTCTGAGTATTTTGATTTTTAGCCATTGGGTGTTTGTGTGATGGCATATTATGGTGGTGTTCATTTGCATTTCTATAATTACTAATAAGATTGAAGAAGTTTTCTTAAGATTATTAAGTATTTGGATATCCTTTTTTGTAAAGTAACTGTTAAGTTTTCTTACCCATTTTTCTCCTGGATTATTTGTCTTTTTTTCTCTTGATTTGCAGTTTTTTATATATTCTGATTTCCATTCTGTTATTGGTCATATATGTATTTCAAGAAAACTTTTCTGCTCTGTGATTTGCCTTTTCTCTCTCTTAGGAGTATCTTTTGGTTAACAGAAGTTCTTAGTTGTATTACCATCATAGGTATTATGCTTTCTCTTTATAAAGTTTGTGTTTTTGTGTCCTGATTAAGAAAATTTTCCTTGAGTTTAAAGACATTCTACTACTATATTTTCTTCTAGATGGTTCATTCATTTAAAAATTGATTTATAGGTGTGGTGTGAGGAAGAGGTTAAGTTTCATCTTTTTCCATATATGGCTATCCAATTATTCCAGCACACTGGTTGAGAAGATTTTTATTTCTTTACTTCCCTGCAGAACATGAGTCTGCTTCTGACCTTTCTATTCTGTTCATTGATTTTTCATCTGTGTGCCAATAGCACAACCATCTTACTGTAGCTTTCTAATAGTCCTTATTTCCAGTCAAGTGAGGACAATCATCTTTTTCTTCATAATTGTTTGTGTATTTTAGGCCGTCTACATTTCCATATAAATTTGGGAATCAAACAAAAGGCAGCAGAAACCTCTGCAGACTTAAATGTCCCTGTCTGACAGCTTTGAAGAGAGTAGTGGTTCTCCCAGCACGGAGTTTGAGATCTGAGAACGGACAGACTACCTCCTCAAGTGGGTCCCTGACCCCCGAGTAGCCTAACTGTGAGGCACCGCCCAGTAGGGGCAGACTGACACCTCACACGGCCGGGTACCCCTCTGAGACAAAGCTTCCAGCGGAATGATCAGGCAGCAACATTTGCTGCTCAGCAATATTTGTTGTTCTGCAGCCTCCGCTGCTGATACCCAGGCAAACAGGGTCCGGAGTGGACCTCCAGCAAACTCCAACAGACCTGCAGCTGAGGGTCCTGACTGTTAGAAGGAAAACTAACAAACAGAAAGGACATCCACACCAAAACCCCATCTGTACGTCACCATCATCAAAGACCAAAGGTAGATAAAACCACAAAGATGGGGAAAAAACAGCAGAAAAGCTGAAAATTCTAAAAATCAGAGCACCTCTCCCCCTCCAAAGGAACACAGCTCCTCGCCAGCAAAGGAACAAAGCTGGACGGAGAATGATTTCGAAGAATTGAGAGGAGAAGGCTTCAGACAATCAAACTTCTCCGAGCTAAAGGAGGAAGTTCAAACCCAATGCAGGGAAGCTAAAAACCTTGAAAGAAGATTAGACGAATGGCTGACTAGAGTAACCAGTGTAGAGAAGTTCATTCATCATACTGAATGGGCAAAAACTGGAAACATTCCCTTTGAAAACTGGCACAAGACAGGGATGCCCTCTCTCACCACTCCTATTCAACATAGTGTTGGAAGTTCTGGCCAGGGTGATCAGGCAGGAGAAAGAAATAAAGGGTATTCAATTAGGAAAAGAGGAAATCAAATTGTCCCTGTTTGCAGATGACTTGATTGTATATCTAGAAAACCCCATCATCTCAGCCCAAAATCTCCTTAAGCTGATAAGCAACTGCAGCAAAGTCTTGGGATACAAAATCAATGTGCAAAAATCACAAGCATTCTTATACACCAATAACAGACAAACAGAGAGCCAAATCATAAGTGAACTCCCATTCACGATTGCTTCAAAGAGAATAAAATACCTAGGAATCCAACTGACAAGGGATGTGAAGGACCTCTTCAAGGAGAACTACAAACCACTGCTCAACGAAATAAAAGAGGTTACAAACAAATGGAAGAACATTCCATGCTCATGGGTAGGAAGAATCAATATTGTGAAAATGGGCATACTGCCCAAGGTAATTTATAGATTCAATGCCATCCCCATCAAGCTACCAATGACTTTCTTCACAAAATTGGAAGAAACTACTTTAAAGTTCATATGGAACCAAAAAAGGGCCCGCATTGCCAAGTCAATCCTAAGCCAAAAGAAGAAAGCTGGAGGCATCACGCTACCTGACTTCAAACTATACTACGAGGCTACAGTAACCAAAACAGCATGGTACTGGTACCAAAACAGAGATATAGACATATAGAGATATGGAACAGAACAGAGCCCTCAGAAATAATACCACACATCTACAACCATCTGATTTTGACAAACCTGACAAAAACAAGAAATGGGGAAAGGATTCCCTATTTAAAAAATGGTGCTGGGAAATGGTGCTGGGAAAACTGGCTAGCCGTATGTAGAAAGCTGAAACTGGATCCCTTCCTTACACCTTATACAAAAATTAATTCAAGATGGATCAAAGACTTAAATGTTAGACCTAAAACCATAAAAACCCTAGAAGAAAACCTAGGCAATACCATTCAGGACATAGGCATGGGCAAGGACTTCATGTCTAAAACACCAAAAGCAATGGTAACAGAAGCCAAAATTGACAAATGGGATCTAATTAAACTAAAGAGCTTCTGCACAGCAAAAGAAACTACCATCAGAGTGAAGAGGCAACCTACAGAATGGGAGAAAATTTTTGCAATCTACTCATCTGACAAAGGGCTAATATCCAGAATCTACAAAGATCTCAATCAAATTTACAAGAAAAAAACAAACAACCCCATCAAAAAGTGGGTGAAGGATATGAACAGACACTTCTCAAAAGAAGACATTTATACATCCAACAGACACATGAAAAAATGCTCATCATCACTGGTCATCAGAGAAATACAAATCAAAACCACAATAAGATACCATCTCACACCAGTTAGAATGGCGATCATTAAAAAGTCAGGAAACAACAGGTGCTGGAGAGGATGTGGAGAAATAGGAACACTTTTACACTGTTGGTGGGACTGTAAACTAGTTCAACCATTGTGGAAGACAGTGTGGCGATTCCTCAAGGATCTAGAACGAGAAATACCATTTGACCCAGCCATCCCATTACTGGGTATATACCCAAAGGATTATAAATCATGCTGTTATAAAGGCACATGCACACGCATGTTTATTGCAGCACTATTCACAATAGCAAAGACTTGGAACCAACCCAAATGTCCATCAATGACAGACTGGATTAAGAAAATGTGGCACATATACACCATGGAATACTATGCAGCTGTAAAAAAGGATGAGTTTGTGTCCTTTGTAAGGACATGGATGAAGCTGGAAACCATCATTCTCAGCAAACTATCGCAAGAACAAAAAACCAAACACCGCATGTTCTCATTCGTAGGTGGGAGTTGAACAGTGAGAACACTTGGACACAGGAAGGGGAACATCACACACCAGGGCCTGTTATGGGGTGGGGGGAGGGGGGAGGGAAAGCATTAGGAGATATACCTAATGTAAATGACGAGTTAATGGGTGCAGCACACCAACATGGCACATGTATACATATGTAACAAACCTGCACGTTGTGCACATGTACCCTAGAACTTAAAGTATAAAAAAAAAAAAAATTTGGGAGTCAGCTGGTCAAATACACACACCTGATAGAAATTTGTTTGGAATTGCGTTGAATCTATAGATTGGGGAGAATTGAATCTTTACAATATTGACCCATCCAACCCATGAAGAGAGATGTTCTCTCATTCAGTTAGGTTTCCTTCCATTTCTCTTTACAATGTTTTCTCATTTTCTGTGTAGAAAGCTTGCATATTTTTGATGAGATTTATTCCTAGATATTTGATATTTTGTGGTTATTTAAATGATATCCCTTTAAAATGTTTATTTTCTAAATGTTGTTGATTTAAATGCAGTTCATTTTATTCATTAATCTTGTATTTAGCAACTTGACTAAACTCACTTTTTGTTTGTTTGTTTGTTTGTGTGTTTTGAGATAGGGTTTCATTCTGTCACCCAGGCGGGAGTGCAGTGATGCGATCATGGCTCACTGCAGCTTCAACCTCCCTGGGCTCAGGGAATCCCTCCCACATCAGCCTCCCGAGTAGCTAGGACTGCAGGCAGGTGCCACCATGCCCAGCTAATTTTTTTATTTTTTTGTAGAAACGGGGTTTTGCCATGTTGCCCAGATTGGTCTCAAACTCCTGGGCTCAAGTGATCTGCCAGCCTCAGCCTCTGCCTCCTAAAATGCTAGGATTACAGGCCTGAGCCATTGTGCCCAGCCTAAACTCACTTATTAGTTCTACTAAATTATCTATAGATTCTTTTGGATTTTATAGTACACAGTTATATCATGTGAAAATAATACATTGTATTTTTTCCTTTTCAGTCATTTTCCCCCCTAGCACTGGCTAGAACCTTCAGTACAGTGTTGAATTAGAAGTGGCAACAGCAGCCATCAGTGTACACTTCTATTCTCAAAGGAAAAGCTTTCAGTGTCTCTCCAATTGCTTTACGAGCATGTGTGTGTGTGTGTGTGTGTGTGTGTGTGTGTGTGAGCTACCATTTATCAGATGAAGAAATTCCTTAGCCAGGCGCCATGGCTTTCGCCTGTAATCCCAGCACTTTGCGGGGCCCAGTGGGGCACATCATTTCAGACCAGCCTGGGCAACATGATGAAACCCCATCTCTACTAAAAAATAAAAAATTAACCAGGTGTGGTGGTGCATGCCTGTAATACCATCTACTCTAGAGGCTGAGGCACGAGAATTGCTTGAACTCAGGATGCAGAGATTGCAGTGAGCCAATATCACACCACTGCTCTCCAGCCTAGGTGACAGAGCGAGACATTGGCTCAACAAAAAAAAAAAGAAAGAAAAAGAAAAGAAAAAACAATGTCTTTAGTTTGCTGAGAGAGTTTTTTTTTTAATCATGAATGGATGTTGAATTTTTCCAGATTTTTCTGAATCTTTGAGATGATAATTTTTCCCCTTTATCTTATAAATAAATGTGGCTAATTACATGATTGATTAAGTGGTAAACCAACATATTTCTGGAATAAATGTGATTGAGTTGTGCTATACTATTTTATTAAATAATTATTAAACTTTTTTTTATTAAATTCCTGGGTTCTATTTGTTAATATTTGTTTAGGATTTTCAAATTCATGTCACCAGTGTGATTGGTTGTAATTTTCCTTTCTCATAGTTTTTTCAAATCTTGGCTTCATAAAATGAGTTAGATTTTATTTTCTCTTTTTTTATTCCCTCGATGAATTTATGCGTGCTGTTTTTTTTTTTCTTTTTAAGTGTACGGTGAAATTCACCAGTGAAGCTACATTTGTCTAGAGTTTTCTCTGGGGAGAAGTTTTTAAATTATCGCTCAGTTTCGTATATAGAATTCTCTCTAATTTTATTTCCTTAGCCTGTTTTGGTAGGTTATTGTTTTCCCAGCATTTGTCCATTTAATCTAAGTTTGCGAATGTCTTGGCATCAAATTATTCACAATATCATTTTACCATTTTAATGTCTACAGGGGCATTCCCTTTTTATTCCTTACATTATTTTCTTGGTGCCTTCTCCCTTTGTTTCTTTTGATTAGTCTCACCAGGGAATTATCAATTTTACTAGTCTTTTAAAAGTAACAAATGTGGCTGAGCGCGGTGGCTCATGCCTGTAATCCCAGCACTTTGGGAGGCCAAGGCGGGCGGATCACGAGGTCAGGACATCTAGACCATCCTGGCTAACACGGTGAAACCCCGTCTCTACTAAAAACACAAAAAATTAGCCGGGTGCGGTGGCGGGCGCCTGTAGTCCCAGCTACTCGGGAGGCTGAGGCAGGAGAATGGCATGAACCCGGGAGGCAGAGCTTGCAGTGAGCTGAGATCGCGTCACTGCATTCCAGCCTGGGTTACAGAGCGAGAGTCCATCTCAAAAATAAATAAATAAATAAATAAATAAAATAACAAATTTTTGGCCTTACTAATGGACTCTATTATTTACTTTTTATTTCATGAATTAGTATTATATTTAGTATTTTCTTTTGTATTCCATGGGTTAATTTGTTCTTTTCCTGACTTCTTGAGATGAATAATTCTTAGAGTGTCGACCACTCTGTTTTCTGTTTAGCATTTAAGGCTATACATTTTCTTCTAAGAGTTGCTTTAGCTTCGTCCCACAAGTTTTCATATGTAATATTTTCATTTTATTGGGTTCAAATTATTTTCCAATTTTCACTGTGCTTGGTGTTTTTTTTTTTTTTTGACCCGTGAGTTGTATAGAAGTATACTTCCTTATTTCCAAACATAGGAGACTTTTGCATTTATCTTTAAGTTTTTTATTTGTGAAGCCAGGCGCAGTGGTTCACGCCTGTAATCCCAGCAATTTGGCAGGCCGAGGAGGTGGTTTACCTGAGGTCAGGAGTTCGAGACCAGCCTGACCAACATGGAGAAACCTCGTCTCTACTAAAAGTACAAAAATTAGCCAGGTGTGGTGGCACATGCCTGTAATCACAGCTACTTGGGAGGCTGAGGCAGGAGAATCGCTTGAACCCGGGAGGCGGAGGTTGTAGTGAGCCAAGAACACACCATTGTACTCCAGCCTGGGCAACAAGAGCGAAACTCCATCTGAAAAAAAAAAAAAAGTTTTTTATTTCTGGTTGTATTGTGCTGTGGACACAGAACATACTATTTTTTTTTTCTTCCAAATTTGTGTAGACTTGGTTTATGGCCTAGAATTTGGTTGATATTGTTAAATGTTTTCTGTACACTTGAAAAAAACACGTATTATGCATTGTTGAGAACAATGTTCTATGTACGTGCATTTGTTAATTTATTTAACTCTTCTATATTCTTACTGACTTGTGTTTTGGTTTGATTGAATTTTGATAATTTTTTCCTTCTCACTCTCTCCCATTGCCTTGGAAGTTATATACTCCTTTTCTATTTTTTTAGTAATTACTGTAAAGATTTCAACCTGAATCCTTGATTTAGCTATTAATTTTTGTTTATGTTGAGCCTGCATCTAGAGATCTTCCTAAACTCTCTCAACTCTCTCGTTAGATTAATGAGTTATTCTATAGATTTACTGACTACACGGACTTACTACACTGGCTAGGCTCTGCAGTACATTGTTAAATGGAAGCAGTGAACAGAGGGCATTTTTGCTTAATTCCAGGCTTTAAAGAAAATGCTATCAATATTACATCATTAATATGATGTTCCTGGTAGGTGTTTTGGTAGATTCCCTTTGTTGAGTTAAAGAAGTGTCCTAGTTTTTATTAATTTTTAAAGTCACAGTTGTAGGTTGAATTTTAGTTAATGCTTTCTCTGCATTAATTGACATAATTGCAAGGTATGTCTACTTTAATCTGTGAATATGATAAATTACATTAATATAGATTTCTGATATAGGATGATTCTTTTTTGTTTGTTTGTTTGAGACGGAGTCTCGCCCTGTCGCCCAGGCTGGAGTGCAGTGGCGTGATCTCGGCTCACTGCAAGCTCCGCCTCCCGGGTTCACGCCATTCTCCTGCCTCAGCCTCCCGAGTAGCTGGGACTACAGGCGCCCGCCACCACGCCCGGCTAATTTTTTTGTATTTTTAGTAGAGACGGGGTTTCACCGTGTTAGCCAGGATAGTCTAGATGTCCTGACCTCGTGATCCGCCTGCCTCGGCCTCCCAAAGTTCTGGGATTACAGGCAAGAGCCACCGCGCCCGGCCTAGGATGATTCTTGTATTTTTATTTGTTTTTTTAATGGGCAAAGAAATTTTTTTTTTTTGAGCTTAGTTTTTTGGTATAATTTCCACTTTGATTTTAGATTTGGAAGTACATGTGCAGGTTTATTACCTGGGTATATTGTGTGATACCGAGGTGTGGGGTATGATTGATCCCATCACCCAGGTACTGAGCATAGGACCCAATAGTTTTTCAACCTGTGTCCCCTTCTGCTGTGCACCCTCTAGAATTCCAGTGTCCATTATTGCCACCTTGATATCCATGAGCATCTATTGTTTAGCTTTCACTTATAAGTGAGAACATATGGTATTTGGTTTTCTGTTCCTGCATTAATTTGCTTAGGATAATGACTTCCAGCTGCATCCATGATGCTGCAAAGGACATGATTTTATTTTTTTATGAATGTGTAGTATTCCATGGTGTATATGTACCACATATTCTTAAGCCAGTCCACCACTGATGGGCACCTAGGTTGATTCTGTGTCTTTCCTGTTGTCAGTAGTGCTGAGAAGAGCATGCCGGGGCCTGTGTCTTTTTGTTAGAACAACTTACTTTCTTTTGGATGCATACGCAGTAATAGGATTGCAATGTCAAATGGTAGTTCTAAGTTTTTGAGAAATCTCCAAACTGCTTTCCAGGTAGCTGAACTAATTTACATTCCCATTAGCAGTGTATACGTGTATACTCTGCAGCCTTGTCAGCATCTGTTGTTTTTTGACTCTTTAATAATAGCCATTCCGACTGGTATGAGATATAATCATGTTGTGGTTTTGATTTGCATTTCTCGGATGATTAGTGATGTGGAGCATTTTTCATGTTTGTTGGCCACTGGTATGTCTTCTTTTAAGAAGTGTATGTTTATATCTTTTGCCCATTTTTAATGGGGTTATTTGCTTTTTTTGCTTAATTGTTGAGTTTCTTATAGATTCTGAATATTAAACCTTTGTGAGATGCATAGTTTGCAAATATTTTCACCCATTCTATAGGTTGTCTGTTTACTCTGTTGATAGGTTCTTTGCTGTGCAGAAGCTCTACAGTTTAATTAGGTCCCACTTGTCAGTTTTTTGTGGCAATTGCTTTTGAAAACTTAGTCATAAATTCTTCCCCAAGGTCAGCGTCCAGAATGCTGTTTTCTAGGTTTTCTCCTAGTATTCTTATAGTTTGAGGTCTTTCTATCTTTAGTTAATTTTTGTATATGGTGAAAGGTATAGGTCCAGATCATTCTTTTGCATATTGCTAGCTCAATATCCTAGCACCATTTATTGAATAGGAAGTCATTTCCTTATTGCTTATTTTTGTTGACTTTGTCAAAGATCAGATGGCTTTCTGTGTTTGGCTTTATTTCTGAGTTCTTTATTCTCTTCCTTTGATCAATTTTTTTTTCCTGCCAGTACCATGCTCTTTTGGTTTCTATAGCCTTATGGCGTAGTGTGAAGTTGGGTAATGTGATGCTTCTGGCTTTGTTCTTTTTGCTTAGGATTGCTTTGGCTATTCCGGCTCTTTTTTGGTTCCATGTGAATTAGATTTTTCTAGTTCTGTGAAAAATGATGTTAGTAGCTTGATTGGAAAAATGTTGATTCTGTATATTGCTTTTGGTAGCATGGCCATTTTAATGATATTGATTCTTCCAGTCCATTAGCATGGAATGTTTTTCCATTTGTTTGTGTCATCTATGATTTCTTTCAGCAGTGGTTTGCAGTTCTCCTTGTAGAGATCATTCACCTCCTCGATTAGCTGTATTCCTAAGTATTTTATTTTTTGTGTGGCTACTGTAAAGGGGGTTATGTCCTTGATTTGGCTGTCAGCTTGGACATTATTGGTGTACAGAAATGCTACTGATTTTTGTACATTGATTCTGTATCCTAAAACTTTACTGAAGTAATGTATCAGTTCCAAGTGCCTTTTGGTGGAGTCTTTTGGATTTTGAAGATATAGAATCATATCGTTGATGAAGAGAGATAGTTTGACTTTTTATTTTCCTATTTGGATGCCATTTTTTTCTTTCTTTTGCCTGATTGCTATGGCAAAGACTTTTACTACTATGTGAAATAGGAGTGGTGAGATTAGGCATCCTTGTCTTGTCCCAGTTGACAAGGAGAAGCGTCCAGCTTTTGCCTGTTACAATGTTGGCTGTGGGTTCATAATAGAAGGCTCTGTTTTGAAGTGTATTCCTTTAATGCCTAGTTTCTTGAGTGTTTATTGTCAAGAAGGATGTTGAATTTTATCAAAAGTTTTTTTTTGCATCTATTGAGATGATCATATGGTTTCTGTGTGGTGAATCACATTTATTGATTTGCATATGCAGAACCTTGCATCCTTGGAATGAAGCCTACTTGACCATGGTGAATTAACTTTTTGATGTGCTGTTGGATTCAGTTTGCTGGTATTTTGTTAAGGATTTGTGTGCCTATCTTCATCATTGAGATTAGCCTTTAGTTTTCTTTTTTTTTTTTTAATTGTGTGTTTGCCAGGCTTTGGTTTCAGGGTGATGCTGGCTTCATAGAATGAATTAGGGAAGAATCCCTCCTGGAGTTTTTGGAATAGTTTCAGTAGAACTGGTACCAGTTCTTCTTTGTATATTTGATATAATTCATCTGTGAATACATCTGATTTAGGACTTTTTTGGTTGGCGGGTTTTAACTTATGGATTCAATTTTGGAGCTTGATACTGGTCTGGTGAGGGTTTCAATTTCTTTCTGATTCAATCTTGGGAAGTTCTGTGTTGCCAGGAATGTATTCATTTCCTCTACATTATCTAGTGTGTGTGCATAGAGGTGTTCATAATAGTCTCTGAGGACCTTTTGTATTTCTGTGGGATTGGTTGTGATGTCGTCTTTGTGATTTCTGATTGTGCTTATCCGGATCTTCTTTCTTTTTCTTTGTTAATCTAGCTAGCAGTCTATCAATTTTGTTTATGTTTTCAAAGAAATGACTTGGTTTCTTTGAATCTCTGTTTTAATTTTGGGGTCTCAATTTTGTTTAGTTTTGCTCTGATTTTAGTTATTGTTTTTCTTCTGCTAGGTTTGGGGTTCTTGTTTTTCTGATTTCTCTCGGTGTAATGTTACATTATTAATTTGAGATTTTACTAGCTTTTTGAGGTACACATTTAGCACCATAAACTTTCCTATTAACACTGCTTTTGCTGCATCCCAGAGATTCTGGTATGTTGTGTTTCTGTTTTCATTTATTTCAAAGAATTTTTTGATATCTACCTTAATTTTATCATTTGCTTAAAAGTCATTCAGGAGCAAGTTGTTTCATTTCCATGAAATTGTTTGGTTTTTAGAGATCTTCTTGATATTGATTTATATTTTTATTCAACTGTGGTCCAAAAAAAATGGTTGGTATGATTTCAACATTTTTTGAATTTATTGAGGCTTGCTTCATGGTGGAACATATGGTTGATCTTGGAATACATTCGCTGTGCAAATGAGAAGAATGTATATTCTGTGGTTGATGCATGGAGTGTTCTTTAGGTGCCTATTACATCCAGTTGGTCAAGTGTTGAATTTATGTCCGTAATTCCTCTGTTAGTGTTCTATCTGAATGATCTGTCTAATGCTGTCAGTGGGGTGTTAAAGTCTCCTGACTATTATTATGTGGCTGAGTCTTTTCATAGGTCTAGAAGTACCTGTTTTATTAACCTGGGTGATCCAATGTTGGGTGCATATATATTTAGGATTGTTAAGGCTTCTTGTTGAATTGAACCCCTTATCATTATGTAATGCCCTTCTTTGTCCTTTTTTACTATTGCTGGTTTAAAGCCTGTTTTATCTGTTTTAGGAATAGTGATCCCTGCTCTTTTTGGTGTTTTGTTTGTGTGAGAGATCTTTCTCCAACCCTTTACGTTGAACCTGTTGGTGTTGTTACATGTGAGATGGTGTCTTGAAGACAGCAGACAGATGGGTTTTGTTTTTTTATCCAACTTGCCACTCTGTGACTTTTACGTGGTGTGTTTAGACTATTTACATTCAAGGTTAATATTGACGTGAGCTTTTCACCCTATCATGACATTGTTAGGTGGTTGCTTTATACTTTCTGTTGTATTGTTGTTTTATAGGCTCTGTGAGCTGTGTACTTAAGTGTGCTTTTATGGTAGCAGGTATCATTCTTTTATTTCCATGTTTAGAACTCCCTTAGGGATCTCTTGTAAGACTGGTCTAGTTTTAATGAATTCTCATGGCACTTGCTTCTCTGGAAAAAAAGATCTTTATTTGTCCTTCGCTCATGAAGCTTAGTTTGGCAGGATGCTCTTGATTAGAATTTATTTTCTTTAAGAATTCTGAAAATACACCTTCCCAATCTCTCCTGATTTTTAAGGTTTCTGCTGAGACGTCTGCTGTTATCCTGATAGGGCTCCTTTTGTATGTGATCTGGCCTTAGGATTTTTTCTTTAACGTTGACCTTGGACTGTTTGGTATATGCCTTGGTAATGTCCACTTTTTTATAGTATCTCGCAGGTGTTCTCTGGCTTTATTGTATCTAGATGTCTACCTTTCTAGCAAGATTCAGGAAATTTTCTTGAATGATTGCATCAAATATGTTTTCCAGGTTGTTTTCTTTTTTTCCTTGTCTCTAGGGAATGCCAGTAATTTGTAGGTTTGGTCACTTCACATAACCTATTTCTCAAAGACGTTCCTCACTTTTTAAAAATAGTTTTTCTTTATTTTTGTCTGACTGCATTAGTTCAAAAGACCAGTCTTCAGGCTCTGAAATTATGTCCTCTACTTGGTCCAGTTTATTGATAAATCTTTCCATTGTATTTTGAAATTCCTTAAGTGAGTTTTTTAATTCCGGAAGTTCTGATTGATTTCTTTTTAAGATGTTTATCTCTTCCTTCATTTGCTGAATTGATTTAGAAGTTTCCTTTTGTTGATTTCAACCTTGAATCTCATTGAGCTTCCCTGGAATCCATGCTTTGAATTCTTTATTGTCATTTCTGAGTTTTCATTTTGGTAGAAAGCATTGCCAGAGAGCTAGTGTGATCCTTTGGTGGTATCACTACATGCAGGTTTTTCATGGTGCCAGAATTCTTGTACTGGTTCTTCTCATCTGGAGATGCTAGCACTTCTAATTTTTGTAATTGTTTTTATGTGGGTAGGATTTTTTCTTTATCTTTTCTTTCCTATATCATTATTATTATTATTATTATTATTATTATTATTATTATTATTATTCTTTCCCTTTCCCTCCTCCTTAGGTGATGTGACTTTAGAGCAATGCTAGGTAGGTCTTTTGGCCTTGCTTCTATATGCACTTCTATCAGCAGGTTTTATATTGGGTATGTGGTTTGACCTACAAGCCAGTAGATGGCGGCGATGGGTAAGAGCTGGCTGTGGCCAGTGGTGCTGGCTATATACTTGCTGTTTGTTTATTGGGAAGAGCTCTCTGTTGCCTTAGGCAATGAGCTGATTCCTGGAGTACACATTAATCTGAGCTCCCTCCTAAACCCTAGGGGAACGGGAGTTAGGTGGGGGTGTGGGAGGAAGATGGGTGGAGCCAGATGGGGAAGGTTCCCCAGTGTTGTCCTGCTCTCAGTCCAGGTTTGGGAAAATGCCTGCAGCTTTTCCTTGTGTCCTTTCCTCACAAAGTCTCCAAGTCTCTCGTTAAATTAGCTCCAGGACTTGGGAGAAACAGTGCCCCTCCTCGGTCCGGGTTGCTTGGATCCCCAGTGGAAAGGTAAGACAGAGGGATGCTGTCTGCCTCTCTCACATACTGAGGCTTCACTCGCTTTTATCAGTCGAATGTTGTCACAAGAGCTGTTTGCCTGCGTTGTCCTCCCAAGGATCTGGGGTGTCCTTCATAATTCCAGGGAGTTGTCGTTTTCTTTCTTGAATTAAAGTTCACAGAGTTGATCTTTATGTACTATCTTGCTATTTCCAAATGGCTGAGGCATGCTAAAAGCCTGTAATCTGCCGTCTTGGAAAAAAATCCTTGCATTCTTAAGAGAAATGGCACTTGGTATTGATACGTGGTATTTCTACACTGCTGAATTCACTTTGAAAAAATATATATATTTTTATATCTACATTTATATGTCAGACTGGTATAAAGTAATCGTCTACTGTATTTATGCAGTTTTGGAACCAGCTATTTTAGTGTTACTAAATGAGTTGGGAATTTTTCTTTCTTACTGTTACCCAAAGGAATTTATATAAGACATGAATTATTGCTTTCGAATAGATTTAGTAAAAACCTCATCTTGTTCTTTCGTGGAGAGGTAGTTGAGAAATATTTTTACCGTAAATGTAATTTATTTTCCACCTGTGGGGCAGAGGTTGCAGTGAGCTGAGATCGTGCCAGTGCACTGCAGCCTGGGTGACACAGCGAGACTGTCCCAAAAAAAAAGAAAGAAAATCAACTTAAAATGAACTCCTGGAATATTTCTGAGTGTATTTTTATACCAAGCATGTTCCTTGAACTAATTTTTCTTTTCTTTTCTAGGAAGAACCGGAACTATGGTTTGTGCCTGCCTGATTGCCAGTGAAATATTTTTAACTGCAGAGGTATGAAAGATGTTACTACAAACTTTGTCTTAGGATGACTGAGTTTGCTAGTTCTGAAACATCACTGGTAGGATGTTAAGATGATTATTTTAGTCATGGTGCTTAGTGAAATTGTAATTGGAGAAGCGGTTGTTAAAAAGTCTGTTTTTGATACTTCCTTGTTTAACATGCACTGGTTAGTAGCTGGCTTAAGAATCTCTTTGGGCCAGGACTAGAGTGAGGTCAATGAGGCGCAGAATTTAAGAGAATGCTAAAAATTGCAATAATTAAAATAAATGATTTTTCATGCAATATTTAAAAAATAAAAATTAATGCAAAAAAACCATGAGGTATACAATATTAACATTTTAAATAATGACAAGACCTGATGGGGCAGGATTAAGGTGAGGGGAGTAAAGCCATGTTACACAGATACAAAAAACATTCAGTAATCGCAATGGTTCCCTCACCTCACCTGGCCCTGCTGTTCTTCCTTCCTCATGAGAATAGTATCAAGCTTAATTAGATAAATTCTCCAAAGGGCCTTGGCCATCCTCACACCTCTTAGGTAGATAAAAGGCAACATTTCACAACTCAAAGCCTCTCCTGCATGTAAATACCTCTGCTTAGTCAACACATGTGGAGTCTGTGGCCTCTAGAAATTTCTGATAAGACAAGGTGGGATGTTTCCACCTACAGCAGTGTTCTCAGTCATTTTTCTTTGCCATTTTCTTGCTGAGATGCTACCATTTCCAGCAGCTCCGCTTGAGTTGTTTGGCCTACAGTCTAGGGAAGAAGTGGTGGTTCTGCACAATGCCCAGCACTCTAATTCCACCACCTTTGGTTTTTCTAATTTGAGACACACAGATTTTGAAAATGGATGTTCTAGGATGGTGTTTTTCAAGCTATGGATCATGATGTATCAGTGAGTTGTAAAATAAAGTTACTGGGTTGTGACTAACATCTCTTAAAAATAAAATGGAATCGGCCAGGTGCGGTGGCTGATGCCTGTAATCCCAGCACTTCAGGAGGCTGAGGCGGATGGATCACCTGAGGTCAGGAGTTTGAGACCAGCCTGACCAACATGGAGAAACCCTGTCTCTACTAAAAATACAAAATTAGCTGGGCATTGTGGTGCATGCCTGTAATCCCAGCTACTTGAGAGGCTGAGGCAGAAGAATCGCTTGAACCCAGGAGGTGGAGGTTGTGGTGAGCTGAGACCGGGCCATAGCACTCCAGCCTGGGCAGTAAGAGTGAAACTCCGTCTCAAAAAAAAAAAACAAAAAAAAACTAAAGCTAAAACTAAATAAAATGGAATAGAGCAGAATAGAAAATCTGAAAAGGTTTAAGTATTGGTGTGTGTGTGTGTGTACTTCTCCGAGGTTTATTAATGTGGATTGCAACTTAAAAAATGAAAAGTTTGAAAGCCACTGATACAGAGCCCTAGACTGAAAACCAGAGACTTGTATTTCAGGCCTGTGCTGCTTCTAACTGGCTGCAGCATCTCCATGGCAGATTGTGTAGTTTTCTTTTGGTCTCAGTCTTCTCATTTGTAAGATGGAAAGAAGGGTTGGACCAGATGATTTCTAAGGTCTTTCCAGCTCTAAACTTTTATGTCTTTACGAAACCTTGAATGAGAGAAGTCTTTGATGTGACTTTGTTAATTTTGGTAATTTGGGTAGCCTTTGCCAAAAGACCACTGCGGCTAGGCGCGGTGGCTCATGCTTGTAATCTCAGCACTTTGGGAGGCTAAGGCAGGCGGATCTCTTGAGTCAGGAGTTCGAGACCAGCCTGGCCAACATGGCAAAGCCCCCATCTCTACTAAAAATACAAAAAATTAGCCAGGTGTGGTGGTACACGCCTGTAGTCTCAGCTACTCAGGATGCTGAGGCAAGATAATCGCTTGAACTCGCGAGGCAGAGGTTGCAGTGAGGTGAGATTCTGCCACTGCACTCCAGTGTGCGTGACAGAGCGAGACTCCATAAAAAAAAAAAAAATCACTGACTTTAGGAAAGAAGGTGGTTTTAGAAAGACTAAGGTACCTAATATAGAAAAGGAAAGAGTGCAGATGAACCATGGTTCCTTTTTTGTAGGAAAGATTGTACTATTTTGGAGAACGGCGAACAGATAAAACCAATGGCACTAAATATCAGGGAGTAGAAACTCCTTCTCAGGTAAGTTTTCGTTTTAAGAAAGGGAGCTTTTGTAGGGGAGTGGGTTAAGATTGCCATCTGTTATTTGGTTTCATTTTAGACTCTTCTCCTTTGGTGATCAGTCAGCAGCATTAGGGCACCCTGCGACAGGCCTTGGTCCCTCCCTGATGCTAAGGGTCATGCTTCAGGTGCCACCCACACGTTGGGGGGTCTGGCTTCTCCTCAGAGCATCCTGCTTTCTATTCTATACTGGTTATTGTTTACGGAGCTCAGGAGTTGATTATTTTCCCAAAGCAGGAAAGTCCAATACCTAAGGCTCCAGGACCCTGAAGTTTATCTAAAATCACCAGCCTTTGATTTCAATGTAAAAAAGATCTAAGTCTTTCACAGATCCTTATTAGGGCAATTCAACCCTTGCAGAACATCACAAAGACTGTTTTTGGGTGACTCCCGTGTGTGTGTGTGTGTGTGTGTGTGTGTGTGTGTGTGTGTGTGTGGTGGGGGAGGTGTATTTTAAAAGAGAAAGAAAAGGGGAAATAAACTTTTCAAAAACCCTTTTATATACCAGACAGTACTGCACTTTTACATATCTCATTGAAAACCCATAACACCTATATGAAACATATGCTGTTACTCTGTTTTTTCTTTTAAAAATAATTTCGTTATGGAAAACTTTAATCATATACAAAAGTCCAGAGAATCATACAATATATCTCCATGTAGTCATCACTTCGCTGCAACAATCATTTCAGCCTGCAACTGGCCACGTTTCATCCATACTTTTCCCACTCCACTCACACCCCCAACCCCACTCTCCACTCTTGCTTTCCCCAAACCTGGATTATTTGGAAGGAAATTTCAGTCATCAGATCATTTTATCCCACAAGTATTTTAGTATGACATCTAAGTACTCTTAAAACAACAACAAAAAACCCTTAATAACTTTTATCATATCTGAAATATTACACCTTAAAAATCCTTAATATCAAATTTCTAGTCCATGTTTGTTTCCAAAATTGTCTTAAAATCTTTGAAAATTTAGTTTGTTTCAGTCAGAATTCAAACAACATCCACACATTTCATTTGGTCGCTATGTCTCCTAAGTCTCTTTTAGTTCATAGATTTCTTGCCATTTTTTATTGCTTGTAATTTGTTTACTGCAGAAACCAGAATGTTTATCGTATAGCATTTACAACATTCTAGACTTTGCTGAACCATTCTAAGAGTTTTACATTCACTATCTCATTTAATATTCTCAGTAACTCTATGAGTAGGCACTACTATGATTCTCATCTTATAAATTAGAAAATTGAGGTTCAGAGAAATTAACTTTTGAACCAAGGACTGAAATCTAGATGTCAGACTCTGAAGCCCATGCTGTGCACAGCTTCTCATTTATATTGCCTTTTCTATATTGCCCCTCAAACCGAAGTGAGAGTGGGTTGGGAATTCTCAAATAGATTTGGATGTGGCTGTAAATGAGTTTTTCTTTAGGTGGTGGGAACTGAATAAGTACTCTTGGCCCTGTTATAAGAACACTAACTACTGTCCCCGTTTAGTTTGGGCAAAAGAACTCAGCCTTATCCACTGATACTTTTCTCCCACACCCAAGCCAAAAACAAAACCAGACAAAGAACAGTCATAGACCCTAAGCGAAAAGGAATGTGTGGATTTACTGAAGTGCAGCCCTACTCATGCCATTTCCATGCTCAAAATCCAGAGTATGTCCCCACTGCCAGTAGCAATAAACTAAATGTTTCAACCTGGCACTCAAGATCCACAGTTTGACTTTTCCAACCTTTTCTTCCACTATGTGCATGCACACATCCCACACTCTAACACATTTAGACTGTGTGCTGTTTCCCAGCCCATGGACACTTGATTCCCTCGTGCCATTTCTCATGCCCCTTTTCCTAGAGTCCCTTTCCCTTCCCAGCCTGAAGTAGTCTCTTGCTTTTTCAGTTCCTAAAGCCCTTTGTGTTTCTCTTAGGGATGATATCACTTTGCATTGTTCTCTAGCTATTTGAAGTGGTGACTTCTGTTTCCCCTTTAAAGGCAAGGCCCATGGCTTACCCATCTTTCCACCCTTTCCTCATAATATCTTCTTTGTTTGTAGTGAGTACCTCCTATGGGTTGGTTGTATGAATTTCTACTACCAGTCCATGTTGTTTTAAGTTGTAGTAGAAAGAAGCATGGGAGCAAAAGCAGCTTGAGGGCCCTGGCAGGTTACAGCCTTTAGGGGAAGGTGGAGAATCTGGTGGCAGGAGCCAAGGAGATGTTAGATAGAGCTCCTTCAGCAACTCACCCCACACGTCTCCCCATCCCCATCTCTTCTGTAGTCATGCATAGTTTCCCGAACTTTAGTCCAGAACTAGCACACCAAAGGCTGCAACTGAATCTCTTCTGATTGACTGAGAAGGCAACACAGGGTCTCAGCTGCACATTTGAGAGATGTGTTGGCAAGACCTCAGGACAGAGTGCCCTCTGTGTCTGGTGGTGATTCTCGGATACCATCACATTCTGATCCTGCATTGTGGGCCATTCTACTGACTACATCTACTCCTAAGTTAAGAACTTTCATGAGCCTTCCTCATGACTGGCCCTTTCTAAAGGAAAGTATGGCAGTTTGTTACTTCTATGAACATTTCTCAATGGGTAAGATAGAGTCCATGAACTTATGAGTACTTCTTCTTTTTTTTTTTTTTGGAGACAGAATCTGTCTGTCACCCAGACTGGAGTGCAGTGGTGCAGTCTCAGCTCACTGCAACCTCGACCTCCTGGGTTCAAGCAATTCTCCTGCCTCAGACTCCCAAGTAGCTGGGATTACAGGTGCCCACCACCACGCATGGCTAATTTTTGTAGCTTTAGTAGAGACGGGGTTTCACCCTGTTGGCCAGGCTGGTCTCGAACCCCTGACCTCAAGTGATCTGCCCACCTCGGCCTCCCAAAGTGCTGAGATTACAGGTGTGAGCCACCAGCGCAGCCAACTTTTGAGTTCTGAACCAGTTGATTCAGTACCAGAGCTCTTCAACTCCTTGAAGATAGATTCAAGGAGAGCCACTGTGAACAGCTTGCCCTAGGAAAAGGACAAGGCTAAGGGAATTCCGGGGCTTCCTTGTGAAAACAGAATTGGGGAAATGGAAAGTGAAGAAATCCTAGCTGTCAGGAACAAGAGAAGAATGACAGGAAACCTGCTACTGAGATATGGAGGTATTCCTCTTGAGTTTTCACATATGGCATTCTCTCATGCCCAGGAACCTGCTCTTCACTAAACCACACACCTTCCTCTAACTCAGTCACAACTAAGCTTCTATCTGCACACTGCTAATGCTGTAACTGTTTTGTTGTTGGTTCTGATTAGTTGCCCTCTCAACCATAAGCAGCCTGTCAACAAGACCTGGCTCCATCCTTGTCACTTCCCCATAGCACTTAATTCAGTATTTTTTCCCCAAGGTAGATAGTTGTGAGGCAGCATCCCTCAAAATATCTAGTAACATAATGGCATCCAGTAAATGTTTCCTTAATTATTTACTGCCCTTAACCTTTATGCAAAAAAAAAAAAAAAAAAAAGGGAAAACTGAAAATAGGAATGCTGACTTCAGGCTTTTCATCTCCACTTAAAGTAAGGCTTCTGTTGCTTTTCAGAATAGATATGTTGGATATTTTGCACAAGTGAAACATAGCTACAACTGGAATCTCCCTCCAAGAAAAACACTGTTTATAAAAAGATTAGTTATTTATTCGATTCATGGTAAGTGTTTATGTAAAATTGAAGAATTGGGCAGGAGGGCCAAGGTTCCCACTCTGGGAGGGTTTTGCTCATTGTTATATACACAGATGATCCTAACTTATACCTGTCTTTTTACGTATCCTCATGCATAAACTCCTCCTTAGGTATGCCCCTCCTCCTGGAATTGCCCATTGATTGCCAGCCCTTAGATGTTCTTCACTTTTTCTTTTCCATCACCAATTTGGAGGACTTCATCCCCTTCCCATCTCTCCTGTTCTCTTTGCTCTTCTGGTCACAACCCAAGGTGGACTTTTCAGGGCAGAGTGAGCCTCTGATGAGGGAGGAGGAGGTCCCATGTGCCTTCAAGACTGGTTATTTCTCAAACCACCTCTAGTTGAGAGTTTGTCTTGGTGGAGGTGTCTCCATATCATATCATTTTCTTACCTTCTTTCAGAGGCATATTTTTTTCTCATCCCCCTGGGCTCTCTCTTTCCCCTCTGTCCTCCATCTGTAACCCTCTCACTCCCAGCCACTCCCATACCTTGTGGCTCTCACTCCCAGCCACAGTGCTGGGGGTCAAGAAGAGCCTCCTAGGAGGAGCGCTTAGGTCTTCCCTGCCTGAATCTACATGAAAATGGAAAGGGTTGCGAGAGAGTGGGGCTCTATGGAGGTATCTTTCACCCACCTAGCTGTTACCGAGTATTAGCAGTTGTAAAAATCCATATAAACATCATGAGAGCTATTTGCCTGCTTCCAGAATGTAAGCAGAGAGATAAAGCTGGGATGCACTGTTGCCCAGGGACGCAGGCAAATTGGTCAGTCGTACACCTTCGGGACTTGAGAAAGAAAGTGCAGAGAGAAACTGGCCTCCATTTCCATGTCCATTTCTCCATCACCAACCTTGCTTCCCCTGCACAGCTTAACACTCAGTAGAGGTGGGAAAGCAGGATGTGTCTGTGTAGAGGGGATGGGGTCTCACCACTCCCACTGCCAGAGAGGTAGCAGGGAGGTGATGCATCTGAACCCCTAAAGGAAACCTCTTATAACAGCCAGCGTGTGGACCTGAGGTGGTGCCACTGCTGGGTGTTATAGGTGCCATGGTGCCGGGGTGCTTGTGTCCACACAGAGAGCCTAGTATTTTTAGCCTCCTGAGTTTCGTTCTGCATTTCACTGATTTCTGGTGGACATCAATAGAAAGAAGTTCTGCACCTGGAATGGGAAAGAGGGAACTGAGGCAAGAAACTGATTTCTAATGACCAATGAATATCATGGTGTTAGTGAAAACAAAATTAAATGAAAAGAAAACAAACGGCATATGAGATGATCAATCAAGAATAATTAATACACTTGTTTATTAGAATATTTGTTTTAATTCTCTACTTTTAGTTTTGTGCCATTTTAAATTAAAAATAATGTAGAGTTGAGATGAAAGCAATAAAAAATTAATTGGAGCCTGAGAAACAAAGCCTTTGAGGAAATGCTAAGGAAGCGGGTCATTTGAATTGAAAAAAAAAAAGGGCAAAAGAGCCTTTGTCTGTAAATATATATTGAATACCTTGGGAATTTTTGGATATAACCTATATTTTTATAGAGATTGCATCAGGAACTAGACTTAAAGTAGGGCCAAAGTAATTTAGACCACAGTATTTCTTATTAAGAATCATTATGATTAGAAGTCTGAAGGAAGCAACACATTAGCAAGAAAGGTGTCAAGTCACCTTCCCTAAATATAGATATATCTATATTTATTCCCTAAATATATATATATATATTCCCTAAATATAGATATATATATTTATTCACTTTGGAGACAGAGTCTTGCTCTAAGTCTCACTCTGGTCCAGGCTGGAGTGCAGTGGTGCGATCTCGACTCACTTCAACCTCCACCTCCCAGGTTCAAGCGATTCTCCTGCCTCAGCCTCCCAAGTAGCTGGGACTACAGGCATGCACCACCACACCGGGCTAATTTTTGTGTATTTTTAGTAGAAACGGGGTTTCACCATGTTGATCAAGCTGGTCTTGAACTCCAGACCTCAAAAGATCCACCTGCCTAGCCTCCCAAAGTGTTAGGATTACAGACGTGAGCCACCGTGCCCAGCCATTTTTTTTCCCTTTTTAATCCATAATGTTAATTGGCAAGACATTTTGATCTTCACACTAACCAACCTAACTTTTTAATTTCATTTAGGTGTTGGAACAGGCGATGGATATGATCTAAAAGTCCAAATAGTAATGAAGAAAAAGATTGTCTTTTCCTGCACTTCCTTAAACAGTTGTCGGGTAAGAGAAAACATGTGAATAGAAAAAAATCTGATGTTTGTTTTAAGGCTGAATGTCAAACCAGCAATGTTGACTTCCCTAAACTATCACTTACCATAAAGAGATTCCACGATGCTTTCTGGTTACCATCGTGGTGTCACTGGATTTGAATGCAAACCAGAGATAAATTAACCTGTTTGTTCAAAACAGTTTTTTCAGGGTACTTTCCAGAATTTATTTCTGTTCAGTGTTGCTTTGCCTTTCACTTTTCCACAAATGCTGAGCATGTTCCCAGGAATGTATTAAGGATTTTAATTTACATGTCTGGTCATTTTTAGCCATATTCTCCTCTTCTCGGTCATTTTATCTTTTATTATATAGCACTGATTCTAAAATGTTAGTGTGCATGAAAACCACTGAGAAGCTTGTAAAGATTTACATTCCTAGGTTGTACTCTAAAGTATGATTCAGGAAATCTGGAATGGGGGCAGGAATCTATAGACTTAGCAGTGTCCCAAGTGATTCTTCTAAGTCAGAGGTTCTGTGGGATGACCCTGTGAGAAACAATGCACGAGTGAATGAATTGGGGAGGAATCTCTTTATCCAAAGCAAAAGGGACCTGGTAGTCAATGTTTTGCTACAATGAAGAAATGCCTAAAACTATATACCTTTTCTGAAACAATGAGAAAGCTTCCTTCATGGGTCTAATAACCATAAACTTTTAGAATTCCTACCCAGGTCTTTGTCTCAAATTCTTTTATTACTAATCCTATTCCCTGGCTCTCTGCACTGCACCCACTTTTTTTGGCCTCTCCCAACTGAGGGCATTCACCCAGGCCTGATCCTTGGCTTTCTGTTCTTAGCAAATGCTTTATTCTTGGTTAAAGAATCACCCATTTCCCTTACTTAAACTATTATTTGTTCATTTACTGACGAGGTATTTCTAGTCGCCCACTGAGTTGTAGATGCAAGAGCTGCAACATGAACAGTTTCCACTCGAACTGAAACGCAGTAGCCAGTCTGAATTATCAAGGAGCTTTCTCTGCTTCTGCAAATGGTAGCAGCATTCTCCCACTCAGGCCTTGGGCTTTGATTCTCTTTGCCTTGGCTCCCTAAATCCAGTTAGGCATCAATCCCTGTTGATGATGCCTTTGAAATGTTTCTGTGCTCGCCTTCCTTTCTGTTCTCACTGCCACTAACTGTCCAGAACCTCATTTGCTCATGCCTAGATTTCTACAATCCTCTCCTTACCTTTTCTTGATTCTTATATAATGCAATGTATAGAATCCTGAAATATGCGTACTGAAATATTGCTCTCATTGTGAAAAGTTGTAGGTAGAGCAGAAGACACACTGCATGCCCATGGTCGAAGCCAGTTAACATCTTTGGCTTAACATCCTTACCTGTAAAATAAATATCACACCTCAAGTGTTATGGGAATTAAATTAGATAATATATATATGAAGTTGCTTTGTAAACTATAAATCACTAACTAAATGTTATATGTGATAATTATCAGGCCTCTTTGTCACATAGGAAATATCCCACGATATTCTTCAAAAGCCTCACTCTTATTTCCTTGGCTCTTGAACTCTTAAGATATAATAGCCCTAACATACCTGAGCTTATTTTTATCAGTAGCTCGACCAGCAGACTCCATTCCAAATAAACTGGGTCATCCCCTTTGGCTCTTGGAACACAACTCTAAGTTATTTAGTTAGTTAGTTGGTTATTTCTTTCTTTTCTTCCTTCCTTCCTTTCCTTTTTTTTTCCTTGAGTCAGGGTCCCATTCTGTCCCAGGCTGTAGCACAGCGGCGCGATCATGGCTCACTGCAGCCTCAACTTCCTGAGCTCAAGCAGTCCCCCAATATTTTTTTTATTTTTTGTAGATATTGGGTCTTGCTATGTTGCCCAGGCTGGTCTCAAACTCCTGAGCTCAAGCAACCCTTCCACCTCAGCCTCACAAAGTGCTGGGATTATAGACATGAGCCACACTGCCTGACCTTTTTTGTTGTTTTTCTCATTTCTACTTTGCGTTATTGCTGGTCTTTTTCCCTCTGTATGGACTAGATTCTATTTTCAGAGCTTTCATGCCCAATTCAGTTTCTACCTCCTCAATGAAATTTTCTGCACCTCCTGTTAACTAGCCTTCAATGGTGCATAAGAGCACACCCAGTCTTCATCATACAGATTGAGAATTATATTCCATTCTACAATTGTTTCTTTTTTTCTTTTTTCTTTTTTTTTTTTTTGAGACGGAGTCTCGCTCTGTCGCCCAGGCTGAAGTGCAGTGGTGCCATCTTGGCTCACTGCAACCTCCACCTCCCGGGTTCACGCCAGTCTCCTGCCTCAGCCTCCAGAGTAGCTGGGACTACAGGCGCCCGCCACAATGCCCGGCTAATTTTTTATATTTTTTTAGTAGAGACGGGCTTTCACCGTGTTAGCCAGGATGGTCTCGATCTCCTGACCTTGTGATCTGCCCACCTTGCCCTCCCAAAGTGCTGGGATTACAGGCATGAGCCACCAGGCCCGGCCTCTGCGATTGTTTCTTATGTGTATAGCTCCCTGAAGGGACCAACTGAGTCTGCACCTCCTTTTGTGTTTTTCACAGGGCCTAGCATAGATCCTTCTTACTGTGGGTGCCATTATTTATACGAGAGTGAGTCAAAGAAATAGTATATCTTCAAAGTCATTCATTCCAAAACTTGAACTATCTTTGGTCACTCCATCTGCAGCCGGTAATGGTCAAGTCCAAAGATCCCACTGACAAACACAAGAGTTCTGATAAAACACGATGATCGGGGGACCCCACCCTCCCCTCTCTTGGGAGGGGCAGGTGGGCCCACCCCCCAAGTGTTACAGACCCCTGTTGTTATTTTTTAAATTTAGTAAATAAAAGACCGTGAGTTAAGCATTGTTTTTAGAATGTCAAGGCTAGCTTTAAAATTGAGCTTCTCAGCATGTTCTCAAAAGAGGCCCTAATGTATGAAAATCAAATGACACACATTAAATAACAATATTTAACTGATTAAAGTGTCTAATAGAAAATTCAATAGTTTTGAAAAGGGAGACACTTTTGAAAAGTGCCTCATGATAACCCTCAAACATGTTGGCCTTTAAAAATCATAAACAACAGGGTGGGCATGGTGGCTCACCCCTGTAATCCCAGCACTTTGGGAGGCCCAGGTAGGCAGATCACTTGAGGCCTGGAGTTTGGGACCAGCCTGACCAATATAGCAAAACCCCATCTCTACTAAAAGTACAAAAACTAGTTGGGTGTGGTGGCATGCGCCTATAGTCCCAGCTACTCGGGAGGATGAGGCACAAGAATCACTTGAACCTGGGAGGCAGAGGTTGCAGTGAGCTGAGATCACACGACTGCACTCCAGCCTGGGTGACAGTGAGACTGTCTCAAAAAAAAAAAAAAAAAAAAAAAATATATATATATATATATATATATGTATATATATATACACGCACACATACACACATACAGACACACATACATATAAACAACAGTATTGCAACTAGAAAAGATTATTAATAATTATTTATACATGTAGTGATTGGTCTGTGAGACCAAAAGTACTTGATAAATATAGGAAGTCTTGATAAGTGAAAAGGAACTTCATTGTTATCATTAGCTAGGTTTATAGTTCTAAATTCCATGTTCATTCACAGGTATTTCATGACACTGAAACAGACAGGGTAATAATTGATGTGTTCAACTGTCCACCTCTGTATGATGATGTGAAAGTGCAAGCTTCCTCTTCGGTGAGTAATCAAGAAACGGCCTCTGCCACTGTTCTTATCTGAACTTTTGAATGGTTTTATTTAAGGTTTCCTTTACTACAGTTCCCAACAAGGGAGATGATAGATGTCATCCCATAGAGGGAGGGGGAGAAAATAAATCAGATCTATAACAATTTTTTTAAAAGAACATATGTAATTTGAATAATTTTTGTTCATTTGTTTTTTCTAAATTGTACATTTTCTAAATTTTTCTAAATTTTTCTAAATTTACATGTATTAATTCACAAATCCAAAAAATAGAAAATAAATACAAAAAAAATAAAAGCCAAGATGCTAAAAAACCAAAGGTATGTTTTACTGCATAGCAGTGATTACATTTTGTTTTGCATCATTTTTAATATTACAAATTGAGACAGGTTCTCACTCTGTCACCCCAGCTGGAGTGCAGTGGTGTGACCATAGCTAACTGCAGCTTCACCTCCTGGGCTCATGCAGTCCTCCCACCTCAGCCTCCTGAGTAGCTGGGAGCACTGACTTGAAAGAGAGTTAGGTTTGGGTGACTCAGTTGGGTGAAGCACAGAGAAGGCAGCACAATACAACACATGAAATAACCAAAGCAGTTTTTTATTAATTCCAGAGAGAAGAGGGCAGCACACCTCGCAGGGCTAACTGGAAGGGGGAGCCATCCAGGAGACCTGTGCTCAACTGATGGGTGGGGAGCAATAGCGAGAACGAGGGAGGGACCTGAGAGTGGAAGCCTTTATTGGGATGTAAGGTGTTACCTGAGCAGGTTTCCTACGGGGAGGTCTAACTGGTGGATTTAATGCAAGCAGTCATGAGTTCCATGGAGTCATGCTGTGACTGAGAGGTGGTCATTGATATATCCACATGGTCCATGCAGAGTATGGGGGTCTGTAGGGAGGTTATATCTAGCTGTCCCATAATGAAGTAGTCACCAACAGAAGGTTGTATAAGGCAGATACTGGGATCAGTCACATTGAGAAACCTGGAGGAGGTGAACTGGAAACTGTCAAGGGTGACTGAACCCTGCTTCTGATATCAGAAAGTCCAATTTATATTTGAAAGGGATGCTGAGGCACAAAAAAATTGTAAGAATTCACTACAAAAATACTTGGCTATATATAAGGATAGGTCCTTAGTAGATTCTGTTTAGCACTATCTAAACCAGATTCAAATTTCAGCATTTAAATTAAATATCTATCATGGAAAATAAACTATTCCTTGAAAATTTTGATAGAAATAGCAAGAGAAAGCAATAGCATTTTCTTAAGCCTCCTCCTCTGTGTCTTGAGTGTGTTGTTATAGAATGCAGAGTGCTACATATTGAATGGTTATAATTATTTGATAAATATATAAAGGAATAAAGGAAGGAACTTTGATTTCTTTGGAATGATTAGTTCTTGGCATCAATTTTACTTTTAAAATATTTTTTTTTTCTTTTTAGGATTTTCCTAAATACTATCACAACTACCCTTTTTTCTTCTGGTTTAACACATCTTTAATACAAAATAACAAGTATGTATATAATATCAACCCATAGAAACAACCTAATCTTCAATGTCTATGTATAAGATGTAATGGCAAGTCTTTTGCTGGTTGTCATAAGCTTAATTTATAGAAAACAAAAAATCCTCGAGCCACCATTGTTCATTGTCTTACTCCTTTTACTTTGGCTATTTTAAAAATACAGTTGTTCTTGAGACCCCCGGTTGCAGCATCCTCAAGGTCCATGCCATAGGACTGTGTTATGAGCTCAAAAGTATTATAATCAGATCTTAAGTGTGGAAGTAAATTCCTCCCAGAGAAGTTCAATATGAATCTGCTCAGTACCTTCAACATGTCAGGTCCTCAGTAGGTGCTGATTTACCAATGACGAACCACCACCAAATTTTGTGCTAAAGTAAGGGAGGACCTAGGGAAGCTTCAGCTAGCTGAAAAGCTGACTGACACACTTATATCTAAGAGAAGTTACAAGACACAGTAAGTATTAAGAAATACAGCTAAAAAATCATTAAAATTGATAGTCTCCCATTTAAACATGGGTTTCTAATAACTGAATTGGGAAAACTTTCTTAAAAACTATTAATTGGAGGCTGGGTGTGGTGGCTCATGCCTGTAATCCTAGCACTTTGGGAGGCTGAGGCGGGCGGATCACCTAAGGTTGGAAGTTCGAGACCAGCCTGGCCAACATGGTAAAACCCTGTCTCTACTAAAAATACAAAAATTAGCCAGGCGTGGTGGCACATGCCTGTAATCCCAGCTACTCAGGAGGCTGAGCCAGTAGAATCGCTTGAACCCAAGAGGCAGATTGCAGTGAGCCGAGATCGCACCACTACACTCCAGCCTGGGCGACAGAGTGAGACTCTGTCTAAAGAAAAAAGCAAAAAAACAGAACAACTATTACTTGGATTTGGAGATTATTGTTCCCAGAAAACCTTCTGCCATATTTGGAAACTTATTTCTCAGTCTAGAAGTTCTCCACTTTAAGTAGCATTTGTTCTGTGCTGGTGAAAAACTGAGACTTTTTTGTATCAACCATACTCTTCAATACAAAAAGAGAAAATATTTTTAAAATGCTTCAGGTCACAGTTGAGGCAGTTGCTATGATTGCATGTGGCATGAATTGGTAGTTATCGGTACAACCAGTTCTAGTCTTTTCTTCAAATCTGAGCTGGATCTAATAACTCCTTAAGTCCAGCAAGGCAACAGTAAATTAAACCTCTGGTCTACACACTTGCAATACATACACATTTAATAGATTTTGATAGAGTGAACTTTGGATTGGATGGAAATTTTTTACAAATTTGTTTCTTGGATGCATACAAACAATAAGCTTTGATTCCTAACATGAGCAAAGTCCCTCAAATGTGAGAGCTGGGTGGAGCTTCATTTGTTGCTGCTCCTCAGATTGATTCTTGGTAAAGGATACAGTTTTTTTCCTTTGAAACACCATGTTCATTTTGGGGAAGGAATAAGTTAGATCACCTTTATTTTCACTTTTATATAAATTTCTAAAGATTTCTGTAATATTTAAATTTATATACTATTGGTAAAGCTGTTTTTCTTAGTTGTGAAATTGTTGTTTAGCCAAAAATGCCAACTTCTGTCTTTTAGAACACTAGGCATAAATGGGTTAACCAATTTATGCCTAGTGTTCCATTATTGGAATGCTAAGCATGTGGGATTTATTTATATCCTACTGCTCAAGGTCATCGCCAAGGGCTGATTGCAAAAATTCAAAAAATTGCAACCTCAGGCATAAATTAAAAGAGATATAGTATTTTATTATTGGGTTTTGATACATGTCTAATCAGACTGATTTCTGTCACATATAGAAATTTAGATACTGTATTAAACCTAGATGTCATTAATTCCATAAAAAGCAACGTTAAAAGAATCAGTAGCATGTGTTACTGATGTGTTGCTGAAGATTAAGATATTTTTAAGTCTCACCGAAAAGGTAGAAGGAGCCAACTGAGACACAAAAAAGGGGCTGAGGTTCTATTCATGGTGAGCAAGTCTTTTTTTTGTTTGTTTCTTCAAGCTCTAACAAGGGTGCCTACTACATGGCTTTTCAGTTAACTCCAAAATAAAATGTAACAATTTTTTTTCTATTCTTAGGCTTTATCTACAAAGAAATGAATTGGATAATCTTCATAAACAAAAAACTGGAAAATTTATCAACCAGAATATGCAGTAGAGACATATTTTGATGAGAAATGACTTAAGTTATGTTGTAACTGGTAGCTGATTAAGTATAGTTCCCTGCACCCCTTCTGGGAAAGAATTATGTTCTTTCTAACCCTGCCACATAGTTATATGTTCTAAATCTTCCTTGCTGGTACATCTATATTGATATATGTATACACATGTTCTTTATAAATCTATTAAATATATACAGATAAAATGTCAGGTTTTTTTTCTTTTTGAAGGCATATATTTCACAGTTTGCATCTTGTATTTACATACATTTGGAACACAGTACTTAGGAACATTAGGCGTCATTTTGAAGAACTTTGAAATAGAACTTTCGTATCAAAATAATTGAGAGATAATTAAAAATTGTGATCCCCCAACACCCACTTACTTATACATTTTTGGTCAGGTATTTATTCCCTGCTTTTTTTCACATTTGTAATTTCAGGTTTATTAGAAAGCTAATTTATATTTTTCCTTCTACTCGATTTACAAACTGTTAACAGATTGGCAGCAAAGACTAAGTTTTAAACCCAGAAGAGAGAAATATTTCACACAAGCAGTCCCCCAACTCCCAACACACACTTTTCTCTTGTTCCAAGCACTAAATGGGTAGCTTACTTAACAAGCTTCCTTTAATTACACACAGACATGGGGGTTGGGGTAAGAAGGGCGTAGTAAATATGAAGGAGAAGTAACCTTCAGTAACTTCTGCTTTTGTATAAAATTGTAAGTGAAGTCAAAAGAAATATTTGTTCTTAGAGTAATTTAGGTGTATTATTTTGAAATCCACTACTCCTGCTCACAACCAATGTCACCTAAGCCCTGGGGGAACTCTGAAGGGAGGTAATCTTTTCATTGAAAACAGTGGTTAGCCCTGTGTCCACAGGGAATCATTATTATTTCCTCATTGGTGCTGGATGCTACTTTTTTATTAAACACTTTTTTTTTTTTTTTGAGACAGTCTCACTCTGTCACCCAGGCTGGAGTGCAGTGGCACGATCTCAGCTCACTGCAACCTCTACCTCCTAGGTTCAAGTGATTCTCCTACCTCAGTCTCCTGAGTAGCTGGGATTACAGGTGCACGCCACCACACCTGGCTAATTAAACAAAATTTTTTATTTTTATTTTGTACTTTTTGAGATGGGGTCTCACTCTGGTTGCCAAGACTGGAGTGCAGTAGTAAGATCTTGGCTCACTGCAGCCTCAACCTCCTGGGCTCAGGTGATTCTCTCACCTCAGCCTCCCCAGTAGCTGGGACTATACGTGCATGCCACCATGCTTGGCTAATTTTTGTATTTTTAGTAGAGATGGGGTTTCACCATGTTGGCCAGGCTGGTCTTGAACTCCTGACCTCCAGTGATCCACCCGTCTCGGCCTCCCAAAGTGTTGGAATTACAGGCATGTGCCACCGTGTCTGGCCACTTTTATACCATTAGCAACATGCAGAGTAGTGGAAGAGGTTGTCTGAACCAGATTTGAGGAGTTGAAGGGTCAGAAATGTCTGAGAAAATGCAAGGGAACCCACCTTTCTTTTTCTTTTTTTTTTTTTTAAACAGAGTCTCTGTTGCCTAGGCTGGAGTGCAGTGTTGTAATCTCGGCTCACTGCAACCTCCGTCTCCCAGGTATAGGTGATTCTTCTGCCTCAGCTTCCCAAGTAGCTGGGATTATAGGTGCCTGCCACCACGCCAAGCTAATTTTTGTGTTTTTAGTAGAGATGGGGTTTCACCATGTTGGCCATGCTAATCTCAAACTCCTGACCTCAGGTGATCCACTTGCCTTGGCCTCCCAAAGTGCTGGGATTACAGGTGTGAACCACCATGCCCAGCCAGGTGAAATCATTTCAATACAAATTCTAAACAGAAGAAAAAGATTGAACTGAAACCACCCTACAACATCCCCAGAACCTACACTAGGGTTAGTGTCATGATAACTGCCAATGGTTAGTGTTTACCATCTCCCCCTGTACCTGAAAGGAGCCCTTAAAGCTTCATCAAAATGCAAAAGAAGGCTTACAAAAAATATTTAAGAATTGCATATGGCTAGCCAGTTTTCCCAACACCATTTATTAAATAGGGAATCTTCTCCCCATTGCTTGTTTGTGTCAAGTTTGTCAAAGATCAGATGGTTGTAGATGTGTGGTGTTATTTCTGAGGCCCCTGTTCTGCTCCATTGGTCTATATATCTGTTTTGGTACCAGTATCATGCTGTTTTGTTTGCTGTAGCTTTGTAGTATAGTTTGAAGTCTGGTAGCGTGATGCCTCCAGCTTTGTACTTCTTGCCCAGGATTGTCTTGTCTATGCGGGCTCTTTTTTGGTTCCATATGAAGTTTAAAGTAGTTTTTTCCAAGTCTGTGAAGAAAGTCAGTGGTAGCTTGATGGGGATAGCATTGAGTGTATAAATTACTTCGGGCAATATGGCCATTTTCACGATATTGATTCTTCCTATCCATGAGCATAGAATGTTTTTCCATTTGTTTGTGTCCTTTCTTATTTCCTTGAGCAGTGGTTTGTAGTTCTCCTTGAAGAGCTCGTTCACATCCCTTGTAAGTTGTATTCCTAGGTATTTTATTCTCTTAGTAACAATTGTGAATGGGAGTTCACTCATGATTTGGCTCTCTGTTTGTCTATTATTGGTGTATAGGAATGCTTATGATTTTTGCACATTGATTTTGTACCCTGAGAGTTTGCTGAAGTTGCTTATCAGCTTAAGGAGATTTTGGGCTGAGACGATGGGGTTTTCTAAATATACAATCACGTCATCTGCAAACAGAGACAATTTTACTTCCTCTCTTCCTATTGGAATATGCTTTATTTCTTTCTCTTGCCTGATTGCCGTGGCCAGAACTTCCAATAATACTATGTTGAATAGGAGTGGTGAGAGAGGGCATCCTTGTCTTGTGCCAGTTTTCAAAGTGAATGCTTCCAGTTTTTGCCCATTCAGTATGATATTGGCTGTGGGTCTGTCATAAATAGCTGTTATTATTTTCAGATATGTTTCACTGATACCTAGTTTACTGAGAGTTTTTAGCATGAAGGGGTGTTGAATTTTGTCAAAGGCCTTTTCTGCATCTATTGAGATAATCATGTGGTTTTTGTCACTGGTTCTGTTTATGTGATGGATTATGTTTATTGATTTGCATATGTTGTACCAGCCTTCCATCCCAGGGATGAAGCCGACTTGATCGTAGTGGATAAGCTTTTTGATGTGCTGCTGGATTCGGTTTGCCAGTATTTCATTGAGAATTTTCACATCTATGTTCATCAGGGATATCGGCCTGAAATTTCCTTTTTTTGTTGTGTCTCTGCCAGGTTTTGGTATCAGAATGATGCTGGCCTCATAAAACGAAGTAGGGAGGATTCCCTCTTTTTCTATTGTTTAGAATAGTTTCAGAAGGATTGGTACCAGTTTCTCTTTGTACCTCTGGTAGAATTTACCTGTGAATCCATCTGGTCCTGGACTTTTTTTGGTTGGTAGGCTATTAGTTACTGCCTCAACTTCAGAACTGGTTACTGGTTTATTCAGGGATTCGACTTCTTCCTGGTTTAGACTGTGGAGGCTGTATGTTGCCAGGAATTTATCCATTTCTTCTAGATTTTCTAGTTCATTTGCATAGAGACGTTTATAGTATTCTTTGATGGTAGTTTGTATTTCTGCGGGATCAGTGACAATATCCCCTATATCATTTTTTATTGCATCTATTTGACTCTTCTCTCTTTTCTTCTTTATGAGTCTGTCTAGCAGTCTATCTACTTTGTTGATCTTTTCATAAAACCAGCTCCTGGATTCATTGATTTTTTGAAGCGTTTTTCGTGTCTCTATCTCCTTCAGTTCTGCTATGGTCTTAGTTATTTCTTGTCTTCTGGTAGATTTTGAATTTGTTTGCTGCTGCTTCTCTAGTCTTTTAATTTTGATATTAGGGTGTCAATTTTAGATCTTTCCTGCTTTCTCTTGTGGGCATTTAGTGCTATAAATTTCCCTCTACACACTGCTTTAAATGTGTCCCAGAGATTCTGGTATGTTGTGTCTTTGTTCTCATTGGTTTCAAAGAACATCTTTATTTCTGCCTTCATTTCGTTATTTACCCAATAGTCATTCCAGAGCAGGTTGTTCAGTTTCCATGTAGTTGTGCGGTTTTGAGTGAGTTTCCTAATCCTGAGTTCTAATCTGATTGCAGTGTGATCTGAGAGACTGTTTGTTATGATTTCCATTGTTTTGCATTTGCTGAGGAGTGTTTTACTTCCAGTTATTTGGCCCATTTTAGAATAACTGCAATGAGGTGCTGAAAAGAATGTATATTCTGTGGACTTGGGGTGGAGAGTTCTATAGATGTCTATTAGGTCCGCTTCGTCCAGAACTGAGTTCAAGTCCTGAATATCCTTGTTAACTTTCTGTCTCGTTGATCTGTCTAATATTGACAGTGGGGTGTTAAAGTCTCCCACTATTATTGTGTGGGAGTCTAAGTCTCTTTGTAGGTCTCTTAAGAACTTGCCTTATGAATCTGTGTGCTCCTATATTGGGTGCATATATATTTAGGATAGTTAGCTCTTCTTGCTGCATTGATCTCTTTACCCCTTCCTTACACCTTATACAAAAATCAATTCAAGATGGATCAGAGACTTAAACGTAAGGCCTAGGACTGTAAAAATTCTAGAAAAAAACTGGGGCAATACTATTCAGGACATAGGCATGGGCAGAGACTTCATGTCTAAAACACCAAAAGCAATGGCAACGAAAGCAAAAATTAACAAATGGGATCTAATTAAAGAGCTTCTGCGCAGCAAAAGAAACTATCATCAGAGTGAACAGGCAACCTACAGAATGGGAGACAATTTTTGCAATCTATCCATTGGACACAGGGCTAATATCCAGAATCTACAAAGAACTTTACGAGAAAATTTACAAGAAATTGACAAGAAAAAACCAAAACCCCATCAAAAAGTGGGCAAAGGATATAAACAGACACTTCTCAAAGGAAGACTTTTATGCAGCCAACAGACATATGGAAAAATGCTCATCATCACTGGTCATTAGAGAAATGCAAATCAAAACCACAATGAGATACCATCTCATGCCAGTTAGAATGGTGATCATTAAAAAGTCAGGAAACAACAGATGCTGGAGAGGATGTGGAGAAATAAGGACGCTTTTACACTGTTGGTGGGAGTGTAAATTAGTTCAACCATTGTGGAAGGTAGTGTGGCGTTTCCTCAAGGATCTGTAACTAGAAATACCATTTGACCCAGCAATCTCATTACTGGGTATATACCCAAAGGATTATAAATCATTCCACTATAAAGACACATGCACAGGTGTGTTTATTGTGGCACTATTCACAATACCAAAGACTTGGAACCAACCCAAATGTCCATCAGTAATAGACTGGATAAAGAAAATGTGGCAAATGTATACCATGAAATACTACGCAACCATTAAAAAGGATGAATTTATGTCCTTTGCAGGGACATGTGTGAAGCTGGAAACCATCATCCTCAGCAAACTATCACAAGATCAGAAAACCAAACACCACATGTTCTCACTCACAGGTGAGAGTTGAACAAAGAAAACACGTGGACATAGGGAGGGGAACATCACACACTGGGGTCTGTTGGGGGGTGAGGGGCTAGGGTAGGGATAACAGTAGGAGAAATACCTAATGTAAATGACAGGTTGAGGGGTGCAGCAAACCACCGTGGCATGTGTACACCTATGTAACAAAACTTCACATTCTGCGCATATACCCCAGAACTTAAAGTATAATTAAAAAAATGCAACTTCCTGACTTTGACATTATGCATAGTTATTCCATCTAAAGTCTGAAAAGTGGAGTTGGGGGAGGGGCCATTAAGAATAATTCTCAATTATTTCTTGGCAGATAAACCAACTTTTCCAAAGAGTCTGAAAACTGCTTGATCGCTTTTTTAAGCAACAAGCAATACAATCTCTGTGATGCCATCATTACTGTTCATTTCTTCTAGGAGAGGAATGACACACTTCTGCCTTTAATTGTCAGATTATCCCCATTTCTGAATTAGTGAAATACAATTTAATGTGATTTTACTATCATAAATTTAGAGTCATTCTCTCCCAGGTACTGCTGGGCTATGATAAAATGAGATCTGAATTACATCAAAATAATTTAATTATTCCAAGAGAAGAGGTGATGGTCAGAATTTTTTAAGTGGCTGCATAGTTTAGATAGCCTCGATGCAGATAAGCTGAATAAAGCATTTAACTCAGCACATTAATATTTTAATGTGATCATCCTGAACAGTTCGGGCATTACAGGTTCCTACAATACACATATGCTGTCTATCTGGGACAGTTACATTCCCAACTGGGAGGATGTGGGAGACTAATGAATATACAAATGCTAGCAACAACTGTCTCCCGTCCTCTGTGAGGGTAAGCTACCTTCCCATGTAATTTACCACTGATGACATCATCATGGTACTCACTATGCCCTCAAGTGAGTGAAGACTGTTCTGAATGCCAGTACTAACCACGGAGCCTGACACCTAGTAGGTTCTCAAAGATCTATCAAGTCCATAAAGCCATGAATAAATGACAGAGATTATATTTCTCCCCTTGCCTAGAATAAGATCAGAAGTCTGATCTTATTCTCCTTACAAGACACATAAAAACATTCTTTAGGCGGTGTGGTGGCCAGCCAAGCCTCTTATTCCACAGCACTCACACTATGTCATACGTAACACTTTACCAAGGGTGGTGGTTTGGATTTTCAGTCCTTGACATAGAGTTGGTAAATCATGAGATATAGAGGAAACCTATCAGGGCAGGGACAGTGTCTCAAGGAAGGGACAGCTCTGAAGAAGAGGGCAGAGAGGTGAGAAGACAGACGCAGACTCACATCACAGGACCAGGCCCACCCAAGCAGAGATGACACCCTCACACCCCTCTGGAGGCCATCCATAAAGGTTCAATTTAACAGGGCAGGGAAGCATATCATTTTCAAGAAACTCCAATCCAAAAAGGTTTGGGGTTGTTTTTAATTTTGGCATTTGATGGGATAAACTTCAATGATCTGAAATGCCACATTCCCCAACTATGCCAAACAAGGCACACTGCAACAGTACTCAAAGTAGTGACTGCATTGTTTCAGAGTTGTTGAATGACTAAGTCTTAAAGTGGTACCAAGTTTCCCTTTAAGACTGTTTAACTTTCGGTATCCATGTTGCCTCGTTTCAATAATTATCTAATTACCTAACTAACTTCTTCAAATCCTCCTTCATACTAGCTCTCTAGGTCTCTAGATCTCTTACAGCCACTGCAGATAGGGAAATACGAACTTCCCAGCACTTGAGAGTAGATGAGCTGGCTGAAAACCTTTGTGGTGAGGGAAACTTTGTTTAAAAGGAAAAGGAGAGACACACAGAACAACACATTTAGGCTCCATCCACATCACCTCGGGCTGCAGCTGGCTCTGTGCTTACAGTCGATCACTTCCATGGGTGGTTTCTGCCACAAAACACAACAACACTCTGCTCCTATCAATGGCTGACAGAAAAATCCCAAAGTCCAGCAAGTTCCACGTCCAGAGAGCCAGGCTGGAAATGCTCCAAACCAACCCTTACATCCGGGCACACCACAGACCCATTAGGGAGCACTAACGCAGAGACGGCAACAACATCAGACAAGGGACCCAGGGACCACAGTGCTGCCCTGTCTTCACACCATCTAGCTGTATAACCTTGAACAAATCTACTGCCCATTCTCTGGGCCTCTTTTCTACAAGATCTCATAAGTGGGAGTCCTACTTTCCATTTGCATTCCTCGGGCCTCACAGTAGAACGGAGGTTTCTGTGTCCTCTGCCCAGCCGCCTCTCAAGTCTTGTTCCTCCTCCCATCCCTTCCCCCCAGCAAAGGGGTTTGTTGTTCTCTGGAGTTAGACTACCTGTGGCAGCTCTACCTTGGTGAGGGGTGTGCCTGTGTTGCCAGCACAGGGAGAAATACCTGTCCAATGGTGATGGGAACAGTTAAGTGACAGTATGTATAAAGGCCCAATACATGTTCAAAACATGCCCACCAGCAAATGCCTTACATACCAGGCTCCCAACCATACGGTTGCAATTTCTATCTTTCAAACTAATTGTAAATTATAAAGATGGCACCCAAATACCTGTATGCCCATAAGTAGGAAAAGGTAAACTTTTTAATTCTATCACTATAAATTCTAGATCTTTGATAGACTGACTGAAGGATATAAAATGTCAAAGGTGAGACTCTCTCATGTGGCTAAACACCCTCCTACTGCAGACAGAACTGAGCCCAACAGCATTCACCTGCTGGTGAGAGGCGCCCAGGGGCAGGCAGATGGTTGCACCATTCTCAGGGTCAGCCTCCTCCCCAGTGTGGTGTGGGGCAGAAGATGGGGCACAGGGCCTGGGAGGCTGTAGCCTGAAGGCACGCAGTGCCTACTGGGCACTGCAGAGACTACTGGGCAGACTCCTGCCAGCCTTCGGTTCTCCTGCTTCTGGGGCCAGGACACTCCTTGTGAGCTCTGTCCTGGGAGAAGTGCCCTTCCCAGTGCTCCTTATCAGTGTTTGTGAGGCATTCTCTCTAGTGCTCCTCATTAGCATACCTTGGCCAAACTTTGGCTCATAGAAAAACACTTTGCTCTTCTCTGAGCAACAATTTCTTTTCCCAATTGAGCTAATGACTGGATGAGAGGTGGCCACACTCATGACCATACTCATCTTTGGTGGTGGTGGGTAGGGGGTGTCCTGGATAAGGAGAGCATTGGGCAACGCCCCCTCTGGCCTCCCCAGTCCAGGGAGCTGCAACCACTATGGGAATTCTGTGGGAGGCCATAGTAGTCCACGGTTTCCCTTTGGGCAATCGGCATTCCAACCGTGCCTCCTGGTCCCAAGACAACAAGAACTCTGGAGAACTAAATTACCACCATGCACTTCCCATTCCGCCATGTGCCTCAGCCGAGGGTCCTGCTCTTCCTGCATATTCAAGCTGATCTTTCTAAGGAGTAGCTTGCATGGTGCCAGCACTGCCCCCCGTATCACAGGCAGCACCCTCCTGTGCCAAGGAAGCTTCAGCCTGCCCTTGGGCTCAGGCCACTAGGCTCTGGTTAGTTGACATTCCCAGCAAATCCTACAACTTCTCCTTTCCTTTCATGGCTCTAAGACACAGTCCATTATCAGTCTCATTTTTAAAGACATTTCTAAGAATGTCCTCCTTTCTTTCCCAACACTAGTAAGGACAGTAAGTGGCGTTTCCTGGGAGGGACTGTATGGTGTTATTTTTGCACTACAAGGGTTCTGAAGACTGCCAGGCTTGAAGTGAAGAACCACATCACCTGCCTATCCCAGTCAGGTGACAATGGACAAGGGGCTTCATCTCTGAGCTGTATTCCAGCAGTACTGGGCACATTCCACCCCTCACCCTGACTCACAAGGTGTTAATAATAATGGACACTACTCTGTCTTCTGCCATGCTTTGAACAACACTACACTATGCATCAAATGGATTCATCCCAAAGGTAAAGCACATTGCTTCTGGAAGGAGAAAGGTAGTATCTTTTTTTTTTTTTTTTTGAGATTGAGTCTTGCTGTGTTGCCCAGGCTGGAGTGCAATGGCGCGATCTCGGCTCACTGCAACCTCCGTCTCCCGGGTTCAAGCGATTCTCCTGCCTCAGCCTCCCAAGTAGCTGGGATTACAGGTGCCTGCCACCATGCCCGGCTACTTTTTAGTATTTTTTGGTAGAAACGGGGTTTCACCACGTTGGCCAGACTGGTTTCGAACTCCTGACTTCAAGTGATCCACCCGCCTCGGCCTCCCAAAGTGCGGGGATTACAGGCGTGAGCCACTGCACCCGGATGAAAGGTAATATTTTCATACTACTTTCATTTGATCTCATTTAGAAGGTGCTTGAGGAATAAAGAGGACTGGGTTTTCTCTGGGATTATAGTTAGGCATCACTTAGTGACTGGGACGTGTTCTGAAAAATGCGTCGTTACACAATTTCGTCATTGTGTTATCATAGAGCATACACACACGACCCTAGGTGGCATAGCCTACTCCACACCTAGGCTGTACGGTATGGCCCACTGCTCCTAGGCTACACACCTGTGCAGCATGTTACAGTACTGAATACTGTAGGCAACTGTAACACAGTGGTAAGTATTTGTGTATCTAAACATATCTAAACACAGAAAAGGTATAGTGAAAATATGGTGATATAATCTCATGGGACCATGACCACATACACCGTCCATCACCGACAGAAACATGTTTATGCAGCGCATGACTGTACCTGCAGCCCCCGCCGTGAGGTCAATGGCAGCCTGGGCAGCAGGACTGGACTTCACGTTTGCCCACTCTTCTGCTGGTCTCGTGGAAGGCAGCTCGCTGGACCTTATGACAGGCACCACATATCCTGGGGGGAGGCAAGAGTTCACCATTAGTCCAAGTCTCTGCAGCCTCCCGTTCTCTAGGCCTGCAGCCAAATTACTGAACCTAAACTTCTGGGATCCATGAACTGGGCTCTACATTGCTGCAAAGGAAACGGGCTCAAAGTATCAGTGCAGCTTAGCAAGTGACTGCCCCCTAAAAAGGTCACAGATCAAAAAGCTTCCCTGCGTATCAATGCTATTGTCACCAATAGCACTTCAACCAACCTTTCTGAAAACTGTAAAATGAACACCAAACAAGCCAACCACAGATGTACCAAACCACAGCAGACTGTTTTTACAGGCCTAAGTTGAGCTATCAATTGAATAGGCTCAGTTCTAAAATCAGACAGCAGCCTGTGCTGGGTGCCTAAGGGGATGTCACAAGACAGTAGGTCTGGAAAGGAGCACTCAGGCAGCCAAGGGTGAGAGCTGCACCCTGGAATCACACACGCCTTGGTGTGAATGCCTCCTCTACCTGTGGCCCCTTTGGCCTCTACAGCTGGGAGTCCTCATCTGTACAAGGCAAATAATAACACTATTACAAAACAAAGGCAGTCGCAAATAGCCACATGAGACTGATGGGATGCTCCACTGTGCACAAGCATCATGTGTTCTCAGAACAAGGCCCTGCACAGAGCACCAAGCATCTTCCTGTGACCACAGTCCACTAGCCCTTCAACTGTCAATGTGCACAGGAGTCGCCTGGGGGCCTTGCTAAATAAAATGCAGCTTCTGATTCAATAGCCTCGGATGGGACCAGAGATTTGGCGTCTTGATGAGCTCCCGAGTGAGATGGACAATGCCAGTCCACGGACTCACACTTTGAAATACAACACCTCGGTCATTGTGTCCAAATTTGCTTGATAACCTGAAGCACCCCCCACCCCCCCCCTTTTTTTTTGTGATGGAGTCTGGCTCTGTCGCCCAGGCTGGAGTGCAACGGCCACGATCTCAGCTCACTGCAACTGCCACCTCCGGAGTTCAAGTGATTCTCCTGCCTCAGCCTCCCAAGTAGCTGAGATTACAGGTGCATGCCACTGCACCAGGCTAATTTTTATATTTATAGTAGAGACGGAGTTTCACCATGTTGGCCAGGCTGGTCTTGAACTCCTGACCTTCAGTGATCCACCCACCTCAGCCTCCCAAAGTGCTGAGATTACAAGTGTGAACCACCTTGCCCAGCCTGGAGCACGTATTAAATATTCTAATTATCAGGCCTTTCTTCTGGAAATCTTGATTCAGTATGTTTCGGTTGGAGCCTTGGGCATTTGGGAAAACTAGAATGTATTCCTCTCCCTTTAGACAAAAGTCAACTATTGCTGAGGCATGGGTTTCATAAATGTTGACTAAAATATCCAGTTCAACAACCAATCCTGTATAATTTTCAAGTAACTTCTTTGTGAATAATAAGGAACAATTTATTTGTCATCGCACTGAGGAGCCGCGTGACCCCAGTCGTGCTGGATCAGAGATGAACACCAAGTGACTTCCTAACACCAGTGTCATCCTGAACGTCAACAGAAAACAGTGGCCACCGAGAAGATTTTTTAACTACTTGAAGCATTTTGCCAATGACCAGACTTCAAGAATCTTCCTTAATTTACAAAAAAAATTTAAAACCAATGGCAACAAAGGCACAGTACTTAACAAAGCAGCTAAGTTAGAAGTGCAAGACACTGATTTATATGCTGTTGATAGACCTGGAGAGACAGGACCATTTACTAGGCTGAAAAGGTGATGGCCATCTGGTATCTTCCTAAAAAAGTATATCAGGGTCCTAATCCTTTTCCAGAAGGCAAACTAAGGCCAGAGCAAGACAAGGTCTCCTAGGCCACACAACTAGTCAGTGACAGAGGAGCCAGTTCAGTCCTGTCCTTCAGGTCTGTGCCTACAAACCAATACTTGATCCGAGTATTCCAACCTGGGCAAAAACATCACAAAACACCCAACCCTGCATTTTAGGAAAAAAAAAAAAAAAAGGAAAAAGGAGGAAGGAAAAAAACAAAGGCAACTGAGAAGACAGGGCATGTCCAGTCTGGCCTCCCAGATAAACCTCAATGCGTTTGTTTCTTTTGGCGCAGCCACTTCCTTTGTAACTTGGAAGGAATGAAAGTCACATCACATTGCATTCTGTCTGCCCGTGTGAATTCAACCCCGTTAGGTGAGCCAAACTTAAACACATTAAATTCTACAAATAACCACTTCTGGAATTATTAAGATAGAAAACAATGGTGGGTACTAACAGATTCACTCAGGAGTGGGTAGTTAACGGGTTAATTCAGGTTATGTGTAGCTCTAGCTGGGAGAAGAAACAGGGCTTGGAGGAGGCAAGACTGTTCAGCATGAATTAGAACTGATTTATGAGCTTGCTGTAGCACTTGGAATAGAAAAACTCTTCAGCGCCTTTGATCCCTCTCACACTACACCAGGGTTCGATTGAGAAAACAACAGCGCTGACCACCCGTCCTTCTCGATCCTTGGGGAAAAAACTTTTTTGGACGGTAGAGTCAGATGAGGCCGCATTTTCCACCAGGGAACACTAACTGCTGCGGGAAGATCCCAGCTTCTGGCTAAAGCTGGGGCGGTAGGAGCTGCCGGCCAGCTCGCCATCTAGTCCCCAGAGCCCGGGCTTTAGGGCGCCCGGATGCAAACCAGTTTTGCCGCCAAGGAACCCGGACAGGCGCGCCTCCTCCCCGGCCTCGCAAGGAACAGGTTAAGGAGACATTTCCCACTTTCTCTGCCCGGCCCTGAACGCTCGCCGCCCCTGCCCAGCCGCCCACTGTCTGGCAGCCTGCAAGTCTCCATTCAGAAGCGGCTCCGTGCTGCCCAGCGATGGCGCCCTGGCGGCGCGGAAGCCCGCGGCCAAATGACACGACTTGGGGGCAAAGGAGGACAACAGTTCCCACCAGGTAGGCACTGGGGGAAGGAGGCCGATGACCCTGAGATTCTCCAGCGACCCCGGCGGGCCATCCCTGGGCGGCGCGCGGGTCCCGCGGCACGTGCGTGGCAGCTCTCGCCGCTTCCCTGGACGCCCGGGAAGGTCACGCCGCCTGGGCGCCGAGGCCCGCCCCGCGCCCCTCTCCCTCCGCCCGGGGCGCTCCGCAGCTGCCGAGGAGCGGAAGTGGGCGCCAGGCCGCGGCGCGCCCAGCCCAGCCCAGCCCAGCCCAGTCGGCGACCCCGCGCAGCGCTGCCTGCAGACCCTGGAGAAGGCGGAGGCCTGCGTCTCCGGGTGCTTTCCTACCTCTGGGCTCCCCGAGACCCTTTCTGAGGCCGGACCCTAGTTAGTCCGCTGGGCTGGGGATGAGGGCTAGGGGCTGGGAATATCAGTGATTGGGAGGACTTAAGTTTTTAGTTAATTTGACCTTGTTGGGCGGCCAAGTCCTTAATTATAACTTATATTTGAGTACAAAATTATACTCGGGATTCAAGGCTGTAAGTTAAAATTAAGTATGAAAATACTGGAATTGTAAAGATGGAAAGTAGATTCTTTTATTACCAGTTTAAAAAAAAAAAAAAAGCATTTCCCAATCCCCTTCTCCAAAGGAAATCCATCTGATGCCATTTCTGTAAATGCACTGATGAAAACCGTAACACTGTCAGCTCTGATCTTGTAGTCCCTAAGGAATTATAGGTTCTATCTGTGGTTCTCTGACATTTTATTAAACAAGTGAAAGTATTCAAGGAAGCTGTTGTTTGCCCAGAGTAATTTTCTTTTCTTTTCTTTTTCTTTTTTTTCTTTTTGTTTTGACACAGTCTCACTCTGTCGCTCAGGCTGGAGTGCAGTGGCGCGATTTCGGCACACTGCAAGCTCCGCCTCCCGGGTTCACGCCATTCTCCTGCCTCAGCCTCCGCAGCAGCTGGGACTACAGGCGTACGCCGCCACACCCGGCTAATTTTTTGTATTTTTAGTAGAGACAGGGTTTCACCGTGTTAGCCAGGATGGTCTCGATCTCCTGACCTTGTGATCCGCCCGCCTCAGCCTCCCAAAGTGCTGGGATTACAGGCGTGAGCCACCGTGCCTGGCCACACCCTGCTAATTTTTTATATTTTTGGTAGAGACGGGGTTTCACCATGTTGGCCAGACTGGTCTCGAACTCCTGACCTCAAGTGATCCTTCTGCCTCGGCCTCCCAAATGCTGGGATTACAGGCATGAGCCACCGCGCCCGGCCTGCCCAGAGTAATTTTCTTTAATGCCCTAAGACAAAGGGTCAGAAGAGTCTTGGTCTACTTGAGACAGCCACTCAACATAACACGCAGCCACTGCCCTCCTATTGTTTTGGTTCAGCCTTTGTGTATTGATTTTCATTTTCAACACAATTTTCTTCCTTAAACAGGGCGTGGTGACACATGCCTATAGTCTTAGCTATTTGGGAGGCCAAGGCAGGAGGATTGCTTGAGGCCAGGAATTGGAGGCCACGGTGAGCTATGATGGCACCATTGCACTCCAGCCTGGGTGACAGAGAGAGATCTTGTCTCTTACACACACACACACACACACACACACACACACACACAGAGTGTAATTTTCTTTTACAACTTTCAGCCTTGTTTGGATGTGCTGTTGGATTATTACCTATGCAATTTAAGTGATTTGATTGGTGATAGTGCTTAACATGAATGCACACATGAATAGACCTCCCAGGCTATAGTAGATGCTATGATGGGATCAGAGTGCCTGGTAAATGGGCACTCATCAGAATCAGCACTTTAGAACTTGGGCTTCTGGACCATAATTGAGTTCCAGAAGCAAGCCGTGGAGCTGGGATGACTTACCCAAAGTGACAGGGAACATAACTAATTGGAAGCAGATCCAGGAGCCGAAACTACAGTTACAGCAGCCTAGAGGGGTTGGCAGTATCAGCTGGTCCAGTGGCTTTTGCAGCTTAAGAAAATGAGACCCAAAAGAACCCTGATTAAGGACAGACTTGGCTGAGTATGGTGGCTCATGCCTATAATCCCAACACTGGGAGGCCGAGGCAGGAGGATCACTTGAGCCTGGAAGGGCGAGGCTGCAGTGTGCGGTGTTCACATCATTGCACTCCAGCCTGTGTGACTGACCAAGACCCTGTCTCAAAAAAAAAAAAAAAAAAAAAAAAAAAAAAAAGGATAGACCCGGTTACAGATTAGAGCACTGGACTTGGGGCCAGGATGTTTGTGTAAATGTCCCTGTGTGACCTTTAGTGAGTCACTTAACCTTTTGTAAACCCCAGCCACAGTATGACTGCATTACCAGCTCCTCTGAACCCCCTGTGCTCAGTCTGCTGGAAGAATCCACCGTGCAGGGCGCTTGGTACTTTCTGCAAGCCATTGGGCCCCAGCCTAATGCTTTGTCTTGTCTTCCTTGAGCCCCTTCCTCTCCTGTCCTCAAGGGCTGTTCCAAACTCTCATCATTGCCGAGCCTTCCACATTTCTCCTCTCTACGCCTCCCCTTTGCAACCATCAGCCTCAATTTGTTCTATAAGAAACAATCTGAATTTTGCTCAGGTTTTTAATCCCTAATCTACAAAGTTACCTCTTTTTTTGCACAAACTCTCATCCATTTGTCCACTGTCCAACTTACTTGCTGTGTCCTCTTGCCTAGCCCAATGGCCAGGAAGAATGAGGATGAGGGAGAAACCAAGGCTTAGAGAGGCCAGGTCACTCCCCAAAGTTACACAGGTGTGAAGAGAAGAGCGGGGACTCAATAAAGTTCTGTCCAACTCAGAAGGTCAGGTGCTCAGCCGCTACACTGTGTGGTGCTCCCTCCCAGAGATTCTTGTTAAAAGCAAGAGAGCTGCAAGAACTGGAAGTTCTTTCTTTCGGGATAGATCTCCTTCCACAGTATTTTATAAAAATCACCTCAGCAGCTTAAAATCCCCCACAACGGTGCTCTTTCTGCTGTCTTTATTTTAGGAAGAGAAATGAAGATACTGATGTTAAAATGCTTCCTATCTCTCAGATGCTCAGAGAACTGATTTCAAAATCACCTGGTTGGCACTAAATCAAGAAAGTGTCCTTGCAAACTTTGTTCCGAGTGTAATTTCCTAGGGATCCTATGGCCTCTTGAGAACAGCATTTTAGGGACATGGATCACTGCTCTCTATAGAGGTAGCTCAACTCAAGAGCATTTTACATGTAGGCTCCAGACAGCAAACATGTCAACACACTGACCTCTCTGCTCCAGGTGACTGTTTGCTACACTGGGGATTGCACAAGTCAGAGACTTCAATGCAACTGGCTTTGTGATGGGTGGCAGGTGTGATGTGGGTCAGAGGTGAGAGGACAGACAGAATGGCTGCATGGAAAAGCGAGCATTTGCTATTCTACAGAATTCCATAATGCACTGGTTAATGACACTAAAAGGAGAAATAATTTCACAAAATGTATCCCTGGTCCTGACACCACGTGGGGCGTGTTTTAACAAAGTGAGTTAATTGGGGTTGCAAATAGATCAAGAGCATAAAACATCTCTGACTCAAATGTATTTTTAGTTAATAAGAAAGAAGAGGGGCCCAGCACGGGGGTTCATGCCTGTAATCCCAGCACTTTGGGAGGCCCAGGCTGGTGGATCATCTGATTTCAGGAGTTCAAGACCAGCCTGGCCAACATGGTGAAACCCCGTCTCTACTAAAAATACAAAAAAAAAAATTAGCCGGGCATGGTGGCGGGTGCCTGTAATCCCAGCTACTTGGGAGGCTGAGGCAGGAGAATCGCTTGAACCTGGGAGGCCAAGGTTGCAGTGAGCTGAGATCGCTCCATTGTACTCCAGCCTGGGCGACAAGAGCGAAACTCCATCTGGGAAAAAAAAAAAAAAAAAAACCAAGAAAGAAGAAAACTTCCTTTTGATTATGCAATTTTAGTTCCCATTACATGTTCTTGGCTGCTGATTAGAAATTTAAATTCTAGAATTAAAAAATTCTAGAAGTAGGAGTTTCCAGAGCTGATTAATTTAACAGCTCAAGAGTATCTGGGGAAGCTTCTCTGTAAGTCTCTTAGCCTTTCCCTCATGACTGCAAGATGGCTGCCACAGCTCTGCCTATCACATCCGCACATGCAACATCCAAAGGCAGGAAGGAAGCACACTCACATATCTTCCTCTCATCAGAGAAAACAATCTTTCCCAGCAGCCCTCTGTCAGGCTTCCCCTTGTGTTTCATTGGCTTAGAAATGGGTCTCATACTCCTCCCAAAAATCAACACTCAGAGGAGACTGGTGTTAGCATGATCGCTTGAGAATAGGGTCAGCAAAGTTCTTCTGAAGAGGACCAGCCAGTAAATATTTCAGGCTTTGCAGGGCATGGGGTCCATGTCACATCTAGTCAGCTCTGCTCTTGTAGAGCCAAAGCAGCTAGAGACACTGGAAACAAATACATATGCCTGTGTTCCAATGTCACTGTGGACACTGAAATTTGAATTTCATATATTTTTTACCTCTTACAAAGCATTTTTTTTGGTTCTTTTTCCAGCGAATTAAAAGTGTAAAAAGCATTTTGTATGGTATGAGGCCATACAAACACAGGTGGTAGGCCAGATTTGGTTAGCAGGCTGTAGTTTGTCAATCCCTGGTTTAGAGCAATGAGGACTCATCCCCTTGGGGCTGTGGGAAGGGACCACCTTCCCTGAAACATCACCACTCACACCTGAAAAAAAGAAGGGTGAGGGAAGTGTTGTTAGGCAACTGAGAATGTCTCCTACAGCATATTAAGGTTATGGAAAAACGCTGAGGGTTATGATAATTTTTAAAAAGCAAATTACATGTCAATATGGGCAGGATGATCCCAACCAATTCTGCTTGTTGAAATCCCTGCCATTCACTGAAATCTATGTTAGACGCAGCCACCCGAGAGCACCTGTTTCTGATTCCTGGTTCTCAGAAGCCAAATTGGAGCATCCCTTCCTATCCATGACAAACTTCCCTTTAGCACCTATCCTGTGCTGGATGCTGTCAACCCAAACTAACTGCTGGAAATGCAGAAGTGAAAGAGCCAATGGCTAGCCTCAAAGAAATCACTGTCGCCGGGCGCGGTGGCTCACGCCTCTAATCCCCAGCACTTTGGGAGGCCAAGGCAGGTGGATCACAAGGTCAGGAGATCGAGACCATCCTGGCTAACACAGTGAAACCCCGTCTCTACTAAAAGTGCAAAAAAAATTAGCCAGGTGTGGTGGCGGGTGCCTGTAGTCCCAGCTACTTGGGAGGCTGAGGCAGGAGAATGGCGTGCACCCAGGAGGCAGAGCTTACAGTGAGCTGAGATCGCGCCACTGCACTCCAGCCTGGGTGACAGAGTGAGACTCAATCTCAAAAAAAAAAAAAGAAAAGAACAGAAATCATTGTCCAAGCAGAGGAGGAAGAAACCAGGAACTATAATTCAGGGGTGGGTATGCAGCAAGAGGCATGTGGGTAGGGGGGCATCCCTGGAGGGAATGAATGAGGGATGGAATAGAAGTTTCAGGGGAGGCCCACAGGAGACCTCTGTGCCAACATAAATGGCATCTGGCCCTTTGTTAAGAGGATGAATGTAGTTGGTGTATCATCTACTCCAGGGGCCAGGAGAGTTGCAACTAAGCCAGGCTCTTAGTTGTAATCAACAGAAGCACAGAAGAGATTGATTAAAAGGATTAAAAGGTTGTAGAGTGACTCTTCTGCTTGCTGGATGGGGAGGTGGAATGCCGTGAATAGCTTCCTGCACCAAGGCCCTATGCCCACTGCAGTCCTGGCCTGCAGTGGAAACCACTGCTGCTGCCCCCCTAGAGCTCTGGATGTGATGGTTTGTGATGCTGCCCCTTCTCATACCAGGGCCACAGCCCAGTATCCTTTGCTCCTCCAAAGCTGTGTGCCTGCGTTACCAGCTTTGCCCGGTACATCACTTACACACTGCGTCCACTGCCTTGGATTGCTTATCTCTAAGTTGGTATCTCATGTAGATGCAGCTGATGGAGGGAGGCTGGGTCATGTGCCTGTACCCTGCTCTGCATAGAAGCCTGGCTGACTGGGATCTCTGGCAACTGCCTTGGAGAGGTAGGACTCACTCGTGTGTTAGGAAATCCCCAGAACATAGCCGGGGTTTTCAAACAATGCTAGGCAGCCAAAAAACATGACACATGTCCACTCTGCATGGACCAAGCATCCCAGTCAGAGGAAACATGCAAAGGCACAGAGGTGTGAACCGGCAGAGCATGTTTGGGGAAATGGAAGCAGTTTGTTTCTGCAGAAGAGAGCAGTGAGTGTTGGGAGAGTTGCTTGGTGCAGCCAGCAGGAGCCCCTGCTAAACTCATGGTCCTTGTGGCTCCAACCTCAAGGGAAAATACTTTTTTTTTTGAGACAGAGTCTTGCTGTGCCACCCAGGCCTGAGTGCAGTGGCATGATCACAGCTCACTGCAGCCTCGAACTCCTGGGTCCAGGTTCATGTCCGTGTCCTGAATGGCTGGGACTACAGGCGTGCGCCACCACCCCCAGCTAATTTTTGTATTTTTCTGTAGAGATGGGTTTTTGCCATGTTGCCCAGGCTGCTCTTGAACTCCTGGTCTCAAGCAATCCTCTTGCTTTGGCCTCCCAAAGCACTGGGATTACAGTTGTGAGCTATCAAGCCCAGCAAGGGCAAGTACCTGTATCTTACTCAGTGTTCCCTGCTGAGGCCCAGGAGCTGTGATTAACTCCTTGCTGGGCCCAGGGCCCTGCCCCTGGTGAGTTTTAGTCAGTATCTGTCTAAAGGAATTATCTTTGTAAACTGTTGGATTGCATCATTGTTGTGAAATAGCAAGTGTATGCAGCTTCTCTCTCTTTCTCTTCTCTCTCTCCTTCTCTCTTGTGTGTACATTTCCACAATGTACTATTTTATAATTACATTAATAATGGTTCCCCCAGTAAAAATAATCTGGATTTAGACCGTTGGTATCTAAATATTTGTATGGCACCTATCACTAGATATTTAGCCATTTATAAACATCTTTTTAAAATGCTTTCATTAAATTAGTTATTCTGGGCAAACACAGGCAAATATAACCATTGAAAGGACACACAAATAAAGGTCCAGCAGAGTTGAGATGCCATTGCCTTAGAGATTAGCATGCAAGCTCTGGATCAGACACCTGAGAGGGAAATCCTAGCCTCTCTGCTTCCAGCTGGATGAATCGGAAAAGTCTCTTGGGGTGGGAATGAGAGGAAAGATCTGGTTCTGCCAGTTGATGCTTTGAGTACCCCCTGCTCCATGCTGCTGCTTCTCAGCTTCATGCGATTGTACCTTTGAGGACTTCCATGGGCCACATTCTAACCTTTTTTAATTTTTTTAAGACACAAGGTCTTGCTCTGTCACCCAGGCTGGAGTGCTGTGGCGTGACCATAGCTCACTGCAGCCTTGAGCTCCGAGACTCAAATGATCCTCCCACCTCAGCCTCCTAAGTAGCTGAGACCACAGGCCTGTGCCACCCTGCCTGGCTAATTTTTAATTATTTTGTTTGTGTGTTTGTTTGTAGAGAAGGAGGTCTCACTATATTGACCAGGCTGTTCTCAAACTCATGGCCTCAAAACAATCCTCCCATCTAAACCTCCCAAAGTGCTGTGATTACAGGTGTGAGCCACCGTGCCCAGCACTAACCCTCTTATTTACAATGGGATTGTTTGCCTCACTGTGCCTAAATTTGTAAAACATGGCCAATTCTTAAATGCTCTGTCATTCAAAGTATTTAGTCAATCTCTCTGTTCCAATTAAGCACCAGAAATTTGGAGATGAAAAGCCGCACCTCATTTCGTTCACTGAGAATCACAAAGCCAGGCACAGGGGGCTGGGAGCAGTAGAGCATGGGCACAGAACCCAGCCCAGAGGACCAGGAAAGGTTCTAGAGCTTGGGGCAAGAGCTGAGCCTTGAAGTAGGAGTAGGAGTTAGGCAGGGAGGAAGAAGGAAACGCAGCATTGGATGGCAAGGAGGTGGGGGAAGGCATGGCCGTGTCTGGGAGCTGCAGGGGCTCCCGTCAGGGTGGGAGGAGAGGTAATGGGAAGGAGACTAGCGAAGGAGGCAGGGCTGATCTTGAGGGGTCTCACAGGCCCTGCTAAGAGAGTGCAGGATTTCTTTAGAGGATGGTAGAGGGAGCCGCTGAGTAATACAGACTTCCTGATGTGAACGTAGCTGTGTGGAGGAGGCTGACAGCATGGACTCTGGGTCGACTGTCCGGTCCTCAAAAGCTGGCTCTCCCACCTGATGACTTTGTGATAGTGAGAAGCTCCTGTAAGCCTCAAATTTCTCATCTTAAAAGTGAAAAATGGTGTTACTTGCCTCAGGAAATTTTGTGAAGATGAGAAAATACAAATAAAGCACTATTATAGTGTCTAATACTTAGTGGTCAATAAATGCTAACTATGGTTGTTATTGATCATTTGAATAATAATGAGGTATACAGTTTGTCTCATTTTGTAGACTTGTGATAATGGAATGAATGAACTTTGTCACAGCAAAATAAGTTTAAAATGTTAGTTGTGTATCCTGATAGAAAATATAAACTTAAAAAAATTTCTTCATGAGACAGAGGTCTCACTATGTTGCTCAGGCTGGTCTCCAACTCCTGGCCTCAAGCTAACCTCTCACCTCAGCCATTGTGCCTGGCTAATATAAACATTTGTTTATTCATTCCACAAATATTGATTGACCATGAAGGATGTACCAGGCACAGTTCCAGGCTCTTGGGATAAGGTAGTAAATGAGGCTGCCCCCTCGATGAGGGATCCCTACTCTCACTGAGCTTACATTCCAGCGGGGAGGCTGATGATGAAAAAGGAAACAATGTGATTCCCAAGACCTGTACGTTCCGCCAGGGCAGGGAACTTGTTGCATTTGTACCTTGATCTATCCCAAGTGCATGAGACAGGGCCTAGGTCAGGCACTTGATGAACGTGTTGAGTGAATGGAAGATTATTTCAGATAGTGCTGAGTGCCGGAAGACAAGGAAACAGCGCTACATGACAGAATGGGAAGGTCGACTTGGCTAGATGCGGTGCACGGCTGAGAAAGCACTGCTGAGCTGAAGTGGATGGTATGAAGGAATCAGTCATGGGACAGTCTTTGGGACAGCTATTCCAGGCCAAAGAATTTTCCATGCCTAAGCTGAAGGCCCTGAGGCAGGGCTGTGCTGGGAATGCACAAAGACGGGAATGAATGGACCCCACAGCACAGGGGCCAGTAATTTGTGGGTCATTGGCAGGCATGTCTTTTATCTAACAGGAGACTATTTTTGCCTCCAGAGGGCACTTGAACATAACAAATGCATCTAAGGGCCAGCTTGGGTTAACACTTAGACAGAAAGCAGTTTCCTGAAAGCATAACTTCAGAGGCCAGGAAAGCAAAAAGAAAATAATCTCAGCTGTAGCCTTTGCTTATTGAAATTTGAAAGCACCTCTTTTAAAAATTAACTTTTATGAGATAGTACAAGTGTTAGCTAGCAATGTGGGCTTTCATACATTAGTGTTAGTTTAACAACATAGCCCTCCCCTTGGTGGATAGATGAGAGAGCAGTTTGACAGGTAGGAGAGGGGACGAAAGGCTAATTTAGAGAGGTCTCGGCAAAGGTGTCAGGTCTGGGTGAGACCCAAAGCAAGGAGGCTCTGAGAAGCTAAAAGGCAACATAGAGAGGGGCCAAGGGACGGGGGAGAATGAGTACAAGAAGGCAAGAGGATGGGCTGGGGGAACCAGAGTACTCTCATGCACTTTAGAAATTGACCTGAGGACAGTTCTGCCTGGTCATATCTCTGTCGTCTCCAAAAGTCATGTGCTAAGCACTGTTTCAACATAGTTCTATGTCATATGCTGTGCAATACACACTAGTGTGACATGATCCTGGTCTTCCATGTACCTAAAATCCAAAGCAGTTTTACACATGAATATACTAAGAATGAGTCATCTTACGTGGAGGGGAAAGACAAGTACCTAGACAATCTAATTTGAAGGACACGAAACCACTTCGTCTTCAGTCCCATCTCCCGTAAGTCCTCCTGCTGTGGGCCTCTCCATGCTCCTCCCTCTTACTTTGTCCTTTGGCTTTGGGCACTAAAGCGCTTGTGAAGAAGCTAATGAAATCTAGGAAACTCATCCATCTGGGTGCAACCTCTCTGGGCCTCCACAGGCCTGGCACCTGTTGCATTGCCTATCTTGTTAGTTTACCTGCTCCACATCTGTGATCTCTGCTAGATCACCAGCCCCTTGAAGCAGGGAACAAGTCATACTCACCTGTGTGTTCCAAGGGGACTAAAGCTTCATTTTTCACATAGTGTTATACAGTTACACTAATATCATCTACCTATATATTATATAAACATGCACGTATGTTCATCTTTTGCTGTTGTTGTTTTTTTTGAGACAGGCTCTTGCTCTGTCACCCAGGCTGAAGTGCAGTGGCACTGCAGCCTCTGCCTCCTGGGCTCAAACAATCCTCCCACCTCAGCCTCCAGAGTAGGTGGGACTGCAAGCACACACCGGCATGCCCACCTAATTTGTTTATTGATTTGTATTTTTTGTGGAGATGAGGTTTCACCATGTTGCCCTGGTTAGTCTTGAGCTCTTGGGCTCCAGTAATCACCCACCTTGGCCTCCTAAAGTGCTGTTTTAGGCTGTGTTTGAGGCTGTTTTAGGCTGTGTTGTGAAGATGCAGAGGCAAAACAGCTCTTTTTTTTTTGAGATGGAGTCTCGCTCTGTCGCCCAGGCTGGAGCGCACTGGTGTGATCTCGGCTCACTGCAAGCTCTGCCTCCTGGGTTCATGCCATTCTCCTGCCTCAGCCTCCCGAGTAGCTGGGACTACAGGCGCCTGCCACCACGCCCGGCTAATTTTTTGTATTTTTAGTAGAGACGGGGTTTCACCATGTTAGCCAGGATGGTTTCAATCTTCTGACCTTGTGATCTACCTGCCTCGGCCTCCCAAAGTGCTGGGATTACAGGCGTGATCCCTGTTTTGTCGTGCCCGGCCTGACGAAACAGCTCTTAATCCACCTAAGAAAAAAGAAAGGAAATACCACATCCAGTATATACCACACACATCATCCCTCACCCAGATCAGGAAACCTCACGATGAGTTATGCCCCCAGTAAGCCCATCCAGCCTCATTCTCTCCTTCTTTCTGTGCCTTTAGCTAGTACACTGCCTTTGGAAAGATGTCCATAATCCTTTAATACTTTTGCTAGTAGAGCCACAAGTGAATAGAAGTAGGTAGCTGAAACTGCTGGACAACTGGGTTTATTCTGCAGGCTTATTTCACAAAGCGCAAACCTCAGAAAACTGAGGCCATTGCTGGCCTGGCTAGTTGGATTTCCAAATATTGACCATTCCTGGACTCCTCATTACAGGTTTTCATACACCTGCTGAGACACATGACTGCCCTTGTTGGATAATCCTGATGTCATTGAGGAAATTAAATGAGATGAGGGTGTAAATTGTTCAGTGTGCAGTGGGCAGTCAGTGGTGTTATTGTCTCATTAACACATTGCAGCTATTTATGCTGCCCCCTGATTTTGTTGGAAACAGTCTTATGTACTTTTTTTACACAGAGGCATTGAAAGTTAATTCATAGTTGATTTTAGGGGAAAGGATTACTTTGAACATAAAAGACACAGATTTACAGACATTTATTGGGAAATGAAGTCACGTATATGGGCAATTCTAGTGACTAAAAAGCAATTAAAAATTACATTTGATTGCTTGTCAAGTACATAGACAAGTATGATGGAAAATGGTATAAAACAAACAGCAGAATAGGATACATTTTGCTGGAAAAGCAAAGTAGTGACAGAGCATGTAAGCCTCACCTGGGCCATGACATTCGTGTTCTGCCATCCTGCCACTTGGGAGAAGTGGCTTCATGGTTTACCTTTTTGTGTGTCATCCACTAGCATGAACTACTGATTACTTCATGCAGATGGACAGAATATTCTCAATTTTTCTGAATCTTTGTAGATGTATTATTTATTCACTTAGATCTTTCCAAGATGTATTATTTACTAGATCTAAAGTGTTTCTTAGAATTCATGTAGTAATTAAATAATGTTAGAAAAGAATCTGGGGTACATTAAATATCATGAGAAAGAAATTCATTAAGGTGAATTGAAATTGCTTGTACCATTAAGGTAATGTGCTATTTTAATATCTTTGCTGTGATTTTGTAACTTTGTAAGAGTTAACCTGTTTTTAGTATTTCTACGCTATTATGAATACCATGCATAACATAGTTTTTCAGCTTTTCACTAGTCATTGACTCCCATCTCTAATCATTAGCTATCAACTTTCAAATGATCATTTATTCATAGAGTGTTTTGGAATCAGGGTGGTGATTATAAAAGTTGGGTGAGCATTATTGTGTTGTATGGCAGTAAATAGAACTGTTGTCCTGGACTCTAGATACTGGTCAGCATGGGCTTCAAAGATTTCTTTTGGGCAGCTGGACCAACCCCTTCCCTGTGGTTCTTCTGCATCCATGCAACCCCCAGAGCAAGTCAGATTCTTGGTGCTGGTCCTTCCTATCTGCTCATCCCACTGCAGAAAACAAAGAATGCCTATCTGTGTCTCAGGATAGGACTGATCCTAAGCTCTCATGCTGGACTCCTCCAAAGATATGCTATACTTTGGAACACAGAAAAACTCTTCATAATATCCAGTGCTAAGTGCTTTATAATACAATTGAATGCAAGAGCAACACTATTTTCACTTAGATTTCTGACTTTTAATGATGATTCAAGAGGTCTGCAGCACCATGAATTATTAATAGCTGGAAACAATATTCTGATTTATTTTTCTTTTTCTTTCTTTTTTTTTTTTTTTTGAGACAGAGTTTCGCTCTTGTTGCCCAGGCTGGAGTGCAGTGGTGCGATCTCGGCTCACTGCAAACTCTGCCTCCCGGGTTCAAGCGATTCTCCTGCCTCAGCCTCTGGAGTAGCTGGGATTACAGGCATATGCCACCACACCTGGCTAATTTTGCATTTTTAGAGCCCCATTGTAGAGATGGGGCTTCTCCATGTTGGACACTATCTCAAAAAAAAAAAAAAAATCAGTAGCATTTCTATATGCCAACAGTGAGCAATGTGAAAAAGAAATTTAGAAAGTACTCCCAGTTACAATAGCCACACATAAAATTAAATACTCAGGAATTAATGAATGATGTGAAAAGTCTGTATAATGAAAACCATAAAATACTGATGAAGGAAGTTGAAGAGGACATTAAAAAATGGAAAGACATTCCATATTCATAGATTGGAAGAATTGATATTGTTAAAATGTGCATTCTGCCCAAAGCAATCTACAGATTCAACGCAATTCCTATCAAAATACCAATGACATTCTTCACAGAAATAGAAAAAAAAGAATCCTAAAATTTATCTGAAACCACAAAAGACCCAGAATAGCCAAAGGGATCCTAAGCAAAAAGCACAAAACTGGAGGAATCACATTACCTGACTTCAAATTATACTAGAGAGCTATAGTAACCAAAACAGCATGGTACTGGCATAAAAACAGAAACATAGACCAATGAAACAGAATAGAGAACCCCAAAACAAATCCACACTCTACAGTGAACTCACTTTCAACAAAGGTGCCAAGACATACACTGGGGAAAAGACAGTCCCTTCAATAAATGGTGCTGGGAAAACCAGATATCCACATGCAAAAGAATGAAACTAGACCACTATCTCTCGCCATATAGAAAAATCAAATCGAAATGGATGAAAGACTTAAGACCTCAAACTATAAAGCTACTACAAGAAAACATTGGGAAAAATCTCTAAGACATTGGTCTGGGCAAAAATTTCTTGAGTAATACTCCACAAACACAGGCAACCAAAGTGAAAATGAACATATGGGATCACATCAAGTTTAAAAACCTTCTGCACAGAAAAGGATACAGTCAACAAAGTGAAGAGACAACCCACCAAATGGGAGAAAATATTTGCAAACCACCCATCTGACAAGGGATTAATAACCAGAATATATAAGGAGTTCAAACAACTCTATAGCCAGCCATCCCATTACTGGGTATATACCCAAAGGACTATAAATCATGCTGCTATAAAGACACATGCACACGTATGTTTATTGCGGCACTATTCACAATAGCAAAGACTTGGAACCAACCCAAATGTCCAACAATGATAGACTGGATTAAGAAAATGTGGCACATATACACCATGGAATACTATGCACCCATAAAAAATGATGAGTTCATGTCCTTTGTAGGGACATGGATGAAATTGGAAATCATCATTCTCAGTAAACTGTCACAAGGACAAAAAACCAAACACCGCATGTTCTCACTCATAGATGGGAATTGAACAATGAGAACACATGGACACAGGAAGGGGAACATCACACTCTGGGGACTGTTGTGGGGTTGGAGGAGGGGGGAGGGATAGCATTAGGAGATATACCTAATGCTAAATGACGAGTTAATGAGTGCAGCACACCAGCATGGCACATGTATACATATGTAACTAACCTGCACATTGTGCACATGTACCCTAAAACTTAAAGTATAATAATAATAAAAATAAAATAAAATAAAATAAATAAAACAACTCTATAGGAAAAATACTAATAATTTGATCAAAAAACGAGCAAAAGATTTGAATAGGCATTTCTCAAAAGAAAACAAATAGCAAACAGACATATGAAAAGGTGCTTATCATTATCATCAGAGAAATGCAAATCAAAACTGCAATGAGATATCATTTCACCCCAGTTAAAATGGCTTATATCCAAAGCCAGGTAATAACAAATACTGGCAAGGATGTGGAGAAAAGGGAACACTTGTACACTGTTGGTGGAATGTATATTAGTACAACCACTATGGAGAACAGTTTGGAGGTTCCTCAAAAAACTAAAAATTGAGCTACTACATCATCCAACAATCCCACTCCTAGGTATATACCCAAAAGAAAGGAAATCAGAATATAGAAAAGATATCCACACTCCTATGTTTGTTGCAGCACTGTTTACAATGGCTAAGATTTGGAAGCAACCTCAGTGCCCATCAACAAAGGAATGGATAAAGAAAATGTGGTATATATACACAATGGAGTTCTATTCAGCCATGAAAAAGAATGAGATTCAGGCATTTGGAACAGCGTGGATGGAACTGGAGGTCATTATGCTAAATGAAATAAGCTAGGAAAAGAAAGACAAACGTCTCATGTTCTCACTTATTTGTGGCATCTAAAAATCAAAACTATTGAACTCCTGGTCATAGAGAGTAGAAGGATAGTTACCAGAGGCTGAGAAGGGTAGTGGGGAGTTGGAGGGGAGGTGGGGATGGTTAGTGGGTACAAAAAATATAGAAAGAATAAGACCTATTTTAATTGCGCAATAGGGTGACTGTAGTCAATAACAATTGTATATTTTTAAATAACTTAAAGAATGTAATTGAATTGTTTGTAATTCAAAGGATAAATGCTTGAGTACTCCATTCTCCATGATGTGATTAATACGCATTGCATGCCTATATCAAAACATCTCATGTATTCCATAACTATATACACCTACTATGTACCCACAAAAAATTTAAAAATAATTTAAAACAGTTTTTTAAAGAAAATACTGATGAAATGAATGGAATTAACTAATTCAAAGTTTTCTAGGATGTGGTAGCAACTCTCTGAAAATCGTCCCCCAGTGGCCACTGCTGCTGGTACTTTCAGGGAAGTGTGGTTCCTTCACTTTGAATCTGGACTGGCCCTGTGACCCATTTTGCACCAATAGAATGAAATGAAAGTGATGTCATGTGACTTTCAATGCTGTGCAGCTTTAGTCTGGTGTGAATGTTCACTCTAAGGCAAGCCAGCTGCTCTGTAAGAAGTCCAAATATAGGCCAGGCCCAGTGGCTCACGTCTGTAATCCCAGCACTTTGGGAGGCCGAGGCAGGCCGATCACGAGGTCAAGAGATCAAGATCATCCTGGCCAATGTGGTGAAACCCCATCTCTACTAAAAATACAAAAATTAGCTGGGCGTGGTGGTGCATGCCTGTAGTTCTAGCTACTCGGGAAGCTGAGGCAGGAGAATTGCTTGAACTCAGGAGGTGGAGGTTGGAGTAAGCTGAGATTGCGCCACTGTACTCCAGCCTGGAGAGAGAGAGAGACTAAAAAAAAAAAATAATAATAATAATAAAAAGAAGTCCAAATATGCTGAGATGCCATGCTGTGAGGAAGTGCAACCCAGCCAGGTACAAAAGTCATGGGGCAAGCTGGCGCAGTGTCTCACGCCTGTAATCCCACACTTTGGGAGGCTGAGGCAGGTGGATCACCTGAGGTCAGGAGTTTGAGACCAGCCTGGACAACATGGTGAAACTCCCGTCTCTACTAAAAAAATACAAAAAGTAGCCAGGTGTGGTGTCGTATGCTAATCTGGAGGCTGCTAATCTCCAGCTAATCTGGAGGCTGAGGCAGGAGGATAGCTTGAACCTGGGAGGCAGAGGTTGTAGTGAGTCAAGATCACGACACTGTGCTTCAGCCTGGGCAACAGAGTGAGACTTCATCTCAAAAAAAAAAAAAAAAAAAAAAAAAAAAAAGCACGGGGCAAAGGTGTGGAGAGAGATTCAGCTAGCCCCTGTTTCTTCCAGTTACTCCAGCTGAGGCATCAGATGTGTGGGTGAAGAAACCACCAGACGCGGTGGCTCACGCCTCTAATACCAGCACTTTGGGAGGCCGAGGCGGGCGGATCACGAGGTCAGGAGTTTGAGACCAGCCTGGCCAACATGCTGAAACCCCGTCTCTACTAAAAGTACAAAAAAGAAAAAAAAAATAGCCGGGCGTGGTGGCGCACGCCTGTAATCCTAGCTACTCAGGAGACTGAGGCAGGAGAACTGGTTGAACACGGGAGGCGGAGGTTGCAGTGAGCTAAGATCGCGCCACTGCGCTCCAGCCTGGGCGACAGAGGGAGAGTCAGTCTCAGAAAAACAACAACATAAAAACAGACTGATCATCTGTAGTTTTTGCACAACTGATCACGCCCTCCACTATCTTGTTCGGCGGTCTCGGCGGTCTGGAATCCTCCTAGGCCAGCGAACCTTACTGAACACTGGCGAGGACTCCGCCTCTAGGAATAGAATCGCGGGGTAGGTGGGGTCGTCTGGAGGTAGCTGGCTCCGCCCGGCCCGCGGGCGAGTCCGGAATACAGTTACCCACCTCAGTTGCCCACCGGAAAGCAAAGGGAGAGGAACCCGCCAGACCAGAAACGGAAGAGAGCGCGGGGGATGTGTTTGGCGTGGGGCGCACTGTTCAGTTGCTCTCCTGGATGGCTTTATGTCTCCGCGGTGTTTCCTAGAGTCTCGGCGTTTCTACCTCTTCGCACCCTTTCCTGCCACCCTTTGTCCCCTGGAAGCCCGGAGACATCAGCGGCTGCAATTTTGCTACTCGCTGCTCGGCGTGGAACTGTCAGGTACCGCAGTTCAGCACTTTTGGCTCCGCAGGTCCTCGGGCATCCCTGTGCCCCGTGCTGTACATTCAGTTATCCTCCAACTTCCTGGTGTCGATGTTATTACCTGCTGGGTTTTAGAAGCTATTGCTTTAAATCTGAGAAAAGAAAAATCCCAGAAAGATAAGATGACTTGCCCAAGGAAACATAGCGTGCGTGGAAGACAGAGCTCCAATTACAAGCCGGGTCGCTGTGCCTCATTCGTCTTGTCATCAACTCCTGTCAGTTTATCCAAGCTCCAAAAGCGAAGTTGTTTTAGCTTTTGCTTCCCAAGATTTATGTGATAGTCTCATTTCTGTTTCCTTCATTTATTCTTTAGTTCATTATTGGAAAACTTTACAGCGTGCCAGTACTGGTCATAAACCCCAAGTAAGACAGTCTTGTCATCACGGAGCGTGTAGTTCCAGCAAGTAGACAATTTAAGTGCTGTGTAGTGAAGTAATTGCTGAGATAGTGTATGGAAGCACAGAGTACACCATTCATCCAACAAGTAATTGCTGGAGGAGCAAATAGGGACACCTAACCATTGCAGGGGCGACTCAGGATATCCTTTCTGGAAGAAAAGTCTGATGAAATCTGAAGGACCACTGGTTGAAGTTAGCCAGGAAAGAAAACGTGTTGCAGCATACTTGGTTTTGCTGTTTATCCTCCGAGTACTTTATTGTTATGAAAGCCTAATTCCACTGTGTAACTTCCATGCATAACACTCAGAAGCCAGTTAAGTACAGTGCTGAAGCAGGTTAGTAGCAGTGAAGATGGGAAGGACCAGCTGAATGGAGGAGAAAAATTGCCCAGGTAGAATTAAGGGGATGTGACATCATGGGATAATGGTAGGGTGGTCAGAGATAGCAAAGATTTCAACTGGCTGCTTTGGAGGATTATGGTATCCTTAACGTTAGCAGAAGAATGCAGATCCGGGGTTGAGAAAGATTTTTACGTATGTTATAATTTTTGGAAAACAGAAAAAATCTGTTTATGTCAGGGGGCATTTTAATATAGAAGTGTGAAAAATGGAAAATCAGTCTGAAAGGGGACGTCTTAAATGTCGTTTTGAAGGTGTTGCATTTGAAGTACTGATGAGATACTGTCAGTGGAAACAAACTCAGGTGGGAGGTTAGGTTTAGAATTTTATGTTAGTGTTATGGAGTTACTTATACATAATTTTCCTGTAATGTAGATTGCTTTCTGTGGTATGAAAGCAGTCTTGAAAGGAAACATTGTAGTAAAGATTATATGTGAGATTCATTCCCCTGATTACCACCTTTCTGTTAAAGTACCTTTAATATTAACTTTATTTTCTTTTTTTGAGACGGAGTTTTGCTCTTGTTGCCCAGGCTGGAGTGCAATGGCACGATCTCGGGTCACCACAATCTCCGCCTCCCGGGTTCAAGCGATTCTCCTGCCTCAGCCTCCTGAGTAGCTGGGATTACAGGCATGCCCCAGCTAATTTTGTATTTTTAGTAGAGATGGGGTTTCTCCATGTTGGCCAGGCTCCAACTCCCGACCTCAGGTGATCGGCCCGCATTGGCCTCTCAAAGTGCTGGGATTACAGGCATGAGCCACCACGCCCGGCCAACTTTATTTATTGTTATTATTATTACTAATTATTTTTGAGATGGAGTCTCACTCTGTGGCCCAGGCTGGAGTACAGTGGCAGGATCTTGGCTCGCTGCAACCTCTGCCTCCCTGGTTCAAGCGATTCTTGTGCCTCAGCCTCCTGAATAGCTGGGACTACAAGCGTACGTTACCACGCCTGGCTCATTTTTGTATTTTTAGTAGAAACGGAGTTTCACTGTGTTGGCCAGGCTGGTCTCGAACTCCAGACCTCAGGTAATCCATCCGCCTCGGCCTCCCAAAATGCTGGGATTACAGGCGTGAGCCGCTGCACCTGACCAGTGTTAACTTTAAGTGTAGAATAATAGGCTGGGCGTGGTGGCTCACGCCTGTAATCCCAACACTTTGGGAGGCTGAGGCAGGCGGATCACAAGGTAAGGAGATCCAGACCATCCTGGCTAACATGGTGAAACCCCGTCTCTACTGAAAACACAAAAAATTAGCCGGGCGTGGTGGCGGGCACCTGTAGTCCCCGCTACTCGGGAGGGTGAGGCAGGAGAATGGCGTGAACCCGGGAGGCGGAGCTTGCAGTGAGCTGAAATCGCGCCACTGCACTCTAGCCTGGCGACAGAGCGAGATTCCGTCTCAAAAAAAAAAAAAAAAAAAAAAAAGAATAATAATTATTTTCTTAGATTGTACCATATATTGAATATTATGAGAGTCCTGTGTACTTATTATGAGGATACTAGTTTGGCAATTGTTTTTTCATTCTAATTTTAAAGTGCCTGATTTGATAGCCTCTGACGTTTTCATAAGCAGATCAGATAGTTTCAGCATTTTTTGAAATTGCCGTTTTCTCTTTCATGCAAGTGTCCTTAGCCTGTGGCTACTATTTTCTGGCTTTGAGAACTTGATATAGTATTTAACCTAAGGTCTGATACAGGCTCTTGAGCTCACCTGCATCAGAAGCACCTGGGTCTTATTTAACATGCTGATTCCTGAACCCCATTCCAAACTTACAAACTAAGAATCTTAGGAATCTGTGTTTTAAGTCAGCTGCCTATGTGATTTGTATAACCTCTAGAGATTCATAACCACTGACCTAACGTCTGTGGGCAGCAGTTTGTTCTGTAAAACGAGAATAATAAAACCTATCCTTTAAGATTGTAAGGATTAAGTAACATAGGTAACATAGCTACTGTAATGTGGTCCCCTGATCAGCAGAATTAGCAACACCTGGGAGCTTGTTAGAAATGCAAATTCTCAAGTGTCTCCTGGAAACAGCTACTGAATCAGAGTAGTTTGGTGGGACCAAAGAATCTGTATTTTAGCAAGGAGCATAGATACTTTCTGTGGGCCAGGCACAGTGGCCCAGGCATGTAATCCCAGCACTTAGGGAAGCCTAGGTGGGTGGTGGGAGTTCTAAGTGGGCAGATCCCAGGAGTTCCTGTGCAACATGGGAAACCCATTTCTACAAAAAATTAGTCCCAACTACTCAGGAGGCTGAGGTGGGAGGATCGCCGGAGCCTGGGGAAGTCGAGGCTGCAGTGAGCCAAGATCACGCCACTGCACTCCAGCCTGTGTGACAGAGCGAGACCCTGTCTCAAAAAAAAAAAAATAATTTCTATATATATTAAAGTGTGAGAAGCAGTGCTGTAGCACATCAGCTTCATATAAGTAGGGACTATGAAATTCTTATTTACTAATATATTGTCAGTACCTAGTATAGTGCCCAGCACAGAGTAGATATTCACTATATTTAATGAATGATTTTTAAATATATTATACCCTCTTACTGAAACTAACACATTCAAAGAGTTTTTAAAGTTCTTTAGTAATCAAGTGCCAAAAGAGGTTTTTAACTCCACAGAATAAAACTGGATATTTGAGTTACTTAGAATTAGGACATCTTTTGCATGAGTCTAGTATAGATGTAATCATTTGTGGTGTTCTCTTTCATAAATGTATCTAATGAGGAAAGCAAAAATGACATTTATAGCCATCGATTATTTTCTTTTCTGTTCCATTTTAGCTTAGCTTACAAGTGGTTATGGGTTAAGTGGCATGTAGCTTGATGAGAATGTTGATCAGATTAAAACAAGACCCACTCAGTTTTTTTTAAAGTAATCTTTTTGATAGAAATTTATTTTTGTATTATTTAATTATAACTTTTTAAAGAGGTGTTATGTTAAGATCAAGGACTTGCAGTCAGTCAGATCTGGGTTTGAGAATAATAAATTGTCATTTATTAACCATGTCAGAGTTTTTCTACCGAACTCTGGGGTAAATGGTGGGAAGGAACAGATTTGGGAGCACCAGCACCCCCAGGCCTCCCCTGGCCACCCCAAGGAGCAGGTGATCAATATCTCAGCATACCTCTACTTATTTGTGGCACCCCAGTGTGTCTTAGGCCTTAATGGGCTGTGAGGTGCATGACCTTAGGTAAGTTACTTCTCTGATTTTCAGTTTCCTTATCTGCAAAATGGAGACCTTAGGGAGTTAATGTGGGTATGAGAAATGTGCATAAAACATATTGCACGAGGTTGAGGCATATAGTATGTGCTAATAAATGGTAAGTTGCTGCTGCTATGGTTGTTAATAATTATAAAAAGCAAATGGAAAGGGCTTGAATTGAAAAAAAATTTAGATACACGGTTTTTTGCTTTATTAGCCTGCATTGTATTTTTCATTTTTTTTCTTTAATGCATCTTTCCAGGACAAAAAATAATATCCAAAGATATTTTGGCACTAACGGCGCTATCTGTAGCAAGAAAGTTGAGCAGTGTGAACTGTTGAGACTTCCAAGGAGACTTCAGACAACCAAGACAGTGTAAAGGAAAACAGAGAAAAAGACTTGTTAGACATTATTAAGGGCACGAAAGTTGAATTGAGCACAGTAAATGTACAAACAACAAAGCCACCCAACAGAAGTTCACTTAAAAGCTACAACTGGCGGGCCTCAAAGAGCTTTAGGACATGCTCCAAAGAAGAGGTAAATTTAATTGTAATTTGAATGTTGTTTGAAAGTAATTTTTAAAATTCCAGTAAGCTTTTTCTTTTTGCAAAAAATGTTTTTAGTACAAGTACTTGGGAGATATTGAATTAATGAAGAAAAAAATATCAGCTAATAAACACAGGGAGTCTAATAATTACTTGAGAAATGCTGTAATTGTATTATATTTAAATAACAAGAGGATATCTGTACACAATCCAGTGAAAGGAAGAGAGAAGTGATCTCATTGAGAATTCTACACTCTTACATACTTATTGGTGTTATTAACTGCTACTTAACTGCCTCTTTAAGCTGTTAATTAACAATATCATTTACATCTTGATTTGAAGGTAGCTTCATGTCTGTAAAGGACTCACTTATTTGAAATTTTCCATTTAAAAAATTTTTTCTGGAATAAAGTTTAGCACGTTGATTACAACTGCTCTGTATGACTTCCTGTGACCAATAACTATCCGTGCTTTCAGCTTTCCTGGCTTCCTCAGAGCATTGTAATTACTTGTGCTTGTCAAAAGAGTATTTAATTCTAAGTGCAATCAGTAATATCTTGGCATTGTGTTGTAGGTTAAATGGCAGTTTTTTTTTTTAATGATACATAATGATGTATTTCAGGGATGTCATTAATTCAAGTAGTAAGGTGTGTGGCTTTAGGATACCCATCACTGACTTCCCTTATCAGAACAAACAGATAATATAGGCTTCTGTTTTCCAGAATGATTTAACATTTTAATGGAACTTCTTGGTTTCTACATGGTATCAAAAATACCTCTGGAAAGTATAATTGGGTGGTAGAGTAAGCTAATTCAGACAATCAGTACCCATAATAGGTACTTCCTCCTCGTCCTACTCTTTAGAAACAAAACAGTTACATATAAGTATGTGGAAGTAAATAACACAAACATATAAATACATATCAAGAATGGCATTTTTAAGGCTACCAGACCTGTTTATGACCCCTCATGCCCTTTATTTTAATTTAATTAACTATTACAGAAATGGTAAAGTGAGTTGAATGCTTTGGAAAGAGTCAGTAAAGGTCACGTAAACAATTTCTTTCCAATTAGGCATGAGTGAGACAAATATACATACGCAGGAGCATCATACCCTTAGATTGCTTTGTAAGCTATCTCACATTCTTGCTCCACTTTTCCACTTAAACCAAAATTGAAAATATTGCAGGATGGGTGTGATGTATGTAAAATATATGCCTTAGAACCTTTTATCAGTGGTCCTGTGTTTAAAAAAGAGGCTTTGGTCCTACATCAAAAGACTGGTGAACAAGGTGCATCTGTTTTGAGTTTTTAAAAGGTGTCTTTTAATGATTTTTGCCTCCCCTCCCCGCTTTTCAAGGACTTCCAGGATGCATGGGATTAGATGAGTCATGATCTTTGCTTCATGAGGCACTGTCATCATAGCTTCATGCATAGCCTGCTTTTCTTTCTTTGTATTATATATTAAATCCCCATTGATATGGTTACCATAGTTACACTACCTCCCAAACTTAGTGGCATAAAACATTCACTCATTATGCTCACAGATTCTGTGGGTTAGCAGTTTGGCTGGAACACAGCGGGGAAGGCCAGTCTGTGCTCTATGATGTCTGGGTCCTCAGTTGGAAGACTTAGAAATCTGAGGCTGGAATCATCTGAAGTTTGCCCACTCATAGGTCTGGCAGTTGATGCCAGCTGTCAGCTGAGACCTTAGCTGAGGGTGTTAGCAGAAACACCTACATGTGGCTTTCTTTGTGGCCTGGGCTTTCTCACCGCATGGTGGCTGGGTTCCAGGGTGGGTGTCTCAAGAGAAAGTGAGCCAAGAGGAAGTTGTATTTTGTTTTGTTTTGTTTTGTTTTTGAGATGGAGTCTCGCTCTGTCACCCAGGCTGGAGTGCAGTGGCGCGGTCTTGGCTCACTGCTATCTCCACCTCCTGGGTTCAAGCAGTTCTCTGCCTCAGCCTCCCGAGTAGCTGGGATTACAGGTGCCTGCCACCATGCCTGGCAAATTTTTGTATTTTTAGTAGAGATGGGGTTTCACCATGTTGGCCAGGCTGGTCTTGAACTCCTGACTTTGTGATCCACCCTCCTCGGCCTCCCCAAGTGCTGGGATTACAGGCACGCCACCGTGCCTGGCCAGTTGTATTTTCTTTTTAATGACCTAGCCTTGTAATAAGATTGGACATTACCATGTTTACCCTCTTCCACATTGATTTTCCTAGGATATTTGTTTTTACCACAACCACTTCTGAGACACCGTCTTAACAAGGATAATGTCATTGATAGGAATGGAGTAATATACATTTGGCCCTCTGTATGCGTAGGTTCTGCATCCACAGATAACTTCTGATAACGTTTTTTAAGAAACACAGAAAAAAATACCAATTAAAAAATACAGTATAACAACTACTTATGTAGCATTTGTTATATTAGGTATTACAAGTAATCTAGAGATGATTTAAAAGTATTCTCGAGGGGCCTGGAGCAGTGGCTCATGCCTGTAATCCCAGCACTTTGGGAGGCCAAGGTGGGCAGATCACTTGAGGTTAGGAGCTGAGACCTACCTGATCGACATGGTGAAACCCTGTGTCTATCACAAAAATACAAAAATTAGCCGGGTGTGGTGGCATGGGACTGTAATCGCAGTTACTCGGGAGGCTGAGGTGGGAGAATCCCTTGAACCCGGGAGGTGGACAATGCAGTGAGCCGAGATTGTGCCAGTGCACTCCAGCATGGGCAACAGAGTGAGACCCTATCTCAAAATAAAAAAAAAAGTTATGAAGGGGAAAAGTATGTATTCATGAAATAGTTTTAATTACAGGATTGAATAGATTGTTAAAAGATACTTTTTTTTTTTTTGAGATGGAGTCTTGCTGTTTTTTGCCCAGGCTGGAGTGCAGTGGTGTGATCTCGGCTTACTGCAACCTCCGCCTTCTAGGTTGAAGCGATTCTCCTTCCTCAGCCTCCTGAGTAGCTGGGATTACAGGTGCACTCCACAATGCCTGGCTAATTTTTTTGGTTTTAGTAGAGATGGGGTTTCACCATGTTGACCAGGCTGGCCTCGAACTCCTGACCTCAGGTGATCCACCTGCCTCGGCCTCCTAAAGTGCTGGGATTACTGCCATGAGCCACCACGAAGCCCTGAAAGATACTTTAACAAGTTCTCATTACATTGTTAAAATCTATGAAGAAAGATCCTTGTATGTAAAAATTATCTTGTTCAATGACACAGGCTCCCTACAATTTTTATTAATTAGAACTTTATAAATTATAAAGCCAGAGACTATAACTATGAAGGAAATTATTGTTATGAAATGCATGATTCTGAAAAATGAATATTCACCTATGTTCTGTGCCTACTCTGATCAAATACATATATTAAAATTTGAAAATGAAGTTTACAAGTGGTTTATGAAAGAAATAACAATGATGTGGAATACGGTTAAAGCTTTATTCACAGATAACAGTTCTGAAAGTACATTTCATTTTAACTATTATATTTCCTTTTTTCTTTTTCTTTTTTTGAGACAGGGTGTTGCTCTGTGGCCCATTCTGGAGTGTGGTGGAACAATCATCACTCACTGCAGCCTCAACCTCCCAGGCTCAAGTGATCCTTCCACTCAACCTCTCAAGTAGCTGGGACTGTAGGCATGTGCCACCACTCCTGGCTAATTTTTTTTTTTCTTTTTGTGGAGATGGGGTTTTGCCATCTTGCCCAGGCTGGTCTTGAACTCTTGAGCTCAAGCGATCCTCCCTCCTTGGCCTCCCAGAGTGCTGGAATTACAGGCATGAGCCACCATGCTGAACCCCTTTTTTCATTCTTCTATTTTTCTTCCATTCCTATCAGATTTTAGATCTTCCATATATATCTCAATTAAGTCCTTAAAATCTTTCTCCAAGAACTTTAGGAATTTGGGAGCTTTAATTTGAATATTAGGTAATAGATCATAATACAGAAAGCCAGGCATAATAAAATATTAATTTGGGTCCCACTTATTGAGATGGCAGTTCTCAGTGAGTTTAAAAATGTCGCAAATAGCCAGGTATGGTGACAGATGCCTGTAGTCCAAGCTACTCAGGAAGATGATGTGGGAGGATTGCTTGAACCCAGGACTTCGAGGCCAGACTTCACGACATACTGAGATCCCATCTCTTAAAAAAAAAAAAAAAAAAGGAAACAATGTTGTATACAGTTTACTTTCTTTTCATAATAGGATGTTTTTATATTAACTTGCTCTAATTTATTTAGGAAGCTTTTAAAAGCTTTTTCTTATGAAAAATTTAAAATATACGCAAAGTACGCAAAATGGTACAGTGAACCCCTTTATACTGTCACCCAGCTTCAACAATGATCAACATTTTACTATTCTTGTATTATATATACCTTCACCCAGTTTTCATCTCCTACTTGATAATGATTGATGGCTTTTTTTTTTCAGGTAAAATTTACATACATTAAAGTGTACAAATCTTAGCTGGAGGATTTTGACAAATGGATAAGCCCATGTGACCCACACACTTAACCAAGACACTGTGTTTCCCATTTTCACCTTCCCAGTTAGTAGCCTTCTGTCCTGAGGCAATTGTTGTCTTGATTGTTTTTTCACCTCAGATTAGTTTTGCCTGTTCTGGCACTTGACAGCAATGGAATCATACAGAATATATTCTGTGTCCAACTTCTTTCACTTGCTCTAATATCTGTGAGAATCATTCATGTTGGCATGAGCTGAGTACTCTTCCATTGTTTGGATATCTGACAATTTGTTTTTTCATTCTAACAACAGACCTTAGGTTGGTTCCAGTTTGGGGCTATTATGAGTAAAGCTTCTGTGAACAGGTTAAGCTGCCTTAATATTTGCTTGCAATATATATTGTTTTTGAAATACAATAGCATCTAATTGAAAATTCCACTAATTTATAATTTTTGAGGCTGATCCCTCATCCCTCCACCTTAATATATTGTTCTGAATTAGCATTTCAAAGTTTATATAAAACTGGTACCTAATAGTTGAGAATTCCTGCTTTTGTCAGATATTGAATTGAATGATACTTTTTTGATCAACAGAAAATTTTCCCCCCAAAATCATTTTGCTTTTCACTAAACTACTGGCATAATAAGCAATCTCTCTTTTTTCTTTCTCATTTGGTTTTCATTTTCTTTTTCAGAAATGAGCCCCTGAGTCCTGAGTTGGTGGCAGCTGCATCTGCTGCTCTGTTTTGACAAGCAAACAAGCCAGAACTGCTCAGGCAGCTCCGTAGCATGAGGAAGAGTCAGGGGCACAGAGAGATGGAGAGAGACCTAGTTAGGTAAGTGAATCAAACCATTAGGTTAGTAATGTTTATATCTCAAAATAGGCCATTTTCATGTGGCTAGTAAGTAATACACATAATATATACCACATAAGTGGAATTTACATATAGAATATACCATATAAGTAGAATTTTAGCAATTCAAGTTTTTAAAAAACTTATGTCTTAAGTAAGATTATAGTTTTAAGAGACCAATTGAATAGTTACTGTCCTTTTAGGAAGTTACAGTTTCTTGTCCATGAAACAAGGAATGATAAATTCAGTAATGTTATTAAAAATAACAGAATAAGATAGCTTTTCTGAGAAAAGTAATTTTTTTTTCAGTTAAATAGCTTGCTGGTTTTATGCATGGTATAGCAATCTTCAGGTCTGTTTCCTTCTCTTTTTCCTCCTATTCTTATGTTTAAGCTGACATCTTTCCACTTACTCTCTTCATCTCTCATTATTTTATGCTACGTTAGACTCCTTGCTGCCTACATTGTAGTAAGTGGTAACACTGCTTCATTTTGGAGAGTGATCTAAATCTGTTATTCCCAATGAGCGTGTGTACCAGATGTATTTCGGGAAGTTAAAAGAAATGGCCATGTGTGGTGGCTCATGCCCGTAATCCCAGCACTTTGTGAGGCTGAGGTGAGAGGATCACTTGAGGCCAGGAATTTGAGACCAGTCTGGGCAGCAAAACAAGACCCCATCTTTACAAACCATAAAAAAATTAGCTGGGCATTGTGGCATGTGCCGGCAGTTCTAGCTACTTTGGGGGCTAAGGCTGGAGGATGGCTTAAGTCCAGAGTTTGAGGCTGCATTGAGTTAAGATAGGCACCACTGCCCTCCAGTCTGGGCGACAGCGAGAGACCCTGTCTCTGAAAGAAATTATATTTAAAAAAAAAGAAAACCATAAATATCTGTACTGTCAGTTCAGTGACTCATTTTGTTTGTGTTTGAACAAATACAAGGGCAATAAATAAATACATCTATCTTGGTTTTAATTTAGTTATTGAATATAGGTGATAGGCATACAGATACTGATTGTACTTTCTGTTCATTTTCTTGGAATAATTTTTCATGTGACACTTTTATGTTTGAAATGAATATTTCTGAAGAACATCTTTAAAAGACAAGTAAACAAAAATTGTAATGTTCTGTTATGTGAATGTTAATAGATGACTTTTTAAAATTTAATTTAAACATAACTTTGTATGCTGTATAATTAGTGGATAAAAATGAAATAAGAATTAAATGTTATCACTGTCCTGTTTCAGAAAGTTTATTACTGTTCTGTAGCTAAGGTTTCTTTATTTTTTTATTTTTTTGGAGACAAAGTTTCACTCTTGTCTCCTCGGCTGGACTGCAATGGTGCGATTTCGGCTTACTGCAACCTCCACCTCCTGGGTTCAAGCGATTCTCCTGCCTCAGCCTCCCAAGTAGCTGGGATTACTGGTGCCTGCCACTGTGCCCAGCTAATTTTGTACTTTTAGTAGAGAGGGGGGTTTCTCCATGTTGGCCTGGCTGGTCTTGAACTCCTGACCTCAGGTCATCCACCCGCCTTGGCCTCCCAAAATGCTGGGATTACAGGTGTGAGCCACCGATCCTGGCTGTAGCTGAGATTTCTAATGCACTTGACCTTTTTATTATTTCAGTTTCAATAACAAAATATCAGATATGAAAATTGCCAGATGTGCTACAGCTAGAATTAATATAAGGCCAGAGCATCAGATTCAGTTTGACCAAGGCTATGACAATTATCCTGGCCTGGAGAAGACTGCTGATCTTAGAAACAGGTATCAGGCTTTGTAGTCTGCTGGGTTTTGTTTGTATAGTTTGGTTTTACCTTGACTGTAGATTTACCTTATTGTGGGTGTGTATGATTGCTGTTGGATATGTGAGCATTATGAATGCATTTACATCTGTGTTCTTACTCTCTGTATACCACTTCCTAGAGAGGGAACCATGTGCTGGAGTTAGCCAGTCCTGCATTTTTCTATACCTTAAATCAAAATAGGCCATGCTTCATATCTACCCATGATGAATAGGGTTCCTTTGATTTAGAATAAATAGAGCTGACTGAATTCTGAACAAGTGAGTATTTTGTAAGAAACATTATTTTTCATTTTAAATATCAATGCCTAATACTGTGTATTCATTTACCCTTTATATCTCTATACATGCTTATCTTTTGTTACACCTTAGAGAAATGACCCACCATCAACGAAAAGAAAGAAAGGCGTAGGCTGGGCATGGTGGCTCACGCCTGTAATCCCAGCAATTTAGAGGGCCGAGGCAGGCGGATCACGAGGTCGGGAGTTCAAGACCAACCTGGCTAACATGGTGAAACCCCATCTCTACTAAAAATACAAAAATTAGCCGGACGTGGTGGTGAGCTCCTGCAATCCCAGCTACTCAGGAGGCTGAGGCAGGAGAATTGCTTGAATCTGGGAGGTGGAGGTTGCAGTGAGCCAAGATCGTGCCACTGTACCCTATAGCTTAAAATGGTAGATTATTTGTGGCTATTTGAAATTACTGAAGTTCTTAAAGATGGTGAGCCATGTCTTACATAGTTATTTTAGAATCTAAAGTTGTTCTGTATTTACATAAAGTTTCTATTCTTTCTCTCCTTTAAACCCTGAAAGTGGTAGTTGAGAAGGAGGAGCCAGATATTTGGCATGGTCTGACAAAAGTTAACGTGTCTTTTATTTATTTATTTGTTTATTTTTTTGAGACGGAGTCTCACTCTGTCGCCCAGGCTGGAGTGAAGTGGCACCATCTTGGCCCACTGCAACCTCTGCCTCCTGGGTTCTAGCGATTCTCCTGACAGCCTCCCCAGTAGCTGGGATTACAGGTGTGCACCACCATGCCCAGCTCATTTTTGTATTTTTAGTAGAGACAGGGTTTCACCATGTTGGCCAGGCTGGTAACTCCTGACCTCAAGTGATCTGCCCACCTCGGCCTCCCAAAGTGCTGGGATTACAGGTGTGAGCCACCACGCCCGGCCTAACCTGTCTTTATAGCAGGATATGCTCACAGTTGGAGTGTTTTCAATACATTGTGTATTCCGTGGATTTGTTTTAAGTAAAATCAGGCACTTGAGTTAACTCCTTCTGGGTGTTAAATTAGTGATTTATACAGGAAAGTTGGAAAAGGTGGTTAGCAGTTAACACAGGAAGTTCAAGAGTTTATGGTGACTTTGGAATATTATTTGAATTACTAATTTAAAGTGATTTAGTATCTGTTACATATTATTGAATAAAGTAGAAAGTGTTCTTGGAGTTTTACTTAAGAATGTTTAACTGAGTCAGTTAATACCGGAGAAAATTTAACTGAATCATTCAGCTTGCATATAATACTGTGCAGCTACATCGGGATGGCATATTTGATTTTTAATATTAGATTTGATATTTAATATTTTAAAAATTAGGTGGCAAAGGAGAAACTAAAAAAGTAGGAAAGGGGTTCCTGTGCCTTCAGTGTGTTAAAAAGCCAGCTAAAGGGGAGTAAGGGGAAGCAATGGTGAGATGCCAAGTTGTTCACCCTGATATGACTTGGGCAGGGTCTGGGGTATCAACCCCAGACAACCCAGGCCTGGACTTATTGCTTCTGTTGGAAATTGACAGTTCACACTGGCCTTTCTCAGAATGTTGGCACTGCCACTGACTAATTCTGTGACCGGGGCACCTTTTATAGCCTCCATCAGCCTGTTTCCCCAGCTGTAAAATGCTGAAAGTGAAACCTAGCTTAAATGGCTTTCTTGAGGAATAGAAAAGAAACCACGTATAAACTCTCTGGTACATAGTAGGTGCTCAGCAAATGTCCATTCCCTTTCTCTGTTGTGCATTCCTCTTTTGAAGTTCAGTGCTTTACCAAGGCATTTCCTCTCTGCCGTGACTTGCTTTAATCCACCATCCTGTTCACCGGACGTTCGGTTGAGAAAGAAGAATGCAAGGCACTGAGGAAAGTTCTGGAGCAGAAAAGCCTTTGTTTACAAATAACTTGGGAACCTGCTAGAGGAAAACTTGTATGACTTGAAATCACATTACTTAATGTTCATATGATATTTTCATTTTTTCCGGTTCTATTTAGTAGAGAAAAGTAGTTTAGTCCATAAAAAAAGAATTTAGAATTATTTTTAAAATTAGCCCTCCAGTTTATAAACTGGATTTTAATCTGCCAGTAAGTTTATTCAAGTAAATATGTAAATTGATGCATAAAACAGTTGATTATCAAGTTTGCAAGAAAATGTTACCTGTTAACTCTGATATTAATTTCAATGGTTAAAAAGTCATGTAAAGAAAGTTAATTATTTTACAGAATGATTGCTTTATGAAAGGGAATGTTGTGATTTACCTATATAATCTTTTGTAATTATAATTTGTAATTAAACATTGCAGTGTTTCCTGCCCTTAAAAACAAGTGTTGACTCTTTTTAACAGCTTCTTTTAATTATAATTTGTAATTAAACATTGCAGTGTTTCCTGCCCTTAAAAACAAGTGTTGACTCTTTTTAACAGCTTCTTTTTAGCATAGTTTTATAATTTTTCACAACATGGAGTTTTTAAAACTTAATATAAAAGGGAACAAATAAAAATTAATGCTAATTGAGCTAATCTTTTCAGTTGGATATTTTGGAAATTAAGTTGCTGTAACTGATTTGTTGTATTATGAAGCAAAACTTCAAGTGCACATTTCTGTTTTTAGTCTATCAGTCCTAAAAATGTGGCAATTTAGCTAAGATGTTTGATGTACGTCAGTGGAATTATTTTGAATTTTTACATAGAATATTTCACTTAAATTTTTTTCTCATAATTTTGTTGACAGTTTATATTCATTAAAATGTTCTTTTTTTTAGGAAAAATATATTCAGGGGGAAGAGATGTAATAGATTTCACATTATGGCAGTTACTAAAGAAGCACGTGAACAGGTTTGTTAAGAATAACTATTTCTCAGGTGGAAAAATATTCCATCTTTTCAAGATGTCCTTAGTGTTCTGATGGTGTAATAGTTGGATATTTTAATATTCCCTCCTGTCATTGGCCTGGATTCGAATCATGAATGTGGCGGTTGTTAGAAGGAAAACTTGGGACTGTAAATTGGGAAGGCATTGAGAGACCAAAGAATAATTTGGGCAAGACCAGCTTGATGAATAGATGAGTTTACTAGGACTTACCTACTGGACATTTCTGGGCAGCTCTAGAGTCACCCTGCCTCTTATCTCTAAACTGCTTTTAAGCTTATATGCTGGCTGTTTGCCTACATGTGTGCACAATGAAACTGTTTTCCTTGATATGTTTTGAGGTATGTCCTGGGATGTTTGGGTTCTCAGGGACACCTGCTCCTCAGCTAGGCACTATGGCCTTGGCTCCCTGCCCAGCCTTCAGGGTTCAACCAACACACATATACCCTTAAGTAACCTGGTGGGAGACATACCACACTACAGTTATTGACATTGCTAGTTGTGGTTCAGTTTCCCTCTTGAAATGTTGCATTCTGTGAGATAATGGGAGGTGAGTACTACTGATTACATGAATCCAGAGGTCCAGATTAGCCACTAATTTGGGTTAGAACATTATTAATCACCTACCATTTGCAGTATATCTCTATGCTATTACATAAAGACATAGTGGTTCCTGTCCCTAGGCAGCTTGCTATCTAGAAGAGGAGATAGCATTTATAAAATAACTTATTGAAGTGATTTAGTGATTGTTCAGGAGATGGGAAGAACATTCAAGGAATATATTTAAGAGACTTGTGTTTTTTTCTTAACACATGGTTGGTCTTTGTTCCCTATTCTTCCCCTTTTCTTTGGGTAAGAAATTTACCATTTTAAGTCTAAAAGAGAAATGAGTGTCCTCTTGCTTGGCATTAAATTTGGTTTACTAGTAAAATAAATGAAGAAACTCAGTACAAATGGTCTCCAGAGTGTAAGTGATGAGCATTTCTGACGAATAGAAGTTAGTTTTTTGGATTTTGATAGAAATAATGTTGTATATGGACTTAGGAGGCTAAGACAACAGGATGGCTTGGGATTAGGAGTTCAAGACCAGCCTGGGCAACATAGTGAGATCCTTTCTGTAAAAAAATAGAAAAAAATTATCTGGGTATGGTGGTGCATGCCTATAGTCCTAGCAACCTGGGAGGTTGAGGTGGGAGGATCACTGGAGCCCAGAATTCGATGCTGCAATGAGTTACAATTGTGCCATAACACTCCAGCCTAAGCGACAGAGTGAGACCCCCTCTCAAAGGGGAAAAAGAAAATGTTGTATGTGATAGATAAGTTCCTGGGCCAGCCTCCAATGACTCATTTAATCTTTCTACCAGTTATTTATATGAACTTCTGATTTTCCCCCTATTTAATAAACTATGTTAGAGGCTAGATCTCATTCATGTCTGTATACCCTATAGCATCTACTCATGTGGCTTACAGATCGTAGGAACTAGTTATCTTAATCTTAAATTCTTTTTTGAAGAAACTGTAGTATAAAATATACATCTATAAAGGAAAGTAGTGAATTCAATTAACATTTGTTCATTAGAACTGAAGGTGAAGCTAAAAGAACAACCCCCTGTATTACAAAAACTGCATTCTGTTGTGTATGATAAAAAGGAAATGCAAAATGCATAGGGACAATGAATCACCTCTCCCCTGCTCAAATGGTATCCGTTAAGTGTGCATCAGAAAGGAATTTTTTGTCAGGGCAGCTGCTGTTGTCCAGCCAAAAGAGACACTTGGATTCTGGAAGGAGCCCACTTGCTTTTTAAAATAAAATAATCTTATTTCTAAAACTGAAATTAGTTGGCAAGAAGGCATTTAAATTTTATGTATTTTATAAAACAGTATCAAATGATTATACTCTAGTGAGGAAAGTAGCACACAAATTTATGTAATAATTTACTCTGAAAGTACTGTTTGTGCTATACTTGCATGAGTCTAAAGAATGTTTTTTGTTTCCAGTTAAGTAGAAGAATAGCAACATATGGAAACTTAAATTTAGCAATTTTTCATTGTTGTTATCTTACCATCCCAAATAATGCTGGAAATATAATTGGCATTCAGTAATTTTTTTTATTGACCGATTGAATGAGTTATTCTGTTCCATGATTCCCACTTCTTGTTCCCCACTAAGTTCTTACCACTGCTACAAAGGATATAGTCATAGGCCCTACTGGTTATCCCAGAGTCGACAGGCAGTATAGCTCAACAGAAAGAGTGTTGGTGTTGTGTAGGTCTGGATTCAAATTCCGATTCTGCCTCACTAACCTTTCCCCAACTGTAAAATGAGGGTTAGTATGTACATCTGAAGGATCAAATGAGGTCATCTGAAAAAAGTGTGAGGCACAGTGCCTGGAACATAGTACACATTTAATAAATGTTTGCAACTATTAGCAAGTGTAAAATATGATGATCCTAATGATGATGGAAAAGACATAGGTCGGTCAGTGTCCACCAAATAAAAGATAACTGAGACAATTAAGTTATTTCATTGGTGTGATTGCTCTGTAAATGTGGCTAGTTAAGCCTAACAGTTGTGATAGTTACCCAGTATCAGATGAACTAGGCCAAAATATTTAATATCTGCCAGTCAGTATGTGGTTAGACACATCTCTGCACATAAAGGCTCATAGAAACCGATTCAGAAAAAGCAAATAGATAAAATAAGGCTTACCCAGGTAGAAGAGTAAATGAGCTATTTGTTGACATGCTTTAGGGGGCTTGACAAAAGTGTGTAAACAGGTAGAGTGGAGGATAAATCATATGCAATGTACACCTCTAGCCCAGAAAGATAAAAAATGTTTGAAAAAATAATTAAGGATGAAAAATTAGGGAAAAAAGTAGCCAAGGGATAGAGAGTGATATTCATTTTCTTTTTACAACTTTATTAAGGTATAATTTGTGTGCAAGGAACTGCACACATTTAGAATATATAACTTGACTAGTTTTGACAAATAGATACACCCGTGAAACTGCCACTTAGAAATCTGAACATTTTCATGTCCTTTTGCAACACACACACACACACACACACACACACACACACACACACACACACACAATGCAGGCAACCACTGATCTGCTTTCTGTTAAAATAGATTAAGTTGCATCTCTTAGAATTGTACATAAATGAAATCACACAGTACGTACTCTTTTGCATCTGGCTTGTTTCACTCAGCTAATGATTTGAGATTCATCCATGCTGTAACATGTACTAGTAATGCATTTTTATTACTGAATAGTATACAGTTGTATGGCTGTATTACTGTTTTTTTTTTTTTTTTTGAGACGGAGTCTCGCTCTGTAGCCCAGGCTGGAGTGCAATGGCGCGACCTCGGCTCACTGCAACCTCCACCTCCTGGGTCCCGGTTGAAGCATTTCTCCTGCCTCAGTCTCCCGAGTAGCTGGGATTACAGGCACATGCCACCATGCCCAGCTAATTTTTGTATTTTTAGTAAAGATGGGGTTTCATCATGTTGGCCAGGCTGTTCTTGAACTCCTGACCTCGTGATCTGCCCGCCTCGGCCTCCCAAAGTGCTGGGATTACAGCTGCGAGCTACCGTGCCCGGCTGATGTATTACATTTTTGTACCTATTCACCTGTTAGTGGACATTTGGATTGTTTCCCAAATTACAACCCACATTTGGCTATTACAAAGAAAGCTGCCATGAACTTTCGTGTACAAGTCTTTGTGTGGACATGTATTATCTCTTGGGTAAATATCCAGCGATGAAATAGCTATGATGAATAACAGATGTATTTTTAACTTTTTAAGAAGCCATCAAGCTGTTTTCCAAGATGTTTGTACCATTTTACGTTCCCAGCAGCAGTAACTGGTCGGAATATGGCTCATTTTCAAAAGATGTTCTGAAATTTCAAAAGTAAAAAAGTTATTGAAACATGTAATATGATGGTGGTAATTAGCCAACTCACAGGGTTGGTTGTGCAGATTAAATGTACTAATGCATAAAAAAATTTAAGCACAGAGGAAGTACTCAAGTGTTCATTAGCAGTTTTATTGTTATTCTGTTGATCTAACTTCTTTGGTTGTTAACAGTAGTACATTAGTGACTAATTTTGATAGAGTTAAAATAAACAGTCTAGAGTTTAAAAATAAGTCACATATTGTATAAAAAATATTCATATTCATAAAAATACCTTTAAACAAAATACAAATTTATTTTTTTTTCCAGTAGAAGGGGTAGTGATTACCTGGCATTGTTGTAAAACCAAAGTTAAGCTTGCCATTATTGTAGTTATAGTCTTTATTTATTTATTTATTTTTTGAGACAGAATCTGGCTCTATCACCCAGGTCGGAATGCAGTGGCCCGATCTTGGCTTACTGTAACCTCCGCCTCCTGGGTTCAAGCGGTTCTCCTGCCTCAGCCTCCCAAGTAGCTGGGATTACAGGCACACACCACTGTGCCCAGCTAATTTTTTGTATTTTAAGTAGAGATGGGGTTTCACCATGTTGGTCAGGCTGGTATTGAACTCCTGACCTCCCCACCTTGGCTTCCCAAAGTGCTGGGATTACAGGCATGAGCCACAGTGCCTGGCCTAGTTATAGTCTTTAATATAATTTTTGTTGCTGTTATCTCTCCGTGAGTAACTTTTTATTATATACTGTAATTATGAGTGTCAAGGTATTAAAAATACACGATCAATTCAGGATTGGTTATAACATTTTTTAAAAAGATATTTACATTGACTTGTTCTTATTTAAAATGTCTTACTATACAGACACATCACCTTCACTTTGGGATATGGAATTTGATAAGCAGTTAGCCACAGAATATGAACAACCCCTTGAGAATGAGATTGAAGAACTGATCCAGGGGACAAAAGAGGGGAAACTGAGAGTTCCCAATTAATAATGAAGCAGGTAAGTGTTAATTCCAGGGGTTATAAAATTCATTGATTGAGATTATTTCTGCCAGATATTCACTTTTAGAGTGTAGATACTTACATGAATTTCAAAACACTGTGTAGATATCTTCGCGGTGTCCTAAAGACAGTTAGTTGCAGCAGAGTCCATGCAATATAATAGAATTTTATGAAATTCAAAAACCAAATTTTGAATATACTTTCTTAGCTCTAACGGCGATAAAACTATAAAGAAAATGATCAACATAACGCGGTATTTCAGGAAGTCAGGGTAATTGAGTAGGGACACTCAGGGGCTTCGACAGTACTATCATTCTGTTCCTCAAGTTGGACGGCAGGTTCACAGGTGGTCATTTCATCATGCCTTTATGTTGTTTTATGTTGTATATATTATACTATATGTTATCCATATTATAATTACACATATTCTTTTGTTTGTAACAATGTTTCATAATATTTCAAGGAATGAATGGAAATGGGCACATAATGAAGATATGCAGTGCCTAGCCATCAGTAGAGTCCCAGCATTATCAGATTCTAAGATAATTCTTATACAAAAACAAGCAAACAAAGGGCATGTTATCTAGAATGAAAAGACCATCCATATTCTAATAAACTGAGACAATCAAATAGGGAATCCCTCTTTTAAGGATGGTATTTGTTATATGCTTGGAAGTGTTTTGAAGTAGAAATTGGTTGTAAATAAATCTACTCCTTGTTAATAGGAAAGTATAAGCTTGCTTTTAATGTCCCTGTTATCCCTACCAAGAAATTAAAAATCCTGGAGGTTAGTATTGCTTATGAACTCACTTACTTGCTTATTAATGACAGGTGCATTTGCCCTCTTAGGGGATGACCATGGGTATTTTAAAAGATAAGAAATTTGCTGAGAATTCCTTAAATTTTTCTAATTTTTACTAGCCAGTGAGGACATTGTCCCTTTTTTGCAGGTAGCTTTGAAAGATGATACCTCCACAGTTGAGACCATGTTGTTAAAACATCCTTCATTTAACCATTTACACATTTGGTTCTAAAGAATGTATTATCCTTAGATTCTTGGTTCTAAAGAATGTATTATCTTAAGATTCTTGTCTTACCACTATTCTTAAAATTTCTCTAAAACTTGCTGAGGTAATCAGCTTTAAATTCTATAAATACAGATAACAAAACCCTCTTAATCCTAAAGGTGCTTTTAAAGTTCATGCATTTATACATGTATGCAAATTGCCTATTAAATTGGGAAGATTTCATTCTAAGTAACCAAATCTTAAGGAGCTAAAGCTAACCTGCTTTATAAAATATATTAATTCCAGGACTAAGCAATTTCTGAAAACAGACTTATTTACTGTGCTGCTTAATATTTCCTCAAACTAGAATACAAGTGACGGTGGCAGAGGGAGGAAGTAACTCATACTAGGAAGAACAAATAGCTGCTGGAATATGCTTGTGGTTTAGAGCTTCTTTTAAAAATCCTGTCAGCTGCAAAGGAAAGGAAGGACTAATATTTTCCACGAGATCAGTAACATCTTTATGAAGATGCTCCTTTTGAATGTGGTACAGAAAGTTGGAAAACACTTAGGCATGGTATCTGGCATAGTGCCCCTTAGGGAGCACTTCACATGCAGACGGTCTGGGGCTTAGGATGGTTTGACTTAGAATTTTTTGACTTTATGATAGTTGCAAAGGCGATGCACATTCAGTAGAAAGTGAACTTTGAGTCCCCATAAAGCTATCCTGTTTTTCATGTTTAGGACATTGTTCCCATAAATTCATGAGCTATTCAACCCTTTATAATAAAAAAGAATTTGTGTTAGATGATTTTGCCCAAATGTAGGTTAATGTAAGTGTTCTGAGTACGTTTAAGGTAGGCTAGTCTAAGCTCTGATGCTCAGTAGGTTAGGTGTATTAAAGACGTTTTTACTTACGATATCTTCCCCTCCCAATAAACCCATTGTAAGTCAAGAAGCACCTGTAGAGGTCTGCCTTTACCAATTTCAGCTGCGACAAATTTAATGTTCCTGTATTGCTTTTAAATTGGAGAGCAGAAGCAGGTCTGAAACAAATACTGCAGTTAGCTTTGTGTTCTTCGCTATTTATTGAACAGTTCAGAGGGCAAGGAAGCAAAGAGAAGTGCTCTGAGTGTGTCTTTGCTTGCCAGCTCCTGAATTTTTAACAGTTCTACAGTGGCCTTCCTGTATTTTTCTCTCGTTTTGTGTGTTCTCTTCTGTTTTTGTTGACCCTGTCTCAAAAAAAAAAAAAAAAAAAAAATCAAAACTATCCCTTGGGAATACATAATGTTTGTATATGGAAACCCTCATGCCTTTCTTGCTACCTGTAGGATAAAGTCCAAAATCCTTAGCTTAACATTCAAATTTCTCCATCAAACTGGGTTCCTAGGCCAACTATTTCAGAGTTAATGTTGTTCTTGTTTTTTTTTTTTTTTTTTTGTTTTTTTTTTTTTGAGATAGTGTCTCGCTCTGTTACCCAGTCTAGAGTGCAATGGCACAATCTTGGCTCACTGCAACTGTCACCTCCCAGGGTTCAAGCAGTCCTCTCACTTGGCTCACTGCAACTGTCACCTCCCAGGGTTCAAGCAATCCTCTCACTTCAGCCTCCTGAGTTGCTGGGACCACAGGCCTGCACCATGCCTGGCTAATAGATGTGTGTATTTTTGTAGAAAGGGGTTTTCACCATGTTTTCCTGTCTGGTCTCCAACTCCTGGGCTCAAGGGATTCACCCCTCCTTGGCCTCCCAAAGTGGTGGGATTACAGGCGTGAGCCATTGCACCCAGCTGATGTTTTTCTTAAAATGCAAATTCTTTGGTTACACCCCATACCTACTGAATTTGTATCTCATGGGAAAGCTGTACAGTTTGTATTTTTAACTAGTATTGTTTATTTCTTGCTACTCAGAGTGGTCCCAAATTAGCATCTACATCACTGGAAACATTTTAGAAAAATAGAACTCCAGGCCCTGCTCCAGACCTAATGAATCAGAATAATATAGACATTCAAGTTAGAAAAGTACTAGGTAATCTTAATGTACACTTGGAAGTTTAAGAATAACTGATCTGGCCCCAACCTGTCATTTTAAGTTTGTCCCTCAATGTTGCTCTACATTTATTCATTCAACCAACATGTATTGGGTAAGGTATCAAGGATGTCTTCACATAGTCATGGAACTCTTAGTACAAAGTTGACAGAATATAATGTCTGCCCTCCAGAGACACACTGGGGTTAACCAGTGAAGTTGCTTACTGCTGCGGGTGACCAGCCAGTGGCTCTCACCGTCCATTTAGACTAAAGGGATCAGTATTTTGGGCACACCCATAACCATTCATAGTACCTTAGTTGGGGAGCTCTGCCTTATGTCCTGGTATTTCTTAAGATTCCTTTCTTGGCTCTCTTCCCACTGCACATGCTTCTTTGACAATCTCATTTACTTCCATGGCTCAGTCACATCTGATATCCACGTCCAATCAATCATGCAGCCCAGGTAATTTACCTCCTCAAAAGCTTTTAATTTGTCATTTGTCTTCATGTTTCTACCTTAGTTTAAGTTACCATCATTTCTTACAAGGAATATGCAAACTTCTGAACAGGGTTTACAAGGACCAGCATGATCTGTCCCGATATTACATCTTGACTCTCTGTAGCCCTAACATAATCTAGTCATCAACTCCTGAATAAGACATGGCTGTCAGTACTTGGCCTCTCCACACCAAATCATTGACTCAAGATTGTTTATTAAAGAAGGACCTGTGATGCTGTTGTCATTGTCCTTAACCTGTAAACTTGCTGCCTTCCTCACTTTCCATTTATTCTTTAACCCTCTGTAGTATTGCATTTGACTTATTACCCTGAATTTGTTGTTACAAAGGTCACTAAGAGTAACCAATTTCCATATTGCTGAATCCCATCCTTCCTTCTCTTCCTGGACCTCTTGATCAATTGATAACCTTTCATAACTCACTTTTCCTCTAAACTCTCTATTGCCTTCAGTTTTGCCCAATCTGAAGTGCCCAACTGTCCTATCCTGCTTCTGTAATATTTTCCCCCTTTTACCATGTAAAAAATAATTTCCTGATGTTCCCTTTGGGTTGCTCCAGAGACTTTTTCAAAGATTGGAGTTCTCCCAAGTTTTGTCTAAAGGTCACTGTTCTTATTCTCTGTTTTCAACTTGTCCGCTTCCAATCTGTTCTCCCCAGTGCAATAGGAGTGTCAGTCTAATTATGTCAAGCCTTCAGTGGTTTTTTAAATCTTTTCAGATGGAGTTGAGGCCCTATGTGGTCTCACCTCTTCTTTATCTCACCAGCCTTATGATCAAATTCTGCACTCCCAGACATAATAGCAATTAGAATAAGAATGTTTTCAATTGCAAGAAGCAAACAGAAAAACCCAACTCAAAATTATTAAATAATACAAAACAAAAAGTCAGGAGTTTGGAGGCTTCTGGGTTGGTTAACTCAGGAGCTCACTGGTATCACTGATGAACTAGGTTTCTCCATCCTTATGCTTTCACTTTCCTTGGGATATTGGTTTGGTCTTCCAGGATGGCTATTGCTAAAGGTAGCTGCAGTAATTTATTCTGTGTTTCTGTTTATCAATAAGGAGACCTTTCCCAGAATCCCTGAGCAGACACCTCATGCATGGCCCAATTGGCTAGATTAGTTATATACCCCTTCTTAAACCATATTGTTTGCCAATATGGCCAACAATGTGGGGTTGGTGATCCCAACAATGTGGGATGTGGGATTACCACAAATGACTTAGTCATGTGCTGGAGAAACAAAATTAGGGCTTCACAGCAAGGAAGAAGGGAGGAATGAAGTATCCTACTGTTATGTATACTTGTCTTTCTTCCTGTACATACACTAAAAAATGTTCAGGCCCATATGAAAAATGTATTTATTTCCCAAAGAGAATCAGCCAGAATCTCATCCAAATACTCTATCCAGCTTCATATCTAAGATCTCTGGTGGACTTTTTCTGCCCGTGGACGCCGCTGAAGAAGCATCGTTAAAGTCTCTCTTCACCTTGCCGTCATGTCTAAGTCAGCGTCTCCAAAAGAGCCCGAACAGCTGAGGAAGCTCTTCATTGGAGGGTTGAGCTTTGAAACAACTGATGAGAGCCTGAGGAGCCATTTTGAGCAATGGGGAACGCTCACAGACTGTGTGGTAATGAGAGATCCAAACACCAAGCGCTCCAGGGGCTTTGGGTTTGTCACATATGCCACTGTGGAGGAGGTGGATGCAGCTATGAATACAACGCCACACAAGGTGGATGGAAGAGTTGTGGAACCAAAGAGAGCTGTCTCCAGAGAAGATTCTCAAAGACCAGGTGCCCACTTAACTGTGAAAAAGATATTTGTTGGTGGCATTAAAGAAGACACTGAAGAACATCACCTAAGAGATTATTTTGAACAGTATGGAAAAATTGAAGTAATTGAAATCATGACTGACCGAGGCAGTGGCAAGAAAAGGGGCTTTGCCTTTGTAACCTTTGACGACCATGACTCCGTGGATAAGATTGTCATTCAGAAATACCATACTGTGAAGGGCCACAACTGTGAAGTTAGAAAAGCCCTGCCAAAGCAAGAGATGGCTAGTGCTTCATCCAGCCAAAGAGGTCGAAGGGGTTCTGGAAACTTTGGTGGTGGTCGTGGAGATGGTTTCGGTGGGAATGACAACTTTGGTCGTGGAGGAAACTTCAGTGGTCGTGGTGGCTTTGGTGGCAGCTGTGGTGGTGGTGGATATGGTGGCAGTGGGGATGGCTATAATGGATTTGGTAATGATGGAAGCAATTTTGGAGGTGGTGGAAGCTACAATGATTTTGGCAATTACAACAATCAGTCTTCAAATTTTGGACCCATGAAGGGAGGAAATTTTGGAGGCAGAAGCTCTGGCCCCTATGGCGGTGGAGGCCAATACTTTGCAAAACCACAAAACCAAGGTGGCTATGGCGTTTCCAGCAGCAGCAGTAGCTATGGCAGTGGCAGAAGATTTTAATTAGGAAACAAAGCTTAGCAGGAGAGGAGAGCCAGAGAAGTGACAGGGAAGCTACAGGTTACAACAGATTTGTGAACTCAGCCAAGCACAGTGGTGGCAGGGCCTAGCTGCTACAAAGAAGACATGTTTTAGACAAATACTCATGTGTATGGGCAAAAAACTCGAGGACTGTATTTGTGACTAATTGTATAACAGGTTATTTTAGTTTCTGTTCTGTGGAAAGTGTAAAGCATTCCAACAAAGTGTTTTAATGTAGATTTTTTTTTTTGCACCCATGCTGTTGATTGCTAAATGTAATAGTCTGATTGTGACGCTGAATAAATGTCTCTAAAAAAAAAAAAGATCTTTGGTGGAATCCGTAGGCTGCTTTTTCATCTGGTGGCTGTGGCTCTCTGGTGTTTTGTCCTCAACAGCCACATCTAATATGAGCACTGGGAAGAAGACTCTTTCTAAGGCTGCTCAGCTTTAGAGTACATTTCTTGATGGTGTGAGCTTGGTGTCCTGTCTCAGAGTCACTAGTTTCCCAGCCCGAAACAGTTGTGTCTCAATGCCCTCCATCCTGCCTTTTCCACCCGGCCAATTACACACCATTCTAGGTCTGTTTTGTAGCACTCCACTTCCAAATACCAAATTGTCTATCAGTTTGGATTCTTAGTCGTAAGCAACAGAGATGGATTCTGGTTTTCAGCATAAGATAAATTGTATTAGAAGAATATTGTGCTGCTTGCAGAATGGCCAAAAGGACTAGAGAATCAGCATCAGTCTGAGCCACACGGCTGGGAATAAATCCTGGAACCATACTGCATAACTGGTCGGGTGAGGAGATTGTAGCCACTGTTGCCAAGCACTGACACACTGCTTTGTAACACTATCTGCTGCTTTGGGAATTTGATCTTGACACATGTGCTACTGCATCTGGAGAGGATACACTAAGGTCCTTCCTTGATTTGTTGTTGCTAACCAGTTACCAATTTTAAAGTATGTGCAAGTTCAGCTTAAGTTGTTTGGCATTTTCAGCTTTTATAGAGGGAGACTGGCTCAGTGGGAAGACTCAAGGAATTCCCCAGACATAAGAAGGAGCTGAATTCTAAGTAACCCAAAAGAAAGACCTACTTAAGGACAAATCCAGGTTTTGTGGGGCCAAAATTTACACAATTTGTTGGGGTTGTGGGAGTGGGGAGGGGATTTATTTAGGAAAAATACGTACAAAATTATATTAACAAATTAGATAGGGTTTGAAGGGGCTTTTGCAAATAAACACCCCTGAAGCTGTACTTTCCAAATCACTCCGCTAGATCTGATTTCAAGCCCACTCTGCTCAGCACAGGTTATCTCATGCTGGTTACCTCCTATATGTTCTTCAGGCTTTGGCTGAGACATTACTTACTCTGAGCTTTCAAAATCTTCTGACTGCTTTCACAGAACCCCTTTAATCTCTCCCATTTAGACATATATGACACTATAATAACTGCCTGTTGATATGCGTGATTCCAACACTAGATTATTAAGCACCAAGATTGCAGTCATTTTAGTATCCCCAGTCCCTCGCATATCTATACATAGGAGGGATTCAATATTTATTAAGTGAGAAAACTACATATTCTCCTTGCCTTTTTTTTCTTTCTTTTTTGAGACAGGGTCTCGCTCTGTTGCCCAGGTTGGAGTGCAGTGGCATGATAACAGCTCACTGAACCTCGACCTGGGCTCAAGCAATCCTCCCACCTCAGCCTCAGTACACTCAGTGGACTACAGGCATGCACCACCACATCTGGCTAATGTATTTTGTAGAGAAAGTGTTTTACCATATTGCCCAGGCTGGTCTCGAGCTCCTGGGCTCAAGGGATGCTCCTGCTTTGGCATCCCAAAGTGATGGGATTACAAGTGTGAGCTACTGCGCCTGGCCTCCTTGTGCTCATGTTCTTATGTTGCTTACCACCATCCATATGCTGATGACTATCAATTCTTATCTATAGCTCTAAATGTGTTTTAAAAAAATAGCTTTAGGCCGGGCGCGGTGGCTCACGTCTGTAATCCCAGCACTTTGGGAGGCCAAGGCGGGCGGATCATGAGGTCAGGAGATCGAGACCATCCTGGTTAACAAGGTGAAACCCCATCTCTACTAAAAATACAAAAAATTAGCTGGGTGTGGTGGCGGGTGCCTATAGTCCCAGCTACTCAGGAGGCTGAGGCAGGAGAATGGTGTGAACCCGGGAGGCAGAGCTTACAGTGAGCCGAGATCACGCCATTGTACTCCAGCCTGGGCAACAGAGCAAGACTCCATCTCAAAAAATAAAATAAAATAAAATAGCTTTATAGGGCTATAGTTGACATAAAGCAAACCATGCACATTATTTAAAGTGTACAGTTTGAAGTGTTACATATGTATACACTCGTAAAATCATCACCATAATCAAGATAGTGAACATACCTATTACCCCAATGTTTCCTCATGCCCCTTTTATTCTTGAAATTCCACCCTGCTCTCCAGCCCCCACCCCCACCCAGTAAACCACTGATTGTCATACAGATGAGTTTTAAAATTTTTCAGGATTTTATATAAATGGAATCATACAAAATGTACTATTTTTGTCTGATTTTTTTCACTTAGCATAATTTTGAGATTCATCCATGTTATAGTGTGTAGCAATACTTCATTCCTTTTATTGCTGAGCAGTATTCCATTGTATGGCTATACTGGCTATACTGCTGTTGTTTTTTGTTTGTTTTGAGATGGAGTCTCGCTCTGTCGCTCAGGCTGGAGTGCAGTGGTGTGATCCTGGCTCACTGCAACCTCCACCTCCTGCATTCAAATGGTTCTCCTGCCTCAGCCTCCTGAGTAGCTGGGAATATAGGTGCGTGCCACATTTTTTTGTATTTTTAGACGAGACAGGGTTGGCCAGGCTAGTCTCAAACTCCTGATCTCAGGTGATCCACCCGCCTCCGCCTCCCAAAGTGTGGGATTACAGTCATGAGTCACTGCACCTGGCCAGCTGTACTACTGTTTATCCATTCACCTATTGATGTACATTTGGGTTGTTTCCAGTTTTCAACTGTTAACCATTAAAACTGCTATAAACAGACACAGACATTTTGTACAAACATTGCATGAACATGTTATTTCATATCTCTTGGGTGCTAATTGTGTAGCAGTGGTCTAAGTCATTTTATGGTTGTGCCTTTTTACATTCCTACCAGTGGTGTATGAGTCTTCCAGTTGCTCTACATCCTTGCCAACATGGTCAGTCTTTCTCCTTTTAGCCGTTTAAATGGGTGTGTAGTGGCATATGGTTGTGGTTTTAATTTCTATTTCCCTATTGACTTACAGTTTCTGAGTTTTGAGACATCTTCATATATTCTGGATGCAAGCTCTTCATCAGAGATGTGATTGCAAATATTTTCATAGTGTAGAATCTTTTAAATTTTGGTGAAGTCTAATTTACAAATTTCTTCTTTTATGGATCATGCTTTTGGTGTGCTAAGAAATCTTTGTCTAACCCAAGATCACAAAGATTTTCTTTCCTCTAGAAGTTTTATAGGAGTTGTAGCCCCATAATCCATTTTGAGTGAATTGTTGTACATGGTGCAAAGATACACACTGAAACTCACTTTTTGGCACATGTATATCCAGTCTGTTTTAAAGTCTCTCCTTTTCAACTGTTTTTTCTCCACTGAATTACCTTTGGACCTTTGTTAAAAATCAGCTGTCTACATATGGTATGGGTCTATTTATGGATTCTCTGTTCCATTAATCTGTCTATTTTTGTGCCAATACCACAAGGTTGACAGGTCTTGAGATGAAGTAATGTTATCTCTCCAACTTTGTTATTTTTCAAAGCTGATTTGGCTATTGTAAGTCCTTTGCATTTTCATTTGAATTTTTCCCCCATTTGAATTTTAGAATCAGTTTGTCAACTTCTAAAAGGGAAAAGCTCTGGGATTTTTTTTTTTTTTTTTTTTTTTTTTTTTTTTTTTTTTTTTTTTGAGACGGAGTCTTGCTCTGTCGCCCAGGCTGGAGTGCATTGGTGCAGTCTCGGCTCACTGCAAGCTCCTCCTCCCGGGTTCACGCCATTCTCCTGCCTCAGCCTCCCAAGTAGCAGGGACCACAGGTGCCTGCCATGACGCCTGGCTAATTTTCTTGTATTTTTAGTAGACACAGGGTTTGATTGTGTTAGCCAGGATGGTCTCGATCTCCTGACCTTGTGATCCGCCTGCCTCGGCCTCCCAAAGTGCTGGGATTACAGGCGTGAGCCACCGCGCCCAGCCAGCTCTGGGATTTTTAAATGTACTTTATTTCAGAGATGGGGTCTCTGTTGTCTAGGCTGGTCTCCAACTCCTTGCCTCTAAGCGATTCTCCTGCCTCAGCCCCAACAAGAACTGAGATTAGACATGAGCCACCATGCCTGACTAGGGATTTTGATTGGGATCATGTTGAGTCTATAGGTCAATCTTGGAAGAACTGAGATCTCAACAATATTGAGTCTTCTTGACTCATGAATTTGGAGTAGCTCTCCATTTGTTAGTTTTCTTTAATTTCTCTCGGCAATATTGTTGGGTTTTTTTTTTTTTTTGAGACAGAGTCTTGCTCTATTACCCAGGCTGGAGTGCAATGGCGCAATCTCGGCTAACTGCAACCTCCGCCTCCCGGGTTCAAGCAATTCTCCTGCCTCAGCCTCCCAAGTAGCTGGGATTACAAGCACCCGCCACCACGTCCAGCTAATTTGTTTTGTGTTTTTAATAGAGATGGGGTTTCGCCATATTGGCCAGCCTGGACCTCAGGTGATCCACCCGCCTGGGCCTCCCAAAGTGCCAGGATTACAGACGTGAGCCACCACGCCTGGCTGCAATATTTTTTAGTTTTCGGTGCACATCTTGCATATCTTTTGTCAGATTTATTTTTCAGTATTTAATATTTTGATGTTACTATACATGTCATGACTCTTTGCATTTAAAATTTTGATTGTTACTGATTTTGTTTTAAATCTTTTTTCTGTTGAAGTATAAACTTGGTAAAGTGTACAAATCTTTTAAAAATTTTCTCTCTTTTTTTTAAACTTCTCTTTGGGAAAGCTTTATTGTGAAAAAGACACAAATAAGAGATTTTGTTAGATTCAGTTTGAAATTATCAAGTGTAATACACTTAAGGATGGCTTCAATGTTAGACTGGGATGGTTTTCTCTTTTAAATGAAAAGGATCCCTTTCCTAGGAAAATGTTAGGTAACACAGTATAAGTGACTATTTTCACTCTTCAATTTGAAGATCAATTATCCTTCAATAAATGCCCACTTAATCCAGCATGGTTACTCCTCCCCTTCTTTAAATTACCAAAGCTAAGTACATTGGTATATTTAGTTGTGTCATTTGCACATGAAAACTTTTTTTTTTAACTTTTTTTTTTTTTTTGCAATAAGTCTCGCTCTTGTCCTCCAGGCTTGAGTGCAATGGCTCAATCTCGGCTCACTGCAACCTCTGCTTCCCGGATTCAAACGATTCTCCTGCCTCTGCCTCCCAAGTAGCTGGGATTAAGGTGCCTGCCACCATGCCCGGCTAATTTTTGTATTTTTTAGTAGAGATGAGGTTTCACCAAGTTGGCCAGGCTGGTCTCGAACTCCTGACCTCAGGTGATCTGCCCGCCTCGGCCTCCCAAAGCGCTGGGATTACAGGCGTGAGCCACTGTGCCCGGCTGAAAACATTTATTAATAACTTCTTAAGCATTTGTCTGTCCTTCCTCCCAAGATTTCAATAAACTGATGCCAAGAATTTATGGAGAAAATTATAAAAACTTTACTAAAAGACATACGAATAACTGAATGAAACAAGCAATTATGTTCATGGACTGGAAGAGGCAATACAAGGGAAATATATCATTTCTCCTCAAACGAATCTGCAAAATCAAAGTGAACAATTTGTTGTTGTTGTTGAGACTCACACTGTTACGTAGGCTGGAGTGCAGTAACACGATAAGAGTCTCAACCTCCTGGGCTCAAGCGATCCTCCTGCCTCAGCCTCCCAAGTAGCTGAGGCACGCGCCACCATGCTTGGCTAATGTTTTTTATTTATTTATTTTTTGTAGAGACGAGGTCTCACCATCTTGCCCAGGCTGGTCTTGAACTCCTGGGCTCAAGTGATTTTTCTGCCTTGGCTTCCCAAAGTGTTGGGATTACAGGCGTGAGCCACTGCACCCAGCCTGCACAAATCTTGTGCATAACTTGATAAAATTTTATGTTTGAATACACTGCTGTGATTACCAGCCAGATCAAGATATGTAACATTTCCCGCATCCGAGATTTCTTCATGCTCCTGTTCCCCACCCTCCCTGACAACCAGGAGGTTCCCTTATGATACCTCTCATCTAAGTGGAATCAATCATGATGTACTCCGTCTGGCTTTTTTTTTTTTTTACCACAACTTATGTATATAAGCTTCATCCATATCGTTGTGTGTAGTAGTCGTTCATTCCTATTGCTATGTAATATTTTTTTCTCCTATTTAAGGACATTTAGATTATTTCCAGTTTTTGCTACCTTGGGTAATGCTGCAATGAATATTCTTCTACATGATCATAAATAATAAATACTCTTGGGTATATGCCCAGTGGTAGAATTATTGGGTTATGGTCTGTGTATAACTAGCTTTAGTAGATAGTGTCTGATATAGTTTGGATATGTGTCCCCACCCAAATCACATGTCAAATTGCAATCCCCAATGTCGGAGGTGGGGCCTGGTGGGAGGTAACTGGATCATAGGGGTGGGTTTCTCATGAATGGTTAAGTACCACCTCTCTTGGTACTGTCCTTGCAACAGTGAATTCTTGTGAGATCTGGTTGTTTAAAAATGTGTAGCACCTACCCCCACCCTACTTGCTCCTGCCATGTAAGATGGCTGCTCTACCTTTGCCTTGTGCGGTGATTGGAAGCTTCCTGAGGCCTCTGCAAAAGTAGAAACTGCTATGCTTCTCGTACAGTCTGCAAAACCATGAGTGAATTAAACATTTTTTCTTTATAAATTACCTAGTCTCATTTATAGCAATGCAAGAACAGACATACGGTACCACAGTTTTCCAAAATGATTAAACTCTCACCAACAATATATGAAAGATACAGTTGCTACATATCCTTGTCAGTGCTTGGTATTGGAAGTCCTTTTAATTTAAGCCATTCTGGTGGTAGTTTTGGTATCTCATTGATTTCAATGTCCATAATATATAGAACTTCTTTTCATGTTGGGCCCATAGGGCGGTCTTGGAATTCACCCTTTCAGAGGCCATACATATATGTGTATTGGTGCATGGCAGAGGCTGGTGTACACACATTAGTGTATGGCTGAGCCATAACCGGAGCATACCTGAGACTAACCCTATGGTCTAAGAAGAACTTACGTTTGGAGTCCTGGGCTAAGGAATCCAGGAGCAGCCAACCCAGAGATTCACTCCTTATCTATGAAGGACATCCACATCCCTGGCCCGTATCTTACGCTGTACAGATCAAGGCCCTTTGGGGTTAAATGGAGGTTGCTAGAAGGAGAGTGCTAAGTGAAAATGCTATATAGACTACGTGCTTTTTACAAATGGTAGCAGTTCTCCAGGTCAGCCCTCCACCACCGGACCACCCTTGTATGTAAATCCTGAATAAACCTTGTCTCCTTCACTGACTCTGCCTCTCTTCTTACAGTGCCATCCCAACTGGAGTCAGTGGGGTCCAGAAGGACAATTGGCCATTTAGATAACATTTGAAAACTAACCAAGGTAATTCACAGTAACATTAAAAAATACAAATGAACATTTCAATAAAGGCAGAAAAAGCAGTTGATATTCAATGCTTTCCTCCTGATGTTATGACCAAGACAAGGAAGTCCATTATCACTGTTTTTATTCAATAGTGGAAACACTAGCCAGCAACAAAAGGCAAAAATAAATAAAAATAAAAGGTATAAAGGTTACAGAGAAGTTAAACCATCTTTATTCGTGGATTGCAAGATTTTGATCACAGAAATTCCGAAAGAATCTACAGAGTATTACAAATAACAAGGGAACTTAGCAAGATGCTTGCATATAAGGTCAGTATGTTAAAATCAATATTGTTTATTCTTACGAGTAGAATATAAAAAAGTCAAAATGCCATTTAACATTGTATACAAAACACTAAATACTCAAGAATAAATCTAATGAAAGATATATATGATCTCTATACTGCAATCTATCCAAGCACAGCTGCATTAAAATATAGATATATGTGCAATCTACAAAATATTGCCAGGAGAAATTAAAGACCGCTTAAATAAATGGTGGGGGAAGAATGATATTCATGGATTGAAGGACTTGTTGTTAAGATACTAGTTTTCCCAAACAGATCTATAGATTCAATGCGAGCCCAATAAAAAATCCCCCCCCTTTTTAACAAGCTAATTCCAAAATTCACCTAGAAATACAAAGGCCGTAGAATAAGCCAAAACAATCTTGGGAGAATAAGTTACAGGACTTAAAGATTTATTATAAAACTACATTAAATTAACATAGTTTGGTACTGGTATAAAGTTAGACAAAGACTACTCCCTCCCGCTCCTCAATCTGCCCCCATCCCTAGAACGTGCTGGCAGCTTTCTCCATCCGATCTGCAAGGGTTAAAGGGCGCTGAGGAAGGGCTGACCGACTGGGGTGGGAAACAAAGCGGCACTGAGATAACTTCAGGCCACCTTCCTCCCCTCAGTACCTTCGGATGAAAGGTTTCCCTTCTTGGTCTGGGAAGCCCACTAAGAAGAAAGCCTGGGCTGTGGCGTTCTGGGGAAGTGAATAGTACGGCCGCCGGGCGCGTCGCCCCAGGAACCAGAAGGCTTTTTGCCGCTATTAGTGCAGAATGACTTCCGGCAAGTCCCAGTCGTTTAGAATCCCCAGCCCAAAGATCGCGGGGATCCACGCGTCATCCGGGCCTCTGCTCCCGGAAGAGACCACGCAGCCGCTAAAGACGTAATGGAGGCGAAAGGGCTTGGCTAGCTGTGGCAGCCATGATAAAAACTAGGGAAAATGGGAGCTCGAAGTAGCTTCCGTTATTAACAGACATACAAACGCCCCTAACCGCCACACGTTCCTTAGGGATGACAGTACGTTACAAAAGTGCTTCTAAAGTACTACTGAAAGCTCCGTGGGAGTGCCCGCTGGCGTGGGCGCGGTGGAAGGGAGGAAGAACGTGTACGCCCCAGGCCTCCGTAACCATGGCTGCGAGGGGCGGGGACTGGGAGCGCGGGTCCTGGGCCGGGGTGCGGCTGGGAGGAATCGGTCCTCCACTGTCCCAGCCGGCCCCGCGCCGGCGTGTCGCCTCCCGTCCCCCTAGCAGCACGCTGCGTGGCTGCTCGCTGGCTATTTAGGACGGAAGCTCGGTTGGTGTTTCTCCAGAAGTTTCCCCCTTGGGCGGTGGTGGAGGTGGTAACCGTGATAGTAGCAGCTCCGGCGGCAGCAACAGCGACTACGAGGGATGGCGGCGGCTGCAGCAGGAACTGCAACATCCCAGAGGTGCATGTTTTTCTTTCCCTTTGGTATTTATTTTATCCCCCTTTCCTTGGCTAGTGAGCCCTGCTGAAGTCGTTGTTTTCCTGACAGGTTTTTCCAGAGCTTCTCGGATGCCCTAATCGACGAGGACCCCCAGGCGGCGTTAGAGGTGAGAGAGCCCATTTCTGCTTCCTCCACTCTTCTTAGGGGAGCTGGGCCACTTCGGGTCCCCGCTGACCCGCCTTCTCCCCGCACCGCCGGACAGGGACCCAGGCTCTTGTTGATGCTGCGTCTCAGCTCCGGTATTGAGATTCTCCGTCTCTTTTCTCTGTTACACGGTAGCCGCGTTACCCCAGACTCCTGTCTTGCCCTTTCCACTCCCTACAGCTCCTGAGAAAAACCTCCTCTATTTCTTGGGAGCATGGTTGGCATTTGTAGTTTGGCTGAAAGGATTTTTTTTTTAATGACATTTATGATTAGAGAAGTGGACTCTGGGCTCGATGAAGTTAATTTTTTCGTTTGACAATAATTCTTGCCATTCTTACGTAAAAGTGTCGGTATGAAGTCAGTCTACTGGAGCAAAACCCTTTTCCCTCACGTCCCTGAAACTTTCCAGATGTCTTATCACAATTCATTATTCACTCATTTGTATATTCATCAAAATTTTTTTTTGGAGTGGCTGTGTGCAAAGGCGCTGATTGCTGTGGGTTAAAGTCTTGGTTATATACTCAGCTAACCTAGAAATCACTTTTTGTAGGTGTGCAATGAAGGCAAACCATAAAGCTGTAAAGGAATGTAAAAGATCAAGAGTTAAATAATAAGAATTAAAGGAGAACCTAAAGATAAATGATGCTGCGGGTCACAGAATTTAGCCAGGAGTTTTTGTTTGTTTTTGCGTTAAATCACAGAAAAGAGGAAACCTGTTTTGCTGTTACGTTTAACAATTTGAGGCAAGACAGCGTCTTTTCTAGCTATGACTTTTATAAGAAATGTGCCACATGGTACTAGAGCCTCCGTTGAGGAGATCTTTGAGTGGAGATTTGAAGGAACAAGGGAATTAACTTGGAAGCTCTGGGGAAAGAATATTCCAGGCAGGACCAAGAGCCAGTGCAGATCTTGAGGTAGGAATGAAGTTGGCCTGTATGTGAAGCAACAAAAAGGCCCTTTTTATTAGAGGGCCCATTTGATTAAGAGAGGTTGGACAGGAAACTAGGAGCCAGGTCCTATAAGGCCTTTTAGGGTCCAGGTGTGTTTTTTACACCTAAATATATAGACCTTTAGATACTGGGAGTAAGGCTTCTGGGATGAGTTTGGGGATAATGTTACAGGAAGCACTGAGAATTTTTCTCCATAATTTCTTGTATTAGCTAGACAGCTATGACTTTTAATTTACATTTGTTATTGTCGTGTTAGACCTAGTGCTTCCTTTGGGAATCCAGTTTATATAAAAGTTGCTTTTAAACAGTATTAACATAATGAATTTTATTGTCACTTTCCATCTTCTTTTACTTTAAAAATTTTTATGGAGGCATATATGATTTATGTAAATAACACAGATTTTAAGTCTATAGTTTGATGAGTTTTCACATGTTTACACCACCAGATTAAGATACAGAGTATCTCCATTCATAATGCTCCTTAATGCGCCTTCTCAGCCAGTAATTCTTCTTACTGTCCTGCTGACTCCTGCTTTGACCTCCATCACCATCAGTTAGTTTTGTTTGTTCTTGACTCATAAACAGAATCATACAGTAGGTGCTTTATTGAATGTAGACACTCTTTTTGCTTTAATGATTACATAAGTATACATTCATATTGTGTGAAGTAGTAGTTCTTTCGCATTGCTGTGTAATATTCCATTGTATAAATATATGTTGTATAGCCGTAAGTACGGCGCAATTTATTCTAACAGTGGACATCTGGGTTATTTCTAGTTATTAGCTAACAAAAAGCTTCTGTGAATACTCTTGTACATGTATTTTGGTGAACACATGCATTTCTTTTGGTTGTATGTACCTAGGAGAAGAATTGCCTAGGATAGTCATGTGGCTAGTATTAGTACCTTGGTTTTTAATGTATGGCTCTTGGACCAGCATTATCAGCATCACCTGGCAATTCATTAGAAGTGCAGCCGGGCGCGGTGGCTCACGCCTATAGTCCCAGCACTCTGGGAGGCCGAGGCAGGCGGATCACGAGGTCAGGAATTCGAGACCAGCCTGGCCAACATGGTGAAACCCCGTCTCTATTAAAAATACAAAAAATTAGCCGGGCATGGTGGTGGGCAGCCGTAATCAGCTACCTGCGAGGCTGAGGCAGGAGAATCACTTGAACCCTGGAGGTGGAGGTTACAGTGAGCTGAGATCGCGCCATTGCACTCCAGCCCAGGCGACAGTGAGGCCAGGCCATCAAAGGCATTAAATCCCAGCACAGGGTTTTCAGTTTTATCATATGATTATGGAGATCCGTCAAGAATTTGGAGGAAGGAAAATGAAATTTTCTGAATTACAAAACCTACTTTAAAAGCAGAGTAGATAGCGAATTGGAGGAGGCACAAGGGATAGTGGATAGCAGGAAGATGGTAGTGCAGACCGGGTCAAAGATGAATATTTGCATGTAGGGCAGTGATTGAGGGCATGGAGGTGAGTTGTTTTATGTAAAATGCACCGGACTTGGTGACGATTAGAATATAAGGGATGTCTCCTGAGTTTCTGGCTGGGGGAATGTTGTAGGAACTGGTGCCATTCATTTAGATAGCACTTAGGATGATAGCACTTAGAAGATTGCCTTCAGCATGGGGGAATAGGTTTGAGGATAGAAAGTAGTTTTAGATTGTGAATATTTGTATATGAGTTGCCTCTGGGACATTTCAGGTAAAGTTTAGAGAAAACTATATGCTGATGTTGCCCAGGACCACTGTCTAGGCTCAAGATAGACTTGAGTCATCAGCATGCATCAACACATATGTGAAGCCCCCCAGTAGTTAAGGAATCAAAGAATGTTTGTAGAGGGGAAGAAGTCTTAAGTACTGAGCCCAAGGAGAACATTAGTTTTTAAGAGGCAGCAGAATGGTAAGCTGAAAGGCCTGGTTATTATTGTCAAGGGCCACAGAGAGATCAAGTCAGATAGGAATCAGTTGGATTTTATAAGGGGTTATTAGTGACTTTGAGAAGATTAAGACTAGAGAGGCAAATATTTTTGTATTCTATGGCAAAGGAGATGCAGTCAAAGTAGAGACTGGGGAAAAGGCTGAAAAAAGTCTGCAAGAAGAAAAATCAATACTTTTCATTGAGTGATTACTGGATGTCACATACAGATCTAGGCAAGCCCAACACCCTGGAGTCATCTTCAGTTTCTCTTATCCCACATGTTCACCCATTAGCAAGTCTCTCTGCTTCTAATATGTTCCAACTTAATCGTATTTCTTTTCATCACCTCTGTGGCTAACATCCTTTTCTAGCCTAGACTTAATGTAATAGTTTCCTAAGAAGTCTCCGTTTCCAGTCTTGATTTGATAATGTATTTACCATACTGCAGCCAGAATGACATTAAAAAAAAGTAAATTGGACCATGTTCCCCTTACTAACAGTGAACTTTCCATGGCTTTCCATCAAACGTAAGGTCCAAATTCCTTATAACTGCCTGCAAGCTACAAAGTGAGGCCCTTAAAGTAGCATCTTACAGCTTCTTTGCTCTCTTGATTTGAGCCTTACTTTCTGTTGATTGACTGTAACCCCATGTGAGTTGAGGAGCATCTGTATATGTTGCTTTCTGAGAGTCACACTACTAGGTTAAAGCAAAGTCAATGATACATGTGGCTCTTGAAATAATTTTACCATTTAAGAAAACTACCAAATCCCTAGAGTTTGTAGGCAGTTGGCAGAAAATAAAAGTGTTCCTGCACTTGTCTTTGATCTCCCTAATTGTGTAATCTCTTACATCATTATTTTTCCAGCTACCACACCTATATGTTGTGACTGCACAAGTTAAAAAAGTTTCAATCTCTAATGTTAACTCTTGGTAGTTGACATAGCCATCTATTAGATTGTATCTGGGCTTTGAACAGAATATTTAGTTGGGTTTTATTAGAGTTGTGTGCTATTGTTAGAGGCTAGGAGAGGGCCAGGTACACTTGATTGTGTATGTATTGATTGTCTTAACCTCCCTGAGTGCTAGATTTAACTTCTGGTCTTTTTTTATTGCACAGCTTAACATTTTCTAGGAATCTCAAATTCTATATGGTGTTTGAATCTTCTTCAAATTAGTAGGAGGAAATCTGTAATGGTCAATGTGTAACAATTAAACTCTTCAGAATATATGAGCTGATAATAATGATCATTTATTAAGTTCTATAGACCAGGAACTAAAAGCTTTACGGTACAGAGATGCTACATTAGATTGCCTACTTTTGGGAGGAGGGGCAAGAGAAGTGGGGGAGATATTGATCCTTTTATAAGGAAAAACTCCAATATTATATCCGTGTTATCTTTCCTCCAAATAGCTTCTGACAATAAGTTACTTGATTAAAAATTATGTTTTAATTAGAATTTGATGGCTTCTTACAAACTTTTACTGACGCTCCACATGTTTGTTTTTGTAGGAGCTGACTAAGGCTTTGGAACAGAAACCAGATGATGCACAGTATTATTGTCAAAGAGCTTATTGTCACATTCTTCTTGGGAATTACTGTGGTAACGTTTCTTATAAAGTATATTGCCCCCTTTTAATAAGTTACTTATACATTTTACCCATGACAAATTAAAAGTTGTCTTTGAGAATTTTTAAATTGGTCTTTTATACAAGGTAAAGTAGCTCAAATGTGACAGACATGTTGAGCAACACCCATTTAAATTTTATGGATGTCGCTTTTTCCTTCATTGGGTGGAGAATGTATACAGATTTCATTCATAGTTATTGGGTATGCTGATAAAAAATAGCATCACATTTACTATTTGACAGACTATTAAAATGAAATGCTCGTTTAAATTTTTTTTATAAAAAAGAATGTGGCCAGGCATGGTGGCTCACGCCTGTAATCCCAACACTTTGGGAGACCAAAGCAGGAGGATCATTTGAGCCCAGGAGTTCAAGACCAGCCTGGGCAACATAACAAGACCACCTGTATTTAAAAAGTAATGTATTTCTGTATTTTGTACCTTCTGAATAGGGAAAAACTGAATACCTTGAGTAAAATTACATAGAAAATGTTAATGAGACAAGGAGGTGAATTTTGTGACACAGCTGTATTCATTGAAGAGCTTTAAGAAGGAAGCTAAATGTTAAGCCAAAAGGAAGGTACAAGAGTAATATTTATTTGAATTCTATCTTGTATTAGCTTTTCCTAATTTAAAACCATTTGGCATTTCTACCAACTTGAAAACTTAGAAATCTAAAACTGATTCATATGTTGTGTGTATTTGCTAGGATCTATAAATAACTGACTAAAAACCCGTCTTTTTCTACACAGTTGCTGTTGCTGATGCAAAGAAGTCTCTAGAACTCAATCCAAATAATTCCACTGCTATGCTGAGAAAAGGGTATGCAGTAGCTACTCTTCTTGTTGAGCTTGGTATAGATAGTAGGTATTTAATTTGTTGAATGAGTTCATTGCAAGCTTTATATAAGTTGTAAAATTCTGTATTTATACATTATATAGCAGAGATATGATTCAATTTTAAATACAACTTATAGTTCTATTATTTTGTTAACCAAAGTATGTGATAGGAGATCTGTACTTAGTAAATTTTAAAATAGTGATGATTGAAGTATTTGCAAGGTATAGATGAAACTGATAGATTTCACATTGCTTTTTTTTTTTTTTTTTTCAATCTTTTGGAATTTACTATATTTAATTGACTGGACAACATCCTATTCAGCAAAGCTGAATAGGCTACATTTAATGCTATGAAAGCGCTATATCTGTATACTTTATATCCCATCTTGTTTCTGTTGATAAGTATAACTATTCTTTAAGAAACTTCTTTAATTCCTTTGTATAATTATATTTTTGAGTAAGCAAGTCTGTACAATTAAAGTCAGATTCCTTCTGAAGTGAGTTCTAAAATTGAATTTTAGTAGGAATTGTACTAGATCTTAACAGTATATTAGAAAGTCTCTAGGTTTATTAACATACACTTAAAATAAATTTTTTCTTTCAACAGTAGAAAATACTAAGTTTTTTATTTAGAAAGAAGGTATTTTCCAGATTTTTTGTGTGTCTTAATTTGTTTTAAATATATTCATGCAGAATATGTGAATACCATGAAAAAAACTATGCTGCTGCCCTAGAAACTTTTACAGAAGGACAAAAATTAGATAGTAAGTATTAAAAATTATACTTTAATAAACTTATCTATTTCTGTCTTAAATACCAAAGCTGAATTTTGGTAATGTTAATTTCAAGTTAATTGTAGAAACCCAATACCTGTTTTTCTCATCTAAATTATATTTCATATTGATTGCAGATATGAGATCACTTAAAATCGATTAAATTAGCCTTTTGGCATTTAAATCATAGATGAACTTCACCATTAGAAGTAAAAAAAACTATGGAAACACCTAACATGCTCTCTCTGTTTAGTCTGGCTTTGTTTTTTTCTAATGGAGAAGTGAAAGTTTAATTTGCCTTGGTCAGAAGTCTGTTCATTTTAAATTATTCAGATTGCTGAGATGTGAAATCTTAACATTAAAGGTTTTTATGGAGAAGTGAAGTGTACGTTTGGGTAAATTATGAGAGGGTACAGAAGAAACACAGTTTTGAGAGTATTGTGACTTTTAATGTTATATTCTTGAGGGAATATATGAAAAGTATCACAGTGGTGTGGATATCTAGACATATAGAAATTGTGAGAGTCAAGAATATATATATATATATATATATATATTTTTTTTTTTTTTTTTTTTTTTTTTTTTTTTGAGACGGAGTCTCACTCTGTCGCCCAGGCTGGAGTGCAGTGGCGCGATCTCGACTCACTGCAAGCTCTGCCTCCCGGGTTCACGCCATTCTTCTGCCTCAGCCCCCCGAGTAGCTGGGACTACAGGCGACCACCACCACGCCCGGCCAATTTTTTTGTATTTTTAGTAGAGATGGGGTTTCACCATGTTAGCCAGGATGGTCTCAATCTCCTGACCTTGTGATCCACCCTCCTCGGCCTCCCAAAGTGCTGGGATTACAGGCATGAGCCACTGCACCCAGCCGAGAGCCAAGAATTTTTAAATCTGAAAAATACTAAGAGGTTGTGAGTAATTTCAGAAAATTGGAGACTACATAATCCTACTTGTATTATCATTTTATCTTTATGTTATGATAGAGTTTTATCACAGTTCTCTAAAGAAGTGGTTCTTAACTGGAAACGGTTTTGCTTCCCAGGAAACTTTATGCAATGTCTGAAGAGATTTTTGATAATCATGAATGGTGGATGGGGGTTGTGCTACTGACATCTAATGAGTATAAACCAGGGGTGCTACTAAATATTCTATAATGCCCAGGACAGTTCTGCCTAACAAAGAAGTATATGGTCCAAAATGTCAGTAGTGCTGAAATTAAGAAACTTCACTCTTAGTATTTTATGTTACATTCTTACTCTGTACTGTTTTGAATGTTTGCCTTTCTGTTGTGTACCTATTCAGAAAAAAGGATTTTAGCACTGATTATGCAAATGGAAGCTACAAATTAAAAAAGGAGAGGTCTGGGTGATAAGGCTTATTCTCAAACTTGCTTATCCCAGTTTTGGTATGTGAATAGTAGGCCTATTCAGTCAGCAAACAGGACATCTGCACTCTTAGCAAATTCTAGAGTGAAGTTATGTAGTGCCTTGGTACCTAATGTGAAAATCCTGAAGAAACATGAGTCATACCATTCTCTACATTTTCATTTTTCTTTCTTTTTTTAGCGAGAGAAGGTCTCGCTCTGTCGCCCAGGCTGGAGTGCAGTGGTGCGATCTTGGGTCACTGCAGCCTCCACCTCTTGGGCTCAAGTGATCCTCCCACCTCAGCCTCCTGAGTAACTGGGGCTACAGGCACATGCCACCACACCTGACTAATTTTTGCATTTTATTTTTTGCAGAGATGGGGATTTGCCATGTTGCCCAGGCTGGTCTTGAACTCCTGGACTCAAGCGTTCTGCCTGCCTCGGCCTCTGAAAGTGCTGGGGTTACAGGCATGAGCCACTGCGTCTGGCCCCTAGATTATTTTCTTGAGTAATATCTTAATATCATGCCATTGACATTTATTCTTTAGTTATTTCAGAGGTGGCCTTCAGAGGAAGACCTGTTTGGTAAAATTGCTGTTGAGGATATTTTACTTAAAAATAAATTTGTCTTTAAATCCAGGAAACTTTTTTTGTTGTTGTTTTTTGGGGTTTTTTTTTGTTTTTGTTTGTTTGTTTGTTTGTTTCTTTTTTTGAGACTGAGTCTCACTGTGTTGTCCAGGCCATAGTGCAGTTCTCTGTCTCTCAAGTTCAGGTGATTCTCCTGCCTCAACCTCCTGAGCAGCTGGGACTACAGGCATGCACCACCAAGCCTGGCTAATTTTTGTATTTTTAGTAGAGACGGGGTTTCATCGTGTTGGCCAGGCTGGTCTCCAACTCTTGACCTCAAGTGATCCACCTGCCTTGGACTCCCAAAGTGCTGGGATTACAGGTATGAGCCACCATGCCCGGCCAAAATCTGGGAAAAAGTTAAGTTAAACTTTTAGGCTTCTATTTTTATCAGACAGGGTAAAGAATTGTTACCTTTTCCCCTCTTTGTGTGATAAATTGCTTGGTTTTAGTTACTGATTACTTAAAATAATAGGTTACTCAAATCTTTTTGATATAATAGATTTTGATACAATAGTTCTCTAGAATACAGTGTGTGTGAGAGTGTATTTAAATTTTTTATTAATGCTGGTATAGTTGGATTTCTTTTATAAATTAGTAAAGTAGAAATTTTTGTTAAGAAATTTTTAATTTAAGATTTTCAAATTTATCTTGTCTGCAGTTAACTTGAATTAATAAGCTCTTATTTAGAGTACTTTTAATACTTTTAACATATCTTACTATGCACTGTGACTGTTTAAATGTAATCATTGTTCTGTGTCTCCAGAAGTGAATAATTTGTTTATGCATACATTTACACTGTTATCTATAAATATATAATACATCACCTATAGCCTCTCGACTGCCATGTAACTTGGAGATAGGACAAAACTTCACGGAATTTAAAGATGCTTGGTGTTGGTAGGAAAGGCATGGTAACAGATAAAGCCACTGAGAGAATAGTGGACTGAATAGGTATCTGCATTGAAGAGCAAGCTGGGGCTGGGAACGGCTTTTGAACCTCAACTCAGCTCCCAGTTACCAAGCCTCCTCCCCACCCTAACTGATGGCATATTGGGAGTCTGATTTACATCTGATTTTGTTCTGTGTGTGAGGAAGCTTCTCTAAGAGCAGCGGGATTGGGGGAAATGCAGATTATTTGTATCTGTGAAATTAAGGTTGACTGTAGTTAAAATTTTTAAAAAATCAAAATGTTTCATGATTAACAACTAAATGTTAAACTATTGGTATATTTATAACTATAGTAGAGTTGGTGATAAGGTCTGTTAAGACAGGTTTTGTTCGCTGCCGACTCCCCAGTGCCTAGAACACTGCCTGGGATGTAGTAGGTATTCAGTAAGTATTTGTTGATTTATAGGTTGTGCAGATGAGTGATGTTATAGTCAGTTTTTTCTTTCTAGGTGCAGATGCTAATTTCAGTGTCTGGATTAAAAGGTGTCAAGAAGCTCAGAATGGTATGTGGGTCTCCCTTGGTATTTGTTTCAATTTAAAAAGAAGTAAACATCTGAAATTTTTTTGGTTTAAACAAATTTGTTTTTATCTTTATAATTTCTTTTAAATAGTATACGTTTCCTTAGATGTGGACTTCCAAAGATACACTGGTTTTTGCATAGCTTCTTATGTTGAAAGGGGGATTTGGGTGGATTTGCTTGTATGGTATATCAGTAAGAAATTACTAAGGAGTCTAAAATGAATTCAGGATGCAAAATGAAACCACTTTTCTTTAGTTGAAAGGTACGGAGAATTTGCTTGCTTAATCAGTATGTTTGTGCTATAGAAATCATACAAATAACTTTGCTTAAAAATGCACTGTTCCCTGAAAATGTTTCCTTTTTATGTTTTAATAGGCTCAGAATCTGAGGTGGTAAGTCCAAAGTTTTCATTCTTCATGTTTTTATTATTTTAAATTTCAGCTACCAAATATATTTGAGACAAGACTCAGGATGAGCTGTCTGATATTTAAATATTAAGCAATTCCATTTAAGTGCTGGTTCCTCTAGGCACTGAAATAAAATCATTTTTTGATAAATATAGAAGTTTCCAGTCATGAAAATTATTGGCCTATTTTAATGAATTTAGTGTGTGGTTAAAGTTGATTTCGTGTGTTTTAATATGGTCATGATGATCATTTATCTTTTCGTTACTAAAACCTTATTGCATTTATTTAGGTTCAACAGTTTGAATCACTTGTAGGGCTTTTTATGATAGGCTAAGACAAAAGTTAAAGAAAATTGGAAATTGACAGGGTCTTGCTCTGTCATGCAGGCTGGAGTGCAGTGGTGCCATCATAGTGCACTTGAGCTTCAAACTCCTGGGCTCAAGCAATCTTCCCACCTCAGCCTTCCAAGTAGCTGGGACTACAGATGTACACCACCAAGCCTGGCTAATTACTCTGTTTCTTTAAAACGATTTTTAAAACAATGTTATTTTAGTTTAGGAAGTTGCTGAATCTTAGAACTGGCCATTTTATATAAGCAACCTTTTCTAATCATGCCTTTAGAAGTTTTCTGTTATTTAAAGTTCTGTTATTTTAGAGCAAAAATCTTTTATGAAATTCAATCTAAGATTTTTTAAATGCTGAGCATTCTAATTTTTTTCCGAAAACTAGTGGTATTTAACAATTACAGTTACTATGTCTTTGAAGAAAATTTTCATGTAGTTATTTTATATCAAAATAACTGCAGTGTTGGGTAAATTAATAATACATGCATTTTAATAATACAGTTGCTAAACTGACTTGTAAAAATCTTTCTCTTTCAACTTACCAAAATCAATCTGCATCCCAGTGGACTCATCAGTCAAAAATCAAGTGAGTGTTTCTTTTTCATAAAACAATGCATGATAAATATGCCTAAAGAGGAAGAAACCCTGTAGTTTAATAGTAAGCAAATTCTTACCATGTGATTTTTAAGTTTTTGTTTGTTTTCTAAAATTGTGTAATAGCTTTATGTAAAGCCAATTTTAAGGCTGTTTAAGGATTAATATTTGTACTTCAGTTAAATTCAAATCATTTCTCATCTTTAAAGTTGCTTCACTTGGTTTCATATTATGTTACCTTTCCATATGTTAAGGAGAGTCTCTTCCAGTTAAGTTTATGTTACTACACAGGTAAACAAGTTAGTAGTAGATCTAACAGAATTGTAACTTAACCTGCCTTTTATATTTGGAGCAAATTTTTCATAGGAACATTCTGTATGCGTTGAAAGTTAATATTGCTGAGGGCAGCAATTATAATAATGAATAAGCAACTAGCAAGTCTTTGACTTTTAATTATTCATTAGCCTGTGTACAGCTTGTATTCTTAGGACCGTAACAGAAACACAAGCCGTTGATCTGGAGCTTTGCATCCTTACTGAATTGCAAAGGGAAACCGAGACTCTTAAAGTTCATTTCTTTAATCAAGGTGGTTTTGGATATAATTACCTAAAATGGCCTGGAAAAGTTAAAAACCATCTATTCATGGTAGTTGTGGGGAGATACAGGATGAAACTCCAAGTACCTAGTAGATAAGGAACTTTGACTTGCCCTGGTGGCAGCAGCAGGGGTAGGGCACATAACCATGAAATAATAATTAAGGTGTTCAGAGCATAAAATAATCCCACATCTAACTTAATATACGTGTACCGGACACTGTGCTTGGTCCTAGGGATATAATAGCGACAGGATAAACAGCTCTGCCCTCAGAGAGCTTTTAATCTAGTCTAATTTGAAAGTGAGGATTCCTACGTTTCTAGAGCTTTCAGTACAAAAGATGCACATAATTAGAATCTAGACCCATTAGTCTTTCCATGTATCTTGAAATTGAAGGAAAGTGTTGTATATGATGTTGTGCCTGACACAGTTAAACTTCATATGATTTTAATTTTAGTTCATTTGCCCCTGTTTTGTGTGCTCAAGTCTATCTGCTTCCAACATCAGTTTTGAGAGCTTGGAGTGTTGACTCAGGCTTATTGCTTCACCTTTCTGAGCTTAAGTTTTATCATCTGTAAAATAGGGATTTAAGTGTTTATCTGTAGTATTTGGATGAAATGAGAGTATAAAAACTCTATTGATGGCATATAAATATTAGCTTGTTTAAAATAAATGACATCTTTAATATTTATATTAGTTTAAGCACAACAGTGCTAGAGATGAGTCAGAACCCAGAAAATCATGCAAGTATTTAAGTCTACTGGAAAGGTGTGAGCATCATTTACCTTACCATTTTTTTCCATTAGTACAGAGCATAAAAAACTAGTTATATAAAGTTGTTTCTGTGAATCAGTAGTTGCTTTGCTGTTTTCTTCCTCCAGGTGGGGCTCTTGTTGTTTATCAGACTAGTTTTTGTTTTGACAATAGCTTTAAAAAAATTAGAAGAGTTACCTAAGTTTCTTTTTTTTTTTTAATAGGTATGACTGGTATCAAACAGAATCTCAAGTAGTCATTACACTTATGATCAAGAATGTTCAGAAGAATGATGTAAATGTGGAATTTTCAGAAAAAGAGGTCAGTAGACTGAATCATTTTTCAATGTTGATTACTATTATTTGCAAATTTAGTATATTGCAGAATAATCGATAACGGTTTATCAGATAAATGCTATTTCTTCCTGAGATGATTTGGAAAATGTTGAATAAAATCTGAAGCCATTGCTTTGAGGTAAGAATATGTATGTTGGTAAATTATAGCTGGATGTGCATTTTTTTCTTTAGATTTGAAATTTAAAGCAGAATTTGGTTATATTAGTAAGATAATGTGCTTTGGTTATACTTGTGTGGTGTACTTCATGAAAAAGATCTAGTTAGTTTTGTGATCACACATGTCTTAGAATTGACTAGCCATGTTAAATGAGTATGACTTTTTTTGTTGTTGTTTTTTGAGACAGAGTCTCGCTCTTGCGTAGGCTGGAGTGCAGTGGCGCAATTTCGGCTCACTGCAGCCTCCTCCTCCTGGGTTCAAACAATTCTCCTGCCTCAGCCTCCTGAGTAGTTGGGACTACAGGCACATGCCACCGTGCCTGGCTAATTTTTGTAGAAACGGGGTTTCACCATGTTGGCCAGGCTGTTGTCGAATTCCTGACCTCAAGTGATCTACCCATCTCAGCCTCCCAAAGTGCTGGGATTAGAGGCATGCACCACCGTGCCCAGCCTCTTGAGTATGACTTTTAACAACTTGATTTCTTACCATTTAGTAGAGAACCTTATAATAGATTATTTAAAAGAGGTAGTGATAGAACTGTATGTTTTGCACATGGATCACTTTTTGTTATATATCATTTTGCTTTTGTATGTTTTCTTGAAATCTAAATATCAAATAGGTGTGATTAAATATATGACAAATATTATGAAACTTATTCTTTTCTGCTGTTTAATGATGTCTATAAGAATTCATGTCAAGGATACCAGATGGAAAAAAAAGGTTCTTAAATCTTTGAGAACCTTTTGAGGTTCTTAAATCTAAAATTCCATATATAATGTTTAAAATAATTTGTAACATTATTGAAGATTTGTCATTATTTTGTGTAGGTTTTTTACCCTCCATTATATACATTTACAAAATGTGATGCTAATTTTGTGTTCATTAGTTGTCTGCTTTGGTTAAACTTCCTTCTGGAGAGGATTACAATTTGAAACTGGAACTTCTTCATCCTATAATACCAGAACAGAGCACGTTTAAAGTACTTTCAACAAAGGTAAGACCATTGAAAAGTTTGTTACTAGTAATATTTTCAAAATTATAGAAATACTGGTGAACTAATCACCCATGTGTTTATAAGCTTGTAGATTCTTTCAGCCCTTTAACAGGGACAAGAAAATAAGAATGATAACTTTTGAGTATAAGGGTTATTTTACCTCTCAAATTCTAGTACAGTAAAGAATAAAAATCCACTTAGAGTGTGTGGCATTTGTGTATTTACTAAGACAGATATAATGTTTTTCAATAAAGGGGTTTTTTTAAAAAGATACAATAATCAGCCTGTCTTTAAGATTTGATACTGACAATGTCTCTTCCCTTGAACTTGTCAGTTTTGTCTGTTTTGATGTACAAATACTTTTGTCACCCTACCTCATGCAGTTAAAAATACAAACTACAAGAAAGATGAATCTGCCTTTTGTTTTTTTTGTTGTTGTTGTTGAGACGGAGTCTTGCTTTGTTGCCCAGGCTGGAGTGCAGTGGCGTGATCTCGGCTCACTGCAACCTCTGCCTCCTGGATCCAAGTGATTCTCCTGCTTCAGCCTCCCAAGTAGCTGGGACTACAGGCATGCACCACCACGCCCTGCTTAATTTTTGTATTTTTAGTAGAGATGGGGTTTCACCATATTGGCCAGGCAGGTCTCCAACTCCTGACTTTTTTTTTTAAACTGAATTTTAGATTACTCTATTATGAGGGAACAATGAGTAAATTATAGTTTGAGTAATTTTTAGATTCCTTTATAGTTTCTAAAAGAAGTAGAGATATACAACAGAATTAATATTCAGAGAGTATCACTCAAAAGATGTAGATAATAGTGTAATTTAGTAGGAAAAAAACTGAAAATTTAAAAATCTGACTCTGGATCTTTGCTTGCCCTGTGTATTTAGTCTAGGCACAAAATGACTATAAGACTGAATTTTCAGCACCTTTGAAAGGAGGGCTGTGGACCAAATGAACTCTGGAGTCCTTTCAGCTGTAGAATTGTGTGAAGGTATATGATAAATGAGTTAATGGGAATAAATGATGTAGGTAGGCTTTTTCCATTACTACTTTTTTTTTTTTTCCTTGTTTTTGAGATGTAGTCTAGCTCTGTTGCCAGGGTGGAGTGCAGTGCTGTGATCTCAGCTCACTGCAACCTCCGCCTTCTTGAATCAGGTTCAAGTGATTCTCCTGCCTCAGCCTCCTGAGTAGCTGGGATTACAGTCATGTACTGCCACGCCCAGCTAATTTTTGTATTTTTGTAGAGATGGGGTTTCACCATATTGGCCAGGATGGTCTTGATCTCCTGACCACGTGATCTGCCCACCTTGGCCTCCCAAACTGCTGGGATTACAGGTGTGAGCCACTGCACCTGGCCTATTACTCCTTTTTTTATACATAGGTCCTGCAGCATACTGTGTTAGTATTTATTAGGTTGAAGCTCTAAGGACATGTGAAGTTTCCTGTTGTGGAACAGGATCGGGGTTGGCCTGTGTTGTGAAGAATGATAATTGGGCCTGCAGAAAGGACACAGCTGCAGAGGGTTGGAGAAGAAAGTGTAAAGTGAAGTAGTTTTTTGCATCCAGTTAAAAAGGATCTGCCTACTTATTTGAAGATTGTCAAGAACAAAGCTGGTTAATTATGAGGCAGATTTTTGAAATAGCTGCTTGGGACAATAGAAAGTGAGGAAAGGGATGAAATCTTACCAGGATTTTGGTCTCTCACTGGTCCTATCCACATAGTATAGAATTTGTTTAATAAAAGAATTTTTAGTAATCAAGCACAAAATAGGTAGATTTGAGAGGGATATAGTTCATAAAATAATGAATTTGACTTTTTTTGGTATATGTCTATCGAGATTGCTAATGCAAGTGAGCTGAGATCACTACGTTGCACTCCAGCCTGGGCAACAGAGTGAGACTCTGTCTCAAAAAAAAAAAAAAAAAGATTGTTAATGCATGTCCATTTGGAGTTATTTAAATTGAGTGTGAATTAATGATAAATGACTTAAGAACTTGTATTACTGAGCCACCTCCTATAGTGGAAGAATATCATGTGTGGTAAATACATAGATGTGTGGCTAGAGTTGAGGATGTAATTAAGCACTCTTATCTCAATTCTTTTTTCTCTTTTGAGTCTTGGATTTGTTAATTTTAACCATTCTTCAACCATACTACTATGTTCTCAGTTTGCCTTTTCTGCCCCTTCCTCTTTAAATGCTAAGTGACGACTTTTCTTCCTTATATAGTAGTTTATGTATACATTTCATGTCCCTCGTTTCTGTGTAAGTCTTTGAGGATAAGAAGCATGTTTTATTTGTATCTTTGTATGTGCCCCAGTTAGGGTCCCCAGATAAAGTTACAAGATGTTCATTTAAGTTTCTATTTAAGATAAACAATGAATAATTTTTATTATGTAAATATGTTTCATGCTATAATTTTATTTGCTAAACTTGGCAGCCCTCACCACATACATTGCACAGTGGGTGCTTAGTTCAGTGAATGAATTAAAATTGGATTTTGGTTTTAGTCCCATGACATTGGCAGAGAATGTTTATTCTTAGTTTTGCAGGTGGAAAAACAATCATGTTAATGGAGTTTAAATACTTTCCCCAAGTTTACCTAGTTAACTAAATTCTTCAGCCTGGCCTAGGAGACGTAGATACACTTCTGATTGCCAACCAAACTAGTGCATCTTTGCTTAGGTTTTTCTAAGTTTTGAATTGGAGAACTTAGATTCTAAGGATGTGTCCTAAAGAATTATTATTTTTCTTGTCCTGACCCTGGAATCTCTGTATTTTATATACCATATATATATATATGTGCACACACAAAATCTTGTTAGATTACTAACTCTTAAACTATTTGGGGGGAAGCAAATTGAAAGAAGTTTTCTTAATTATGTCTTAAGGGAAATAAATGATAAAATCTTTGAATTTCCTTTTTCATACAGTAGAGGGAGACAATATTAAAATACTGAAAATAAAATATCTGGGTTACTGAGGCTTACTTCGTGGACACTTAAGAGACAACAGTACTAAAATAATTTGCTTTTCATGTATTCAGATATCTTGATTGTTGAGATATCTTGGACCTTTGTGAATTGAGAAAGGACGCATTTTGCAGAGGAGAATCTGCTTAATAGTAGAGATTCTGTAAAATTTGCAGCTTAAAAGGGCGATTTCTTTGCTTTTGGGAATTCTCTTTTCTTTCCCACCTTCAAGATTGAATGAATGTTGCATATCCATGTATAGCCAGTGGTTAAATATTATTTATTTGAGTGATATGTAATTTGTGATGAAAGTAGTAAGAGGTAAAACCCTGAAATTAATGAAGTAGCATTTCTTAACTATTTTACAGTGTAGTATCCAATATGTTTTTCCAAGCCAGGATTCATATTTTTTCAGTATCTCTGATAGTTATTGCTACTTTTTACTGAATATCAGCTTTAATGTCAGCCTATTAATTTTTTAGAAATTAAGAAACTATATGTCTTTCATCTTGTTGATTTCATGACACTATTCTCTGGTCACAGTCTCAGAATTGTGACTTTAGTGGCACCCATATTGTGAAATACTCATTTTAAAAATTAATTTTCATTCCCTTTAAGATTTAGAATTCACAAGTCGGGCACGGTGGGTCATGCCTGTAATCCCAACACTTTGGTAGGCCAAGGCGGTCGGATCACTTGAGGTCAAGAGTTCGAGAACAGCCTGGTCAACTTGGTGAAAACCTGTCTCTACTAAAAATACAAAAAATGAACTGGACGTGGTGACGGGTGCCTGTAGTCCCAGCTACTCGGGAGACTGAGGCAGGAGAATCGCTTGAACCTGGGAGGCGGAGGTTGCAGTGAGCCGAGATCATGTCGCGCCACTGCACTCCCGCCTGGGTGACTGAGTGAGACTCCGTCTCCAAAAGAAAAAAAAGAATTAGAATTCTCAGTCTTTTGGGGTGAATTTGCCCTTGTGGAAATGTTCTTGTATTCTTAAGTCATAGTTAAGTCATAGTAATTTTGCTGATTATACAATATAAAATACGAAGGCCTGGAATTGTGAGAAATAAAAATGTCTGTCTTAGAAACAAAATAGCCTCCTTTTCTCTTCTCCCACTTTGAGAAGTTTTAGAGCGTATCCTATTGCTTAATGTTCATAGAAGAATATATGTATGTTAAATAAAAATCCTGGTGATAATATAATGGAATGGGGTATCTGGGCATGATGCTTCCTTCTGCTTGTCTGAATACATAGATATGAGAGTTTTTAAAATTATTGTTTTCTTTTGCTTTTTTAGTACAGTGGTGGTGATAATAGTGAGATTTCTTTTTTAACTGAATTAGTTTAAAAAAAGATCACAAATTGTAGATCTTGGAATGTATTCTTATCTTTTCATATATTTTGTAATGTATATTTATATATTTTTAAAAGAATTTTACATAATTTTTAAACAGCTACATTTTGTTGATATTTTTATCACATCCTTACATATTCAACAGCAAAGTATTTCGGCATATGCATGTACTGTAGCTTATTTAGCCAGTCCCATTTTGTTTGACCTGTGGAGAATAAGAATAGGTGTTTTGACTGTTTTATCACATTCCAGGCACTGTACTATGAATTATCTCATGTAATTCTCATAGTTACTGCATGGTGTAGGTATTTTTATCCCTAGTTTACAGGTAGAGAAACTTAACCCAGAGATGTTCAATAATTTGCCCAGGTTTTTTAGCTGAGGATATTGATAATAGCATTCTGTTGTTATTTGCCAGACGTGGTTCTTTATTCTTTTCATACATAGTGTCATTTAATCTTCTTGAGAACCCTAAATGAGTCAGGGCCTACTGTTCTCATTTTATAGGAGAAACTGAGGCTCGCTGAGATTGAGTTGCTTGCTTATGGTCATATATCTAACCAATGGCACCTATTTGTGACTCTTCTAACTATACAACTGATTGTTTTTGTGTTATTCTCAACCCCTGGTTATTTCTTAGGAAATAAGTTAAAATTCTAGCTGAAAAATGCGCTTACAGCAAATTATTTCATATCTTGGCTCCCACATCTCTAAAATATGGATAACAATCTTTTTTAATAGGGTGATTCCGTTAAGTAAGATGATATATGTGAAGCATGTAGCATGCAGGATATGTAATAAGAGCTCAATAAATGTTACAGTACCTTTCTTACTGTTTTATTTTAGTTATTTCGATTTTTATTCGGGCTGTAAACTCAGCAAATGCGTTATCATAGAAAATCTGGAAAAGATAAAGGAGTTTAGGAAGTAATCACTCAGACTCACCACTCAGATGACATTCTAGCATGTTTCCTTTCAGATAACCTGATATTTCCTGATACATAGGTCAGTCACTACACCTGACACATACTGGAATCTTTTTGTTTATGGGAATGTCTCTCCTGATTAATTACTTTAAGAAGAACAGAGGCTGTGTCCTTATGTACCAGCACTGTTTCTGGCACAGAGTAGGTACTCAGCAAATATTTGAAATGAGCTGTTAGAAGTTTGGAGAAGACCTTCAATCTTCTCCATTCATTGCCATTTTTTTGCATTTAAAAAATGATTATAGAAATATTTTAGTGTAAAATCAAGGTAGATGTATTAGTCTGGGCTCGAAGGCAGCTATTTTCAGACAAAGGAATTTGATGTAGCAATTAAATGTGAAAAGAGCTTAGTAAGAGTATGTTGGGAAGGCTGTATTCTGAAGATTAGGGGAACAATTATTTAATGAGTACAGTCTTGAAGTGTATGGTTCTTAAAAGTTTGCCAATAAATTGCCCCAGCTCTTTAGTCTCTGGGAAAGATCCCTTCATGTCAGTCTGTAATAGTAGGTGGGATCTTACTTACCACTTAAGATGGTGGTGTCTGGATATCATGATTGCTTAAGCGTAATGCCATCTCTTTAAATCTGAAATTTCTTTCATTGGAAAGAATTAAACTCTCTGCTATGCAGAGGAGACTTCAGAAGTGGATGGTAGTACCTATGCTGTTGAGAGCTAATGATCCAGCACATTAGGGATTCTTAGTGTAATCTGTGAATACTCTTTTGGGATATTAGCAACTTGAGAGCCTTCCCTGTACATATGAGAGCAACATTCAAGCAAACTACCAAAGTTTTAAGTTACTTTTAAAGTTTTTTTGACTTAAATGAAAATAGAATGGTATGTTAATGGTTGCAGTAAAAACCTCTGAAATTGGACTGGTGCTAATTCTAGAACTATCTGCCCGAATCATGAAGACTTAAAACTTCATTTTTAAAAGCATGTACAAACATTGAAAGTGAATTAAATGTAAAAAGGATTTCATAGGACATTAGTCCCTCCCTTCTTTTACTTTTTTTTTTTTTGTGTGGGGGTAGATAGGGTCTCACTCTGTTGCCCATGCTGGAGTGCAGTGGAGTGATCATGGCCCACTGTGGCCTCAACCTCTTGGGCTCATGTGATCCTCCCACTTCAGCCTCCCAGAGTGCCAGGATTACACGTGTGAGCCAACACACCTGGCCCCTTTTACCTTTTTAAAAAAGCTACTTTAAGTGGTTTATTACATGCAGCTATTTTAATGAATGGATTAAGTATAATTTCAAGTTGAGGTCAGCTTGTCTCAGCTGAAGCAGGTTGTTACTAAGAGCTTTGCCTTTTGCTTTATAAAGTCCTCTTTGTTCATACTGCACAGTTACTCAGGTTATAGTGGCTTTCAGTAGATGCGAATGCTACTCTGTGCTGCTCTTCAGGTGAAACAAGGAACTTTTTATAGACAGTATGTTCATAGTTACAGGAACATGAAGTGTGAATATAGGGTGGCCTGTGGCCAAGTTTAATGTGGTGATGTACACAGTACTTTCCAGGCCCTCATTTTTTAGATGAGTTGAAAATTAAAGAAGATGCAATTTTAATTTTTCAGATAATATTAACAGTTCTTTTCAGTAACTATTGCTGTGTCATTGCCATCTATTTGATTTATGTCCCTTTTGATAAATATCGTAGCAGTGACAACTTAAAGTAACCAGAATATAGAAGATATTGGTGGTATATTACTTTATAAAAAATTAATTGTAGTTAACTTTAGGGAATTCTAGAGATTCTTATGAAATATGTTTTTATATATGTAGAGTTTAAACATGTAAATTACACCAAAGATAGTATACTTTTTTTTTTTTTTTTTTTTTGACAGAGTCTCGCTCTGTTGCCCAGGCTGAAGTGCAGTGGCACGATCTTGGCTCACTGCAGCCTCCGCCTCCCAGATTCAAGCAATTCTGTCTCAGACTCCCGAGTAGCTGAGACTACAGTCACATGCCACTATGCCTGGCTATTTTTTGTATTTTTAGTAGAGACAGGGTTTTGCCATGTTGGCCGGGCTGGTCTTGAACTCCTGACCTCAGGTGATCTGCCTGCCTCGGCCTCCTAAGGTGCTGGGGTTACTACTCTTTGCCCTTATCCCAGTGACGTTTGCTTCATATTTTTCTCTTATTATGAAAACAGTCGTTTATTACATTTCTTTGCTCCAAAAGAAAATAAAAATAAACGCTTGAGACCAGATACCCCACATACATATACCATCATTTTATCTCTGATTAAAAATATTGGCAGTTTTTCCCTGTGTTAGCGCTTGTTAAGGTATTTTAAGGTGCAAATTTTGAAGGTCCTTTTGCTAAATGCATTTGGTATAAAGATGGCCTGGAATTGCTAGTTTAATGAGTCATCTGATAAAAGATAAAAGAACCAAAGGGTGAATAGACTTCTTTTTTTAAGTCTGCCTTTTGATTTTTTAATCCCATTTACAAAAGTAGTGATCCTTTTCATAGGAAAAAAACATGAGAATATAAAATTCTAATTCAATTGCTCATTTAAACTGTTTTATATAATGTTTATTATAGTGCTTACTTTAATATTTGCACTAAAAATGCTGATATTAGCCTGTTAAAATAGAGGTGAGAGCATTATTTGAATAAAGAAAACAAAAGGTAGATAAAATGCTATGTGATTGTGTGTGTTGGGGGCAAGGATAGACTCAGAGGCCTAGCCTTAATTAGATAGTAAAAGATGCTATTAGGATACTATTAACTTTTCATTTTAATAAGTGAACTTAGTCTTCTCGGTAAGTAAGTGAACTTAGTCTTCTCAGTACTCCCCGATGCAGTGTCCTTTCATACCCATGCTCCAGTTAGGCCATTCCCTATGCTCTGGAGACCTACCCCTTCACTCTTGCAAATGCTTCTACCCTTCAGAGCCCTTCAAGATGTATAAAGCGTTTCCCCTTCACAGTCAGGTGTGCTCTCTCCTGAGCTTTTAGAACATTTACTTATTTAGAACTTCAGTAACTTTCTTAAAGTATCTCACATACTTCCAAATGGTCGAGGATGTGTCTTTAATATTTTAAAAATCCACCTGGGCTTGGTGGCTCATGCCTGTAATCCTAGCACTTTGGGAGGCTGAGGTGGGAGAATGGCTTGAGGCCAGGAGTCTGAGACCAGCCTGGGCAACCTAGTGAGACTCTGTCTCTACGAAAAATTTTAAAAACATTAGCCAGGAGTGGTGGCACTTGTCTGTAGTCCCAGCTACTTGGGAAGCTGAGGCTGGAGGATCACTTGAGCCCAGGAGTTCAAGTCTAGAGTGAGCTATGATCCTTCTACTGCACTCCAGCCTGGGAGACAGAGCAAGACCCTGTCTCTAAAAATAAAACAAAAATCTCCCACAGCCTTGAAGACTGTACTGTCTCATAGTAGGTGCTTAGTAATTATTTGTTGAATGAAAGATTGCCTGAATGTTAACATGAGTTGTATTGTGTTTATACAGTGAAATAAGTTTCTCCACTGTAAAACAGGTTAATGCACATGTAAATGCAGTAATTCTTTTAGAATCAGATTTCTCTGTAATGGCATTATTGACATTTTGGGGAATTGCCCAGTACATTGTAGGATGTTTAGTAGCAACCGTGGTCTCTACTCAATAGATGTCATTATCACCTCTTCCCTCACTGCAGTATGACAACCCACAATGTCTCCAGACATGGCTAAATGTCCCCTGGGTGGCAGAATCATCCCTGGTTCAGAACATTGCTTTGGATGAAAAAAAGCATATGTATTTCAAGTCTCTTCTTGATTATAGCTTATATATAGTGTGTATGTTGTTTTTTTTCAAGGGTGAATTTTGAGTGTAGAAACAAAATTGTTTCATAGTTTTTCAAATTTAACCTTGTATAATTTAAGGAAACTGTCAAAGATACTATTCTTAACAAAACTTTGATGACTTAAGAAAACTGCATTTTTTACTGTTTTGTGTATTTTACGTCGAGTAATGGAGTTTATTTGGTGTTTCCTCCAGATTGAAATTAAACTGAAAAAGCCAGAGGCTGTGAGATGGGAAAAGCTAGAGGGGCAAGGAGATGTGCCTACGCCAAAACAATTCGTAGCAGGTTTGTTTTCTGGCCTTGATGAGCTTTATATTCATATTGTGTTGTGTAATTGAAATTAAATAGTAATGAACATTCTTTTTACTTTCATTATTTATGTTCTCAAGATAAGATACATTGAGTATAATAAGGTTGCTCCGTAATGAATATAAAGTAGCCTTTCTGTGAAAGTTCTGACTTCTCAAATTCTAAGAATACAAATGAATGGCAGCAAAATCCTAGAGGGAGTTGGGATTTATTGTTTACCATGTAAAGTTTATGACATCAGTTGGAGGGTGTTTAGTTTTGCGTGTTGGCCCTTCCTGTTGTTTCTTTTTGGGTTGTAAGTTGGTTTACTCGGCGGATATATTTCCCCTTCTTCCCTCTCCCTTTCTTAATTCCTTTCTGTTCCTTCTACTGATACTGTCATCTAATTGCCTGGAATTTGCAGGGCTTTACAGGGTAAGGTATCTACCCCATTTCTTATTGCTAATTTAGAGATGGACGCAAATAGGTGGTAAATGCCAAAGGAAAGTCTAGGAGAAGAGTAGAAAACCAGGCTTCATTGTATATATAACCCTGTAAGAAACAGAACTTTGTGTTGAGGTCAATTTTAAGTATGTGCAATAACTAGGTAAGAATTTTTCTAGTGGACAAATTCACAGCACACTCAGAACTACAACCTAAGATTATATTTTATAGCAATAGCTTCATTAATGAGTGGAGGGAAATTTCTTTTTATTGGAAGTAATGGTCTGATTTAATGACTGAAACAAGCTAACATGTGTCTCAGCTTTTTCTGATTTTGACTGCTTTCTTCTGTAACAGAAAACACATTTCCTTGTGGCACCTTTTAGAAAACACTGAGTTATTCAACAGATCATTTGTGTGTGTGTTTGTGTGTGTGTGTATAGTTATTTCTTAAGAAATAATTTTGGATGTTTAGAAATTTCAAAAATAAGAGATTCTCATATAGCTTTCACCCAGTTTCCCCCATTGATAGTGTCTTAACTAGTCCAATGATTACCTCTTAAGTAGTCTGTGGTATAATTTTCAAAATCAGGGTATTAACACCAACAGATACTTTTTAAGGACTGAAGTATATCTAGTTGGTATTTAAGGTATTTAAGCATCTGCTTCACACTTTATTTGAAAGATGTATGTGTTTCTTTTAGGACTGACTCCAATAGATTTTGAGGCTGAGGTTTATATGTAGCTGAAAGCTTTAAAAAATATATAATCACTTTAAATGTAGTATCTTACTTAATTCTAACAGCCCTGCATAACAGGCAGCCCCTTAGTATTCCTCCCATTTTGCAGGCTCAGAAAAGTTAAGCTCAAGATTATCCCTCAGTTCTCATTGTCTAGGACTAAAATCTAGGTCTTCTCAGTTGGGTCCAGTTATTCTGTTAACCCGTTGTCTACTTGTTGCATACTGCTTGTTGTTGCATTTTCTAACAATGGAAACAGTCTTTGCCGACATGAGTATCTAGTAGTTATTTGATATTATAGTGAATGAGCAGGGAGGTTAGATTACTCATCTCTCAGTAGTTCATCTGCCATCTCCAGGTGTTAAAAGTTTTTCTGAGATTAAAGATCAAGGCTTTTTAGTGTTACAGTTACCATGTTTTTTCTAAACTCAACACCTTAGATATTCAAGATGATACTCTTCCTGTCCTGTTTTTGTAAGAAATTAATATACTTGTCAGATTCCTGTGTATTGCAAGCTGGAGACTGTAGATAAGGGCAAGTCACTTAACCTATCTGACCCAGCTTGCTTATCTACAAAATAGAGATTAAAACCTCTGTTCTCATCCTTCCTGGGAGTCAGCATTAGGATTAATTAAATCCATATTTCCCAGGCTCTTAACTTACCATGGCACGCATTTTTTGTTTTACCTGGCTACTAGTGAAAATGTACAAAGATAGAAGGATATCTAGTAGAAGGAAGGTGGATAGGATTTTCAAAACAATATATTTGGCCCTGAAAAAAAACTATGTGTTGGTGTTGTGTGTGTTGTTTTGTTTTGAGGAGGAATGGGCAGGGAGAAAGTCGGTTTACAAGTGAAGAGAAAGCGTAGAAAAACAGTGGATGTTAGTTTCTCAGCTATTTTGACAAAAGGGATGTAGAGAGCAGTATTGGGAGGAACATTTAGATTAGTACTAATGTGTCCTAATACATACTGATGGGGAAATTTTGAATTGGGTTTTTTGAAAACTGTAGCTCTTTTGTCCAACACAGTAGCTGCTAGCCACATGTTACCTGTTGAGCACTTGAAATATGACTAGTCTGCATTGAGATGATGTGCTATGTGAAATATATGCTACAGTTTGAAGAGTTAGTATGAAAAAAAGAATATAAAATATCTTCATTTTTTTTGTTGGTTTTTTTTTTTTTTTAAGAGAGAGTCTTGCTGTGTCACCCAGGCTGGAATGCAGTGGCACTGTCATGGCTCAGTGTAGCCTCAACCTCCTGGACTCAAGCAGTCCTCTACCCCAACCTTCCGAGTAGCTGGTACTGCAGGCATGTGCCACCACGCCCAGCTAATTATTATTATTTTTTTTTCATAGAGATGGGCTCTCACTATGTTGCCCAGGCTGGTCTCACACTTCTGGCCTCAAGCAATCCTCCTACTTGGCCTCCCAAAGTGCTGGGATTATAGGTGTGAGCCCCCATGCCCGGCCTCTGTTGGTTTCAAGTCAATATGATACTATATTTGATATATCAGGTTAAATAAAATGTATTATTAAACTGCATTTCACCTGATTCTTTTTAGTAATGTAGTTACTAGGAAGTTTTAAATTATATATGTGACTCACATTTGAGGCTGTCATTATATTTTCATTGGATAGTCAACAGAGCTGCTCCTATAGCTACTAGGTTGTCTAGTTATTTTCTAATTATTTGTGTGCCAAGATCTTGATGCCTTTGGTCTTTGGAGCAATCTTGGCAGTACCCCGAGCCCCTGGGCCAGTAGCCTCTCTCGCTGCAAGCAGCTCTGTTTACTCCAGTGTGCCCTACAAATACTATTATTTGCTAGGTGTATGGGATGTGGGCATTGAACTTTAGATCATCAAGTGTAGTACTTTAAACATTTAGAAATTACTTACTGTTATTGCCTATTAAAATAATCTTACTTTTTTGATGGGAGAGTATGGAGTGGCATGGATGATTATTTATATTTTCAGGCTATTTATACTCTGAAAGATACTAAGTACTTTAGAAAAAGTCACATTTTTAACATTTATTAAAATCTTAGTTACAAAAGATTTCTTAGGCATCCTTTAAAAAATTTCATTTTTAGAATTGTTCGTACTGTCTCTGCAACTTTTCTGAAAACATAAAAGTTCTGTATACTTTTCATCTAGTTTCTGTTATCAACATGAAGAATCTGCTTTTAATCTAATTTTGTATAGCATATCAAAAGTTTACACTTTATTGAGTTATTTTGCTCAAAAGAAATCCCCAGATTTTACATTATGGTAACTGACTCAGTTTTTAGAAATGTGAATTTTGTTATTGACCTATATACCAGAAAGACACTTATTGCATACCTGAAATTCAGTAACCTAAACTGTTTGCTAAGATGTTCCATATACATGGTCACAAAGTTTACATATTCTCGACATAATTGAAACATGTTGATTAATTACTTCTGCCTTTTTTTACTTCATAGATGTAAAGAACCTATATCCATCATCATCTCCTTATACAAGAAATTGGGATAAATTGGTTGGTGAGATCAAAGAAGAAGAAAAGAATGAAAAGTTGGAGGGAGATGCAGCTTTAAACAGATTATTTCAGCAGATCTATTCAGATGGTTCTGATGAAGTGAAACGTGCCATGAACAAATCCTTTGTAAGAATATAAACTTAAAGAAATATATATGGGAGCAAATTTTACATATTTTAAACGAGAAAATTGGTAATGTGAGACCAAATTGCGTGTACTATAGCTGGGAGAACTTTTTGAATAAGGTCTGTCTGAACGTTTCTTTTTGCTCTAAGAGTAATTTTTGAGGAAGTTGAAAACTTATGGAAGAGATGAGAAACAAGTGGTTTATCTTAAATAGGTATTTTTTATCAGTGAGTTAGATTGATATGGAGTCATCTCACTTGGATTTATCCCAGTAGCTGAGTGAACTTCTGTTGTTTCCCTTCTAGACTCATATGTAGCCTCAGTGTTAGAGATGAAGAATATAGATACGAAACTTTTCAGAATAGTGTTTGCAAGTAGAAGGTGCACGTTATTCATTGGTTTAACAACTCTCTTGATTAAGAAAATTCAGGCTTTTTGTCAGGGCAGCATAAATACCTAAATTAGACCTCAAAATTTTAGTAATAATTCGTCATTGTATATTTAGCTTGCAGTTGTAATCATGTGACTTTTATTAATACCAGTAGCTCTGGAAATATGACTCTTTTAAGACATATTTACAGTAGAAAGTTAAAATTAGTATTTTAATTTAATATTTAGTTAATGTGGTTGAGGCTTAGGTATTTCACACTTAAGAAATCTGTGGTAATTGGTCATGATTGTGCTTTTCACAGTTTATTTATTTAGAGACAAGGTCTCACTCTGTTGCCCAGGCTTGAGTACAGTGGCGTGATCTCGGCTCACTGCAGCCTCTGTCTGCCGGGCTCAAGTGATTTTCCTACCTCAGCCTCTGCAGTAGCTGGGACTATAGACATGCACCACCACGCCTGGCTACTTTATTTCTTGTAGAGGTGGGGTTGCGCCACGTTGCCCAGGCTGGTCTCGAACTCCTGGCTTCAAGCAATCTAGCCGCCTCAGCCTCCCAAAGTGCTGGGATTACAGGCGTGAGGCACCTCAACCAGCCTCACTATTGATTAAAAAATTTTTTTTCATCACTTTTGGGAGACTGAGGTGGGAGGATCACTTGAGCTAAAGATCTTGAGATTAGCCTGGGCAACATAGAGAGACCCTATCTCTACAAAAAAAAAAAAAAAATTAGCTAGGCCTGGTGGCATGTGTCTGTGGTCTTAGCTACTTGGGAAGGTGAGGTGGGAGGATCTCTTGAGCCTGGGTGGTCAAGGTTGCAGTGAGCTGTTTTTTTGTGCCACTGAACTACAGCCTGGGCAACAGAGACCCTGTCTCAAAAAAAAAAAAAAAGTCTTCATTAAACTTTTAGTTTTGAGATAATTGTAGATTGACATGCAATCCTAAGAAATGAGATTCTTTGTACCTTTTACAAAGTTTCCATTGATGGAAACATTTTGTCAAAACTATGCTACAACATCACAACCATGATACTGACAGTTAAGATAGGGAACCTTTAATCCCAGTGCTTTGGGAGTCTGAGGCCACAGGATCCCTTGAGGCTAGACCAGCCTGGACAATATGGTAAGTTCTGGTCTCTACAAGAAATTTAAAAGCTACCTTGGCATGATGTTGTGCCCCTGTCAGCTCAGGCGTCTGCGGCAAGAGTATTGTTTGAGCCCAGGAGTTCAAGGTTGCAGTGAGCTATGATCGTGCCACTACACTTAGCTTGGGCAGCAAAGTGAGACCCTATCTCTTTAAAAAAAAAAAAAAGAGAGAGAGAGAGATAGAACATTTTCATGGATTCCAAGGATCCCTTATGTTGCTATCTTATGGCCATACTAACCCCACCCCCACCCTTCCATGATCCCTGATGATCACAAATCTGGCAATCTTTGTCAGATATGTAGTTTACACATATTTTCTCCCAGTATGTAGTTTTCATTTTCTTAATAGGGTCTTTCATAGAACCAAAATATTTCATTTTGATTAAGTCTAATTTACCGCTTTTTATGGATCATGCTTTTAGTTTCAGGTCTTATTAACTCTTTGCCTAGTCCTAGATCTCAAAGACTCTCTCCTATTTAAAAAATAAATAAAAGTAATATTGTTTTACATATTACATTTATTTTTTATTTAGAGACAGGGTCTCATTCTGTCACCCAGGCTGAAGTACAGTGGCACAGTCACAGTTCACTGTAACCTCAAAGTCCTGGGCTCAAGTGATCCTTATGCCTCAGCCTCCCAAGTAGATGGGACTACACATCCATGCTGCCATGCCTGGCTAATTTTTAAAATTTTTTGTAGAGGTGGGGGTGTCTCCGTATTGCTTAGGGTGGTCTCGAACTTCTGACCTCAAGCAGTCCTTCGGCCTTGGCTTCCTGAAGTGCTAGAGTTACAGGCGTGAGCCACAGCACCTGGCCTACATATTACATTTAAGTCTGTGATGCATTTTGAATTTTTATGTCAAGTGTGAGATTTAACTTGAGGTTCCTTTTTGTGGGGTGGATAGTATGTTCGGGTGTTCTGGCACCTATCTTTTCTCATTGAATTGCTTTTGCACCTTTCTTAAAAATCAGTTGAGCGTATTTGTGTGAGTCTATTTCTAAGTTCCCCACTGTGTTAGATTGAGCTGTATGTGATCTATATGTATGTTCCTCTGTCAGTCCCACTGTCTTAAGCTGTAGCTGTTTAAGTCTGAAATTGGGCAGACTCATTCCTCCTACTTTATCCTTTATTTTCACAATTGTTTTTAGATATTCTAACTCATTTGTCTTTCCATGTAAATTTTAGAATAAAGTGATTATATATAATTTTGGTGTTCATTACTAGAATCTAGACATACAGTTAATTTTATGTTTATCTTGTATTCTGTGACATTGCTGGACTCAGTTCTAGGAGTATTTTTGGATAGATTGTCATTTTTTTAATGTGGACAATCATCTTCAAATATGGAGGTTTTATTTATCTGCAGATACGGAGAGTTTTATTTCTCCCTTTTCTATCTGTATGCCTTTTATCTCCTTTTCTTGCTATATTTCACTGGCTGCAACTTCCGCACTGTGTTGAATAAGAGTAGTGAGAGTGGACATCCTTGCCTTGTTTCCCATTTTAAGGGAAAAGTATCTGTTGTTTCATCATTAAGTATAATGTTAACTGTAAATTTTTGGTAGATGATCTTTGTCAAGTTATGAAAGTTCTGTTGTATTCCTATTTTTCTGAAATTTTTTTATCATTAACTTTCAATATTAACTTTTTGTCAGATGTTTTGTCTGTGTTGATTGATAGGATTATATGATTTTTCTTCCTTAGCCTGTTAATATGGTGATTTTATATGATTAATATGATTGATTTTCAAGTATTGAGACAGTCTTGCATGAGCCCTACTTTGTCATATAGTGTATCTCTTAATTCTATCTTCTAATGTTTTGTTATGGGTTATTGTGTCTATATTCATGAGGAATATGAGTCTAATTTTCTTTTTGTGCTATCTTTGGTTTGGCATCAGAGTAATACTTCATAAAATGAATTAGGAAGCATTGCATCCTCTTCTGTTTTTTAGAAGATATTGTGTATAATTGGTGTTAACTTTTCTTAAGTATTTGGTAGAACTCACCAGTGAAACGGTCTGGGCCTGGAGATTTCTTTATTAGGAGATTTACAGTTATGAATTTAGTTAACCTAAAAGTTTTTATAGGACTGTTCCAATTATCTATTTCATATGGGTGACTTGTGGTTTGTTTCTGATAAATTTATCCATTTTGTCCAAGTTGTCAGTGTTTGTATAGTCCCTTATTCTTTTTGTTTTTTGTCTTTTGTTCTTGAGACGGCATTTTTCTATCGCCCAGGCTAGAGTGTAGTAGTGTGATCATAGCTCACTGCAGCCTCAACTTCCCAGGCTCAAGTGATCCTCTCATCTCAGCCTCTCCAGTAGCTGGGACTACAGGCATGTGCCGTCACATCCAACTAATTTATTTTAATTTAATTTAATTTTATTTTATTTTGTAGAGATGGGGTTTTGCCATGTTGCCCAGTCTGGTCTGTAACTCCTGAGCTCAAGCGATCCGCCCACCTTGGCCTCCCAAAGTGCTAGGATTACAGGAGTGAGCCCCCATGCCTGGCCTCCCTACTCTTTTGATGTCTGCAGGGTTTATAGTGATATCTTTTTATCATTCTTATAATAGTAATTTGTGTCTTTTCTCTTTTTTCTTTGTCAGCCTTGCTAGAGGTTTAAAGGACACCTTATCTAGCATATGCTTACCCATTAGCTAGATTTGCTTATGTTATTGAATTTTTTCTTCCAAAGAATTAGCTCTTTGTTTCGTTTTTTCCTCTATTTTTTTGTTCTACATTTTTTTATTCATTTCTATTTTTATTTTCTTCCTTCTGCTTGCTTTAAGGTGCATTTTGTTCTTACTTTTCTAGGTTCTTAAGATGTACATTTGTCTATTATCTATTTCTATCTATTCACTCATTTTTGAGACAGGGTCTCCCTCTGTCGCCCAGAGGGGAGTGCAGTGGTGCGATCGTGGCTCAGTGCAGCCTTGACCTCCTGGGCTCGAGTAATCCTCCTGAGTAGCTGGGATCACAGGCATGCGCCACCATTCTCAGTTAATTTTTTTTTATTTTTTGTAGAGACGAGGCCTCCCCATATTGCCCAGGCTGGTCTTGAACTCTTGAACTCAAGCAGTCCTCCCATGTTGACCTCCCAAAGTGCTGAGATTACAGGCATGAGCCACCACGCCTGGCCTGTTGTCTGAAAGTTTTCTGTTTTCCTAGGCAGCGTCCTTCCCTGATCTCTTGGCAAGAGAGAGCAGGGGTTTGTTGGGACTTTTTTTTTTTTTCCTTGTTTGTGCCCCTTGGTGTTTCCAGCTTCTTCAGCTCCAAGTCTAGGATATATGAGGCAAAAAGAAAACCCAGAATTTGCCACCACGTCATTTCTTGAGTCCCAAGGTCCCTGGTAGGTCTATCTTCACTTTACCTTTTGGTGTCTTTTTTTTTTTTTTCTAGTCAGGGTCTTGCTCTATTGTTCCAGCTGGAATACAGAGGTGCGATCATGAATCATTGCAGCCTTGAACTCCTGAGCTGAAGTGATCCTCCCACCTGAGCCTCCTAAGTAGCTTGCACTATAGGTGTGCACCACCACACCTGGCTATTTTTCTTCTTCTTCTTCTTCTTCTTTTTTTTTTTTTTTTTTTTGTAGAGATAAGGTCTCCTATGTTGCCCAGGCTGTTCTTGAACTCTTGGACTTAAGCAGTCCTCCTGCCTTGTCCTCCCAAAGTACTGGGATTCTAGGTGTGAGCCACTGCACCTGGCCCCTTTTAGAGTCTTTTTACCTCTGTTTCATATGTAGCATCTAGGGTGTTTAGATTTACTACTGGGAAGAATAGGAAAAGTACATCTACTTGATCTTCCCAGGAGAAGTCATTCTCACTTTCTACTTTTAAAAGTGTGGTAGACAAAATTAGCAGTATGTCAGATCAAAGATGTCAAGTCAAGTCAAATCAAAGATCAAAGATAGAATCTGAACTCATTTTCATATAGAAACTTTGACAATTATAACCAAATTGTGTATACCCATAAAATAAGCCATCTGTGCAGCAACATTGATCTGGAATATACGAGGGGCTTCTGTCCTTGTGAGAATATGAAAGAAACTAGACTTTGTTCTCTATAATCTCCTTATCTAATTGGGACAAAAGACCAAGATATACAAAATAATCAAAGGGAAATGCTAAATTGCCCTGCAGTCTATTAGGAGAGATGCGGGGGTGGGGCGATAAGTGTCATCAGCAAATATGGTCAGATTGTAAACCAAATCCACAACTGAAGGTCCTCTTGGGGTAGTTTGTGTTTGTCTGTTTATTTGAGAGAGAGTTTCACTCTGTCACTCAGGCTGGAATGCAGTGGCGCTGTCTCAGCTCATTGCAACCTCTGCCTGCCAGGTTCAAGTGATTCTCGTGACTCAGCCTCTAGAGTAGCTGGGACTACGGGCGCATGCCACTACGCCTGGCTAATTTTTGTAGTTTTAGTAGAGATGGAGTTTCACCACGTTGGCCAGGCTGGTCTTGAACTCCTGACCTCAGGTGATCTGCCCGCCTCAGCCTCCCAAAATGCTGGAATTACAGGTGTGAGCCACTACGCCTGGCCTTGGGGTAGTTTATTATACAGACTTGTCAAATGTAATTCAGTCATTTTATTTAAAGCCCACTGTGTGCTAGGCCACTGTGCTTAGAACTACGATATGAATATTAGTAAAATGTACTCCTTGCCCTTAATGAGCTGTCAGCATTAGTTGAAGTCAAGGGTGGAAAGCAGATCTAAGAAGATAGAACCTTAAATTGCAACAATGCACTGTGACACATGTTATGTAAATGGTAATTAGGCTCACACAGAAGACAAATTTACAGGAATAGAGAAATAAGAGGTCAGAGAAAGCCACATAGAGGTGGTGACATTTCATGTTTGGAAGATGACTAAGGACACAAAAATCTCTGCCATGCAAAAAAGCCCATGTAAGGGAGCTCGGTAGAGCGTGTCGGACATGGGGTTACATTGAGGTTCCAATGTGTAGGATATGTAACTGTATACATTGGCCACTAACACAGTTGTTTATTTTTAAATGTTTATATTGTAATAATTCGCTCTATTCTTTGATGTGGTTCAAATCCATTGATTTTTATCATGTTAAAATAAGAAATATCCAGATGGGGCTGGGTGCGGTGGCTCATGCCTGTAATCCCAGCACTTTGGGAGGCCAAGGTGGGCGGATCACCTGAGGGTCGGGAGTTCGAGACCAGCCTGACCAATATGGAGAAACCCTGTCTCTACTAAAAATACAAAATTAGCCGGGCATGGTGGTGCATGCCTGTAATCCCAGCTACTCGGGAGGCTGAGGCAGGAGAAGCGCTTGAACCTGGGAGGCAGAGGTTGCGGTGAGCCCAGATCGTGCCATTGCACTCCAGCCTGGGCAATGAGTGAACTCCGTCTCAAAAAAAAAAAAAAAAAAAAAAAAGAAATGTCCAGATGGTTTTTTAAAATATATTAATGAATATGCTTGGGTTGTTGGTAGGTGGTATATTCAGTAGATGGTAAATAAATGACCAATTCTTCAGTGAGACACTGACTTTCTATACCTGCATTTATGTACCTTGATTTTTAAAAATTTTTGGATAAACTTGCATGTGTTTGGCACAAAGAGAGCACAAAGTAGAGGCCCTTCAAGTTCTCTTCAGCTGGTACAAGAAGAGATTATTTTGACTGGTCTTTACGGTCTTCAGCAAAAGAGATTATAATAATCATTTTTTTTGGGAGCTAATAATATTTTCAATTGAAGGTAGTTTTTCCACATGCACATCTATGCTCATTAGCAAAGGATGTAGTGCACCTCCCTGACTACTTTAGGATTTCCTTTTCAGATTTTATGGAACTTGTTAACCTCTGGAATGCCTAAGTTTAAATAAAAATATTGTTTTGAGTTTATATTGAGCTATATATTTTATCTGTATAATCTATTATATATGTATTGCATAGAGTTTATATTGAGCTGTATATAATAGCCAATATTTGGGGCTCTATGCTTGGAACATTTTAAGAAAAATATTCTATTTTGATTATATGGTCCAGGAATTAATCTATTTTTATTTTTCATTGCAGATGGAGTCGGGTGGTACAGTTTTGAGTACCAACTGGTCTGATGTAGGTAAAAGGAAAGTTGAAATCAATCCTCCTGATGATATGGAATGGAAAAAGTACTAAATAAATTAATTTGCTCTCATCGTATTGTGTATATTCACCTAATGCCCATTGTGTATTGATATTGCATTCTTGAATTTTGAACACTGAATATCTTTTTGAAAGATTATACTTCTTTACCTCTTTGTGCTTTAGAAATTATTTTCCTTCAAGTGTTCAAGTCTAATGAAGAATGAAGATAACATTTTATCACTTCTGTCCTTAAAGGTTTCAGACATGGTGAAACTGAATAAAGCATGTCATTTGCTCCTAGATAGATTCATTCTATCTAGTTGTGGGGATGGAGAAATCTTTAATGGTATATTTTCGGTTATTGCCTTATTTTTGATACAGTATTCTGTCAGTAATTTATTAGACCTGGCAGCTTTGGGTGAGCTTAGATTTTTCACCTTCAGTGTTACATTGTGTTTGCTTTTAAAAACTGCTTTTGAATGGAGTTGTAAATACAATTTTTCTATGAAGATGTTTGGTTTATTTACCTTTTTCTTAAGTTTTTAATGAGAACTTTGAGAAATTATCACAGGGAATTCCCATGTAGTTCTTTTAATGGGAAGAATTTGTAAATTTAATTGCACTGAGATATTTTGGTCGTTACCTTGCAAGTTTCTGTATAAAACATAGATACCTGAGTTTTAACACACTGCAAGTTTATACTAAGGATAATCTGTGAAGGTAGGGCAAAGAAGGTTCTAGGAAAGCCCAACTCCACTTGCTTCTTTTATCACGACAGGATTCTTGAAATTACAGCATTGGTGGGTTTTTTGGTATTTTTTTTCTTTATTAGAAAATCTCTGTTGTCACGTCCCCATGATTACTTTGGTTTCATTGGTTTATGGTAACTGCTGTGAGAGTAAATTAATGTGTATATGTTTAGTATTTACTCTGTGCCTAGAATATATAGATATCATGAGAATACAAAAAATTAAAGACATGATTATTAACTTCAAAGAGCTTATAAATGTAGCAGGGAAAAAAAATAACATTCATGAAGGAACTGTGGAAAGATTGAATGCTGAACTCGGTATAAATACACTTTAGAGACAGGAAAATGTTCTGTGATTAAAATTGTTTACAGTCTAGGCTGTTATAAAGTATAGACTATGGATGACCTGTAGATCTGACTTTGTTTTCTCACCATGATTTTCTCAACTGTAATACCCCAGATGTTGGTCTCAGCTCTGTTAGGTGTCACTAACATTTTTATGGCAAAGCACTACTCTATACCCTCAGAGCAGGGGGAGTGGGAGGCAAACGGGTCATCATTTCAGCCTCCAAAACAGTAGGAATTCAGCTCCTTCCTTCTCGTCCTTTGTTGTGGGGTGTAGGGGAGTTACTAAGGAAAGTTTCAGTAAGGTGATACCAGATGGTGCCCAAACCTGTTGTTATAGCTTGTTTAAGCATTCTAGAGTTTTCACTTGTCCTTCTGTCCACTTAGAGCTACTAGATACATTTTTTTCTTCTTGAACACTGAAGGAAAAGGCAAAATTAAGTTTTGGTTGGATGGATTTCTAAAGTTTTCTTCTTAGGAAAATAGGATAGTGACTTTTGTATTCTGTATGTTAAATTTTCTCAGTACCATTAATCCTAAGATGAAGAGGAAGGCTATTGCTGCAGAGGCATAGTTGAGGACGTATAGCACTATACCAGAGACAAGAATGCTTAGCTCTAGCAAGTCTTCTGTCATTGACTACCTTCATAATCTTCAGCAGGTTTAGGCCTTTCTTAGTTCCTTTGTAAATAATCCATAGAGTCTTAGAGTTATAATTAAAGGTCCATGGTTCTAAATACAGAAGCATATTTTTGCCGCTTAACTTTTTCTTTCTTAAAGATGACACTATTAAAATAGCTGTTTCTGACCAGGTGCAGTAGCTCATGCTTGTAATCCCAGCATTTTGGGAGGCGGAGGTGGGCAGATCACCTGAGGTCAGGAGTTCAAGACCAGCCTGGCCAACATGGTGAAACCCTGTGTCTACTAAAAATGCAAAAATTAGCTGGGTGTAGTGGCATGCACCTGTAGTCCCAGCTACTTGGGAGGCTCAGGCAGGGAGAATTGCTTGAACCGGGAGGCAGGGGGTGCAGTGAGCCAAGATCATGCCACTGCACTCCAGCCTGGGCGACTCCATCTCAAAAAAAATAAATAGCTGTTTAAAAAAAAAAAATCTGGTACTATCTTTAGTTGGTTTTAAAGGATATATTATCTAGAATATGCTTACCCATTGGCTAGATTTGCTAAGTGTTGTGGGATTTGGGATTTTGCTGGTCTGAAGGGAGTTTGTAAAACACATGACTGAAAGCATTATAAAACATACCTTGTCAAATACATTAGATTCATTATAGGTCAAGGGAATTTTGAAAAGTAGGCTAGATTGCTGCCTAAGAATCCCACTCTAAAGTACTGCTTTGTTTAATCATTCTAGATAATGGAAGCTTGTAAGCCTCCAGAAAGTTAAAACAAAAAACTTCTTTCTGATTAAGAGCCTCTTAACTCTATCCTTATCCTCTGCTATCTCAATGTAGCTATTAATTGTTCCCTCTTTGTTTCTAGACTCCAATTTTCATTTCTCAAATTTTGGTTCTCAGTGCTGTTAGTATTAGTAGCCTTTTGTTTCTTCAGAATGTATGTATTTTTCCTCTTAAATGTTTCCTTTCCCTTTTAAGGTTAGTCCTGGAATACATGTTTTTCTTGGTCTTGTAGACTTCATCTCTTCTGATTTCCATAATAATTTGCACCTTGATGAATCCAGAATTCTCCCACTGTCTTCAAAGAATCTTGAATAGAATAATCTGCTTTTTGAACTCTGCTATCTAGTAATCTCTTTAGATATCTATACCACAAGTTTGAAACATCAAGGTCAATTTTGATAATTTCCTGTCTTATGTCTTAATACCCATTCAGAGTTGACTGCCAACTAACAAGCTCAGCCTTTAGCACTGGCACTTACTGGCCAATCTGTTTTCTGTCTATAGGGAGTGAAATGGAATGGAGAAAGAGGATGGCTTGCATTAATAACTCTAGTTTTTAAAAACATTTTTATTCCTTTTTTAAAAATTTGTTTAGAGACACGGTCTTCTTCTATCACCTAGGCTGGAGTGCAGTGGTGCGATCATGGCTCACTGTAGCCTCCAACTCCTAGGCTCAAGTAATCCTCTTTCCTCGGCTTCCCAAAGTGCTGGGATTACAGGTGTGAGTCACTGTGCCTGGCCCACATTTTCATTCTTGGCTCACTGTAGCCTTAATCTTTCAGGCTCAAATGATTCTCCCATCTCAGCCTCCCAAGTAGCTGGGACCACAGGCATGCATCACCACGACTGGCTAATTTTTGTATTTTTTTTGTAGAACCGGGTTTCACCATGTGCCCAGGCTGGTCTTGAACTTCTGGGCTCAAGTTATCTACCTGCCTCAGCCTACCCAAAGTGCTGGGATTACAGGAGTGAGCCACCATGCCCAGTTATGAACTTCAAGTAAATATTTAAAATGGAGATACATCACAATGCTATTATGAATAATTTAGATAGAAATTTTAATTTAGTTCAGTACTTAAATATTTTTTGGCTCTTCTTTCCCACTTTACCTTTCTCTATTCCTTCCTCAGTTATCTACATATCAGATTAGATTATTGATATCTGAGATATATCACTGACCCAGAGCAAAATTGCATATTAGTTTACCATCTAATCAGCCTAATGCACTTAAATTCCCTTGGAATCTTTCCTGTTCAGATTGGTGTGCATCTCTCTGAACTTGTAGCTTTACTGACATTTCCAAAAAAAGGTAGACGGTTTCTAGGTGGTGTGTGTTTTTGTTAGTTACTAGAGCCACTTACCCTTTGTAACTAGCTCTAAAGAAGTACATCTTTTGCTCATACCTGCTACTGTAACCATATGACAGTATGGATTTAAGTTATTTCTGCCTAGAGGAATTAGATGATAAAAGCTAAAAGGACAAAATACTGGTTTCTGTGCAGGGAAGGGTCATATGTAGTTTTAAATAAAAGGGTTCATCTCTTTTGATGTGGTTTCCCTTTCTCCATCTGTGCATTTTTTAAATCGTAAGATCATTTTACACACACCAAGAGATTTTATTTTGGGAACTTGTGGGGAAAATATTGATTTACCTACAAATGTTACTATTTGGAGCCATCCTTGTGATTGGTTTCTGAGATTAATTTAACTCTTAGCCTCACTTCCTACCTTAGTAAAGTTGCTCCTCCAAATCAGCTAAAATCATATACAATGAATGCTGACTCATTACTGCAAATAGTGGTAGTTACTGTGTACTAGCATTTCTTATGGATTGGGTGGCATTATCTCATTTTTAATCGCCCTTCAATAGCATCCCATTATTGCAAATCAGAAAGATGATGGGGCCAAAGTAAAGTTCTTTGCCCAGGTCACTCTACTAGTAAGTAATTGCAATAGCTGGGATTTGAACCCAGGCCTATCAGACTCCATTACCCATACTTCTGACAACTGCAATCCTCTCATCAGGTTAATAAGCTAGATGTGGAATGAATGATTTTTATTACCAAATCAGCTGACTGGAAATGAAGCAGAGAATATTCAAGTTAAAGAACTAATTCTTTTTTTTTTTTTTTTTGAGACAGTCTCACTCTGTCGTTCAGGGAAGGAATGCAGTGGTGCAATCTTGGCTCACTGCAACCTCCACCTCCCAGGTTCAAGTAATTCTTCTGCCTCAGCCTCCTGAGTAGCTGGGATTACAGGCATGGGCCGCCATGCCCAGCTAATTTTTGTATTTTTAGTAGAGACGAGGTTTCACCATGTTGGTCAGGCTGGTCTTGAACTCCTGACCTCATGATCCGCCCACCTTGGCCTCCCAAAATGCTGGGATTATAGGCGTGAGCCACTGTGCCCAGCCAAGAACTAATTCTTATATAGGAGCTGGGAAGATAAATTCCTAGAGATCCTCACTTTCTTAAGTAGGAAAGCTTATTAGGAATCCAAATCTTTTGCCTCATACTGGAAGTAATGCAAAGAAGTAGTCTGATTTTTGAGAGGGTGCTGTTTTTCTCAAATCTAGATCATTACAGAGAAACAGTGTACTTTTAACAACTGTTGCATGTGTAAGAAGACTGGTACATGATGCCAATGAAATTCTTTTTTTCCTTTAACTTGGGAGCTCTCATACCAGTTCCGTTGTACAAATGCTGAGATTGTTTCAAGGTTTTATTCCTACAGACATGTTAGGATTTGTGTATCACTGATTTCTCCAATAAAATTTGAATATTTCAGGTTATTTCCTTTTTCCTAACTTATGTTAGCATTTTGTATATATATATATATTTGAATTTTGGCTTGTCTGGAGTCTTAAATATTTGGTATGCCTTCACATTTGGATTTTTAGTTTTATTTTTACATTGAGACTTCTACCTATATCATTGACTTTATTTTTTCCTATGATTAAAGGATTCAGTTATACAAAAAGATGTTTCAGAAACACTGCTATTTACCTAAAGGTAATTTTCAGTTTCTTTAGAAGGAGTTAGGAAAATGGTCCTTAATACCTATATAGGGTTTTTTAAAAAACTGTACCCTATAATGCAGCCACAGAAGATCTAAATAATAAACAATTGCGCATACTATTAATATATATTTAGAGCTTTTGTTAAGTACATGAAAAGACAGTATTGCATAGTGGTTAAATGCATGGACTCTGAAGCCATCCTGTTTGGGATCATCCTGGCTACATTGCTTACTAGCTGTGTGACAATGGATATAGGTGCTTAATGTCTCTGTGCCTCAGTTTTTGTGTCTATGTAAAGGAGATAATAGGATCCCCCTCATGCCTCATGGTCTTAGTTGAATGAATTCATGTAACTCCACAGGTATCTTAATCCAGAAGGCTCAAAATACTAATGTTTTGTGTGTGTGTGTGTGTGTGCATGTGCATCTGTATGACAAGTGATATAAAACGTGACCTGAATTTATAATATGAATAGTCACATTTTGCAGCAGAAATATTAAATGTTTAATTATAGAATGCTAGCACTGATCCTGCTGAAATTGTTACAAAATACAGCAGTTGCCCCTTAACTGTGGCAGATACATTCCAAGACCCCCAGTACTGAATGCTGTATGTACATTTTTTATACATGTATACTTATGATAAAGTTTATAAATTAGGCACAGTAAGATATTAATAATAGAATATACAATATACCGCAATAAAACTTATGTGAACAGTTATTTTTGGACAGCAGTTGACTGTGGGTCACTGAAATTGTGGAAAGCAAAACCATGGATAAAGGGGAACTATTAATAGTCTATCTGTATTGCATTATCTTCTAAAATCCAAAATTCTGACTTCAAAAACTCATCTGAGGGTTTTGGAATTGTGTATCTATGTGTGTGAAGTGCAAAGAGCAGTGCTTCATGTGACAGATAACATCAGATGATCCTAGGCTGGAAGGTGGAAATCCTAGAGAAGATTTTTTTGTGTTGTAAGTTCAGTCTTTCAAGATGTGGAATTCTGTCTGAGGAAAGTATATCACCTAGTTAACAATTGTTACTGTAATTTATAAAATTTGTACTTTGGAGAGCATAAGAATTCATGAAAAGTTTTTAATAATTTTACTTAAACAGAGCTTAATTATGTAAGTATTGTCAGCACTTTATAAAGAATCGTAAAATAAAATAGTGGCAGAAAATATAAACTAGATGTAGAATGTTAAGGAACTTTCGGAAGTTCTCTGGTTTTCATTTCAATTTCAAAGCTCAAAACAGAAGGTAAAACTATTAGGATTTGTGAAAAATACAAGGTACAAAATCACGCAGTTTATAAACCACAGATTGTCTTGTTATTCCCATCAGTGAAAAGAAGCTGATATTTGTTTGTGTTTGTTTTTGTTTTTGTTTTTGAGACGGAGTCTTGCTCTGTCGCCCAGGCTGGAGTGCAGTGGCGCCATTTTGGCTCACTGCAAGCTCCGCCTCCCGGTTCACGCCATTCTCATGCCTCAGCCTCCCAAGTAGCTGGGACTACAGGCGTCCGCCACCATGCCCGGCTAATTTTTTGTATTTTTAGTAGAGACAAGAGTTTCACCGTGTTAGCCAGGATGGTCTCATCTCCTGATCTTGTGACCCGCCCGCCTCGGCCTCCCAAAGTGCTGGGATTACAGGCGTGAGCCACCATGCCCAGCCTGCTGGTAGATGTTTTTATGAGTTAATTCATCAATCTTATTATTCTTGCCCCAAATGAATCAGTGTGGAGCATATACAAGTGTGTAGACATTAATATGGGCTCACTGTCAGCTGGGAGTTCTCACAACTACCACTTTTTACTGATTATCTGTTTTCTAAACTTTTTCTGTGGCTTGAAGTGACTGAAAGTGAACACATTCATAAGTAATGAGCTTAGGCTGAGGATATATATCCAGTGGGGGATGAAACATGCTTAAGAAATTGAGTGCATTTCCTTTATTATTGTTATTATTTTGCTATTTCAAAACAATTGACTTTAAAAAATTATACTTCACCACAGAGACAGGTGTTGTTTTGTAATGGAAGGAGTAGTAACTTATGAATCTAGACTCTTAAAATCCCAGTTCTGATACTTTCATAATTGTGTGTTTTGAGGGCAAGTGACTTATCTGAACTTTTTTCTTTTTTATAACACTGGATGATAATTAACCCTCAGGATTGTGAGGATTTAATAACTAAGTCCTGACTCAAATTATGTTACCAATAAATGCTACTTAAATGTAAAGTCCTTGATTTATTTTTTCCCCTCAGTCCTGTTTAGTGTTGAAATTCTTCAAAGGAGGGTGAGTCTGGCATTTACCTGCTATTCAAGAGTTTTCAGAATTCAACCCCAGCCAAAATTTTTGGCCACATCTCTTGTCACTGCTTTGCTGTGTACTAAAGCTCCCAGACACACAAGAATCTTCTAGTCATGGTCAAACTTTTTCTGCAAAGGGCACTTACAGTCTATTGCATATTCTTTGTTTTTAGTGTTCAGACATCTGCTGTTTCTGAATATGTCGTGTATTTTCATTCCTTTTTCTGCCCCTCCTGGGCATCTCCAGTTTCCTACTGATGTGTCAAAACTGAGTTTGTATGCTACCTCCAGGAAAGCAGTCTAATCTTTTGCAACTCTGTTACTGACTTTTGTGGCATTGGATTGGGTTATTTGCTTATGGTTGAGACATCACTGGATCCTTTGATGGAGTCATACCAAAACCACAACATGTCATGAGCATGCTTGAGAGTGCTAATCTATTCCTTGTTTGTCAGACCAGTACATTACAGTTGGTTCATTTCTTCCCCCGTGTGACTGAGTTTCTTGAGGGCGCGGTCTAGCTTCCATCTTTGTATGTGTAGCACCTGGTACATAGAGAACAGGCTCCCAGAATTGGATGGATTTGCTCATGGTCTTATCACTGCACAGAATGCCCTTATTTTCTTCCATTCATTCTATGAGATCTCAATTAAAATGTCAGTACTCTTGTGGAACTCCCCTCTCCATGCCCTCTACTGAAATGCATTGCCACTCTAGTTGTGATGTGGGAGTGCCTTGTTTATGCCTCTATTTATGACACCTTCATGGTGTCACATGTTATAGGGTTAGTTGCGGCTGTGTCTGTTTTACCTTGTGTGTCTTGGTCAGTTAGTGTTATTTACTTAAGCTTTGGATCTTTGATACATAGCGTAGTGCCTTTCACATAGTATGTACTCAAATATTGGAAGTTACTCATCCCAAACCATAGTGTTTAAAATTGGGGTTTTTTAAAAATGTCAAGCCCTTAAAGTTGATCATTTATTTGTCAATGTAAATAGAATAGTAATTTGTTTTCAAAAAGATGAGGTCTTGCTGTGGTGCTCAGGCTGGAGTGCAGTGGCTGTTCACAGGCGTGATAATTGTGTGTTACAGCCTCAAAGTCCAGGGCTCGAGTGATCTTCTCACTTCAGCCTCCTGAGTAGCTGAGACTAGGCGTGCACCACCGTTTCTGACAGGATTTTAATTTTTAAGTAGGTTTTTAACCCACAGCCACGAGAGCTAATTTTAACTACATTGTTAGAGGTAGTAACAGTTATATAACTAATCAAAACCAGTGTGATATCCAAGTACTTTTTTTTTTTTTTTTTTTTGCTATTTAATTTTGAGATACCATTTTTTGGAGGGGTGTCCTGATTTATTTTATTTATTTTATTTATTTATTTTTATTTTTTATTTTTTTAGATAAGGTCTTGCTCTTGCCCAGGCTGGAATGTAATGGCATGGTCGCAGCTCACTGCAGCCTCCGTCTTCTGGGCTCAAGCAATCCTCCTTCCTCAGCCTCCTGAGTAGCTGGGACTACAGGTGTGTGCCACCACTCCCAGCTAATTTTTAAATTTTGTGTAGAGATGGGGTCTCCCTGCATTGCCCAGGTTGGTCTCTCAAACTCCTGGGTTCAAGCAGTCCTCCCACCTTGGCCTCCCAAAGTGTTGGGATTATAGGCGTAAGCCACTGTGCCCGGCTGTTTTTTGTTTTGTTTTGTTTTGTGTTTTAATTGAACGGACTGAAGTTTACTTTCTAACTAGGTTAGCCCTCCATTCATACAAAATTATGAGCCCAAATGTCTTGGGGAGAGTACAGGAGAGGCCAGATCTTAAAAGCCAGGAGTGGAATTAGGTTTGAGCATATGTAGCAATATGGAAACAAAGAGTGAGTCAATTTATAAGCATACCAATCTTCTTGGAGACAAAAGTTTGAATTGCTCACGTGTCCATTTTTTTTCTGGAATCCCTGAAGAAATTTTGAGATACTGAGTACTAGAAAACCCTCTTTGATGAGGGTTGTATACTTTATTTTTAAACAGTATCAACACCGTTGAGGCCCTTCAAGTCTTTGCAGTCAAAAGCCATACACTTTTTCTTTGAGTGAGCCTTTACTTTAAGGTATGTAGTAGAATAATATAGGTATCTGAAAAAGAACTTGGTTCATGACATCCACTCATTCATTTATGCACTTAGCAAATATTCATTGATTGCCAAATACGCATCAGACACTGAGCTAGGTGCTAGGTACTAGGTAAACAAAATTCCCTGCCTTCATGGAGCTTAGCTTGTGGTGGTGGAAAGAAGCCCTCAGCCTGAATACTCAACTTATGTCTGCCGTTTATTCCTTAACACATTAAACTATAGGTAATAGCATATGTTAGTCTAATCTTTGTTTAGCAAAGCTATTTCTTGTTCTGGAATATAAGTACAGTTACAGCAGAATAAGTACCAAGGCAAGATTGGAGAATGACCGGTTGTGAACAGGGACTTAGGAATATGTGTAGCATAGGATTTTATTTTAGAGTTGTTAAAATCAGATCAACAGAGCATGTTTTTATGGGCCATCTGACAAGACTAGAGGTAGCTTTGGAACCTCTTATTCCCTGGAATGCAAACATGTATTTGCATTTCATCCACTGTCAGTATGAGGAGACAAAAACGAAGTCAGGATTTTGGAGCTGGAATGGATCTTAAATACTATGTAGTCCAAACGTTTGGTTTTACAGATGCACTTTTTCCAGAGTGCTGTCATCTCATATACTTTTTTCTTCATACAGGTTTTTAATGTAACTCACTCAGATCGTTGGTGATAGACTCTCTCTTAAAACTTATTTATCCTAATCTTTTTTTTTTTTTTTTTTTTAAGAGACAGGGTTTTGCTCTGCTGTCCAGGCACACAATAGCTCACTGTAACCTCCAACTCCTGGAGTCAAGTGATCCTCCTGCCTCAGCCTCTCAGGTAGCTGGGACTGCACTACTAGTGCACTAAGCTAATTTTTAAATTTTTTTTGTAGAGACAGGGTCTTGCTGTGTTGCCCGGGCTGCTCTCTTAACTCCTGGCCTCAAGTAATCCTCTTGCCTTGGCTTCCCAAAGTGCTGGGATTACAGGCGTGAGCCACCATGCTTAGCTGATTTGCCCTAATCCTCTGCTGACATTCTGATATCGGACAACTAAAATTATAACATTGGGCAGCTATTTTGTATGATATATAGGGTAGTGGTTCTTAAGCTTATTGGTGAGTAACCTTCACTTGGGAAGCTTATTTTTAAAAATGTAGACCTTCATTACTTTCCTCCTGAGATTTTGAATCAGTACCTTTGAGAGAGGGTCCAGTAAATCTTTGTTTTGAATGAACTGATGGTTTTGAAGCAGGTGACCTGGAGGACTGCATGTAGAACACAGTGATGTCAAGGAGTAAAGGAGAGAACAGAAGTGAGATTAGCACTAATCACCTCTAATGCCTTATTTCCAGTAAAGTTTAGAGAAGAGGAAAAGCTACTTGGCTTGCTCCTTTGAAGGTTTTGTTTCCCTCTTAACACAGAAATTAAAAGGTAGAGGAGAGATGCTGAATGATGCTTTTTTTCTTCTTAATCTTGGGGGGTCATTATGATTAAGTTATTGAATCCATATCACCGTATGACAGCACATGATGAAAGAAAATCAAATGTTTGTTTCAATCAAAGTGAAACAAAATGAGAATAACTATTTGGGCAAAACACTTTTATCACTGCTAAGATATTACTAGAACTGAGCAGAGAAATACTCAGAGAGAGCCATGGCATAGTACTAATTAATAATGGGGTACCATTTAGCAACTGGAATATTCTCCGATGATGCCTGTTTAATTACCCATAGGTGCTAAGTGAATGTTAAAAATTACGGTGCTGGTTGAGTAGGCCGAGTAGAATTTGTGTTAGGGCACATCCCATGGAGATCTTTTTTACTGCTTAATTTTTTGGAGTTACCTCAGTAACTTAACAGGCAGGAATATGGTTTTAATGGAAAGGAAACCATTTGCCTTTAACAGCATTAGTCCCGCTAAGAGAAAGTTTTTGCTTGTCTAGTTTATTACAGGTCTTTGACTTTGTCAGTATATGGCAAATTTAGTATAAAAGATGATTAATTATCAAGGCTGATGAAATATAGGCAGCTGAAAAGAAAATTCTTAGCAATTCATACCTTAGAAGGAACCCTGAAGGACAGGACGCCATAGAAATCCTGTTTTTTTAAAAAAGTAATTTCAAGTAAGTTTGCAAATGCAATGCTAGTAAAAAGTATATAGAGGTATGTCTTTCACACTATCTTGTTACTATTAGAATTTTTGTAGCCATGTGCAGAGGAGAGAAAAGGTGTTGGATTTTCTGCAGTTCTGATTCAGTTCTAAGAATTTGGTGTGAAAAGAATGTTTGCAAAGGAGCAGGCACAAAGGTGAGAACAGGAATACGAAACACAACATCTGTAAATGACTAAATTCAGAGGGAATTTAGTGGGGCATATCTCTTAAATGGTTTTGAATAATTTGGTGTTTTAACCAATGACTTAATTTAACTTAGTGGGTATACTGTTCCCAGTCCCATTACTGATTTTTATTCCTCTGTGATAACATACACCCAAATAAAGACTGCTATGTATTTGACTTTAAAACTATAAAGATGTAAAAAAGGTTCACTAAGCCAAACACCTTAGAAAATAGCCTCAGCTATTTGCTATGTTTATATTATACCTGCATAAAAGTATTTATGTATAGATGTACTTACCTTACACAGTAAGTACCTAAAATTTGTAAATTGAATACTTTTGAATGTAAGCAGTTGAAGTAAAACCTGTAGTGAGTTCTTCAGTCAGTCAACACTAAACCTGTTTTGTAAATTTGATGCTAGTATTATACTGGACTTTCTCAAAATGAAGTACACCTATATATGCATATAGTATATGAGCATGTGTATTTGTACAAAAGCCCTTCAAAAGGAGTTCAGCTTTTATAAACACCAAAACACTCTCTGCCTGTAAAATGTTTTTGCTGAAATTTGTATCATTAACTCTCAAATTTACATCTTCATGTTTGAGATACGCTTTTAGGACTGTCTATGCATGTAGACTTTGGTCAACTCTCTCCTCCTCCCTCAATAAATCAGTTAACTTAAAAAATATATTGTGACCATTTTTATAAAATACATGTTCATAAAACAGATCAACATATTTAGCTTATACAGAAATAAAATTAAGTCAATCCACTCACAAAGAATTTCTATTTTGTAAAAATGTAGCTTGTATTTCAGTATAATAAAATCTGATGTAAGAAACTGTTGAGTGGGTTAAGTGGTTATTCTTAGTATTATATCTACTTTTTTAGTGTCACAGTTATTTGAGGTGCTGGTGGAAGGGGAGGTGTAAAAACACACAAGTTTTTGCAGCCAGAAAATGAAAACATTTTCCATGTGCTGACTAAATGGCAGCTGTCACATATTTCCTTCCATTCCGAGTCAAACTAGGACCTTGAAATCTAACTTGAGATGTTCCATCAGGATTGGTTTGTACCACTACTGAGAATTAAATGAGTATCTAATGAAGTACCAATAATACACATAAGTCTATACACACATACTAACATTTCAGTCAAGATTCAGCACAGCAAACTGGGCTGTATTTGCAACTTTTAGACTGGCCTGGTTAAAAGTAATTTGAGAAATTAGTAGTACCAAGTTGTGAAGAAATTTGTAATTCTTCCCTGTTGCCCTCTCTTCCTTTATTGAATGCTCATCTGTCCACTTCTCTTTCAAAGTAGACCCTTATTTTCATCCTTGAATACAATTTAAGTCTCCTTTGTCATTCCTATCCTTAATCCAACCTTGAATTTTTCCTCTGTTATTAAATCATCCTGATTTTTTCTGTTAAATTGATGTCCTTGGGTATTTAGTGACGTTTCATAACACAACATAATCCCTTGGCCTGTTAGAAGTAAATTACGCACCTCCTATATTTTCATCTAATTATGAAGCTTTGAAAGGGAGCATCTTTTCAAAAGTCAGCCTTCCCTTATGACCTGCTGTCCTTATTAAGATGCCTCTTTGGCCTGTATGGCACCTGCTCAGTTTTCACATGGGAAGCTACCAAGGGGGATTCATCTAAGGTGAAAACTTAACCAGCTCCCTCCTTGCCTGCAACTTTTCATTTCCTATTTCCTACACACACACAGACACACACACACACACACACACACTCCCCAGATTAACATGCCACTTAAAGCTTCTGCCTACATTTTCATCTTGATATTTCCTACCCCGACCTGAATGCTGTTTTCCTGCTTGTACCATGCAGCTTCACTTCACACCTCTGGTCTTACTCAAACTCCCTCTGCCTGGAATGCAAATCTTCTGTCACCTTCACTTGGCTAATTCCTGCTCATCCTTGAAAATCTAGAGAGTAGACATTCTCCAAGAAGCCCATTGCTTCCATCTTTATCAAGGCTTTGTCTGGTGTGCCTTGATTATCTGTATCTCTCATAAGACCATATGCTCTTCTGGGCTGGGATCACTAAATCATTCTCTTTATTTTTAGAACCCAGTACAGGTTGCTGAGCCATGGGGGTGGGAGATGATATGCAGAACCATTGACGCATATTTCTTTCGTTAATAGAGTAACAGCAGTTTTAAAGACTAAACGTGGAATTCATAACTGCAGGAAGTAGCTGCTTCCTGAGAACAGTGTGACCATTACATGTCATTACGGTGCCTTTCCTTCGTCTCTTTTCTCCAGAGACCTAGGCTTGCTGTGTATTTCATTAAATGGAGGGATCTGAGTGTTCACCTGAAAACCAGGTTTTTAAAATTCTGTATCATTTTTATAGACTTTAATTGGAAAACACCAGTATTAGGGATTTACTGTGGAATACACAATAATAAGGTATATTCTGAATATGAGAGTGTAGTGAGATCATGGCATCAAGACCTTTCTGTCGTCTCAGAATCTGTGTTTTGGAAAACTTCTATTTTCCTTAGGAAAGTTGTTTATCTATCAAACGGTGGGATGCAAAACTGAAATGTCAAAAATATAAAATACCTGCTCATCCTCTTGATCTAATATTTCAATTTCTAAAGACAGTCCTTGTTCCTGAGAGACTTTATGTCATTATACATAAATAAGCTATTCCTCCTCAGCTGTATCTGCCAAGCAACACTGTCAGCCCTGTAACTAGGAGAGTAACTTATTGGTAATTGGACTACAGCCGCAGCCTGATTTGTACTACAAAGGTAAAAATCATTATGCTTCTTCATGCCCAGTGACCACTTACTGAAAACAGATTGAGAAAGGTGTGAAGACCTGCTTTTCAGAATGTCAATAAAGTCCTTCCTCCCCACAAGTCTGATTTATCTTCGACTGCATTTTTCTTTATCCTAGTGCTGTTTCCCTGGAGGTGACTCTTAACACAGGTCACATGCCAGTGCACTCAAATAATTCCCCATGAGCTTCCAGATTGAGGCTAAAAATGTTCACTTTTAGGTAGATTCCATTATATATCCTTTCCTTTTTCTGTGTGTTTTTATCTGGGAATTCTGGGGACAAAAAAGATTAAGAACAGTTGAGGAATTCTGTACAAATAACAATGACTTATTTTCATCATGACTTAATTAAAAGGAGCTCAAGTGTACAATTGAGATTTTTGGCAAACTGTAAATTTTCATGTTTATTTCAAAATAGCTTTGGAAGATACAAGCAAGGGAAGACTTATGGCAAAGCAATGCAAATAAAAAATAACAAATAATAAAGGGGTTATGGCATTTTAGACTTGAACTACCCTTTCAGTACATTTGCATATACTAAAGTTCTGGAAAACAATTGAAAAAATTCTGTTAAGAGTGTCAAGAATAACCGCTCAGGTTGAGTGTAAAAATATTTTGTGGTCCTATCAGCATCAACCTGCCTTAATGCTTCTTTGGTTGTCTCTTCAGCTAGTTCTTATTTTACAGCACATGATATATGAAGTGATTTCACACCATGCCCAAGATACGGGCCACCCACCAGCTACATGGCATGATGACTCTGCAGGCCGAACGGCAGCCTTGATAATTATAAGGCCATGGGTAATAGCCCCCCAGGGGTTCACAGATCTTCTGGCAGTGGGTGTAGCTCCGCCTACATTCTATACAACAGATTCCTTCGTGATCCAGTCTAGGGTCGAATGTCATGCTTTCCCCTTCCTGCTGCTGTGAAATAAAAGATAATTATTTGTGATAACTGCATAGTGGGAAGGTCATAGCATGCATGTTATTTTTAAATAAGATTCTGAATTTTTCACTGCTACAGGAAGGTGTAATCTGTAAAGGGTTTGATCTTGTTTACCCTGTCATTCATAATTCATGTTCACTGCTGTCATTCATAATTCCTTTTGACACCAAGGAATCTACACCTACCTCACCTGTCACTGACTAGAAAGTTGTTTTGTCTTTTAAAACGATATCCTGAAGTTTCTCCATGCCTTTAATGAACTATGGTTACCACTTAGTAACTCAGCTTGTTTTAAGTAGGAAAGCAAGAAGGAAGCATTATGATAAAAAGTAGCATTTCTGCCACTGCTAATTCTAAGTCAGTGGAATGCTTGTGGCTTCTTGCAGTAATAGCTTCCAGGGCTCTAGAAGCACTTTTTGAAACTCATCAATCTAGGCTAAAGACAGATTTCAATTCCAGTTGCACTGGCTCTGAGAACACTGTCAAGTCATTTAGTTTTCTCCTGCTTTCATTTCAGTAACAGAATGGGGATGTTATCTCTATAGGGACAAAGGGGTCTCAGGAAAAGACTCCACAAAAACATGTAAAATTCAAGGCCTTAAACTTTGCCTTCTAGTTTTTTATGTAAATATATAAACACAAGATTACATTGGTGAAGTAAAAATCTCCATTTTCACTGCTGGTGAGATTACAGAACTGGAAGGAACTCCCATCCCTCCAACCCTGCCCGGTTTACATATTTGGTTTTCCTTTTTGGGGACTTGTAAGGGTGGAGATTCTGCATTATTTTTAATATGGTATTGAAGTGCATTCCCAAGAAACCCTTATCTTTAAATTCTTGATTCAATTTAAGATTCTTTCCTAAAGTTAGCTGATTCTGGTGTTTAAACAAAGTCTTTAATCTTAATTTGGGATGTCGGGGAGTGGGGGGAGTTATTAAAAATTTCAGCCACGCGCAGTGGCTCATGCCTGCAATCCCAGCACTTTGGGAGGCCAAGGTGGGTGGATCACCTGAGGTCAGGAGTTTGAGACCAGCCTGGCCAACATGGTGAAACCAACCCCATCTCTACTAAAAAATTAGCCAGGCGTGGTGGTGGACACCTGTAATTCCAGCTACTCAGGAGGCTGAGGCAGGAGAATCTCCTGAACCAGGAGGTGGAGGTTGCAGTGAGCTGAGATTGTGCCATTGCACTCCCGCCTGGGTAACAAGAGTGAAACTCTGTCTTGGAAAAAAAAAAAATTTCAAACATACTGGAGAGTAGAGAAAATTATAGATTGAACACCAATAGACTCATCTAGATTGGACAATTGCTAACCTATTGTCAAATTTGCTTTTCCCCTTCCTGCAACAGCAAAAGATAGGGAAATAATTTATATGTCCATCAAAGCAAAACTAGTATTTTAAAGTAAATTCTGAAGTGAATTTAAAGAGAATTGGAGGAATTGTGACATTTCTTCCATAAATACATTAGAATGTGCCCCCCAAAATAAGGATATTTTCCTAAATTTACAACCAGATTGCCATTATCACAAAATTAACAACATGATCTGATACAACCCATATTCAAGTTATGTCATCAAAATATTTATTATCTTACTCTTAAAGCATTCATTTTTTAATTCATCAGACTCACTCTGTTCTTTACCTTATTTCTTGAATAGGTTAATCTGGGACAGCAAAAAGACAACAACCTCATTTATTAATTATGAGGCAGGGAGAGTTAAAAGGCCTGTCAGTTGAGGCACTTCCTTATCTGAGGACCTGACAAAAGTTTTAGGATTGAAAGGTTGGGAGGAAATCTCATGTTGTTACCCTAAGATATGTTTTTTAAAGGAATAACTGAATGAGATCATGGAGATAAATGCTTTAACCATTTCTGCTTAAAGTCCAACATATAATAAAGGAAAAAATTGATATAATTGGAGTTTTTCAAGGGATAAAGGTCACTCAAGACTGGATCCAAGGCAAAGTCATATCCTGCCTGTCTATAAAGGGGCTGATGCCCTCACCCCTTGAGCCAGATTCAGCCAGCCCAGCTCTCTAGGGAATAAACAGTATTAAATTTTATTTGCCTATTCAGATTCTTTTTATTCTTCTTCAAGCTAAGGTAGTAAAGTATTGTGGCATCCTGAATTTTCTGATAAGCCTTTGGTTGTTTAGAAAATACTTCTTGCTCCAAGCTTTTCTAAAATATTTTTAAAATGATAAACTAGGAAATATATTTGCAACACCTGAAATAGTGTTGGACTGAATAGGCTACATAGAAAAACGTGCAAATGACTTAGTATATGAAAAGATGCTCACCCTTACACATAATTAAAGACAAGCAAGATAAACAACCAGGAGATAGAATTTACACCCAAGAGATTGGTGAAAGTTTTTTTTAAGTTTGGTAAGAAGTGGGTCCTTTCATTACTGTTTGCAGACATAGGGCTGATGTAATTCCTTGAAAGGCAATTTGGTATCCTCCATTAAAATGTAAATCTACTTCGATGCAGCAGACTCATGCTTCGGTATTTATGCTAAAGGTAGACTTCCATGTGTGTACAAAGAGGCACAATACTAATAGCTAATATTGAGAAAGTTACTGTTCACCTATGTATCTCAAGCCCTGTGCTAAAAGAGCTCCACCTGCATTACCTTTATTTACTCCTCATAATCCTGTAAGTCATGTACAAGATTGTATCCTGTAACAGTATTTGCAAACAGCAAAAGACAGGGAAATAATTTATAGCCATGAAAGCATAACTAAATTTCTGTACATTTATGTATACAATGAGTTACTATTAAATGAATAGTAGTCATTAAATGAATGAGGTACTATGTAGGAAAACAATCTCCAAAATATTGTAACTGGAAAGAAAGCAAGGTATAAAAGTTTTGTGTTAAAAGTGTGTGTGTGTGTATGTGTGTGTGTCTGTGGGTGTGTACTTATGCAAAGAAACTGGACAAATAGTCATTGTTAATAGTTTGCTTTGGGGAGGGTGTCTGGAGTGGAAGGGAAACACTTTTCTTAATATATCCTTTTGTACTGTTTTTAAAAAATTTCTGCATGTATTTTTAATTTAATTTATTTTTTAGTTGAAGTCTCACTCTGTCACCCATGCTGGAGTGCAATGGCGTGATCTTGGCTCACCGCAACCTCAGTCTCCTGGGTTCAAGTGATTCTCCTACCTCAGCCTCCTGAGTAGCTGGGACTATAGGTGCACGTCACTGTGCCAGCTAATTTTTTGTATTTTTAGTAGAGACGGGGTTTTACCATGTTGGCCAGGCTGGTCTTGAACTCCTGACCTCAGGTGATCCACCCACCTCAGCCTCCCAAAGTGCTGGGATTACAAGTGTGAGCCACCGCGCCCAGCCTGTATTTTTTATTTTAAAAGCTAGCTACAAATAAATACCTATTCTACTTTTTCGCTCCCTGAAAAGTATAATGGTAAATATTTTGTGGAAGATTTGAGTTTTTAGCACCTCGTGTCATCCTCACAAACATCACTTTTCAGTGTTTCAGCCTAAAGCGTTTTACATCTAAGTGTGGGTCTATCCTCTAACTGAAGTGAGAGCCCCTGAGGGCAGATGACACCTCGTGTCATCCTCACAAACATCACTTTTCAGTGTTTCAGCCTAAAGCATTTTACATCTAAGTGTGGCTCTATCCTCTAACTGGACTGAGCCCCTGAGGGCACAGTCTCCTGCCTGTGCACAGAGCCTGGGAAAGAGCAGGTGCCTAAATGACTGCCTGTTGAATAAAGTGGATATAAAGGGGGAAAGAGAATACTTCCATTCCATATGTTGCCTCCAGGGAGCACTCTAGGAAACATTTTCAAATAATCAAATTCCTGATATGAATTTGTTTTCATGAATTTGCCTGTGACTCAAAAAAAGGAGAGCACAGAAAACAACTGAATAATAAGGGTTACCAGCCAATCAGGATTTTACACTACAGAGGTAATGCTTAAGTGTTCTTACCCTTAATTATAAACCTTGCAAAAGGTTGGGCGCGGTGGCTCACACCTGTGATCCCAACAACATCTTGGGAGGCCAAGGCAGGTGGATCACCTGAGGCCAGGAGTTCGAGAACAGCCTGCCCAACATGGTGAAACCCTGTCTCTACTAAAAAAAAAAATACAAAAAATTAGCTGGGCATGGTGGTGGGCACCTGAAATCCCAGCTACTTGGGAGGCTGAGGCAGGAGAATTGCTTGAACCTGGGAGGCGATTCCCAGGCAGTGAAACAACAACAAAAAAACAACTTTGCAACAAATGAAAATGTATTTTTAAAATAATTGAATAAAAGTCTAAGTTGAATACTTATATGCGCGTTTGAAACCTCAAGTACAAACACCATTTCAACACTATTTTTTTTTTTTGAGACGGAGTCTCGCCCTGTCACCCAGGCTGAAGTGCAGTGGCCCAATCTCGGCTCACTGCAACCTCCATCTCCTGTGTTCAAGCGATTCTCCTGCCTCAGCCTCCGGAGTAGCTGGGATTACAGGCGTGTGCCACCATGCCTGGCTAATTTTTTGTATCTTTAGTAGAGACAGGGTTTCACCATGTTGGCCAGGCTGGCCTCGAACTCCTGACCTCGTGATCTGCCCACCCCTGCCTCCCAAAGTGCTAGGATTACAGGCGTAAGCCACCACGCCCGGCCTTGGCACTATGTTTAATGCATTTGTCTAATCATGTCAAAAAGCACCGGAACGCACATGATAAGGATTATCAGGATTGAAGGCTTGTGAGTCCTCTTGAACACTGGGTCTGGTTTCATTATTCAGTCTTCCAGCGCCTGGGTTGCTCCGTGGTCCACTGTGTGGTCTTTTTGTGGTAGTTGGAACAATTTTTCTTACCACTTCTCTTCTTTCCCTCTGGATTTCTGCAAAAATTTCTGTAAATTAATCCCTTTATTTGAATAATTAAGGAAATTAGATCTGTGTTTATCAGGGTGAAAAACATAAGAAAAGGATATCAAAATTTGTGCATAACCAGATGGCTTAAAATTTTTGTACTGATGTTTGTAGTAATAAAACATGTTTTAGAGTCTTGGGCTAATAGTTAAACATACAGATAATCTGAATTTGGTTTTGTAATACTAATTGAAGATGACATTGTAAGATGGCCTGACAAACCTCAAGACCACCTCCCCCCTTTCTTTTGGTCTGCCTTCACTACTGGGGCTGAGAAAATAAAACACCATTCATTTCCCCAGCTTCCTTTGCAATTAGAAGTGGCCAGGTGAGACATATCTGACCAGGGAGACATCAGCAGAATACGCTAGTGCAGTTTCTGGGAAAGCTTTTGCTTTCTCGGTAAAAGGGGACAGATAGGCTTCCCTGTCTTGTTTTTCCTTTCTTGAACACAGATGTGATATCTGGAGTTATGAGAGTCAACTTGTGACTATGAAGTGATAGGCACCATAAGCCAGCATGCTACAGGTAGTAAAATGGTAACTGGAAAGAGACTTGATGGTATCATTGAGTAGCTGATAGTGTCAAAAACCTCCTCTCTCTAGACTTCTGGCTATATGAAAAAAATAAACCTGTGTTTGTTGAAACCACTGTTGATCAAATATTCTGTTAATTGTAGCCCTAAGTATTTCTAATGGATTGACTATATCAGTATAAAGCTTTACAGTTTGCAAGGGAAATATCTTGGTTTATTCTTTTTAAAAATCCTATGGGATAGAAAAAGCAAATGCTTTTATATATGAGGGCATCAAGCCTCAGAAAGGCCAAGTGACTTGGCCAAGATCACAGAATGGGTGGCATAGGTAGGTGCCCAGTGCGAACTCCCTGGCTCTAGTTTACCACATAGCCTCATGGGCCCTGCAGCAGGGCTGATGGCTGCCAATTAACCAAAATACAGGCCAGGAGCAGTAGCTCATGCCTGTAATCCCAGCAGTTTGGGAGGCTGAGGCAGGCGGATCACTTGAGGTCAGGAGTTCGAGACCAGCCTGGTCAACATGGTGAAACTCCATCTCTACTAAAAATACAATAATTAGCCGGGCGTGGTGGCAGGCACCTGTAATCCCAGCTACTTGGGAGGCTGAGACAGGAGAATCGCTTGAACCTGGGAGGCAGAGGCTGCAGTGAGCCGAGATTGCATCATTGCACTCAAGCCTGGGTGACGAGTGAAACTCCATCTCAAAAAAAAGTAGAAAGTACCACACAGCTTGGATTTTGGTGTCTCTCTGAGCCCGTTTCGTTATCTGTAAAATGGGGATAATAGTAATATCTAATTCATAGGGTAGTGATAGGGTTAATGAGAATCTGTCTAAAGGTTTAAGCAGTGTGTTGCATATAATAAGCACTGAACTATTAGGTGATGAGGATTATATCATGCTTTGTTATTTAGGAGAACTAAGATGTGCTTTAAAGCCATTGGTAGCTTCCACAGATAGCATGGTTGGAGAGGCACCAGTGAGACCTGGATTTGATCACAGTTCTGCTTCTTTTAACTAACTAAATGACCTTAGGCAAATTACTTATCTCTGTGAACCTTAGTTTCTTCATCTATAAAACGGGAACGAGTAGTTACCCCAACAGTTGTTGGCAAAGATTAAATGAGGACAAAGCGTAATTCTCTACTACCATGCCTGACACACAGAGCTCAGCAGGTGTCAGCTCTCCCCGTTCCCCTCTGACCTGTGTCCAGCTGTCATTCCCCGTGTCTCTGATAATACAGCTGTGTGACACTGATGACCTGCTGGCTTCAAGATCCAAGGGCATGGGCCGCTGGACCCTGGAGTGTGGTGCTTTTATTAGAATTAGGTGGTAGGAAGCCTGGCATCATCAGAGTTTCTTGATTGTATTGTAAAATATAACTGTACTTATGAGAGATGGGGGAATCCATTTTTCATATCTATGATATTCCATTTTATGGATATAATCAACATTTACCTTTTCTAATCTGGGGGCATTGAGGTGTTTTCCACTTTTCTTGTGTACATAATATGTGTAATTCTTGTATGGATGTTGTGGTGATTGAATACTTAAAATGTGGTCACGCTATTGGGCTGGGAGGGAACAAGCCACATCTTGGATATGTAGGGAAGAAGCTCTTTCCCCAAGTGAGAAATTACTCATCCTATCAGTTGTCTTAGCATTGCCAATAATGCTGTGTTCCGATCTCTAGTGCCCACCCCATGGCCCTGCACTGGCATTTTCCATAGCACCTTGTATCATATTATACAATTTTCTTATTTTAATTTAGTGTTTATTTACTGTCTCCCCTTGCTGCAATGCAAAACTCCCTGAGGGCACGGGTTCTTGTCTGTTCTATTCACGGATGCACCTCAAATACCTACAACAAGTTTATGGCACGTACTAGGCCCTCATGAACGTCTGTCAAATGAGTGAATGAACTCTCTGGGTAAGAGGCTTGTCCTCAATGAGATTAGGGAGAGCTCTAACTGGTAGCACACTGCAGACTCTTGTCCTCAGCTGGAAAAGATGGGAGTTCCTGGGCGACAGAAAGTAAGAAGGCCCACCCAGGTGGTGGCAGGTGTGGAACAGAAAGCCAGAACTTGGCAAGCCATCATAGAACTGTGAGTTGTGACCACCCATAGGAGCAAGAGCAGGAATGGCAACAGCACAGCCCATTTGGCAGCCCCTCTCCTGCCCCCTTCAGCCAGCCAGCCCCTGCTGACTGAGTTTGGAATTCTTTCTTACTGAGCCTGCATGTGGTCTCCAGCTGTTTCTCAGCCCACTGTGCTGGGCAGCTACTGCCAGTGGCTTGTCGCTGAATCCTATTTGCCTCACCCAGGCTGGAGAGGAGCCATCTTCTCCAGCTTTGGGACAGAATGAGACTTGTGAACCATAAGAATAAGTTAGTCGTGGCAGATCAGAAACCTGTACTTCCTAAGCCTGGTGGGTATTTTTAAAAATTGTAAAATATACATAACGAAATTTACCATGTTAACCATTTTTAAGTGTACAGTTCAGTGGCATGAAGTACATTCACATTGCTGTGCAATCATCACCACCATCTAGAACATGTTTCATCTTGCAAAAAATGAAACTGTACCTATTAAACACTAACTGCCCAGTTTTTTCCCTGTGTGCCCACCAAGCCTAGTGGTTTTAAAGGCCTATATTTTCTTTATTTCCATGCTGCTGTCTGCTAGTCTTCCATAAAATCTTTCAGAAAACAGCCTATCTCAGCTGTGCTAGGAGAAAGGCCTTTTTTTTCCCCACATTTGAACCAGAGCTACAAAATAGGCCTTTGGGAGGCCAGTGTGGTGACTGCAGTAGAAATAGTGAGACAACTCAGGGGACAGGAGAAACTCAGGAGGGAGAGTGAGGCCCACCAGGCTCACCTGCCCTTCATTACCCAGAAATAGCTCAAAGATATGCTCCAGCCTAGCTGTGAACCCCAGGGAGTCTGCACTTACTTTCACTGGACTTGGAAGCTAATATTCAAGCTCTGAACTTGAGAGGAATCTCAGCCAATACCCATAGCAGCTTTTGGCTGTCCCATAATTCTAGGTTTGAACACAATAAAGACTCGGCGGTATGACAGTTTCTTAGTCCCTTGATTCTATGCCTTAGAAATAAAAAAAATGTAAAATTGGAAGGTGCAAACAACTGAGATAAAGGGGCAGAGTGGAAAGAAGTGGGAGTGTCATAAACCAAAGCTGCAGGTAATGCCATGGCATTGTCTTCCTGATCTGCCTCCTGTTAACCCTACTGCTCCTTCCCTTCCCTTCAATAGTCACGGGCTGTCATTTTCCTGCTCTTTCATCTCTCATGCTAATTACTGAGACACTGCGACATGCATCCTGATTTATCCTCCTTGTTAACATGCTCAGGCCTGTGGAGGGGGTTGGAGGAACCTCACATGCATGAACAGGGAAAGTTGTAAACAGCTTAAGATAATTTAAAATGTTACCTTTTGGATAGGTTGGTTTAAGCCAGAAAATAGGAAGGTCACCGCAGAGTTCTAACACCTTAGAACTCAAGAAGCTGTTGTCCTTCACAGGCTGATCTACAGCCACCCAGATAAGAGAATTTTCTTCATATTTGACTGGCATGATCTTGCCTTCCTGAAAGTAAAAACGATTGCATTTGAGCAAAGAGGACAGTGAAACAAATTGTATTAAGAGTCATGTGTTGCTAAAAGGTTATTTTGCCTTATAAAAAATTAATGAGAATTCCGAGCATGCGTGTGTACATGTGTGCACTTTAAGGTTCTAATCTCTTCTCTTTGTAGCTCTTTTCACAATATTCAGCACGCCTCCTCCTGTTGCCCTGCCTCTGGATAGCTGTACCATGTGAATATAAGTGCCCTGAGTTGAAGTGAAAATTACTTGATACCAACTTTGAGATTTAGGTTAATCTGATGTTTTTGATCAAAGATGTTTTTGAGGAAAAGCAATTGAACGAACCCTGGAATCCTACAAAGGATAGAGGAACCCTTCATTTGAAGTGAAAATCTTGTGGGGTTTTGTTCTGCAGCTTCTGAACAACAATGGAAAAAGCAAGTGATTGGTTCTTTAATGTCTTCAGTTCAAAGTATTATTTAACATAAACCATTTCTCCACTTCCCAGCTATAACAACACATATTTCAGATGTTCCTCACATCAAGCACACCACTGAGATTTCAAAGTTAAACCCTGGATTTTCTTCCACAGTGAGATGCTGAGAATGGTTTGATAACCCAGGAGACAAATTTATCCTGCCAGGTTGTTCCTTTCGTGTACTTATTAGTCTGCAATAGCTTGGAGAAATTAAAATGTTTTCTCCTAATTTTTAGCTAAAAGCAGTACTTCATTTATGCTTTCTCCCTCAGGCTTATGGCTGCATTAAAACAACTTAAAGTTATTGGAGGAAGCTAACAGTCAGGTAATCCAGTTATTTACCTTAAATTAAATGGCTCCATCCAGGAAATGAATGCTCTTTGAGTACTGTAGCTTTTTAAAGTTATACAAAACTGATGAAAAATTTATGAAAGCAAGTGGTACATAAATCTACCCCATCTTAGTCTAAAGTGTGTGGGGAAGAGTGGGGTGATTGGGATAATGCATATAGATGCATCCTCCATGCTAAGAATGTTAAATAAATCTTGAGGCATGTACTTTTGGTTGCCTACCCAATCTCCTTCCTCCCCCACCTGCCTTGTAACATAGTCCTTCTTTTATTGGAAGCAGCAATGAGCCCAGCCCCAGGAGAGACACTTGCTTTCTCTAGTTCTCCTGCAGTCCAGGGTGCCCGGGTGACCCAGTGGTAGCCAGTGAGATCCAGGCCAAAGTATGCTGAGGGCTTGGGAGGCCTTCTGCTTTTCCTGATTAAAGGGAAGTCGTGGTTGGCATTGCTCAATGTCTTTCTTCCTGACATTTTTACTTGAATGCCAACTAAGGAAGTCAGGAAGAGGTTGAGCAGTGGCAACCATGATTGGAGCTGAAAGGCAAGATTTTAAAAAATCACAGAAATGCTGGCCACCGAGCCAATGCCTGCAGCCACCTGCCTCCACATTGCTTACTGTGGAGAAAAACAGATCCCGATTTGTGTAAGTTACTCTAAGGGTAGTTTTCTGTTACTGACAGCCAAACATATTCCTAATTCACACAAATGTATTGTCTGAATTTGTTTTTGTCCACTAGAGGATCCATCATGCATGACATAAACAACTAAAACACAGGACAAATAATCTACCTCTATGGCCTAAGAATCAGATGCAGACAAAGATTTAAATATAAAAGCATTCACCATCACGGCGAATTTATTTACCATGGTAAATAATGGTATTTAAAAATAGTTATTTTTAATTATTATTTGAAATAATGAAAAATTGAAGATACCTGAAGTGTTTAAGAATAAAAGACTTTTAAAATTATAATCATATGATAAAGCATATGTCCATTATAATCTACATTTTAGAAGAACTAAAGTTATGACAATAATAAGCATGTACAACAGGATAATTTCCCTTATAGAAAGACTATCACACACACACACACACGGAGAAAATTCACCAAAACATTAGCATTAGCTTTTTGTGGATTATGCAATTGTAGGTAATTTTATTATCTATACTTTTTTTCCCTAAGATGTCCCAGTATTGAACCATTTGTACATCCCTGAAATAAACCTTACCTTGTCATGACATGTTACTTATTCAACATATGGCTATACTCCTTTTACTAATATTTTAGTCAAGATTCTTACACCTATTTTCTTTTTTTATTTTTAATTTTTGTGGATCTATAGTAGGTATATACTTATGGGTTACCTAAGATATTTTGATACCAGCATGCAATGCATAATTACCACATCAGGGTAATTACTGCAAGCATTTATTCTTTGTTTCAAACAATCCAGTTATACTGTTAGTTTTTTTAAAAATGTATAATTGTTTTTTACTACAGTCTCCCTGCTGTGCTAGCAAATACTAGGTCTTATTTAGTTTTTCTATTTTTTATTCTTTATAACTAATTTTTGTACCCATTACCATCCTCCCTTCCCCCAAACCGTTCCAGCCTCTGGTAATCATCCTTCTATTCTCTATCTCCATGAGTTCAACTGTTTTAATTTTTTTAAATTATACTTTAAATTCTGGGATACATGTGCAGAATGTGCAGGTTTGTTACATAGGTATACACATGCCATGGTGGTTTGCTGCATGCATCAACTCGTCATCTACATTAGATATTTCTCTTAATGCTATTCTTCCCCTAGCACTCCCACTCCCTGACAGGCCCCGGTGTGTGATGTTCCCCTCCCTGTGTCCATGTGTTCTCATTGTTCAGCTCCTACTTGTGAGTGAGAACATGCAGTGTCTGGTTTTCTGTTCCTGTGTTACTTTGCTGAGAATGATGGTTTCCAGCTTCATCCGTGTCCCTGCAAAGGACATGAACTCATCATTTTTATGGCTGCATAGTATTCTATGGTGTACATGTGCCACATTTTCTTTATCCAGTCTATCATTGATGGGCATTTGGGTTGGTTCCAAGTCTTTGCTATTGTGAATAGTGCTGCAATAAGCATACATATGCATGTGTCTTTATAGTAGAATGATTTATAATCCTTTAGGTATATACCCAGTGATGGGATTGCTGGGTCAAATGATATTTCTGGTTCTAGATCCTTGAGGAATCACCACACTGTATTCCACAATGGTTAAACTGATTTATAGTCCCATCAACAGTGTAAAAGCATTCCTATTCCTCCACATCTTCTCCAGCATATGTTGTTTCCTGACTTTTTGATGATCGCCATTCTAACCGGTATGAGATGGTATCTCATTGTGGTTTTGATTTGCATTTCTGTAATGACCAGTGATGATCAACTTTTTTTCATGTTTGTTGGCCACATAAATGTCTTCTTTTGAGAAGTGTCTGTTCATATCCTTCACCCACTTTTTGATGGGGTTGTTTCTTTCTTGTGAATTTGTTTAAGTTCCTTGTAGATTCTGGATATTAGCCCTTTGTCAGATGGATAGATTGCAAAAATTTGTTCTCCCATTCTGTAGATTGCCTCTTCACGCTGATGATAGTTTCTTTTGCTGTGCAGAAGCTCTTTAATTTAATTAGATCTCATTTGTCAATTTTGGCTTTTATTGCCATTGCTTTTGGTATTTTAGTCATGAAGTCTTTGCCCATGCCTATGTCCTGAATGGTATTGCCTAGGTTTTCTTCTAGGGTTTTTATGATTTTAGGTCTTACATTTAAGCCTTTAATCCAGCTTGAGTTAATTTTGTATAAGGTGTAAGGAAGGGGTCCGGTTTCAGTTTTCTACGTATGGCTAGCCAGTTTTCCCAAGACCATTTATTAAATAGGGAATCCTTTCCCCATCGCTTGTTTTTGTCAGGTTTGTCAAAGATCTGATTGTTGTAGATGTGTGGCATTATTTCTGAGGGCTCTGTTCTGTTCCATTGATCCATATACCTGTTTTGGTACCAGTACCATGCTGTTTTGGTTACTATAGCCTTGTAGTATAGTTTGAAGTCAGGTAGCATGATGCCTCCAGCTTTGTTCTTTTTGCATAGGATTGTCTTGGTTATACGGGCTCTTTTTTGGTTCCACGTGAAATTTAAAGTAGTTTTTTCTAATTCTGTGAAGAAAGTCAGTGGTAGCTTGATGGGGATAGCATTGAATCTATAAATTACTTTGGGCAATATGGCCATTTTCACGACATTGATTCTTCACATCCATGAGCATGGAATGTTTTTCCATGCGTTTGTGTCCTCTCTTTTTTCATTGAGCAGTGGTTTGTAGTTCTCCTTGAAGAGGTCCTTCACATCCCTTGTAAGTTGTATTCCTAGTATTTTATTCTCTTTTAGCAACTGTGAATGAGAGTTCCCTCATGATTTGGCTCTCTGTCTATTATTGGTGTATAGGAATGCTTGTGATTTTTGCACATGGATTTTGTATCCTGAGACTTTGGTGCAGTTGCTTATCAGCTTAAAGAGATTTTGTGCTGAGGCAATGGAGTTTTCTAAATGTACAATCATGTAATCTGCAAAATGAGACAATTTGACTTCCTCCCCTCCTATTAGAATACACTTTATTTCCTTCTCTTGCCTGATTGCCCTGGCCAGAACTTCCAACACTATGTTGAATAGGAGTGGCAAGAGAGGGCATCCTTGTCTTGTGCTGGTTTTCAAAGGAAATGCTTCCAGTTTTTGCCCATTCACTATGATATTGGCTGTGGGTTTGTCATAGATAGCTCTTATTATTTTGAGATATGTTCCATCAATACCTAGTTTATTGAAAGTTTTTAGCATGAAGCGGTGTTAAATTTTATTGAAGGCCTTTTCTGCCTCTATTGAGATAATCATGTGTTTTTGTCATTGGTTCTGTTTAGGTAATGGATTATGTTGATTGATTTGTGTATGTTGTACCAGCCTTGTATCCCAGGGATGAAGCTGACTTGATCGTTGTGGATAAGCTTTTTGATATGCTGCTGCATTCAGTTTGCCAGTATTTTATTGAGGATTTTTGCATCGATGTTCATCAGGGATATTGGCCTGAAATTTTCTTTTTTTGTTGTGTCTCTGCCAGGTTTTAGTATCAGGATGATGCTGGTCTCATAAAATGAGTTAGAGAGGAGTCCCTCTTTTTGTATTGTTTGGAATAGTTACAGAAAGAATGGTACCAGCTCCTCTTTGTACCTCTGGTAGAATTTGGCTGTGAATCCGTCTGGTCCTGGGCTTTTTTTGGTCGGTAGGCTATTAATTACTGCCTCAATTTCAGACCTTCTTATTGGTCTATTCAGGGATTTGACTTCTTCCTGGTTTAGTCTTGGGAGGGTGTATGTGTCCAGGAATTTACCCATTTCTTCTGAATTTTCTAGTTTATTTGTGTAGAGGTGTTTATAGCATTATCTGACGGTAGTTTGTATTTCTGTGGGATCAGTGGTGATATCCCCCTTATCATTTTTTATTGTGTCATTTGATTCTTTTCTCTTTTCTTCTTTATTAGTCTGGCTAGTAGTCTATCTATTTGTTAATCTCTTCAAAAAACCAGCTCCTGGATTCAATGATTTTTGGAAGGGTTTTTCATGTCTCTATCTCCTTCAGTTCTGCTCTGATCTTAGTTATTTCTTGTCTTCTGCTAGCTTTTGAATTTGTTTGCTCTTGCTTCTCTAGTTGTTTTAATTGTGATGTTAGGGTGTCAGTTTTAGATCTTTCTTGCTTTCTCCTGTGGGCATTTTAGTGCTATAAATTTCCCTCTAAACACTGCTTTAGCTGTGTACCAGAGATTCTGGTACATTGTGTTTTTGTTCTCATTGATTTCAAAGAACATCTTTATTTCTGCCTTCATTTTGTTATTTACCCAGTAGTCATTCAGGAGCAGGTTGTTCAGTTTCCATGTAGTTTTGCAGTTTTGAGTGAGTTTCTTAATCCTGAGTTCTAATTTGATTGTACTGTGGTCTGAGAGACTGTTATGATTTCCATTCTTTTGCATTTGCTGAGGAGTGTTTTTCTTCCAATTTTAGAATAATTGTGATGTGGTGCTGAGAAGAATGTATATTCTGTTGATTTGGAGTGGAGAGTTCTGTACATGTCTATTAGGTCTGCTTGGTCCAGAGCTGAGTTCAAGTCCTGAATATCCTTGTTAATTTTCTGTCTCATTGATCTGTCTAATATTGAAAGCGGGGTGTTAAAGTCTCCCACTATTATTATGTGGGAGTCTAAGTCTCTTTGTAGGTCTCTGAGAAACTTGCTTTATGAATCTGGGTGCTCCTATATTGGGTGCATATATATTTAGGATAGTTAGTTCTTCTGGTTGCATTGATCCTTTTACCATTATGTAATGCCCTTATTTGTCTTTTTTGATCTTTGTTGGTTTAAAGTCTGTTTTATCAGAGACTAGGATTGCAACCCCTGCTTTTTTTGCTTTCCATTTGCTTGGTAAATATTCCTCCATCCCTTTATTTTGAACCTATGTGTGTCTTTGCACGTGAGATGGGTCTCCTGAATACAGCACACCGATGGGTCTGGACTCTTTATTCAGTTTGCCTGTCTGTGTCTTTTAATTGCGGGATTTAGCCCATTTACATTTAAGGTTAATATTGTTATGTGTGAATTTGATCCTATCATTCTGATGCTAGCTGGTTATTTTGCCCGTTAGTTGATGCAGTTTCTTCATAGTGTTGATGGTCTTTACAATTTGGTATGTTTTTGCAGTGGCTGGTACCGGTTTTTCTTTTCCATATTTAGTGCTTCCTTCAGGAGCTCTTGTAAGGCAGGGCTGGTGGTGACACAATCTCTCAGCATTTGCTTGTCTGTAAAGGATTTTATTTCTCCTTCACTTATGAGGCTTAGTTTGGCTGGATATGAAATTCTGGGTTGAATATTCTTTTCTTGAAGAGGTTGAATATTGGCCCCCACTCTCTTTTGGCTTGTAGGGATTCTGCCAAGAGATCTGCTGTTAGTCTGATGGGCTTCCCTTTGTGGGTAACCCGAACTTTCTCTCTGGCTGCTTTTAACATTTTTTCCTTCATTTCAATCTTGGTGAATCTGACGATTATGTGTCTTGGGGTTGCTCTTCTTGAGGAGTATCTTTGTGGTGTTCTCTGTATTTCCTGAATTTGAATGTTAGCCTGTCTTGCTAGGTTGGGGAAGTTCTCCTGGATAATATCCTGAAGAGTGTTTCCCAACTTGGTTCCATTCTCCCTGTCACTTTCAGGTACACCAGTCAAATGTAGGTTTGGTTTTTTCACATAGTCCCATATTTCTTGGAGGCTTTGTTCATTCCTGTTCATTCTTTTTTCTCTAATCTCGTCTTCATGCTGTATTTCATTAAGTTGATCTTCAATCTTGGATATCCTTTCTTCCTTCCACTTAATGGATTTGGCTACTGATACTTGTGTATGGTTCACGAAGTTCTCGTGCTGTGTTTTTCAGCTCCATCAGGTCATTTAAGTTCTTCTTTAAAATGGTTATTCTAGTTAGCAATTCCTCTAACCTTTTTTTCAAGGTTCTTGGCTTCCTTGCATTGGGTTAGAACATGCTCCTTTAGCTCAGAGGAGTTTGTTATTACCCATCTTCTGAAGCCTACTTCTGTCAATTTGTCAAACTCATTCTCCATCCAGATTTGTTCCCTTGTTGGCGAGGAGTTGTGATCCTTTGGAGGAGAAGAGGCGTTCTGGTTTTTGGAATTTTCAGCCTTTTTGCACTGGTTTTTCCTTGATGTTGGTGACCTTTGGATGGGGTTCTGTATGGATGTCCTTTTTGTTGATGTTGATGCTATTCCTTTCTGTTTGTTAGTTTTCCTTCTAACAGTCAAGCCCCTCTGCTGCAGGTCTGCTGGAGTTTGCTGAGGTCCACTCCAGACCCTGTATGCCTGGGTATCACCATCAGAGGCTGCAGAACAGCAAAAATTGCTGTCTGTTCCTTCCTCTGGAAGCTTTGTCCCAGAGGGGCACCCATCAGATGCCAGCCGGAGCTCTCCTGTATGAGGTATCTGTCAATCCCTGCTGGGAGGTGTCTCCCAGTCAGGCACAGGGGGGTCAGGGACTCACTTGAGGAGGCAGTCTGTCCCTTAGCCAAGCTTGAGTGCTGTGCTGGGAGATCCACTGCTCTCTTCAGAGCTGGCAGGCAGGGACGTTTAAGTCTGCTGAAGCTGTGCTCACAGCCGCCCCTTCCCCCAGGTGCTCTGTCCTAGGGAGATGGGAGTTTTATCTATAAGCCCGACTGGGGCTGCTGCCTTTCTTTCAGAGATGCCCTGCCTGGAGAGGAGGAATCTAGAGAGGCAGTCTGGTTACAGCGGCTTTGAGGAGCTGCTGGGCTCCACCCAGTTCGGACTTCCTGGCGGCTTTGTTTACACTGTGAGAGGAAAACTGCCTACTCAAGCCTCAGTGATGGCTGATGCCCCTCCCCCCACCAAGCTCAAGTGTCCCAGGTCGACTTCAAACTGCTGTGCTGGCAGCGAGAATTTCAAGCCAGTGGATCTTAGCTTGCTGGGCTCCATGGGGGTGGGATCTGCTGAGCTAGACCACTTGGCTCCCTGGCTTCAGCCCCCTTTCCAGGGGAGTGAATGGTTCTGTCTTGCTGGTGTTCCTGGCCCCACTGGGGTATGAAGAAAGACTTCTGCAGCTAGCTCGGTGTCTTCCCAAATGGCCACCCAGTTGAAACCCAGGGCCCTGGTGGTGTAGGCACCCAAGGGAATCTCCTGGCCTGCAGGTTGCAAAGACCATGGGAAAAGCATAGTATCTGGGCTGGAAGGCACTGTTCCTCATGGCATGGTCCCTCACAACTTCCCTTGGCTAGCAGGGGGAGTTCCCCAACCCCTTGAGCTTCCTGGGTGAGTCTATGCCCCACCCTGCTTTGGCTTGCCCTCTGTGGGCTGCACCCACTGTCTAACCACTCCCAGTGAGATAAGCCAGGTACCTCAGTTGGAAATGCAGAAATCACCTGCCTTCTGTGTTGATCTCACTGGGAGCTGCAAACTGGAGCTGTTCCTATTCGGCCATCTCTATATATACTTTTATGTATCTCTCAAATTTCCTACAGTAACACAGTATTGTTTTTAAAAATCAGGGAAAAATGTATTTAAAAACTCAGAAAATATACTGCAAACTTATGATTAAATCTGGGTCAGCCATTGTTGGGGAATTGGTCCTTGTAGAAGGCAGGAGAGGAGAACAAGTTCTGGGTCCATTTGTAGGGAAAATGGCAAGGATTATAGTTCACTGAAGTCTTCATGACAGAAACTGAGGGATATGACTATAAAAAATGGTAATGCAATAAGAGAAGTTCAAGGGTCAGAACAAAGGAGGTCTTGGTCCCATTTTTATACTTGGTATAACATACTTGCACCGAGAAGACGACCTTTGATTCTGAACAGCACAGCTCATAAGGAACCAGCTGGAACACCATCAGGAGAGAATGACCAGAGCAAGGAAGGTCTGGAATACATCTCACAGGATGGATGGGAAACAGAGTAGAAAAGAGAAAACAGGAAATGGTAGTCAGCTTTACAAACTCACGGGTTTGTTTTTTAGCTTTTGTGTTGTTCTGTTTTGAGACACCGCCTGCAGCTGCTCCTATGGGGGCAAACAATCAGGCAGTTTCCAGGCGCCTTTGCTAACCCATATAGTTTTCCTCTTTTGCCTTGAGGGAGCTGATACTTGCTTTCCCTCCCTCTCAGGAATACTGGGAGGATCAAAGATGATCATAATAAAATTAACAACAATGAGCAGCAGCCATCTGTCAACCATCAAGTAGATTTGAGGGCCATGGGCACTGTATGCATACCCCCAGCTTACAGATGACAATATCCATAGGGAGTATGAGAGCTGAGATGTAAATCCACGTTTTTCTGACTTCAAAGCCCATTTTCTCTCCACTCTATCCTGCCACAACTCAAATAAAAGACAGTAATCAATGGGACCATTTTGTAAGCCCTAAACTACCATTAAAAGTAAGGTATTACTGTTAAATGTGTCTTTAGAATTCTGTATGCAATTCCTAAAGTAAATTTTAAAAAAATCAAGCTCAAAGGCAAGTTATTAATAATAAATGAAAGAAACATGTTTTAAAAACTCACAGGTTTGACACATAGAAAAGGAATTAGATATATGTTGTGTAGCTTCAATGGGCTGAACCTGAACCAATGGGAAGAAGTTGTAGGAGGAGCTATCTCAGCTTAATGTAGGGCAAAACAATTAGAACCACCCTCAGTGATGCTGGCTGGTGTTGGGGTGGGGGATGAGTGCCCTGTGGCTGCTTTCCAGCAGAGGCTGTGTGATCCGCTATTGTGGGTCCCTTTAATGAAGACCCTGTCTTGTGGAGTCCTTTGTCTTTATTGTGGAGTCTCTTTCGGGTTTTTTTATTTTTTGAGATAGAGTCTCATTCTGTTGCCCAGCCTGGAGTGCACTGGTGCAATCTCAGCTCCCTGCAGCCTCAATCTCCTGGGCTCAAGTGATCCTCCCACCTCTGCCTCCTGAGTAGCTGGGACTATAGGTACGCACTACCATGGCCAGCTAATTTTTTGTATTTTTAGTAGAGACAGGGTTTTGCCGTGTTGTCCAGGCTTGTCTGGAATTCCTGGGCTTAAATGAACTGCCCACCTCGGCCTCCCAAAGTGCTGGGATTACCAGCATGAGCCACCATGCCTGCCTCTATTGTGGAGTCTTAACCACAGATCAGATAGTTCCCTAACCTCAGGCAAATAAGGCCATATGAGCACCCAGCCCCTTTATGCACTTTAAAATGTGGCTTCCCAAAACGTTTAAATATACTATATCATGTGAGAAGAATCCCTTGACCCCAGTAGGACAAAAACAGTTTGAATTCCTTTGGCAGAGAAGAAATCGAATTTACCATCTAGTCATGAACCTATCCAGGTACTAGAAACCAAAAGTGTTGTGCCTTTAGGCTGGGCGCGGTGGCTCACTCCTATAATCCTGGCACTTTAGGAGGCCGAGGCAGGCAGGTCACTTGAGGCCAGGAGTTCAAGAAGAGCCTGGCCAACATGGTGAAACCCTGTATCTATTAAAAATACAACAAGTTAGTTGGATGTGGTGGTGTCCCTGTAGTCCCAGCTGCTCAGGAAGCTGAGACAGGAGAATCGGATGCAGTGAGCCAAAAGCGCCACTGCACTCCAGAGTGAGACTCTGTCTCAATAAAAATAAAAATAAAAACAAAAAATAAAAACCAAAAGGGTTGTGCCTTCAAACAATGTTTGCCAAGCAGTCTCACTGTCTCAGGCATGTTGGTACCCACCAGTTTGGAGGAGATGCTCTGTTTGGTCACGGCGCCCACCTCAGGAATACGAGCCTTCACTTGCGCTTTAATGTAGCACTTCTCTCCTCCAGCAAAACGAATTCCTGTGATGCCCTATGAAACAAAAGTGTATCCATCTATCTATCCATTTGTTCATTTATTCGATTTATTGAGTGTCTACTGTGTTCCAGATGCTGTTCCGGGTGCTAGGGATAGGGATGAACAAAAGAGATGGAACTGCCCTCATGGAACTTACCTTTTAGCATTGTTTACCAATAATAAAAAACAGCCGGGCGGCCTGGCGCGGTGGCTCACGCCTGTAATCCCAGCACTTTGGGAGGCCAAGGCAGGCAGATCACGAGGTCAGGAGATCAAGACCATCCTGGCTAACACGGTGAAACCCGATCTCTACTAAAAATACAAAAAAAAAAAAAAAAAAAAAAAATTAGCCAGGCGTGGTGGCGGGCGCCTGTAGTCCCAGCTACTTGGGAGGCTGAGGCAGGAGAATAGGGTGAACCGGGGAGGCGGAGCTTGCAGTGAGCCAAGATTGCGCCACTGCACTCCACAGCCTGGGCAACAGAGCAAGACTCCGTCTCAAAACAAAAACAAAAAACAAACAAAAACAGCCGGACATGGTGGCTTATGCCACCAGAACTTTGGGAGGCCGACGCGGGCAGATCACCTGAGGTCGGGAGTTTGAGACCAGCCTGGCCACCATGGTGAAACCTTGTCTCTACTAAAAATACAAAAATTAGCCGGGTGTGGTAGCGGGCTCCTGTAATCCCAGCTACTTGGGAGGCTGAGGCCGGAGAATCGCTTGAACCCGGGAGGTGGAGGTTGCAGACAGCCAAGATCGCCACTGCACTCCAGCTTGGGTGACAGAACGAGGCTGTCTCAAAAAAATAAAAACAAACAAACAAACAAGAATAGAGATAAAGTCAGGTAATAACTGTTAAGAAGAAAAATAAGACAGGAATGATGAGGTGGTAATTTAGACAGACAGCATAGTCAGGGGAGGTGACTCAATGAGGGGATGATATTTGAGCTGGGACAGAATATGTTAGTTATTCCATCTATATTCACAAGCTCAGATGAAATGCCACCTTCTCCATGCAGCCTTCTCTGAACATCTCAGCCTAAGCAGCTGTCTTTCCTCTGCTTTCCCATAAGTCCTCCTGTCTTCATTCCTCAACTGGGATGCTTACTCAGCTATACACAGCCTACTTAGTTATAAGCTTCTTGAGATCAGTATTTGAATCTTTTCTGTTTTCTTTTTTGGTGACCCCACAAAGCTATTCAAAAGATGTTGGTCAAATTAATTAATTCTGTGAATTCAGAATTTTCCTAGGTTACTGAGCCCAGAGTAAACAGTAAAACTTTCTACAGCACCTGGTTCTGAACTTTCCTTCTATACCTTACCCAAGGACTTAGATGTTTTTTTTTTGTCTCCTGAGAGATATAAACAATATCTTCTCTTGGTCTGCCTAGGGACTGCCTCAAGGGAAACATCAGCCACAAAGCTCCAGTCTTGGCTGAAAGCACAGCCCCGATTCTACCCACAGAGGACATGAGGGGTAACAGGATGCTCTGTCCCAAGAATGTTTACTCTCCTCCTGCTGCTGTTAGTTTCAGGACTAGTGAATCTAAAATAAAGGCCTACAATTTTTATGGTATAATAATGGAGATACTAGCACAAATCTGAACCTTATCAGTCCTCTGTTGAGTTGAGGCAAGTGTTGGAATGATATAGAAATGGTACCAGGGCCAGTGATAAAGAATGGGGGTAGAAAACACTTAAAATCTAGGGATCCTGGCTCAAGATTCAGCCCTTTACAATGAAGAAGAAAATTAAATGTAAGTCATGCTGGAGGGGATTAATGGATAGCTCTACCTTATGTAGTCACAGAGCCAGGAGCCCTACAGAAGCTGGTGAGTAAAGGACTGCAAAACACAGAAGAAAAGGCTCATTCTTCCTCAAGCTCTTTATTATTTGTCTTGTGGCTTAATTAATCATGTATACATATGTAACTCATTTCACCTATTTCTCCCAGCACTACTGCTCACTCAGAGAGACAGGGGCATTATCCCCACTTTACAGAAGAGGAGCTCCGAGGCTCACTGCTGAGGCTTGGCTCTTAACTGCACCTGAATTCACTGTAGAGGGTTTAAGAACACAGACGCCTGGGTCCCTTCCCAGAGATTCCCATTTGATTGGTTTGCTTTGGGGCCCAGGTATTGGGAGCCTTAAAAGCTCCCCAGGTGTTTATAATTTAAAGGGTTGATGCCAGGGTTGAAGACTACCATATGAAAGAGAAAGGTGTTCAAGGTAACAAAGCTTTTAAAGTGATGGCAATAACCTTTGGACCCAAGTTTCTTTTTATCAGTGGTTCACAAACCTTCCCTTGTATCAAAAATCCCCTGGGTCCCCAGCAAAACTTCAGAACAGTCTTCATTAACAACCACACCTTAAGCTACCAAGAAAAATCACAGACACCACCGACGCTGTTTACAGCTAAAAAAAAAAAAAACATACAGAGACTATACTACTGCATGCACCCAGAATGAAAGCTGAAGTGCCCTACCTAACCAACACCAAAAGTCCACACCTATGAAAGCAAATTTAAAAAACTGTAATAAGCAACTATTAAATCAGATGCACAGATATCAACACAAGGACACAGGAAGCATGAAAAAGCAATAAAACATGACACTCCCAGAGGAATACAATAATTCTCCAGCAACAGATCACAATCAAAAACAAATTTATGAAATCCCAGAAAAAAAATTAAATATTGATATTAAAGAAGCTCCGTGAGATACAAGAGAATACTGAAAAACATGACAAAGAAATCAGAAAGACAATTTAGGATATGAATGAGAAATTTAATAAGGAGATGTATATTATGAAAAAGAACGAAATAGAAATTATAGAACTGAAGAATTCATTGAATGAAATACAATATACACTTAAAAGATTCAACAATAGAAGCCAGGCACAGTGGCTCACACCTGTAATCCCAGCACTTTGGGAGGCCAAGGTGAGTGGATCGCCTGAGGTCAGGAGTTCGAGACCAGCCTGGCCAACTATAAACCCCATCTCTACTAAAAATACAAAAAAATAAAAAATAGCTGGCCATGGTGGTGCACGCCTGTTATCCCAGTTACTCGAGGCTGAGGCAGGAGAATCGCTTGAACTCAGGAGGTGGATGTTGCAGTGAGTTGAAATGGCACCACCGCACTTCAGCCTGGGTGACAGAGCCAGACTCCGTCTCAAATAAAAAAAAATGATTCAACAATAGACTATTTCAGGCATCTCAGAACTTGAAGAGAAGTCTTTTGAAATAACCCAGTCAGACAAAAATAAATAAAAAAGAATAAAAAAGGGCCAAGCATAGTGTCTCATGCCTGTAATCCCAACACTTTGGGAGGCTGAGGCAGAAGGACTGCTTGAGCCCAGGAGTTCGCAACCAGCCTGCACAACATGGTGAGACCCCATTTCTACAAAAAAATTTTAAAAATTAGCTAGGTGTGGTGGTGTGTGCCTGTAGTCCCAGCTACTTGGAAGGGAGAAGGATCACTGGTATATATATATATATCCACAATGGAATACTATTTGGCCATAGAAAAGAATGAAATCATGTCATTTCCAGTAACATGGATGGAACCAGAGGTCATTATGTTAAATGAAATAAGCCAGGCACAGAAAGACAAATGTCATATGTTCTCTCTCCTATGTGGGAGCTAAAAAAGTTGATCTCATGGAAGCAGAAAGTAATGATAGATACCAGAGGCTGAGAAGGATATATGGGTGGAGCTGGGGGAATGAAGACAGGTTGGTTAGTGGGTGGTAAAAACATGCAGTTAGACAGAAGAAATAAGTTCTAATGTTCAGTAGCAGAGTGGGGTGACTATAGTTAGCAACAATGTATTGTATGTTTCAAAGCAGCTAGAAGAGAGGACTTGAAATGTTCCCAACACATAGAAATGAAAACCAAATACCCTAACATTATCATTACACATCCTATTCATGTAACAAAATATCACATATATCTCATAAATATATAAAATATTATGTAACAATTTTAAAAAGGCAAATTAAAAAATCACCTGGGCCAGGGCGGTGGCTCACGCCTGTAATCCCAGCACTTTGGGAGGCCGAGGCAGGAGGATCACGAGGTCAAGAGATGGAGACCATCCTGGCCAACATGGTGAAACCCCATCTCTACTAAAAATACAAAAATTAGTTGGGCGTGGTGGCGTGCACCTGTAGTCCCAGCTACTCGGGAGGCTGAGGCAGGAGAAACCCAGGAGGCAGAGGTTGCAGTGAGCCAAGATTGCACCACTGCACTGCAGCCTGGCGACAGAGCGAGACTCCATCTCAAAAAAAAAAAAAAATTCACTTGGAGGACTTGTTAAATTAAACAGTGTTGTGCCCCACCCCCAGTTTCCCATTCAGTAGGTCTGGGGTGGGGCCTAAAATCTGCATTTCTAACAAGCCAAGTGATGCTCCACTGGCAGCCTGAGGAATACACGTGGAGAATAACTGCTTTCTCTTATGCTACCTCCTGTAGGGCTGCTGCTCTTATTTGGCATGTAAATTTAGGACTCATAGTTTGAAAAACAGAAGGCAGGGAGGGAGATGATGCCTTCTTATGTGACATTTTCTCTTAACTTCAAACACATCCCCTGAATGTGAGATGTGTGGAGGGAATGCACACATCTCCGTCACCATATCCCCAAAGGGGAAAGCTGATTCTACTGAATGATTCGCAGCACTGAATGGGAATCTAGTGTTAAGTTGGTTCTGACAGTCGACACACCGCAGTGAGAACTGAAACCCCCATGGGGTAGGAAGTGTGGGAAAGAATTCACACATATTAACTACCGTGTCTAGCAAAAACTCCACATCAAGCAGCCAGATATATTAAGAGATTAAACAGAGGGAACTAAAAGAAGCACAAGAAAGCCAAGCAAACCTCCTGTTTTTGCAAACAAACAGGCTTTAGAAGCTGGTGGTAATGAAGAAATTTGCTAGCAAGGGTGATGAGTGGAGAGTCCAAGAATCTAACATTCTTTTTTCAAAACAGTGATGTAATCTTACCTTGGCTGCACATTTTTTTCTTTCTAAGGTATCTCATCTATTTCTATGGCTTAAACCAGAGGTTCCCAAGGATGGTAGGAGTTCGTGTCCCCAAGAGGGCACTTTAGAAATCCTTGGAGAAGTTTCTTGTCACAAAGATTGGGGGCACTCCTGACCTTTATTGCACAGGGCCCAGGGATGTCAGGTCCTGCAGAGCCTGGGACAGTCCTGAAGAACTAATTGTCCCGGGTTGGAGGAAAAAAACCTGTTTGTAAATATCAGTGTCTAGAACCCAGTGTTGTTTTATATGTAAACACAAAGTAATTTTTGGCATAGTCTTAATGTACAACAAATTTCCTAGGAATGCAATTACTGTGAAATGGAGAGAAAACAGTACTTTTCTTCACTGTTTGAGAAAATTACATAGCATTTAAATTGCCAACACACACTTGTGTCTGTCTGCATTTTGGGCTGTGGCATTGACAGTCATTCAGCTACTACTATAAGTGTTTGACTTTATATCTTCTAGTGCATCTGGCTGAACATTTACATATGAAGTCCATATTTTTAATATAAATTAGTTTCATTTCATTTTTCCTTTACCTTATAGTTGGAGGCTGAATTGACAGGTTATGCTGTCTTTACTTTCTCTAGCTTTTTAAATAAAAATTTCAAATATTCACAAAATTAAAAGGATTATACAGTGAACCCCCATATGCCCATCAGTTTATTCTTTCAATTTCTTTTTTTTAAAATTTTATTATTATTATACTTTAAGTTTTTGGGTACATGTGCACAATGTGCAGGTTTGTTACATATGTATACATGTGCCATGTTGGTGAGCTGCACCCATTAACTCGTCATTTAGCATTAGGTATATCTCCTCATGCTATCCCTCCCCCCACCCCACAGCAGTTCCTGGTGTGTGACGTTCCCCTTCCTGTATCCATGTGTTCTCATTGTTCAATTCCCACCTATGAGTGAGAACATGCGGTGTTTGCTTTTTTGTCCTTGCGATAGTTTGCTGAGAATGATGGTTTCCAGCTTCATCCATGTCCCTGCAAAGGACATGAACTCATCATTTTTTATGGCTGCATAGTATTCCATGGTGTATATGTGCCACATTTTCTTAATCCAGTCTATCATTGTTGGACATTTGGGTTGGTTCCAAGTCTTTGCTATCGTGAATAGTGCTGCCATAAACATACGTGTGCATGTGTCTTTATAGCAGCATGATTTATAATCCTTTGGGTATATACCCAGTAATGGGATGGCTGGGTCAAATGGTATTTCTAGTTCTAGATCCCTGAGTAATCGCCACACTGACTTCCACAATGGTTGAACTAGTTTACAGTCCCACCAACAGTGTAAAAGTGTTCCTATTTCTCCACATCCTCTCCAGCACCTGTTGTTTCCTGACTTTTTAATGACTGCCATTCTAACTGGTGTGAGATGGTATCTCATTGTGGTTTTGATTTGCATTTCTCTGATGGCCAGTGATGATGAGCATTTTTTCATGTGTTTTTTGGCTGCATAAATGTCTTCTTTTGGGAAGTGTCTGTTCATATCCTTCGCCCACTTTTTGATGGGATATTCTTTCAATTTCTAAGGCTTTTTGTTATATAAATGGGGCATTCAGTCCAAGGGGGTTGGCTTAAAGCAACAGCACTGGTGCTTGTGAGAGTATAACTAGAATGTAACTCATAAAGTATGAATGAACTTGGGTTTTCTATCTCTCAGGGTGGAGAGCCTGGAGCACTTTTTTCAGTGCTATCCTCCGTCGGGGGTTGTTTTCTTCCACGGGGTTCTACTAAAATCTTGGTGGGGTCCTGGACGAACCGGGGAGACTGTTCATTTACAATTCAAAACCTTTTATAATCTAGCCCCACCTGCATCCCCATCTTTTTTCCTTCCCCAAGTTGGGCTGAACTGGGCTACTTAGAATTAGAACCCTGGAGCGAGACTGCACATTCATGTTCACTATTTTTCCCTGGGCCTGGAGAGCCTTCCCCTACCTGTCTGACAGTTGAAATCCTGATTATTCTTCAGGACCTGATTTGGTCATCACTACATCTGCAAGACCTGCCCCAGTCCCCTATTCAGGAAGGATGTTCCCTCTCTGTTCATAACTCATTGGAACACGTTTTCCAAGCTAAACTGAAGCTATGTCTGTGTGTACGTCTGCCTCCTGAACTGAACTGAAGGGTCCTTGAGGGAAGGGTCCATCATTTTCGCATTCCGCCTGCTTAGCATCATCCCTTGCACACAGCATGTCTCAATAAATGCTTCTTGAATTTGACCGTTGATTCAAAATACAGGAGAAAGTAATAGTGTAGGTACCATAGTGGCTGATTCATGTGTTTTCAAAAGTTCAGGCTTGTTTAAACCCATAACAGGTTCTATCCATCAAAAAAAATGTTCTACTCACCAGTTCTGACTTAGAGAAATGTGGAAGCTATCAAAGAGAATTGATCAGTTTATAAAATATCTATGGCCCTGTTGGTCTATGAGAACAAAACACAATCGATACCATTATTAGAAAAGAACCAAAGGATTATAAAACAGAAATATAGGTTTGGGATTAAAATATGTTAAAAGAGTATTTTTGATACATGAACATCTCAAGAAAGATGAATCGTTTCTTATTCGTCTTTGTAGCTCCCTTTGCATATCTTAATATTGTGGCACACCACAGGCATTCAATTTCTGGATTGAATAATGTGTGTTGGGGAGTCACATTTTATTAGCTTATATTGAGTAGTACAAAGAAAAAATGATTTTACCCTGTCCTGGGTCTTGCAGTAAAAGCCTTTAATAAGTGCAGAGAAATTATACTTGTGCATTGAGCAGAATCATCTGCAAAGCTATGACTAAACAAAGTGCGTCTGGGCACATACAGAGCAGCAGAGGCTGTCCCCAGGGCAGAGACCATTCTGAACATAGTCCTTGTCATGATCAAATAATATCTGACATCACAATAGCTCTAATGTTAGCATCTGTTGGGTATTCAAATGGACTTATGAGGTATATTTTGGTACCAACAAGAGGAGTGCTTTCACTCAAATGAAAAGCATCTTTAGCTTTTCTCATCAATCAGAGGAAGATGGGTCGATGAGGTGTTTGTGGACCAATAAACTATCAGAAGAGACATTATTTTCAAGAGGCTTTTTTCATTATGAAGTTTCACCTACTCCATCTGCAGATTTAACAGGAGTACACAAATAGTGATGCCTCTTCCTTATAGTAAAACATGAAAGAGCATAAAATATTTATGTTGGCCAACAGGAAATTCGGCCTGAAGTGACACTTTGGTTTGCAGATGTACACCGAAACATTGCTGCACAGCTTAATGTCTCAAATTGCCTGTAAATGAAATTTTTGTTAAAAAATCAAAACAAAACAGTCTCCTTTTCAAAGGAGATGTGAATGTTTTATCTCTAATATGCTATGGTAACATGCTATGGTCAGAAAACATATGCTATAATAGGAGAATTTGCTCATGGTCATTTTCTGGATTAAATAGGAAATTGGAATTGAGAAAAGTATGCAAATAGATCCCACCTGTTGTTGATGAGATTATTAGGTCATTAAAATTTCCCTCTTCTTCAGAAATTTAAATTTCAAATCTTGCAACATTCTTGGATTGTTTTGAGCATTTTATTCATCACGTTACAGAAATCCGCTTGAAAAGAAATAGCTCCTTCAAGTCTTTCTGCCAAGACTTTTATATAATTCCAAGAAGAACCTGCTCTTTTCAATGCTATGGTATTGTGGTTTTTTTCTTCCAGTTTTAAAAATCAAGTTTTATTTTGATTTCTAGGGACATACCTTTAATTTCCTAGAAGTAAAAAATGTTTTTCAAAACAGCTAAATCCTTATGTACATGAATTCAGTAAAGGTGGTTCTTTTTGTTTTTGGTATTTTACAACTGAAGTGTTGTTTTTTTCTTTTGCAAATATGAAGGACAAAGTCTGGTCCTTTCTCAGAGAGAATATGCTACATGTAGTGGATTAGTGGCACTACAACTGCTATAAAGAACAGTTACCATTTGGATGTGTGTGAGAAACGCTGCTCCTCCTTGAATTAGAAAAGTCCCGCAGGCTTGCCTGGTTAAATTCTCTAAATGCATGAAATATACTTACATTCTGGAAATCATTAACTGCAATTGCTTCTTCAGCTCCACTTCCCATTTTAAAGGTCTCCAAGTTGTTCCCAGCGTCTATTTCCATTGACCCATCTTGTAATTTCCCATTGATACTCATGGTGTAATGGACATTGTAAATCTGAAAGTGAGCATAAGAGTTAGTGATGCTTTCTTTTTTGAGCAATTCAGGGCTTATCTTTAGAAGGGCAGTGTATGAGGTAGTGTCCATATGTTTCAGAGATACATGAGATAGTCCTTAATAATAATACATTTATATATGATGACTTCATTCATACAACAATCAGTTAATGCAATGATTTCCTTAAAAATACCTTAAGAGTAAAGACTTTGGTTGCCTCTGACACCTATTCCAATAGCTCCATAATTTGCAATGCTGGCTGTACTTTAGAAGCATCTGGGTAGACTCTCTGGGTACCATGCCTGGGTTTCACCCTGGACAAATCAAATCAGAAGCTGTGGGAAGGGCGCTTGGGCATAGGTCTTTCTTTTTCTAAAGCTCAATTCTATTATGCATCTGGGTTGAGCACTATTGATGGATAAATGGAAATTGAGGAGGCAGAAGGTTAATTGGGCTCCCAGCTGAACACGTCTGCAGTGGCACCTCAGTTTCACAAGTTGTTTTCATCCTTTGGTCAAGATTAGGCATGCAGTGTCTCAGGTATATGGTATATGGTATTAGGTATATGGAAAGGACTGCAGACAGGACCAGGGTATGCTTGATATAGAGCAGCATGTGTGGAGAGGAAGGCCAATGTGCATGTTTGTTTCAGCTCAAAATGGTAGTACTCCCTGAACGATTCTATGGGGCAGGCCCATGGTGCTGTAGGGCATTTTGTTATGAGATGTGTGGGGAGTGTGGAAGAGGGGAAGGGACCTGGCACTGCAGAAGAGCATCGGTCCAGTAATCAGGAAAACAGGTGGCCACACCACTCATCTCTGGATCTTGTGAGTTGCCACGAGTGTATAATGAAGTTGGACCTCATAGGTGGCTTTCATCTATGTCCTTAGAACTGTTGGGATCTCCCGGGCATGGCCTAGAGGTGAGGATGGCACTGTGGCACTCTGTTCTCTCCTGTCCATCCATAGTCTAACCAGAGTGGCTCTGCTTTTTCTGTCTTATGTGTTGCATTTCTGAGTAACATTTTGTTAGAAAGACAAATTTCAATACTTAAAACATTTCTTTTTTAAAGTTTGCCACTAATTAGCTGACCTAAAGGGCTCAGACACCTGATTACTGCACTGGTTTCAAAATAACTCAGACGCTGCTCCTGCTCAGTGTGCTGCTGTCCTGGTAGACCTTTCTGTGTGGCAGAGCTAGGAGGTGGGTTTCTTTTTTTTTTGGATTTAGATGCATAGGTATATCTATATATCTTACATATGATATATTACATATCATGTATAAATTATAGATTATATATACACATATATATAAATCTTTAAAGTGGAGGAATGAGAACTGATGAAAAACTGTTGCTACTTAATATCAGGTCAGCCAGTCAAAACTGCAAATAGCTCAGATCCAATTCAAGTCTGATTTTTCTTCCTCATTATGAAGAGTGACTGCTACATGCACAAACACTGGAAAAAGGATCTGTTATTGTTGGATCCATTTCTTGAAGAAAACTCATTATTACAAGACCCACAGTGCACTATTTTATTATCAGCAGAGATACAGAAATGGCTTTGCTATCCAGCACCCTTTTAGGAACAGCATTCATTCAGCAGGACAGAAAATACCAGTGTCCTTTTTCAGCTCAACCATCCCTCATTGCCCCTCCTTCCCTGTCTCTTTCTGAAGAACTTAGATGTCTGCAATTTACTGTCTCCTAGGCTTCCCTGATCACAAGAACCACTCCTGGGGGTTCTGATTTAGTGGAGCTAGAGCACAGCCCACCAGTCTCTTTTCCCCTTTCCCCTCAGGTGGCCCTTATGATCAGCCAGGTTTGGGAAACCTGTTTTCTTTGGCTGAGACGGGACTCCTGCAGGTGAAGTTTGGAAAGAAGGCTCTGTTCTGTCCGGTGCTCTCTGAGCAGCCAGTGTTCATATGGGTCAGTGATGACTGTCAGAAGGAGCCTGGCAGGAAACACCCATGTGAGTGTCTTCCACTCATATGACAAGAGGTTCTGTGTTTTTTTTTAAGAACATTGCACATAAGCTTTTACTAGTAAAGCAATGCAACATTTAAGAACATAACCATTTCTAAATTCTTAGCAGTTCTTAAGGAGATAAGGTTGTCACACTAGAAGAGTGGCCTGTGGTTTGAATTTCACATTCCTCCACCACTACCCCTGGCTGTCTTCTCCCCAGAAAGCCTCCCTAACTAGGTGCAGGGATAGCCAATCTTTTGGCTTCCCTGGGCCACAATGGAAGAAGAATTGTCTTGGACCACACATAAAATACACTAACACTAACGATAGCTGATGAATTTTTAAAAAAAATCTAAAAAAAAAAAAAAATCTCATAATGTTTTAAGAAAGTTTACGAATTTGTGTTGGGTTGTATTCAAAACCGCCCTGGGCCGCATGCAGGACCACAGATTGGACAAGCTTGACGTAGGGCATCTTGGTTGTGCAGCTGCGGCCCACCTTTTTTTTTTTTTTTTTTTTGAGATGGAGTCTTGCTCTGTCACCCAAGCTGGGGTGCAGTGGCACAATCTCGACTCACTGCAACCTCCGCCTCCCAGGTTCAAGCCATTCTCCTGCCTCAGCCTCCCAGGGAGCTGGGACTACAGGCATGCGCCACCACGCCCAGCTAATTTTTTTTTTTTTTTGAGACGGAGTCTTGCTCTGTCGCCCAGGCTGGAGTGCAGTGGCACAATCTCCACTCACTGCAAGCTCCGCCTCCTGGGTTCACACCATTCTCCTGCCTCAGCCTCCCAGGTAGCTGGGACTGCAGGTGCCCGCCACCAGGCCCAGCTAATTTTTTTGTATTTTTAGTAGAGACAGGGTTTCACTGTGTTAGCCAGGATGGTCTCCATCTCCTGACCTCGTGAGCCGCCCGCCTCGGCCTCCCGAAGTGCTGGGATTACAGGCGTGAGCCACCGCGCCCGGCCTTTATTTGCATTTTTAGTAGAGATGGGATTTCACCATGCTGGCCAGGCTGGTCTTGAACTCCTGACCTCAAGTGATCCTCCTGCCTTGGCCTCCCAAAGTGCTGGGATTACAGACGTGAGCCACCACGCCTGGCCTGCAGCCCACCTTTTATGTGCACTGCACCATCTGCATGGGGACAGCAGTGAAGCTGTCCCCCTCCTGAAGCTACTAGGGGAGGATGTGGGGGGAGGAGGCAGTCCAGTTTCTAACATACTAGACTCTGAGCTGGGGACGAGGCTGGGCTGTTGGAGCAGCAATTACCTTATCTGCTCTAAGTCCGTGGAGCTGTGGACACCCAAGGCTATTTTTATCCAAACAAGATGAAATTTATTATTTGCCAAAATTCTGCTCAATATGGTGCCTTTTACAGCCAAGGATATTTGCTAATGAGTTTTTAATAAGGCCTATGTTCTATAAGATTAATTACATAATGTTTGGGAAAATGTCTAGAAAAATTAGTCTGAGAGGAAAGGCCCCAAGCAATGATCTCCTTCCCTCATCTCACAGGGTGGGGTTGTCAGTTATCTCATATTGGTGGAAATTTCCCATATTTCAATGCCTTGTTCCATTTACAATAATGTGGATGAAAAATGGCCTCAATATTGGAGCCCAGTTCAGTTGTCCCCTGATTATTATTACTCCAGTGCTTCATAGTCCTCCAGCTAAATTTCAGTAAACCTGTCCTAAGGGGATTTACCCACATGAAAAGGATAGGAGGTGAATTACAGCTGGTTCTCCTCTATAAACCAATATAGAGGAGCCGAGGCACAGATAATCCCCAAAGAGTGGATAATCCATTTGGTTTGACAAGTCTTTCTGTTTGACAAAGACTTACCTTTTTTGATTACGTTTTGTCTGAGCTATTTAGATTTGTATTCAGGCAAAGCAGACCTGTGCATGTGCTATGCCTAGGTGGTGCAAAAATTACTCTATTTAGTATTTTGTGATTTGTTTTTCATACTTAAGTCATATGGATCAGGGAGAAAAAAACTATCATGATTTTCTTCATTCTCCTGTCTGTATAGGATATAGCAATAATTTTGATTGTTGACAATAAAATGTGATTCACTATTCCTCTGAATTCTTAGCATTTAATACTGCTCTCCTGAACCAGACAACCAACCATCTTGCAGTAAAGTAAAATATATGAAAAAAGGGAGCTGTGCTTATTCAGTATGATTGTTTAATCTCTCTTTTTAGAAGCCTGTCAGTTAGTGATGTTTACCTTGAATAATTAAATGACAAATGGTATTCATTTTAAAATATATCATGTCCAGAATCTTTACCAAAAAAAAGCATAGCTATTGTTATCCCCCATTGACCTATACCATTGAGGCTTTGTTATTTAAAAGATAGCATTTACATTCTAAAACCACAGAATTTCCCAAAGAGATGACAATCTAAACCCTGCTATTAATGGAGATGTAGATATTGAAATCATTCTCTTATTCACATTTGCTGTTTCAAACATGAGCATCTGGCCCAGCTTCTATATTTAAAATACAAATACATTAAGGCACTTTTCAAATACCCACAAAATACAGTGCAATTCTGATCTTACAAATCGATGCTTGTAAATTTGATATAGTCTCTAAAACAGACTCGGTGCTAAATGGCATGCTTATCTACATTAGACATTTGAGTTAAAAATACAAATTATGCAGTGACTGCAGAAGACGTGATGTGTAAAATGGTTGAATTGCTTTCAGCACCATTTTCTGTAAGTACTGGAATTCGTTCATGCTTTGCATTTCATGGTAGGAGAGAGGAAAAAACAGCAATCACCAATCCTCTGAGGATAGTGATTATGAAAGAGCCCTTTGTGTGTGCCCTGGAGATGGAATTCTTTTCCATTAGTTGAAATAAGCTTATACCAGACCTGGCAGTGGTCATCAAGATAAAATGCCCCCTTTTACATAGGTGAACACTTTCAGAGTATTTAGAGAACACACTGGAGCTCTGCCCAGTCAACTTAGAAACAGTCTTTATACTCCTCGAGAGCCGTGGAGCTTTAAAATAAATAGTTGCATACAAAGAAAGTAGGACAGCAGTTAGTAAAACACCTACTATTAAACCACATGTGATGACTAGGCCAGAATTAATTGTTAAAGAGATTTTCCACCTTTAAGGAAGTTAGACGTTTTGTTTGTTTGTTTGTTTTTTGTTTTTGTTTTCCAGAGAGAGAAGGGAATGTTCATGGCTAGGTCACAAAAAAACCTTCTGAAAGGCAAAAATTCCTTCCCAATGGGTCTGAATATGGGTCTGAATATTCCTCCACTATCTTTGTCCTGGATTTTAAACCCACAGCCTTTCTTAGCAGGGACAGGCCTTAGAGATCGTCCAGTTCCATTTTTTCCCTTCAGGACGAGTACACTGAGGCCAAAAGGTGACGTGCCTTCCCCACGGTCGCGCCACTGCTTAGTGGGAGATGAGCCGAGAACGGCCTTTCTCGGACCGTCCACTACATTCTCCCCTACTCTACGCTTCAATCTTCTCCCGTGAAACCTTCACTTGCTTTTCTACAACGTTGACCTAAGGCGGAAAGCCGCGTGCCAGAGTGGGATGGGAGAGGGGAGCTCACGCTGGGCCCGAGGGGCCCGCCGGCAGCCGCGCGCCCCTCGCCGGCCCGCGCTCGGGCTCCCCCTAGGGGCACCATGGGCGACACGGGGGTCCCCGCGCGCCGCCCTCTGGACTTACGTGACTGTCGCTCCCCTTCCAGAAGTAGAAGGCCCCGATGGCCCCAAAGAGCAGCAGCACAGCTCCCGAAATGAGGACCACGGCTCCCACCTTGAGCAGCCGCGCGGGGCTGGAGGGCTTCACCGTCAGCGTAGCGTACGCCTGCGGGCCGGGGCGGGAGAGGGACCGTCGCGTTTGTGCCGCCAGCACCTGCGGCCCCCAGCGCACCCGGGCCCCACGCGGTAGCCCCCAGGGAGTGGGGAGTCGGGCGGGAAACAGCTCGCCCGGGCTCCTACGGGTGCCCCTTTCGCCGCGCTCCCTCCCGAGGGTCCTTTGCAGTCGGGCGTGGAAGTGGGATGAGCAAACCCCGCAGCACAGGGCCTTCGCCCCAGGACCTGCACCCTCTACCGGCCACGGGACGTCCCTCCGCACCCGCCTGTGGATGCCGTGACCCCTGCACACTCATACGCGTGGGGCGACATCCCACCCACACATTTGGGACCCAAATTTATCCCCCCGCCAACACACCCATTCGGTGGCACGCACCCCTGAGTCCGAACTGTGGAACCTGATACTCACACAACCCAGGCCCTGCGTGTGGAATCCCTGGCGGTACTCACCGGGGGGCTGCAGAATTCCACGTCATCAGGTCCCACCAGGGCAATGGGAACTTTGTCGGAGTTCTCTGTCATGTTTGCGGCGGGAGGAGTGAGGCACTTGGAGACTCCCTGGGCACCCTGGGATCTGTCCCGCTGCCCCGACGTGCAGGGCATTTCAACGCCGCGCGCACACACGGTGCACGGTCCCGCCTGGGCCAGCCCAGCGGTCCCCACCCCTTCCAGCGCCTCACCTCTCTCCTCCCTTCTCTCTCCCGCCGCGGGAAGCTCGTCCTGCACTCCCGGATGCCCCCTTTCCTCCTCACTCTATCCTGTCTACTGGCCCCCCAAACAGCATCCCGGTGACTCTGAATGTGTGGGGGTGGTTGCATCCCTCAGAGCGGGATGCTGAATCCTGGGACCCAAAGAAATACTCAAGTGCCAGAGCAATTAGCCATGCACCGGAGGATGTCTTAGAATGTCAGCGGGCTCTGCTGTGACAACTGGCTGGAGGCCATTTCCTGCAGGGTCTTTGTAGGTGTGTGTTGGGGTGGGGGTGGGGGGAAGATGGCTCATGGAAGGTGAAGGAGAAGACAACAGAGTGGTGCAGGTGGACAGGGGACACTGGCCTAAGAGTGTAAGGGTTAGGCCACCTTCTCACTGGCCTGGCATTGCTGGATGGCCCCTGGGACTGGAAAACAGAGCAGGGTCTTAGGGATGGCTCCTTGCCACCAGTTTTTCTAGGGTCTGGGTACAACTGCAGCAAAAGTGAGAGCTAAGCAGAGCAGGGCTGGAGGGAAGGAGTTGGGGAGACCAGAATAAAAGTGCATGCTGGTTGGTTGAATAAATTAAATAAGTGCAAACAAAAGCAACAATGGCAAAGCACACACACACACACACACACACACACAGAGTACTGATGTATCCAAAGGAATAACACAAATGTGTGTGTGTGTGTGTGTGTGTGTGTGTATGTATGTATGTATATAAAATTTTCACTTTTGGAAATGCCATCTTCCAGTTCCAGGATACATGGTACTTCATTTGGATCCAGGCTTCCTTAAATTGCGTTCGATTCTAGCTTTGTGCAGAGCTCTCTGGTGAGGTGTAAGTGAGGAGCACTAGTGCATGAGAGGGATTGAGGCTTCCCCAAAGGGCAGCGGGAGATTGCATGTGCAGGACTGCAGAAGGAGAAAGTGTTGAAGAATCATCCAAGACATGTGATGAAGAATGAGGTGACAAGCATGATGACCTGGGGCTGGGAAGGAGGGGAGAAGTGGAGGAGACCACTTTCACAGAAGAATCGATAGGACTTGGCAATTCCTGGGCTGTGGGAACTGAGTTTTCAGACCTAGGAGGATTGGGAGAGTGATAGGAACCCTAGGGAAGTGAAAAAATTGGAAGAAACAGTTTTAGACATGTTGAGCTTGATGTGGGGATGAAAAGTAAAAGAGCCAAGGAAATGTCCTGAGCCTGCATTGGAATCAGCTATGGAAACAGCTGTCTGCACATCACACTAGACTTAAGGTGCTTGGAAAAAACTCCAGCAAGATCTCCAGCCAGGGCTCATCCCTGGGGCACTGCTGAGGCAGAGTTCAAAGACCTCTTTTCACAAGGGCATTCTTCACAGGAATTTTGGTGAAGGAATAAGAGAAGTAACTGTCAGAGAGGTGGGAGATGGTACAATATAAAGTAGTACATGTAATTTTAAAGGCACATTCAAGAAGGGTGGGTCAGCAGTGTCAAATGCTGAAAAAAAATGAGCACAGAGAAAGGCCTTGGAAGGGCACAACCAAGAGGCCATGGGAACCAGCGAGAGAGTAGTTCCATTTGCTTCCCTGGGCACAGAAGACACATTGCAAAGGGTTACAGAGTGATTAAAAATATTTGCAACTTATACCACAGACAAGGAACTAGTTTTCTTATATAGTGTTTTCCTAGGAAAACCAAAAGACCAAAAATGTAGTAGAAAAAATGGCAAAGAATGGAAACAGAGAGTTGGTGAAGCAAGAAGTAGAAATTTCTCTTAAATGTAAGAAGAATGAACAACAGCATTATTTTGCCTTTTTTTTTTTTTTTTTTTTTTTTTTTTTGAGACAGAGTCTTGCTCTATCGCCCAGGCTGGAGTGCAGTGGTGCGATTTTGGCTCACTGCAACCTCCACCTCCCAGGTTCAAGTGGTTCTCCTGCCTCAGCCTCCCAAGTGGCTGGTATTACAGGCGCCAGCCACCATGCCTGACTAATTTTTCTATTTTTAATAGAGGCAGGGTTTCACCACGTTCGCCAGGCTGGTCTCGAACTCCTGACATCAAGTGATCCGCCCACCTTGACCTTCCAAAATGCTGGGATTACAGGCATGAGCCACCACGCCTGGCCACAACTGCATTCATACAAGGAAATGCAAATTAAAAGTAGACTGGTTCACCTATGAGACTGGAAAAACATAAAAACGCTTGTTAAAACAATCTGTTGAAAAATATGAGGGGCAGTGAATTTATGGACTACTGTAGTGGGTGAATTGGTACAACTTCTATGGAGAACAATTTAATTCCAAAATGCAAAATGCAGTTTCATTTCTATGGATTTATCCTACAGATGCACTCACAAGGGTGGAAAAATCCTGCAGGTGCAACGATGCTCACTGCAGCATGTTTGTTAGAACAAAGCACTAGTAATATACTCAATGTCCAGAGTAGACAATTTATGATCCATTCTCACCGTGGGGGTTTGGCAGCCCTTTAAAAGAATGAGGCAGCTTTGGATGTAGTGATGTAGATAGAACACTCTCTAAGATACTTCAAGTGAAAAAAGCAAAAGGTAGAAAATGCGTAGAAATGCTTCCATTTGTATAAAGAAATACAAACAAGAATAAATGTAAGTATATGCTTTCTGGAAAGATAAGATGCTGGTAGTGGGGGTTGCCTCTGAGGAAAATGTGAAGCTTGGGGAGACCAGTAGAAAGAAGATGCTTAACTGTGAACCTTCTGAAATGTTTTGAATTCTATATTGTGAACACGCATTAGCTATTCAGGAATTGAGTGAATAAAGCACTAAATAACAGTGAGTAGGTGGGGAGGAAGTGAATGCTACAAATGGAGACAATTCTTTTAACAACTTTCAACTTGAGGGGAAGAAGGATGAATGTAAGGAAGTTTTAGATGAGGGGAGTTAGAGGATCAAGGAAGGTACCACCTTCCCTTGATGAACCTTGAGAAGGAGAGAAGGACTGGAGGGAGTGAGTGGTGAGTGGATACTTTGGGGCCAAACAGACATTGAAGAGAGGGTGAGGAATCAGGGGAAATGCAAGACCTTGCCTCATTCATACATTTTTAACACATAATATACAGAAAGTAGCTGACCAGGGCGTGAGGGGTGAGGAGTGGGTATGGAGATCAGTTGCCTCCTCTGAGCACATTCTCCTAAAGTGGCATATTTTCAACAATTTTAAGGTAGTGTGTTCACATGATGATGGTTATAGATAATGAAAAGGCAGTAGAAAAAGCAGTAAGGGAGCAAGACTGGGAGGCTCATTGCTGTGGTTTGAATGTGTTTCTCAAAATTCATGTGCTGGAAACTGAATTCCCAATGCAAGTGTTGAGAGGTGGACCTTTAAGAGATGATTAGGTCATGAGGGTTCTGCCTTTGTGAAAGGATCAATGCCACTGTTGCAGGAGTGGGGTAGTTATCATGAGAGTGGGTTCCTGATAAAAGGATGAGTTTGGCTCCCTTTCCCTTTCTCACATGGGCATGTGTTCTCTCATTCTTCCACCTTCTGCCACAAAGGCCCTCACCAGGTACAGCACCTTACTCTTGGACTTCCCAGCCTCCAGAACCATAAGCCAAATAAGCTTGGTTTATAAATTAACCGGCCTGTGGTATTCTGTTTTAGCAGCACAAAATGAACTTAGACACTCGTGAAGAATGAAATCAAAGGGGTGCCCCCTTTCACAGGCTTGCTTTCTTCTACCCACTCTGCTGCTGGGCCCACCTGTAGGCCCATTCCCTGGAAGTTATAACCCAACTCTGCTCTCAGGCACTGTGCCAGGTCTGGGTACACAGTAATGAGCACATGAGACATGGCCCCTGCTCTTGATGAGCTTATAGAATAGTGGAAAACATGGTCATTAAGCAGGTAATCACAAAATATGATGTCATTGCATTTGTAACACACAGTATGAGGGAAAAACATAGGCTACACTAAGATCATATAACATCTAATTTACCCTGAGTGGGGAATGGGGAAAGCACCTGAAGAAGTGTCATTTAGGTTGAAAACCGAGAGAAGGGGAATTTTCCAGGTGGAGATGGGTGAAAGGGTGTGGGAAATGTGGAGGGACAGCATGTTAGAAGGCCATGAAATGGTAGAGTTTGGCATTGGAAAAAGGGAAAGCTAGATCTTAAAGAATAAAAGAAAGAATGGCCAGAGATGACACTACAGAGAGAGACAGTTACCTTGGCTAATAAAGTCTTCTAGGCTATGTTAAGAATTTTGAAAAATTTCCTCTCAGTATCAGGAAGTCATTGAGGGGTTTAAAGCAGTGGAATGGTGTGATCTGGTTTGCATTTTAAAAATATCATTTTGGCCACTGTGGGGCAGAATAATCAAACTGGAGTGGGCAAAGTAGAAGGGGTAGTTTTTTTTTTTTTAAATTTTTAATTTTTATTTTTTTGAGACAGAGTCTCTCTCTATTGCCTAGGCTGGAGTACAGTGGCATGATCTCGGCTCACTGTAACCTCTGCCTCTCGGGTTCAAGCAATTATCCTGCCTCAGCCTCCCGAGTAGCTGGGATTACAGGCGCCCGCCACCACACCCAGCTAATTTTTGTATTTTTAGTAGAGACAGGGTTTCACCATGTTGGCCATGCTGGTCTCAAACTCCTAACATCAGGTAATCTGCCCGCCTTTGCCTCCCAAAATGCTGGGATTACAGGAGTGAGCCACTGCGCCTGACCTTATTTTAATTTTTTAAAGCCAGGGTCTGGCTCTGTTGCCCAGGCTGGAGTGTAGAGACTCACTGTAACCTTGAACTCCTGAGCTCAAGTTTTCCTCCTGCCTCAGCTTCCTGAGTAGCTACAACTACAGGCATGCACCATGCCTGATTAATTAATATACACATGTATTTATTTTGTAAAGGCAGTGTCTCGTGACGTTGCCCAGACTAGTCTTGAACTGCTGGCCTCAATCGATCCTCCTCCCTTGGCCTTTCAAAGTGCTAGGATTACAGGCATGAGCCAATGAACCTGGCCCAGAGGCAGACTTTTTGGGAAGCTCTTGCAGTGGTCCAGGCAAGATATGATGTTGGTCTGAACTAGAATAATTGTAAGTGATATAGATGGGAAGAAATATTAATCCGAAGGAGTCCATTAGGATTTCAGATCCATGCTGGAGGTAGAATCAACACGCTCTGGAGACTGGCTGAGTGTGAGGTGAGTGAGGGAGGAAGTCAGGATGACCTCATGTATCAAGCACAAACAACTGAGTAGATGTAGAAAGCACCGGATGAGTTTTGGACATGTTAAGTTGAAGAGCTGTGAAAATTCAAGTGCAGATGTTGTACTTGATAGTGCCAGTAAATAAGCCGAGAAGACCATCTGCTGAGACAAAGAGGCTGGAGGAGCCAGCAGGGCTTAGGGAGTGTGGGAGAAGTTGATATCAGTTGTATGAGGAATACAAGAAAGAATTTATAAGAGCAGCGACCATTTGGGGCTGGAGAACATGAAGGAGCCAAGACTCCCCATCAGCACTGAACGAACAGAGCAGGTTAGAGGAACCTGGAAGATGTTGGGGGTATTGGATTTTTTTTTTTTTTTTTTGAGACGTGTCTCGCTCTGTCAGGCTGGAGTGCAGTGGCGTGATCTTGGCTCACTGCAACTTCCGCCTCCCAGGTTCAAACGATTCTCCTGCCTCAGCCTCCCGAGTAGCTGGGACTACAGGTGCATGCCACCATGTCTGGCTAATTTTTGTATTTTTAGTAGAGACGGGGTTTCTTCATGTTGGCCAGGCTGGTCTCCAACTCCTGGCCTCAAGTGATTCTCCAGCCTTGGCCTCCCAAAGTGCTGAGATTACAAGCGTGAGGCACCGTGCCCGGTAGAGTATTTGATATTGAAGTCTGTCTTGAGAAGGAGAGAGAGTCAGGGGCTAGGTAATTTTAGAATCTGGGTTGGGAAGGAAAGTCCACGAAGTGAGGAAGGGTTCATGAACCAGGAATAGGGAAGGACTGGCATGATGATGGTGTCTGGATGGGACAGGAGAGGGAGAAACTAAGAAGGTTGTAATCAGAGAAGGAGAACTCAGACTTTGAGATTTTAGGGGTGGACCAATTTTGCGTAAAAATGTGGTCTAAAGTGTGGACTTACTAACAAAGGATTGGAGCTGATGACACATCTAGGAGTTGAGGATATTGAAGGAAAAGTGTTGAAATTAGCCTGCATTTTGAAGTTGCTGTTTTCATCCATTCAGGCTGCTATAACAAAATACCTTAAATGGGATAACATATAAGCAATAGAAATTTACTGGTCACAGTTCTGGAGGCTTGGAAGTGCAAGACCAAGGCACCAGCAGACTTTCTCTAATGAGGGCTCCAGACTCTGGTTCAGGATGGAACTTTTTCACTGCATCTCACACAGAGGAAGGAGCAAACAAGCTCCCTCAGTCCTCTTTATAAAGACACTAATTTTAGGAGCCCGTATGACTCACCATCTTCCAAAGGTCCCTCGTCCCAGTACCACCACATTGGGGATTAGGTTTCAACATATGAATTTGGTAGGGAGGACACAAACATTTATACCACAGCAGTTGCTGTGGGCATGATAGGGACCCGACAGGGAAAAAAACAAAAAACCTGTGAGGGAGTTGCAGAAGTTGTGACAGAGAGTGGCAGAATGTTCTCTGTGGAACTCCCTAGCCAGAGATGAGAGAGAGAAGAAGGTGGTATGAATGGATGCGTGAATCTCAGAAGAAGAGATTTTGCAGAGAGAGGGGCCTGGAACAAAGTCCTGGAATGGATGGTGGAGAACCAGAAACAGCCCCTTGTCTCCTGGGAATCCATACAGAGCTTCTCTCTTTCAGAAGGTTTAGGGAGCAATGGAGAGCTCCAATTCATGGCACTGTTATTGTAGTTACGTTTACATACAGCTTTCCATCACTACTGCTTTCTGAACACTCTGGCGTTTAGATTAGGAGAAGGGGGGTGCTTAGGGACAAGTGGTTTAAGATAAAGGAGAGCCTTTAAGGGAATTCTACTGTGTCACTAACATAATTGCTCCAGTCAAGCAGCTGAAGCATCTCTAGAATTTTCAGATGTTGATATTGATGTTTACAACTTAGGTGGAGGGGAGGTGAGAGGGCATTGATGTCTGGCTGTCATAGGCAATTAACTTCTTTTTTTTTTGAGACAGAGTCTCGCTCTGTCTCCCAGGCTGGAGTGCAGTGGCGCGATCTCAGCTCACTGCAACCTCTGCCTCCCAGGTTCAAGTGATTCTCCTGTCTCAGCCTCCAGAGTAGCTGGGGTTACAGGTGCACACCACAATGCCTGGCTAATTTTTGTATTTTTAGTAGAGACAGGGTTTCACCATGTTGGTCAGGCTGGTCTCGAACTCCTGACCTCGTGATCTGCCTGCCTTGGCCTCCCAAAGTGCTGGGATTAGAGGCCTGAGCCACCACGCCTGGTCCGGCAATTAACTTTTTGTGCATTATTACAGACCCTACATCCTTGTGCCAATGAACTGGCTCAAAGGCTCTATTTGCTTTTCCTTTTCTACTTCCTGTCATCTAGCCTATTTGGAGGTACTGCAGGGAACATTTTTACATTGGCAAAATAAAAAAAATTGCACTGATGACAGATACACTCCAGAAAAAATAATGTCATATTCCAAAGCTAAATACCAGGTATTCATTCATTATCTGCCTTTTGGAATCATCAAAACAGGGTTACTTCCCTTTAGTTTAGCAAATTTTGAGCCTTTTGAAAGTATATTAGTCTACACTCAAATACCAGAGTGTGCAGGACCTGCACAGAGCATAGTGATATAAGACTATGTAAAAATAATTGGAGCTATGCTCTGCCCCTGCACCCCTCACGGCGACTGTATCTTGGCTTGTGGGCTCCATCTCACCCTTCCGCTCTCAAGAACTCAAACCCCTTTCAGGGGAGCTTTATGAGGCAGTTGTCTCTGGGATGACACAAGAACCTCCTCACTCTCTTCAATCTTGCTCCTTTTCATCTCTTCACCCTGTAGCGACATCATCTTTTCTGAAGTGCAACTCACATCCACTCGCACCTCTGCTCAAGACCCTTCTGTGGCTTCTAGTTCCATCAGAGTCAAGTCCAAATGCCTTTGAAGCACATCTGAAGCTCTGGTCCCTTCCCTGCTTTCCTCTTGGCCTGTTTAATTGCCTGTTGTCCCCACCAGACCATCATGTAAGCTTCTGGGAGTTCAGGTCTGTGTCTTATTTACTGTTGTTCGTTGGGCAGATGGATAGTAAATTAATACAGAAAAAGAAAAGCGGGCTGGGCATGGTGGCTCACGCCTGTAATCTCAGCACTTTGGGAGGCCGAGGTGGGTGGATCACTTGAGGTCAGGAGTTTGAGACCAGCCATGGCCAACATGGCGAAACCCTGTCTCTACTAAAAATACAAAAATTAGCTGGGTGTGATTGTGGGTGCCTGTAATCCCAGCTACTCTGGGGGCTGAGGCAGGAGAATCGCTTGAACCCGGGAGGCGGAGGTTGCAGTGAGCTGAGATCATGCCACTGCACTCCAGCCTGGGTGACAAGAGCGAAACTCCATTTCAAAACAAAACAAAACAAAACAAAACAAAACAAAACAAAAAAAAGGAAAAGAAAAGAAAGCAGGGCAAGGACCATTGAAAACATGTGCCAAGTCATTGTACAGAAGACCTTGCTGAAGAGGCTCATGTTCCTTGTAAATTGCCACTGCAGAATCATGAATGGGCCAGTCACCTATGGTAAGAGTACTTAGGTGACCAGTGGCCATCATTTTAGGTAAAAACCAGAACTTCTGCTTTGACAGAGGATTTTTGTCTTGCTTTCAAATAGTAGAGGTAGTCTGAGAAATGTAGTTTGGATTTTTGACTATTGGAATTTTTGGAATATTTCAATGATTTATGGGGATAATGGCAGAGAAAATGAAGTATTAGAATGAGCCCAGAAAATCCAGGACCTGTGATCACACATCACAATGATCATGAAACTGTTGTTGCCTAAACTGTATGACCCGTGTTGTGTTTATTTTGTGAATTCCTGATCCTGATCCCCTTTGTAAGACAGCAAGCTCCTGGCTTGCTGGGGACTGTCTTCTACATCGTAGGAACTTACCCATGTTTAACATGGTGTGTTGAATGCAGTAGATTGTTGGTAGATGTTTATTGAATGGCTGAATAGGGACTAAGTCAGTTACCTCCTTGGTGCCACAGATGATTGCTCAGGGGAATGGAGACAGACTATTTGGGAACTTCTAGACACTGTTCACAACAAAGCAATTACCACCTAAGCCCATCAATGGGACTTACCCTGGATTTCCCCAGAGAACAGCACATCCAATTAATAGTTTATTCAAAACGACTCTAACTTTTGTGACTTGCCTTGGAATCACCAAGGAGAATGGGCCAGGCCGATAATTTTCAACCAATCAGTATGTTTTTTTCCAACCATAGTCACCCAGATACCTTTTTCTGTCAAATGTGGAAAACTTCTAAGAAGAATTAGGACTGTGAAAATAGGAAAGCTGACTGAATTCTCTGTGCTGAAAGTAATAAAAATAGGAATGGAGAGAAATGAAGATGGGGAGCATTCTGAAGGGTCATTAGGTCTGGCTCCTCTTTATCATTGTTGAATAGTTATTGAGTGTCAACCCACAGCGGGCACAGTAAGCGGGTAGGATCCCTGCACAGTGAGTTAATCCATATGCAAACACAGTGACCCCAATTGCTTTGCAATCGTGAGCCACATGGCCTGTGCCCTTAAAATACATCATTTGGGCAGCTGCCAGAGGGTTGATTTATCCCAGCTGGCCAGAAACAGCCCCGAGATCATCAGCACTTTTGTTAATTGAGAGAGAGGGGCAGAGGAATCAAGATATTCCTGGGCACCAAGCATTCATTAGCCACCTGGCCTCCCTAAATTATGATCCTGCCATGATTTTCCCAGTGCTTCGACTGAAATTTTAATATTTGGAATGTATTAATAACTCAGAACATGTCATTTCCTAAATAAACGATGCCCTTCTGGACTCATTGGAGAAGAGAGCCCAGAGAATGGTTGAATAGCACAGATATTGGCTACCCAGTGAGATGAGCAGTGCGGGGGTGACCCTGGAAGTTCTATCCACAAAGCAAATACAAACAGATGCCATATATGAATGGACCTCTGGGTTAATACCCCGGCTTTCTATGCATTTGTTCTATTCACGTAGCATCTTAACAGGGCCAGCCCCAGGAAAAATGGTGAAATAGATGATAATAGTAGCTAGCAATTCTAGAGCACTTACTATGCACATGCCACGTAGATTACACGAGACCCCCACAGGGCACTGGTACATCTCATGGGGATGTTTGCTTCATAAAGGCAGGGACTTAGTCTGTCTTAATCACCTTTTTATAATCCCCAGCACTGAGAACAGTTTCTGGTACACAGTACCTGCTCAATAAATATCTGGCAAGTGAATAAATGAGTCTCCATGTTAGAAGAGGTAGTTGAGGTATAGCAGAGTTGGTAACCTGTCCAGGTTGTACAACTCTAGAAAGTGACAGAAGCAGGATTCATAACCTTGTTCACCACCAAGAGGATCCTCAGGCATCCTCTTGTCCTGGGTGCTTGAAGCCCAATCAGCCTCCCATTCAGGTCTGTTTCCATCAGTGCTTTGTTCTCAAATATTAGCCCTTGTTATAGACCGAATGTTTGTGTCTCTCTAAAATTCATATGTTGAGCCCTCACCCCCAATGTGATGGTACTTGGAGGTGGGACCTTTGGGAGATGATTAAGTTTAGATGAGATCACAAGGGTGGAGAGCCCATGATGGGATTCATGTCTTTGTAAGAAGAGAAAGAGAACCAGAGCCCACCCTCTCCACCATGTGAGGACACAGTGAGAAGGTGGCTGTTTGCAAACCGGGAAGAGAGCCCTCATCAGGAACTGAATCTGCTGGCACCTTGACATTGAACTTTATAGCTTCCAGAACTGTGAGATCTAAACATCTGTGATTTAAGCTACCCAGTCTGTGGAATTTTGTTATAACAGCAGCCTGAGCAAACTAAGGCAACTTTTCAGGCTGACTCATCAGAATTTACCTATCCTGTATCCTATTCATTTAGGACTCTGCTTTCTACCATCCACCATCCAGCTGGGGATATGACCAGCTTCCTGCCTCCCCTTTCTGCTCCCTCACCCCTCCAACATCTCTGTAGTACATCAGAGTTTACAAAGAGAGTTCACATGCAAGATTTCACATGAAGCTCAAAACCTTGTCAAACAGGCAGATAGTCATTACTATCCCCATTGTACAGATAATAAACTGAATTTGGGCAAGATCAAGGGAGTTACCACAACAACATAGCAAAGACTAGGACCCAGGTCCCCTGACTCCCTAGCCCAGTGGCTTCTTCCTCAGGTCCACCTTGTAGATGATATAATAATATGTCATTCACTCAAGAGTGGGTTGCAGTGTAACTAGAGGCTGATGGGGAAATGGTATGTCAACTTACACAAATGACTCCCCTGGGGCAGCATTTTTGGCAGGTGAGCTCAGAGATTTGGAAGTACTTCAGGTGAATCTGAGTTTGCAGGTATCTATTGTTCTACTCCTAAGCCTGGGGCAGGATCATTTGAAAATGAGCTGCCAGACCAGACTCGGTGGCTCACGCCTGTAATCCCAGCACTTTCTGGGGTGGATCACAAGGTCAGGAGATCAAGACCATCCTGGCTAACACGGTGAAACACTGTCTCTAATAAAAGTACAAAAAATTAGCCGGGCGTGGTGTTGGGCGCCTATAATTCCAGCTACTCAGGAGGCTGAGGCAGGAGAATGGCGCAAACCCGGGAGGTGGAGCTTGCAGTGCGCCGAGATAGCGCCACTGCACTCCAGCCTGGGCGACAGAGCAAGACTCCGTCTCAAAACAACAACAACAACAACAACAACAACAACAACAACAACAACAACAGCAAGAGTATACCGATTTTTGGCTCCAAGGAAATCATCCAAAAGAAGAGAAAAATTAATAAAAATGAAAATGATCATTGTGGAGTAATTCATAATAAAGAAAAACCAGAAACAACTTAAGAGTGAGTAGTTAAGTAAATTACATTGTGTCAATTTGATGGACTACCATATAGTCACTAAAAATTGTAATTATGCAGACTGTGTAGCATCATAAAATGTGATGATATAATGTTAAACATGCAGAGTGGAATAGCAAATTGCAAGTATACTTGATTACAACTCTAAAAATCATGTTTACATGTGGGCAAGGATTGGAAGCAAGAAGAATGGAAAGAGATGAGTTTGGCCGGTGGGACTGTAAGGGATCCCCCTTCTTTTTGAATTTGTGTTATGTTGATCTTGTTTGTACCATCTTAAAAGGATGCTGTTTGGCCCTTTTGGGGACAACTTTCAAGATTGTCAGTCCCAGGAAGGCAGATAAACAACAACAAGGACTGCAATTCTTGATTATACCTCATTGCTGGGTCTCTCCTGGGTGCCTGGCTCTGCTGGTGGGAATTCTCTGATCCACCCTGAGCATGGCTGTTTGCACAATTGCTCCCAAATAGAGCGTTGCTGCAGAAACTCAATCATGGGATGAATATTTATATGTAAGTGTGATCATATTCACAGCCATTTACTATATATTTTTTTCATTTAAAAACAACTCAAACACAGACTGAGAAACCTTTTACTTGGAATGTTGTACAGGGAATTGCTTATTAGGGTGTAGAAGTTTGAACGAGATGATCTCAAAGACCTGCTGAAACTGAGTCTAACTCATGAACCGTGTGACCTTTATACACACACGTAGAAGCTGTCAGTTATTCATAGCTATTTTACTGGTCCAGGCAGATGTAACACATCATCTAAGGAACACCATGCTGGCATGGACTGGCCAGGCTCTGGAGTCCACTAGCCCTGGGGTCAAATCCCAATTCTCCCACGGACAAGCTTTGTGACTGTAGATGAATTACTTTTTTTTTTTTTGTGAGACAGAGATTCACTCTTGTTGCCCAGGCTGGAGTGCAATGGCGCGATCTCGACTCACTGCAACTTCCACCTCCTGGATTCAAGCAATTCTCCTGCCTCAGCCTCCCGAGTAACTGGGATTACCGCATCACCACTCCTGGTTAATTTTTGTAGTTTTTTTCAGTACAGATGGGGTTTCACCATGTTACCCAGTCTAATCTTGAACTCCTGACCTCAGGTGATCAGCCCGCCTTGGCCTCCCAAAGTTCTGGGATTACAGGCGTGAGCCACTGAGCCCGGCCTACTTTTTTTCTTTTTTTTGAGACGGAGTCTGGCTCTGTTGCCCAGCCTGGAGTGCAGTTGTGCGATCTCGGCCCACCGCAACCTCTGCCTCCCGGGTTCAAGCAATTCTCCTGTCTCAGCTTCCCAAGTAGCTGGGAATACAGTCATGTGCCACCACGCCCAGCTAATTTTTTTGTATTTTTAGTAGAGATGGAGTTTCACCATGTTAGCCAGGCTGGTCTTGAACTCCTGGCCTCAAGTGATCTGCTTGACTTGGCCTCCCAAAGTGCTGGGATTACAGGTGTGAGCCACTGCGCCTGGCGAACGAGTTACTTTTTATATCTCTGAATGTCAGATTTGTCATCTGTAGAATCAGAACATCAAAACTTATCCCTATGGGCAACATGGTGAAACCCCGTCTCTACTAAAAATACAAAATAAGCTGAGCATGTGGCGCATGCCCGTAATCCCAGCTACTCAGGAGTCTGAGGCAGGAAAATCACTTGAACTTGGGAGGCAGAGGTTGCAGTGAGCCAAGATGGCACCACTGCACTCCAGCCTGGGCGACAGAATGAGACTGTCTCAAATAAACAAACAAAAAAAACAAAACACCTATCTCTGAAGGTTATTGAGAGCACAGAAGTGAGCTAACACGTGGAGATGCCCAGTGAGAGTGGCCAGCATGTAATAGGTGCTGAGTTAAATGAAGATGCACGGTAGTGGCAGAGTGGAGCAAGCTGGTGGGCTTTCACACATGGAAGCACAGGAAAAGTGAATTTTAAGCAGGGATTAAAAAGAGCATATCAATATCGTAGAAACAGAAGACTGCTGATAACATATGCCACGACATAAAGGAAAAGCTGGGAGTTACTGCCAATTTGCAAATGGCAAAAATACTGTTTCTCCTGGGAGCAGCTGTAGCAAAAACAAATGTGAACAATCAAGAGGTTCCTAACTTTTCATTTAATTGCAAAAAAAAATCAAATACGTAATCTGAGAATCACCATAGGCACCTGCTCTACCTTCTCTTGCTAAGCCAAGAGAGATCTCATCTGCAGCGATGAGTTCAGCCTTTCGTGCTGCATTTCAAATAAAAGCTTCCCTAATAAGCTGGCTTCTCAGATTGATGCCAGCTACATATACCATGTGAGCTATTTTCTGTTTTAAATCCCTGGCAGTTCTCTTGGGACCAAGATTTCCACTGACGTTGAGATTCGGTATTAATTCAAAGACTACATAAGTTACATAAGAATTAGAGAAACGAAAACAGAAAAATGATGGACTTTTATAACACACTATTAAGTTTTTTTTCCCTCATCCCTACTTTCACTTTGTTTAGGAAAGTAAAGATGTTGAAAAGAAAAAGTGGCACCTATTATTTTGTATAAAACATAAAAAGCAATAAACCATTTTGATTTCTCAAAACTATACCCTGAGCCTGTAAGAACCTTCGAATATATCAGAAACGTGGAAACTAAACTAATGAGCGTGCTCCATGAAGAGATTAAATACAGTATATGGTATTTTCAGAGTCAACAGAAAACCCACTGGGCATTTGTGGCATCTGAAGATTGGTTTTATGAAACCTACTGAGCCAAGTTTTGTGCTGAAGTCAGACCTCTGAAAAAAGTTGGACAGAGGCACTATTCACAGTACTTGGGGATTTGTATGGAAACAGTTTACAGATTTTCTGACAACCTTGTCTTTCAATTCAGATGAATGAAGCACTACTGTTTGGTCATGAGCAACTTTAATAAAAAAAGTTGTCACCAAAGCTGTTTCTCATTGGGTGCAAGTGTGGGGAAATGACAGTCTTTAAATTTTGCTTGAAAAATGAAATTATACCAGACACCAAAATCAATGCCAAAATAAAGTTAACTTTGAATTAAAAAAATAAGAAAAGTGACAGAATGCTATGTTAGGACTAATAACCTTAGGACTTTGTTAATAGATTCGTTCTTGTCTCCTACTTGGACCTTGATTTAGATTACTCTAAGAGGAGTGTTTAGGGTCTTCAGGACAATGGGATATTTTGTAGGTGGCCGCTTCAGTGTTGCTTTGAAACTACCCTACTGCATGCTTTCAATTCAACATATTGACCTGGTGGAGGGCTTAGTGATGGCATATCGAAGCATGCTGAGGTCTTCTAAAATCACAGGTCTTGGTTTCAATGTAAAATTTCAAATATTGTGCTATATATGAATGTACTTGCCTCAGTCCATTCGGTGCTGCCATTAAGGAATTATTGAGGCTGTGTAATTTATTTAAGAAAGAGGTTTATTTGACTTTCAGTTCTGCAGGCTGTACAAGAAACATGGCCCCAGGCCGGGCGCCGTGGCTCTTGTCTGTAATCCCAGCACTTTGGGAAGCCGAGGTGGGTGGATCAGTTGAGGTCAGGAGTTCGAGACCAGCCTGGCCAACATGGTGAAATCCTATCTCTACTAAAAATACAAAAATTAGCCAGGCGTGGTGGCAGGCGCCTGTAATCCCAGCTACTCAGGAGGCTGAGGCAGGAAAATTGCTTGAAACTGAGAGGCAGAGGTTGCAGTGAGCCGAGATCACGCCACTGCACTCCAGCCTGGGTGACAGAGCGATACTCCGCCTCAAAAAAAAAAAAAAAAAAAAGGCATGGCCTCAGCCTCTGTTTCTGATGAGGGCCTCAGGCTCCTTCCACTCACGGCAGAAGGGGAAGGGGAGCCCATGTGTAGAGATCACATGGCCAGAGAGGAAGCGAGAGAGAAACGCAGACGGGTGCCGGGCTCTTTTCAACAGTCAGCTCTCACAGGAATTAATAGAGTGAAGACAGCACCAAGCCATTCATGAGGGATCTGCTCACGTAACCCAAACACCTCCAATAGGCCCCACCTCCAACACTGAAAATCAAGTTTCAACATGAGGCTTGGAGGGTTAAATATCCAAACTATAGCTATACTTCTGTATGTTAAGACTTCTATAGTTTCTAAGGCATCTTCTATTTGTAAATCAGTTTAAATGGGCTGTTGGGTAGACAATTGCTCTAATACCCAATGAGCTGAAATAATCAACATGGAGCCCAAGGATGCTAAGGATTTCAAAATATCCAGCCCAACAAATGTCAGTTAAGAGGGAAGAAGATTTATTTCTCTATTCTTTTCAAGGCCAGGTGGTTTAGCAGAAAGTGCAATGGATTTGTAGTCAGTAGACCTGGATTTGAATTCTAGTAGAAAGAGAGTGAGACTTGGAATCTGGGATGTGGGTATTGAATTGACCAATCCTAGCAATGGTGAGACCTTAAAAAGGAAAACTTTCTTACTTCTCAAAGCCTCAGTTTACTTCTGAGAAATGGGCCTACTAGTAAACATTGTTCTAACAGGACTATAGGGAGAGTTCCACAGGATATGATGAATTTAAAAGCTCTTTGTGTCTTGTAAAGCACTATACTAATTTAGCCATTGTTCTTACTAGTTGTGTGACCTCGGACAAATCTCTTAGCTTTTCTGAGCCCTAGTTTCCTTCTTTGTAAAATGAGGAGAGTAACAGGAGCCTTATCCATCTCATAAATGTATCTTAAAGCTCCAAACAAAATGATGTGAAAAAAACTGGGTACTCTGCAAAATATTATTTTAACAACTTTTTCTTTTTCTTCTTGGTTTCTTTTTGAGACAGGATCTCATTCTATCCCCTGGGCTGGAATGCAGTGTGATCACAGCTCACTGCAGTCTTGACCACCCCAGCTCAAGCAATCTTCCCACCTTAGCGTCCGGAATTGCTGGGACTACAGGTGCCACTATGTCTGGTTAATTTTTAAACTTTTTTTTTTATAGAGACAGGGTCTTGCTATTTTGCCCAGGCTGGTCTGGAACTCCTGGGCTCAAGTGATCCTCTTACTTTGACCTCCCAAAGTACTGCGGTTACAGGCATGAGCCAATATGCTTGGCCTAACTTTTTCAAATTAATTTAAGAATATTTAAGTGGAATGCCCTAAGTATTATAAACTTCGGGATGATTTGATGATTTTATATCTTGTCGAATGCTGCCATTCGTTTAATTTGATCTACAGGTGATTTTCAAGATTTTAATAATCCCTTAAATAGCCAAAGGCATAATTATATTGGTGGCTTAGCAAAATGATGTTCTCTTGTTACTATGGAATTGTTTTCAACTACTTACGAGACAATCCCCTCTTGAAAGTCGACCCATCACTGTACCTACCTTTTCTCCTTTTGGTGGTGGATATCGTCTGTTTTCTAACTTCTCTATTTGCTTCAGTGATGACACATACTAGGGAGCCAACACTAGTTCCCTCATTATTCCTTTCACCCTTTGCGAATCTGGAAGAGATGGTCCCTGCTAAAAAGTTGGCATTCGTCACACAGTTTTTGTGGAACAGAAGAGCCTCTGACACACTATGGAAACAGACACATTAAAAATACCTAGATAGGGCCAGGTGTGGTGGCTCATGCCTGTAATCCCAGCACGCTGGGAGGCCGAGGGGGGCGGATCACGAGGTCAGGAGTGTGAGACCAGCCTGGCCAATATAGTGAAACCCTGTCTCTACTAAAAATACAAAAATTAGCTGGGCATGGTGGCACACACCTGTAGTCCCAGCTACTCAGGAGGCTGAGGCAGGAGAATTGCTTGAACCTGGGAGGCAGAGGTTGTGGTGAGCTGAGATTGTGCCACTGCACTCCGGCCTGGGCAACAGAGCGAGACTCTGCCTCAAAAAAAAAAAACAAAAAACCTAGATAGGTCAGGCGGGCGCGGTGGCTCACACCTGTAATCACAGCCCTTTGGGAGGCCAAGGCGGGCAGACTACTGGAGGTCAGGATTTCGAGACCAGCCTGGCCAACATGGTGAAACCCTGTCTCTACTAAAAATACAAAAAATTAGCCAGGTGTGGTGGCGCCTGCCTGCAATCCCAGCTACTTGGGAGGCTGAGGCAGGAGAATTGCTTGAACCCAGGAGGCAGAGGTTATAGTGAGCCAAGATCGCACCACTGCACTCCAGCCTGGGCAAAAGAGCAAGACTTTGTCTCAAAAATAAATAAATAAATAAATAAAATTAAAAAATAAAAGAATACCTAGATAGACAGGACTGAAGAAATTGCATGTGTGCATCTTTGAAGAAAAACCTCTCCTTGCTGTGCAGTAACATTGTAGCCTTTGTGGTATTTTATGAGCTTTCAGTGCCAATGTACCATAATGTTCACATAAGAGCCAATGTGCCTTGAAAGATTCTGTCACTGCCTTTATTCGGAGAGGGCTGGCTCAGCCCAGCTGAATACATATCCTTTCTTTAGAGAGGAGCCCCAAGACAGACACCGTTGACATTATCTTCACACTTTCAAATAAAGCAGTCCTTGGTGAAAGGCGATCTTGTTCCTATCCCAAGATCTATCAATATTGTCTCCCAGCTTGTCTTTGCATTTCACAGGGGATGTGAACTCTTCTGCATCTCTGCAAAGTCTATCCTTAGCAGGCTCTTACCTAACCAAATAGGGACAAAAGGAAGATTTTTCTTTTCTAGGGGATTTTGACTTCCGAAGAATAACTGTGAGGTTAAAGGGCCATATGAGCTGGTACAGCAAGCCCAAGGACTGAGTTATTTTTCACATTTCTGTGTGCAAAGCTCCCAAATGAAAAGCAGAAAATGGCCAATTTAGTTAAAAATTGAGAATGTGAAGTGGCAAAAAGGATTAAGTCTTTCTGAAAAGTAAAATAACAAAAGAAAGCAAGTAACAAAACTGGTTAGCAGCTACCCAAGAGGTAAGAGCAAGGGGCAGCACAGGTAAAGATGTGTGTGTGTGTGTGTGTGTGTGTGTGTGTGTGTACATATATGCAGTTTGTATTAACAGGCAGGAGGCAGAATAGGTTAGGACAGGCAGTCTCGGGTTGAATTATAGCCCCTAAATTACTTAACTTTTTTGAGTTTTAGTTTTTTCATCTGCAAGCAGGAAAAATAATAGCACCACTTTCATAGGATTACTATGAAGGTTAAATGAAATATAAGGCATGTAAGACACAGCAAGCACTGGGCATAGAGCAAGCTCTCAGTAAGTAGTAATTATTTTATTATCCCCCTGTATTTTCTGTGAATATAAGTCTGTAGAGATAAAATCAGCAGAAATGCATGTTCTTAATTCTAAGAATTTTTCTCGTAGTTTTTCTGGAGGGGTTAAATTTTTCCTCTATGCTTTCACTTTTTGGAATATTTTTTGAATGGCCACTCATCTTTTCTCTTTTATTTTCCATTAAAAAATTCTAATTTCTGTGAGCTTTTTATGACTTTATCTTTTACTTCTTTTATTCTGCCATAATCTTTCTTGTTCTCAAATGGTTCTTAAAAATAGCATTTTATTTTAGTTTCATTGCTGTAATATCTTCTCCTATCTGTGAGCATATTAATTACAGTTTTTAAAGAAGTTTTCTTTTACTCCCTGCATTGCCTTTTTTCTTACAGCCTTCTTTGTCCCATGTAATGGTTTTGGTCTCTTTTCCTGAAGTAGTTTTCCTCACAAGTGTTGGGGATCATTGGCTGTCATTCATATCTAAACGTGAGCCCCTGAAAAGCTAAATAGAAGCCTGGAGTGCGTGGGTAGGATCATGATCTGATATGGTCAATGGGTAGGGATTTGGCTTTTTACTGGGGACACCCAAATATCTTTACCTGTGTGTCTTTCTCTTGGGCCTATCAATTTTCTCTGGGAGGATTCCTCTCTATGCTCTTGTCTTGAAGGTTTAAGTTCAGTTCCAGCACTGGGGAAGCAGGAAGGGAAGAGAGATGGAGGTTCTCTCCATTCAGCCTGCGATATTTTAAATCTCCTAATCTTAGGAACATCTCATCTTGCTCTCATCTGTGCCTGAGTCCTGGATTCCAGCACCTGGCTTGTTGATCCCCCACTAGAGAGTGAACCTCATCTTCTGCCTATTGAAGGAAGGGCTGTGGCCTGGCAATGTGGGTGGGACATTTATCGAGGCACAAACTGCTTATTGCACAGGGTTGTAACCAATCCTCCTGTTTTCAGCCCAACCTTGCTCCTCTGTCTTTCAGGGTACCTAGTACCTATGATCAGTTCCTGGGCCTTTCTGGGGTCCTGTGGTGCAAACAGGCTTGCCTCTGTTTGCCTTCCTGTGGACACTTAGATTCGGTTTTCTTTGTTGACTCTTCCATGCAGTTTCCATGGTACAAAATGTTATTGACATTTCTCATCTGCTGTTGGCTCTACTCCTGTTCTTTTTGCTTTTGTATATTTTTAGCTCCTTAATTCTTTTGCTGTCATTTTATGGGGTTTTAGGAAGGAGTGGAGATAAGCACCTGTGTTTACTTAGTCAGAAGTCCACCCATGAAATTTTTAACAATACACAGGCACCTAGGCCCCATCCCTAAAGATTCTCATTCAGGGATCCGGGGTGGGATCTGGGCACTGCTATATTTTAAGGGCTCTACAGGAGGCTGATGGAGTGAGCTGACTTCGTGGCCCACTGAGCCCTAATGGAGTGTGGTTTGAACACATTTCTCATGCATAGTTGTCTTTTCTCCTTCTTGCTGAAGCACAACAGTGGAAAACAGGTTTGAAAAGCATTTATTGGGTGCTTTCTATGGCCCTGGAACTGTATTAAAAGATTCTGTTGATTGCTGATGATTGAATCAAACAGTGTTGGCCGTGAATTTTTGGCTGATGTAAGTCAGTGGTGGCAAAGGTAGGTACTCAAGCACCACGTGGGCTTTTCTGGTCTCCCACCAACTCTTTTCTTTCTGTGTTGGCTTCATCCTGCATGAGGCTAGGACCGTTTCCACTCTCAGATTTGGTCTTTCATTATTACAGATTCAAGTGGAGAGCGTGAAGTTCTCTCCCTCTCACCACGCTATTTGCCTTCCTGCTCAGGTCTGAGCAATGCTGGGAAGACCTCTGGGAGGCCCAGCATGGGCCAGGTTTTACCTCCTAACCCATAATGTTAAGATAATGGCAGCTTCAGATCCTCTAGTGAATGGACAGGAGGGATGGCTCTCCTGAGGGTAAACCTGAGGAGAAGAGAGAGAAAGGGTTGTATTTAGAAGTAAAGAGTGCAGGGCAAAGAGAAAAAGAGATCCATTACAGTCCACACCCTTGGCTATTCAGTGCCTGGGTATGAACGTGCATGTACACGCACACACACACACACACACATACAAACACACTCCTTCCAAGGCATTTCCAGAAATGTCTCATCCAATTTAATGGAACTATCCCATGGAAAGATTACACGCTTACTTATTTCCTCAGCATCTTGAAATATTTCAAAGTCATGTCTAACTCATGTATATCTTGTATACCCAACCACATCATTGGTGATGTTCATTCCTTTTCATCAGTTCCAGGAGAAGCTTCTTAGGATCTTGCAATTTATAGATGATATGATATATTTAAGTACTCTCAATTTGCCCAAATCTCTAAAGTCTCAGTGGGCTGAGTCCCCAGACATGGCAGGTAATCATTTAACAAAGAGCTTAACTGACTCTCACCAAAGATTGCTGTCAGAAAGAAGGAGTCCCGACTGCCTTCACTTGCTATTCTGGTTATCTGTTGCTGTTCAACAAATCACCCAAAACAGTGGTTAAAGCAATTATAATAATTTATTTTGCTCACGATTCTGGCGGTTGACTGGGCTCAGCAAGGGAGGCTTTACTCATGGTATCAGACAGAAGCTGAGGGGTTCTTGCAAAGACTTCAACCCATGAAGGTGGTAAATGAGCTGGGAAGACTCCAATAGCTGGGGCTCCTCAGGCAACCCCCTCCACGCAGTCTGTCCACATGGCAGCCTCGGGGATCTGAATTTCTTCTGTGGTGACTGAAGGCTCCCAGAGTGAGAATCCCAAGAAAAACTGTCAGAAGCTCCATGGCTGTTTCTTTCCTAACCTCAGAAATCATATAGTGTCATTTCTACCACATTCTGTTAATCCAGGCAGTCACCAAGACCTGCCCAACTTCAAGAAGAAGGAACAGAGATTCTACCTCTTGATGGAAGGAGTGGTAAAGAATTTGCAGATGTTTGTTAAAACCTCCATAACCTTAATTCAGCCAGTTCCACATTTCAGGTTCTGTTACTTTAAATACCCCACTTCTGGCTATTACAAGATTCTTTTGCCTGTATGGGACATAAACACAATTCAAATTAGCGTATAGCCAAACTACAGAAGGTCCAGGTGACTGGAGCCAGGGGCTTCAATATCTGCTGTCTAGGTTCCTTTTGAAGAGTCTCATTGACTTGCTTAGGACACACACCCATCCCTCGACCAGTGAGGGTAGTTATGGGGCGTGTACCGTGCTTGGCATAACTTGGAATGGGTGATCACCTCTTGATTTGTCACTGTCTTCAAGGTCATGTAAAAAGGCAGCAATTCCCATTTGGATTGCTATGGTGAAGTTGGGGGAGGAAGGGTAATTCCCCAAGAGAAGAGGAATGCTTTCCCAGAAGAGGCAGAGGTGATGGGCTGGCTGAGCCACACAATTCCACTCAACGTTTGCATCTGTCATCTCATTTCATTCCAGCAACAACCCACCATGTAATAGTAGTACTTTGGTTACTCTCTTTCAGCAAATGAAAAAAAAAAGAAAAAAAAAAAAAGAAAAGAGGCTTAGGGATATTCAATGTCATGTTCAAGGTTACACAGCCAAGTGTGGCAGCACGAGTGCTTGAGCCCAAGCATGTCTGAGTGCAAAGTCCGTGCTCTTAATATTCTTCCCTCTCCCCTGCCGGTAGCCCACGATCTTCGGTGCAGTCAGTGTAGGTGAGTGTCTAGAGGAGCTAAAGAGGGTGAGAGAGAGCACCCCAGGAGGAGCCCAGGAGGGTCTCTAGCCACTGGTTCTGACATTTTGCTTTCTCTCCCGGCTACCCCACCGTCTTCTGCCTGCCATCTTGTTTCCACTTGAGCTTCTGTCACCACTCCTCCAGGCGCCACGTGGGGAGGTGGACTGATCTTTGTTCATTACTTAGGTCCAGGTGTCTGCATCCTTTCTGCCCATGGTTCAGTTGAAGTAAAGTTGGACTTTTCCAGAGGAAATCTTATTAGGAAATGCACTGGAAAAACAAATCCAAACCAGACAATACAGAAATACAAGAGGGAGGAAATGAATGTGATCATAGAGTGCTGAATTCCTTACTTTAGTTTCACAAAAGTTCTGCCCCCAATTAGTCTGGGCGCCACTGCTGGCCAGGTCCCCAAACAGCTTGTTTCTTTCCCCAGCATTTCCTGGTATGATTTCACAGAGACACTTTCACCAGCTTCTTCGTGAGGCTGGTTCATAAGGGTAGGTTTAGTGTAGTTGGTCACAAAGGCCTAGACTCACCAGTGGCCACCAGGTCTCCAGGGAAGAAACCATCATCCTTGATCAATGGCCTTCTCTCATCTGAAAAAGACTGGATGGCCCCATACCTTCCAAGGTCTAGGATCTTGTAGGATCACCTCGAGAGTTCCTGAATTTCCTCCATTCAGCTCGTTTGCAGGGCCCAGGTCCTTGATGTGGTAAAAACCCAATAGATGGCCGGGTGTGGTGGTTCATGCCTGTAATCCCAGCACTTTGGGAGGCCAAGGCAGGAAAATCACTTGAGGTCAGGAGTTTGAGACCAGCCTGGCTGACATGGTGAAACCCCATCTCTACTAAAAATAAAAAAATTAGTGGGGCATGGTGGCAGAAACCTGTAATCCCAGCTACTTGGGAGGCTGAGGTAGGAGAATCGCTTGAACCCAGAAGGTGGAGGTTGCAGTGAGTCAAGATTGCACCACTACACTCCAGCCTGGGTGACAGAGCAAGTCTCTGTCTCAAAAAAATAAACAAACAAAAATCTAATAGAGATCAGGGCCTTTTGCTCAGACCTTTTCCAGGGGCTCCTCCTGGGGCATGGCATGGCAGAATTCTGATTGCTGTAATTTTTCAATCTCAAAATGCCACATGTTTACAGTAATGACAACCCACATGTAGTTAGAGGAAGGGGGAACAACAAGAGATTTCCCTTTCTAGATCTTTGTAGACCCCAATATTACAGGAGAAACTTTTGTTTGTGCAAGAAAGAAGCAGAAGAACCTGAGGCAGGTGTTGTTTCCAAGCTTAGGGCTCAAGGGTTGGGGAGGGAACATTGTTTTTAAACAGTCGAATGCATGACAAAGTAAAATCACAACAGTTTGACAGCACAATTTTAATAAGTTTTGCTTTTTTCTGGCACCGATATTCATCAAGTTATGGCTTGAAGCAATAGAGGGAATGATAAGGAAAGAAACAAGTGTTGAGACATAAGTAGTCACTGTGGTGGGCGCCTTGAATGTTATTTTGTTGTGAGAATTGTTCACGCCGTTGATATTCCCAAATGCTTTACCAGCTTAAATTAAAAAATGATTATTTAATATATTCAGCTCTTCTGCCTACCCCTGAGAGAACAAACATTACGGTCTTCCACGTCGCTGAAGGTGGAGCAGGAGTGGATTCATAACTCCACAAAGCCCTCCTCACCCACCCCTGTCTCCTGCAAGTTGGGGTCATGTTCCACCACCTTGCAGGCTGCAGCTGAAAGCCATGGAGAACTCAGCTTTTCTGGGGTGCTTCAGAAGATGTGCAGGGATGTGATGCTTGTGGAGGGAGAGGGGCGGCAGCTGCTGGGGCCTGCATAGAATGCTTGGACATTCTAGAAATCCTGTAATTTAGCCAATTATTATGATCATGATTATTATGATTATTTTTGTAGACAGGGTCTCATTCTGTTGTCCAGGCTGAAGTGCAGTGTCATGATCATAGCTCAATGTAACCTCAAATCCCTGAGATCAACAATCCTCCTGCCTCAGCCTCCCCAGTAGCTAGGACTACAGGTGTGCACTACCATGCCCAGCTAATTAAAAAAAATTTTTTTTTGTAGGCCGGGCATGGTGGCTAACACCTACAATACCAGTACTTTGGGAGGCCAAGCCGGGTGGATCACATGAGGTCAGGAGTTTGAGACAAGCCTGGCCAACATGGTGAAACCCTGTCTCTACTAAAAATACAAAAATTAGCTGGGCATGGTGGTGCACACCTGTAATTCCAGCTACTCAGGAGGCTGAGGCATGAGAATCTCTCGAACCTGGGAGGCAGAAGTTGCAGTGAGCCGAGATCATGCCACTGCACTCCAGCCTGGGCAACAGAGTGAGACTCTCATCTCTAAAAAAAAAACTTTAGAATGGGGGTCTCACTCTGTTGCCCAGGATGGTCTTGAATTCCTGGCCTCAGACAATCCTCCTGCCTTGGCCTCCCAAAGCATTTGGATTACAGGAGTGAGCCACTATCCCCAGCCTCATTTCATTATTGAATCATTCTTTCATCCATTTCCTGTGCAATGCTACATGCTGACTCTGTGCTGGGTGCTGCAGATGCAGGTGAGAAACAGGCAGTCCTACTTCCTGACTCTAAAGATTGTTCTCTGTCCCTACGTGGAGCCCCAGGCCTGCTTGGGGGGTTGGGAGGTGCTCTGAAGCAGGTTTGCCTCCAAGTGTCACACTGCCCTACTGGACCTTAGGAAAATTCATGAATGTAGTGATAGTTCAGGTACGCGTCAAGGTGTTCTACTTGGGGAGGTGTTGGGGGTGTAGGAGCCTGATGTTGTTTTGGGCATTGCACTAAATAGGTGACTGGCCCTTGTAAGGCTGGCCCTGTGATATTCCCTTACTACACAGTCCTGTGAGCCTGGGGTCTCTGGGTTTCTGACAGCCTGCTTCAAATGAGGATAAAATCTGACTTCCTCATTAGCATCAGTGACAGATGGCCTGCATATCTTGACTACCCTAAGTAACACCAAATAAGAATGATACACACGTTTGTGAAGGATTTCGTACTTAGAGTTGTCAAATCGTGTCGGTTTTCTACCTCTGCAGTGTCTCTCCCATCTATCAATTTTCCCCTTCCCATCTCTACCGTCCTAGTTCAATCCCTCATTATCTCTTGCCTAAGCTTATTGCGTCTGCTTTCTTACTAGTTTCTCTGCCCCCATTCTCTCTGTCTTTGAAATCATCCCACATAATGCTGCTGGATTAATCTTCTTAAAGTAGAGCTCAGATCTCATCATTCCTTGACTCAGAAACGTTCTGAGAGTTCTTTCCATTGTTTATTAAATTAAGAGAACACTCTTTAGGCCTAGCACAAGGTAAGCACCCCCTCCACCACGTGGCTACGTCTTCCCTCCCTGTATTTTCTCCCATAGCTCATGCTCATACACCCAACATTTCAGCCAGCTTGGGCACTGCTGGTTTGCAAGCTTGCCCTGCATGTTATTACTTCTCCGCTTTTGCTTTTCCTGGCTTTCTGGTTGAAAAGTTCCTTCTCATGATCTTTGCCGACTGAAACCCTACCTATCCTTCCAGACCCAGCTAAAATGCTTCATCATTCATAAGCCTTTCCTGCTCCCACAATGGTGGTATCATTGTTCCCACCTGAGCCACCATAGCAGGTACTTTGTCCCTCTCTTATGACAACTGTCATAATTAGAGGTGAGAACCCTCTTTGGATAGCAAGCTCATGAGGCCAGTGACTTATGTCAGGCACCCAGAGAATGTCTGTTGACTCTGGTGAAGGAGCAGCTCATCCACCTGCGCATTCCTGGCATGTAGTACATATCATATGGGTCTTCTTGTTTTGTGGAAAAATAGAACTGAGACCCTTTAGATAAGCTACCATTGTGATGGTAAAGCAAGAGTAGTTCATACATTGCATACATGTTCATGATTACAGTCTGGAATGTACAAACAGAAATCCAACCCAAACTAGTTTAATCAAGAAAGGGACTCATTGGAAGGACATGAGTTTGCAGAATTGAAGAGAAAAATGAAGGGTAGTTTTGGGGACCTTAGGGACTAGAACCAACAGTGCTGTGTGTTGCACAGACCTTATTTGCATCTGTTACTGATTTCTCTCTGAGAGTTAACATTAAGATAATGGTGGAGGTAATGAGTAGTGAGAAGGATGAATGAGTATGGAGTGGGCTTGCCTGGGTCATATATGACCAAATAAGGAGATTAAGTGAATGAACAAGCTTGGTCTTAGTGCTTTTGGCCCAAACTGTGAGATTTATGAGAAGACATCCCTCCAGATTGACCCTAATTGTTTTCTATGGCTCCTGTAGACCCACAGGGGCAGCCTCACTTTTCCTTTTGCAGATGGACAGAAGAGTCAGAATGCTATGGTCTGAATGTTTGTGTCGCCTCCAAATTCATATGTTAAAATCCTTACCACTGAGGTGATGGTATTAGGAGATGGGCCTTTTAGGGGTTATTAGGTTAATTAATCATACATTGGATAAGTGCCTTTATAAAAGAGACCCCAGAGAGCTAGCTTGGCCCTTCTTCCATGTGAAGACACAGCGAGAAGTCACCATTTATGAACCAGGAAATGGGCCCTCACCAGACATTGAATCTGCTGGTGTCTTGATCTTGGACTTCTCAGCCTCCAGAACTGTGAGCAGTAAATTTCTGTTATTTATAAGCCCCCTAGTCTAAGGTATTACATTTTGTTTTAGCAGCTCAAAGGGACTAAAACAAGAGAGTCAGAAGGACAAGTAACAGAGAGCTCAGAGCTGGAGCTGGAGATGGCTGGTTATGATGGTGGAAGCAGAGAGCAGGGTGGGTGAATGGCCAAGCCACTCCAAGAAGGATTATAGTTCTTGACTACTAATTCTGGTTTAGGCATGGCACATTGGAAGTTGAGCCTTTTAATGAACATAAGTTGATAAAAATGTCCTTGTCGCAGGAGCAATTAGATCACTGGAAAGGACTTGGAAGAATAACTGAAGAAACAGGTAATAAGAGACACATGAATCTGTGAGTCTATGACTGATGATAAGAGACATCTGCCTACCAGAGGTAATGTGAATATTTAATGTTGTGAATCCATAAATATTTAACTACATTCAAATATTTAGCTACTAAAATTGCCTCTCTAAAAAAATGAGATTTTCTGAATACAGGGCCATTTTTCTCAAGGCACAGTATAGTCTGAGCAATTCATTAAAAAAATCATTTTTGACAACTTACCATCGATTACAGAGTGCAGCCCAGTGCGTGGTGGGATCCCATCTGATACACTGATCAGACAGAGTGTAATAAAAGCCCTGATCTGGCTATCTCTCATCACACACAGGATGTCGGAAAACTGCTCCTGGTTTCTTGACATTTATAGATCATATCCTTCCCTTGCTTTCCCTAGGGCATCTTGTGAGACTCTCCTCTGAGCAAAATTATTGTGCCACAGTATAGAAAATATATGCACTGAGGAAATGGTTAACAACAGCAAATCAAATAATAGCTAACAGTGGGAGTTGAACTTGTGAAGGGGGAGGAGGGGAAGACAAATTTCCAGGACTTTTGGCTGCAGACACATCCTCAGGCAAATTAATGCATGGAAATGGAGGACTTGGGACTTAATTCTCCAGAACCATCTGTGCCCCGTGTCCTTAGGAAAGCCTCTACATAACCCCAGGGCTCCGGTTCTTCAGTCTGAAGATTGCTGCTCTTCACACATCCTTTGTCTCTCCAATTCTTATCTGTGTCTGAAGCACTTTTTTCTCTCTCAACACTTTCTCTACCTTCAAATTTCAGAGAAGACAGCTGCCAACCAAAAAGAAGGGGCCTCAGTAGGCCTCTACCTACCGGTCCTTATCAATGTCATCACCATTGCTGAAGCCTTTACCACCTCCACTTCCGTTCCCATCACAGCCTCCTTGATTTCCAAACTATGGTTGTCCACTTTAAGCACTTCCTTCTCTATTACTTGATAAATGATTAATTGATTATCCAACATGGACTTTGGTTCTGTCTGCTACCTTAGAGAGGCCCAAGGAGTCCTTTGAAGACATGGAAGAGACACATGTGTGTTAGTGTATCGGCAAAGGGGCGTTTATGACATCAGCAGTATTGTTACTGGAAAGGGGTCCCAATCCAGACGCCAAGATAGGCTTCTTGGATCTCATGCAAGAAAGAATTTGAGGCAAGTCCATAGAGCAAAGTGAAAGCAAGTTTATTAAGAAAGTAAAGGAAATAAAGAAATTTCTTTCCCCTCCTTCTCTCCCTCCCTCCCTCCTTCCCTCCCTCTTTCCTTCCTTCCTTCCTTCCTTCCTTCCTTCCTTCCTTCCTTCCTTCCTTCCTTCCTTCCTTCCTTCGTTCCTTCTTCCTCTCTGTCTCTCTGTCTCTCTCTCTTTCTCTCTCTCTCGACAGGGTCTTCTGCTGCTGCCCAGGCTGGAGTGCACTGGTACTATCACAGCTCACTGTAGCCTCTACCTCTGGAACTCGGGTGATTATTCCACCTCAGCCTCCCAAGTAGCTGGGACTACAGGTGCACACCACCACACCCTAATTTTTGTATTTTTTGTAGACATGGGATTTTGCCATGTTGCCCAGGCTGGTCTGGAACTCCTGGGCTCAAGCGATCTGCCTACCTTGGCCTCCCAAAGTGCTGGGATTACAGGCATGAGCCACCATGCCTGGCCCCAACTTTTCTTTAAAGAAGCAGAAATAAAAGTACAAAGAAAAAATGTAAAATACACTAAACTATTGATAATGTAAATTATCTCTGGAGGGAAGGACTCGGCGGGAATTTTTCTTTTTGAAATACTTGTATGGCCGGGTGCGGTGGCTCATGCCTCTAATGCCAGCACTTTGGGAGGCTGAAGTGGGCGGATCACCTGAGGTTGGGAGTTCGAGGCTAGCCTGACCAACATGGAGAAAACCCATCTCTACTGAAAATGCAAAATTAGCCAGGCGTGGTGGCACATGCTTGTAATCCCAGCTACTCGGGAGGCAGAGGCAGGAGAATCGCTTGAACCCAAGAGACGGAAGTTGCAGTGAGCTGAGATCACGCCATTGCACTCCAGCCTAGGCAACAAGAGAGAAACTCCATCTAAAAATAAATAAATAAATAAAATACTTGTATAATATTTGATTTTTTTGTTAACATAAATGGCAAAAACTCTTCCTTAAGGCACCTGCCCTGGTTACCCCCCTCGGCTCCTTAGCACATTGTACATTTTTAAGTCCTTGTTTCAACCTTGGTGGTTTCACATATTAGTCTTCTCTCCTGAACTGTAAACTCCTTGCATGCAGGATTTGTGTAACTTATTTTTGTATAAGGCTGACCATATTAAATCGCCAATATCTGACTTTTTTCTTCCTACAAAAACAGCAGTTCAACAGAGTCTAGCCTGCTGTCTCCTCAGCACTCAGCACCAAGCCAGGCTCTTGACTGAACTGACTTGAATATATTTTACATTGGTATTTGTTGTTTACAAATAGGCTGGTTTTCTGTCTCACATGAACATCCTTAAATTTATTCACAGTGTTAATACAATTTGCGGGATAATTTATACTTGCATTTTGTAAATATAGTTCAGGTGTGTGTATAATGGGACGATTATTGATGTGTTTGTGCAGGGAGAAAGAGATTGCAAATGGAACTTCAAGATGAATTCTAGAAGCAGCACCGCCTCTGACTGTGAGGAAAAATAGGCAAACCTTTAATTCTTTCTGGTTCTTGATTTCTTTTTAAGACTTGTCAGCTAAAGAAAGGCTAGTGTAAAGGAGGCTTGAACCAAGGCTAGTGTAATTTTTTCTACCCGAAGGAAGCCTTCAAACTGCCTGGCTCTGAGAGAACACTGACGGTGGCGTTGGATGGGAATGACTGTTCGTCAGCATGTGACTTCTTTAAGGACAGCCCATTTGTCTGGAGGAATTACCCACATTTCGTGGATAAGGATTTGTCCTTTCTTTTCTTCATTACAAAAGGTATGATATTAGACTTTAGTGATTGATCTCTGGCCTCAAATTTTCCCTAGGCTCAGATAAGAGTTCTCTTTTTGAAGATAGGAGGTCGGTTTGCTGTTGGAGAAAAAAAATTAACTATGCAAACTTGGGGAACTAGACAAGAGCCCTCCTTTTTAAAGAAATCTGTCTCCCTCTCTCTCTCTTCTCTCCTCTCTCTCTCTCTGTGTGTGTGTGTGTTTGTGTGTGTGTATGTGTAATTTCAACTTTTATTTTAGATTCACGAGTACATAAGCAGGTTTGTTACATGGGTTTATTGTGTGATGCTGAGGTTTGGGGTGTGATTGAATCCATCACGCAGGTAGTGAGCATAGCACTCAACAGGTAGTTTTTCAAGCCTTGCCTCCTCTCTCCCTCCTCCTTCTTGTAGTCCTCGGTGTCTATTGTTCCCATCTTTATGTCCATGTGTACCAAATGTTTAGCTCCCATTTATAAGTGAGAATATGCAAAATTTGGTTTTCTGTTTTTGTGCTAATTTCCTTAGGATAATGGCCTCTAGCTGCATCCATGTTGCTGCAAAGGACGTGATTTAGTTCTTTTTTATGGCTGTATAGTATCCCATGGTGTATATGTACTACATTTTCTTTATCCAATCCACCATTGATGGGCACCTCAGTTGATTCCCTGTCTTTGTGACCGCGAATAACGCTGTGATGAACATATGACTACATGTGGGTTTTTTTGGAAGAGTGATTTATTTTCCTTTGGATATGTACCCAGTAATGGGACTGCTGGGTCGAATGGTTGTTCCACTTTTAGTTCTTCGAGAAATCTCCAAACTGCTTTCCACATTGGCTGAACTAATTTACATTTCCACCAACAGTGTAAAAGGGTTCCCATTTTTCCCCAGCCTCGCCAACATCTGTTATTTTTTGACTTTTTAATAATAGCCAAGGAATGTGTGCGTTTGAAGAAGAGATTGCCACTTCTCACAGATGGTGCATTCTCCTTTGAGAGAAAAGCCTGAGACACACACCCATGGATCTGAGGCACTAGAGGGGCGGGAGAAGAGGGCAGGTCCTTGATCTCTTCCACCTGCCATAGCTGGACAGCCTGTCTTTCTGCCAGCCCCAGCAGGAGGCCAGCCTTGCCCAGAATGAGCCAGGTAGGGTCAAAGCTGAGAAATAGAATGGTCGTTGAGCTTGGAAGTGGCATCGTAAGTTTTCTTAAGTAACTTAAAATCAGAGTTCATTAGAACATTAGAGCCAGAGGGATCTTACAAATTGTCTTGTTTCCTAAGGTTCTGTAGGATATTTTTAGGTGTTGAGAAACAAGGGAGGAGGCGTTCTAGGGTCATGGCAGTTGGGAAAAGCTGATTTAGCAGATGCTGCCGGTGCTCTGCTGTATCCCTCTAGTCTTACTGCTTCAGTGCAAGAGGCTGATGTCCAGGAGCTCGAGTCTGAATCTTTTTGTCTAGGGTCCTTTCTGAAGCCATGGAGGGCTGTTCTGTCCTCAAATAATGGGCCAAGAGTGCCAGGAGCTTGACACTCACCACAAGCCGTCCTCAGACTATAACTGGCGGGCCGTGGTGTATAAACACCCCAGCTCCCCCACCCCTTAGGTGTGATCACTGAACTGTGTCCTACTCTAGCTTCTAGAATTTCTGCAGTGGGACTGTGAGCTGGTTGTCCCAAGGGCAGCTAACTTGATTAGGTATCCTTTAAGACTGACTTTCCTTCCTGATTTCCTTACTGTTTTCCCTTCACTTCCCAAATAAACTATTTGTATTCAAATCCTTGGCTCAGTGTCTGCTTCGGGAGCCCAAAGTGAGATCGTGGGTAAAGAAAAATGAACAGATTTCTTTACCACAGAATTTTGCAGATCCTTTAACATGCTAATGTGTTTTGTGAATATCCAAAAGAGGGATTAAGTCTGCAACATGTCCCAAATATTTGACTACAAAACCATATTTTTTCCCCATAGATATCTCTTGACATCAGTATTCCAAGCAAAATATTTTGGGAGACATTCTCTTTATTTCACTGATGAAAACATTGTCAATCTCTACATTCTACTGACCAGAGGACTAGTTCCAGGAAAGTCAAAGACTCCTCTCAAGTGTCACAGCCAGGAATGACAGAATTATGGTTAGAATCTTGGTTTCCTGGTACCTGGTCCTCTTATCTCTTCACTACACCATTTTGCATCTGCACATCATTACAGGGCAGCCCAGGGTCAGAGTTCTGAAGCCAAAAAACACAGAATTGGGAGTTAGGTCCCAGGGGTTCTGTCTGGTCTCCATCGCCAGCCAGCTGTGCCTCTCTGCTCAGCCGTTTATAATAATCCTTTGCCTCCCCCTCTTCATATATTACCAGAGAGTTAAGTTAGCCTTTTTTCTTGTGGTAAAATATGCATAATATAAAATTTACCGGCCGGGCTTGGTAGCTTACACCTGTTATCCCAGCAGTTTGGGAGACCAAGGCGGGCAGATCGCCTGAGGCCAGGAGTTCAAGACTAGCTTGGCCAACATAGTGAAACCCCATCTCTACTAAAAATACAAAAATTAGCGGGGCATGGTGGTGTGGTCCTGTAATCTTGGGAGGCTGAGGCAGGAGAATCACATGAACCTGGGAGGTGGAGTTTGCAGTGAGCCGAGATTATATCACTGTACTCCAGCCTGCCTGGGTGACAGAGCGAGACTTCGTGTCAAAAAGATAAAAATAAAAATAAATAAAAGTTACCATTTATACCACTTTTAGGTGTACAGTTCAGTGGCATTAATTACATTCACACTGTTGTGCTACCATCACTACCATCCATCTTCAGAACTTGTTTATCTTCCCAGACTGAAACTTCATACCCATCAAACAATAACTCCTCACTCTCCTTTCTCCCCAGCTCCTGGCAACCACCCTGCTACTTTCTGTCTGTATGAATCTGACTATGCAAGGTACCTCATTGTATTAGTCTGTTCTCTCATTGCTATAAAAAAAATACCTGAGACTGGGTAATTTATAAAGAAAATAGGTTTAATTGGCTCATGGTTCTGCAGGCTGTACAGGAAGCATGGCAACACTGCTTGGCTTCTGGGAAGGCGTCAGGAAACTTACAGTCATGGTAGAAGGGGAAACGGGAGCAGGCACTTCACACGGCCAGAGCAGGAAGAAGAGAGATTGAGGTGGAAGGTGCCTCACACTTTTAAACAACCAGATATCACAAGAACTCACTACCACAAGAACAGCACCAAGAGGATGGTGCTAAACCACTCATGAGAAAACCACCCCTATGATCCAATCACCTCCCACCAGGTCCCACCTTCAACACCAGGGATTATACTTCAATAGGGGATTTGGTGGGGACACAGATCCAAACCATATCACCCATAGAAGTAGAATCATACAATATTTGTCCTTTGTGTCTGGCTTATTTCACTTAGTATAATGTTTTCAAGGTTCATTCATGTTGTAAAACATGTCAGAATTTCCCTTAAGGCTGAATACTATTCCACTGTATGTGTATACCACATTTTGTGTATCCATTCATCCTTCAATGAACATTTGGGTCGTTTCTACCTTCTGGCTACCATGAAATAATGCTGCCAGGAAGACTGGTGTACAAATATCTATTCTGGTACCTGCTTTCAGTTCTTCTGTGTGTATATGAAGAAGTGGGATTGCTGTGTATATACACAACCATATGATGGGTCTATGTTTATTTTTTTTGAGGAACTGCTATACTTTTTTCCATAATGGCTGTACCATTTTACATTTCTATCAGCCGTGCACAAAGGTTCCAGTTTTCCTCATCCTCACCAATACTTACTATTTTCTGTTTTTTATTTTTATTTTTATTTTTTTGTTGTTGTTTTTAAATAATAGCCCTCCAAATGGGTGTGAAGTGGTATCTCATTATGGTTTTGATTTACATATCTCTAATAATTAGTGAAGTTTGGGCCAGGTATGGTGGCTCACGCCTGTAATCCCAGCACTTTGGGAGGCCGAGGTGGGTGGATCACCTGAGGTTGGGAGTTTGAGACCAGCATGACCAACGTGGAGAAACCCGTCTCCACTAAAAATACAAAATTATCCAGGCATGGTGGGGCATGCCTGTAATCCCAGCTACTTGGGAGGCTGAGGCAGGAGAATTGCTTGAACCTGGGAGGCAGAAGTTGCAGTGAGCCAAGATCATGCCATTGCACTCCAGCCTGGGCAACAAGAGGGAAACTCTGTCTCAAAAAAAATTTAATAATAATTAGTGAGGTTTGAACATCTTTTTGCATGTTTATTGGTTATCTGTATATCTTCTTTGGAGAAATGTCTATTCAAGTCCTTTGCCCATTTTTAAATTGGGCTTTTTTTTTGTTGGGTTGTAGGAGTTATTTTTTAATATGCTTTGGATGTTAATCTCTGTTAACTGACTTTAAAAAAACATTTTTACAAATGTCTTTATTCTCTTATTTATTGGAAGACAGCTGGATTCTTAGATTTGCTTCTCTATTTAGTCTTTTATGATTTCACACATCAAAACCCCCCTGGAAAACTCTGTTGGACACTTGTGAAAGAATGAGTGTGAAACAGAGAAATTAACATCTTAGTTTACTATAAAAATAGTTTCGATCCCATGAACCCTTTCAAGAGTCTTAGGAACCCCCCACGTTCCCTGACCACACTTTAACAACCACTGTGTTAGCTGACTTTTAAAGGCTTCTTCTTGTCTGAAAATCTACACATCTTAAAATCCCACCAACAGTAACTCAATAGACCTTATGCTATACTGTAGGGAGCCTAGAACATGGCCACTCAAAATTTACATTCCAGATGGCAGCATCAGCATCACCTGGGAGCTTGTTAGAAATGCAGACCCTTGGGCCTTACCCCAGACCTCCCGAGTCAGAGTCAGCCTTTGTACAAGCTCCCAGGTGACTCATATGATGCCGACGCCTGAGAAGCACTGCCCGAGAACACAGTGTGGCTGTGTATGATATAAGAGGAATCAGGGATTTTTTTCTTCAATTTTTGATTCCAGAATGATCCCACCCTGGCATTGTTGCACTTTCTACTATTAAAAAGCAAGACCAAACTGTGCAGTTCTGATGGTGCAGGTCACGAGTGTATGGCCCTTCTTAACCCTGACATGCGAGATGGATGTTTCTCTAGGGTTGAATCAGATCAATCCATATGTCTATATCTTTTTCTATCTATTTCTCTTCTCTCTGCTCCAAAAATAAATGTGGCCAGTGGCTGTACCTTCTGTTTCTTTCCGGAAAAAAAAGGGAACAGATTCCCATGTTGCTTTTCAGTGATCCATCTGACACAGTGCTTTATTTCTTAGTTGCTGTGTGTAAACTGCTTGTAGGCAATTCTCTTCTTAACCTCCAACTGGGGCTTTGTGGAGCTGAGGTGGTTATTATCTCAGCAAGTTAGTGACATCAATCCATCCTTTCTCCTGTGGGACTGTATGCCTTTAATGAGCACACTCCCCGAGTGTCCACTTCTGAGCCTCTGGGGCAGGGGCAGTAGCCAAGGATGAGACCTACCCACCCCGCTCTGCACAGGAACCTTTGAATCAATGACACCTGTTCACTACACCCTTCATCTGATCATTAGCCTTGAAACATACTCTTGGCTCAGGTAGATTTCTGGAAATGACAATAATGCACAAGATACTAATCCTGATAGACACATTCACCTTGAATATGGGGCTGGCTGCTTATTATTGTGTTCCCTCATGGCAAATCTTGCTTTTAGTGGCTTACTGAACTCATCCCCTATTCAGTCTAAGTTGTCTTTTAATGATGTGAACATTATCTTTGTTTATGCTTATTTGCATTACTTACAGCACTCAGGTAGCAGGAACTTCAGACTAAAATGCATAGTTTCTCACCATTCCTTAGCAGGACCAAAAAGAAGGAAGTGGGAGGGGGGCATCCACATGTAAAATGAAATTCAGCATTAGTCAAAAATCTCAGTCTATTGCCTGTGATGCTCTCATGGAGTGACTTCAGGGACAGGGGAAATGAGGACATGTGCAGAGGATGTGGTGTTTGACTGGCCAACATCCATTCTTGTCCCTTTGATTAGAGTAAGCCTATTGCAATTATTCTGTTCCCTTGCTCGTGGTTGGTTCTGGAAGGACACGTGATGAAATGAGGAATGCAGGGATGTCTCAGGGTAAAGTGAAGGCGGGAAGATTCTGAGAGAGGTATCTATTTCTAAGAAAAGGTGCTTCCTTTTTCCCCTTAACCTTGTTAGATTGGGGAGTGATGCCTGGAGTTCTTCTGTCATATTGCTACAAGCCTGAGAATGAAACCAGCACTGAGGGGTGCAGAGGAAAGAGACAGAAGGACCTGGGACCCGCTGACATTGCTGAGCTGGGGGATCAACAAACCCTGAGATCCTGATCCGTTTTGTGAGGCAGTTAATTTCCTTATTGTTTAAGTCAGTGTCAGTTAGGATTTTTGTTTCCAGTAGCCAAAAGCATCCTAAGAGACACAGTTTCCCAATATTTTAGTCCTTTGGGTTTATTTAGCTTACAATGCTGTAAGTTCATGGAAGAAAACAGATCTATAGTCCAAAGTGCACTATACAAACACATTCCAAAGCTGTATATAAATTAAATATAACTTTTAATGTTTACTTACATTGTAGCTGACCTACCCCCATGACTTTTTTTTTTTTTCTAACACTGATAATTAAAAGCTGGCTATTGGCTGGGCACGGTGGCTCTCGTCTGTAACCCCAGCACTTTGGGAGGCCGAGGCAGGTGGGTCACTAGGTCAGGAGATTGAGACCATCCTGGCTAACACGGTGAAACCCCAACTCTAATAAAATACAAAAAATTAGCTGTGCGTGGCAGCGGGTGCCTGTAGTCCCAGCTACTAGGGAGGCTGAGGCAGAAGAATGACATGAACCCGGGAGGCGGAGCTTGCAGTGAGCCAAGATCACGCCACTGCACTCCAGCCTGGGCAACAGTGTGAGACTCCATCTCAAAAAATAAAAAAATAAAAAGCTGGCTATCTTATTTTCATTGAACTGTGCATCTTTTGGGTGTAGTGGGGTAACCCTGTGTGCAGTGTTTTCCATCTCAGTGTATTCCTTTTGAGCTTGGTTGTGGGTCCATCTATGATATGGGCTCACAGCCCGTAATGTGGGCTTAAAGATCTTAAAATTACATGTTTCAATTCCATTAGTTTGGAGGTAGGATAAAATTGACTTGTAAAGGGAACACCTTTAAAATGAAGTGCTAATTATTTTCTGAATAATTGATTCATGTATATGGTACCTAATTTAAAGCCACAAAAGGGTATACAGTAAAAAGAAAATCTTCTTATCCCTGGCTCCAGTCACGCAGTTCCCTTTCCTCGAGGCAATCACTGATACTGTTTATGAAAGGAAAACCTATCTCCTCAATCCACTCAGGCCTTGGGTCAACCCAGGACATTGGCGTAGCGGGGACCTATGATATTCTGGAGAAGTTGGATTGGGCCATAGACCAAGACTCACTAAAATAGTGCTCTGGTCCTGTCTTGAGAGAACAGCTGAGCCACTGCCCTTAAGGAGTTCATCTGGATCTCTTAGGCCTCTGTAGCCTCACCTGTGGAACGGGGATAATAAAGCCTAATTTACTCTTCTCATGAGGTTAGATTTTAGATGTGATGTAACAGTAAAAGTTCTCTGGAAAAATGAAAAACAATAGCAGTTGCATGCAGACCAATGAAACTAGTTTACCTCATTATGGTCCAAAAATGGAATAAATATTTTCTTTCACATATTTAGAATTCTGTTTAATGTTTCAATAATTTCTGCCTGAGCTAAGATATAAATGTAAAAATAAAGGATTATGGAACCTATTGTCACTAGGCTGTAATTAGTTGGCTCCACTATTTTTGACCCCTTCTGAGGTACAGGAAGCTTTAGGATTTAGGTAGATTGTTTTTCCACCCTAGGCACTGAATGTTTTTGCTGACACTTCAGTGCAGGGGTAAAAAATGGAGAAGCAGGACCCAGTTTGCACAATTCCTAGCTGGTGACCGTTGTGGGTTCCAGAATAGTATGGTGGCCATGGTGGGTCAACCTGATGGGGAGGGTAAGCTCCTGCAGTCAGTTCCCTGGTCCTGGACTCTGGGGTGCCTTTCCAGGTGTGTAGGCAGTGCATGTATGCCTGGCAGTGCGCTGGGGTCAGCAAAGCAGGCAACACTCAGAGGCAAGGTGGTGGCATCAGGACTCCTCATGCTAGGCCTGAATTCTTACTAAAGGAGCAAGCCATCATTGCAGAGGAATTACAACCCGGCCTCTGTTTAAACAGGGGGCTTTTAGGACTACACTGAGCTGCAGGCAGAGCTGTGGGCAGCTGAGTGGGAAAGCACCCAGCGCCTCCAGGGCTTAGCTTGGTTGGGTAAATGAGGGTTGACTAGCTGGGAAAAAGCCAGCATTGTGAGGGGCCAACTGTAGGCTGCTGCGGGAGACCCACGAGTGGAACGGGATCCTGTCGGAACGGTGTGTGTATTTATTCTGGCAGCTTCCTTCGTAAAGCCATGCTAAGCCCCATCTGGGATACTGTCAGGTATGAAAGGGCGCTTCATCTTCTGCAAGGCGCCTTTCAGTGGCCTCCAGGCATTTGCGGTTAATCTGTTTAGATTGCGAGCTGGGCAGAGACACTGCCCCTTTGTGGAGGGCTGCTGTGGCTGAGAGAGGCTCTGATTCTTTTCTGTTTTATTTCTTTTTTTCCCCCTGAAAACCAGGCCTCTCTGAATTAGGACTGAAGCTACTGCCCTAGGATTGGGCCAAGAATTTGTGGTAGCCATGGCAACAGCACCTTCTCCTACCTGAGCAGGATTTTCTTCAGCGTTCAGGTGCGTTCTGCACTCCCACCCCAGGTCTCTGTGGGTGAGCCCCTGTGTGCTCAGGTGGTCACTTCTGGAATGAGGGGTGCCACTGTCCCCACTGACAGTGTTATTCCTGTTGCTTCCTACTGTCCCCTGCCCAGGTCCAACCCCAACGGATTTGTGAATTTGGCAAAATTGGGTTTTGATTCTTTACCACCTGTATCACATTTTTCCTTTCCATTTCAAGGAAAACTCGCAAAGTGGTTAGGAAATCAGGAAGCAATTAGGTACAAGGCTCTGGAATGAAGGTTTCTGAGTTTGACTGGGAGCTTCTACATTGCCCAAGTACAGTACATGGCTTTGGGCAAGGTGCTTAGTCCCTCAGTTTTCTGATCTATAAAAGGGATGAACAGTGCTTTCCTCCTAGGACTCAGGGAGAATGAAATCAGGATAATGTGTGCAAAGTTTTGGCATGCAGCCTGGCCAATAGTAAGAACTCACAAATAGGATATTAGCTATTGTTAGTGTTAGAAGCTATGCACAACTGTTTTATGCTGAAGCAATAAAGGAGGCAGCCGGCAGAGGCAGATACCTGAAGCCTTATGGCTTAGTCCGTCCTATCCATGTGATGGGCATACCCAGCTCCTTCTAACTCTCACTGCGGTTTCTAGCCTATTTCTGGTTACTGGGTCATCAGCTGCTCTCACACCTGCGTTGCAGCCCACAGTCTCCATGCCTCCATCTTGGTTTGACTTAAGCTGGTTAACTGCAGCTGTTTCCTGAATTCACCCTTACCTCTTTTTCTAAAAATTATTAATCAGATTCAGAGTGGTTGTTGCTTAGTTTTGTCATGTTACTTTCCAAATCTATTCTTATATATATACTATATACACAAGCATTATCTGTGGAGGATGACTTCATAGCAACATTCTCAACCCTGTGGGTAATCATTGTTTGCTTATTTTTGTTCTAATTTGTTCTATGGGTTGAACCCAGTCTTCTCTGGGTTGGGTTCTGGTTGAAGAAGTTATCAGTGGGATTAGGGATGGGGCTGATTGACTCAGTGGCAGAAGTCATGATATCTTTCATCACTGAAGGCTTTCAGCAGTCAGGAACTGTGTCCAGTTTATGCCTTTCTCACTGCTTTATATGTTCTCCTTTTAAGATTAACTCAAAGGAGTGACAAACTTTGAATCACCAAATTCTTTCCTGCTGCCAGTGAGAGTTAAGGATAATTACACAGACATTTGACATTTGCTTCAGAGAAGGAAATGTTCAACGTTAATAGTTAAATGAACGTTTTATTTTCTTCCTTGAATCTTGCTGTGTTTCATGAAAGGAACCCACATGGTGATGGCTTATACATTTATGAATTATATTCTAAGAACAAATACATACTTCATTTCTCTGTAAGGGGAAGATCATCTAGAGGATATGAAGATGATGCAGATGCAGGCTGGGGAAGGGTTTAGGTCGTCTCACCTGGAAAAAGGGGTAAATAACAGGATGCCTCAGAGGGTGTTAAGGGGATGAAATTACTTAATACACAAAAAGCACTTATCAGTGTGCCTTGCACATAGCAAGTGCTCAGTAAATGGTGGTGGTTATTTACACAGGTGCGTTCCTCCATCTGAGTCCTCATGCTATTGGCCACTTATACCCTGAATTGCACTTTATTTTTATGGCCAGTAGCCAAGCAAAGAGACTGTTGACACTTAGCTGGAAAATACAATTATCTGTAAAAGATGTGTGGCCATTCTGGGGTTTATAAGGAGGATGTGTGCAAGATGCCTAGAATTACAATTTGCTGAGTCAAATAATGGCTGAGCCAGCAAGGGTCTTTGACACCATTTAGTGAATTGTTTTATAAATGAAGGTTCAAGAAAGTGAAGCAAAAGACCCAAGATTTTCCAGCAAGTAATGGCATACCACAGTAGAAACTGGCTCTTCAGACTCCCAGACCAGTGTCTACCCTATTCTACAAGGGTACGATTCTCAACACTGGGCCAATATCATGGGCATGAGCCAGAGGAGGTGGTGTGGGGTGGGGGGATGGGGACACAGTCCCTAATATTACTTCCACCCTAGGCCAAAGAAGAGAAGGAATGCTGTTTCTCTAGAAGTCCAGTTTCTCCAGAGCAGTGATTCCCAATCTTTTTGAGGATGAGGAATACTTTCTTTTTTTCTTTTTTTTGAGACAGAGTCTCACTCTGTCACGCAGGCTGAAGTGCAATGGCACGATCTCAGCTCACTGCAACCTCCACCTCCTGGGTTCAAGTGATTCTCCTGACTCAGCCTCCCAAGTAGCTAGGACTACAGGTGCAGGCCACCACACCCGGCTAATTTTTTTATTTTTAGTTAGGTGGGATTTCACCATGTTAGCCAGGCTGGTCTTGAACTCCTGACCTCAGGTGATCTGCCTGCCTCAGCCTCTCAAAGTGCTGGGATTACAGGCATGAGCCACTGCGCCCAGCCTGAGAATGAGGAATACTTTCTTACATTGATAAATTTCATTGATCTTTCTCCCCATTTCCAGCATGATATAGCAGCTATTGACTTGATATTCAACGTTAGAGAAAATGTACAATAATACAATACTAGCCACTGTAAACTTGCCAGCACTTTACAATGAAGATGTACATGCATTTCAAAAGTGGTTTACCTATATTATTTATTCAGACTACCAATGATGCTTGGATGGCATTTAGATTTGTGAGCAGCTTGCAATAACGTCACCACCTCACTAGATGACTTTCCCATCCACTGCCATGAAGGGCTGTTGGTTTCCTTTACTTTCTGAGAGTTACGAAAGGGGGATAATAACATAGGGATAGTGTAGCAAAAATAAAGAGGAGCAGAAGGCTAAATCATTCTGGTCCTTTTTCTAAAATGGTCCAAGGCTAAGCTGTCAGCTACGAGGAACGAGGCTTGAGTAGAAAAAAAAAAATATGAAAACAAAGCTCTTTCTTGTTCTTTCATATAAATGCAATGGTGAACTGATACCCAATTTGGAATGTTGGCTGAAATAGACTGAGAGCCAAAGTATTTGGGGGCAGTTATGGTTCATTAACTGCAGTGGAAAACACAGAGAGACAGTCAAAGCTGAAGGTTCAGCAGCCAGGCCTGTGCATTTTCTGATATGAGATACGTGTAACAGAAACAGATTCTATTTACTGCAAAATTCGGACTCCATTTTGTCTATCCCAGGGAAGAGCTGGGAGGTGTGGAGAGAGGGGTTTCTGAGAGGCATAGACATTGGCTCCTTGAAGTAGTTTTGGGGCTGGTCTGGGCCTGTGGACAAGGACTACTGAGTAAATAGAGTAAGAACTCCCCACTGCTGGGTGAGCCTCTGTGCTGGAGTCTCTTGAGAAGATGGTGGGTGGGACTTCCGGTTACTGCAGCGTGAGAGGTCAGTGATTCCTCTTCACAAAACAAGCAGAAAACTGGAATAAAATTGTCAAGAATAACCATTTCAAAGCACTGTAAATTGACCAAAGGCAGACAGCAAATTGTGAAGCTTTTATTCCTGAAAAACTGCTGGAGCTTCGGGTAAGAACAGCAGGAGTCTTTGGCCTTCTTGCCTGGAGCTGCTCCATCTTCTCCCACAAGCCCAGCTGGCCAGAACTGGACCTTTAAAAGCGCAGGGCTGGCCATGAAAATGAGCAATTTGCTGCCAGGAGGGATGGACTCACTTCACGGGGTGTGTGTGTGTGTGTGTGTGTGTGTGTGTGTGTAAACCTGTGGCTTTGCTAGCTAAATGTGGAAGACTCAATTGGGAAAGAATGAGGAAAATCTGTGACTTTGCTAGCCCAAGATTGTGTTCTTAGTTGGGGTGGGCTGTGGACCAGCAGGAAATTTAATGGGGAGATGCCGGAAATAAAAGAGTGCCACAAAAGAGCAGAGATAAATCCTCCACATATTCCTGGTTGACTGGAAGATTGTGTTGCATAGGGGAGACCCAAGAGGGCCCAGGGAGACTGAAAACCAAGAAGAACTGAGAACTGGCTGCAACTTTCAATGTGTTCCCCAACTTTCACACAGACCAAATTGGTAGAGGGATGGAGACCTCATCAGATGACCCCAGTGCGCTTTCCACTGAACCATATGTCAAAGACACTGGAGAAACGTGAGGCCATGAAGTGATACTGGATTCCAGTTGAGTGACATGTTATTTTGTGTGCTTCCAAGCTATATTGTTGCGGCAGTGTGGCTTAGTAGGAACACAGGTTTGCATCAGACAGAATGGGGTTTTAATCCCAGCTCTCTCTCTTACTATTTGTGTGAATTTGACAAGTTATGCAACTTCTCTGTATCTTAGTCAATCCTTGTAAAATTCCAGTGAAGTAGGCATTATTACTGTCCTCATGTTCTAAAATGCAGTGGCATGGAGACTTTTTAATCTGTAAAATCTTTTTTTTGGGTGAGGACTAAAAATTATAATTGCTATAAAGGATATACCACATGGTAGGTGCTTAATAAATAGTTTTTTAAGTTTGTTATTGTTGTTATTGCTGATGATGCAGAAAAAGAACTAGAGCCAAGTTGATAAACCCAGAGAGATTATCCCCCCAGAGAGTCACCAAGAAAATCATAAGATGCTGGCATTAATGCTATAGTGGGTGAGACCTCTACATGAGCTCTGTATTGGTTTTTTATTGCTGCTGTAACCAATCATCACAAATTTAGTGGCTTAAAACAACACAAAGTTTCATTTCATAGCTCTGTGGGTGAGAAGTTTAAGTAGAGTGTGTGGCCTTATTGAGCTCTCTGCTTCGAGGGTAAAATTAAGATGTCCAGGCTGGGTTCCTTTCTGGAATTTCCACGTCTGAACCCAGCTCTAGGCTCGTTCAGGTTGTTGGCTAAATCAAGTTCCTTGCAGTTGTGTGATGGGGTCCCTGGTTTCCTGCTGGCCTGTCAGAGGCTTATCCTTGTTCCTCAGTGCTACTTGAATTCCTTCTTGTATTTTCCATGTGGCCCTTCTCCAGCAGCAGGGCATCTTGTTCCTCTCATGCTCAGGATTTCTCCAACTTTTCCTTGTCCTGAATCTCCCTGACTCATGTGGGCCCACTGGATAAACCAGGCTAATTGCTGTATTTTATAGTCCATGAGCTGAATCACAGCTGCAAAGGCCCCTATTCATAGGTTCTGGGAATTAGGGCATGGACCTTTTTGTGGAGCAGGCGGGGGAGTACATTCTGCCTATGACGACCTCTGAAGGAAGAACAGGTTATAGGCCAGTTCTTGGGATAGGAAGACACATTCAGATGAAACCAGGAGCGTCTAGACTTTAGGGAATGTGAAAATGGGTAGATTTGTGTCAGTGAGGCTGTCTCTAATGGAGATCTGTTATTTTTGTCCACTCAACATTCCTTTCTTTGGGAGAGATAACCTTTCTTCATTCTTTGTGGGTTTTATGGGGCTGCCAAATACAGGATTCCATCTACTTGGTGCAGGGATAGACTCATGGCCTCAAATGGGCCAATTATATCACCATCACCTCTCCCAGGAATCCGCTCTTGAGTGGAGACACGCAGGCACTGGAGGTGATTGCAGTGGAATGATGGTATGTCAGCATCCTAGAGAGGGGGCCGTGAGTCCTGTTTTTGAGTTCATGGGAGCAGCCTTCACTTAGTTCTTTCTGGGACCTGGTTGTTCAGCTCTTCCTTAAACACTGGTACCCACTTAGAATTCTTCCCATAAATACCCTTTCTGGCTCAAGTTACCAGAGTTGGTTTCTGTTGCTCACACCAAGAATCCTAACTGATGCCTCTCCCTGCCATGGCCACCACCCTCATTACACAAAAGAGCATTTATTCAAGTCTCCTTGCTCACAGCCATGCTGGGAATGAATTACTGACATGGTTTTTGATCTCTGTAATGGAGCTTCTTACCTTGAGCCATGTCTTTTTAACACTTCCTTCATTAACCCTGATAGGGTTAGTCCTGAGCAGACTTACAGAAAGTAGTTAATAACATGTAATGCTTCAAAAATCAGGTTCCATTAAAAGCATCAGCCAGACAGGCAGAAATCACCACTACTTAGCCTTTTATTACACACTGTATGTGAATTACAAACGCACAATATAATGCTCATTCAAGACGATGGCCTGAATCATAAAATTTCAAGTATGAAATGTCCTCTGTTTATTTCAGCAGGAAAGCATGTAGTACGACCAGGCTCCTTGTTTATTTTTTATGATTCAGTGCTTTAAGGAGTAAGCCCAAATTACATGGCACTTTCACTCCTCCCGCGTGTCTCATCCCCTGACAAGGAAGGGATCAAAGAGGTGTTACAGTAGGGAGGAATTAAGATTCAGATTGCGAACAAGGCATCAACCATTGTATTTCTGGCATGATGAGCTGAAGGAGTATTCTGAGTGACTCACATTTATTCAAAGGAAGGTTGAAGCGGGTCACCACTCCTCTTGCCCTGGCTCTGACCATGATTCTTGAAGAAGGGAGTGTTTCAGGATCTGTTCTGATCACTTAAAAGGCAGGGACTCCAGATGGGCAAGAAAGTGGCCCTTGCGTGGTGCTCTTGGGAAAAGCTTTGATGTGAGGAGTACACTATTCATTTTGATCCTTTCTGAAGAGAGTTACAGCAAATTTAGTTCCACTCAACCTCTCACAAGGTCACACATCCAGTTGGTTCTCGGTAAAGATTAAGATGTAATGAGTCTGCCTGCTGAGGTATCCACCATAGACCCCCTCACTATGTCTCTTCATACCCCAGGAGCCCAATTTCTCTAAAGAAGAAATTTGCAGAAACAATTCGCTCCCTCAGCCTAATTTCCCTCTTAGGCAGGAGAACAATCTCTCAAAGACAATTCTGTCAAATAATAATAGTAATACAGGCACCACAACCACCTCCTGTTTTTATACCACACTGCCCTTCCAGGGGGACAGAATGCTTTGAAGATCCTCTCTCCTTCCAGAAGACAAGGAGCTATCGCTCCCTCTTGAACTCCCAGGAGGCTGGGTGGTGATCAGCCTGAAAGAATTTGTTCTTCACAAAATCACCCCTGTACCCTGTGATCTTCTCAGAGCTTGTAAATGGAGTTTTTGATGCCATAGTCTATGGAGGGTTTTTCTTCTTTCTTTTTTTCTTTTCTTCTCTCCCTCCTCCTCCCCCACTATTTTTCATTTCTTTTCTTTGTTCTTTCTTTTAGTCGGATTGAGCAGTTAGGATGATACTGCTTATAGTCATCTGCCAAGGAGGCTTCTTTTCAAGCTTAGAAGAAGTCAGTGGTGCTTTTCCGGTCCTTGGGCCTGTCAGTGGTCCTCTAGACTCACACAGGGTAATGGGCAGCCTCCATGGTGAGTCAGCTGCCGCCTTCCATGACTGGCTGTATTGTTTTCCTCTGCAGTGACTGGGCCAGCACTCCATCCCTTTAACACAAAGGCATTGTTATTGACTGGTTTTGAAGGAAAATTTATTTTCCTCCACCCTCCTAAACCACAACTTCAATGTCTCTTCCTCCTCCTCTTCATAATAGTCACAGTAGGATGTTCAATTATAGCTAAAAGCCCTAGATTTAAGTGACAGATTAAGAGGCTCGGCAGGTTGTTCCTCTAATGTTCATTTCAACTGTTGGTTTATTTTTTAACCTGCAGGCACTGGGTTTTAGGTAAGCCTTTTGACAAGGTGCTGTTTGCTGATGCATCCTGTGGTGGTCCGGCCCTCTCTGCAGGGCACTGGATGTGGTCTTTGGGCAAAGTCAGCTGCAGGAAGGGCACTGCCCACCACCATGGCACCTTTGATCCCTGGCCCCAGTGCCAGAGGCTCTGGCCACACAAAGTGACTGGAGGGCAGGAAGAAGCCCTCTGACACCCCCTCCTGTCCCAGCCTGGCACAGAGCCTGGCACACAGTGGGTGCTCCATACAGTCTGCAGGGTGAAAGAATGAAACGCTCTGAAGCCAAGAGGCTTAAGTGTCTGCATTTGCTTCAGATGGAGATAAGGGGAGAACTACAAATGCTGCCCACTTCTGAAATTACAAAGGAAAAAAATGCCTTTTTTTCATTTTGGCTTCATTATGCTTTAAAGGGCATATTTCTTGCTCTCAGTAACTCAGGCCCTCTTCCTCTCCTCCCCCAAGGACTCTTCCCAGGAGTCTTTGATCCCCCTGGGGCCTCACAGGAAATTGCTCTCGGCTGCTCACCTCTTCACCTGGGACCTCCTTATAAATTGAGGGCAGGACTTTCCAGGGAACTTTATACTTTAATAAGGATGCAAGATTTCTAGATTCTAAATGAAATTTCAGTGGTGGAATTCCAGATTCCCTTTACAGGTAAAAGAGAAGCCATCTGAGAGATTTCCCCTATAGTTTCTCAAAGCCAACTCGCACCTTCCTGTATGAGTGAGGCCGATACCTCAGACACCTAGGAGTTTCCTGGTTCACTACTGAGCAGAGACAATGAGGAATTCAGGAGCTGCTTTAGGTTGAGCTCAGCTCCTGTCTCACTTTAGGTGTTGAGCCGAAGGCACTGAACACCTCCTGCACCTTCCCAGATCTTTCATAGCCCCAGGGCCCTGTACTTCACTAGGACATTCAGGGCACTCTGGGCAACTTGTCCTGATGTCCAAAGCCCCATCAGGCGGGCGCCGTCCAGGTGCTGGAGCTGATCTGACTCTTGACTGACTAGGTTGGTGCTGTTAGGTGCTCCAGGCATGCCTGGAATTTCCCTTCACTGTATTTGGATTTTCTATGTGTCTTCTTCTCCCAGTGGGCTGTAAGTTCCTTGAGGGTAGGGATGGTCTTTCTTATTTTATATTCCTAGTGCCTAGTACAGTGTCCAGCCCATTATAAACAAGAATAAAAATATTGAGAAAGAGGGAGAGTGGGAGGGGAGAGAGAGAGAGAGAGAGAGAAGGAGAAGAAGAAAAAAAGGCAAAGGGGAGGAGGAGGAGGAGAGGAAGGAAGAAATTGCAGATTAGCCACCTAGTTTCTGCTCTTTACAACTAGTCTAATAACTAATTGCCAACCTGGCTCTAAAAGAAAGCTAGTATCTGTACATCTCTATGGATTTGAGTTTCCATCCTGAGGGCAATTGATTCTCTTGCTGAGAATTGGACTTGTCTTAGAGCTGTGATGGCACCATCTAATATGTAATTAAACCTAGGTTTTTTTCCTCCCATCTCCTTGATCCTCATTGTTAGTAACTACCCCAATTTTAAGCCCCCGTTTGAAGTCGGATACTGTTGGTATTTTACATTTAGCCTTTATCAGCAACCAGTTGGTGTGTGGTAATTGCAAATTATCTGAACAAGAGGCAAATTGTATAGCGAGAATCTGAAAAGGTCAGGGGAGCCGTGTCTAGAAACGGCAGCTAGAGAATTGAAGAAACTTGACTTGAAGAATTATTTTTAGACAATCACTAAGCCCTGCTAAATTAGACTGGAAATGCATGTGGTATTTAGTACCTGGTCCTTCTGCAATCAGCAAACTGGGGCAGAACTTTCTCGCATGAGTGGTGTGTGTGTGTGTTTGTGTGTGTGTGCGCGTGCATGTTCCTGCGCGCGTGCACGTGAACAAGATTCAGCCACGCTAATGGTCAGCTGCCACTCCCTGGTTGGGCCATCTGGTTGTTAGGTCCAGCATCTATTCTGAGTGGTCAGTGCTCAGGCTGTCTATATTAATTATTAAACATAACGGGCCAGGTGCAGTGGCTCACATCTGTAATCCCAGCACTTTGGGAGGCCAAGGAGGGTGTATCACTTGAGGTCAGGAGTTTGAGCCCAGCATGGCCAATAGGGTGAAACTCTGTCTCTACTAAAAACACAAAAATTAGCCAGGTGCGGTGTCATGCACCTGTAGTCCCAGCCACTCGGGAGGCTGAGGCAGGAGAATCGCTTGAACTCGGGAGCTGAAGTTTCAGTGAGCCAAGATGGCACCACTGCACTCCAGCCTGGGTAACAGAGCAAGACTCAATCTGAAAAACAACAACAAAAAAGAACAACAATTTTCTCCGAAGCAGTGAGGCTTAAACATCTGCATTTGCTTCAGATGGAGAGAAAGGGAGAACTATAAATGCTAGCCATTCCTCCTGAAGAAAAAAATGCCTCTTTTTCTCTCTTTCTGTCTTTCTCCCTCTCTTTTGGCCACAAAGTGTATGTTAAAGTTTAGGCAAGTTTCAAACACAAAAAATTATATTTTCATATCTTGCATTTTAGGCTAATCTGGAAGTTTAGCTTAAACTCAATATGGAAACAATGCGAATTAAGTTTTGAATCATGTCAGCTGTGAAGCTGCCCCTCTCTCATCCCTCCCATCCATGTCCCAGGCCATTATTTCCGTTATGTCAGCAGAGTCTGTCCCTCCACACAGTCATGTTTGGAGCTCCCCTTCTGTGTCTGCAATTTTCCAGGGAGCACAGGAGCGTGGAGTTTGAGACTTTCAGGATTTTCCCCTTAGTTCTTCTGCCGAGCCACTGCCAGGAGAGGAGGGATCCATGGAGTTCAACCCTGACTCCAACTCCTCTGCTCTCTGCACCGGCCAAGGAGTGCCCACCATCTCAGTGTCTTCAGGCCTTTCCGGGAGCCACATTAGCTCTCCTGAGTCACCAGAGTGCTGGCCTTGCTGCATTGGCCTTGCCCAGGGGACCCCCCAGCAGACAGACCCCCACTGGCCACCACCCCACAGCCTGAAAGGTAACTGGTAGGGCACGCGGCCCCCACTCCTAGAAAGCGGCTGCTGAGAAATCCATCATCCAGGCCACGGCAGTACTAGTCCCAGACACCTTTCCTCCCACTTGCCCTGAGCTCTTTTCAAAAGACTAGGGCGGAGGTTCTCAAGGGCCTTCTTTTTCCTTCCTACCAGAAGCCTGAGTGCGCTGACTCCTAACTATGAGCTCCCCCGTGTCCCCCTGTGCCTTTGCCAAGGGTTGCCACCCCATCTTCCATTTTCCTCTCTTTCCTTCCCTACCATTCCTTGTCTCCACCTTCACCATTGTTTTTTATTTTTATGTTCTTTACCTTTTATCCCTGTCTTTCTCTCTGAACACTCCCATTTCCATCACTCCCTGCAAAGCCAGCTCCCTCCCTGGGTCATAGCCCCTTCCCCAAAAAGGAAGGCCCTCTTCCAGCCCTGCCTGCACCCCCAACCCTTCTCGCCCCTCCACATATCCAAATGCTTCTGGATTTCCAGGCCCATCTCCCTTTTCCCCCTGCCCCTGCCTCAGCTTCCTCCCCGCTGCACTACATGCCGCAGGGCCAGGGCCAGTCTGTGGTTTCATTTTCTTTTGTTTCTTGTTTCTCGTATGCCAACTTTTCCCTCCCCCTGCCTCCCCTCCCCTCCCCTCCCCCTGCCTCCCCTCCCCTCCCCACTGTGAGCTCTTTAGGGATAGGTAATACACCCATATTTCCTTTTGGTTCCCCTCACAGCCTGGAAGGTGCTTTAAAAAACACTTGTAATCCTAGCACTTTGGAGGCCGAGTGGGGTGGAACACGAGGTGAGGAGATCGAGACCATCCTGGCCAACATGGTGAAACCCCGTCTCTACTAAAAATAAAAAAATTAGCTGGGCATGGTGGCGTGTGCCTGTAGTCCCAGCTATTTGGGAGGCTGAGGCAGGAGAATCACTTGAACCCGGGAGGTAGAGGTTGCAGTGAGCCAAGATCGCGCCACTGTGCTCCAGCCCGGAGACACAGCGAGACTCCATCTCAAACAAACAAAAAACAAACACTTGTTTGGCCAGGTGCAGTGGCTCTCGTGTGTATTCCTAGCACTTTGAGAGGTCAAGGTGGGAGGATCACTTGAGGCCAGGAGTTCCAGACCAGCCTGGGCAACATAGCGAGAACCCATCTCTACAAAAAAATTGAAAAATTAGCCGTGTGTGGTGGTGCACACCTGTAGTCCCAGATACTTGGGAGGCTGAGGCAGGAGGAGTGCTTGAGCCTAGGAGTTCAAGGCTGCAGTGAGCTATGATCACACCACTGCACTCTGTCTAGCCTGGGTGACAGAGCAAGACCTTGTCTCAAAGACAAACAAACAGTTGTAAAACAAAAGCAAAAACAAGGCCGGGTGCGGCGGCTCACGCCTGTAATCCCAGTGCTTTGGGAGGCTGAGGTGGGTGGATCACGAGGTCAGGAGATCAAGACCATCCTGGCTAACATGGTGAAACCTGGTCTCTACTAAAAATTCAAAAAATTAGCCAGGCGTGGTGGCAGGCGCCTGTAGTCCCAGCTACTCAGGAGGCTGAGGCAGGAGAATGGCGAGAACCTGGGAGGCGGAGGTTGCAGTGAGCTGAGATCGTGCTACTGCACTCTAGCCTGAGCGACAGAGTGAGACTCCGTCTCAAAACAAACAAACAAAAAAAAACAACAAAAAACCCCAAAAAACACTTGCTGACTGGTTGATGCAGATATTGAATGAGGTGATCAAGCCAGTCTGGCTTCTTGCAGGACTAAGGTCAAGCCTCTGAGCTGAGTTGTCTTCTCTGACAAGTCCATGGGGGAGAACTGGAGTGTAGGCCTGGGTGGGAGCCCAGGCTTTGGAGCAGAGAATTACAGAAACAAATCCTGGCTCTATCACTGACCAGCTGGGGGACATCGGCAAGTGATCCCACCATTGTGAGCCTCAGTTTCTTCATCATTAAATGGGGATGATAATAGCCTTTGGGTTGCTGTGAAGGTTAGATGGGATGGTGTTTTAAAGGACCACTGCATGCTGTTTTATTCTCTCCTTCAGCCCCTGCTTGTGAAGACACAGGGGCCAAGCCCTGGGGGGACAGCATCCCTGGAGTGCTGTCAGTGTCAACTGAGAGAGAATATATGAGCCAGGGAAGCAGAGGGGTAGCAGCACCCAGGTCCAGCTGGCTGGGGCTGCTCACAGTTACTCTGGGATACTGGGAAAGTTATGCCAATACATCAGGGATGGATGTGCAACCTATTCTTGCTCACACTCCACATCTGCTCCCCCTGTCAGCTTCCTTAGGCAGATGCTGATGACTTTGGGGCCCTGGGAGAGTGCAGACAGAGAGCCTTTCTAGATTTATCCTCTGGGTGAGGCTGTGGGGCTCCTGGGATGCAGATGGTGTTGGCCTCACTGCCCCTGACAGAGAATGGGATCCCACCCTGTGTGCTCAGTTACAGTTCATGCCCCATCATGATGTGATGATTCTGCAATGTCAACAGGGTCAGAGCAGGCACTTTGGAGTCACACAGACATTGGTTCAAATTCTTCAACAACTGGCTGTGTGATCATGGCCAGTAACTCAATCTGCTTGAGCTTTGATTTTCCTATCTGTAAAAATGGGGATTGGACTGCACAGTGGCTCACACCTATAATCCCACTGCACTGGGAGGCTGAGGCAGTAGGATTGCTTGAGGCCAGGAGTTTGAGACCAGCTGGGGCAGCAAGACCCTCATCTCTACCAAAAATTTTAAAAATTAGCCAGGTGTGGTGGTGCATGCCTATAGTCCTAGCTATTTGAGAGACTGAGGTGGAGGGTGTTTCTTGATTGTGCCTGGGAAGTCGAGGCTGCAGTGAGCTATGACGGCGCCAATGCACCCCAGCCTGGTCGCCAGAGCAAGACTTCATCTCAAAAAAAAAGGAGGGGGGATGATTACATCAACCTCATGAAATAAAGATAACATGAGATAAAGCGTGCCAAGCTTCTAGTAGAGGCCAAAGAGAATGCTCTCAATAAAACATACCAGAACATACCAGGCCCAGAGGCACCATGTGCCATGACCTATTGACTGGAGAAGAATGCGGAGGAAATGAAAAGTACAACTTCATGGAGACACAAATGCTGGGGTTTGGAGCTAATGCTGAGAAGACGCCCCTCTGGACTGACAGACTCCAACTCTCTGAGCTCAAGACTGACTGTCTTTATTCTGAAATTTCTGAAGGGGTCATGGGGGATACCATAGGCCACATGCACACGAGGGTCTAGGCATCATGGTAGCTTGAGCAACCGAGTCCTCCCACTGTGGGGTTTTCATGTGTGTGAGATGTGAAACGTAGCATGCCCTGACATCATTTTAATAAGGCTCAGGCACTTTCAGGGGATGCTCCAGAGTCTTTCACTGAAACCATTGTGCTGTCAAAAGCTGACATTATAACGACATTGCAGAAGGGACTCCCTGAGAAATCACTGCTCATTCCCTTTCAGGCAGTTCGTTTACCTGCAGAAGCTGGACCCGCTGCTCTGCTCTGCAGCATCTGGCGATTGACATGATCCTGTAAGTCAATTTTGCAGCTGAGTGGACTGAGGTCCCAGAAAGCCAAAGGCCTGAAGTGGAAAATATAGAGCAGGTGACTCATTAAGCCTTGAGTCTAGGACTTGAGCCCCAAGGAACAGCCTACACACTGCTGATCTTATTGGATATTAGGAGGCCTGATTGGACTGTGGCCTCGTTTTAGGCCAGCATAGGAAGGAAGAGAGAGCTTGAGAATATTTTCCACTGCTGATTTTTCAGGGATTTTAATGCATTTATTCTCCTACCCAGCGCACTTTGATTCTTCATCCAATTCCCACTGTCTGCCTAAAACTTTCCCCTTTCCCCTTCCATTCTGTTCTATCCAAGGTGCTTGCAAATGTCCTCCCTTCTCTCCAGATGCTCCCTACCTCTGTCCCAACTAGGCGGATGGTCATGAGAAGACTGAGGCCCACTGGAATGATCTCTGGCCATCTCCCCTCCACTCCAATATATTTCTGGTTTGTCACCTCCCCTGCCCTCCACTTTCCAGTTTCAGAAGATTAGGTGGACATTTTCCTCAACAGAGCCAACCTTGGAGGCCATCATTTCTGTTGGGACCCTGTGTTCTCTCCTGTAGTCTGGATTGTTTCTCTTTTTCTCCACTGGCCCTTCTCCAGCTTTCAGACACTTGACCCGCTCCCCCAGTTCTACTTCTTTTCACTGGTGAGCTTCTTTACCAGTCATCCTCATCTGCCGCCAACATTATCTGGGGCATATCCCTGGGGCAGCTTACACCTCCTCAGTGGGGACCTTCCCTAGCTTCTTATTCAGATGACACCCCTGACATCAGGGGCATCTCTCCAATGGTCAAGCTGCGCAGTGCCCATCCCTTAATACTCTGTAATCTTGGGTGCTCTTAGCAACCCATCTTCCTTGAAGCTCTTTCCTCAGAGGGCCTCCGTGACATTCAATTCTCTGAGTTCTCATCATTCTTCTGAACTGTTTCTCTCTCATTCCCTTGGCATCTCTTCCTCTTTTCATACCAGATCTATGCAACTTTTGGCTCAATGCATTATTTCCGTATTTTCTTTTTTCTTTTCTTTTTTTTTTTTTTTTTGAGACAGAATCTCACTCTGTCACCAGGCTGTAGTGCAGTGGTGCAATCTCGGCTCACCACAACCTCCACCTACCGGATTCAAGCGATTGTTCTGCCTCAGCCTCCCGAATAGCTGGGACTACAGGCACAAGCCACCATGCTCAGCTAATTTTTGTATTTTTAGTAGAGATAGGGTTTCACCATGTTGGCCAGGATGGTTTCGATTTCTTGACCTCATGATCCACCTGCCTTGGCCTCCCAAAGTGCTGGGATTACAGGTGTGAGCCACTGTGGCCAGCCCATTCCCCTATTTTCTATTCTTTTTCTGAAAACGCACTCATTCTCATTTCTCTAAGTTCTTTGGGGGAGGAGATGACCCTCAAAGCTGGACTAAGACAAGGTGTGGGTTTAAGAAGAAAATGAGAAATAGTTGGTAAAGGAAACTGAGATATTGAGAATGTGGGAGGTGCTTGTTTATTTTTGGGTTTGTTGGCATTTTAAGGGATTGTTCCAGCATATCCCGTCATTGTTCATTCCCTGGCTTCCTAGTTCCTCCCTTGCATTATGCAAATATTAATTCAATATTCTATTTATGGATTCAGGAACCATAGTCTTAAGCTGTATTGTTTACTGGGTGACTTCAAGATGAATGACAGGTCTAAAACCCTTCCTGCCTGGTTTGTGAAAACCAATCTTCTGTGCCTCAGCCATTCTGACGAGATGTGATGTAGGACTGACCTTTGCATGGACTGATCGGGGGATACACAGATCCCCGGCTGGGCATGATCCATTGGTTTGATTGTGCAGAGCCGGCCTTATTCAGGATGGCTTGCATAGCTTTTATTTGTAGGAGTATTCCTGTTTCAGAAGCAGAGTGCTGCCCAGGATGAGGGAGTGCCAACTATTCCTTTTCTATTATCCTCTCATTTCTAGGGAACAACATTTGAACAGCATTCACACTAAGCATCCCTAAAACTTGCCCTCAAGGCCAAGAGGCTTCCTTTTCCAGTCTTTAAATCAGTCTCTGTGTCCGCATCTGGCTTTTAAGATTTTTGTGAACTCCATCAACATCACTGACAAACTGGGAGATGCCCAAATCTCAACAGAAATCAATCAAAGGTTACAATTTTAGGGAAAAAAAAGTTGCTTTGTTTTCTGACTTGTACCACAAACAGTGGCTCCAATCTGTCATTATGACTGAGAACATGTCACAACAATCTGTTTTGATTCTTTAGGAAAGAAAGGCATCTTGCTCTCCTCCAGCTACAGCTAATTTGGAAAATTTGCAAGCTGACATGCAACTTGATTAAAATGACCTGGAGCCACCAATTCTTTCAAAATGCAACTCAGTGCTTACAATCCCAGACCTCCTGTAATCCAGTTATCTCCTCTAAAGCTTTTTTGGGGAGGAAGGGAGGAGATGGGGAAGAGGAAGAGCTATATGTTATAACCCACATAGAGATTTTAAATTATTTATATTTTCCCCCTTCAACTCTACTGTCACTATAGATTTCCTTCACAGCCTAGAGAGGAAAAGTAAAGTCTGATATTTCTTCTTTTTTTTTTTTTTTTGAGACAGAGTCTCGCTGTGTCGCCCAGGCTGGAGTGCAGTGGCGCGATCTCAGCTCACTGCAAGCTCTGCCTCCCGGGTTCACGCCATTCTCCTGCCTCAGCCTCTGGAGTAGCTGGGACTACAGGCACCCGCCACCACGCCCGGCTAATTTTTTGTATTTGTAGTAGAGACGGGGTTTCACCGTGTTAGCCAGGATGGTCTCGATCTCCTGACCTCGTGATCTGCCCATCTCGGCCTCCCAAAGTGCTGGGATTACAGATGTGAGCCACCGCGCCCGGCCAAGTCTGACATTTCTAAGTGATTGGTGTGGGTTTCATAGTTCTGGGTACAGAGCAGGGACATCATCCAAGTGAAGCACCAGGGTTGAAGCTGGAGACTTTTGACATTGTGGTTTCACTCCTATTCCATAGTTTTAGAAAATATATAGGAATCTGTCCCAGTTTGAATGGGCTCACCCCACTTGGTCTTTGTCAAACCCTGGCTACATTGAGAGTATTGGTATTTCCTTCTTGGAAAACCAATGGGTAAAACAAAACAATCACAGTCTGGCCAATTCCAGCAGTGGGAACCATAAGGTCCTACATGATGGAAACTGAGGCAGTGTTCAGAAGTCAGAGTTTAGGTTTGGTCTATAAATATGTTTCTGTGAATATCTTGGCTTTCTTTATGGCTTCTACAAATGTGTATTATTGGCCCATCAGTGAAGGAGGATGTTAACGTAGGAGGTATTAATGTGAGCTGCTGTGGGTGCCCACAGCTGCATTGTTCACTAAGACAATGTATAATTACTAAGAGACAATATATAATTACATGTTGAATTGTGTGCTGCAAACTGTAAGTGTTGACGTTTTAGCTTGGAGATGGGAGTGCCAATACTGGTTGAGACCACATACACACAGACACTTATTTGTTGGGAACTGTACAGTAATGAGAATCATTCCTGAATCCTGTTGCCTTGGCAACCTTTCCTAAAATGATGTCGATAAAGAGCTAGCAACACTTATCAATGAAGCCAGCATGTCTTGGGAAGGAAAGCTGCTGAAAACAAGGCATCAAGCATCAGACCAAACTGGCATTTAGAGGGATGGCTCTGTCTAAAGTCTGGTAAAGATGAGAAATGTGGGATCAGATATTAAGGTCATGGTTATCAGCAATAGCCCCCATGACACCCTGGCCAAACGCATATCCACTGTCAAGGTGGTGGGACATTCACCAGCTCAGGCTCCAGCTCTTGCTCATGGCAGATCTTCTGTTTTTGTGTGGTTGGGCAATACCTGAGATGCCAGAAGGGACACCCTAGGGTGAGGCAGCAACCCTGTCTGGAAGACATACAACTCCAGGGTAGCAAGGATGTCTGGACATTTTCCCTCTTCCTGGTCACTCTTGGCTTAATGTAAATTTCTGGTCTGATTTGGTTTTTGTAACACTCTGAGGTGGTAAAGGAGGACTGATATAGTTAGTCCCTTTTTAAAGATAACAAAAATAAGGCCAGCAAAGATTAAGTAACTTGTTTATGCTGTCTTAGAGACAAGTCAGTGCTAAAACCAGGGATTTGATTTGTTCTTCCTGCCAGGTGGTATGGAATCCTTCAGGAATCCCACTGTCCACCTACCCCACCTCAGGACCTGCAACATTTCTAATTTCTTACTCAGCACAGCTGACAAGGGCTCACTCTGTGGGTCTGGGTTCAAGTCCTGCCTGTGCAGACTGAACTCTGACTCAGGCTCCTGAAGTCAGGTGAACAGGGCAGGGCAGCTGACTCCTGCATCACCCTGGGCTGAGGCAGGCAAAGCTCCTCTGGTGCCCGCACCAGATCAGGTGCCTCTTCTGGTTTTCAGTGAAGAAAGACTGATGAACCTCTCTGGGAATAATATTTTATCTTGACAATATCAATAAAAAGATTGTGAGACTGCATTTTAAAGTTTCTTTTTAGAGCATTAAATCTTGTCCAGATTTTTCTTTTCTTTTCTTTTCTTTTTTTTTTTTTGCTTTCTCGCCCAGGCTGGAGTGCAATGGTGCGATCTCAGCTCACTGCAACCTCCGCCTCCTGGGTTGAAGCAATTCTCCTGTCTCAGCACCCCAAGTAGCTGGGATTACAGGCACACGCCACCATGCCCGGCTAATTTTTTTAGTAGAGACAGGGTTTCACCATGTTAGCCAGGCTGGTCTCGAACTCCTGACCTCAGGTGATCTACCAGCTTCTGCCTTCCGAAGTACTGGGATTACAGGCGTGAGTCACTGTGCCCGGCTTGTCTGGATTTTTCTTACCCATTTTAATTGTGTTATTTTAAATTATATACCATCAAGTACAGCTTGACTGCGTTCAGACCAAAACATTTATCCAGGCATCTTCCAGACATGGGACTTCAATAATTGTTTACATTAGTGTCAATCCTGAGATTGAATGAACAAAAGGGTACAAATTTGCATGCTGTTAAAGGCCATCTACAAAAAACACTCAGAGAAAAAGATTAGAGCATAAATTGCCTATAGTGGCATCTATCTAACCCCTGGGCTCCTAAGAGGAGCAAAACTCTTATAAAAAGCCCCTTTGCCCTTGTTAATTACAGAATAACAGATTGAAAGGGGCAATATCCTCCTACTATATTCCTTCATATGCCACAGTTTGTTCCCTCCCTCCCTCCCCTTCCTTCCTTCCTTTCCTCCCTCCCTCCCTCCCTCCCTCCTTCCTTCCTTCCTTCCTTCCTTCCTTCCTTCCTTCCTTCCTTCCTTCCTACCTTCCTTCCTTCTTTCCTTCCCTCCCTCCCTTTCCACTCTATTTATTGTGCCCTGACTGTTTCATCAAGCACAGCTCTGGACTGGGGATATGAAGGTAACTGAGGTAGAGACCTTGCCCATATAGGGTTCTTCTTCTGGTTGGAAATAGACACAAGGTTTTGATGACCTCTCACCAAAGTCATGCGGGTACACAGAGAAGATCAACAAGGTCAAGGTGAGGAAAGGGCTCATGGAGCAGGTGACCTTTCTCTTGGGCTCCAGAGGAGGGTAAGAATTTGCCAGTTGGAGAAAGTATTTGTGGGAGGGGAAGGGACTATCTAGGCAAAAGGAATGGCATGATTAAAGGTGCGATGACAAAAAGCAGTGGCTTAGGGAATATATTCAGTTACTGGATGTGGCAGAAAAACCACAACAAAATTTGCATTCTCTAATACCATAGAATAGCTGCCCAGCCACAGACTACATTTCCCAAATGCATTTGTGCCCAGATGGGGACATGTAACTAGTATTCTTATCAATGGTTAAGGCGGTCAAGAAGTGAACCTACTTTTCCATTCTGTATTCCCTATCTGCTGACTAGGATGCTAAAGATTCTGAATGCCAGGCAATGGAAAAGTCACCAAATGGAAGAAACCTGGGCCTTGAATCACTATGGATGACCACCCACTGACAAGTGACTCCTGCATTTCACTAATAGTACCATGTCAGTAAGCAGTACATTTTTATTGTGGAAGGCACTGAAAAAAATTGGGATTTCTTTATTACTGGAGCTGGCATTACCCTAGGTGTGACCAGATGGCATCTTAATATGCGTTCAAAAAGAAAGGAAGAAAAGAAAGAAAGAAAGAGAGAGAGACAGAAAAGATTCCATAGTGAACTAAAGTTGAGAAACACTGAATTCAGCAGGCTTCATGATTGCAGGATGTTACAAGCTTTTAATATGTTAAGGTATATTATGAATCTCCAAGAGAGATCTAGTGTGCAGTGTTTTCTTAATGTCTTTGGCCATGCAATGATTTTGTTAATACTTGTGAACATACTGTGGTTCTTTAGAAGTCAGTTAGAGGAAAGCTAAAGTCAACACATGGCAATGTGTTGAGGTAGGAAAGGCAGGGCCCGTGGGATGCTCCCTTCCTTCCCCCTCCCTCCCCACTCCCTCAAGTTCTGGCTTCTAAGCTTTTCTCTCAGCCCTCAAATGAGGCATGCTTGGTATTGTGTTTCTGGTCTTTGCTCTGCCTGGATTTTTCTCCATTAATTTATTCAGCTTTTTTCCTCAAAGCCCAGCTTTCTTTGTGAACCGCATCTCCAAGTCAGAGAGAATTCTGTCCCTCTTGGCCTTCATAGCACATGGCTTCCATTTCTGCTTTTCACTCACTTCGTTCCACCTTACAACGTGAGGAATGGCTCATGTATCTGTCCCCCTCATTGGAAGTAATTCCTTGAGGCTGGGCGCAGTGGCTAATGCCTGTAATCCTGGCACTTTTGGAGGCCAGCAAGGGCAGATCACCCGACGTCAGGAGTTTGAGACCAGCCTGGCCAACATGGAGAAACCCTGTCTCTACTAAAAATACAAAAATTAGCCAGGCATGGTGGCATGTGCCTGCAGTTCCAGCTACTCGGGAGGCTGAGGCAGGGGAATTGCTTGAACCTGGGAGGCGGAGATTGCAGTGAGTCAAGACTGTACCATTGCACTCCAGCCTGGGTGGCAGAGCAGGACTCCGTCTCAGAAAAAAAAAAAAAGTAAATTCCAAGTATAATATAATGCTTACACAAAAAGTACACATAGTATGTATATCGACCTGGATGAATTTTCATGAACACTCCTATGCAATCAGCATTCCAATCAAGAAACAGCATTACCAGCACCCTAGAAACCCCTATGGTCGCTACCCTCACCAGGATAATAACCATCCTGACTTTTAGCACCATAGATTATTTCACCTGTTTCGTAATTTACTCAAATGAAGTCATACAGTATGTACTCTTTCCTCTCTGACTTTTGTAAGAGGCATTCGTATATTTGTGTGTAGATATAGGCCATTTAAAGAATTTCATTGCATGAATAAAGCATAATTTATTTGTTCTACTGTTGATGAGTATTTAGGTAGTTTCCAGCTTTATGCTTTACAAACAGTGTTGCTGTGAGCATTCAAGTTCACATCTGTAATGAGCATATAGATGCATTTCTGCTGGGTGTATACCTAGGAGTAGAATTGCTGGGTCATACGGTATGAGTATGTTCAGCTTCAGTGGATTCTGCCAAATGGTTTCCAAAGTAGTTGTACAACTACACTTCCACCAGCTGTGTTTGAGAGTTGCAGTTGTCCTGCTTCCTTGCCAACACAAATTTCCTCCGTTTTCCTCTTGGCATTCTGATGGGTGTACTGCATTGTAGTTTTGGTTAGCAATTCTCTTATGATTAATTAACCAATTTACTGTATTTATTGTCTGGAGATCATCTTTTGCGAAGGATCTAAGTCATTTGTCCATTTTTCTATTGGGTTTTCTGTATTTTTCTTATTGATTTCTAAGAGTTATTTACATATTCTGGTATGGACTCATTACAAAATTTCTCCAAGGCCTGAGCACTACTAGTTTCCACATTGAATAAAATTTTGCTGCATAAAATAGAACAAAAGAGCACCATCAGATCTTTAGCCATGGGGTGGCCTTCACCACTGTGCAGTGTTTCCCTTCTCACCACTACAGCCTCCTTAGCAGTTAAAGGGGGAATATCTGTATGGGGCAAGTTTGGATGAGGCTCAGAAAAGTCTTGGGGCCCACGTGGACCTCCTATTGCTGGAAAGTCCATAGGCAGCTGTTGATTGAAGACTCAGCCAACAGTGGCTGCTGGGCCATTCAGCCTGGACCACATAGACATTGCTCAGTGGGTGGGGATGGTTTCATTCATTCATTCATTCGATCAACATATTTTTTGTTTTGTTTTTTTTTTTTGAGACAGAATCCCACCCTGTCTCCCAGGCTGGAGTGCAGTGGCACGATCTCGGCTCACTGTAACCCCCTGCCTTCTGGGTTCGTGCGATTCTCCTGCCTCAGCCTCCCGAGTAGCTGGGATTACAGGCAGACACCACCACACCCGGCTAATCTTTGTATTTTTAGTGGAGACGGGGTTTCACCATGTTGGCCAGGCTGGTCTCAAACTCCTGACCTTGTGATCCACCCGCCTCAGCCTCCCAAAGTGCTGGGATTACAGGCGTGAGCCAACATGCCTGGCCTTCAACAAATATTTATTGACCACCTTCTGGGCACTCTTTTAGGTACTTGAGCTACATCAGTGAATAGAACAAAGATATCTGTCCTCATGGAGCTTATATTCCAGTAGGGGAGACAGACAAGGAGGGTTAAACATAATAAATTTTTTTTTTTTTTTGAGTTGGAGTCTCGCTCTCTCACCCAGGCTGGAGTGCAGTGGTGCGATCTCAGCTCACTGCAAGCTCCGCCTCCCCGGTTCACGCCATTCTCCTGCCTCAGCCTCCCGAGTAGCTGGGACTACAGGTGCCCACCACTGCGCCCAGCTAATTTTTTGTATTTTTAGTAGAGATGGGGTTTCACTGTGGTCTCGGTCTCCTGACCTCATGATCCGCCTGTCTCGGCCTCCCAAAGTGCTGGGATTACAGGCATGAGCCACCGCGCCTGGCCAATAAATTCTTACGTAATATCTTAGAAGGCAATTTGTGCAAGACCAGTCGGGGGTGTTTGTGAGGCAGCTGGCAGTAGGGTGAAAAGGCGAGCTTAAGCAGGGATTGGGGAGGAGAGGAAGGCAGCCATGAGGATGGCTGGAGCATCCATGGAGGAGAGGGCTCATGCAGAGGCCCTCGGTGGGAGAGTGTCAGGCATGTTCAAGGAGCAGTAAGGATGATGGGAGGTGACAGAGGTCACAGGAGCCCTATCCTGGTGGGATCTGGGAGGCTTTGCTTTGAGGATGCTTGAGATGGGGAGTTGTCAGATGATTGGAGCAGAGGAATCACAGGATCTGACTTACATGGCACACAGCTCCAACTGCGGTGCTGAGAAGAGATGAGGGTAGGACAGGCACATGGAGACCCACTGGGAGGTGTGTAATAAACCAGGTGAGAGGTGCTGGTGGCTGGCACCAGGGTGGTAGGAGCAGAAGTGGTAAGAAGTGATTAGATTCTGGATGCATTCTGTAGGCAGAAAAGGCTCTTCTGATGGAGTGTATGTGGGGTGTGAGTGAGAGGAGTCAAGGATGACTTGGTTATCTTGAGACTTCCAGTGGCTCACGCCTGTAATCCCGGCACTTCGAGAGGCTGAGGCGAGCAGATCGCTTGAGCTCAGGAATTCAAGACCAGCTTGGGCAACATAGTGAAACCTCGTCTCTACCAAAAATACAAAAATCAGCTGGGCATGGCGGCTCACGCCTGTAGTCCTAGCTACTTGGGAGGCTGAGGTGGGAAGATAGCTTGAGCCTGGGAGTTGGAGATTTCCATGAACTGAGATCGCGCCACTGCACTCCAGCCTGGGTGACAGAGCAAGACCCTGTCTCAAAAAAACAAACAAACAAAAAAGCCAAAAAAGGAATGACTTGGCTGTCATGAGACTTCAGGTTCTGGTCCCTGATCATAAGAACTCCTTCTTTCCCTGGGGTGTCCTCCCTGCTCACCAGGTCTGGTGTCCTCCTCTCAACCCCATCCACCATCCCATCCTGGGTCTTGATTCCCATCCCAGTCCAGTTTAACTGTCACCTGGTAGACACCCCTTCTCTTCTTTCCATCCATGGTTATAATGAAAACTCTCCCCTGCTTCCCCCAGGGCTTCACTTTGAGCTCTGAAGGCTTATTTTGAAAGCAAAAAATTTATTTTCTTCCCTTTGCAGTCCCACTAAAGCATTCCTAATTCTCCTTGAGGCCACATGAATGCCTCTGACTGATTCAAAAGCGAGTCATAAAAAGGAAAGCATGATTGATTAATATTTCAAGGAAACATGTTATTTAGTTTACTTTTTGTATGTTTCTTACCACTTAGAATCTGGGAAATCTCTGGTGTTAGAGCCAAAAGATAACCAAGAGAGACTCAGGGAGGTTAACCTAGGCCCAGGGAGGTGAACCAAGATCTAGGGAGCTAACTGAGGCCAGGAAGGTAAAACAATCCACAGGTTAGTTTGTTTAGCAACTGGGCTGCAAGTTTTTCACTCTTGGAGAAATGGTTCTTCCATGACAATAAACCTGGGATGACCTAATCTGTTTCTGGGCTTTTTATCTGGACTTTCTGTTTTCATTGGCCTTTTCTTCCTCCTCATTATCTCCCTCCAGACAAGCTCTGCGGTTAAAGCCTCTTGGTTTCAGAGTTGATCCAGTTACATTATACATGAATAGCAGATGTGTTCCTAAAAGGCTCTGGGCTCACTTCGGGTCCTCTATGGTAAGCTGACCTTTTGGCAGGCCTTGGAGGGCGCATGCCTTCAGAAAGGGCAGCTGTCTTTTGCCTGCCTGTCCAAACCCATGGCAGGTTCCTCCCAGCCTTCCCAGGGCAGACTGCTCTGCCTGCCCTCTCCTCCACACCCACAGGGGCTGTTTAGTGCATCCCCTCTGCCAGTCCTGGGCCTCCCCTTCAATAACAACAGTGTCTTCCCTGGCTCTGATGGGGTTTGAATCAATGTAAACAAATGTAGGCAGATTAGGCAGAATAGTGGGTTGGTGGAATGGAAAGGTTGGGACTGGGAACCCATGCCCACACTGCATAATTTGTGACCACTTTGGTTGTAGGAGTTCAAGCCCAAGCCCTACATCCCTGAGTCAGTTTGCTGCTTGTGTCCCTGGAAAGGATGCAAACTGTGGTTTGTTGGCCAGTTATGACTGTATCATAAATATATACTTACAAATGTAAGCCACAGTATTAAAATTTACACATTCACAGCATTATACAGCACACAAAAATGTCTCAGTTTGCAGATGGGGTCACTGAGGCTCAGAGAGATGAAGCAAGGTAGCTGTCCAAAGTCATAGGCAGTGAGAGACAGCTGGGGTTCACAATCAAAGCTCCCATGACCCCACAGCCCATTCTTTCCCCATTGCATTACCTGCCAAAGTCCCGTCAGTATCTCTATATGAGGCATATTCCACATAAATCTCTGCTCCCAAGTCAATCACCAGGCTTGGCCTCTGCTCCCGGGGCATTAGTTACTAGCTTAACCCTCCCCAGTTGCTCCCCATGGTCTACAGAGGTTCCCTATATCGGATCTATTTACCCTTTTCTGAAGCTCTGATTGAGCACTGTAGGACATCCATCTCTGGCTCAGAGATCATTTGATTAATGACATAGTCTTCTGATGCTCCTTTGTTTCTGGTTCTGTCCTTTTGCAGAACATGACAGTTGGCATAAGGGTGGAAGTGAGGGACTAGGAATCAAGCAGCTGGTCTGAGTCCTGGCTATGCATTGTGGTGTATGACCTTGGGACATTCCTGTACTTGGGTGCAATTTCCTAACCTATGGAACAGGGGGATTGGGAATAATCTATCTGGACTCTCCCAATTCTAAAATTCTGCGCTTGTCTTTAAAAAGGTAAGCAAGCAGACTAGACCCTAAAGCTAACAATACCTTCCTGAAAAAAAATACCCTCAAATCCATATCCAGTAGGGATGGCATTTGTGATCTGGGCGTTGGCATTCGTGAATGTGATTACAAGATTCTAATATAGTTGCTGCTAAAATTTCATCCGAAAATTTGAAGCAATGCATGCTGATAGACTCTAATCCCTAAAAGTCCTCTATGCAATATTTCGAATATATATTTTGTCAAAGATTTGATGCTCTCTGCTTAGGTATTTCTAACAAGCACTCTCATCAAACAAATCTCTTTGAAAATGCATTAGATAACACGGTTCCTTCAATTCCATATCTTCCTTTCTGTCTAAACTGAAAAAGCCAGTTCACGTTATTAATGACAAGTCATTTTGCAGAGTGCCCGGGTTAATAGAAGAGATAACTGGCAAAATAAAAATGTGTAATACTAACATGCTGAAGATAAAACAGAGGTCTGATGTGAATGCATAATGTGGAGAATGGGAGGAAAAGTCACTGGCTGGTGCGGAATTCTAGCAGAATGAACAGGACAGCTGTGGCCACCAGCTGGTCCGCTGGTTTCCCAACTTGCTACGTTTCTGCCCTGCTTTTCTCCCAACTAACCTTGTTGAACCCAAATCCTAGAAGTTTAGAGTTAAAAAAAAAAAGGCCTTTAGGGAAATCTGAGGGTGAGGAAACTGAAGCCCAGGCATGGGGGGAGCTCATCTAAAGAAACCCAGCCAGTTAGAGGCAAAGGTGGCTCAGGAACCCGTGTTTACTACCATTTTGGTGCTTTGCCCATGATTCTACAATTCCAGGTGCCTGCTCCTGTCTTCCCCACATCAACCTAGGCCAGGGAGAAGGAATAGAGATATAGCAAATAAAATTCAGGGGACAGTTGATTCTAATTCCACCTGTACCCTTGCCTAGTTATATGGCTTTGGGAAAATCACTTCTCCTCTCTGTGCCTCAAACTCCCCCACTGTAAAATGAGCTGATACAGGTAGAACCCTTTGCACTCTCATGAATGTCCAAAAAAGTTAGTGATGGTTGTTCATATTTGGTGATTTTTTGTTTTTAGTTATACAGTCCCTGTCTGGAAGCAGAAGACAGGATTGGAGGACCTCTTGAAGTCATATCTTGCTTAAGAATTGTGTGTTTTCGGTTGGGTGTGGTGGCTCATGCCTGTAATCCTAGCACTTTGGGAGGCTGAGGTGGGTGGATCATGAGGTCAGGAGTTTGAGACCAGCATGACCAGCATGGTGAAACCCTGTCTCTACTAAAATACAAAAATTAGCCAGGCATGGTGGCGTGCGCCTGTAATCCCTGTACTCAGGAGGCTGAGGCAGGAGAATCTCTTGAACCCAGGAGGCGGAGGTTGCAGTAAGCCGAGATCGTGCCACTGCACTCCAGTCTGGGAGATAGAGCAAGACCCTGTCTCAAAAAAAAAAAAAAAAAAAAAAAAAAAAATCGTGTGTTTTCTTGATCGTCCTCAAGTTCAGAATCAGAAGGAAAAGTTGGCTGTTCTCTGTGTTCATTGAGCATTAAGACAAGAGGAAAGGCAGTTCAAAGATAGCTGAGGCCACTGTGGTGGATTCCTTGAAGAGTGTGGAATCTCCTTAGGTGGTAAATTTGATGCAGAGCCTGGGACCAGCAGCATTTATTTGTAAATGGTACAGAGATGGAGAGCAACCCTAAGCGACCCTGGTACTCTTTCCACTATAAGGAGTTGGGGATTTCCTCTGCAAATTTTTGATGAGTTGGTCTCATTTTAGAAATATTAAAATACTTATAAATGTGTAATACTGACACAGGTGCCAGTAAAAAAGAGGAATCAGCCGGGCGTGGTGGCTCATGCCTGTAATCCCAGCACTTTGGGAGGCTGACGCGGGTGGATCACCTGGGTTCAGGAGTTTGAGACCAGCCTGACCAATATGGCGAAATCCCATCTCTACTAAAAATACAAAAATTAGCTGGGCGTGGTGGTGGGCGCCTGTAATCCCAACTACTCGGGAGGCTGAGGCAGGAGAATCGCTTGAATCCGGGAGGTGGAGGTTGCAGTGAGCTGAGATTGCCCCATTGCACTCCAGCCTGGGCAACAGAGCAAGACTCCATCTCAAAAAAACAAAATAAAACAAAAAAAACATCCTCGGGGATTATGAAGACATGAAAAACGGAATTGGGGCTGGATAAACTTCCTTCAAGAGCTGGGTCCTTTGTGGCCAGGCGTGGTGGCTCATGCCTGTAATCCCAGCACTTTGGGAAGCCAAGGCGGGTGGATCACGAGGTCAGGAGATCGAGACCATCCTGGCTTACACGATGAAACCCTGTCTCTACTAAAAATCCAAAAAAAAAAAAAAAAAAAAAAAAAAAAAAATTAGCCAGGCATGGTGGCGGGCACCTATAGTCCCAGCTACTCAGGAGGCTGAGGCAGGAGAATGGCGTGAACCTGGGAGGTGGAGCTTTCAGTGAGCCGAGATCCTGCCACCACACTCCAGCCTGGGCGACAGAGCGAAACTCTGTCTGAAAAAAAAAAAAAGAGAGAGCTGGGACTTTGCAATCAGGCATGCATACCTGGTTTTCAGCCGTGTGAACCTGGATAGGTGACCTCATCTCCTGAAACCTCAGTTTCTGCATCTATAAAATTGGGGAAGTATCAGTTCCTTCTTTATAGGGTTGGAATAAGAATTGATGAGGTAATACATATAATGTGCTTAACACATTGTCTGGAACATAGTATTTAATTAATGCTAATTATGATTAACTTTTTAAAAAGTGGTTTAGAAAAGCTAATTAATGCCTCACTTAATTACAACCCTTAGACATTAAAAACATTTAAAAATGCCTCAGCATAGATATTCAGTGGGAAGACTTTTGTCTGTTACTTCTCAGTTAACCCTCCTGGCATTTAAATAGTGAGCGTGTGTTGAGGTGCAGGCATCCATTCTCATTTAACAAAGCCCTTTTGAATGGGTAGTTCCTTGAGGTGGCTCTAGGAGAAAGCCCTATCGTGTGTCTAAATGACCTACATTATTTGGAAAAACAAACAAAGCTGGATTGATCTGAGTTGATTGCTTTCAGAAACAACAAATTGGCTAGATTCAACGATTTCCTCCTTTCCTTCACCAGCCAATTTTTGGGTAGATATAGCTTCATTATAAAATCTGACCAAGCTTGACTCTATATAATTCAATCTCAAAGTATAAACAATCTGGAATGTTTTGTGGAAGACCTTGAATGATTTCTGAGCAGGAGATGGAAGCCTGAAGAATCAGAGAGTGAATGCATTCAGGTTTTCAGTGGCACGTGACCTTGATTAGCACACAGTAACAAACCAATTGGTGTCTCCTGAAACTGACCCCTCTCCCTTGGTTGATGAGTTTGATCCATGCTATTGTCTCTGGAAGGGTACTGGAAGAAACCTCAGGGATGAGAGGAACCTAACCTCTCATTCTGTAGATGAGGAAGCTGAGATCTAATGAGTTTGCATGACCAGCATCTATTACTCTACAATATTTTCCTCTTGGTTCCAACGCCATGCTCCATTTTCTTCAAGCAAGGGCTATTGGGGGAAATTTTCAATCATTTTCCAGTTTCCATGTTATTCACAATAAAACACAAGTTATCTTTATTAAAAATGTAAAAGTGTCAGCTTTTTAGATCTGGGTGTATCCATTTGTTTCCCTGGGAGACAGTGGGGAAGAGGCACAGTGCCTGGGGGTCGGGGCCTGGGAGGGTGGTGCCAATGGGGAGGGTGAAGAAGACCTTCACTGCCACCTTGTGGTCACCTGGGGCCAAACAGGGTCATTCCTTGGGAACCTCTCTCTGTCTAGCTTCTTTGGCTGCTTGCCTGAGATCTTTATCAGTGCAGTCAGCATTGCGTCAATGAAGCTTTTGTTATAATTTCTCTTCCATTGCATTTTCAGTTTCTTTAGCCCAGGGAAGGGGAAGTTGTTGAAAGCTAGCAAAATTCTGTATGTTGAAAAAACATCTGCAGGGAGGAAGAGGTCAGAATCCAGGAAAGGCTCTTAAGAAGAAATGTTTACGAGCTTTGCAAGATCCTTGTCTCATCTTATAGCATCTCTCCACAAGAGCAGAGATTATGGGACAAAAGTCAGGCCTGAGTTGGCACCTGTCATTATTATTACTTGGTCAATTGAGGAAGTTAGGATAGATGAGGATTCATTTATTATCTCATTTATTGGCCTTATTTGCAGTCCAATTTAGTTCTCACGTCACATTCTGATAGTCTCAGATTCAATAGCATCAGTTGAAATACTAACAATATTTTTCAGTGCAAAAGAATGACTTTCAAAGTATATATTATGGAAAGGATTATAATAAATTAAATGCCTAAACTGGCAGAGTGCAAACAATTTTGACTCAGATCTAAATGTTTGCACTGGCTGTTTAAACATTTAATTTGTTAGAATGGAAGTAGCGGCACAGAATAAGCATGTTAATTAAACTTGGGCTTTAGCAATGTGAGTCATCCCACGGACACAGAGCGTGACAAACCCGGATGGCAAAAGTCAATGTGCGTTGATTTCTCATTCTCCAAATGAACACTTAACATCTTTAAACCCTGCAGACATTAGTGGTTTTTAATGAATTGTTCTGTCTCTTTGAGGTGACTTTTAGATGATGCCATAGTACTTTTAGTCTGGGAAACAACTTTGCCAATTAAGTTGCAGGGAAGTTATCACCGCAGAAAATTGATTAAAATGATTATATGGCGAATCTGTTCCATGCTTTTACATTAAAAAATAGAAAAATGTAAAGAAGAGGTATAAAAACAAAACCTTGAAACACCAGTTTATCGAAAACAAAAAATCTCCATCATCACCATCATATTACCATCACCACTGCCACCACCGCCACCATCATCACATCTTTTGGGGCTATGGAATATCTAGGCCCAGATTTCCTGTCTGGCCCTGGTTCTACGTGGTAGAGTTATGGTAACATGATGCTGGTTAAGTCACTTGTCTCCTCTAAGCTTCAGGTTCCTCATTTGTAAAATGAGGGCCTTTTTATTGGTTAGGGTAAGGCTAAGCTGATGCAGCAAAGAGGCCCCCAAATAGCATGATTTACATCAGCTAATAGTTCATTGCTTCTTAGAAGTAACCCAGTTGTTTCAGGCTGGCAGGGGAGCACTTGGCTCCCTTACTCAAAAATCTTTGGTGACTCCTTACTGCCTGCAGAACTCAATTCAAGGTCCTTCACAACCTGACCTCAACCTACACTTCCAACTTAGTCACTCATAGCCTTTCTACTTCCATCTGTGTCTTTTCTGTCCTGTTCCCTCTGCCTAGAATTCTCTTTTCTCCTTCACCTATTGACATTGTATGCATTCTACATGGCCTAGCTCAGAGGCTGCCTCCTTCATGAAGCCTTGTAATTCCCTGCCTCTTGCCCCTTTTGATTACCTTTTATAACACTCATTATTTCTTCCTCTGCCTTCGCATATCTTTGCCTCCTTTATAGTATCAAATTCCATTTGCCTTATAATTAAATCAGTTATTTATGCAAATAGGCTTTATGTTTCTGGAGGCAACAGACTGCATATTATTTATCTTTGTTCCCCAACTTCTCTATCCTTCCTTGCCTTGCCCAATATCCAGCATTGTTGCTTGCCCAATAAATGTATGTTGAACTGAACGGAGTAAAAAAAGTTGTTACAGATAAAAAAAACTCAGTCATCAAAATAGCAACCATTTGTTAACTCAAGGGGCCAATTAGTCAATGAGCTATTCTTTGGAAAATTCCAGATGTGAATTAAAACAGTTCCAATTAAACTCATATCCTGTGCTGGACCCAGAATAGCATACAGAAATACTCCTTGGGCCTACATCCACATAGAATAGTGTGCCGCTCATGTTTGTTAGGAAGAACATGATTCCTGAGACTGCTATTATTTTTCTTAAAGCCTTTGTCCATGAGCCATGTGAAAAAAAATTGCATATTTGCCTTGGATGTAAGTCCATGGATGTTGTATATCATATGCTTTAAGTCTATCTCCATTTGTGGAATTTCTCTCTTCATTCTACCCCATTTTAGTGACATCAGAATCTAAGAATTCGTTGTCTGAAGGAGTCTCATTTCAAATAGTAACCTAGCTCATGGGATCAAGTGCAGGGAGCTCAGAGCTTCGAGCCCTATCTGGGTTTACTGCACAGTTGGGAAAACTCGTCTACTTTCCTCAAACCTCACTCTTCTCATTTGTAAATGGAACAGCTACAACCTCCTCCTTCTCACAAGGCTGTTTGCACAAATGATGGCAGCTCATTAGTGAAGTGCTTTGAAAAGATGGTGTGGAATCCTGCAGGGTGCTGTTGAGAGGCTAACCTCCAGGCTTTTATGAGAATGGATATTAAAAACATGCATCTGCTTGTTCCAGTCACTGGGTGCACATGAACAGTCCCTTAGTTGTATTTATCAGACTCGTTTTTTCCTGAAGAAAGAAATTAAATTTGTTTTTTCAAATTTTACAAATATAACCACGAGTTAGTCTGCTTGAATGAATTTCAAATCATAATTTAGATAATGTCAAGATGGCAATAAAACTTATGAAATAGAGCAAGGGTGGTGAAGAGAGAAAGCAGGAGGGAGACATTGAGATAACTCCACCTTTCTGCCCGGCAATTTTCTTTTTCTTTTCTTCCCCCTCTATGCCTTTCCATTCCCTTGTGCACATAAACGTTTCTGCTCCTCTTCATTTAAATGAATCTGGCCAGGTGGCATTAATGCTTGTAAAAGTAAATGGAAACTGCAAAGACAGATGTAGAGTCTGTCACCCAGTTCAGGAATTTTCAATTCTTTGTAACTGTCATCTTACAACTCACCTAGGATTGAAATTAGTTGAGCCCAAAATGGTGAAGTTGAGGACGTCTGAGTGTGGCACCCACGACTTTCCCTCCTCACCATATTTTCCCATTTGATTCATTTATTCCAACTGGAGTTCCTGCCAGGTTCCACTCTTATACCAGTCTATGTGCAGTGAGAACTCAAATATGAATAGGGCCAGTCTCTGCTTATAAGGAACCTGTTTACCAGGAAACAGTGTTTCAGGAAGACAAGATTTAAGCCCAAGTATTAAATGGAAATGGTACAATTTTAAGAGTAGGAGGAGTTTAGAGAACGCAAAGGGCTTTTGGGGTGTCTCAGAAATGATACCCCATGGCTTATGCTGCTGGTGTGTAACACATGACCTAATTGTAAGAAAGAATTTATCATCTCCATATACCAAGGGGAAGGCCTTGGGAATAAGGTCAAATAGTCCCTCCCTCAGTACACGCACACACACAACACACACACGAAGAGGTGAGAAATAACAATTTACACTTGCCTTCATCAGGGGCTGTTTGGCCACAATTTGCTCAAGTTGGTTTAGGCAAAAAGAAAAATTTGTCTCACAGAGTCCAGGGGCAGAGACAACAGTGGGGCTCCCATGGGGCTGAATGGGGCTCAGTTCCTGAACTGAAAGCCACCAAGAGGCCTCAGGGTCCTGCTTCCCTCTGTCAGCTTATTTTTCTCTTCTCGGCTGAGTGGTTTTCTTAAGTCACACATGCACCAAGCATTTCTGCCTCTTCCCTGATCTTCAGAGAATCCCAGAATCCCCAAGCCAAATTCCCCCAATAAGCAATTCTGATTGACCAATAGGATTATTCTAAAGATGGTTATTTGACCAAATTGGTCCAATCAGGTGGCCTCTTTTAGATCAATTATCTTTGGCCAGAGGTTTCAGCAGAAGGCTGGGAAAGCCGTTTCTTGAGAAGAGAATGTGTAGAGAACACAGAAGTGAGATCTCTGGTTCAACATTTAACTTTTGATTGTTTATGAAATGATATACAGTGTGAGGATTTTCCAGGTTGTTTGCTTTTACATCTCCCTTCTTTTCCTAACCTTGAATATTTCACTGTTGGCTTGGGGAAAATTACTTTACCTTTTTTTATTTTCATTTTTGAGACAGAGTCTCGCTTTGTCTGTCACCCAGGCTGGAATGCAGTGGTGCAATCTTGGCTCCCTGAAACCTCTGCCTCTTGGGCTCAAGAGATCCTCCCATCTCAGCCTCTTGAGTAGCTGGGACTCCAAGCACTCAGGTTCGTGTGACCATGCCCAGATCATTTTTTTGTATTTTTTGTAGAGGCGAGGCTTTGCCATGTTGCCCTGGACTCAAATGAGCCACCTACCTCAGCCTCCCAAACTCCTGAGATTATAGGCACGAGCCACCAGCGTGCCCAGTCTACTTCTTAATAACACTATGGTTTAAGTAAGTTTAACAAATAGAGGCTGATGTAAGAAATGTTTCTCTCCTGTAGCCTACAATTTAGTCGGGAAGACAGATAAAAACAAAAACAAACAAAAATACCCAACAGTAAACAAAATAATTACAAGTTGTGTTAAGCGAGGAAACAGAATATTGAATTAGAAAATATGGGTGGGAAAGGAGGGAACCTATTTTAGATGCAGTTACAGGAGCCACTGTTCCAGGGAGTTGACTTCTTCCTAGAGTATGAAAGTGTGTCCAGAATTGGTGGGTTATTGGTCTCACTGACTTCAAGAATGAAGTCGAGAACCCTTGCGGTGAGTGTTACAGTTCTTAAAGGCGGTGTGTCTGGAGTTTGTTCCTTCTGATGTTTAGATGTGTTCAGAGTTTCTTCCTTTTGGTGGGTTGGTGGTCTCGCTGGCTCAGGAGTGAAGCTGCAGACCTTCACAGTGAGTGTTACAGCTCTTAAGGCAGCGTGTCTGGAGTTGTTCATTTCTCCCCGTGGGTTCGTGATCTCACTGGCTTCAAGAGTGAAGCTGCAGACCTTTGCAATGAGTATTACAGCTCATAAAGGCAGTGTGGACCCACACAGCGGGCAGCAGCAAGATTTATTGCAAAAAGCGAAAGAACAAAGATTCCACAGGGTGGAAATGGACCCCAGCTGGTTGCCACTGCTAGGTCGGGCACCCTGCTTTTACTCTTATCTGGCCCCACCCACATCCTGCTGATTGGTCCATTTTACAGAGAGCCGATTGGTCTCTTTTACAGAGAGCTGATTTGTCCATTTTGACAGGGTGCTGACTGGTGCCTTTACAATACCTGAGCTAGACACAAAAGTTCTCCAAGTCCCCACTAGATTAGGTAGATACAGAGTGTCCATTGGTATATTTACAAACCCTGAGCTAGACATAGAGTGCTGATTGGTGCATTTACAAACCTTGAGCTAGATACAGAGTGCCAATTGGTGCATTCACAATCCCTTAGCTAGACATAAAGTTTCTTCAAGTCCCCACCAGATTAACTAGATACAGAGTGCTGATTGGTGCATTCACAAACCCTGAGCTAGACACAGGGTGCTGATTGGTGTGTTAACAAACCTTGAGCTAGATACAGAGTGCTGATTGGTGTATTTACAATCCCTAGCTAAATTTACAATTTAGCTAGACATAAAGACTCTCCAAGTCCCCACCACACTCAGGATCCCAGTTGGCTTCACCCAGTGGAACCCGCACCAGGCGGCAGGTGGAGCTGCCTGCCAGTTCCGGGGCATGCGCCCGCACTCCTCAGCTCTTGGGCGGTCGATGGGACTGGGCGCTGTGGAGCAGGTAGCGGAGCTCCTCCGGGAGGCTCGGGCTGCCCAGGAGCCGGCGGCGGGGGTGGGGGGGCAGGCTCAGGCATGGCGGGCCTCAGGTCCTAAGCCCTGCCCCTCAGGGAGGCAGCTAAGGCCCGGCGAGAAATCGAGCACAGCAGCTGGTGGCCAAGGTACTAAGCCTCTCACTGCCCAGGGCTTGTGGGCCGGCCGCCACTCTGAGGGCGGGGCCGCCAAGCCCACGCCCACCCGGAACTCGCCCTGGCCCGCAAGCGCTGCGGGCAGCCCCGGTTCCCGCCCGAGCCTCTCCTTCCACACCTCCCGGCAAGCTGAGGGAGCTGGCTCCGGCCTTGGCCAGCCCAGAAAGGGGCTCCCACAGTGCAGCGGTGGGCTGAAGGGATCCTCAAGCACGGCCAGAGTGGGCACCAAGGCCGAGGAGGCGCCCAGAGCGAGCGAGGGCTGCAAGGGCTGCCAGCACGCTGTCACCTCTCAAAGAGACCCATTATGAAAAAGGTAGTGGGGAGGATGTACTTAAAAAAAAAAAGTATCTCGGCCAGGCGTGGTGGCTCAGGCCTGTAATCCCAGCACTTTTGGAGGCTGAGGCAGGTGGATCAGGAGGTCAGGAGATCCAGACCATCCTGGCTAACACGGTGAAACCCTGTCTCTACTAAAAATACAAAAAAAAAAAAAAAAAAAAAGCCGGGCGTGGTGGTGGGCACCTGTGGCCCCAGCTACTCCGGAGGCTGAGGAAGGAGAATGGTGTGAACCTGGGAGGCGGAGCTTGCAGTGAGCCGGGATCGCGCCACTGCACTCCATCCTGGGCGACACAGCGAGACTCCGTCTCAAAAAAATAATGATAATAAAAAATTTTGTTCACATCACTCTTATATGTAAATTAAATTCTAGCAAACCGATGCCTTTGTAGTGCTACTTGGGGAGTTCAATATATAAAATAAATTTATGCGTGCTTTGGAACACAGCTTTCTTTCTCTCCAATTTCCTCAATGCAGTAAAAGGAGATTAAAAATCAGAAATTGAGAAAAATTCCTCAAATGAATGAGATTGGAAGGAGCTAAGAAAACCTTCGTACAAAACCCACCTAGAAGAAGACTACTGTGAAGTAAGAGTAGAAGGAGAGAAACTCTGAGCTCAACTTCAGCATATGCAGTAAAGAAGAGAGTCCTGGGGCAGCTGTTAGGAAATTAACGAGAGCTGCGTTCAGACTAGAAAGGCAAGTTGCAACTCTTACTAAACCTCTGGCCAAACAGCGAGGCTGGTAAAACACACAGGAGAGGAAACAGTCCAGCAGGAGAGGGCCTCTGAAGTGACTGGAGGGCTTAGGAGGGAAATAACCAAGGTGCCCTCGAGGAAATTTCAGACTTCATAAAAGATAGAAAGAGGAGAGAAATAGGCCAGGCATGGTGGCTCACGCCTGAAATCCTAGCACTTTGAGAGGAGTTATTCACTAGGGAACCAATTGTAGTTCTTTCTAATCCTCTTTCCCTCCAAACCTGCTTTGCTGAAAGCTGCAGGAAAGGAAGTGTGTGACAAAAAATGGAAAACTTCAGTGTGGATCAGATGATGTCAACCCACAGTCGATTCATGTTAGTTTGTCATGTGGAAGCAGTGATTTTAAGACCGACTGATTAAAAACAAATATTCCTAAGTGTATCTGGGAGATGCAGTTTATTTGTTAATTAAAAAGCTTTTTTCTCAGTCTCTTAAATTATGGCTTTCACGTAATAAGAATATTTTTAGTGAAAAGTTATTTTCCTTTCAAGTCACAGACCTTTTAAAAAGACTTAATTTGAACAAGTACTTTCATTTGGCACTTCTCCTGTTTCTAAACTTAGGAAATCCATAATAACATTTGACAGAAACTATGTTTTCAATTTATCTTTGACATCTGTCCCACTCCATTTTGCTTTGTGACTTCTTTATTCAATAATAAATTATCTTAGAAAAAAAAGAATGTAGAGCAAAACTACAAGGAGATGAAAAATATAAGAAATGTTAATACAAAAAGGATCAGTCCAGGAAGGCCCAAAACACCAATTGAACAGGAATTCCAGAGTCAGAGAACAGAGTCAGAGGCAGGAAGGAGATAATGGAGGAAATATTTCTTCAAGCTAAAGAGAGACAAAAATCATTTATTTAAAAGGAGCCATTGGCTCCCTCTCCCTCTCCCCCTCCCCCTCCCTCTCCCCTTTGCACGGTCTCCCTCTGATACCAAGCGGAGGCTGGACTGTACTGCCGCCACCTTGACTCACTGCAACCTCCCTGCCTGATTCTCCTGCCTCAGCCTGCCCAGTGCCTGGGATTGCAGGCGCCCGCCGCCATGCCTGACTGGTTTTTGTATTTTTTGGTGGAGACGGGGTTTCGCCGTGTTGGCCGGGCTGGTCTCCAGCTTGTGACCACAAGTGATCTTCCAGCCTCTGCCTCCCAAGGTGCCGGGATTGCAGACGGAGTCTCGCTCACTCAGTGCTCAATGTTACCCAGGCTGGAATGCAGTGGCGTGATCTCGGCTCGCTACAACCTCCACCTCCCAGCCGCCTGCCTTGGCCTCCCACAGTGCCGAGATTGCAGCCTCTGCCCAGCCGTCACCCCGTCTAGGAAGTGAGGAGCGTCTCTGCCTGGCTGCCGATCGTCTGGGATGTGAGGAGCCCCTCTGCCCCGCCGCCCAGTCTGGGAAGTGAGGAGCGCCTCTTCCCGGCCTTCATACCGTCTAGGAAGTGAGGAGCGTCTCTGCCCGGCCGCCCATCATCTGGGATGTGGGGAGCGCCTCTGCCCCGCCACCCCATCTGAGATGTGAAGAGCGCCTCTGCCCAGCCGCGGCCCCGTCTGGGAACTGAGGAGTGTCTCTGCCCCACCGCCACCCCGTCTGGGAGATGAGGAGCGTCTCTGACCGGCCACCCCGTCTGGGAAGTAAGGAGCCCCTCTGCCCGGCAGCCGCCTCGTCTGGGAGGTGGGGGGCGCCTCTGCCCAGCTGCCCCGTCTGGGAAGTGAGGAGCCCCTCTGCCCGGCCGCCACCCCGTCTGGGAGGTGTACCCAACAGCTCATTGAGAACGGGCCATGATGATGATGGTGGTTTTGTCGAATAGAAAAGGGGGAAATGTGGGGAAAAGAAAGAGAGATCAGATTGTTACTGTGTCTGTGCAGAAAAAAGTAGACATAGGAGACTCCATTTTGTTCTGTACTAAGAAAAATTCTTCTGCCTTGGGATGCTGTTAATCTATAACCTTACCCCCAACCCCGTGCTCTCTGAAACATGTGCTGTGTCCACTAAGGGTTAAATGGATTAAGGGCGGTGCAAGATATGCTTTGTTAAACAGATGCTTGAAGGCAGCATACTCGTTAAGAGTCATCACCACTCCCTAATCTCAAGTACCCAGGGACACAAACACTGCGGAAGGCAGCAGGGCCCTCTGCCTAGGAAAACCAGAGACCTTTGTTCACATGTTTATCTGCTGACCTTCCCTCCACTATTGTCCTGTGACCCTGCCAAATCCCCCTCTCCGAGAAACACCCAAGAATGATCAATAAATACTAAAAGAATTAAAAAAAAAATGAGCCATTGAAAGCTAATGGAACTAATATAAAAAGATCCACACCAGAAAATACCGGTGAAAAGAAAATTTGAAATGTTTCCAGAGAGCAAAAGAAATTCCATTTACTATAGTGGACAATAGTAGTTACAGTTTTAGCTTTCTTGTTTGCTTTTTTCTCTCCTTTCTTCCAGTAAGAATGTCTGTCCTGCCATCCTCCCTCCCTTCCTCCCTTCTCCTTCTTTTCTTTCTTTTCTCTCTATATGTCATTCAGATGGGGCTATGAATTTCAGGACCACCCCAACCCAGGCCACAGGGAGAAGCCCAGAACCCACACATGACTAATCAGAGAATCCCACTTTCTGGCTACAGTGATTAGCTCAGAATGGGCATGGCACCAAAAAGGGCTCACTCCAAGCCCTCCCCAGGATTTTCATGTGTTAATGGGGAAGTTGGTCTCTTTCCTTTGGGGTTATGTGGCCACAGGGATGTTGGCTACAGCTGCATGTAGTTGTCTTTCTTGCAGAGGAAGCTTGTTGCAGTAGTACAGAATGAGCCAAACATACAGAAAGAAATAACAAACAGAGTCACAAGACATGGAAGAAAACCCCAATGGCACCATTTGAACTACTCAGCCATACTTGAGGCCAGCTCCACCTCTGGACTTTCCAGGGATAAGTCACCAAATTCCATACTTTGCTGAAGGCAGTTGAGTTGTTCCTGTAGTATGCACCTGCAAAGAAATGAAAATCAGATTGGCATCAAGACTTCTCATCAGCCACACGGAACACAAGAAGATAACACAGAGAATTCTTCTAAGTTCTATGTGAACTTTGAACCTAGAATATAATTTTGAACTTAGAATTCTATATCCATTCACTATTATTCTAGTGCGAGGGCAAAATAAAGAGATATTTAGAATGTGTAATGACTCAGAAAGTGTTCCATTCACAGAAGTTTTCTGAAAGAATTTCTTGGGAATGAATTGTAGCAACAAGAAAAAATGGATTCAAGATGTAAGACTATGGAATATGCAAAATAATGTTGAGCAAAGTCATCAGCAAAAGTTGTGATTAATCTAAACAAACATGATGCATAGTACAAATTTAGTTCCACAGTAGTCTGGAACTAAACTTCTGAATTACTATGTCATCAGAGAGAATGGTGGGACGGAAACGCTGTTAGTGTCTAAGAGTTTCATATCATTAGGGAGAAGCTACAGATAGTAAATCTAGGCCTGAATAGCAAATTTAAATTTTATTCATTTGTCAAAAATTTGTCAAAACGACAACTACTAAAAAAATAGAAATAGGATGTGTAATTTCCAAACCAATAAAGGGGGAAAAATCCCAATCCAATAAAAAGGGCAAATGAGGGGAAAAAATAAATAACAAAACACATGGAAAGAGAAAGCATAAAACAAGCTGTCAGGAATAAATCCAGACACAACAGGGATCATAGTAAGGGGTGAGTATGTCAAATGCTGGAGTGTGAGCATTATGAAGGCAGGGATTGTAATTGTTTGTTCACTGCTGAGTCCTTCAATTAATATTTGTTGAATGAATGAATGGATAGATGTTCTAAGATTTGATTTTCAACAATCCTGTTTAATAAACAGATCTTGGCTTTGCAGATGCTGCCAGGAACCCCATACTATCAGCCATGGTCAACCCCACCGTGTTCTTCAACATGGCTGTCAATGATGAGCCCTTGTGCCACGTCTCCTTTGAGCTGTATGCAGACAAGTTTCCAAAGACAGCAGAAAACTTTCGTGCTCTGAGCACTGGAGAGAAAGGATTTGGTTACAAGGGTTTCTGCTTTTACAGAATTATTCCAGGGTTTATGTGGTTTATGTGTCAGGGCAGTGACTTCACACACCATAATGGCACTGGTGGCAAGTCCATCTATGGAGAGAAATTTGATGACGAGAACTTCATCCTGAAGCATACAGGTCCTGAACCCTCACATTCCCAAACCAATTACTTATCCATGGCAAATGCTGGACCCAACACAAATGGTTCCCAGTTTTTCCTCTGCACTGCCAAGACTGAGTGGTTGGATGGCACACATGTGGTCTTTGGCAAGGTGAAAGAAGGCATCAATATTGTGGAGGCCATGGAGCGCTTTGGATCTAGGAATGGCAAGACCAGCAAGATCACCATTGTTGACTGTGGACAACTCTAATGAATTTAACTTGTGTTTTTTCTTTTTAAGATGGAGTTTCACTCTTGTTTCCCAGGCTAGCGTACAATGGTGTCATCTCTGCTCACTGCAAGCTCCGCCTCCGGGTTCAAGTGATTCTCCTGCCTCAGCCTCCGGAATAGCTGGGATTATAGGCACGCGCCAGCACGCCTGGCTAATTTTGTAATTTTAGTAGAGATGGGGTTTCATCATTTTGGCCAGGCTGGTCTCAAACTCCTAACCTCAGGTGATCCACCCGCCTCAGCCACCCAAAGTGCTGGGATTAAAGGAATGAGCCACCATGCCTGGCCAACTTGTGTTTTTTCTTAACCACCACGCCATTCCTTCTGTAGCTCAGGAGAGCACCCCTCCACCCCATTTGCTTGTAGTATCCTAGAATCTTTGTGCTCTCGCTGCAGTTCCCTTTGGGTTCCATGTTTTCCTTATTCCTTTCCACGTCTAGCTGGATTGCAGAGTTAAGTTTATGGTTATGAAATAAAAAGTAAATAACAACAACAACAACAACAAAAAAAAAACCAGATTTTTTTTTTTTTTTTTTTGAGACAGAGTCTCACTCCACCCAGGCTGGAGTGCAGTGGCATAATCTCAGATCACTGCAACCTCTGCACCTCTGCCTCCTGGGTTCAAGCGATTCTTCTGCCTCAGCCTCCCGAGTAGCTGGGACTACAGGCATGTGCCACCATGCCTGGCTAATTTCTGTATTTTTAGTAGAGATAGGGTTTAGCCGTGTTGGCCAGGCTGGTCTCAAACTCCTGATCTCAGGTGATTCACCCACCTCGGACTCCCAAAGTTCTGGGATTACAGGTGTAAGCCACCATGCCTGGCCTAAAAAACAGATCTAAATCAAATAAACAACCCACACATACCGCATGCACACACATTAAGGTTGGAAATAAAGAGATGGGAAAATATTTCCCAGGAAAAGTTTGACTAAAAGAGCAAGTATGGTCATTTTGGTATCAGATGAAACAATGTCAAGGTCAAATGCATTAAACCAAATCAAGAACAATATTTTATATAACCTGGCTAGGAAGTGCAAGCAAATCAACTGACAAATAGTTGGATCCTATAAGATAGGTCAGTAAGATGGCTAGGCACAAAATTAATCTCCACAAATTAATAGCTTCTCTATATACTAGAAATAACTAAGAAAACAAGAGGGATAAAAGATTCAAATCATATTCACAACAATAAAATGCACAAAACACCAAGAATACTGATATGATAACCCTAACAAGAAATGGGCAAGAGCAATAATGAAAAAAACTATAAAATGATGATGACAACATTATTATAAAAACCAAGAATTGAACCCTGAAAACAGAGACACACCCAAAATGGAATTACTCAACATTGTAAAGATGACAGTGCTCCCCAAGGCAGTCTTTGGAGTCACTGCCATCCAAATAAAATCCCCAGAATTTGGTAAACATATACTAAAATTAATCTGGGGGAGAAAAAGCATAAGAATAACTGGGAAACATTTTGATAAGTAGTGGAGGAGAGGCTTGCCCTACCAGATATCAAAATATGGTCCTCAAGTTTAAGAATTAAACTTGTGCAAAAAGTGACAGATTAGTAATACAGAATAGAGGATCCAGAAACACAAATCAATTTATGGCACTTTAGTTTTTGATGAAAATGGCATTTCAGGTAGTGGGAGGTGATGTTCAGAACAATGTTGGGAAAAGTACCTATTCATTTTGAAAAATAAAGTTGGAATTTAACCTTGTGCCAACACAAAAATAAATGGGTGAGGTATTAAAAAGCTAATCATAAAACCTAAACTTTAAAATATTGGAAAAATAGGAGATTTAAGAAAAATTATGCTGAAATGGAGAAAGCCTTCTTATGTAAGACACAGATTAAAAAAAACAGAAAAGAAAAAATGGGTAGATTTGACTACACAAAACAAAACAAAACAAAACAAAATCCAAGACACAAAAATTCTCTGTGGGAGGTAGTATTTGCAAGATATAAAATACACAAAGGATTAATGTATATTATACTTAAAGAACTCTCATAAATCAACAGACAATCAAAAAAAAATGAACAAGGGACGTGAATAAGCAATTCACAGTAGAAGAAATACAAAAGTCAATATATATGTGAAAAACACTCAACATTATTAATAAAAGGGAAATGCAAATTAAAATAAGAATGTGACATCAATTTTTATCCACACTAAGATTGAACACAAATTTTAAATGATAGAAACCATTCAATAATATCACATATATATCAGTAAGCTTTTTGGTTGTAGGTAGCATAAACACATGATTTAAACTGCCTTGAAGAGTTAGTGAATTTGTTATTTGACATAACCAAATGTCTACAGATATGGCCACTTCCTGGTGTGGTACCTTCAGTGACTTATAATGACCTTTCTTTAGTGCTCTGCCAAACTTCATCCTAAGGCCGTAACTCTTAAGAGTGGCAAAAGGGTTAAGCCTGTTCCAGATACCACATCCAGTCCTGAAAAGTTTCACAAGAAGAGGGGATCTTTTCTCTTGTGACTCTTTTAGGAGTAAGGAAACCTTTCTAGAAGTTTCCCCAGGCACATTTTCCTTCGTGGTTCATTAGCCCAGAATTGGGTCACATTTCCCTCCCTAAACCCATCTCTGGAAAGGGAAATGGGCTTATCCTTATCACGTGGATAAGGAGGCATCCACCATGACCACTTTAACAAGGGCATGGGGAAATTGGTACTCTTACTCGCTACTGAATTGGTTCAGCCCATCGGTATCTTCCAAAATTCAAAATTTGTACATTCTTTGAATTATCACTCCAAGGCATCTCTATAGCTGCAGAAATACTGGCATGTTGCATCAGAAACATTTACAAGGGTATTCACCACAATGATGCTTATCTTAAAAATTGGATATCCTCTGAATACGCATCTATAATGGAATGGTACATTCACACAGTGCGATATAAGCAGCAGTTTCAAAAACTCTTTAAGGCATAAGTGAAAAAATCAAGTTATAAAACTGTTACATTTATGTTATAAACACACTTAGAGATAACTATTTGCATACAAATGCATAGAGAAGGCACTCAAAGGATACATGCCTTACTTTCAAGGAGGAAAGTCAGGATGTGGGGTATGTAGATGATTCTTCTTATTTATTTGATTTTTTAGTCTTATCATAGTGGCTTAGGCCATAAAGACATTTATTGTATTGACATTTATGTATCTTACATAAAAGTCTGGAGGTAGGTATTTCATTGTATGCGTGTGTGGCAAGGCAGTGATATTACTAAAGACCCCAGCTCTTTTTATCTGCTCAGCCATTCTTAGCATATTGGCTTAAACAAACATTTTTATTGATACACATATTTGTACATATTTATGGAGTATATGTGATATTTTGTCACATGCATAGACTGTGTAATGATCAAGTCAGGTATTTGGGGTCTCCATCACCTCCACTATTTCTCATTTCTATACGTTGGGAACATTTCAAGTCCTCTCTTCTAGCTATTTTTAAATAGAATACATTGTTGTTAACTACAGTTGCCCACTCTGCTATCAAAGATTAGAACTTATTTTTTCTATCTAACTGTATATTTATACTCCTTAAGCATGTTGGCTTTTTACTCAGGTTTATTACAAAGGGTCCCAAACTTTCTGGTCTGTAGTACCCTTAGTGTCTCAGTGATTTTTTTTTAATGGTGCCACTAGGCCAAAATAAATACCTAAAATTTATGTTTATTGGGTAATTATTAATAGGTCCAAACAATTTAGTAGATATTCATGACCTAATAATTGAGTAGCCATTTGAAAAAAATAATACACACAAATTGAAAGACAAAGTATTTTCATTTCATTGGTAAATAACTGTAATTATTTACTAATGGGATCCATAATTCTGATGGGCACTATACAATTTCTTGAACTTTACTGCTATCCTCAACTCCCATTGCATTTTCATTTTTGCACAGTACTTTAAAAAAATTACAACTGCTGAAAACCGCATTTCACAAAGATATGCTATCAAAAGGAATTTAGTGCAATCTAATATTGAAAGTAGGAACTGTCTGGATCTAGCAGTTTTCATGATGCTTGATATGTTATCACTGTTTTTAAAATTTTCCCCTGCAAATTTACATTGTGATGCCTCTGGAGTTCACTGTAGCATTCCAGGGTGCCTCAGTGCATGGTTTGGGAATTGCAGGTTTATCATCTTGTAGCTGCAGGATGGTTGTCTCAGCTCCAAGCATGCATCTCTGTACAACAATATTCATGGAGGAAGAAGGTACAAGCTTTCTTCTTACTTCTTTCATTCCATTTCAAATTTATTGCAATAGAATTTCATGTAACAAAGTTCACCTATTTTGAGTATATGGCCAGATAAGTTTTGACGAATGTATACATCTGTATAATCTTCACTACAATCAAGATACAGAAGACTTTCATCACCCCAAGAAGTCCTTTTGAGCCCTTTTCCACTCAATCTCCCCACCATCCCCCAGTGACTAGTGATCTGCTTCCTATCACTATAGATTAAATTGATCTTTTCTAGGTTTTCATAGAAATTAGACACAAAGTATGGACTCAGGTGCTGCATACTAATTCTAAGACTCATCTATGTGGTTGCATGTATCAGTAGTTCACTCCTTTTCTTGCTGAGTAGTAGTCTGTTGTTTGACTATACCACCATTTGTCATCCATTCACCTGCAGGCAGACATTTGAGTTGTTTGCAGTTTAGGGCTGTGATATGGTTTAGCTCTGACCCCACACAAATCTCATCTTGAACTGTAGCTCCCATAAACCCCACTGTCATGGGAGGGACCCAGTGGGAGGTAATTGAATCACCAGGGCAGGTTTTCCCATGTTGTTCTCGTGATAGTGAATAAGTCTCAGGAGATCTGATGGTTTTATAAAGGGCAGCTCCCCTGCACACACTCTCTTGCCTGCCATCATGTAAGATGTGCCTTTGCTCCTCCTTTGCCTTCCATCATGATTGTGAGGCCTCCCCAGCCATGTGGAACTGTGAGTCCATTAAAACTGTTTTTCTTTACAAATTACTCAGTCTCAGGTATTTCTTTATAGCAGTAGTGAGAGGTGAAAACGTGCTGGCAGCCCTTGCTCACTCTCAGCACCTCCTCGGCCTCGGCGTCCGCTCTGGCCACGCTTGAGGAGCCCTTCAGCCTGCCGCTGCACTGTGGGAGCCTCTCTCTGGGCTGGCTGAGGCTAGAGCCGGCTCCCTCTGCTTGCTGGGAGGTGTGGAGGAAGAGGTGCCGGCGGGAACCTGGGCTGCATTCGGCGCTCGAGTTCCGGGTGGGCCTGGGCTCTGCGGCCCCTCACTCAGAGTGGCTGGCCGGTGCCGCTGGCCCCGGGCAGTGGAGGGCTTAGCACCCGGACCAGCAGCTGCAGAGGGGGTGCCGGGTCCCCCAGCACTGCTGGCGGGACCACACCAGGCTCGAATTCTTGTGGGGCCTCAGCTGCCACCCTATGGGGCAGGGTTCAGGACCTGCAGCCTGCCATGCCCGAGCACCCCCGCAGTGGGCTCCTACGCAGCCTGAGCCTCCCTGATGGGCGCCACCCCCTGCTCCACGTCGCCCGGTCCCATGGACTGCCCAAGAGCTGAGGAGTGCAGGCGGGAGGTGCGGGAGTGGCAGGCAGCTCCACCCACAGCCCTGGTGCGGGATCCACTAGGGGAAGCCAGCTGGGCTCCTGAGTTGGGTGTGGACTTGGAGAACCTTTATGTCTAGCTAAAAGATTGTAAATACACCAATCAGCACTCTGTGTCTAGCTCAAGGTTTGTAAACGCACCAATCAGCACCCTGTCAAAACAGATCAATCAGCTCTCTGTAAAATGGACCAATCAGCAGCATGTGGGTGGGGCCAGATAAGGGAATAAAAGCAGGCTGCGGAGCCAGCCCCGGCAACTCGCTTGGGTCTTCTTCCACAGTGGAGACTTTGCTCTTTAGCTCTTTGCAGTAAATCTTGATGCTGCTCACTATTTGGGTGCGGACTGTCTTTTTGAGCTGTAACACTCAAGGGGAAAGTCTGCAGCTTCATTCCTGAGACCAGCAAGACCATGAGCTCTCCAAGAGAAATAAACAGCTGCGGATGTGCCGCTGTAAGAGCTGTGACATTCGCCGGGAAAGTCTGCAGCTTCAGTCGTGAAGCCAGCGAGATCATGAAGCTACCAGAAGGAAGAAACTCAACACGTCCGAATATTAGAAGGAACAAACTCTGGACACACTATCTTTAAGAACTGTAATACTCATCGCGAGGGTCCGTGGCTTCATTCTTGAAGTCAGTGAGACCAAAAACCCGCCAATTCCGGACACAGTACGAAAGTGGACTAATACGGGCTGGTGTGAGTAAAGCTGCCCTGAACACTCGGGGACAAGTCTTTGTGTGCATGTATGTTTTTATTTGTTTTGGATGATGTCTTTCTCTCTTTGTAGAGGGCAAAATTATTTCTAGAATCCCCGGACCAGACTTTCACTTATGTATCATTGGCCAGTCCTAGTCACCCTCTCATCTCCAAACCAATACCTAAAAAAGGAAATGGAGGCACATTGGAGCAATCCCTTGACATCCTTTGGGGTTGGGGGATTGAGGTCCTCGCAGGAGCGAGTTGCCTCCCTGAATAGTCAGCCTTACCAACACAGGAAAAAGGAAGGAGTAATTTTTGGGTATGCAGCCATCCGTGTCTGTCACATTACTTTACCCGTGAGTATTTTTACTACAGAATATAGTAGTAGCATTATTTACATTTCACAGTGAGAGTCTTTTCTCTGACATAAAGGTGCTTAAGCAGATCCATTGCCAAGAGATATTCAACAATAGTCGTAGGAATAAGCAGAGAAGAGACAAACATAAAGTTGACAGAAAGAGAATTGCTCTGGGGAATATGATATGAGGGCACAAGCATCATATGGAGAGAATTTTACCAACTGGCTGCCAGATGTGGGCCTGCCCTGGGCTGAGGCACAGCTGGTCTGCCCTACAGTAAATCAGATGTGGGAGGCAAGTGCCATCTGGCACGTAAACTTGGCAGAGCCTGGAAAGACAAGTGAACTCACGTGTGAAGTACTTATTATTATGGATGAACATGAGCAGAGCTCTGGCACCAGCAGCAGGGCGAGCAGTTTCCTTCACCTAGGGTCTTAGGTCTCATCTGCTGCTGCCACAGCGCGGCCAGCCGAGGGACTCCCTGGCCCTCAGCACCTCTTCTCTGGTCGAGGCTGACTTTGCTTTAGTTATGAGGAGCTAAGGAGTTTGGCCCTTTAATTTCAGCCCTGATTTAGCATTTCTGCCCTTTCTCACTTCTTCCCTTGTACTCTCTTCCTAAGAGTTTGTTTCCCTTTGCTAAGCTTCTCAAGTGCAGGGACCAGATCTTGCATATTGTATTCGCTGTTTCTGCTCCTGGCATTCTGCCTTGCACAAAGTAGGTGCTCAACAAGGCATTGCAAAAATGTCTTCGCCACAGATAAAGACCAGAGGGAAGTATTGTGAAAGTGGTATTTCCACCCTCCACTGTTTGCATCTATTTCCAAATACCGGTTGATTGGTAACATCTAAGACGGATCACAGCAAATATTGTACATGTTTAGTGCACAATTCGGTTAACATTGCCCTAAAAGATTCCATTAACCATAATTCTGATATATCCACTACTAAGAATCGTAAAATGTTCGAGCTGAAAGGCACTCTAGAGATGAGCATTTACGAGGCCCAGAGATTTGAAGGACTTGCACAAGGCCATATTGGAAACAGAACAGAACAGTTATCTATAACCCACTTTATTCCTGCAAGAATTTAAACTGGGTTTTAAGGATAAATAAAATATAAGCCAGCAAAATTACAATTAGGAACAAAAGAACGTAACTTAAAAATGAGCTTGAGAGTAAGATCAAAATAGAAATATATACCAAAAAGGGAGCCTGCAACAGGTTAGCCCCAAACTTGGCTCTAAACATCTATATATCAAAACAGGAAAAGAAACGTGGTTACGTACAACTTTCATGATGTGTATGAAAGTAAAACAGACCAGTAGCTCCTAGAAGTCTAATCACTGTTGGTACCAGTACTTGACAGGCATCAGCCATAAAAAGAGCTCCGTGGGTGGCCGGGCGCGGTGGCTCACGCCTGTAATCCCAGCACTTTGGGAGGCCGAGGTGGGTGGATCACAATGTCAGGAGATTGAGACCATCCTGGCTCACACGGTGAAACCCGGTCTCTACTAAAAATACAAAAAATTAGCTGGAGGTGGTGGTGGGCACCTGTAGTCCCAGCTACTCCGGAGGCTGAGGCAGGAGAATGGTGTGAACCCGGGAGGCGGAGCTTGCAATGAGCCAAGATCGCGCCACTGCACTCCAGCCTGGGCGACGTAGCGAGACTCCGTCTCAAAAAAAAAACAACAAAAAACAAAACTCCGTGGGTTATAACAAAGGTCCTCAACAGTATCCCAGTGATGCACAGAAAAAGCATCCCTTAGTGCAGGGATGGTAGCTGATGGCAACTAAGCAAAGCTCATTCTGGAAAAAGCACTCTATGTGGGCGTAGGGGAGAACTGAGAACCAAATCCAGGATTACCAGTCGTAGAAAAAAAGTTTGCCAAATTGAGATGTGAAAGAATTGAACTCAGAATTCTGTGACATCAGGAATACAATAATAATTACTGTTCTTAATTATGACCCAGAGGCACTGTAGGCTCCAAAGTATTTTCTGAATCATCTAAGAAAATTTTTTTTAATTTCAATCTGGTTTCATATTAATTTAGAACTTAATTAGCTACTATCATCTGTTCTAGCTGTTATTTCATATGTTTGTTTTATTCCCTTCAATTAGATTGTCATTTTCTTGAGGGCTGGGGTCTGCATATAGGGAAAGTGCCAACTTACTTGACAAATGTAACATGAATCCCCTAAAGTTGACTGTAGAGGTGAAATCTCTGCATGAGGAAGGACAGCTGGACTTTTTAGCCCTGATTCTTTTGAGCTCTTTGTGAATTTCTGTTTCTATCATGAAAATAGGAGGTGGTACTGCTTTCTCCACTAATACCATCTCTTATTCCAGTCCCTTAATATCCCATGGCAGATTTGAGACTAATTTTGAATATTAAATAACACCTTATAAAGAGGCCTAAAATAATAAGAGGAAAATAAATACAGCATGTGAAACTACAGAATCTAGCTTACAACCATTACCAACAATGACTAACATCAACATCAACAGGTACTGACAATATAATATAAGTATTTGGAACCCAGATCTGGAGCCAAACTATTTGGGTTCAAATCCTAATTCTACCATTTACTAGCTGTTTAACTTTGGACAGGTTGCTTAACCTCTCTGTGCCTCATTTTTCTCATCTTTAAAAAGATAACTGTACTTATCTCACAGAGGTATTGTGAGGGTTAAATGAACACTTATAATAGTGCTTGAACATAGTAAATATATATTGGCTATTAATGTTATAACTAGGCACTTTTTATAAGCCACACACTTTATATATAATATTTGTTAATTTAACCTTCACATGATGCTCTACTTCAGTAGTTCTCAAATTTTTGGTTTGTAACACTCTTGAAACTTATTGAAAACTCTGAAGAACTTTTGTTTATGAATGTTTTATGTATATATACTTACTGTATTAAAATTAAAACTGTGAGATTCTTAAAAATATTAATAACTAATTTAAAATGATGAGCCCAATACATATTAACAAAATAATATAATTACTACAAAAAATAAGTATCTTTTCAAAACAATTTTATGAGAAACGGGCATTATTTTACATTTTTACGAATTTCTTTAGTGTCTGGCTGAATAGAAGATAATTGGATTCTCATAATTGCTCCTGTATTCAAGCTGTTGCAATATGTTGTTTTGGTTTAAGTATATGAAGAAAATCCATTATCATACAGACATGTAGTTGGAAAAGGGAAGAGTATTTTATTAGCCTTTCATTTAATTGTGGCCCTCTTTGTGATCCGCTATACCAAAACTTTACAAGTGGTAGTATTTTACAGATTAGTGGCCCTGGAATCTGAAACCAGATCAATGAACTTTTCATCCCTTGTTACATTGGTCTGTCTTGCACTTTAAACAGATCATTTACCTATGCATGACTTTGTGACATCATCCACTGTCCACTGGGAAAATACTGATTCACTGAGTCATGTAGATCAACTAAATTTAGAAACATTAACATTTGTTAGTATTATTACCAGCAGAGAGCTCTGTCTTTTCTTTCTTTCTTTCCTTATCTCTCTCCCTCCCTCTCTCTCTGTCTCTCTTCCTTTTTGAGATTGGGTTTTGCCATGTTACCCAGGCTGGTCTCGAAATCCTAGGCTCAAGTGATCCCTTCGCCTCGGCCTCCCAGAGTGTTAGGATTACAGGTATGAGCCACTATGCCCAGCTGGGCTAGTGCTTTTCCTTGAGACAACCATAGTGCTTCTGAACACAGCAGAAATGTTCTCTGCATACTGTCCATTTTGTCACACAGAACATTAGTGTTAAAAAGACATATACTCAATGGTTGAGATTTAATGAAAGTAATACTTATTACTGATTCATCAAGGTCATTCTTAAGGACTTTTTTCTGTAAGTGCAAGAAATCCAGTGATTAGTAGTGTGGCACTCTTATTTTGATTGGTGCTAGGGCACCAGTAGTAGTTTCACCCACTCTTTCTTTTGTATCATCAGAGCAAATGTCAACCCAGTGAAAAAGGCAAATAACATAGTAGTATTATGAAAATTGTTTTATCCTAGTGGACCTTCCAGAAGATTCTAAAGAATCTCCAGAAGTCCAATGATTGTACTTTGAGAAACACTGCTTTAACCTTCTACCTCCTCAGGGTTACTGCAAGCCCATCCAGAATCTTTTACATCCAGACCTAATAGACTGAGAACTAGTCCCGTCTCAAATCTACCTAAAAGCCACTGTATTAGTCAGTTCTCACACTGCTACAAAGATACTGCCCGAGACTAGGTAATTCGTAAAGAAAAGAGGTTTAACTGACTCACAGTTCTGCATGCCCAGGGAAGCCTCAGGAGACTTACTATCATGGCAGTAAGGGGAAGCAGGCACGGCTTACATGGCAGCAGACGAGAGTGTGTAGGAAGCAAAGAGAGAAGATCTCCTTATAAAACCATCAGATCTCATGAGAACTCACTCACCATCATGAGAACAGCATGGGGGAAACCGCCCCCATGATCCAATCACCTCCCACCAGGTCTCTCCCTCAACACCTAGGGATTACAATTCAAGATAAAATTTGGGTGGGGACACAAAGCCAAACCATATCAGCCATAATCTGAATTCCCCTTTTCTGTCTCTTCCTTAGATTATTTGGTGCTTGAAAGGATAAGGCCCTTCAAAGTGAAAAGAGATCATGTTTACTCACAGGAGCATGGCCATATTAGACTGGGTGTGAACATCATATAGTCAACATCCATAAAGAGGTGCCTACAGGCAGTGCCAGGGAGGATGCTCATTTATGTTGTCAGCGCCCTCTTAGAGACAGATCCTGGCCTAGCGCCAAGCCCGTTGTAACATAAACACTGCCCTGTAAGGGTTGTTCTTGTACTCTCCACATCAGCAAAATGGGAATGGTGGCGCCAACACTGAAGTGGTCTTTGGAGAAGAGATGGGCTTTCAGAGACATCATCTATCATCCCAGACCTTCATATGCTTCTCTCTGACGAGATTACCCATGTGTTCATATCTTCAGTCTGTGATCATGGCCACCATTCATATGCTGATCTTTATCCTATTCAGAGCAGTGCTCAGTTGGGGGGTAGGAAGGTGGGGGAGAGAATGGGGGCAGTGTTATATTACAAAATAAAGACCTATGGAAACCCCGGGCAAGATAATAAATGGAGTGATCTTTCAAAGCAGGACTATTTTGTTGTAGTTGAAAATAAAAACAAATATATGACAAACAATTGTGTGCCCCACTAACCAGAATTGACAAATGCGAATGTTTTGTCATATTTATTGTAGATCTATTTAAATAAAAGAACTAAAATATTACAAGTAAGATTTTAGTCCCCTAAGCCTATATTATTTAAATATTCATTTCACATTTATTTTGAAGAATGGCAGAGTGCTGTGTGAGGAAAGTGCAGAGGAAGATAATCACCCTCTCCTCCTAGCAGTTCAGCTTTCCCCAAATTCGCCTGCCCACTCTGCAAACAAAAGCAACACAATTTATGATAGTTGCCCCTTGGAAGGCAGTTTAGCAGCCAACCTCCCCTGCACCCCAATGTGCCTGAGCCCCCCTTTCCAAAATGCCAGCCACACAGGACTCCTTCTGAGAGGAGTTCTGGAAATTATAATTTTCTGGATCTCGTTGCATTTCATGGGAGTTTGGAAGCTCATTATAAATTGGTTTCCCATGCAGCGGCTGGGCCTGCACATTCCTTTTGTCTGGTTGGAACTACTTAAGCCTAGCAATCCCCACACGGATGACTTGGTCAAGCAAATGGCAATTGTCTGTGTCTACAGCTTCAGGAGTAAGAGAGAGCACAAACAACCTAGTTTTGCTTTTTTTTTTTTCCCTCCCCACATCTCCACAGCTACAGTAAATCAGATCGCCTGACATTTCTTTTTAGCTGTGTCTGAATCTAATGCCCTCAGCCTAGAAATTTCCGTTATATCAGTCAGTGCATGGCAAGAGCAATGGGCTTCTCTGATTAGTGAAGCTGAAGAGTAGAAATGAATCACAGTGCCTTTGTATTCTAGAACATGAGTCTGGGATGAATGAATGCGGGAGGTTGGCCAAAACAACCCCAGCGACTCAATTCTTAAATTATTTACCATGAACATAAATCTGGGGACTTATGATGAATAAATATCTCCATTTAATAAGCATTAAAGGAAGGTAAGGTGGAAAGCCTAAGAAGGGGCTGGGAAGCCACCTGCTTCTGATAATCTCAAAATCTCAGTCTCCCTCTCTGTATGATGGACCGCTTATCCTCATCGGCTCTCCTAGGGCTATTGTGAGCAGTATATTTTAGAAGTGACTGAAGGTGGTTTGGAAAATACCTTACAACATATCAAAAGCAATTTCACTGGGGCAAGACTTGGGCTTTATACCATAAAAGGAGAAAATAACAGCCTTAGTCTCCCAGATCAGCTAAGCATCCAATCAGGGAAGCAGGAATTATTCTGGCTCTTTCAGAAAGTTGGAAGGAATTGAGGGGCTCTTACAAGTCAACTGGGATAAGAGCTAGAGTGCTAAGCTTTCTGTCATTTGAGAATCAGGTAAAGCAGGACAGGATCCTAAGAACATCTAGAGAGTGGAAGAAAAAAATGCACCAATAATTTGCATAAAGTCATTGTACTAGTCAGGGTTCTCTAGAGAAACAGAACCAATGGGATACATACAGGTATATAAGAGGAGATTTATTATGAGAATTGGCTCATGTGATTATGCAGGTTGAGAAACTCCACAATATGCTGTTTCCAAGTTAAGAACCAGGAAAACTGGTGGCGTAATTCAGTCCTTGACCAAAGACCTGAGAACGAAGTGGGAGTAGGGGGTGGGGGAGGTGTCTACTGTTGTCAGAACCAGGTACTCTGATGTCCCAGGGCAAGAGAATATGGATGTCCCAGCTCAGTAAGAGAAAACTTGCCTTTCCTCCACGCTCTTGTTCTATTCAGTTCCTCAGTGGATTGGACGATGTCCACTCACATTGTTAAGGGCAAATCTTTACTCAGTCTATTGATTCAAATACTAATCTCTTCCAGAAACACCCTCACAGACACACCCAGAAATAATGTTTTACTATCTGGGCATCCCTTAGTCCATCCAAGCTGACACCTAAAATTATCATTAAAGTCATCAACTAATAGGCTTGGGAAGAAACTTAGGAGCGGCCTGATTCAACCTCCAATCCAGATGCCTTCTACTCCCACCTCATTCCATTAGCTGGTTGTCTAGTCTTTGCTTGAAAGTTTCCAGTAACAAGGATTTACCACCTCTAGAGATAGCCCATCCCAGTTGTGGGTATCTTACGTCATTATGGATTGTTTACCAAGTCTCCCTCACAAAACATTATTGCATTGAGTCCCCTCATCTGTGACTCCTTCCTCCCTGAACATGCCTCAGTTGCTCTGTGTCCCTAACAAGGTGTACCACTCAGAGCTGTACTTGGCACTCCAGAGGGGGCTTGGCCATCTGTGTGCAGCAGGGACTGCTTATCAGCAGACTTCTCTATGCTCTCTTTGCTGCCTCCTGTACCTCCTATCTGAGTGCTGTGATGGGGAGGGGGAGGGGGGAAGGGGGAGGAGGTAGGAAGTGGTGTTGATGATGCCTTGGTAGATGAGATAAGGGTCCTGCCTTTTTAACTGTAACCTCCACCCTCACCATTTTACCCCTTCTCTACTCAGGGGTTTTATGCCTGCTCTTTGTGTTTGTGACAAGCATAGAATTGTCAGAGAAGTTTGAACCAGAGTGACTTCATCTTGAATAGGGGCTGGATAAAATAAGGCTGTGACCTACTGGGCTGCAATCCCAGGAGGTTAGGCATTCTAAGTTACAGGATGAGATAAGAGTTCAGCATAAGATACAGTTCACAAAAACCTTGTTGATAAAACAGCTTGCGGTAAAGAAGCTGGCCAAAGCCCAGCAAAACCAAGATGGCAATAAAAGCAACTTCTGGTTATCCTCACTGCTCATTAGACACTAATTATAATGCATTAGCATGCTAACAGACACTCCCACCAGCGCCATGCACCATGGCAGTTTACAAATGCCATGGCAGTGTCAGGAAATTACCCTATATGGTCTGAAAAGGGGAGAAGAGGATCTCTCAGTTGCAGGAATTGCTCACCCCTTTTCTGGAAAACTCATGAATAATCCACCCCTTTTTTAGCATATTAACAGGAAATAACCATAAAAATAGCCAACCAGCATCCCCTGGGGCAGCTCTATCTATGGAGCAACAATTCTTTATTTCTTTTCTCTTTCTTCTGTCTCTCTCTCTTCCTTCTTTCTTACTTTCCTTTCTTTCTTGACTGAGTTTCACTCTTGTTGCCCAGGCTAGAGTACAATGGTGTGATCTCGGCTCACTGCAACCTCTGCCTCCCAGGTTCAAGTGATTTTCCTGCCTCAGCCTCCTGAGTAGCTGGGATTACAGGTGCCCACCACCACGCCCAGCTAATTTTTGCATTTTTAGTAGAGACAGGGTTTCACCATGTTGGCCAGGCTGGTTTCGAACTCCTGACCCCAGGTGATCCACCTGCCTTGGTCTCCCAAAATGCTGGAATTACAGGCGTGAGCCACCACGCCCAGACTGTTCCTTTACTTTCTTAATAAACTCACTTTCACTTTACTCTATGGACTTGGCTGAATTCTTTCTTGCACAAGATCCAAGATCCCTCTCTTGGGGTCTGGATTGGGACCCTTTCCAGCAACAGAATCAAACATTCTGAAGATAGTGATTGAAGATTATATTCTATATCTGGGTAAAACCTGACCAAATCATAGCAAGTCAGAAGGTATCTTGGCCCAACACTGCACAATCTCTATAGTGCAGTGGTTCTGAAAGGGTGGTCATTGGACTAGCAATATTGGCATCACCTGTGGACTTGTTAGACATGTCAGTTAAAGGATCCTGTCCCCAAACTATCATATCTAGCAATGTGTGTGTGTGTGTGTGTGTGTGTGTGTGTGTGTGTTTAGAGATGGGGTCTCACTCTGTTGCCTAGGCTGGTCTCAAACTCCTGGGCTAAAGTGATCCTCCTGCCTCAGCCTCCTGAGTCTCTGGGATTGCAGTTGTGAGTCACTGTGCCCAGTGCAATCTGTGTTTTAACAGCCCCTCCAGGTGATAGTGATTTGAAAACCACTAATAGACTAGATGCTGTGGTGGCCCTCCCCACATGCATGCACTTGAAGAACCTGTGTACTCCTTCCTAACTATTATGGCTGCAAGAGGCTCATGGTAGCTCTTTTCTTTTCTTTTCTTTTCTTTTTTTTTTGAGACGGAGTCTCGCTCTGTCGCCCAGGCTGGGGTGCAGTGGCGCGATCTCGGCTCACTGCAAGCTCCGCCTCCCAGGTTTACCCCATTCTCCTGCCTCAGCCTCCCGAGTAGCTGGGACTATAGGAAGCCACCACCACGCCTGGCTAACTTTTTGTATTTTTAGTAGAGACGGGGTTTCACTGTATTAGCCAGGATGGTCTCAATCTCCTGACCTCGTGATCCGCCTGTCTCGGCCTCCCAAAGTGCTGGGATTACAGGTATAAGCCACCATGCCTGGCCCATGGTAGCTCTTTTCTTGAGAGAATTGCCATTAACCAAACATGGAGCCCCCTTGCCATGGGAGTATTGGCAATGCATCCCTGCTCCCCCATCCAGAGGCCAGTGACTGACATGGGGTATAAAAAGTCTGGCCTCTTGCCTCAAGGGATGACCAATTTGTGCTCCAGAGCTCTGGATGAGGCCAGGCTGATACAAAGACCACCATTTCTTGAGATTCTCTCCTATCCTATCCTGCTTGCTTCTCTCTCTCTCTCTCTCTTAAGAGACAGGGGCCTTGCTATGTTGCCCAGGCTGGTCTTGAATTCCTGACCTCAAACAATCCTCCTGCTTCAGCCTCCCAAAGTGCTGGGATTACAGGCATAAGCCACAGAGCCTGGCTGCTTCTCTTTATTTCTGTGAGCACTTCCTCAATAAATGATTTTTATAAGAATCCCTATCCCAGACAATGTTTTTCAGGAATTTGACTGAAAACAATAATACAAAATTGAGGAATTGAAGGAAGGATTTTTTAATAAAGATGCTTAAAAGTTCCATGTGAGTACTTGAAAAATGACTAGATAATTATGTAGAATGTGATTTTTACTAACTCTTGTTTGTAGACATAGTTTGGGAGATGCACCACCACAGACACAGAGAGGAATACCAGGGACAGAATGGTGACATTGAATTTCTTTAGCTGACTGAGTCCTTAGCATTCCAGGAAGCACTTAAGCATCTTCATTAGTTCATTCTCCAACCTTCAGTGAGGGTGGTGATTAAGGACTTTGGGCTGATAAGCAGAATGAATCATAACGAGGTTAAATGGTGGCTGAAAGTCGGTGGCTGAAAGTCAGTTGCTGAATAAAAATGAGATTCTACCCCCACCCTCATAACCCAGCACTTTCTCTGATGATCTAGTGACATTCATTAGAAGCAAATCCTCACTCCTCTACTGCTATTTTCCTAGAATTGACAGGAAGAAAATTTGGCCAAATAAAATAAGAAACTAATAACACTTAGCAAAGAAAACCATCTGATGTTTTCATCAACTTTAGGGTATGCTGTGTTTGCAAAGAACAAAGTAGAGATTTGACAATTATCTGGATTATTTGGGCTGCATGGGTTAAGGTACCCAAATGGACTAGACTATATCAATCTCTAGATACATGAGACCCCGCAGAAACTTCTGGGCCTCTTTTAAGTTGGGTCTAAAAAGATGCTGCTGCACTAAGGCAGGAAGAGGGGAAGGCTTGACCTTCAGTGGGTAAGGTGACTTGGACTTGGCCAGGGCTGTTGTTGCTCCTGCATCCTCCAAACACTCCAGTCACTAGACTAGCTGGGGTGGATGAGAAGCTGAATCGATTGGTTGTGTCTGATTCGGAGGCTTATTTAGCTCCGACCCCCTGTGGGGAGATAAGGTGACTGGTGGTTGTAGCCTCTTGGCTATGGTGTATAACTATGACTTTCTGTGCTTAGCTCAGGGAGTCATTCCATTCAGCAAGCACTTTTTTTAATTGAATCCTGATGATGTACCAGCCAGTGTACCTGGTGCTGGGGATACCCATTTGAATGACACAGACAGTCCTTGACTTCATGAGCCAGCAGTGAAGCAACAGTTGTCCTCAGCTGGCCCCGTGCTGAGGCTTCACAGAGGGGCAGGGCTCGCCTGGCTGTTGGCTGGGAGAGGGGGTTGGGGAAGGCATGGCACAGAAATCTTTTCTAGTAAAGCGATTCTTAAACAGTCTTGAAGGATAAGAGGAATGGTTCAGAGAAGAAAAAGTGTGGGTGGGGAGAGTGGGAGAGGAAGTAGAATGCCATTCCAGGAGGAAGGATCAGAAATGAGAGGTGAAACAAAGTAATTCTTCTGGCTGAAGCATCAGGTGTGTGAAGGGCATGGGAGGGAAGACAGCAGTGGGATTGAGGCTGAGGAGGGAGGCAGGGCACGAAGGGTCTGAGATGCCATGGAGGCAGGGCACGAAGGGTCTGAGATGCCATGGACAGCACTTTGGACTTTAAAGGTGATGTGAAATCATGAGAGTTACAAGATCAGGTGTTTAGAAAAAGATCTTTATGGCAGCAGTGTAGAAGACGGAGTGGAGGGAGACAGGCAGTGGACACAGAGACAGCAGATAGAAGATTTATGCTAGAACCCAAAAAAGAAGCAATGAAAGTTGAATGCAGTGGTATGATTTAGTCTGTTTCAGATCTTGATTTTAATTCCAACTCCATCTAACATTAGCTGTGTGACCTGTGGCAATTTACCTTACCTCTCCAAGCCTTGTTTTTTCCATATATAAGATGGTTTAATGTACAGTTGGGGGTATTAGATAATACCCATAAAGTGCTTGGTGAAGTTTTGGAACATGTATTCTCTGTTTTTTTTTTTAGATGGAGTTTCACTCTTGTCACCCAGGCTGGAGTGCAATGGCACAATCTCGGCTCCCTGCAACCTCCGCCTCCCGGGTTCAAGTGATTCTCCTGCCTCAGCCTCCCAAGTAGCTTAGACTACAGGCATGCGCCACCTTGCCTGGCTAATTTTTGTATTTTTAGTAGATACGGGGTTTCACCATCTTGGCCAGGCTGGTCTCGAACTCCTGACCTCATGATCCACCCGCCTTGGCCTCCCAAAGTGCTGGGATTACAGGCGTGAGCCACCGCACCTGGCGGAACACAGTATTCTCTTAAAAAAAAAAAAAGAAAGAAAGAAAACCCTTATTCCTATTATTATGCAGCCATCCTAACTTGGACCGTCCTCCTATACCCAGACACTGAAACAAGGACTTGGGTGCAGGTAGTTTATTTGGAAAGTGATCCCAGGAAGCACAAGCGAGGCAGTGAGGAAAGTGAGCAGGGAAAGGCAGGAAAGCCAATAAAGGAGGTGTTACTGGGTGGGCTGCTGCTGTGGGCGACTGAGGCTTATGTTTCCTGGAGATGCTCGTGGGAACTGTGCAAATCACAGCTCAAAGTGATTCCTTTGAGAGATGGGAGAGCTGGGATATTTAACCACCAACTCCTATCGCTCATTGGTTGAGGGTTGCTTCTGCAGATCTTAGTACTTCCAGGCTGCTCTGTGCAGAGGTTGAACAACTTTCAGGTGGGGCCGCAAGCGCTCAGCAAGTCTGCAGCAGCAGAGATGGGTGCTTGAGAAGGAAACTGCCATAGTGCAACTGGAACACTGCAGTTGAGGTAGACTCAGATGTCAGCAATGGGAACATGGACAGAGCATCATATCTGCTACAGTGAAGTGAAGGGACAATTAAACAATATTTGGAATGTAGACAATAGATCTTGATGAGTGATTGGATCATTGAGGGGTAAGAAATAGGGTAGAGTCTTAAAATGACTTTTGCATTTCTAGTTTTGTCTAAAATTTGCAGTCCCATTTATTGAGTTTAAAACAATTGCCAGAGGAGTAGTTTTGGCCATAGTGATGGCAGAGAAGAGAAGTTGCTTTTCATTTGGGCATCCTGAGTTGGAGGTGTCTGTGATATAGCAAAGTGTCACACTAAGTTGGCAAATGGAATTTTCCTAATTCCATATTGAACTATGCAGGCTTCAGTTTGACATGTTCGAAATTCTTTAAACAGATTTTGTGGGAACAAATCCTGACTCTGATAATGAATGATTTCCCCTCTGCACATTTAATCTGGTGGTTTAAGTGATGGCTTTTAAAATAGCCTGGTGTCTCTTTCTACCTGCTGTTCACTTATTAGTTGACTTTGAACCTGTTGGTGAATTCCATTGCAGATTGTCTCTCCCTGAAGAAAGGGAATAATAAACACCCTTTTGAGTTATTGCATAGCTGTTGAAAACCAAGACAGCATTTCAAAGCTCTTCTGAGTTGTTGCAGAGCACAGTGCCCCATCAACTATTGTATTTCTTTGCTTCAGTTTGCTTTCAGAGCTTACAGCATTCCAATTATCCTATTATTGGATATTCAGTAGTAAAGTGAATATGCTCGTCTTCTAAAATGGAATTTTTAGATGTTAAAAGTTTATATTTGCCAAGTGAAATAAGCCAGATATTTAGCTCATTATGGCATGGAACTCATCCTGATTATAAATATATATTTTTCTCTCTGTATGTATGTGTGTGTGTGTGTGTGTGTGTGTATATATATATTTGTATTTAGAGACATGATTCCTGTTTTTGCTCTATTTCAGAATGCATTTTTCAATAGATGTTGAAACCACTAACAGTTTAACTTTCTAAAGTGGTTTCCTTATAGATATTTTATTATAGGAAGACGTGTAGAACATCCAAGTCAATGGGGCCAGAGACAAAAATGTGAAACAGGTAAAGCCTGGCTTTAGCTTTCTCTCTTGAGGTGACCTCTGTCTTCCCCATGGGCTTTCTCATGTCCCAGTATTCACTGCTAAGGTGCCCAAGGGTTGTTGGCCTCTACTTCCAGAGAGGTATCTGTGTTATAATCACAAACCTCTAAGGCTTGTGATTTTGCCAATGATATTCACCTTAGCTGTGCTTGTTTGTAAAGTGTTGGCTACACATGAGGCTCTGGACTACTTGGTGAAAGTGGAGGGAGTGAAGACAGCAAAACAGGGTCAGAGCAAGGCTGGGCATCCTGGGTCTACTTTGTCTTCCTCAGTGGGTGGGGCGGTGCTGATAGTACTGTGGAGACTGGCTCCAGAAGAAGGCAACGAAAGAGGAAGTAGGATAGACTGTAGTGGGAACTTACTACAGGCCAAGAATTGTGCCAAGAATTCTGCATATGTATTATCTCACTTAATTAAATAAAGCAATATATTTTCTTAAAAATGTGCTTGAGAGTAAACATTTCTGGAGACAAGTGAAAAGCCTCCCACACACAGCTCCTGTTTCTTGGAGAGTTCCTGCTGCTGGCCCATAGAGGAACACCCCAACCTTTTTTGTTTAAGCAAACAATGTTGAGGACTGAAATTGTGTGTTTGATTTTTTTAAAGTTTCAAATCAAAACAAGATCTGATAGTGGTTATTTTGCTAAGGGAAAAAATGATAGTAAGTCAGAGGTTTTGAAACCCAAATTTTTGGAGTAACGAAATAATTCGCACGGTACAAAATAAAATAATGACAATAACATTATTTTACTTTTGAAGGACAAAAGCAGCAAACACATTCAGAGACTGGATGCTTTTAGACTGCAGTGGGATCATTCATTCTTCTATTTTGCGTTTGATGAGGCTGGCTCGAGAATAAAGTTTTAGATGTTATAATGGTAGGTCTACCTGGGAGTCTGTTCCCCTAGGGCCTGGCCATCATGGCTCTGGAGCTGTAATGTTTTCTTTCGGAACCCACGGTCTGGGCGGTCTGAGCTTGTCAGGCGCACGTGCGACTCCGTTGCCTGCAGAAACGGCTGAACTTTGCACGGGCTGTGGGTGGTGAAGCACTTGTGTGTACCCACCCTGCTGTTCAGCCTGGAGCTACCACTGGTTTCAATTATGACTTCAACAGGCAGCTTTGAGGCCTTCTCTATTCATTACACTGCCGCACACTCTATAATTAGTAATAAAGGAACACAGGCACTTCACAAATATAAAGGGCTAAACAGTAATCATGCAGCAAAGGCAATGCATTGGGACTTTTCTACATAACTCCTTGTTTCTTTCAGGTAAAAAAAAAAAAGCAAATCAAAAACAACTTGTTTCATTACTTTGTTTTATTTTTTGCACTGAATAACCTAGGTTTGAATCTCACCCTGGATACTTATTAGCTGTGTGATTTTTGGCATTTTATCTAACCTTCTTGTGCCTCGGTTTCTTTAATTGCAAAATGGAGTTAATGATACTTCCCATATCCTGGGGGTAGTTTGCTGATTAAATGAGATAATTCATGCAGAATGCTTGGTAAGGAGCTCTGCTCACAGAAGACTTGCTCAGTAAATGTTAGGTCTCATTATGCTTATCATCATTTTAATTTCAAATGAAATCCATAGAGTATAAGACATAGGCATAGTACTCTTGAGTGTCTTTTTTTAAGACTTTCCATTATGTACATTTTCAAACACAAACATTTAGAGATACTGCTGAAATTTCCCTACCTCACATGCACCTATGCTAGCATTGACAATTATCAATATCTTATCAAATCGATCTTGTTTCACATAGCTCCCTGTGTTTTTTTCTAGAACATTTTAAAGCGAATCCCAAACATCATGTCATTTTGCCCATAAATTTGAGTGGAATAGAGCTGATAGTTACTTTGGAGACTGGCTCCAGAGGAAGGCAAGGAAAGAGGAAGTAGGACAGAATGTAGTGGGAACCTATTATATTCCAAAAGACTAAGATGTTAGTCTTTTTGATACTAACACCCCGAATAAGCTGAGGGCTCTTTGGGACTACGTCTTCTTCACCTCAAACTCCAGCTTGAGGAGGAGGTACCAGCAGCTAGTAAAAGTTCTACAGATGCTTGTTTAATTAGTGAATGAACAACCCAAACTTAGCTTTCTTCACTTTTTGGTGGCTGCTCAATGAATATTTACCTAGTGAATAAATGAGAGCAGGGATTTTATAGACTAATACATATGGAGATGCACATAATTTATGAAATCAACACACGTTTTTAATACTTGGGTGACATTTTGCAATACTTGAAATCCTACAGGTTTAATATTGTCATGAACATTAATAATGCCCAAATAATTAGCACTTGAAAGAAGGTTTCATTCTGATACTCAAATTATTTGTGAATGTCTGACTATAGGCAGCTTCATGAAAAGCAATTGGCAGATTCTTCAAACACATGACAAATCTTTTATTACTGTGCTTATAAGTGACACGGTTTACGGAAAACCAAATGTAATTAAATAACATTGAACTTGAAATCTACCACAGAGTCAAGATATACAAGTTATACTTGGCAAGGCAAAATTTCTCAAACACTAGGTTGTTTCAGGTGAAAGATAAATTTCAATTAAGTAATTCCAACATGTTTTGTTTTTTGTCTTACAGACAGTTCCTTTGGCAATAACTTCCACTTTAGCTTTTATTATATAAAAATATAACAAAATTTCATTATATACAAACATTACATTACACAATGTACAGGTTAAAAACACTAAGAAAATGGCAAGCCGCAATTGAAATCAAAGTCAATAGCATAAGAAAAATTAAATACTGCACACATTTCATAAAAATTACATTAACTACATTTTTGTTTGCAAATACCAAACAGTACCAATGTGATTGGAAATAGCTTCCAACAACTTCATTGTAAGGCACATCTTGCATATTTATATATACAACACTGAAACCGGTCAATAACTTAGGGGCTTCTCGGAGTGACCTGTATATGTGTGAAGACATGCAGCATGGGATTACACATTTTCATTGGCTCCCTTCTTCGGGGACAGGTACCTGCCAGGAGGGGACTGGTAGAGGGGTACTCCAATCTCCTGCAGGTCTGGGAGCCTCCCTGGACGGGGAGGGGAGAGCAGAGTGACTGTCCTGTCATAGTCTCTGTGCAGTACTTTCTCATAGACGCTCTGCAGCCCCACTGTCTTGGGCAGCTGGGCCTGGTAGTAATTGTCCCTGCGCAGAGGATCCCGAGGCAGTGACGTGCTCTTACAGAAGGTTGACATCTGGGCTGGTGGGTGAGGCGATGGATGTGCGTTGGGCCCGCTGCAGGATGGGCTCCAGCAGCGGTCAGAGTGGCCCAGGATCTTACACTCAGCGGTGCACGCCCACAGTCCTAATACGAAAGGGAAAAGGAAACAGCATGACGATTATTCCTGAGATTATACATATTCAGGCTTCCATCTTCAGCATGTCAGCCTGGGTCAGGGCAGCTGAAAGGAAAGGCTGTGCGCATAGATATACACCGTGTCTCAAGAATCGAAGGCACATTGCTTCCTGTAAAGCCATCTTAATGCAAAGCTGGTCCAGCTTCTTCAGCTGGAAGTGAAAAAAAAAATTGATAAGCAGAACCCACTTTTTAATGGCTAGCATCACCCATGCTGCTGCCTAACAGGATGAGGGTGTGTTTTATTCAAGAGCTGGAGTTGCCTCGACTTGGCATTTTGAAATTCACCGTGTGAGGCAGGCCCGTATCCGCAGCTGTAGGAGTGAGAAAAAGTGGGGAAGAGGGAAGGGGGCTGGGAACCGAGATTGAGAGGAGGCAAACAGTGGTGAAGGGGAGGGAAGGGAGGAATGCCGAATTTGGCGGGAAAGAAGAGTCCTCACCACTCTGCATGTGGTTGATGAGATCCTTTTTCAGAGCGTCCCCGCTGATGTCGGAATCGCTGTCGTTGAAATCACTGTCCCCTTTACCGCTGTCTTTGCCGCTGAACTTCTCTGCTTCTCTGCCAGAAATGGTGTTGAAGGAGTGTCCTTTCCACACCGCCACAGGGGGCGCCGGCTCCTTTCCAAAACCCGGGGAGGCACCGTAGGGCTGCAGCAGGGAATAGGGGAATGGGAGTGGGGGGAGGGTTGGATAAGAAACAAACAAAAAACAAGTGCGACAGGTTGTCTACCTGAATGCACCCACCCTACCCCTCCAGTCTCCCTTCCCCCAGCCTGTCCGCGGAGCTCGGAGGGGGGCGCCCAGCCGAAGGAAGGCCTCACCTCGGCGTGCGCGCCGCGGAGCCGCTGCTGCCCCTCGAAGTGACAGGCGCTTTCCCCAGTGGCGCTGCCGCCCTCTGAGCCCGGCACTTCGGCCGCGGCGACCGCAGGCGGAGGCGCGTCCGCCGCGGGGCTGCCAAAGGGCGCTTTGCCGGTGCCAGGGAAGGTGAGCACGTCGAACATGTTGGGCCTGGGCCCGGCTCCCCGGGCGGCCTCCTCCGGGGAGCCGGGAGCCGAGGCTCCGCCGCCCGCCGCCCCGGGCCGCTCTTCCCGGAGGGCCCCCCCTTTGCGCACCTCCTTCTTGCGGCGGTTGCAGGTGGTGGCGATGGCGATGATGGCGGCCAGCAGCAGCGTGCAGCTCCCGGCCAGCACGATGATGACGATCAGCGGCGTGTCCCATTGCAGCACCGACCCGGACACCCCGAGCCGAGAGCCAGGCGGGCGGGAACGCTCCGGGCTTCCTGCACTGGCAGGCGCAGCCGGCCCACGCCCGCCCCCTGCTGTTACCACGAAGCTGACAGTTGCGGTGGTGGTGAGCGGGGGACGGCCGCCGTCGGATATGACCAGGAGCGCCCTGAACACGCGACCGGGTGGCTCCTGCGAGAGGTCGCCGGTGAGCAGTATCTCCCCCGTGCGGCGGCCGATGGCGAAGGCTTCGCGCGGCTCCTGCTGCTGCAGCTCGAACGCCAGCTCCCCGTTGGCTCCCTCGTCTGCATCCCGGGCCTGCACACGGGCCACAACCGTGTCCTTTGCGGTGCGCCCAGGCACCGCCACTTCTAGGGAGCCATTGGCTGGCGCCGGGTGCACCAGGACTGGCGCATGGTCGTTCTGGTCCAGCACGCGCACTTGCACTAGGGCGCTGCTGGAAAGCTGAGGGGAGCCGCCGTCGCTAGCTTGGATGCGAACGTCGAGTTGGCGCAGCGTCTCATAGTCGAAGCTGCGCAGCGCGTAGATGGCTCCGGTAGCTGGGTCCACCGAGACATAAGTGGACACGGCGCCCCCGGCGCGGCCCACCTCGGCCTCCAGCAGCCGGTAGGTGACCTGGCCGTTGCGGCCCAGGTCCCGGTCGCGGGCGGCCACCGTGGCCAGGTAGGCGCCTGGCGGGTTGTTCTCGCGCACCGACACCTCATAGACCGGCCGCGTGAAGAGCGGCGCGTTGTCGTTCTCGTCGCCCACACGCACCGTGTAGGGCCGCACTGTGCGCAGCGGGGGCGCGCCGCGATCCTCGGCCACCAGCGTCAAGTTGTACTCGGCGATGCGTTCGCGGTCCAGCGACGCCGCGGTCACCACCAGGTAGCTGCCCGCGTAGGCCGGCTGCAGCCGGAAGTGCTCGTGCCCATAGAGGGCGCAGCGCACTTGCCCGTTGGCGCCCGAGTCCCTGTCCGAGGTGCTGACCAGGGCCACCAGGCTCTCGCGCGCCGCCCCCTCCGGCACCAGCGAAGTGGCACCAGCCTCCGGCGTCCCGGCTCCCGCCGGCGAGCTAGCGTCCGCTCCCCCGAGTGCAGCGGCGGCGGCGGCAGCGGCGAAGGGTGAGGTTGCCGGCGCGCCTGGGGCGGCCAGCGGGGTGATGGCGATGTCGGGTGCGTTGTCATTGACGTCTCGGATGCGCACGATGACCTTGCAGGTGGCAGCGCGGGGCCCGGGTCCGCGGTCCTGCGCCCGCACGTCCAGCTCGTAGGTGTCCTGACGCTCGTAGTCCACGGGCCCGGCCAGGGTGAGGCGGCCTGATCGCGGGTCAAGCCGAAAGAGGCGGCGCGCCTCCGGCGGGGTGCGGGCGCCAAATGCGAACACCACGTCGCCGTTAGGTCCCTCGTCGGGGTCGGCTGCGTCCAGGTCGAGAAGCAGGGAGCCCACGGGCGCGTCTTCCGCCAGCTCCACTTCGGCCACGGCGCCCTGCGGGAAGGCCGGGCTGTGGTCATTCGCATCCAGGACGCGCACGCTGAGGGCAGCCGTGGCGGAGCGCGGCGGGCGGCCGCCGTCCTGGGCCACCAGCTCCAGGCTGTAGGCGGCCTGGCTCTCGCGGTCCAGCTCCTGCAGCAGCACCAGGTCTGCGCACTGAGCGCCGTCCGCTCGCGTCTGCAGCTCCACGCGAAAGGGGCTGTGCGGCTCGGCCAGGCGCACGGTCTGCAGCCCGTTGGCGCCCACGTCCTCGTCCACCGGCACCTCCAAGGGGATGCGCGTGCCCACTGCCGCACCCTCGGACACCTCTACCGGGATCTGGGCCCTGGGGAAGCGCGGCGCGTGGTCGTTGACGTCCCTCACCTCTACCTCCACGTGCACCAGCCGGAACTGCTCCTGCGAGAAGCTGACCACATCGAAGGCCAGCACGCACTGCGGGGCCTGGCCACACAGCCGCTCGCGGTCCAGGCCGGCGTCCCCGACGGTCAGCTGCCCGTCGCCTTCGCGCACCCGGAGCAGAGAGCTGTTGAATTGCTTCATCAGGCGGAAGCTTGTGTCACCCGATACTTTCATATGCAGGTCCTCGGCCAGGGTCCCGATGACCGTGCCGGGGGCATCCTCCTCGAAGGTGCTGTATCGGACTGTTTTGCTCTGGGCCACTGAGAGCACCCAGCAGAGGCTGAAGAGCTGCAAGGGGAAAAGGCAGGGGCTGCCCCAACGCCTCACAGGACTCATGCCTCCAGCCTCAAGTGCGATCCGAAAGGCTAAGGAAGTCTTCTCTGGTTTCCAGGTCGGGCGTCAGTCTCAGGCTCTCGGAATCACGCTCTTTGCGAGCCCTGTGCGGGAGAAGTCTGCGGGTAGCAGCTCCGAGCCTCCAGCGGGCTCTGAGGACGCGCGGACCCGCCCTCACTCTGCGCCTCTCCGTCTCTTACAGAAGCTGCGCCGCCTCGCGCCGCCTTTGCCTTTATAGCCGCCGATATGCTAATCACCCGAGCCGGGTAGCCAATGGCCGCCTCCCCCTCGCGTCGCCCCTCCGCCTGCCTCTGACAATCCCTTTAATGTGGAAAGGCTTAGAGGGGAAAACAAGAAAGGAAAATTAGGGAATCTTTCTTTTGTTTAACTCCTTTTGCTTTTTCCCCCTTTTCTTGTCAGCACCCTGCATGTAGAGGAGTTGGCACAGGGCTCCAGGAGTAAAAGGAGCGGATGGTTTTGTTAATTGTCGCCTGCCTCCCTCCGTGCCGCGGCTAGAACTAAGTGCGAACACGCTGGGGTTTCACCCCAGTGGCTCCTGATTCCGCCTTCCCCCAGCCCCTGCCAACACACACACTCTGCATTTTGCACCTCTGACGCTTCCAAACCCTTGCAGCCCCCTACCCACAGACTTGCTCTGCTGAATGAGGCTCTGCTTTCCTTCTCTCCTAGCTACGGTGCCTGGAATAGCCTCTCGATTAAGAAGCCTGAAGGATAAGGGAAAATTGATTTTATTCAAATTTGTGTACTCAATTGTGTTTTGCTCGTGTGAGCCCCAGTGATCAGAGCTGCCACTTCCCTTTCAGAAAAGAGCCCCGCGATATGTTAGTATGCACGTCACTGTCCAAGTGGCCTTCTTAAGCCCTGGGAGCTAGCAGGCAAGGAAAAAAAAGTTCCAAATAGGATTTAGCATAAGCTTGAGGAGATTTGGAAAGGTTTCAAAGATCAGACTGTATCAAAGGCTTATGAAGCCCTCGTTAGCAGTGGAAATAGAATGGTGTGGCAGGCGATCCCATTGGAGGCCCCAATGTCTGTATTATTTCACTGTGACAAGCTAAGGGGAGAGAAAGTTGAACAGTTTCCACAGCGGAGTTGGACTAACTTGAATATAATGAGCAAACGCCACATGTATCCATTATGTTCCTCTATTCATCCCCAATCACTGCCATAACTCTCCGGCTAAACGGTGATGGGCGCTGAATTCCACACAATACCCGGCTCGTATTAAAGTGCATTTAGAGAACTTTTTCCTCCTGATGCCTTGTTCCGCCTATTTAGAGGATTTTCTTTCTGTTCTAATAGGGCCACTCTGGGAAGCAACACTCGTCCGGTTCCAGAAGAACAAAATCACAGCGTGACGTTGAAACCTGGCAGGAACGTGGGGGGAACTTAACCATCTGCTTAGGAAAGTGTGGAGCTTCGGCACTGCCAAAATCTGGGCTGGGCGGATCCTGGGGCTGGCCGGGCGCTGCGCTGCCCCACAGATAGCCCCCTCCCATCCCTGACGGCCAGGGAGATGGAGCTCGGATCTGCAACAAGACGGATTCTTAATGATTCTTACTGAAGGGCTTTATTGAGCAGGCTATGCAAATACACACGAAGGAGGAAAGGTAAAAAACAAAAGCCACTCACTGGAAGAAATTTTTCTTTTTAGGCGATAGGTTTGGTAAGTAGATTGAATTCAGTAAACATTCTTCAGAATCCCGATTTTGGTCCTGCTGTCAGCGTCCTATCCATGTTTTCCTTTCCCTCAAACTCGAGGGAGTGTGTTTTGGGTTTTTTTTCAGAAGAGGGTCAGGAGTTTCCTTGGAGTAGGGAGACCAAGCAGGGAGCTGGGTGGCAGGGATGAGAGGTGCTTGGAATTGTCAGAGAGCGGAACATGCAGCTCCAGCCATCCATAAATACAAGCTCTTATAAGACTGGGGAGGGGGATGATGAGTGGCTGGAGACTTCCTCAGAGGGGTGTGTCTCTGGGTTCCCTTCTCCACCTCTTCCACCTTGTAGTCTTGGGAATGCTAAAAGCAATAAGGCCAGGCATCTGCAGCCGCGTGGGGACGTGGAAGGAGGAGCGCCCCCTACAGGAGCCCAAATCGCAGCCCTTTCTTCCGCTGTCTTCCATCTCCCAAGTGCGATTTAGTATGTAGCCCTCCCACCGTCCCCGCCCAAGAGATATTCCTTGGGGGGTACACGCAGTCGAAGGAACTTTCTATTTTCCTTCCGAGCCCCGCAACACTCCCACCCCAACCTGGGGCTGGCTGGTGACCTTTAGCGCCCCTAGGCTAACGTCATCTCTCCTCACCCCTCTTCCCCCGGAGACCCAGACGGGAACAGGTTCAGAACTTGGCTGGTGGACAGCGGCCTCAGCGCTTCCGCTGGCGTACCCAGGGCAAGGTCAGGCCCGCCTGGCGCTGCTGCTGCCGGGCGGAGGACCCGGAAGGTGGGGAAAGTGGGTGGAAATGGGGCCGGAGTCCCAAAGGAAGGGATTTCAGCGGTTTCCGCGAGCACAGCCCGGCCGCGAATGGCTGGGACCCGGACCTCGCGCCAGCGCCCCCTGCGCATCTGCACCCCGCAGTTCTGGGCTGGACTCGGGAGCCCCGCCACGCGCTAAGTTTGGGTTTTTCGCTTGGCCAGAGATTCGGAACTACTTGCAATTTCTACTCAAAGTGCTTCCGCGTCAGCATGCTCATTCTCAAGGCTGAAATAAACCAAGGCGTGCTTGAAAGTGGGAAAAGGAAAGGGGAGTAGGGGCAGGCAAAAGCCAGGAGGCGGGAGGAGGGGTGTAGGGTGGCTGGTAGCAGGTCTAAAGTGTTTTTTCCGCGGCCAGGCCCTCGTCGATCGGAAGTAGCCACGACGGCGGCGGCGCCGGGAGGCTGAGAGCTGGGAGCCGGGGAGCCCGGGAAGGGAGCCGCGAGCCTCCAGCCGCCACCGGCGCGCACAGGTCTTTCCGTGCCGGCGGTGGAGGTGTGAAGGCACGCGAACACCGTGAGCTCCGGGCCGGCAGCGGACAGCCACTCGATTATGGAAATACGATTTAAAATAGCACATCAACGTCCGCAGCAACTCCCCGGGAAGGAAAATATGTCCGGGGAGGTGGCGCTGGAGAGGAGTAGGGGAAAGGGAGGGGAGCTCGCCCGCCCGGGTGCTGATCAGGCCTCACAAAAGCCGCTCGAATCGCCTTGTTATCATACCAAAAGGTCTGGGCAGGCCCAAAGGAGCCCCTTTCTCTCGGTTTTAGCAACTTCGCCGGCAACTGTCTCGCAATCTTGAGAACAAACACAGCTCCACAATGGCCGGCGTTTTCTCGGAATGCAAATGTTGCGGGCTCCGCAAAGCTGGGTTTCTGTTACCGAGCCTAATGCCGGCATTGTGAAACTCGCGTGCAAACACCAAGATTGACATGGGCGTCACGTGATGGATTAGGGCTCCAGGAAAGTTTTCAAAGAGGCGACAATGGGGGGCTCAGACTGATCTGATATCTCCCACAGTTTAGCGGGAAAGAAAATCAGGATATATTCTCATATGTAATAGGATTATCTTGTCCATTTCAAGTTCTATACAGCATGTAATTTATTTTTAATTAGGATTATATCTACCAGGAAAGGGTACTAGACTTCACTGGAAAGTGTAATTCTAAGGATGGATGAAGAGGGGTTATTTTTTAAACTTTTACTTTTTTTTTTCCTTTAAAAATAAGCCCAGGGCCCTGGTTTTTCCTCCTACAGGCTCACCATTGGGTAAACCCCTCAGGGAAGTTTGCAGCAAGTGCTTGGCCAAGCAAAGAACAGAGGAAGCTCTTCGGGGCATCTAATTCATTTTTGTAGTGAAAACACACTTTGCAAAAATCTCATCAAATTCTGAAGCCTCTGGGTTTTCTGGGGTTGGTGCACTAGAAATGCAACCAAGCTGTTTTCTACACTCCAAATTCTTTTTTTTTCTTTTTTTTTAAAGTTATCTCTCTCTGTGTGTGTATTTGTTGGGCTGTCAGTATAGGCATGGTGACTTTTAAACTGTATAGTAAACCACAAAGCAGCATTCTCCATAGCCCTGATTCAAATTCAGCAGTCAGACAATGAGACAATTTGGGGGTGAAGGTAACTGTTATTTAAACATTGATTTTGGATTGATTCCAGTGCCAGATGCTCACAAACCCTGGATCATTTCCAGATCTTGGGCCACTCTTCATTTTGTGTGTTCTGTGTGTCACTCTGGGAGACCTGCTTTACCTGATAAGAAGCAGAACGCAGCTGTTGACTGCAGGATCTGGAATCATCCTGCTTGGGTTCAAATCTGATCATTACACTGATTGGCTGTGTGACCCGTGCAAATTATTTTCTCTCTGTATTGTTTTTTGTTTTTGTTTTCTGTTTGTTTTTTGAGATGGAGTCTTGCTCTGTTGCCCAGGCTGGAGTGCCCTGGCGTGATCTCCGCTCATGGCAAACTCTGCCTCGTGGGCTCAAGCGATTCTCATGCCTCAGCCTCCTGTGTAGCTGGGATTACAGGCCTGCACCCCCACACATACCCAGCTAATTTTTGTATTTTTTGGTAGAGACGGGGTTTCACCGTGTCACCATGTTGGCAAGGCTGGTCTTGAACTCCTGACTTCAAGTGATCATCCTGCCTCAGCCTCCCAAAGTGCTGGGATTACAGGCATGAGCCACGGCGCCCGGCCTGTCTGTATCTTAGTTCCTTTATCGGCAAAATGGGTATAATAATAGTACTTTGCAAAGTTGTTTTGAAGACTGTGTAAAATGATATAATATCAGGTGCTTAGGAACACATGTTAGTTTTTATTTCCCTTTAAAGCACAGGGAAGAAACATCAAAGACTATGTAATCTAAACCTCTTATTTTATAGGCGAGGGATTTGTTCAGAAAGAAAAATAACTCTCCCATTTCCTGTCTGCTTCTTTGCTTTGGTGACAACTGTCTCCCCAATTCCCTCATTCCTCTCTGGAAATAATAGGTATTGTGGTAGGTATATAGATCCCAGAGGAAAGAGACAATGGTCACCTGAGGGTTCCACCAATTTTTGTGCCCTCATGTCATTTCAAAACCTTTTGGTACCTTACTTGCTAGTTGAGATCAGATGTTGACAAAAAGGAGTTCTCAGTAGAGTTTTTTCCTACTCATTTCTATAAAAGCCATGTATTCTGACTGAAACCACCTACAGATACAGATATTTAATGGACAGGAGCCCATAATTCTGGAGGAGCAGAATATTTCAAGGGACTTTCCCTCCTGGACAGTGGAATGCCTGGATAGTGTAATGCCTAGGAGCAGCAGGTGACCTCCTGCTGACTTATACTGAGCCAAGGTACAAAAAGTGTTTGACCCCTCTATTACTCTGCTAGAGCTGCCATAACAAAATGCCATATACTGGGTGATTTAAACAACAAACATTTATTTTCTCACAATTCTGGAGGCACGAAGTACAAGATCAAGGTGCCAACAGGGTTGATTTCTCCTGAGACCTCTCTCCTTGGCTTGCAGATGGCCGCCTTCTCTCTGTGTCCTCATATGGCCTTTTCCCTGTGTGCTGAGCTCCCTGGTATCTCTTCCTCTTCTTAAAGGGACACCAGTCATACTGGATTAGAGCCCACCCTTATGATCTCATTTAATCTTAATTATCTGATTAAAGGCTCTGTCTCCAAATACAGTCAGAGTCTGTTGTCCTAGGAGTTAGGCCTTTAACTTATGAGTTTTTGGAGGTCAGTCTGTAACACCTTCATTCTCTCAACCAATATTATTGAGAACTTACTAAGTTCTAGACTTTGTGATAAATGCTGTGGAAACAGATTAAAAAATAAAGTATCCATACTGATACAAATAAATGATCAAATAAATAAATAGGAAAGAAGAGACAATTCTACCACAAGGAAGACTATTGAAGAACTTATGTAGTAGATTCTCTGCCCACAAAAAAGTGGATCATAATCTCCCACTCTCTAAGTATGGACTACGTGGATTGTGACTTTCTTCCAAAGAATACAGTATGGAGTGGAGAGAAAAAGAGTAACTTTACATGGAGAAAGCTGTCAAACACTCCCTTGGTCAGGTCCTCAAGGTCAACATCAACAGTGATAGGTCATGTTGACAGTATGCACCCTAGGTGTGGTGTGATGAAAATGGCACTTTATCTCTGTGATCTTCCTCAAGACCACAGAACTTCAGTCTCATAATGAGAAAAACATCAGATAAAACTAAACTGAAGGATGATATTCTGCAAAAACTGACCGGTATGCCTCAAAACTGTCAAAATAGTCAAAAACAATGAAAATCTGAGAAACTGTCACAGCAAGAGCTTAAAGAGACATGATGACTAAATGTAATGTGGTATTGTGGCACAGAAAAAGGACATCCGAGAATAACCAAGGAAATCTGAATAAAATGTGGGCTTTAGATAATAACAATATTAGCTATTAATTGTAACAAAAGTACCATAGTAAGATGTTAATGACAAGGGATGTGGGGTTATGGGAACTCTCTGGACTAGCGCTACAATTTTTCTATAAATGTAAAACTGTTCTGAAATAAAAAGTTAGATCCTGCCAACCCTGAGGATGAGGAGACAGAAGAGTAATCAGACAGCAAATGTGTGTGAGAAGTGCTGTGAGGAAGGCCCACACCGCTGCTGATCACAGGTGGCTTCTTGAGGAAGAGGAATATCTGGACATGTGGCACGGGGCCTAAGAACGGTACAGGTATGCTCTGCCTGACTGTATGAGCCCAGAGGAGGGAGGCCAAATTGTGCTGGGAAATGGGAATACTCAGGGAAAGCTTTTGGGTGACATTTGAGTTGACTTTTGAAGGATGAATAGAAATTAGCTAGGAGTAGAAAGGGAGAAGGTAGGGGTGGAGATGAAAAAAGCATTCCTTGCAGGACGAACAGCAAGTGAAACAAAGGTCTCAGGGCTGGGGTGTAAGGCTCTATGAAAGGACCTAGTGAGTACAGAGAGGTGATGAAAGCCGGGGTGAGCAGGTGGGTGCTTTGTGTATCTTGTTAAGGCATTTGGGTTTTACTCTTAAGGCAATGGAGAGTGTTGAAGTATGTCACCCTGACATAAACAGGCTCACCAGAGTAAAGTGAAAGAAAATCAGGTGCAGGGAAAGGGAAGTGGAGAAAGAAGCCTGCGCTGGTGGAAATTTGACCTGGAAGGAAAGTCAAGGGTAATTCTCTCAAGTAACTGTTTAGGGAAGAGTAGTGAGTGACTGGTAAGGCCAAATCCCAAGAGACTCAGGGGAGAGAAGAGCACACTCTGATGACACTTGTTCGTCTATGGGCTGAGCCTGAGGACTGTGTTTCCTACTATGAGTCCCATCTCCCTCCAACCAGGAGCTGAAGCAAATGGTGTAGGAGTTGCTGGTTGGTGTTTTCCAGCCATCACCAGCCCTCTGGAGAATGCATTTCCTCCTGGGAGCCTCCTCTTGAGTTTAGTTCCAAGAAGAATGCAGATGGACAGTGGTGGGAGAGAGGATTTACTTTTTCTCAACAAGTTGAGGCTTCTCTGGGTTCAACCACAAGCAAATCTAGTGGCACCTCAGTGTATCTTCTGTTGGACATCTGTCCATGACAAATGATGGTGGGGTGGAAGTGGGATGTTCTCCAGCTGTCCATGGCCCAGGGGTGTTTCCCTTAACACCCGAAGGATTCAGTGTGTGTGAGGAAGAAATTAAAAATTTCCCTGGAGCCTTTTGGCTGGAGGGTGTGGGATATGGGATGTGGCCTGGGTTCCTACGACCTTGTTTTTGGTGCTTGGGCACTTTGAGGCAGAATTGGAAGAGATTACAGAGTTCATGGGGGAAAAAGAGGTTGTGGGTAATGAAGTAAACCTTCAGTGAAGAACCACAAATCTGTGCCTAAACTACATGCAGGAGTTGTATAGTTACATAAACTGGATGGTTTAATTGGTCTCAGAGCCTAAAATATGTTGCTACAAATTTAGGGTTTTGTTATTAATAAATCCCACATGACTTAAAAGAAATTAAGGCAGGTCGCTAGAGCCTTTTCTAGGCAGAGAGAATTTTAATCATTGGCTAGTCTTTTTTCTTCCTCCTCAAAACATTGTTCTGTAAGTGCAGAAGACTTCTGACTTAGGTCTTCCTTTGCATCTGACAGCTTGAACTCACTTGCTTTAAGTGGGTCACAATCCACTTTTGAAATGGAAATGAAGTCTTCATGGCAGCCTCTGCCTCAGAACCCTGGGACCCAGGACCAGCCAAGACACGGTGGAGCCTGATGTTATAAATTTCTCTATAGATCTGAGAGCAGTTTTACACCATTGATCTCACGTCACCCAGAATTGAGATGGAGTGACAGCTGATAAACTGCATGGTGACAGGCTATGGCCTTGGAAAAAAAAATCCAGATGTGGGATTAAAAAAAAAAGAGCTGATGGATTAGTTATTGGCCCTCGAATATCCCTTACCCTGGATTCCTTCCAACCACTTTAGAAGCATTTATTTTCAGGTAATTTTACAGTTGTCTCTTTGTCCTTCAGAGGTGCTTTGGTCTATGAAACCTCTCAGAGAATTTAGATGAAATCATTTTTATATGTATTGCCTGACACCCCCTGGAAGTCCCAGAGCCCTGCTCTTAGGTCTGAGCCTTTAGGGGGCTTTTACCTGCACATTCAGGGGACTAGGGATGCAAGTAAACCATTGGTATTCATGCTAATTTATGATTTTGTAGCAGAATTACCCAGTCTATAGCCCTCAAGCACCACTTGCTTTAATGGGGCAAGTGGGGAGGAAGGCACATTGGTGGGTGTGGGAATGGGAGATGGGTTTCTCCTTGGCCAGTATTTAAATGAGTGGGTTTTTTTTTTCATGCTACAATTAAACTTTTTGAATCACCTTTTGATTCCAGCTCCTCTGTCCAAAGGGCCTGGGACACCTTCAGAAAGATTTTGAGTAGGCGAGGTGCGAGGGCCTGTGTTGGAGAGATTGGGGAATGTGGTGGATTATTTGTGTTCGGAGGATGAACAAAGGTTGAATTCTTGCTGCCCTGGCTCTGAGCTCCTGCTTTGGTGTCCAGTGTGGGAACCTGAAATGGGGAAGAATGGGCTGCTCTATGCATTGAACCGCGAGCCCTCCCGGGCATGGCCGTTCGTAAGGCATCAATCTTGCTTTGCTTTGCCTCGCCTCAGGAGCCTTGTATAGAGGCCTCTGGTCTCAGGGGACAGAGAAGAAGGTTAGATGGAGGGAGCAGAGCCCCCACAGGGAAAAATAATGTGACAAGCTGTCAGAACACGGCGACTGGGTGACTCCTGTTCCCTCAGTGGCCAGGGGGCCCCGCCGGGCCCTGCATCCTTCAGGGCTGGGAGCTGGAAAAAGGGAACAATATAGGATGTGTGATAGATTACACACCTTTCCATCAAACCCCAGTGGAGGCTTTTGCTGGACTTTTGGAAAAGGAGGAATGGAGTGGCTTTCCCCAGGAGTGGAATGTTGTGACTAGATTATTTTGGAGAGGGAATTCTAGGAATAAGGTGCCATGAAATCTATAAGGACCGGAAAGGCTGCCCACTGAGGTCAACTGTGCAGGTAGGCTTCTAGGAGAAAATGTAGGGGGCAATAGCAAAACATAACTTGTTTAAGTCTGAGATAGGGTTTCCATAACATAGGATGATTATATCCATCAGGATGGGCTAAGTTATGCTTCAGTAACAAACAACCCCGAAGTCTTAGTGTCTTCAAACAGCAAAGTTTCTTTCTTTCTTACTCTCCATGTCCATCATGAATTGGCTGGGGGATGTGTTACATGCTGTTCTCACTTGGGGACCCAGGCTTATTGACCAGCCACCATCTGGAACTTTCTCCTTGCTGTGGCAGAAGGGAGAGGGTATGGAACAAGCTGTGGATTAGCTTTTAAAGTTTCCACCCAGGTATGACAGACACCACTTCTGCTTACATTTCTTTGTACATTTCAAAGTCCTGAAAATGTAGAAGAAAGCTCATTGGTCGGTAGAGGGAAGGCTTGAGAAAACAGAGCAGGACAGTTGGACAAAACCTTTAGAAAAGCGGAGTGCTAGGACATGTATTCTGAGCTTGCTTTCCCTTCTCAGGTCTTAGACAAATCCTTACCTTTTTTTCTTTTCTTCTTCTTCTTTTTTTTTTTTTTTTTTTTGTTGGTGGCAGGAAAATGGCAATTGGGAGGAATGCTGGTCAACGGCATATGTGCCTCTAAATTCAAAGAAGGTCAGAAATAAATTAGAAGTGTCCTCATGTGACACATTCCTTCAAGTATAGGGTAAATTACAGTTTCTGACTAATTGGTGGGGAAATCTCCCGAGAGTGAAAGATCAAGTATCGGTAATGGGATTACATGTCCTCTCACTTGCACTTGGGGAAAACTTGCATAAACCATCTTCATTAATTACAGTCCTAATGGCTTTTACTTTTACCACCATCAACCTACCACCAAGATCAAAAACCTTTTACTAAGCAACTTTCAGAATGTGGAACTAGGCATGCTGAGTGCTTTACAGTTTGGTTAAATCACCTGTTTAGCAAAAGTACTTAGGACAGAAGTGCTTAGGACAACTAAACAAATACTGAGAGCAATGTGAATATGAATATTAACACTTTGGGAAGGCTGAAGAACAAATATTTTTTGCAGGGCAATCTTTGCAGAAGGGATCATGAATGGTATTTAGGAAGAATTGAACCAGAAGAATTTAATTCATTATTGTGTGTGTAATTCACAGTACTAGGCACTGGGGTATAAGCTCTTGCCCTCTAGGGTGTGGTGGTCAGTGGGGAAGACAGTCACACTGTCTTCACAGTGTCAGTCACGTTGCCCAACTTTAGTGTAAGGTAGTTAGTTATAGATAGAGATTTGCCCAGGAAAGGAGATCAGATTCTAGGAACTTATTTGAGAAGGAGAGGCGATAGTGCGGTGAGCTCCTTGGGAGAAGGAAGGGGCTGTTTCTGGCCAAGTATTGGACTTGGGAGTATGCATAGGGTAAGAATAATTGCTACTATGTACCCTCAAAGTTCAGTTATAACCACCAGTATCAAAAAGAGCTGGGGACTAAAGTATCCCATTAGAGATGAATATAGTATTCATTTATCTTTGGAAGTAGGCAGGTATAAGCAATACATAAAACAATATTTTAATACAGAATTTAGAGAATTGGAGGAGGCACAGGGTACCATCCTAGTCTCCTCATCCACTCTAAGTTGGTTAAATGAAGTGGATAATTCTTACCCTACCTATCTCAGAGTAGAGGTGAGGGTTCTGTGATATAAAGAATGCAGGTCTTTTATGAACTGTAAGGCATTATATATATTAGGCCATAGTGCTGATGGAGATGCTTAAACTAAAGAGACATTAAGCCAGTTGCGCAGAGACAAGTGTGGGTGACAGATGACACAGGAAAGGAAGTGGCTTGGGGTAGCTGCTGAAAGGCAAGTTGGGGACTAGGGCTGAAGTCAATCAGAAAGTTTTGATGCCCTTGAACCATGGGGTGGGGAACAGTGCTAAAGGGAAGAAAGGTAGCACTCTGTTTAGCTGGGGATAGGAGGGGCTAGAGGCTGGATATTGGTTAGACAGGAGGTTTTCACTGCTTCAAGCTCAGTGCGTGGCATTAAGAAGTCACCAATAAGTATGTGTTGGATATATTGAATGAATGAAGAAGTGAAAAGACCCGACTGTCTTGGCCTTAGAGCTCTTCTGAAATAACATCTCCCTCAGTTGTATCAGGGGCACAGATATTGACTCCCTGCCCTGCACACATGCTGAAGACTCCTTTTGGTTGACTTTAGTAAATGTGAGTCAGGCAATCAGGGCAGGGCAGTGTCAAAGATTCAACTCAATACGGGCATCTCAAGGCTGGTCAGGTCTTGGACAGCACTACTAGAAAGTCCTGATGCTACAGATGCAGACGGGGTGACATCTGGACTGTTCGGCCTTCTCCTGGTTCCATAACTGGAAACATTTGACCCTTCTTCCCTGAGAGCCTCCAGACTGACTTTGGCTCCCTAAGACAGGGCTGGCTTCCTCCCAGCCACCCCTGCTTGACTCCAGCTGGCCAAGGCAGCTTAAGCCTTCAGGCCTTTGCTGAATCTTTCTTCTTCATCAAGGGCCTTTATGGCTATGGCATCACTGCTTCCCAGCCTTCATCTCTCCTGTTGCCAAACCCAGCTTGAAGGTGGTTCTAGTTCATTCACAGATAAGCTCATATTACATATCATTTATCAAAATCACAGTCATATATTAAATTCTGTCTCTAGGAGAAGGGGGCGTAATCCTAGGACAGATCTTGGGAAGTTTGCCACTGATACATCCCTTTAATCTGTCCTGGCTGGCTCTGCAGGCGCGCCTATCCTGCTCTGTAGGTGCTCACCAAGGCTTTTTAAGATGCAGCCCTCTGCTGATAATAATAGCAATAATACTTCTAATGATGGCAACGGGTATTGAGTACTTGCTTTTAGCCACACATTCTGCTAGGCAGTTCACATACTTAATTTAATTCTCTTAGCAGCTCTGTAAAGTAGGTCTTATTATGATAAGTTTCAAAGAAACCAAGGCTCAGAGAAGTTAATGTCTTCAAGGGCTCTCAGCTGGTTAGTAGCAAGGAAAGACTTAAATCCAATTCTAATGGTGCAAAAACCCAAGTGCTTTCCATTATATGAAGCTGCACCCCTATTTCACCACCTTCTTACTCTCAAGGGCTCTTTGGGTCCTCTGTCTCCTCTCAGAGGCCCCTCAAGGTTTGCAATGTGCAGAACTCCAGCTTCTCCATCTGGAGCCCTGACCACTTGCCTGCACTCCCACTCTGTTTTACTTGGGCATCTTGTTTGTATACTTAGCTATAATTTCCCACCCAGTAGGCAGCAAACAAAATTCATCACATCATTTCTCCAACTGATAATTTTTTTCTGATCTCTCTTTCTGTCACCAGCACAGAGTCTTTCAATACTTCAGATAGGAAGTAGGTTTACATTTTCACTCTCCCTCATCTCTTCTAACCATCAGTTTTGTTTTGTTTTTGTTTTTGTTTGAGACAGAGTCTCACTCTATCACCCAGGCTGGAGTCCAGTGATCTCAGCTCACTGCAACCTCCGCCTCCTGGGTTCAAGCGATTCTCCTGCCTCAGCCTCCTGAGTAGCTGGGACTATGGGTGTGCGCCACCACGCTCAGCTAATTTTTGTATTTTTAGTAGATATGGGATTTCACCATGTTGGTCTTGAACTTTTGACCTCAAGTGATCCGCCCCCCTCGGTCTCCCAAAGTGCTGGGATTGCAGGCATGAGCTGCTGCACCTGAACCTATCAGTTCTTTTTAGGGTTGTATGACGCTTCCAAATGTTTCTTGCAGCTATTTCTGACTTCCCAGCCTATGGCCCCCATCCTAGGTCAGGCCCTCTTCCACCCAGGCCTGGAAGCTTGAAAGAGCTTCTGAAGTGAGCCAGCTGCTAGAACACATGGCACCTCTACACACATCAGAGAAAGTCTTCTTTCCTCTGGGTAGATGCAGTCCCACACCAGGGCACGTGGCTTGGCAAACAGAGCACAGGCTGGAACCCACTGACTCCCCAGTCAGGGGAACTTGTGCAGTGAACAGCCTGCACATCAGTGCCTGGTGACCCCTGAAGTGAAGACTCACCTTATCTTATATTCTTCACCATTTAAAACATCTCATCTGGAGTGATTTCAAGATATTCAACAACTGGTGTGTCATGGACATTGACCAATTAGAATGGACACTGATCTTAGCCTTGGGGCAAGATCTACAGGCTTCCCACTGAGCCATGCATTAACCCTTTAATTTCTGGATTGTGGGAAGCTGAGGAGATAACTAGGGGAGAGGCTAGGGTAGTACTAGTGATTTATACCGCGTACTGTAGCTGTACTTGAGTATTTTAACAATAAGCACATTACTGGTGCATCCGGGCTGAATATTAACTCGCTTAGCCCACCCTGAGGAATCCTCTACAGGCCCCAGTCCAACTCCATTCATCAATGGTGCCTGATTGTTTCCCACACTTGGCAAACACCAATTTCCACTGGCAACAAGGACCTCCACATACATGATTGTTTCAGGATAGGCTTAAATTTAGGTGTGGTTATCAGAGCAGGTACAGGCTATTTGGAGACATGCCTCCAGGGGGCGCTCAAGATGACCACCTCTTTTCCAAACCTAATCATTCCATTCACCAACAGCCACTTTCAGGAGGAAATCCATCTTGGGGTCAAGATTTACAGGAATCCATAGAGACATGCAAATAGGCTACAGGGTAGGGGAGATAGACAGATTTTAATTCTTTGTATCTAGATTTATAGATGGACATCTACCTACTTGCCTATCTATAAAATATTAAGTTTTACATTTTTTCTTACTACCTTCCATTCCAAAAGGTAGTCCTTAATTATATAATTTTCACTGGACATAGAGTAGAAGCTGCTTGAAGAGCCAGAGGGGCAGGAGAGAAAGGGGTATGCTTCTGGGAGTGTGGATGAGGGTGTACTATGAGTTTTCCCTTTGTTGGGAAAGAAACAGGAGTGCCATGCCCTGGGGAGGGGCAAGGCCTGGGAAGGGGTGGTGCTTCTAGGGAGTCTTGCTTTCTGGGTCTCCCAGCCTTACCTGAAGAGACCATATGGTGTCCCAGTGTACCTGCCGTGACTTATGATGGGGGTGGGGGGTGTCACTGCAGAAGCCCCTGGGACTTTTGCTTGAATCTGGAGAGGGAGCCCCAATACTTACTGCAATGAATTTCTGACTACCTCAGAAGGATGGTGGCTTACAGTTGGATTTAGTGAAGAAAATAAAGTGATGAATTTTTTTTCACACCTGGATTTTTAAACAAAATTGTATGCCTACCTTAAAGCTTTCTCCAGGTCTCTCTCTTACACCTCTCTTTCTCTCTGCCTCTTAAAACATTTTTTAAAAAATTAATTAATTATATTTGTACACATTTATGAGGTATATGTGAATTTTGTTACATGCATAGATTGTGTAGTGGTCAAGTCAGTGCTTTTAGGTATCCATCACCTGAATAATGCACATTGTACCCACTGACTAATTTCTCTTCATTCACCTCCCCACTCCCTCGCCCTCCTGAGTCTCTACTGTCTATCATTCCACTCTCTAAGTTCATGTGTTCACATAGTTTAGCATCCACTTGTGTGTGAAAACATGCAATATTTGACTTTCTGTGCCTGGCTTGCTTCACTTAAGTCAATGACCTCCAGCTCCATCCATGTTACTGCAAAAGACATAGTTTCATTCTCTCTTGTGGCTAAATAGTATTTCATTGTGTATATATACCACATTTTAAAAATTCATTCATCTGTTGATGGACAGTTACTGCTTCTGTCTCTTAACCCATCTCTGTTTGCATTGCTTTTTGTCCTTCCCACATGGATAATGTGGTAACATGGGCCTGGGTTGCCTTCCTTCAGAGGAGAGCCTTTCTGTTAAAGGCAAGCAGAACCTAACAGTGGCTCAAAGCAAAAAAGGCAGGGGTCTCTTGCTTGGGTCAGCTCTACCATAGTCATTAGGGGGAGGAACTCTGCTTGGTTCTGTTTCCATGAACCCTGACTGAGAGCTAGAACCCAGAGGGACAGAGTTAGTCTGTGGACCTAGGGAAGGGACAGAGTTAGCCATTCATCCTGTCTCTGTCCTGAGTCTAAGGAACCAAAAGGGTCCTTGGAGGACAAATAGACTCCTCAAATTCCTTTTCCTCTTCTTCCGTAGAAAGATAACTCTGAATTTTATCTGGGCACATGGCCATGTAAAATAAAGACCACATTTCTCAGTCTTCCCTGTAGCTAGGTATGGTTATGAGAATAAATTCTGGCAATAAAATATAAGCAAAAATGTCATATGTGACTTTGGGGAAATGGCCTGGGGTGCTGTGATCTTCTTTGTCTTTATTTTTATCTTCTAGATTAGGAGTTGGCAAACTTTTTCTGTAAAGGGCCAGAGAGTAAATATTTTCAGCTTTGTGGGCCATATGGTCTTTGTTGCAACTAGTCAACTCTGTTATTAAACTGTGAAAGCAGCCATAGACTATATGTGAACAAGTGGGCGTGGCTATATTCCAATAAAACCTTATTTATTAAAACAGGTGGAAGATGGGATTTGGCCTATGGGCTTTAATTTGTCAGCCACTGGTCTAGAATACATGTGTGATAGCTGGAATGGGAGCAGCCACCCTGGACCATGAGGTGAAAGTCATGTACTGGGGATGGCAGAGAAACAAACTAGAAGGAGCCTGAGTCCCTGTTATCACAGAGCCACCCTGTGAGCTCTTTGGCTTGGATTTATGTGAGAGAAATAAGCTTCTATGTTGGTTATGCTAAAGCATATGCAAATGAACCTAATCCTGATGAACAGATCGTTCATGTGCGGTTAAGCCTAGCTGACCAGACTAAGAGACTATTCAAGAATATGGGATTAAAGCTCCAGCTAGGAATAAAGTGTGCATTTTTTTCAGGGGTATATTCTGTACTCTGAATATCTCCAGAATTTTCCACTCATCTTGATTAAGCAAGGCCACAAACAAAACTTTGGGATTGATCTTTGTGTAACCCACAAGGTGGTGAGCAGCACACAGTGAAAGTTGTTGCAACTGACTTTTTGTCCATGTGACAGGTGCTGGGATTGACAGCATGCAACATTCCCCAGCAGCAGGGCCTTGCCAGCTCTCCACACTGGAACCCAGCATGCTGACACATCTCTAATGAGATTTACAATGTGTAAATGCAAATACACCGAGTTTTAGCACCTTTTAAAAATTTTGGCTGTCAGTCAGAACCTGTCCCTGAAATCAGTAATGTTGGAAGAAGCTCTGGAGTCCTTTAGCAATCCTCCTGATGATTTAGTTTCATGTGTTCCAGTGACTGACTCTGCTGCATTCCTGGGGAGATCCAAAAGCTCAGTTCTTAGGATTTGGGAGTCTCATGCAAATAAAAAAGAATGATGAGGTAACTGAAAATTAAAAAGTTGTAGAAAAACACTGGAACTTGGCTCCAACTTCAAAAACATTTTATTCTATTTCCTCCAAAAATATTCTTTTTTTTTTTTTTTTTGAGATGGAGTTTCACTCTTTGCCTAGGCTGGAGTGCAATGGCACGATCTTGGCTCACTGCAACCTCCGCCTCCCGGGTTCAAGTGATTCTCCTGCCTCAGCCTCCTGAGTAGCTGGGACTACAGGCACACGCCACCATACCTGGCTAATTTTTTTGTATTTTTTGTAGAGACGGGGCTTCACCATGTTGGCTAGGCTGGTCTTGAACTCCTGACTTCAGGTGATCCACCCACCTCGGCCTCTCAACGTACTGGGATTACAGGTTGAGTAATCAGGCTGGGATTGAGCCACCGTGCCCGGCCTCAAAAATATTCTTTTTACAGCTGCTGGAATGTTGTAGTTGACCCCACTAGGAGCCTTGTTCATTTTTCTTTTGCTCCAAGAAATCCTGCTGTTGCTTCTGGGTGCAGACATCCATTTTACAGAGGACATGGGTTTGTTATTCCTGGAGAAGAGAAAGCTGAATGGTGCCCACATTCTGTCTTCAAGCATTTAAAGCTGTGTGTGTACATGGAATACTATGCAGCCATAAAAAATGAAATCATGTCCTTTGTAGCAACATGGATACAGCTGGAGGTCATTATGCTAAGTGAACTAACGTAGGAACAGAAGACTGAATACCGCATGTTCTCACTTATAAGTGGGAGCTAAACATTGAGTACACATGGATAAAAAGACAGGAACAATAGACACCAGTGCCTACCTGAAGGAGGAGGGTGAGGATCAAAAAACTACCTACTGGATATATGCTTATTAACTGGATGAATAAATCATTCATACGCCAAACCCCAGTGAAATACTATTTACCTGTTTAACAAACCTGCACATACACCGCCTTAACTGAAATAGATTTTGGAAAAAAAAATGTGTGTGTGTGTGGTGCTTAATGAAAAAATTGTGGGCAAATTGTTGCTTATATTTCATGAAAGAGGGGAGGAAGGTGCTACTTTCAAACAAGAGTAATTTTGATGAGACCTAAAGAAGAAACATCTCAGCCTTCAGAAGGATGAATTGCTCCCCCTGGGAAGCTGAAACAAAATGTCTAATCTGAGATGGCTAAGGGTGGGGTTAGGAGCACAGAGTTCAGAACTACAGGTGATCCACCTGCCTTGGCCTCCAAATCCCAAAAGTGCTGGGATTGCAGGCGTGAGCCACTGCGCCCGCCCTCAAAAATATTACTTTTACAGCTGCTGGACCTGGCTTCACATCCTGGCACAGCCTCTTACTTACTGGTTGGCCTTGGGCATATTGCTCAACTCCTCTGCACCTTAGTTTTTTCTTTATGGAATGGTGATAGTGATACTGCTGACTCGCCAGGGATGCTGTAAGGAATGGATGTGATAATGTGCACAAAGGGCCAACACAGCATCTGACCAAGAATAAATTCTCAGAACATATGAAATGACAGAAGAGACCTCACTGGTCCTGGGCATGTCAGACATTTGGCCTAAGTGAGGCAGCTTGCTGAACACTGGGCACTCTGAGTCTATCCAGGTTGTATTAAACTGTAGGACCAGAACAACTTCCATTGTGAAGGCTTTCCTGGTTTCCTTCCTTCATGTCTTCACCTACTGGAACTCAGGTCAAATGATGCCTCCACTGAAATCTTCCAGTCTTCCCTGGCTCCCATGGCTAGGTTAGAGCCCTCACCACACACTCTCAGGACCATGTAGACCTTCCATTGTTGCTCTGGCCTCAGCAGCTGGTGTCTATGATTATGGGATTATTTGATTAATGCCTGTCTCCCTGACCAGGCTGTACATCCTGAGAAGGCAGTGTCTGTTTTTCTTACCATTGTATTCTTAGCAGCCAGCAGAGTACCTGGTACATAATAGGTGCTCAATAAATATTTGTTAAATCAATGAGTAAATGAAGTCAGTGTCCCTCTGGTTCCATTTATATTGGTGCTGTCTGCTCTCTCAGATCAATTTATGTAACTATTTTCCTAACATGACCAGTTCTGCCCTTTGCCTCCAGCTTCATGAGTCTCTGCAGGGTAAGGGTGGAGGGTCTTTACCTTGGTGAGCTCAAAAATATCTGATTGTGGTGGCAGGACGCTGACCAGAGGTTTCCAGAAGGTGTAGGGTCAAAAGACTGGGAAGCTGTGAGATAGCAAGAGAATATTGCTTTATAGATGGGCTGCTGCATAACTATCTGCTTTCAAAGGCTTCAGACTAATCAGAATTTCAAAGGACACTTTCAAATGTAATAGGATTCTACCTGCAAGAGTGATGAGTGAGGCACTGGAGCTGTTTATTTCTCTAGTTTCTATTCTAGGCTTGTATCAAAGATAGCTGGGGTCTTCTGATTTTATTTTCATTCATGCCCAAAATGGAAAAATCTAATGCAATGGCAGGATGGCAGTGATGGCAAGGCCACAAAGAAATAGTGCAACCAGCTTCTTGCCTCGGTTATTCTGGGAAACAGGATCACGGCGAGTGAGCAGCACAGTGCCATTCTTAGCCCATTGTTCAGATAATGGGATGCCATCATTTACACAGGTCCTAGGAAACTGGGGACAAATTTCCTCTTTCCTTCTTCATAACAGCCTTAGCCATTCTTCCTGGGTTAGACAGATCCTCAAACAAACAGAATGTCATGTACAAAGTGTTAAGAATCTGCTGTGAAGTTAAAATGACTAGCATGAACACTTTACATTGTTTTTATAACTGTTGCTTTTGACCATAGTAGTCTTGGGGAAAATTGTGTAGAAGAAAAAAATAAAACAACCAAAACAATCCTTTCTCAAAATCGTGGCGGGGGACGGAGGGGAGTATGCAAGTACAGGGAAAGCATGCAAGTACATGTGGTATTTAAAAAGATCTGCACCTGCTTTTCTCAGACCAGCTGGCAGACTATTCACAGAAAAGTACTGTTCTTTCTGGAAATACTCAGGACTGAAAGCATCTGCAAAGGAGTTGACAGAAGCTTTCTCAGATTGATTGCACGAAGACAGTGCCAACCATCATTTTAGAAATTTGAACTGAATTAGAACAGGTACTGTTTTAAAGCTGTGGTTTTGAGGTTTTGACACCCTGTAAGTTTTACATATGCCCAAGAAATGGCAGAAGCAGCACACATCTGCTTTGCACATAAAATTGTCATTTCCATATCTAGTTGCTTTATAACCAGATTCCTGGTGCTACTTTGAGATGCAGTGGAACAAGAGTTTTTATCAGCCCCACCTGAACAACAGAGACATGGGGCAACAGCTGGGAGGTGGCCTGTGCAGATCTTTAAGTTTGAGCCTATCCTCTTGGACCTCTGAGCCCAGCATTCAGAGAATTAATTCTTTGCACGGGGCCTCTGCGTGACCTGCCCCTAACCCCTTGGTCATCCTGGAGCCTGCATCCTTGATTCTGGTTCTTGAAGTCTAACCTCTTGGAGACAGTTACTGAAATTTAATGGAAATCCTGTGAACAGAGTGATGTATTTGGGCCAGATTGATAGCTATCTTAAAAAGCTGTGCCTGCGCATGATTCCTTAGAAACTGCATTTAGTTTCTCACAGAGCACATGAACCGAAAGGGTGCAAATACCCAACTCTGCTATTTAAAACCACTCAGGACTCTCGCTGTGCCTGTTGTTGAGTGAAATTGCATTATCTAATGAACAATCAATGTTCAGTTGACACCTGAGGGTCCAAATAGCTAATCCTGAACTAAATTTACTGATTTGTTCTCTGTTTCTAATCTTTACTATTGTTGAGCTTGTTCTCCTAATGTTGAGCCCCTCTTGAGGCCCTGACTCTCAGCCCGCGAGTTTCAGCCCAGAACACCTGCAGGCTCTGGAACCATAGCTGTTATAGTTTAGAAGTAATGGAAGCTATACTGACTATTGGACCCACTTGTGACTTTAATTCACCTACCTCCTTTATTTTTTCTCATTCATTTACTTTTTTCACTCACTCAAAACAAACTTATTTGTGAGGGACTCTGCAGGTGCTGAGCCCGAGGATTCTGTCCTGGCCCTGAGGAGTTTGTGGTCATTGTCTATCCCAGGATGCGGTGGTAACTCACCCAGACTTTGGGCTTTCACTCTCTGGATCTCAGATATTGGAGTAGACCATGTCTCTAATTTCTCAGAGCCTGTAAATGCAGGGTCAAGGCCTGGCTCTCCTGGTATGAAAGCTTCCCCACGTATTTAGTGATGTAGCACTGCACGGCAGTGGCTAAGTCTAATGTGTTGATTCTGTATTACAGAAGAGAATGCCTTTCATCTTTTCACCTCGTAGAAGTGCAGCATGGTATGTCAGAGCACCTGGAGGGAAAGGACCATATTTTATTCATTGCTTTCTCAGCTTCTGGCACAAAGCCTAGCATGTAGTAGGAGTTTTCAAAACGAATAGAGTGTGAACAGATATATCTGCTCAAAGTGTGTATCTTCCTCCAGGATCAGTGAGGTCATTTTCCCAGATAAAGAGGAACTTTATTCTTCCAGTGCATAGTTCAGCTTCTGAAATGGAGACAAGAGAGAATGACCCATCACCTCCCCATGAATGCAGCCAAACTGGATGTGACAAGATGTGGCACCACCCAGCAGAGCTCATCTTCTCTGTCCTGCAGAATGTTGTTGATGAGGCATGGACCCTTACTGAAGGTGTGACTTGGCAGAAAGGGGCTGTGCCCAGAGACCAGAAGTTTGGGGACCAAAATAATGCAGCCACTTCCCTTCTACACGTCCCTTCCTGGAACTGGGGTTTCAATTGTTCAACAAATTGCAGGTGAGCTTCTGTTCTAATTATTGGGGATGTAATAGTGAGCCAAGCAGACAGAGTTCCAGCCTTCCTGGAGCATTTCATAGAGCATTCATGTGCCGATGTGGGAGTGTGTGTGTGATCAATAAATGCAATCAGTGCTTACAGAGTACATTAGAAAGTGACACATGGTATAGAGAGACATGGAGCAGGGAAGGCGGTAGAGGATGCTGGGATGAGGATGATTTTAAACAGGGTTTCAGGGAAGCCTAGTTGTAAAGGTGATATTGGAGGAAAAGATCTAAACCTGGTAAGGGAGTGAGCCACATGGATTTTGCTGGGAAGAGTATTACAGAGGGAACAGGGTCTATAAAACCTCAGGCAGGTTGTGTCTGGTGTGGTCAAAGAACAGTAAGGAGATCAATGTGGCTGGAAGTGGGGGGCGTGGATGAGGGACACAGATCAGGTGGTGCCTTTTAAGAAAGGGGAGGAGCAAACATCAGCCACGTGTTTCTCTTTCCTCCACACTTACCAAATTCCTTCACTTTGTTTGAGGGTCTACATAGGTCAGTCATTAGAGAATCTGAATCAAAATCTTCCAGAAACATAAAACAAGTAGTCATCGGCCCAAGATTGAATTAGAATGCTGAGATTGCTCTGCTCTGAGTCTCCTGCTATATCTGTTAGGGTTGGGGAGGGAAGCTTGGCACTCTAAAATTAGGCACCTTGAGGAATTTAATAAAGGTGTTATTTACAATGATGCAGGCAGAGTGTAGGGAGTGCAAGAGGGATGGTGCAGTGTCCAAGGGATTAGCAGCACCAGGAGCCGTTGCCACTCCCAGGCCTGAGGGAACAGAAAGAGGGAGGAGTATCTGGAGCCAGTAAGGCCAGCTGTCTGGAGAGGCCCATCTTGCAGGAGCAGTGACCTTTGGCTGAGGGTATCGTCAGCCCATGGTGACCCCTAGGGAGAGAGCTGAAGTAATAAGCCCAAAATGCATTCTCTTCTCTCCCTCTGTCCTCCTGCTAGTGCTGCCCATGAGCTGACTTCAGCTAGAAACTGGAGGGCAGGGGAGCTCATTGATGTGGTGGGCATGGGCCAAACTTCTGGATTATGGAGTCTGCTAGCAAGAATGGAGAGTGGATCTGAAGGAGTGACTGGAAGACATCTGACATAGGCGTGCAGGCTAGAGAGAAGAGGGGGACATGAGACCAAGCAGAAAGTGAGACGGAGAAATGGCAGCCTCTTTGTGTAAGCAAGGTGGCTAGTCCCAGGTTGCTGCATTGAAGCTGAGCAGCCTAAGGACATCTCACTCCTACCCGGAGAGGACCACCCATTCTTAGTTATCAGTCTGTTGTCCAATGAGTGATCACATTTGGAGCAATGGTCATCTGTGCAGTGAGACTCTGCCCAATACCCCATCTGCCCCAAATTTATGAACACCACCAGCACATTTACAGGTGCCCACAGATGGGAGGGCAGGGTACTTGGACCTCTTGAAGGTTATGATGGCATGAAGGCAGAGCTTCATCTCTGGCTAAAGTGGGACCACACTCAGCCCATTTAGCCAGGACTGCAGCTGACTGTGCTGTTTCAGTTAACTTAATATAACCAGGAACATTCCTGGGCAGGATGGCAGAGCCTCAGCTGCAGCTGCTGGAGGATTTAGATTTCTCTGCCTTCAATGGCATTAGAAATTGGACAATGTCTCATCATTTGTGGATTTGGGTTTTTTTTTTTTTTTTGGTTATAGAGCTGACTGCAATTGATGATATGTATGACTGGAATCTCTCAAATTTCATTGTATTTCAGATCGACCCCAAGTCCTTACTGTGCCCTGCTGGGCCTTGTGGAAACCAGCTCCTGCTCACTGCACCACCTTCATTTGGTGGCACTCTCTTTTGGCACCCTAGCCATGCTAGAGCTATCTTCCAGGGACCCAAATGGCCACATTTCTTTCCACCTTTTGGTCTGGCCCCTCCAATTTCCTCTGCCTCTCTTCCTTTAACCATTTTGCTCCTTAAGTTCTACTCAGCTCAAAATCATGCCTCATAGAAGCCCTCCCTGACACTCTAGACTGGGCTGAGTCATCACTTGCATGCCTTCATAGTATCTTTCCCATCTAACACTTCTCACATTTGTAATTAAATTGTTCATTGACTAATTAGTTGTTTCGTGTCTGCTGTCCCTGCCCACATTTGAGTATAAGCTCTATATTTTGCTGCTGTCCAATGCCTGTGCATAGAAAGCACTCTATAAATATTTAAGGGAATTATTGACCAAAAGGAAAAAATAAGCTAGGAGTGGGTGTACACACATTGCACAGAAAAGAAATACAAAGAGTCATAGATTGGAAAGGACATACCTGTCCACCCTCTCCTCACCTCAGTCTTTCTGCGTGCTGGGAGAGAGGGCAAGTTAGAGGCAGCAGTCAGAAGCAGTGAAAGAAAAAGGAGCATGGAGATGGGAGAGTGACCTATTGACTGCCCCGACACCTGGGGACGATAAAGAAAAGCAGCTGTCAGATGTATCAGCACTGACCTAAAGCTCTTTAGCAAAAGAAAATCCACTCAGGCAATATTATCAGAAGAAAACTTTAAAAATGTGGGAATAGTAAACTGCCCACTCTGCTGGCTGATTTGCAAAGGTCCAGGCTCGAGGCTTGAAGTGGTAACAGGTTCAGGCTATCAAAAATTATTTTAACTAGTGTCCTGACATGTGGAGAATTCAAGAGCCAGCAAAATCAAGTGGGCTATTTGTAAGATGTTTCTAGCTGTCTGGTCCATCAGGACATCAAACACATCAAGGCATCAATATACTGTTATTAGAATTCACCAGCCCCAAATTATACTCAGGGACAGCGAATAAAATGGCACGACTAACGCCTAAATCTTTATTTCATGATGGCAGATTTATGTGTGTAGGATGAGATGGTCTCTGTGAAGGGGTTCACATTACAAACTTGGGCCTGACAGGGTCTAAGAAATAATGGTTGGCCCCAGAGGAGGATGGAGTTAAAGTTTATAGGGAACTCAGATAAATGATTTAGGGGACCCATGACAATGACAAAGAAAGAGACTGGTGAAATAGGTGAGGAGGAGAGGGAGAAGGGAGAGAGGTTGTTGGGAGAGGGAGGGAAGTAGACAAAAGAGACAAATTTACTGATAGGTACTGGCCATTGCAAATTCTTCATTCTGGCTTCAAGTTTTGAATTAATACTGACTAATCACGATAATATGATTCCTTTCTGGTGATGTTGATCAGCTAAAGGGCTTAGCTTCTGAGAATTGATGAAGATCCCCTCTATTCCTTTTCACTGTGCTGGCTTTCAGGACTGCTCCATTCTTTGCTGACTTTCTGTTATGCTCCTGTTTTCCCAAACCTGTGGTAGAAAAATGCCATAATTTACAATAGTTGGTATGATAACATATAATAGATAAAAAGATAACATACCATGCAATATGCATCTTTTTCTTTTTTTAAATGGTATTTTTTGTTACAGCATTAACACATTATAGTAAAACATAATTCAAGATAGGACATGCAATAGAATATATGACAATATGCAGTAAAATATAAAAATTAAAGCATATTCTTATATGCTATATATATCTCTCTCAGATACTAGGGTGAAAGGAGGTTCTAGTAAGTTGAAGATTGTAGCAAATTGAAAGTTAGAATGAGGCCTGGTCATATACATTAGCAAAATAGGCAGTCATCTGTGTCAGATGACTTAAGGGGGTGGTAACAGAGATTCCTACTCCAAAATTCAAACACCATAGCTTGCCATTTTATTATGAGGTAGTCATTTTTTTTTTTGGGTCTCAAGTCTTTTTCAGAATCGTTAGTAAAATTCAAATACCCTGGAGAGGAGTCACACTCCCTGTTTTTGTTAGGTGATTTTGAAGTTGTCAGGTGTCAGTCAATATGGTACCCTTCCCACTTCTCACCTCCTACTTCAAACCTGAAAATTCAAACTCCCTATTTCTCACTTCACAAATTAATAATCTTACAACAGTATAATTCCATTTTTCTCTCTCCCAGCCTTTGTTCTATTTGTCATGTCTTTAACTTCAACATAAATTTTAAATCCCACCTCGCAGTATTACTACTTGTGCTTCGAGTAGTTTTCTTGAAGGAAATTATGAGATGAAACAAAGCTAGTGTTTTACGTTTACCCACTTATTTACCAATTTTGGTGCTCTTCCTTCCTTCTTGTTCTTTCCGGTATCATTTCCAAGCCTGAGGAACAATCTCTGGCTTTTTTTTTTTGGAGACAGGGTCTTGCTCTGTTGCCCAGGCTGGAGGTGCAATCTTGCCTCACTGCAACCTTCACCTCCAGGGCTCAAGCAATCCTCCCACTTTAGCCGCCTGAGTAGCTGGGACCACAGCTGTGCACCACCATGCCTGGCTAATTTCTTTGTATTTTTGGTAGAGATGGGGTTTTGCCACATCGTCCAAGCTGGTCTCAAACTCCTAGACTCAAGCAATCTGCCCACCTCAGCCTCCAAAAGTGCTGGGATTACAGGCATCAGCCATCACACCCGGCATGGCATTTCTTTTAGTGCAAGTCTGCTCGCCACAAATTCTCTCAGCCTTTTTTGTCTGAAAATGTCTTTTTTTTACTTTTGTTTTTAAAGGATATTTTTGCTGGATATAAAATTCTGGGTTGACAGTTTTTTTTTTTCTTTCCAATGTTTTAAAGATGTGATTCCTTTGACTTTTGGCCTTCATTCTTTTTTATTTTATTTTTTTTTGTCCTCAGAGAACTTTGTTCTGAAATTTTTTTTAACTTTTTATTTATTTATTTATTTTTATTCTTTTTCCTTTCCTTCTCTTCCTCCTCCTTCTTTTTAAAGTTCCCTCTTTTCTGATGAGAACTCAACCATCATTTGTATTATTGTTCCCCTGCATGTGATGTCTGTTTTCCTCTGGTTATTTCCAAAATTTTCCCCTTACTGTTGGCTTTCAACAGTTTGACAAGGAAGCACTAGTATTCTTTGTATTTATTCTGCTTGAGATTCACTGAGATTCGTGAATTTATAAGCTAAAGTTTTTCACCAAATGTGAGACATTTTCAGCTATTCTTTCTGGTTAAACACACTTGTGTGATTTTTTTTGGGCCTGACCAAATTCAAAAGGCTTTGTATAGTAGACCTCATGGAGAAAGCTGCCCTCTTCACACAGACTTGGCACACAGATAGTGCATTGCAGTCTCTGAAGGGAGCTAAAGTCAAGGACTCAGGTCCCCCTGGCCAGTCAGGCTCATATTGCTTTTCTTTCTTTCCTTTTTTTTTTTTTTTTTTTGACAAGGTCTGGCTTTATTGCCCAGGCAGGAGTGCAGTGGTGAGTGCTCTCAGCTCACTGCAATCTCCACCTCCTGGGCTCAAGCCATCCACCCACCCCAGGCTCCTAAGTAACTGGGACTATAGATGTGCGTACACCACCACACCCAACTAACTTTTGTACTTTTTGTAGAGATGGGTTTTTGCTATGTTGCCCAGGCTGGTCTTGAACTCGTGAGCTCAAGCAACCCACCCACCTTGGCCTTCCAAAGTGCTGAGATTACAGTCATGAGCCACTGCACCTGGCCTACTGTGACCCAACACCCAGCAATTCTCTCTACTCTAGCCCTTCCCCCTGCCCCTCCTCCTGATCCCCTGTTTCATAAAACTGCTGGGGGCTTTTATTTGAGGCTCTGTCTATAGTGAGACGTTCTCTACATCTGCTCTGCCCCAAATGAGCCTCAACAGATACACCATTCCAAGAGAAGAATGAAACAAAGGGGAGTCAATGTTTTCCTGTTTTAGCCTTTTGCATATATCATCACAGTAAGTTATTAAAGACTTAACCCTTTCATTTTTGGCTTGTTGCTTTAATTGGCTCCAATGCCTAAGTACTCAGCTCTGTCCCACAGCTCATCTGTTTGCTCACATAATTTTCCACATATAATTTTCCTGGTCTATTATCACCTTCTCCTTATGGGACTCCAATTACATATGTTTGACTGTTGGATATTGTCCTTAGGTCTTTGAGGCTTTATTCATTTTTATCCAATCTCTTTCTCTCTTCTTTAGATGGGATAGTGTTTGTTGATTCATATTTAAATTCACTGAATTTTTCTTCTGCTACTTTAATTTTGCTGAAAGCCATGTGGTAAATTTTTCATTTCAGTTACTGTACTCTTCATTCTAGTGTTTCTATTTTTTAGTGGTTTCCATTTTCTCTGCTGAAAGCTTATATCTCTTCATTCATTAAGATTGTATTTTCAAAGCTGGGCATGTACCTGTAGTCCCAGCTACTAGGGAGCCAAGGCAGAAGAATTATTTGAGGCCAGGAGTTCAAGATCAGCCTCGGCAACATAGCAAAATCCTATCTCTAAAAAATATTCTTTTAAAAAATGTCTGGTTTTCACAGCTTTCCAGGAATAAAAGGAAAAAAAAAATCCACCCCAACAAAACAAAAAACAGGAAACCCAAAACGATTGAATTTTCCTTTAATAATTTGAACATATTTTAATTATTTGAATATGTTTATAATAGCTTCTTTGTCTGATATATTACATATGTGGAACACTTCCAGGTCGGTTTATATTATCTGCTTTTTCTATTTATTATGCATTATATTTCACGTGTGTGTGTATGTGTGTGTGTGTATGTGTGTGCATGTCAATTTTGGTTGTATACTGCATATTGTGATAAATCGTTGCAGACACTGAATTTTGTGATATTCCTCCATTTATTTTTGTTTTTGTAGGTAGTGGAATGACTAATAGATCACACAGAACTTGTATAAGCTTGGTTGTATGCTTTCTTAGGAAGTGCCATGGAAATCCCAAGGTGTTTTCAAAGCCCTTTAAACTCATGGGACTCAATCTCCAATCTTTTTTCTGGCATGTTGATCCTGTGAAAGCTTGGTTTTAAACTTTGGTAGGGTAGGTCTATTTTAAGCATTGCTCTGGGATGTAATTCTTACTCTCAGGTAGTGGCATTTCTGGTGTCTCGGCTGGATGCTTGGGCTGTGAACAAGGTGTTGCTGAGGTTTTTCCCCTCTTGCAGAGCTGGAACTCCAACATCCCCCAACAAAGCTTATTTATCCTCTGGTATCTCTGTTCTGCTCTCAATCCCAGAATAAGCCACATTCTGAGCAGCCTTATCTAAACTTTCCCTACATAAATACCATTCAGTCCTTGGCTAAGCCCTTGTGGAGATCCCCACATGGACTTCTGAAGATCCATCTGTGTAGCTCCCTCAATTTTGTGCCCTGCCTCATAGATTCCACCCACTTCGACTGCCTCAAGCTATGATCTCTGCCTACTTAGCTCACCAGGGCTGCTGTGCCCTGCCTGGACTCCCGCTTACTACCACACAGTTGAGAAATTGTCCCCTGGTGTAAAGATGGGATCTCAGCCTGTCAATTTCCTATCTCTCAAGAAATCAGTTTTGTGAGTTTGTATGTTATTTGTGAGAACAGTTACTTCATATGTTATGTCTAATTTCAAGTTTCTTTTAGTAGGAGGGTTAGTCTAATATCAATAATGGGAAACAGAGGTCTCCACCATGGATTCTTGAACAAGGGATAATAAGAGGGTATTGATGAACAATGATAAAAACTGCTTAACACAAGATGGCTTGTAGCTTAGGGTCAGGACACTGAGTAGGAGGTATTTTCAGTTTTCTTTTCTTTTTTTTTTTTTGGTTGAGATGCAGTCTCGCTCTGTCTCTCAGGCTGGAGTGCAGTGGCGCAATCTTGGCTCACTGCAAGCTCCGCCTCCCGGGTTCATGCCATTCTCCTGCCTCAGCCTCCCGAGTAGCTGGGACTACAGGCGCCCGCCACCACGCCCAGCTAATTTTGTTTTGTATTTTTAGTAGAGATGGGGTTTCACCATATTAGCCAGAATGGTCTTGATCTCCTGACCTCGTGATCTGCCCGCCTCGGCTTCCCAGTGCTGGGATTACAGGCGTGAGCCACCGCGCCCGGCCGGTATTTTCGGTTTTCTAAGCTGAGAACTAAGATCAGGATGGGGTTTGCAGAAATACAAACAAACAACAGGGAAACACCATGACAGAAAAATAACTATTATGAGTTATTGATAAATTAGATGCGAAGGATGAAGAATAAGGTTAAAAATGGTGCCAGAAATGCTTAAAAAATGAGCTCTTATCTTCGGAGATACATACTGAAATATTTATGGATGGAATGATATAATGTCTGGGATTTGATTAAAAATAATCCTATATAGGGAAGAAGATGGTGGGGAGGGTGGGTTATTGGTGAGAGAAGACTGGCCATGAGATGATTGTTGTTGAGGTTAGGTTATGAGTACACAAGAATGCATTATACTTTTTTCCCCTACTTTTGCATATGCTTGATATCTTCAAATTATAAACTTCCTAAGGCAAAAAAAGTATCATGGTTGTAAATCTGGGTGATGGACTGTTGGTGAAGTTGGGAAGGGTGCCCAGTTTTGAAGTAGGAGAAAAGGTATAAGCCAGTGGCAGTTTGTTAATTCTACAGCAAGTTTTTATGTAAAATGTTTTTTTAAAAATGATTGGCTCAAGCTAGCTCATTTTGTTCCTTCAGAGGTGTCATTAAGTGCAGATGTATTTGATTATCTGCTTGAAGGTGGGAGTCATACAGAACATGCTGAACCAACACTGTGGCATCCATGCTGTTCACTTATCCAACTCCGTATTTAGTGCTGGCTGCTTATATTAGCTGACGAAGCCCTGTGTGGTCTGGGTCCAGAATATAGTAGACAGCTTTGATCAGACTCTGGCACACATCTCCCTGAGTGGTTCTGGGAATGATTTCTAGAGGCATTTTGCCGTACTTCCCCTTTCTGCACTGCCTCCCCAATCAGCTGCACATGCCTGGAGCCTCCCTGAATCTTGTTGCACTCACTGGCTTCCTTCCAACTATGGACTCCATAATTGAGCCCAAGAGAGGGGCCTGTTCCCACAGCCTAAGGAATTTCAGAAGTAGAGAGACTTTTCTACAAGTTAAGCAAAATATAAATAAATAAATAAATAAATAAAAAGAAAGAAGGAAAGAGAACAAAACCACTATCATTTTCCTCTTTTACTCTTCACTTCCTTTTCCCATTCCTTCAAGAAATCCTTTCGGGTGCCTCTATGTGACAAGTTTTGTGTTAGGGATTGATTAGGGGTTCAAATGTGATCAAGAGGCTGGCTCTTATTCAAGAATCTTCTGCAGTTTGTAGGGGAAGAAAGACAGAAAGCAAGGTAAGGGGGCATTTATGTGTGCCATGCTAAATGTCTGTATGGGGCCCAGTGGGGCACAAAAAAGGAGGGGACAATCATTACTATTTTCTCTACTCTTGGGTTTGGATTATAATACTGTCCTTGCTATTTATGCATAATCTAAAGCCTCTTTGAATCTCAGTTTTCTCATTTTTGGACAAGACTAAAAATACCTACTTACAGCTTTTATGGGTATCAAATTAAAAAATGACCAAAAGGATGTTTGCAAACCATAGGTGTTGATGATGATGATAATGACGATGATGCTGATTACCTTTCCTTCTTCCAACCCACACCAGTGATCACTATAGTCCCTGCTTTTAACAGGTCAGATGATCATTGTCACCTGCACACTCAGCTATGTTAAGCTGGGGGATGCAGCCATTTCCAAGGAAGATTCATAAGTAAGAAGAAATTTCATTTTCCATTTAGGTAATAAATCTTCCCATTGACTTTTAAAAGTGTAGAGCGAAAATGTCCCTTTTGTCTGTTTAATACCAACCACCACCTTAACATTTGTTTTTCTGTACAGTTTAAAAAGTACTTCTAAAGTCATAAATCATCAGTGCCTCATAATAACCCTTTGACTTAGTAGAATAGATTCCATTTTGACCCTCATTTACAGATGTGGAAAATAAGGCCCAGAGAAGTTAAATAATTTGCCCAAGACACATTGCTAGTAGTGGCAGAGCCAGTGCCTGAATTCTGGTCTTCTCTTTCCTAATCTTTAAAATCATCAGCTTTTCCCTGTAAGTATCTATAGCATGCAGAGCTCTTCTTTGATGTCTTTTAAAAAAGCTTTCAACATTTTTTTAATCTTTAAGAAATTATCCATATTGTGACATACCGTGAGTGTCTGAAACTCCCCAGCCCCTAGTGCAGTAACAATAAATCAAACAAACAAATAACCATCCCCATTGTTTTGTAGATTATTTCCCCAGGAGGCAGATGTTTACTTTTTACAAATGAAAGCTCATTGTTGTCAGGAACATTTAAGAGGCTTAACCTGTCTCCTCTGGCATATGGCACTGGCTTTTCATGATGAAACTGGTTGTGTGCAGCAGCAGACGAAATTGCAAGCCTCTCTCTGAAACTTCATCAGTTGCTGTTGCAGAACGTTACTGCTTTCCTAGGCGGGGGCTTGTCTGGGCCTCTTCCACCGTGAATGGAAAAAAAAAGGCAGTTTCCTTTGGTAGAAAATACTCATATTTAATGGGTATGATGTCATGAATTATTTAACCAGCTTAATTTTAAAGCCGAGCCAAAAGAACACAGTGAAGAATGACCTTGAGACTCTTGAAAAATGGGAATGTTGACTGTGTGCCTGCAGACTCCAAGATGGATTTCTACTTTAGTTTATATTTATGCAACTGTGAAACTTGGTGCCTTGTTCCCAGAGAAATCCTTTGTGCAGCCGTGTGGAGAAAGTTATTACATTTTAGTGCAGAAGAGCTGTAAAGTTTCTTTCCTCATGTCTCTTGAAAGCTAGAGAGGTAGCGAACTTCGTGCTGGGGGAGTGGGGGCACAGCCCTGAGGAATGAGATGTAGAGTCTCTCAGAAGATGAAAGGAAACAGACATTGTTTTTATTCAGCAAAGAGCCTAGCATTAGGTTCTTAGAAGGACTTATGCATAATCCAGTGTCAGTCCTGTTAGGTGCTCACTTGCTTCTGATTCGAGGTGAATAAAGGAAAAGAAGGTGCAGAAGGATGAAGATCTGCCAGCCCCACTGTAGCCCAGGAACATGGCAGGCCCAGAGCAATTCCTCCCTAGTAAGGAGCCGTCCACGGAGAGCAGGAGAACACATTATGCAGAAAAGGGTCTTTCAAAGCTTTGAGTTTGGCCACTCCAGGCTCATTACCTGGTCAACAGGTTGCTGGACAAAATCATGGAAACTAATGGTGGAATGAGGTGTTCTTGATTCTTTCAATGCTGTGATGCCAAGCTGTGTCTGCACCCACAAAGGCATGTGACTCGACTCTCCTCCTCCTTCTTCTTTGTAACATAAGTTCCATTAAAAGTCTCTGTAGAAAGGAAAGGAGTGTGAGTGAGGAGGGTGGAAGAACCAGTATTTATCGAGGGTCTGGTAAATGCTTGGCTCTACCTTAGGTATGATTCATGAATGTCTGTGTGGTATTATCCCCATTTTACAGGGGAAGAAACAGGCTTAGTGTGTAAGATTTTCAACATCACAGTCATTGGCAGAGCTGGACTTTATTTGAATCTGGATATGTCTGACCCCGGAAGTTTATGTGAATTCACCATTCTTATTATGAGGCTCTTAATGATTGGTTTGATCGAGTTTCTACTTTCTTTCTTATGGTTTGTGTGTTTGTTTGAACTTGTTGGCCCTCATGTGCTGGATGTCTGTTTGTCCTTTCGGATCTATTCTCTATTCTTCTCCCCTCTGCCCTGTGTTTGGCAGACTGACCTCTAATGACTACTTCATCAGGAATTCATATCCCCAGTTTTCTCTCTGTTCTGGTTCTCTACTGAATGCCACAGATCCTGCCAGGTGGCCCTCTCCTTGCAGTGCCCTCAGGGTTTTAATAATTGTTCCCTCCCCTTACCCTTTGGGCTTTGGGGGAGTAACAGCTTCCTGCTGTTGCTAGTTCCTGGGGACTGCACTATCCCTTGTGTTTTCACTAAACACTGCCCACAGGTCTGTAAATTAGCCACTTTATTAAGACAATTGGATTGCCCAATTTGAGTGTGCCATTTGTTATGTCTGGGACCTTAACTGTTACAGGTATACATCACCTTAGTAATGTCATAGCTGCTGTCTTGATTTTGCATCTGTTAGTGACTATTTTTATTAGAGTGATGATTTTTGTCCTTTTTTGTTTGTTTGTTTTTCTTAAGGATCTCCTAAATATAAGTTCCAGAAGAACTTTTTTTTTTTTTTTAGATATCACTTTCCTTTTGCCTTACTACTTGTTCTCTGAATTTAGTCTGGAAGACCAGAGGAAGCCAATTGCCATTATTATTTTCTAAGATAGAGAGATTTTTCTTTTTTGGCTTCCAGAGCGGAAGTTATTCTTGTATTAGCATTTCTTTGCAAAACAGTCTGTTGGATTGTCTTGAGAAAACAATGCACGTTTTCTAACCTTCCAGGGAAAAATCATTATTTCTCTAAAAAGGAAGAGAAATAATGAAAGTATGTTCAGTAAGTAACACTAAGGATAATAAAGGTGGTGGGGGGAGGCAGAAGATTTAGAATCAAGGTCATTTTTTTCTTTTGTTGGATTGCAGCAAGCATTTAATGGTAATAAAATCTTTTTCCTGTATAATACATTTTATATTAAAACTGCAGGCATTTAAATGAGGGATTTTATGTCTGTACAGTCTTTATTGAGCATGAAGGATTAAAAAAATGGTTTTGGTTTTTTTATTTCTTGAGACATTTTTGAGGTTTGAAAAGCTACTCCATGCCTCCTGGGCTCACAGAAGTGAGGATGCAGGGCTGGGAGGTGGCCAGAGCTGCTCACACAGTTCCTTGCTTATGCTATTTAACCTTGGACCCTTGTTATTCTGGGCTTCTGTGTCTCCTGAATAAACAGTAAATCTTTCCTGATGGTGTGGCAGGTTTACGATGTGGATTCATGCCTATTTTCAGGGGAGCACGAGAGAGCCTTTAATGCATTTTCCCTTCTTTTACTGGTGATTTAGCCAAAGCCTGTGTCTGTCAGTGGGCATAAGACTGGGGGTCCAGCAGATATTTGGTTCTGTTACATCCTCCCTTTAGTAAAGGGCAGACTCTGGGGCTGCAGTGGTCAGTGACGCAGATGAGCAGTCTTATGGTTCCAGGATAAAAGAGTGTTGATGATGATGTTCTTTTATAGATTAGCTTGAATGGATTCATTCTTCTGTTGAAGGTTTCTTGGCTCATGTTTTCATTAGGCCTTTGTCTTTAATATTGAGAAATTTGTGATCTACTCCTGATGCTTGGATATCAAAATAAGATATCGAGACCTAGATAGGTCCTCCTTTTACCATGGACTTTTACCATGTGCAGTGTGGAAGTTTGCTAGACTGGTTTTAAGGCTGTTCATTTTGGGCATTTTGGAAGTGCTTTCAGAAACATGTTGATGCTACATGTATTAGAAAGAAAAACTCAACTCACAAGGCAACATCTTTTATTCTTGGTCATTGCTGATATTCATGCTTGAACTGTTGGAGTTGGACTATTCTTGGTCATGAAGTATAGTCTAGAGAAAAAAAAATCCAGTAGGTTTATAGTCTAGGAGTATTTGAAATATACATTCATATAGAAAATTATCTGCCAAGGGAAGTGGATTATTGTTGGTGGGGATCTGACCTATAGCAGGAGATGCCTCGTAATCTATAAATATCTGCTGTTTGAGTTAAGACGCATTAATTGAAGATGGCAGGCTCCACATTTTACGTCTTAGATTGCTAGGGCTGCATTTCCCATTGGGTGTTTTGCAACGCCTCTTAAAATCTGAATATCCCCAGTATGTTGACCTGATCTGACTTTAGCCACAACTTTACACTTTAAAAATAGCCCCAAAGCTGGCATAGAGGAGAGAGCATTTACTTAAACAACTATTTTATCCTTCTACAATGTCATGCAGATCTAAGTCTTTTCTGTATTTTTCCACTGTAATGGTAGCATATGGTCTATTGTTACCATCAGATATCTTTGTGGGAAGCAAGAGGTGCATGGGTGAATGGAGAGTGATGTTGAGTAAAAAGCTGTTGGTTTGAGCCCTGGAACTAAAGTTTTCTGCAGTTTCATTTTTTCAAGAGCTCAAACCTTTCAGGAAGTTTCAGCTGATATGCTTTGACTTTTAGTTTTGATAGTGCCATCTAATGTTTACTCAGGGCTTTTGAAAATTGGTTAGGAGGACTTTTCTCTGGAGGGAAAAATGTGGACAGTCTTAGTTTACTTATGGAAGTTGTTGACTGATAGAGAAAATTGATGACAGTTCCTTATGTCACAAAGTCAAGACCTTTGGCTCTGAAAGTCTGCATTCCTGCAAATCTTAGGAAAGACCATGATAAGGAAGAAAGCAAAAAAAAAAAAAAAATGAGAGAAAGAGGGCTGAAGATGACTTAGAAAACAAAAACTCCTAGGCCTGGGAGATAATCTCCTCATTAGAAGAAAAATTGGATTCAAATAATGGATTCTTATTACATGAGACAGAATAAAGAATATGATCTCACCGAGGAGACACGAGAGCACACACACTTGCCTATACAAACACACACACAGGGGAAAGAAGGAATGCACAGGCGGGAGCGCGTCAGTGTGCTTTATAATTCTGGATTTGTTTTTTGGGTTTGGAATTAATTAGATACCATGTTGAATTCCAAATGTGATAATTAGGCAAATTAATGCTGCAGTGAAGTTATTAATGAGGCAAAATATGCTAATATGCTTTTGATAAAGAGCTCTTCTTCTGCCTCACCAAGAAATTGGCAAACATCTTTCTTTTATTTGGGGCCAGACAGCTTATCTCAAGTGATTTACTAAAAAGGTTCTCGGCCGTATGCTGTGAACAAATGTTGTAAATAGGGGTTAATGTCTAAATTTTTGATATGTCTCAGTCCTGTCGTGGTGCAGCAAGTCCTATGATGGTCTTTGCCTGGCTTACCCAGAGAGGCCGAGGGCTCTTCTGTGCCCTTTAATGCGAGGATGAATGTGGCAAGCCCTGACGCTCATGGATTTTGTTCCTAGTAGTAACACTAGTGGGAAGTGGGTTATTGTTGGTGGGGATCTGACCTACAGCAGGGGATGCCTCATAGGTAAGATGGCCATCACCGGATTCAACGTGGGACTGGCTGCCAACCACCAACGTGCTTCTTTCTTTTTAGCAGACTTGGTGTCTCCTTTGGTTTTCAGATGTTCAAAACTCCTAGCCCAGAATCATTAGGGAACACATTTAGTGGTTTGAAAGTGACACAGCAGAATTTCTCTTTCCGATCTTAACTCTGCTATTCAGATCTCACTGTGCATCAGGAGCCCCTGCTGAAACTAAGCAGAGGCACCATCTACCCAGAAAAAGTTGGTCATTAAAAACAAAATTTATGAAAATATGAAAAGAACTTTCCCCGTGAGCATATGATTATTTTAGTCCTTTTAATTACATACTCCACCAGGGCACAGCCTGTATAATTTTGATTCATTCAGATATAGTATTTGCTAAGTTCCACTCTGTCCCCCAGGTAGGACAGTTTTGACTTTTGTTACTCTGAGAAGTGAAGACCGCGGTTTGAGTAGAGCAGACAGTGGTCAGTCCTTGGCTAGTGAGTGCTGTTGAGGTGTGTCCTATAGCAGAAAAGAGACCACCCATCAATTGTAAAGCAGTACAGAGAGGAATTGGATCTGTTAGGAATGCCTTTGACTGCAAGTCACAGAAAACCTTACTTCAGGAAATAATGAGTATTTTTTTTTCCATTCAGTAGACCAGGATAGGTGATCTGCAGTTGAAATATGTCTCAACCATATTGTCAGGGCTCTGTCCACCTTTCCATGGTATCATCTCAGCAGGTGGCTTTTGTCTTTGTGGGTACAAGATGGCTGCCGCATCTTCAGGCATGGCATCTGTGTTTTAGGCAGGAAGATGAAGGAAGACTTGGTGTTTCTTTTCTGAAAAGCTTTCCTGGAAGCCCCATACAGTGACCTCCATTTGTATCTCATGGGTCAGAATTGTGTCAGGTAGCCACTCCTAACTGGAAGGTGGGTAGATGAGGTTGGACTAGCTGGCTAACAGTGTTTGTTATAGTTCTCTTCTTGGGCACTGTTATCCTGGTATCTGTGGTTGTGTCTTCGGCTGACTATCACTCCAGGGTGGTTATCTGAAAATCTGGCCACCTGGACAAATCTGGTGTGAAACAGAAGTTTGGGTAAGAAAGCCATTTTACTCTCCCCAGCAGAAGGCATTGTAGTGTGGTGAATAAACTTATGGACTTTAGGTTGAGCTGCATGACTTGGGACATGTGACTTTACTTTGAATTCTCTGATCCTTTGCGAATTGGAGACCATTCCAGGAATTATTGTAGGAAGTAACTGGGATAGCAAATATAAAGCATCTAGCGTATTTAGCTCAATAGTAAGTGGTAGCTGTCAAGGTGGTGAATTAAATTCAGATTATATTTATAATGAGCTAATGTGTGATAGATGTGTAATAGGAAATAAATGGTTACCCATTTTCCTTTACCTTTTAAGACAGTGGATTCTGGCAGGTGGAGGTGTCTTTTTGTTAAAAGGCTTGATGGCAGGGAGGATGTAAGTTTGAATTGATGAAGTCTGTATGCAAATGTGGATATTGAGAAACGTGGGAAGGAGAAGAACAGGGATGAAAGGCGAAACCCTGGAGGGGCAAATGCTGGACAGGGATGGTGATGAAGGAAAGAGGACCCAGTGGCTGTCAGGCTGGGGAGGGAGATTCATGGGGACATTTGACATGGAGCTGTGCTCTGTGTGATGTAAACCCCTCCTCTGACTCACCTGCAAAACCTTCGGGAAATCATGTCTGAAGAATGCTTTGGAGTAAGAGGGTCTTTTGGTGAATGTGAAGAAGTAATAAGTCTCACCTCAATGTTGGTGTGAAGTTACAGCTGATATACAGTTTCCAGAATGTTCATTTCACATAAGCATCACTGTTACTGGAAAGGGGTCCTGATCCAAATCCCAAGAGAGGGTTCTTGGATCTTACACAAGAAAGAATTTGGGGCAAGTCCACAGAGTAAAGTGAAAGGAAGTTTATTAGAGAAGTGAAGAAACAAAAGAATGGCTGCTCCATAGGCAGAGCACCCCTGATGACTGTTGGTTGGCTATTTTTATGGTTATTTCTTGAACATATGCTGAACAAGGGGCGGATTACTCATGAGTTTTCTGGGAAAGGGGCAGGGATTTCCTGGAACTAAGGATTCCTCTTCCTTTAGACCATATAGAGTAACTTCTAGAGTTTGCCATGGCATTTGTAAGCAGTCATGGTGCTGGTGGGAGTTTCCTTTAGCATGCTAATGCATTACATTAGCATATAATGAGCAGTAAGTATGACCAGAGGTCACTTTTGCAGTCATCTTGGATTTGGTGGGTTTTGGCTGGCTTCTTTACTGAATCCTGTTTTATTAGCAGGGTCTTTGTGACCTGTACCTTGTGATCTCCTAGCTCAGCCTGTTACTAAGAATGTCTAACCTCCTTAGGAGGCAGCCCAGCAGGTCTCAGCCTCATTTTACCCAGCACCTATTCAAGATGGAAGTGCTCTGGTTCTAACGCCTCTGATATCACTCCTACATAAGTCAGATTTAAAGATACTGCTAACACAGGCCACACAAAATACACGTGGAGAATGCTCATGTGAATTCAGCGTTAGGCTCTCTGAGAAGGGGTAAATGACATTTAAGTTGTGGGTCAGATTCTCCTTCCATTCCCCTCAGGAGATGGTACCCTAAAGTTAGATAGGAACATAGGACTCTATTTCCCTAACTAGGCCTTGGTTTCTTTGTGTGATGAAATCATGTGTGTGATTTTAGCATTTTAAGATAAAATACTTATTTTTTTGAAGAACATACTTCTAAACAAAAGCCAATTACTATATTTGGTGCTCAATTGGAAAATAGAAACCATCAATCTGTTTCAAAGCTGGAGGAAAAGCTGGCTGCTTTGAATTTATTGAATGATGGCACAGTACTCTATTTTTATAAGTAAATTAAGAGTTTTTCAAGGGTAATTGTGAATATACAATTGGCTGTCGCTTCATGGGCCAATTTTAGAACTTAACCCTTGAGTCAAACATGACTTCACTGGATATTAACAAGCAACAAACACATTCATATATAGGAGGTGTGAATCAGAGACCATAAATTCAGGTTTTTAAGAGATGGAACTACTCTGTTACCTCCATCACTCCAGAATCTCTCATTTGAATTTTTGTTGCACCAAGAGGCAGAAACTTAATTTAAATGAATTCAGAGTCTCCTCTCCCTTTCCTGGGATAGGGGCCACGCTTGGGCTGGTGGGTGGAGGGGCTTTGTGTCCTTTCACAGAAGGTGGTAGGGGGGTCTCTGGTTCTGAGTTGCCCTCTGTCCATACACACTTGCTAAGACATCCTTGTTCTTAGGTGGTGACCAGTCATTTGTCCACCTGGGTCACACCTGGGAATGTGGGCCAACCATGTCTTCTCCCAGCCTGGCTCTCTCTTTTAGTTGCTTTCCTGACACGTGCTCATGACTGTTGCTCCCTGGTCATTCTGGGGCCACAGGAAACTCAGACAGCTGACCAAGACCTTCTACCTTCACACCTAACCCAGCATGTCTCCTCTCCTACTCCCATCCTCAGCTAATGGTGGGGACATGGTGCCAGATCTTTGGGCTCTCTGGGCATGCACAAAGCAGGCCTGGCATTCTCTGGGCGTAACTGGCATGGGTTGATTTGGGCAGGAGCAGGGGCAGGGAATGAGCCCTTTTCAGAGGCTTAGTAGTTTCTAAACCTCTTATTCTTTTTTCCTTTCCTCATTTGGGACAAACTTTATCTGGCTCTCAGGAACAGGAAAAACTGGCTCCGACTGATCACATTTTATTCCAAATCTTTTGTTTATGCCCCAAGTCCTAGGCTTTTGAAACTCAAAACTCTTTTCTCTCAAACTATTGCTCTCATTTTCTTCTGTGTCAGGCCTTCCCTGAGGAGACAAAAACAGAATTCTCATCTGCCTGAGTGGCGGAAAGTATTGCAATTATGGGAAATACTGGTGAACATCAGTTAATGTTTCAAATGATTACCTATGACTGACTAATATTCAGGATAAAGAACCACAAGTGCTGTGCAGTGTTCCCTGAGGGCATCTCTGTTTGCCTTCCTGCCTGCCCCAACCACCATCTTGGTTTATGCCTTCAAGAAATTGAGGGTAACTTGGCTGTTACAGGGGGCTGGCCAGACACGGCACTTCTTGAGGGCAAGAGGCAGACATTTTCCTCCTTTCACAAATTGGTGAAAACCTTCCCTCAAGAGGTCACAACAGTCTCCTGCTCACCTATAGGTAAGCAAATTACACTTCTTACTTATGGGTTGCTGACAGTTCTTTTAATATATTCAAAAACACTAAGTGCTAAAAATTTGGCATCCTAGGTGGATAATTTAGGTAAAATCATTAGTGGGAACCAGGTAAACCTAATTGTGAGAGGTGCTATGTTTTCACCTCTGAGCCCTCTGAACTCTGAAAAGCCCTTCAAAGCTGGGAGATGACCGAAATGTGTCATGGAAAGACTCACATTCATTAAGAATTTGAAGAGGTTGGCAGTGGCTCACACCTGTAATCTCAGCACTTTGGGAGGCAGAGGCGGGTGGATCACTTGAGGTCAGGAGTTCGAGACCAGCCTGGCCAGCATGGAGAAGCCCCGCCTCTACTAAAAATAACAAAAATTAGCTGCGTGTGGTGGTGCGCCTATAATCCCAGCAACTTGCGAGGCTGAGGCAGGTGAATTGCTTGAACCCAGGAGGCAGAGGCTGTAGTGAGCCTAGATCGCACCGTTGCACTCCAGTCTGGGAAACAGGAGTGAAACTCTGTCTCAAAAAAAAAAAAAAAAAAGAATTTGAAGAGGTGAAGAGGTTTAGTGGATAACAGAAGAAGTACCCATAACAATATGTTCCAGCATTATAACTGGGAGAGAAAATGAGGAGATTTGGTGGACATGGGATGCTCCCCAGTCCCTCAAATTTGCCATGTCAAAGAAAAACCAAGGCCTTAAAAACTTTTAATTTTAATATTTTTATTGTGGTTAAATATGCTTAATATAAAACTCATCATTTTAACCACATTGAAGTGTGTATTTCAGCAGCATGAAGTTCGTGATATTCTGTAACCATCACCATTTTCTATCTCTAGAAATTTTTTAGCATCCCATATTGAAACTGTATACCCATTAAATAATAACTCACCATTTCCTCTACTCCGAGCCACTAAACCTCTATTCTACTTTCTGTCTTTATGAATTTGCCTTTTCTAGGTGCCTCATAAGTGGGATCATACAGTATTTGTCCTTTTGTGTCTGGCTTATTTTACCTGGCATAATGTTTTTAAGGTTCATCCACGTTGTACCATGTATCAGAATTTCCTTCCTTTCCTTTCTTCCTTTTATAAGGCTGAATAATATTCCATTGTATGTATATGCCACATTTTGTTTATCTATTCATGTTGGTGATGTTTGGGTTGTTTCTACCTTTTGCTCTTGGGTAGATGGGCATATACGCAGAAGTGGAATTATTGGATCATATAGTAATTCCGTCTTTAAAGTTTTGAGGATCCACCATATTGTTTTCCGTGGTGGTATTACCATTTCACATTCCCACTAACAATGCACAAGAGTTCCAATTTCTCCACGTCCTCACCAATACTTGCCACTTTCTGTTCATTTGATAGTAGTCATCCTAATGGGTGTGAAGTAGTATCTTGTAGCTTTGATTTGCATTTATTTCCCCAATGACTAGCGATGTTGAGCATCTTTCAGGTATGTATTGGCCATCTGTATATCTTCTTTGGAGAAATGGCTATTTAAGCTCTTTGCCTGTTTTTAAATTGGGTTGTTTGGGGTTATTTTGTTGTTGAGTGGACCTTAGGAAATTCTATTTCCATCACACTTTCCTCTCCTGAATGAAATGCAGCTATATGTTGATATGTTTAGCAGAAGGAGAAGGAGTAATTTAAGAGGGTTGGAGGACACCAAGAGGACAGAACATGGTCCTTATTACATAGGATTTTATCAAACCTCCTCAGCACATGAGGCTCTTCCCAGCCCGGCCCTACCAGCCGTCCAGCCTGGTTTCTGGCTGCTGACTGGTCCAGTGCTCTAGTGCATTCATCTACTTGCCATTCTATAAGTGCCTGGAGAAGTTTCACACTTCCAAGCCTTTGCACAGCTCAGGATTTGCCTCTCCTAAAGTCTTTCCTAACCCACCTTTATTTGTTCTTATGGCACATCACTTGTTAGTTCATTCATTCATTTATTCAAGAAATAGTCACTGAGCACATACTTGTTACCAGGTACAAAGCACTGTGCCAGATACTGGGGACTCAACAGTGAATAAAGCAGTTGCTGCTTTCAGGGAACTCATTGTTTAGTGGGGGAAATAGGTAGGTTATCCAGCAATTACAGTTCATTGTGAATAAGTGCTAAGATGGAAGTACAAAGGGGTGAGAAAGATTATCTTCCTGAGCTGAGAGCTGGAGTTAGAAGTATTTATGGGCTGTTGTGAACATTCCCATTTTCTGCATGTTAAATGTGAGCTTGTGTTTTCTTATTTTTATTTTTATATCCCTTAAGCAGTATCATTTACAATCATTGGCTTCTGTTAATGCACATTCTCACCTCACAGACAGCAGGATTCCAATTCCGAGGTGTTTCCTTGCATACTGAGATATTTGAGGGCCATCTGAAGGTTGCAATTCAAACTACGCATTCAGGTGGGGAATGCGGGGAGGCACTTGGAGGCTTGTAGGCCTAACAACCCCTCCCTACCCAGACATACTGTGTATATGCTTATGTGTGGATGGGTGTGAGGAATTACAGAAAATCCACGGCCGGCCTTGGCAAGAACACATGTTTATATCACCAGCATCATGCAGGGTGTGTGGCACAGAAAAGGTGCTCAATAAATACTCTGGTATTATTGGGTGCTATGTCAATGGAAGAAAATTTATCTCATTAACCAACAATGAATCCATAGTCTGAGGCAGGAAGGAGGAGAGCAGCTGTGAAGGTAAAAGACCATATCAAATTTGATTCAGATATTTTCCTTTCGCTTTTTAAACAAACAAGTCTTTTGCTTATCTGGGCTTTTGTGGTCCTAGAGGAAGATAAAATGGGTCCTACTGAAAAAATTAAAGGGAAAGTAACACAGAAGCAAAAAGTCTGGGAGGGCCATGCTAGAGAGGCTGGATCGATTGTTATGGAAGGGATTTATACTTGAATGCGGGGTTTAACTAGGGAGCAGGGAAGGGACACTTTTGGGGATTACTGGGGAGGGAGAATCAACATAATATGGATTTTGATGCATAAGGAATGGAGAAAAGTAAAAAGGACTTAAGATATTGGTTTTAGGATTTAGAAGGGATGATTTAATTTGGAAGAGAAAGGATTTGCTGTTAGATATAGTGACAAGCACTCAATGCTTGCAGTCTGAATTGCAACCTTCAGATGGTCCTCAAATATCCTCATGTGGGGGAAACCGCATCCTGATTGGAATCCTACTCCTTGGGAGGAGAGGATGTGCATGATGGAAGCTGATGACTTTATATAAATGACTCTGTTTAGGGCAAAACGCCACTTTTAGCTCAAATCTGTTACTTAAAGGATTATTTCCTTGCCAGTTTGAAATAGCTCCTTCCCAGCCTCTGACAGAGCTTGCTGCCTTGCCATCATCAGTTCCACCAAGCAGGATGAGAGGCCTAAAATCAAAGAGTGCAGGAAGCTATCATCTCATTGAGCAAATGATAAATCATCCCTAAATGCATATTGAACAGGGATTTGTGATATCTCTTAAAACACAAACAAAACTCCTGTTGGGTCTGTCCTTCTGGTGCCTGAGCTGGTCCTGGGCCAGGCTGCTGTGTCAAGGGGCATCTGGAGTCTGGCAGGCCTAACACCTCCCTGCCTGGGCTTACTGTGTGTGCACACGTTTATATGTGGATGGGCTTGAGGAGTTATGGGAAATCCATCGCTGATCCTGGCAAGAACACGTTTGACTGATGCTGAGTCACTGGGGTGCTCACCCATGGAGAGGTCAGCTCATTTATGTGAGTAAAGGGTGGCAACACAACCCTTGCCAGTATGCCTCACTGTGTGATGTTAATTTCAGCAGAATATTATTTGGAGAAATAATTACGGCAATTTTTGTACAGGGCTTGGTACAATGTGCCACCCTCAATGGCTGGCATATAGTAGGTGATTTACCAGGGGCAGCTATCATACTCACTAATAACAATGGTGAGGATAATATTATGTCATGCCACACAGGAGTGCAAAGATGTAAAGTGTGACTTTTTGTTTTTTTTTTGTACCTGAACTTAATTTCTTCTTCTTCTTCTTTTATTTTTAAAGTCTCTGCCAGGTAGAGAAAATTTAAACTCAATCAATTCAGGATCTCAGCCTACTTGAATCTTTGGGGAGAAGGTCTGGTTCTTCGTAACTGTGACCTCCTGCTCTCCCTCCCTTTCAATTCCCATCAGCTCTCTGGGCTTCTGTCTGCAAAGATGGTGGTTGCATTTTCTCCTCTCATCTGCAAGCCCTCTCCAGATCTGTGTTTTACTTGGTTATTTCTGTTCTTTTTTTGGACACATGGAAGATCTGGTTGCTCCCCTCATGCCGGGAGTAGGGAAACTCTGCAAGGCTCTCTCGGGTCTGCCTGCCTACAATCCCCATACAGCCATCCCAGGCCTGCCCTACTTCTTGTTGCCTTCTCTTGGAAAGCTCTCAAATCCTCTAGAATCCCTGTGGGGTCTTTATTGGGCCCTCTCCACCAGCACTTGCCTGGAGGTGTGGTGAGGATACACACCAGTGTCCAGACACCTTCACTTCCCCTTTGACTGCACCCATCACCTTCAGTACTGAACCCCTGAGGACAATAGCTTTCTCTTAAGCTTTTGGAATGCAAAAGTCTTTGCCTTAAACTCAGTTGTGAGTTTCAGATTTGAAACTCCCACATCAAGAATTGACTTTTTCTTTTTCTCAGTGATTCTGCTGTGCCATTCCTTTCCTGAGGCTGTAAGTGCTAGATGCTGAAGTGTCTGCCTGGGGAGAAAGGGGTTGGTAGAAGGACTGAAGGTATTGCAGGGCACAAGAACATTGCTTAAAATCTCAAAACATTTTTCTACTACGTCGCTATTATTATATCCATCTTCCATATGGTTTCATTCCCATGGGGCTGAGTTGCAGATTGATTTGCTTCAGTGTTGGAGCACTTGAGGATGATTCTGTTTTGACCTGTTGTTGGCAAAGTAAAAAAAAAAAAAATTAAAAAAGCAGATAGTGGCGCTCAGAAGAAAGTCAGACACTCTTGGTCTGTAAAGCGTAGGTTTAGTGTGGAGCTAAATGTAGCTCTGGCCTCATTCTGCTTTTCTGTCTCCCAAAGGTCATGCCATTTTTCTTGATCTGTTTTCCTATTTCCTTGTTCCACAGTCCATCATTGGATGCTCTGCTGCCTAGGCAACAGCGTTCAGGGCAGCTCTCAGCAACGTGTTACAGGAGAATGTTTTGAGCTCCACGCATGTAGTATTTCCTGCAATCCAGGGTGTGTTCTTAGTCTTCTTATTGTCAGTTTACACCCTTGTGTTGCTCAGTGAAACTGTCTGGGCCCACTGTGCATCTTCTTGGGTATGGGATCTGAGAGTAAAGAGTTGTCTGTATTTCAGAGTTGTCATTGTCACCATCTTCAGGTGACCATACTGATGCCGGCAGCATCTCACTGCATCCCCACTCCTGTAAGTGTCTGATCAATATTCTTTTGAACTGTGCTATGTTGTCGGCTGGGCACTCAGGACCACAGCATTGACTTTCACTTGCATGGCAACCACAGGAAAAATGCAGGGAACAACATTCGCTTGTCTGCACAGGATTTACCAGCTATGCTAAAACAGGATTTGTAGAATCAAACTATGAAAGCACTACCAAAAAGTTTACTACCACCATCACCACCGGCAGCAGCACCAGCTGCATTTATGGAAGAAATATTTTGTGCCTGGTACTGCGACAGACTCTTTACGTGTATTAACCCAATTAAATTTCCCAACAAACCTAAAAGGCAGGCACTTTTGTCCCACTTTATTAAGAGGAGAATGAGTTTAAAGAGATTAAAAATCATGTCTCTGGTCACATAGAGAGTAAGTGGAGCCAGAATTTAAACCCAGGTTGACCCCAGAGCCCTTGCTCATGAGGCTGGAATGGTGCCGTGTTAGCATGCCTGCTGAGCGGCATCTTGGCATCGTTGAAGCAATGGTCCATGCACTGCTCCATGCTGATGCATAGTAGGTACACAGTCACACTTAACAGAAAGTGATTGATTGCTTGTCTTGGAAATTGATGTATTCTGAAATATGTTCTTTTACCAGGTGAGTGAGGCAAAATAGGCATAGGCCCTTCCTCTCCTGTGTCTTCAGTCCCCATCCAGCCTCACTTCTATTGTCTTACATTAGGATATTGAGGAAGCTTCCCACCTGGTCTTCCTGATGCCTGTCTTGTTTTCCTCCTAATCCAAGCTCTACACAATGGCATCTTTCTAATTCAGAAATCTGTTCCCAACCATTCAGAGATTTCTCATGAGTTTAGAACCAAGTTTGACTCCTTCCAATGGCCTCCAGGTCCCTTATGATTTGGAGTCTCCTGCTTCTGGGTGTCATTTCTCTCCCCTCCTCAGTTCCCCGCTCTGAGCCTGTGCACACCATCTTTCTCCTCTCTTCAGGCCTTTGCATGTGCCATTTCCTCTACCCGGAACACTGCTGGCCTCTGCCATTCACCCAGCCAGCTTCTGCTCCTCCTTCAGATCTCAGTTTGCATGTCACTCCCTCTGGGCAGCCTTCCCTGAGCCTCTGAGCCTGGGTGAGGTGCCCCTTCCACAAGCCTTGCAATGCCTTGCTGTCCTGCATCAGAGTGTTCACCATCCCAAATCATACTGTCTTACCCTCCTTCCCCACAGAGGTAAGCTCCACCACGAGGCAGTATGCACTCCAGGTCTGGCATCTAGTCAGCACTTAACACATGTTTGGTGAATAATGGAGAGTTATAGGTAATCTATTTCTTGTAGCCTTTTGTTTTCTTTTTTGAGACAGGGTCTCACTCTGTTGCCCAGGTTGGAGTGCAGTGGCACGATCACAGCTTGCTGCAGCCTTGATCTTCCAGGCTCAAGCGAGCCTCCCACCTCAGCCTCCCGAGTAGTTGGGACTACAAGCGCATGCTACCATGCTTGGATAATTTTAAAACAGTTTTTTTTTTTTGTAGAGACAGGGCCAAACTGTGTTGCCCAGGCTGGTCTTGAACTCCTGGCCTCAAGCAATCTTCCTGCCTAGCCTCCCAAAGTGCTGGGATTACAAGTGTGAGCCACTGTGCCTGGCCTGAAACCTGGGGCTTGGGAACATCATTATACTTGGGGACAGTTCTTTAAAGGCAACAAATTAGAAATGGCTTCCAAAGTCCTTGAAACACTCTTTCAGGAACTGTGGGGAGGTCTTTGTTAGAGTATGAAAATTCAAACATCTTCAAATTAAAAAAGGTGAGAGATACAAAGTGTCACTTAAAAGCACAGACCCAAGAACTCTTACAAGTGCCTGCTCTTTTATTAAATTGGGTTGTCACTAACATGAGACACAAGGAAAATCACATTTTAACCTGATTAATAGTCCCGTTATGCCATTTTAGAAAATATTAAATAATAGAACTATGTCTTATTGTCCCTTTTTCACTTCCCTCCTGTCCCACTCAGGACTGAAGCCTTTGGAAACGTCTGTGCTGGCTTTTCCTTTTCAGATGAATTGTCAGGGCCTGGAAAAGGCCTCACTGCAGACTCTCTCCCACAGTCAGAAGGACCAGATGCGACTATTGACTGCATCAAGGAGTTAAGCATTCCATCCTTTTGGCTCTCACCCTCACTCTTAACACAATTCCTCCTTGGATTTTCATACAAATTAATGCTCCCATGCTTTTTGGCTCTTGCACACCCCTGCCATTGCCCCAGTGGTGAGATTTAGCAGCTTGGGTTTCCCAGGCTTCAATATTGGTGCGCATTTGCGGGGCTTCCAGCAAAGGAAAAGGCTCAGTCCTGGGGCTGCTGTTTCTTGTAAACACCATGTTTCTATCCATCCCCACAGACTTCGCCGGCTGCCGACAAACCCCTCTCTCCCTCCCTTCCCCTCCTTCTCTGACTGCTCCTTTGAGCCTTGGGAACAGCGGCCAAGGCCTGAGCAGAGGGTGAGCAAACAGACTGGGCTGCATTTAGGAGGAGGCTTTCTTTAGGTGCCATCTGCCACCTCCACAGAGGTGGTTGGGATAAACTGATTTGCCAAACAAAATGCTTAACAACTCATGAATAAAACTTTAAGAAACATTCCAAAAGGGATTTGGGTACAACTTCTTCTGAGGCCACAACAGCTCTTGTGACCCTTTCAACACCCCCTCCCACCCACCAAATACCTCCTCTGAACCTGCACTTTCCTTGGGTTCCAGTAGGGGGCAGCTGCCATCAGGCCTGGGGAGCTGCCTTTCTTTCTTTCTTTCTTTCTTTCTTTCTTTCTTTCTTTCTTTCTTTCTTTCTTTTTTTTTTTTTTTTTTTGAGACAGTCTCGCTCTGTCACCCAGGCTGGAGTGCAGTGGCACAATCTCCGTTCACTGCAACCTCCACCTCTCGGGTTCAAGCGATTCTCCTGCCTCAGCCTCCTGAGTAGCTGGGACTACAGGCATGCACCACCACGCCAGGCTGATTTTTGTATTTTTAGTACAGATGGGGCTTCACCATATTGGTCAGGCTGGTCTTGAACTCCTGACCTCGTGGTCTGCCTGCCTCAGCCTCCCAAAGTGCTGGGATTACAGGCATGAGCCACCGCGCCCGGCTGGGAGCTGCCTTTCTTCTTAACATTTTCTGGGGTGTGTGTGTGTGTGTGTGTGTGTGTGTGTGTGTGTGTGTGTGTGTGTGAAGTGGAACATATCAACAGAATAATGCACAAAGGCACCCATGTACAGAAGCAGACAGTTGGGTAGCCACTTTCCCCAGGTCAAGAAGAGGAATATTGCCTGCACCTTAGTAACTCCCCATCCCCCTCTACAATTCCTTTCTTCTCCCAGAATTAGCCACACTGTACTGACTTCTGGTAATAGTTTCTTTGCTTTACTTTGGTGTTTACCACACTCAAGTGCATCCCTAAACATTACAGTGTGTGGTTTGATATTTTGATGATTTTGAACATTATATAAGTGGAATCCTACAGTGTATATTCTTTTGTCTCTTTTTTTTTGCTTAAGATTATGTTTATTCATTTTCATATAATAACAATGGCAAAGGTATTGATTGCCTTTACCACAACTTATTTATCTAATCTACTGCTGATGGACATTCAGGTGGTTTGGAGTTTGTGGTGATTATGAATGACACTACTTTCAACTTTATTTATTTATTTATTTTTTGAGATGGAGTCTTGCTCTGTCACCCAGGCTGGAGTGCAGTGGCACAATCTCCGCTCACTGCAACCTCCGCCTCCCGGGATCAGGCAGTTCTCCTGCCTCAGACTTCCTAGTAGCTAGGATTACAGACATGCACCACCACACCCAGAAAAGTTTTGTATTTTTAGTAGAGATGGGGTTTCTCTATGTTGGTCAGGCTGGTCTCGAACTCCTGACCTCAGGTGATCCGCCTGACTCGGACTCCTAAAGTGCTGGGATTACAGGCATCAGCCACCGTGCCTGGCCTACTTTCAACGTTCTATCTGTGCATCCTGGCATGCATTGCTATAGGGTGCACATCTCAGAGTGGAACTGCTGGGTTGCTGGACATGGATATCTTCAGCTTTACTAGATAATGTACAATTTTCCAAAGTGGTTGTTCCAGTATACAGGCTCCTCTGCAGAGTACTGTATAAGAGATCCAGAAGCACCACATGTTCACCACTACTTGGTCTTGTCAGGCTTTTTAATTTTTGAGGCTAATGTCTTTTCAGGAGAGTTGGGCCAATAAGTGGCAAGGGCACCCTTCCTAATGGCTTCCATACTGTTTCTGAAGCAAAAAAGGGGCTTCCAGCGCTTTCCTGTGGACACAGATGCCAGAAGTCACAGAGTTAGATGCTCATCTGCATTAAACACAGGCAGTAGGTGGCTCCACAGAGAGATGTTTTCTCTCCTGCCTGTTCCTCTCTGCTGTTTTGGAATGAGCCATCAATACTAACAATGGCAATTAGGCTCTTGGTGCCATCTGGATGGCTGGGGTTGTGGGGGAGGGCAGCTGCTGGCAGCCAGGAGAAGCAGAGGCTCAGCCCAGACTGGGCACCGCCCAGGGGATGCTTCCTGTGTGGACCTGCCGCCCAAACCCAGTTCCACGAAACAAAGATGCTTCCTTACTCATTTTAGTTAGTCAAGATGAACCGCCGAAGAGTCACTGTGAGAGTTCCTCAAGGAAAGAGATGGTAATTATTCCCAGTTAACAGATCCAGCCCAATCAAACCTGATTTTCATCAGCTTTGATTGCCTCCATTTCGGAATTGGTTGATTTCACTGCTCCTGTCTGAGCCTCGGGTATAAAATGGAGTTGGTGTAACCTGGCACCCATGTTGTGGCCAAAACAAAATGAGAAAGGCATGTGAAAACTCTTTGAAAATGATCAAGGTACTGATATGTTTGAGTCTAGGGTCACAGATTCCAGGATAGGGCCCTGGCTACAGAGACTTCAAGGGGGAATTGTAATTTTAGGTAAAGTTCCCTCTTTATCCTCGGTGGATAATACAGAGGGGAGTCTCTGTGAGGCAGACAGGGAGGGGTGGGCCTTGCTCCATGCTCTCTTTCTCCTTGGGGGTGCCGACTACTTGGGTGAGAGTTGGGGTGAGACAGGGGTACTTTAATAAATTGTTACTAGAGTTTGAGGATAATAAAAGAAAATGACCTTGATGGTCATTCATTTCTGGATATTGGGGGGCACTGGAAGGAAAGAAGCAATGACTCACTGCTCCCAGAAGTTTTCAGTCTGCGTGAAAAGAGGCTTCATTCTCAGCCTCCATTATAAACACATTTCCCCAAGGTTGCAGTGCTCCCTAAATCCTTAAGCCAGCAGCAGCAGCAGCATCACCTGGGAGCTTGTTAGAAACGCAGAATCTTAGGCCCCAACCCAGATCTACTGAACCAGAATCTGGCTGGCTTTAACAAGATTCCTAGCAATTTGCATGTACATTAAGGATTGAGAGGCACTTCTCTAAGTAACATAGGGATGCAGAGAAACACCTCTGACACCAAGGAGACAGATTTCCAAAGGCGTGTCTCCTTCTCTTGTGGATTTTAGCCTGGTTGGAGTCTAACTTGAAGAGAGAAAAGACTTACACATACATTAACACCCCCCTGTATCTCCCAGTCCAGATCTACTGCAGCCAGGTGTGTTTGGAATGAGCCATCAATACTAACAATGGCAGTTAGGCTCTTGGTGCCATCTGGATGGCTGGGGTTGTGGGGGAGGGCAGCTGCTGGCAGCCAGGAGAGGCAGAGGCTGAGTCCAGACTGGGCACCGCCCAGGGGATGCTTCCTGTGTGGACCTGCTGCCCAAACCCAGTTAGACTCCAACCAGGCTAAAATCCACAAGAGAAGGAGACACGCCTTTGGAAATCTGTCTCCTTGGTGTCAGAGGTGTTTCTCTCCATCCCTATTTTACTTAGAGAAGTGCCTCTCAATCCTTAATGTGCATGCAAATTTCTAGCCAGCCAGATTCTGGTTCAGTAGATCTGGGTTGGGGCCTAAGATTCTGCGTTTCTAACAAGCTCCCAGGTGAAATCAAAACAATCATCTCTCTATGTAGAGGTTGAAACCTAGTAGGAAGATACGATTCCCTCTTTAGGGTAGGCCCAACCTCAGAGCATTTTTTTTCTTTTCTTTTCTTTTTTTTTTGAGATGGAGTCTTGCTCTGTCGCTCAGGCTGGAGTGCAGTGGCACGATCTTGGCTCACTGCAACCTCTGCCTCCCAGGTTCAAGCGATTCTCCTGGCTCAGCCTTCCGAGTAGCTGGGACTACAGGCACCCGCCACCACGCCCGGATAATTTTTTGTATTTTTAGTACAGACAGGATTTCACCGTGTTAGCCAGGATGGTCTCGATCTCCTGACCTCATGATCCACCTGCCTCGGCCTCCCAAAGTGCTGGGATTACAGGTGTGAGCCACCGTGCCCGGCCACCTCACAGCATTTCTAAGAATCCTGCCTTTCATTCATTAGCAAGGTAAGCTTTCACTTGATAATTTTTTTTTTTTGAGTTGGAGTCTCGCTCTGTTGCCCAGGCGGGAGTGCAGTGGCGCAATCTCGGCTCACTGTAACCTCTGCCTCCCAGGTTCACGCCATTCTCCTGCCTCAGCCTTCTGAGTAGCTGGGACTACAGGCGGCCCTCCACCACGCCCGGCTAATTTTTTTGTATTTTCAGTAGAGATGGGGTTTCACCGTGTTAGCCAGGATCGTCTCAATCTCCTGACCTCGTGATCTGCCCGCCTCGGCCTCTGAAAGTGCTGAGATTACAGGTGTGAGCCACTGCGCCCGGCCCACCTGATCGTGTTTTAGATATTTATCTTACGAGTTGGCCAGGACCTTGCTGCTATTAATATTTTTCTCTTAAATACAGTGGTTCTCAAAGTGTGGTTCTGGGACCTGCAGCATCAGCATCATTAGGAATTTGTTAGAATCACAAATGCTCAGGCCCCACCCCAGATCTACTGAACCAGAAACTTGGAGTGGAGCCCCGAAATTGTGTTTAAGAAGCCCTCCACATAATTCCCACGCACACTACAGTTTGAGAACCACCGTTCTAAGATATGAAATCCCTTAGGTGAGTTTCTAGAGAAGAAAGCCCCTGGACCTAGCAGCCTTTGGGAGTCTGCCCAAGTTCCTGGACTTACTCAGTGAATAATTTCACAATTGGGAACCAGGGAGGTGATTCCAAGAAGGGGGTTTGAAGGATCGCAACTTCAGGTAAGGAAAAGCAGGAGCAAATGATCCATCCCCTGAGGATAATTGTTTGGCTTTATGCAAATGTTTTAAGCAATAAAACCAGCCAGTGATGTACAGGAAATACATGCTCCCCATGCTGAGTGGTCTAAATAAGAGTGTTATCAGTGATTGGGCTTCAGAGCCCCTATTACACAAAGCCTGAATGGTATGAAATACACGACACCTGCTAAATGAAACACACGCGGGGACATTATGGGAATTTTCAACCGCATTTTATTTTGCATAATATAGTTTTTTTTTCCAGACCAGAAATGGTATATTAAAAAATCAGCAGGCATAGAGCTTGTTTTAAAATTATTATTACTTTACTCTGGCTTTGCAGGCTTTTATTTCTTTCTCCTGCTGCTATTCCACAGAAATATGGAATAGTCTATCCAGAAAGAACTTTAGAGATCAGTGATTCTGTCTCTGCATTTCACAGGTGAGGACACTGGTGTTCGAAGACACAAGGTGACTTGCCCTGAGTGGAGGGCCTGGAGCTGGTACCCAGGACTCCTGATTCTCAGACTCTGTACTTCCCATTGAAAATTTTTTTCTCCCAAGGAATCTAAGACCCAGTAAGGGATCTGGGGAAGTGGCCTCATGCATTCCCTTGTGCATGACAGAGAGAGTATCAGAGGAATGGGAGGTGCATTTGCATCATTTACATATGTGCCCACAACCTGATATTAGCCACTAGATTATATAGCTACCTTGAATTTGAAAGTCAATTCTGACATCGCGGTTCAGTCGGAAGCATCATTTGGAGGATAGCTGAGGCTTAGAATTTGTTCTCTAGGAAGTCAAAACCATCTGTCCTGCAAGTACCAATCCCATGTTTGGGACTGTAGGGAGCATGCCTTCTCTCAGGGACAGCATCTGGGGCTACGACCTATGCAGGTGCCCAGTGTCCTTTCTTAGAAGGACTTTGACTTGCTTCAATGCTCTGCTGTCACTCTCTTGGAAGTCTTAAAACAGAAAAAAAGGGGACCTGCACTTTGATATTGCACTAGGCCCCACAAAATATGGAACTGTTTTTTTCCCCCACATTCCTCATTCTCCCCCAGGCAGCCTTTGAAACCTTCTCCAAGAAACCTTTTCTGACTCGCCAAGAGTGTGTTATATATTGTAATGTTAATGTTACAATGCTAATCATGTTAATCTCCAACATTAATTGCCTTTTTTCTGTAGGCCCACCCTGTGAGATAGATACTATTATTGTCATCATACCACTTAGCAGATGAAGAGACAGGAGAGGACATTGAGGCTTAGAGAGATTAACTGGCTCAAGGGTACACAGCTAAGAATTAGGATTAGAATCCAGGTTTGTTTGCACAGCACAGAGACTTAACCACTGTGCTATATATACAACCTCACTGTGTTATCTGTTCAGCGCTTAACATTCTGTGATGTTTTCTCGCTTCCTCTTCTTGACTGCAGGGGAGAGACTGTGTCCTTTACTGCAAAGACTGTCCTTTATTCAGTTTCACCCAGCATCGTACCTAGCACAGACAGGGTGTTCAATGAATATTTACTTTCAAAGGGCATTTGGCTAAATTTAATGTGCATTTAGCCATATCGGAACTTCCTGAAAACCAGAGAAGCTTCCAGGTTTGTTTAAATTTCTCCTGCGTATGAAGCTGCACAGTATAGCTGATGTGAGTGTTGTGATACTTTATATTTGACTTCATGAATTATTTATGGAATTAACACCGGAATCATGATTAATTTGTGGAGGGAGAGAAGTTGCTACGTGGCTTGGTGCCCATGTTTTCCTGGCAGGGATAAATTACCTTCCCAGCAGCTGTGGGGTGAAGACTCTGGATTCTGGTTTCCAGGAGAGACAGACATTTGTGATTCCCTCTTCTTTCTCTTTTTCCCACCTGAAAAACCCAGGAAGCACAATTTATGCCATAAACCAGTGGCAAGTGCTCTATATCTGTCAGCAGTGAGCCAACTCAGCTTCCCCCAACGTTTAGTTAACATATGTCTCTTACGCACATACTGTGCACCATGTTAGGTATGGGAATACAAAACCAAGAAGGCTTGTTTCTGCCCTTAAGGAGCTTTCAGTCTGGCAAGTGGAGACAGGCACAGAAAAAGACAGTACATGATCAGATGATCACTGAGAAGACATGCATGTCCTCCAGTGCTGGGGGGAAATTCCTGGCAGCGAGGGTTCATGCCTATAAGGGCCAAAAGGAATTAGACTACAGACCAGGATTGGAGAAAGGCAGAGGGGCAGCTTTCCACTGGGGAGTAACTCTTTAAAGGCTGGAGAAGGACCTGTGAATAGTAGAAATGGCTGGCCAAGGGAAGGGAGCTCAGACAGGAGCTGGGAAATGAATGTTAATTGTGCCTCCAGCTCAACCCTGGAGGCTTAGGGTGGTGGATGAAGTCAGTATTGTCCATGACCAGTATGGCTCCTGTGTTATCATTAGGGTGGCTCTGCAGGGAGCAAGATCTCACCCCGCTGCAGGTGATCAGCAGCTCTGTGGGACCCCCACATCTCCTGTGGCCTCAAGGCGAGAAGGAGGAATGCATTGCCCAGAGCCGGAGAGCAGGGAGGGGCCGAGCTGAGTCGTCTACGCTCCTGCTCCATCAGCAAGTTTGCTTTCTGAGACCTACTGTATAATAGCAATCTCTTTCCCATTTTCTTCAAAGCATCATGAGGAAATATAACTGCGATTGGGTTCAGCAGCCCTCACTTTTGAGCAATAAACTACAAATGATTACAGTTTACTTTGATGCTTTTGGAATTTTCCTACTAGCTGCAGTAGTTTCCTGCCATTTGCTAGCTGGAGAGTAGCCTGTGGACGCTCACTCAGCCTTTGGGATGAGCCCTTGCCTCTATGAGCTTGTCTTAACACGTTATTTATTCTGCAGCTCTTCTCCTGGCTTGAGCAGTGCCCTGGGCTCCGGGGCTACTATGACCGACCACACTTAGGGGGCCTAACCCTGCCGCCCCAGCCTTTGAGGGAGAAAAGATTGCTCCTGACTCCATTTATTTCCAGGTAGAAAAGAATCAGAGAGCCCTGCAGGGTGAAGGCGAAGTCGAGGTACTCCAGATAAGTGTTTTCTTCTCTCTGTATTACTTATTTATTAAAGGCAGTGAGGTATAACTAAGAGAAAGGAAAGGAACCGAGGAAATAGAGAATACAATGGCCCTTCAGATTTTAATGGGAGAGATGGCTGGAAGTGATTCCTAAATTATTAAATAAATCGATTTGATTCGTGAAGCTGGCCTCCAAGGTGTATTTGTCAGTTTCATTATGATTGTCTTCAAGGGTAGGAAGAGTCACTCATGGAGAAAGTTTGTTTTTTTTTTCCCCTCTATTTTGAAGGCTGCAATTCATGGCCCCTGTCTAATTAAACACTCACTGCTTTGTGTAACAGGAGCAGTAGTCTTTCAGTTTTATTTTGGCTTCTGTTCTGATCTCATTTGTCTTACAGGCCGATAGACATGCAGCAAGATCGGGTTGGCTGTGGGGCAGACACACTTTGGAGAATGTCGATCCCATTGCAATTATAGGACTGTTTGGTCACTGAGGAGTTCTATGGTAATTTATTCACATGCAAGAGTCCTGTCACTTAGCTATTTGTCTAGGGGAATCCATTGAGTGTTAGGATAATGGGTTGTGCCCTCCCAAATGACGAGAATAACACCTTAATGCATTTTAGGGAAGTAATGGATTTTATTGTGGGGTTTTGGTGGTGGCTGCAGTGGTGTTTGCTCCTTTCTCTCACATTTCCCTCTCTTCCCCTGAACACTTCTACTGCCTGCAGCCCAATGTAAAAAATGCCTGAACATCTAAATTCTTTTTCTTAATTATCCTCCTGAGGAAAGCAGGCCAAGCACCAGGGTGCAAAAAATTTAAACCATAAATAACAAGCTGAAAGGAAATAAAAGAAATGACACCAGAATAAACTAAGCTATTAACTGAAAGCTTTACATCACAGTCCTCCCTGGGCCTGAAAAAAAATCTAAAGGAAGGTGGTTAAGTATTTATTTCCCAAAGAATGTAATTATAATCTGCAGCAATTAAAAATGGATGAAGGAAACATTTCCTCATCATTTCCGGGGGGTACTTCAGACACCGGCGCAGGGAACATTTTGGAGAATGTAGTTCCACTGCTTCCCTGAGGTCAAGTGAAGCTGAGGGACACAGCTGGCTCCTGCCAGGGGCACTACTGCTGTCTGGGTCTAAGGGGTCGGAGCAGGGATGGGAGAATGGAGGTGAGCAAAATAATGGGTAGTGATCGATTTGCAAGATAAATGAGGGCTCCTCTCTGGACCCGCTGCATAATTGTTCCTTTCAACTCAGTACACCTGGTGTGAAGAACTCCAGTCACAACTGTAAACCTGCCAGGTTTCCAATTAGGGGCTTGAATTTCAATTTCCTGGATGCTCCCTTAATCTTGGGGATGGGGAGAAGTTGTGTGTGTGCTGCAACACAAAGCGCTGAAGGTGAGGGAAGGGACGGGGGCGGGGCGTGGGAAGTGGGGCTTCTGGCCAGGCTGACGCGTGAAGAACCGCACTCCCAGCCACTTTGAAGCCTGAGGAGTCCTGGTGTTGATCTCTCTTCTGCTTTGCCGAGGGAGCCAGTCCTGCTTTGGCAGCGAGGATACGCGGAGCCCCAGAGCATGTGTTGCCACAGGCGCACCCCTTCTAGTGATCTTGCAGTTTGTCTCCTGCCAGCCCCCACAATCTAGGGGCCGAACGGGGATAAGTGGGAAATAGTCAGAAGGTTCTGCTTTCTCATCCAGCTTAAAAAGAGTTAAGTGAGAAAAGCAAGGTGCAGGAAAGCGTGTATAAGAAGATCTCAGTTTTGTAAAACAGACCATGACAAGCTGCTCAAACTCCGCATGTGTACGTAAAGGGCTATACTGGATTACACACAGATGAAAATCTGGGACACAGGCTGAGTTCTTAAAACTTACTGCCGGGAGCGGTGGCTCACGCCTGTAATTCCAGCACTTGGGGAGGCCGAGGCGGGCTGATCACCTGAGGTCGGGAGTTTGAGACCAGCCTGACCAACGTGGAGAAACCCCGTCTCTACTAAAAATACAAAATTAGCCTGGCCTGGTGGTGGGCGCCTGTAATCCCAGCTACTCGGGAGGCTGAGGCAGGAGAATCGCTTGAACCCAGGAGGCGGAGGTTGCAGAGAGCCAAGATCACGTCATTGCACTCCAGCCTGGGCAACAAGAGCAAAACTCCGTCTCAAAAACAAAAACAAAAAAAACCAAGTTACAGGGGCGGGGGTATGGGAATGAGGTGAGGATGCTGATAGGAGGGGGGTAGGGTAAGATGTCCATACTAACAGCATTTATCATAGGATCCCGTTCACCTACAACTGGTATTTCTATGTGTATCACAGTTTACCAGTTTTACCTACTCTGCTCACCTTTTCCCCAAAAGTACCCTATCTGAAAACATCTCCTGCTGCCAGATACTGAGGGGTAGTTTTTTCGCAAGCCCTTTCCCTGTATTCAGGGTCAGTGGGGTACAGCTTCTTTTTATGGTATAAGCCCAGTGTGAGCAGAGCCACTTTGCCTCAGGGAAAAACTGTTATTAACTGCTCCTCTGGTCCACCCTCCCCTCTGTCCTGATCAAGGGGACAGCAGTGAGAACGAGTTTCTCAAAGAGCCTGACTCCTCTTAAATGGATGTGGTGCCCTTTGGGCAGACAGATTTGTAGGAAGGAGACTTCAGGAGAGCCAGCTGGGAGTGTCTGGGCTGCCGGAGCCCTGGGGTTGGCTGGGCTGTGGGATTTCTCTCATCACCCCTTAGGTAGGGGGACAGACTGTGGGAAACATAGCTGGGATCTGAAGATGGAAAGGACAGGGTAGCGTTTTTCAGCTCAACATAAAGGAGAAATTTTCTAACCACCTGAGTTCACCACTGGCTGAGCCGCCTCTGGGGAGGAGCAGGAGCCTCGTTGCTGGCAGGCTTCAGAGCCTGATGTCAGCTTGGACTACAAGACCTGTGTCTGTGCTGTCCTGTAAGGTAGCCTAGCCACATGTAGCAGCTAAGTAGTTGAAATGTGGCTGGTGCAACTGAGAAAATGAATTTTTAACTGTAATTAAAATTTAAAAACTAAAGCAGTGTAAAAACTTTTTTTCTGTTAAGTGTATTTTCTTGTTCTGATAGGACTTTATTTCACTTTATAAAAAATGTGTTTAGTATTTTTTTTTAGAAATTGGGGTCTTGCTGTGTTGCCCAGGCTAGTCTTGAACCCCTGGCCTCAAGCGATCCCCTTTTCTCAGCCTCCTGAGTAGCTAGGATTAGAAGTGTGAGCCATCACACCTAGATATTTCACTTTAACCATCAAAAATTTCATGGCAGAATTGAGATGTGTAAAATACTAGATCTTGAAAAGTTAGTATGACAAAAGGATAAAATACTTCATTAATAATTTTTATATTACATGTTGAAATAATATATTGCAAATATTGGGTGAGATGAAGTACATTGTTAAAATCAATTGCATGCTTTTTAAAAAATGTGGCTAATAGACAAAGGGAAATTACATATGTGGCTTATGTTGTATTTCTGTTGGATGGTACCCCTCTAAGTCTCTGCCAACATTGGGAGTTTGTGATTCTGTATAATTGCTCTTGCTCCTGGTGTGGATTCTTGCCTCTTTTTAGATAGAAAGATACTCCATCAACACTTGTGGCTTCCACGATGGTCACCTGAGACAATCTTTATTGGTGACAATGGTAGGAATCATATGACAAGTGTCCAGACTTTAGAGAAATGACTGGAGCAATTGTGTCTGGAGCTCTGGGAACTTCTGGTGAAATTTATTACAGGAGCGTTTAGCTTACATGTGCCAAAGCTGGTATTTAAAATAATAGGAAGTTTCTTTTAAAAACCAGAATTTGTAACCTGACTTTTATTCACTGCTTTTCTCAAGCACTTAAAGTTGAATAAAAATCGTTCACTGTTCTGTATCATTAAAACATATCCTGAGAAAGGCCTAGAAACACAGTGGTAGACTCTAAATTAAGTAATAAGATATGCACTTTTAGTTTCCCTAATTACCTACCATTGAAAGTAGGTTGGAACTAAAATAAACATGCCGCCTTGAAATGAGAATTAATATGTGCTAGTGCTGCTGGGGAAAACCCTATTAAACAACTGAATTTTAGAATATTTTGCTTTGTCAAAAAACCCAAAGGCTTTTGTCCCTTTGGAATTGAATCTTCATTTCGAGTTTTTAAAAATTACTTGTTCCATGTGTTTTACAAAGTGCCTTTACTGAGCTATTATGACATTCTGTTCATTACATATTGAACTCTGTCACATCCTGTGAAGGAAATAACCACCCTCTCTGTTGCTCCTTGAGAAGGCAAGTGTAAACAGTACCATGGTTCCATGGGGGAAGAGCTGTATTAATTATGGAACATATTGTTGGGAGTTGTGGAGAAGATACCTCTTTGTCATTCCACCAGGGGCAGGTTAGGGGAGATGGGAGGGGGAAATGGAAGAGTGGAGGGCAGGAGGAAGATGGGGTGGGGTGGGTGGCACAGTAGGATTTAAAACAGATGTCACTCAGATTCCCAATCTAGGCTGTCAGTCTAGCCCTGCTAGAGATGTTAATCCTGGATCATATGTTTTTCCAATTAGAGGTAAATTCTAATCTTGTTGTATAAGAAATATATTCTCAATTTAGAGTAGGGTAAATTGAAGACTGATCTCATTATAAATGGAGGCTGCTAGAATCACAGCATAAATTCATTTCCTAGTTCATGATCCCCAAAATAATCAAGAAGAAGTTATGATCTGATATCACCTCTTCTAGGGGTAAGGATGAATAGACTGGGACAGAAAAAAATCTGAAAGAGTCTTGAGCAAGTCTTTATTTCTATCTCCAGTTGGGAGAAGAGGAGAAGGAGAAATGCAACTGAAGCACAATTCCAGACCTTATTATCAGGGCTGGAACGGGGAAGGTGTGGATGTTAGAGCTGAAGCAAGGAAGACAGTTTAACTATCACCTTTTACAATGAAAGTTTAAAAAGACAATTTATCACCTTTTAAAATGAAAATGCTAAACAGTTTAGCCTAGGCTGTTATCAGGACCACAAGTGACATCTCTTTTTAAAGAGATGAAATAAAAACACCGGTGCAGAATACCTGGCCACAAAAATAATCATTTAGCTCAAATTGTGACATTGTTCTGGACAGGCTAATTCCCATAGAAGGAGTCTAACAGCCTCTCCCTGAGTAGCCCTTAAGGCTCTACTACACAATAAACATGAAGGATCCAGTGGTCCCGTGGAGGTCCTGGAACCCATCCTCTTGCTTTAAGCTAGGGTTCTACTAAACAAGTGATGTACAATGTGACCTCAAAAACTGCAAGACAGGGGGATTTTCTGTTTTAGTTCTGTGCTGATTTAGGGGAAGTAACTACTGTGTGCCAAGGGCTTTACATGTTCTGCTTTTTTTTTTTGAGACAGTCTTGCTTTGTCACCCAGGCTGGAGTGCAATGGCACGATCTCAGCTCACTGCAACCTCTGCCTCCCAGGTTCAAGTGATTCTTCTCCCTCAGCCTCCTGAGTAGCTGGGATCACAGGCATGTGCCACCATGCCTGGCTACTTTTGTATTTTTAGTAGAGACGGGATTTCACCGTGTTGGTCAGGCTGGTCCCGAACTCCTGACCTCAGGTGATCCACCCAGCCTCCTAAAGTGCTGGGATTACAGGCATGAGCCCGCATCCAGCCATGTTCCACTTTTTAAATCTCTCATGAACACATAAGATAGGTATTATTATGTCCAGTCTGGAAATGAGGACACTGAGTTTAAATAACATGACCAAAGTTAAATAGTCATTGGGCAGAGAAGTTGGGCTCCATTGTCAGGTCTGTATGACTACAAAACCAAACTCTTTCCCACTATAGTATGTGGCTCTTATTAAGTTCTTTTCAATATCTAATTAGTATCTTTCCAGCTATAATTTAAGCATGCTATCTCAGTGCTTGGTCGAAATGGAGCAGTTATTCTCAATTCTCCATTCAAAACCCTTTCATATGTTTGAAAATGGTTACCTCAGCCTTCTTAAAATAAAATTTCTTATCTGTGTTGCACAAGAGCTATGGAAGAGTGGCCTTCATGTCCCTGAAATAGCTTTGTTTTATTTAATTGACATTTCATATGTAAAAACAAGTCCTGCTTATAGGAAACCAGCTATATGCTCTGTTTCATTCCTTCCTTCATCTGATGGACTCAATGGAGTAGAGATTGTGACCCATGCACTAGGCTGGATGCTGGACATTCAAGGAGTAAAATCTGTGCTAAGGGATATATAGGGGAGCACCTGGCTCTGTCTGAGCAGGATGGAGAGCACTTCATGGGGGAGGTGTCAGTAGAACTGGGCATTGAAGGATGAGTAAGAACATCACTCGCAGATGTGGGGATCTTGAGAGGCAGGACGGGTCATATTTGACTATGTGCAAAGTCATGGAAGCTGGTCACACTATTATGAGGAGAAGTGGAAGTATTTTGGTATGACTGGAATATAGAGGGTATGCAGAGAAGAAGGACAGGAGATGATTCAGGGCAAGCATCAGATCCCAGAGAGTTTGTATGTCATGTTCAGGAGCTCATACTTTGCTTTTAATTTTGAGAATTTAAGAAATACAATAAAGTACAAAAAGTAATTTAATAGATACTTATAGCTGGCTGGGTGCGGTGGCTCACGCCTATAATCCCAGCACTTTGGGAGGCCAAGGTGAGCGGATCACGAGGTCAGGAGATTGAGACCATCCTGGCTAACACGGTGAAACCCCATCTCTACTAAAAATACAAAAAAATTAGCCAGGCGTGGTGGCGGGCGCCTGTAGTCCCAGCTACTCAAGAGGCTGAAGCAGGAGAATGGCTTGAACCCTGGAGGCGGAGTTTGCAGTGAGCCGAGATTGCGCCACTGCACTCCAGCCTGGGTGACAGAGACTCTGTCTCAAAACAAACAAGCAAACAAACAAAAATAGATACTCATAGCTGTATTCCTAACACCGAGAATTAAAAACTGTTACAATTTTATTATTTTTTCTAGCCTTTTTAAAAAAAATTAAACACTACAGACCCACTTAAAGTCCCCTTAACCATCATACCTAGTCTAACCCCTTTCTTTGTATCCCTCCTTCAAGGTGATTATTGTTCATTTGGTATTTATCCTTTTAGATCATTTAAAGCACATTTTACAACATATGTAGTATACTATGTAACACATTATTCCGTGTCTTGCTTTTCCCCCCTCAACTTTGTTTTTGAACTCTATCCATGTTGATAGATCAACCTCATTCATTTTAACTAATGCATAAAATCCCATTTTATAAATACCTCATTTTATTTGTTTCCCAGTTGAGGGAGATGTTGGTTGGTTCCAGTTTTATGCTATCAAAAATAATGTGGCAAACAGCATCCTGACCCTTATTTCTCTAGAGCAGCAGTATCCAGTTTCTCTTGATAATGAATTAGTCATGTTGGAGAGTGGGGGGATTTATCAAGGAAAAGAATAATGAAACAAGAAGGAAAAACAGATTCCCCGCCCCCCGCCGCCAGGCCTTACCTCTGGAGATGCTCATTCAGAGGGTCTGACAATTTTAGTGGGGGAGTGTTTTGGTAACAAGTTCCCCATGTGAGTCTTTTCATTACAGATGTTGTAACTTGGGTATAGAGTACACATACCCTCTTGGGAGAGGTATAGGCACTGTCAGATTTTATGTCAAGAAGTGCCACGATGAAGTTTGTGTTCATAAACATTACTTTGGTGACAATATGAACAATACACTGAGCCTCAACTACATTTGTAAGGTAGTCCCCTTTTAGGGATACCAAGTAGAGTAAGATGCGGTCCCTAAAGTCAGGTAGTCTGCAATCTGCTGAAGGAGTTTACAGAAATGTGGGCAAATGGGATCCAGAGGCTGGAGGTTTCATAGCCATGGATGAACTGTTTCCGGGTGGAGGTTCCTGAAAACAGCAGGGCCTGGCTGATCACTTTTGGTACCCATGTTACTGATGTTATTGTCTGCCCACCTAGAGGCTGATTCTTCAAGTTTTCCATATCTGCCTTCTTCCCTTATGTTTCTTTTCCGGTGCTTTGAAAGCTGTTTTACCTATTGTATTAGTTTCCTAGGGCTGCTGTAACAAATTACTCCAAACTTGGTGGCTTAAATCAACAGAAGCTTAGTTTGTCGTAGTACCAGAGGCCAGAAATCTGAAATCAAGGATTGGCAGGGCCGTGCTCTTTCTGAGGACTCTAGGGGTGAATTCTTTCTTGCCTCTTTCACCTTCTGGCCACCCTGGAGGCTAGAGGACCCATGTGTTCCCTGGCTTAGCTGCATTACTCCAATCTCTGCCTCTGTCTTTACATGGCATTCTTCTCTATGTCTCTTTCTTTCCTGTCTGTTATTAAGGACACTTGCCATTTGATTTATGGAGGGCCTAATCCAGGATGATCTCATCTCAAGATTCTTAATTACATCTGCAAAGACCCTTATTCCAAATAAGGTCACATTCACAGGTTCTTGGTGAACATATCTTTTGTGGCCATAATTCAACCCAGTTCACCCACTGAAGAGAACCAGTGGTAAGACTGGTGTTGGGTGGAGTAGTGGGAGAGGTGAGGCTCACCTGACTTGATAGCGGGACTTTTTTACCTCTTTCTGGCCAAGAGGTAAGAAGTGGGGGAGTTGGAAACATGGGATCTAAGGTGAGCAGATGTGCTAGTAAACACTTCGATGGGAATCTCTGTGGCTCTCACCTCAGCTGGAGTTTTGGGGTCCACATTGCTGTTTTTTTCTGCTCGCTGTTCCATTTCTCTGCCCGTCTTCCTCTGCTAATCATGGCATATGTAGGCCTTGCCATGTTGCCAGGTCTAGCACTGATTTCACATGACACCCATCCATTAACCGTATACAGTCTCTGTGTTCCTTGGCTCAGTTCTCAGGGAGCCAACCTGACTGGTCGCTGACAAACCAATGGATTGGCTTTCCCCTGGCTTAGGTGTCAACCCTTGATTCAATCAGCTATGGCCAAGGTCACATGATATAAAATGGCTGCCTGGCATACTGCAGTAGGTTGAAGGATGGCCTCCCCTGAAGATGCTCATACCTTAGTCCCCTGAATCTGTGAATATATTACCTTACATGGCAAAAGGGACTTTGCAGATGTGATTAAGTTAAGGATCTTGTATTCATTGCTCAGGGCTGCTCTAACAAAGTACCATGAACTGGGGGGTTTCCAGAGGCTAGAGGTCCTGGGATCAAGGCTTTGGCCAAGTTGGTTTCTTCTGAGAGTTGTGAAGGAGACTGTTCACTGTCTTTCTCTAAGCTGCTTGTGGTTTGCTGGAAATCTTTGGGATTTCTTGGTTTGTTGGTGCATCCTCTCAATCTCTGCCTTCATGTTCACATTGTGTTCATGTATGTATGTCGTCTGTATTCAAATTTCCTCCTTTTATAAGGACACAAGTAATTATGGATTAGGGGCCCATTCTACTCCAGCATGATGTCATCTTAACTAATTACATCTGCAATGACCTTATTTCCAAATGAGGTCCCATTCTGAGGTACTAGGAGCTGAGAGCTCAACATACGAATTTTGATGAATACAGTTTAACCCATAACAGATCTTGAGATGGGGGAATTATCTTATATTTTCCAGGTGGACCCAATGTAATCACAAAAGTCCTTATAAGAGGCCAGGTATGGTGGCTCATGTCTATAATCCCAGCACTTTGGGAGGCTGAGGCAGAGACCAAGAGTTTGAGATCAGCCTGGGAAATGTGGCGAAACCATGTCTCTACAAAACACTTTAAAAACACTAGCTGGGTGTGGTGGTGTGTATCTGTAATCTTACCTACTTGGTAGGCTGAGGCGGGAGGATTGCTTGAGCCCAAGAGGTTGAGGCTGCAGTGAGCTATAATTGTGCTGCTGCACTCCAGCCTGAGTGACAGAGTGAGACCCTGTCTAAAAAAAAAACAAAAACAGCAACAACAAAAAAAACAAAAAACAGTTATAATAATAGAGAGGAAAGAGATCGAAGTTAGAGGGTAGAATGTGAACTAGAAGCAGAGTCTGGAGTGATGTGCTTTCAAGATGGAAGAAGGGATCATGAGCTGAGGAATGCAGCAGCCTCTAGAAGTTGGGGAAAGCAAGGAAACAGATTCTCTCTTAGAGCCTCCAGAAGGAATGTGGTCCTGCCAACACTTTGATTTTAGAACTTCTGACCTCCAGAATTATAAGATAATAAATTTGTATTATTTTAAGCCACGAAGTTTTGTGGTAATTTTTTTTATAGCAGCAATAGAAAACTAATACATATCTTTCCACCAGAGGCCATAAATGAAGTTACCAGAGAAACAGCTATGTGCTGGGCAGATTGCCCCTAAATTTGACGACTATGGGAAGAAAGTTGGAAGAATTACTTAAAAGGGATCTGATATATATATTTCATATTTCCCTATTGCCTGTGAATATAAAAAAATCCATATCTGTGATAGTTTTAGGAAGTTGCCAACTCACCCAAAAGCAATAGAAATAATTCCTTTTTAAAATGTTTTATTCATTCAGTTCTTTTTTTTTTTTTTTTTTTTTTTTTTAGACGGAGTCTCCCTCTGTCGCCCAGGCTGGAGTGCAGTGGTGCGATCTCGGCTCACTGCAAGCTCCGCCTCCCGGGTTCACGTCATTCTCCTGCTTCAGCCACCTGAGTAGCTGGGACTACAGGCACCCGCCACCACGTGCGGCTAATTGTTTTTTTTTTGTATTTTTAGTAAAGATAGGGTTTCACTGTGGTCTCCATCTCCTGACCTCTTGATCTGCTCACCTTGGCCTCCCAAAGTGCTGGGATTACAGGCATGAGCCACCGCACCCGGCCTCAGTTCTTAATAATATAACAATTCATTTTGATATCAATACCTTTTTTTGAACACTTGTCATTTGAAGCCTAAAGAAATATTATTTTTAACCTACTGTATGAGGGCAGATATTAGGTATTATAATCATAGAACAGGTGTCTTAGAGGCCATCCTGTCCCAACCCTCATTTTACCATAGAAAAAGCTAACAGCAGAATAGGTTTGTCCAAGGCCACTCAGAGAGCTAGTGGTAGAACCAGGACTGGAATGGTGATGTCCTGACCTCTGTGCCATTGTTCTATCTATACTACATTTGCAAATTACCAGTAATCTCCTGTTTCAACAAATAATCCCATTTCTGAAAGATAGTGATGGAGAAATTACTCCATTACCTTTTGGATGGACGTGTAGTAACTCTGATATCATTCTCCACTCAGAAAGGGCTCAGGCAGAGTTGACAAAACTGCCTGAGGCAGCTCAACATGTATACACACACACAGGTCTCCTGGTAGCCTGTGCTTGCTCCAAGACCAACTACCTATTTTTCACCATGTTCCTGCCTCCTGTGGCTAATGGAAGCTCAAAGGCTTTTTTTTTTTTTTTTTTTTAAGTCAATGGAGGAGCTCTGCTCAGAAAAGATTTGAGGGAAATGAAGCAAGGGACTACAGAGAAACAGACCCCAACCTGCCAAGGAGAGGGGCTATTTTTAACTCAGGAAAGGAGGCATTACTCTTGAGGGAAAAAATCCTTTGAGCCTTTATTACTGCCTCTTAGAAGGACATCCTTTTATGTTGAGTGTATTGATATGAATTCAGTGCCCATGTCTAGAACTTTTATTTTCAGAGAGCAAAGGCCATTTTAGTGTTTCTGTTTCTGCACCATTAGTCATATAACACTAGCCTCTCAGAAAAAGTAATACTCTGAGTAGTGACAGAGATACTTTATTTGATTTGGCATCTGAAGAACAGGGTTTGAGTCCTGGCTTTGCTACTTAATAGATGTGTGATCACTGGCAAGTCACTTCACCTCCCCACATCCAGCTCAGTTTCCTAAGTCTAAAATGCCAGTGGTTGGGGCCTGCTTGTTAGGGTTGTTCATTCATCTATTCATTTTTGTTCATTTGTTTATTCACCTGCTATCATAGGCACTAAGCTATGCGCTAGAAATGCAGGCCGGGCGCAGTGGCTCATGCCTGTAATCCCAGCACTTTGGGAGGCCGAGGCAGATGGATCATGAGATCAGGAGTTCAAGACCAGCTGACCAATATGGTGAAACCCCATCTCTACTAAAAATACAAAAATTAGCTGGGCATGGTGACACACGCCTGTAATCCCAGCTACTCAGGAGGCTGAGGTAGGAGAATCCCTTGAACCTGGGAGGCGGAGGTTGCAATGAGCCAAGATCATGCCACTGTACTCCAGCCTGGGTGACAGAATGAGACTCCATCGCCAAAAAAAAAAAAAGCAAAGTAAGGCATGGTCCCTGCTCTCATGGAGTGTACTGTATAGTGAAAGAGACTGTCTTAGTCCACTTTGTGCTGCTATAACAAATACCACAGACTGGGTAATTATAATAAATGGAAATTTACTGGCTCATGATTCTGGAGGCTGGGAAGTCCAAGATGAAGGGACTGGCCTTGGTGAGGGCCTTCTTACTGCATCATCCCATGATAGAAGGGCAAAGAGTGGGTGACAGAGAGCAAGAGATCAAACTTAAACCTCCAGCCTTTTTGCAAGCAGCATCACTGCATTCATGAGGTTGGAGCCCCCATGATCCAAACGCCTGCCATTAGGTCCTACCTCCCAACACTGCTGCATTAGTGATTAAGTTTCCAACACATGCTTTTTGGGGGACACACTCAAACCATGTAGCAGAGACAATGAAGGAATCACATTGAGTGTGTCATTCCAAATTGAGTGTACATTCTAAATCTAAGGGTTAAGAGCATAGCTCTGTGGGAGAGTACAGCAAGGGAGTCTGACCTACATGAAAGGGGGGAGAGAGAGTAGAGTGGGAAAACAGTTTAGGGAAGGGTTCTGTGAGGAAAACAAATTTGAACTTGGAGCAGGTAAATATCCCATTAAAGAGTGGGATTAGTGTGTTCCTAACAGGAGAAACAGCATGTGCAAATTTCTTTGGTGGGAAGGTGTGCAGTGTGTTTTGGTCAAGAGGCTGAAAAACGTGCCGGCATGACTGGAGCTGAGAGAGTAAGGGAAGAGTAGTATGAGGGGAAGCTGGTAAAGCAAGCAAGGGCCAAACCAGGTGGGGGTTTTCAGGCCACAGCAACGATGTTCATGTTTATCCTGGTAGCAATGGGAGATGACAGAAGATTTTTAAACTGTGTGTGTGTGTGTGTGTGTGTGTGTGTGTTGTGTGTGTGATGTCTACAAATGAGGATTGGTTGAGAAGGAGACAGGTTACATGTTGAGAGGCCATTGCAATCCATTGCAATAGTCAAGGCAAAAGATAACAATATGTTCAACTTGGTTGGTGGCAGTGGAGAAGGTGAGGACTGGATGCTTTTGAGATCTCTTACATATCTATTTAGGAGATAAAATTGACTGAACTTGGAGGTCAACTAGATGCAGGGGGAGATGGAAGGGACAGCTTCCTTGGTTTCTGATTAGGGGACAGGGTGAATGATGGCAGCATTGTGTGAGATGGAGAACCACGTAGGAGAACCCAGTTTTGCAGTGGGGAAAAAAGATTATAAGTTCAGTCTTAGATATGTTGGACTTTTGAGACATCCAAGAACTTTTGAGACATCCAAGAGGCAGTGTTAAGTAGGCAGGTAGAAATGAGGGTCTGAAGCTTAGAAGTGTGGTCTGACCTGGAGATATGAATTGGAGGGTCAGGCGATGGTCATTGAACTCATGGATGTGGATTGAGAAGAAATGACCAGAGAGTTAGGAAGAAAGTCAGGAGAGTATGTTTCACAGAAGCCAAGGAACGAGTGTTTCAAAAAAGAGGACATGTTTAACACTGTCAAATGCTGCTGACAGGACAGATAGACTAGGTCTGTTTGATGTAATGGTGGTGATAGCTAACATTACTGGCAACTATTCTAACACATCTTTTGTGAATGTAACTCATTATCCTCATTTTCCAGATAAGGAAACTGAGGCACAGACAGCATATGTAACTTGCCCAAAGTCACACAGTAAATAATTTGAATTGAGGGAATATGGCTCCAGATCCCATATCCTTAATCGCCACTGTCTGCTGCTCCCTCCTAGTTATGTACAGGTCATTGCTAACTTTGTTGAGAGCTTTTTAGGCTGCATAAATTGGGAAGATGCTAGACTGAAAATTCTTCACAGGCCTTCATGCTGCAGCCTCCCTTTTCATGAGTTTGAGGCCCTTCCAGTCTGCTAGATCATATAAAATGGCTTTGACGTCTTCCACTATGTGGGAGAGTATTTGGTTGCTTCCTGAGCCCTGGTAAGACACAGGGGACTTTGTAAGGCAGATTTTGGTACCCCATAGATATGGTGATTCTATGTTTTAACTTGCCTGTGACTGTTTGAGTTTATCGTTTTCCTGGCGTTATTATGAGTAGCTCCCCCTTTCATTCTTAAGAGTGTCTCAGTTTGAATGGTAAATTATATGGTCTCCCATGATGGTCAGTTCTATGTATCAACTTGGCTATAGTATAGTGCCCAGTTACTCAGTCAGAGATTGACTTGGGTGTTGCTGTGTAGGCATTTTGTAGGGGTGATTAAAGTCTATAATCAGTTTACTTTAAGTAAAGAAGATTATCCTAGATAATCTGGATGGGCCTGATTCAATCAGATGAAAAGCTTTAAGAGCAGAATCCAGGTTTCCCTGAAGAAGAATTTCAGTCTGTGGACAGCAGCATCAGCTCCTGCCCAAGATTTCTAGCCTGACCTTCCTGACAGCCTGCCCTGTGGTTTTTGAACTTTCCTAGCCAGTCCCTACAGTTGCATATGCCAGTTCCTTGAAATCAGTGTCTTAACATGTATACCCTGGTTTTGTTTCTCTGGTAGAATCCTGACTGACATATCTTCCTGCCCATGGAGCCATCCCTGCCTGTGCCACAGTGGCCCAGGGAATTGGGGTGAGCTGGGGTTGCTTTCTTCCAGGGCTCTGGACTGGAGGCAATGGGAATTTGGAAGTTGTGGGGGATTTTTTGTTGTTATGATGATGGAGGACACTATTGAGACTTAGTGCCCAGGTGCTAGGATGCTAAATGCTCTGCTCTGCATAGCAGCCCTACGGAACAGAGAATTGTCTTGCCTAAAATACCCATAACACTCCATTTAGAAATATGGGGGCTTTTGTAAAGTGGGAACGGTAAAAAGAGAGGGCCAAGGGAATTGAGGACTCTGGCAGAGGGTTGCTGACATGAAGGGCGAGAGACCCAGGGTAGGTTAGGAGGGAAGTGAAGAAAGGAAAGCACTCATAGGGGATGAAGGAACTGGAGGTCCTAATGGGCTTGACAAATAAACAAGAAAGAAAATAAAATAAATACAGGGGAAAAAATCATAGTAGAGAAAAAAACAAAATCACACACACACACACACACACACACACACACACACACCCCCCCTAAACTATAACTTCTCTGTGAGTATGATGACATAAAAACAAAAAAGTTAAAACAGTTTGATTTGCTGGGGGTGGCAGGATTGTGGGTGAAATGTGGCGAGCCCATAAACAAGAAAGGTGCTTGGAGAGGAGGTTGTCATCTTGGAGTAGGATGCTGGAATGAGTGATTTTGGAGGTGAAGTAGTTTCCATTGGTGACAAAGTCCATGTGTGACCCCGGAGGTAGGGGGTAGAGGTGAGTATAAGAGTCCACAGGGACTTAGGTCAAGAGCCTGACAGATGGGTGATCCATACAACCTCCGCCTCCCGAGTTCAAGTGGTTCTCCTGCCTCAGCCTCCCAAGTAATTGGGACTACAGGCACACACCACCACGCCCAGCTAATTTTTTGTATTTTTAGTAGAGATGGGGTTTCACCCTGTTGGCCAGGATGGTCTTGATCTCTCGACCTCGTGATTCGCCCACCTGGGCCTCCCAAAGGGCTGGGATTACAGATGTGAGCCACCGTGCCCGGCCCACACTACTGTTTTGATGGAGTGGAAGCAAGTCCAAAGTTGTGAGGAGTAAATAAATGATGGATTGAGAAATTCTCTGTGAACCCTCAATGGAGTTATTGTGCAGAGCTTCTATAGAAGGGGACCTGTCTCTTTGTGCTACGTGTTTATCTGCTTGTCTAGGGGAAGCCAAAGCAGATTCTTGTCACCTTCATTCTCAGTGTTGGGGAAGTATGCTGCTGGAGCGTGGCCTTCACCTTTTCTATGGCCCCTCTCAGCATCCGAAGCACAGCAAGGTATCACATGATGTGACTGTCACTAGTAAGCTCATGTGACATGACACAGGGAGGACTTATCCAAAACAATAAAGGGAACTGAAAGTCAGAAAGCAGAAGTGGCCACATATTAGATTTTGTATGCATTCATGGGTAAGCTGAGATTAAACCACTCAGCATTTGTTCCTAAGTGCGAAGCCAGAGAGGGCTCTGAGGCAGAAATGCTCAGTGTTCACCCACAACTAGAGTGACCCTGCTGTGATTTCTGCCTTCACAACCATGTGGATTTAGTGCCTTCCCCAAAACTTGTTTCTCGTTGAAAGAAGGAGGGTCCAAATGCCCACAGTCACAGGATGATAGATTCAGTACAAAGTTATGGAGACAGTATGGGCAGGCATGGCCATGGTCAACCATTGGCCAAAATTCAAGGCTGTGGAACACATAGAGCCTCTATTGAGGAGGGAGCTTGTTCAGACTTTGCTATTAGGAGACTCTTTTTACTCAGAAGACAAAGCAACATATTCTTTGTGCTCCTTTCTGCATTTCTTCTCCAGCTAAGTGCTGGTGGCTCTTACTGTGAGCTTCGTGGGTTTCACTAGAGCACTGTGGGCAACTCAGACTGCTGGTCTCTCACAGGACTCCTCTGAGTGATAATTAGATGGTATACTTTATGAGCTCATGGTAGACAGTCTAAATGTAATTGTAATAAAGTTTTCTTCATGGCAGCTTAACATACTAAGGATAGGAACATCACTTCTCAGCTAAGGAGCTAAGTGCAGAGAAGGCCAGTGACTAAAATGAGTTCAACCAGTCAGTGGCTTGGACTGGCTCTGAAGTTGCAGTTGTTGTCTAATGACAATGGTATTTGAGTGTTTACTATAAGTGAGGTGCTTTGCGTGGTTTATTTTGTTATTGTTTTTTATAGAGATAGAGTCTCATTCTGTCACCCAGACTGGAGTACAGTGGCATGATCATAGCTCACTGTAACCTTGAACTTCTGGACTCAAGTAATCCTCCCACCTCAGCCTTTCGAGTAGCTGGGACTATAGGCCTGTGCCATCGTGCCTGGCTAATTAAAAAAAATTTTTTTTTGGTAGAGATAGAGTCTCACTATGTTGCCCTGGCTGGTCTCAAATTCCTGGCTTCAAGTGATCCTTCCACCTCGGCCTCCCAAATGCTGGGATTATAGGTGTGAGCCACCACACTCAGCCAGCATGGTTTATTTTTACTGTTTCTTACGACTGTCCTATCATCATCATCACCATCATCATAATCAACTCTGCATATTATGGGACAAGAAACTGAAAAAAATTTAAATTAATTTTCTCGGAGTTGGATAACTGGCAGATGGTGGGATTTAAACTCAAACCATCTGGCTCCAGAATGGGCGTGCTGAACTCTTGCCTTGTGCTGCTCTGCTCTGTCCTGTCTGCTTGTACAAATTCACTGCCAATCCGTAGCAATTCCCCTCTGCTAGGTGCTGTGTTGGGATGAGAGTTATGAGCATCTGCAAGGTACCAGAGAAAGTGATAGAAATTGATGGGCACAAATATGGGAATAATGCCAGATTGCTGCAGAGTAGCCATACCCTGTAACTGCATGTGAGCATCTTTTATGTGAATGTCAAGGTTGTGTTGTGGGGTGTTCTGACATGGCTACCCTGCTGGGGCCTGTGAGATTAAGATAGACCCCTCTGGGTAGGCTTGGTCCTGTCTGTAGGGAGAGATTATTCCTGGCGTCTATCATTTTGGAAAGAGACAGATTCTTAGGAACCAAACCATGGGGATGGAGAGAACTCCACCCTGTCTTTTTGCTAGTACTCTGCAGACTCTGAGGAATGACAGTGTCTGGGATTACACCCTGCATGGGGGATGTTGAGGGTGGTGGCTTTCATGCTGAGGTGAGGGAGAGAAGGGAGGAGGAGGTGAGTGCTATGGTGCTTGCCAACTGAAGAGAAATAAGCAATATTTTACTAGAGGGATGAGCTAGATTTTATATATGCTTTGTGCTTTTCCATTTTGTTACCCCCAGCCATTAGTAAAGACTTTTTGATTATTTCATCTCAGAGCTAGCTGTGCTACCATGTATATGGGGAAGAGGTAGCTTGTGAACACTTGGGTTTGACATAAAGAGGGAACTGCAGTGCCCCCTTGAAACAAACATGGGACTTGTTTGGAAAGCCCAGGAGGAAGGTGCAGTTCCCTACATAGAGTCCCAATGTCCTAATAAGTGCTCCCTCCAGAAGAGGCACCTCAAGGGTTACATCTGGAGGTTTGGAATTTTGTCTGAGGGTGGTGGCATTTCCTTCTTCCTCCAGGCTAACCCCTGCCCCTTTTGCAGCCTGACAGCTCTTTTGGAGGAGTGAGCTGCCCTGGAGCTATGAGGGCAGAATTCTTTCATGATCCACAAAATCCCATAGATGCCCACCAAACACACAGCTCTCCATCACTGTTGCCATCAGCGAGAGTTATTGCAGAGAGAGATTTAAAAAATGTAATTACTTTCCTATACAACTTCATAACAACATGAAAAGATTGAAGTTGAAAAAAATTCACCCACAATCCTGCCACCCTCAACAAATCAAATTGTTTTAATTTTTTTGTTTTTATGTTATTATACTCATAGAGAAGGTATAGGTTAGGGTTTTCGTGTGTGTGTGTGTGTGTGTGTGTGTGTGGTGTTTTTGTTTTTTTCTCTACTATGACTTTTTTCCCCTGTATTTATTTTCTGTACTAGAAAACATCTCTATTTTTTATTTGATTTTTTTCCCAATATGTTCCAGATTTTCTGGAACAATCCACCCTCATTTATTTCTGATCTTCAAATCATTAAATGTATAACAAAATGTGAGTTAGTTTTATACACCTCTGTAAGGTGATAGAAATAAATTCATTCATTAGGAAGAAATTTTTTGTCACACTTTTAATTTTTTATTATTGATTTTTTCCATATTTCTGCAAAGTGTTTGTAATTATAGTGCACAGATTCTTAACTGGAGGGTGATTTTGCCCTGCGGGGGACATCTGGCCATGTCTAGAGACATTTTTGGTTGTTACCACTAGGGCATGAAACCCCTACCACCTAGCAGGTAGAGTCCAGGAATGCTGCTAAACAATCCGCAATGCACAACACAGGGCTCACCATGAAGAAAGATCTGGCTGTAAATGTCACTGGTGGTGAGGCGGAGAACTCCTGTTGCAATGTGAAACGGTGACTTCATAGTCCTAAGAGCAGATGCCTGCTTTACTTCAGCCTCCCCTTCTCTCCTTGCTGGACATTAGTTTTCAGTCCCTGTTTTTCAGTGTTGTAATGAGCATATTCATATGTCGAGGTCCGTCTTGCTTTGAGATTGCAGTGGATTATTGCAAAGGGGATTGCCAGCCACCACCTGGCTCCTCTGAGGGTGGAACTCAGACCGGGTGCTCTGGCTTTCCTACAAACAGCTCAGGCTGATTGTAATTCCAGTTACTGAAATCTAGAGGAGCAAATTCCCAGGCAGCAGGAATACAGTGGTGCAGGCATGAAACTGGGAGGAGAGGCAAAAGCTGGAAGGCAAACCTTTGGGAGCAGTGGGATTCAGAGATTAGGAAAGTGAAATGGATTCACACTGATTCTAAAAGCATTTGCTTAGGGAAGTCAGTGTGGGCCTACCAGTGCCTGGCCGCACCCAGCTAACATTGCAGCCCTCTCCACATTTCCTCTCCATCTTCTCTGCTTTATCTTTCTCTTCAGCAGTCATTACTATCCTGCATGCTATCCATTTCGCTTATTTATCTTAGTTATCTTATGCCTGCTTTGTGTACTGCAGTTTCCCAGCACCCAAGCAGCTCCTGGCTCGTCAGAGGAACTCAGTGCCTATTGAGTGAATGAATGAATGGATAATTCACAGACACATGGGAAAGTTTTGCTTTTAGAAGAGCCTCACCACACTCATCACTCCCGGACCTGGTTTCTCTCTTCACTCTCAGAGGAAGAAGGATCCAGAGAGAGAGAGGAGCAGAGAGCCCAGGTGAAAGCACTTCACCCTCTGTGGGGAGCAAGGAAAGTGAGGCCATCAGAGGGAGGTACGGATGGGAACAGCTGCAGCCTGGCAGCTGTGTTTCCTCATTCCTGAGGCCTTCATTCCTCTATCCTGGGAGCTGTGCCCAGCGTCACAGGGGCTGCCCTGCAGCTTCCTTTTCAAGTCCTCCTGGATGCCATGAGGCTTTCTTTGTAGCCCTGTCCAAAGATGGCAGCCCCATTAGCCAGTTGTCTTGTGCCAGCCTTGGGGATCCTCCCTTGAACTCATTATGGGCCAGATTCCAGTGATCCTCAAACCAGACATCTTTGGCCTCTGTGTGAGACAGGCTCCTCTTAAATGTTCACAATCACGCTTGATCTGATGTTTCTGGAATTGTACACGTTCTTGTCTCATTAAGAAAAAAAAAGACCTCCAACCACCTCTGAGCACATACAGCCACATCTTTATTAAAACATCACCACCACCAGGTCAACAGGGGTGGTAGGAGTGGGATGGGGAGAGGCCATATGGAACCAGTCAGGTAAGTGGTGACAACCCTGCCTCGGGCCTCTGCAGCCTTGCAGCTGGCAGCTTTGGAGACCGGCATTATGTTTCACGTCACTCAAGGCAGGTGAGCCGAAGCCACGTCTCGCTGGCTGCCTCTGCAGCTGCTTCTCCAATCAGGTGGTCCTGCCCGCCTCGGCTTGGCGGCTCAGGGTCTTGAAAAGCGGGTGACAGGGGCAATAATCTGCACTTGGCAAAGCAAACCCGAACACATTCTGAAAGGCACAGCTGGACCAGGCTCAGCAGCTTGATTCATTAGGCAGTAATCTCAAGGCTGTCAGCCTAGGCCACAAGGGCATGTCCAGGCAGGGGAGCTGTGTTTTCAACAATTCAATCCATTTCCACAAATATTATTGAGCCAATGTTACGCAAGAGGCCTGGCGAGTGGCAGCAGAGGAAACAAAGATGAGAAAGGGACAGTTTCTGCTTCAAGGACCTTAAATTCTAGCTTCTCTGAGAACCACAGGAGAGAGAAGACCAAGGGTGGCTAGGGTTCAGAGTTGGACGAGAGAACAGACAGTTGAAAACTCAGGACAAATGTCACAGAGGAGGAGTCCTGCATAGAATTTCTTCTTCCCTCGTTTCCTCCATCCTTCCCTGTGGTAGACGGAATAATGCACCCCCATGCCCCGCCTTGCCAAGATGTTCACGTCATAATCCCCAGAAGTTAAATATATTACCCTATATGGCAAAGAATCTTTGCAGATGTTATTAAGTGAAGGATCCTGAAATGGACAGAATTATGCTGAATTACCCAGGTGGGCCCTAAATGTAATCACAAGTGTCCTTGTCAGAGGGAAGTTGGGTGCGGTGGCTCACACTTGTAATCCCAGCACTTTGGGAGGCCAAGGTGGGTGGATCACTTGAGGCCAGAAGTTTGAGACCACCCTGGGCAACATGGCAAAACTCTGTCTCTACCAAATATACAAAAATTATCCGGGCCTCTAGTCCCAGCTACTTAGGGACTGAGGCAGGAGAATCGCTTGAGCCGGGGAGGTAAAGGCTACAGTGAGCCATGATCATGCCACTGCACTTCAGTCTGGGCAACAGAACAAGACCCTGTGTCAAAAATAAATAAATAAATAACTAAAAGAGAGAAGCTGGAGAGGTCAGAGTTAGAGAGAGGTTTGGGGGTTTGAAGGTGCTGCACTGCTGGCTTTGAAGATGGAGGATGGGGCCGTGAGCCAGGGATTAGAAGCAGATTTTAGAAGCTGGAAAAGGTAAGAAAATGGATTATTCCCTTGGAGCCTCCAGAAAGAACTGGAGGAATTCCCCTCCTGCTGACTCATTTCAGACCTGTGATTTCTAGAACTATAAGGTGATACATTTATATCTCTAAGCTGCCAAGTTTGTGGTAATTTGCTATAGCAGCAATGGGAAACAAATGTACTTACTTCCCGCTTTCTGTCCTTTTTCCCTCCTTCCATTCATGTCCCCTTTCCTTCCTTCCTCCTTTTCTTCCTCCTTCCCTCTCCTTTTATCCTCTCTTCCCTCCCTTCTTTTCCTCTCCTCTCCTGTCCTCTTCTTTGAATCTATGTATGCAAACAATATAGGTGGGCTTGTTTTTACTAAAACAATATAATATTACACATATTATTCTGCAGTGTGGACAGGATTATTTTAGGTAGGGCAATGGGTGGAGAAGATCATTCCAGGTGCACAGGTGCCTGAGCAGAGACACACAGATGCGAGAATGTTCAGAAGAGAGTAAATAGAGCAGTTTGATGAGAGGGAGAGGGAGAAGAAGGAGAAGGAGGGGAAAAAGAAAGAGGAGCTCCTTAGGCTACTGAGGACAGAGGAGAGTCAGGATGCCGTGGAGTGAAAGATAGGCAAGAACACAGTGGCAGCTTGTGCTGAGAGGATGGCAGGGAAAGGATGGCTTTGCAGACAAACATGAGGGTGTCATTTCTTTTTTCTTGTTTTTTGAGATGGAGTTTCACTCTTTTTGCCCAGGCTGGCATGCAATGGTGTGATCTTGGCTCACTGCAACCTCTGCCTCCCAGGTTTAAGTGATTCTCCTGCCTCAGCCTCCCAAGTATCTGGGATTACAGGCAGGCACCACTATGCCAGTCTAATTTTGTATTTTTAGTAAAGAAGGGGTTTCGCCATGTTGGTCAGGCTGGTCTCAAACTCCTGACCTCAGGTGATCTGTGAGACTGTCATTTCTTGAACTATAGATTGGGAGGGGTGGGGTGAAGAGGAAGTCAGCATGGCTTTGAGATTTTGAGCACTGGGTACCTGGGATTGGTGGAGCTAGACTCTTGGGTATCATGCCTGACTTCTGTTTGTCACTGCCAACGAACAATCAATCAACAGGATACTGTCAATAAATTCTGCCTAATTATGCTCTCAGAGTTCCTCCTAATCATCTCTTCATACTTATTCTTTAGAACTTGATTCAGGCATCCTATCTTCTGAGAAAACTTCCAGATTCCCTCCTCCTCAGTCTGGGTGAGGTTTCTCACTTAAGTGCCTCTCTTCAATGCACTCATAATATCTTGTGTCTCTCCGCATTTTCACATTTTCTTAGAATTGCCTGATTATAAGTCTGTCTCCTCCACTAGATTATGAAGGCCTTGAGGGCAAGGATTGGATCTTATTAATCTTTGTATTTTCAGTGCTTTGCCCACTGCCTGGCATCTGTTTCGCACAAATCTCTGCTGAAGGGAAGCCTGGATGTTGAACATGCTGTTGAACATGTTTTGAACGTGTTTGACTAGAACATCTTGATGGGAATGTCCACGAGTCAGCTAGAAATGTAGGTCTGGGGCTCTGGGAAGATGTCAGAGATGCAGAGGCAGACTGTGAGTCGTCTGCAAAGAGGTGAAGCAATGAACCTGGCTAGAGAAGAAGACTGAGGGTAGGACCTTGGGGAGTCCTCAGATTTAGAGAGTGAGAAAGAGACACTGGTGAAAGCAACCAAGAAGGAGCATTCAGAAACGTGGGGAACACCCAGGCTGCTAAAATGGCAGACAAACCAAGAACGTTTGAAGAAGACAGGATGGTCAGCAGGGTCAAAGGCTGCCTGGAAGTCAGAGGGATGAGTGAGGAAAGGTCTTTCCTATGGCATTTGGGAGATGGTTCCTGAGCCGTGTGAGATGAGGCAGGTGGACAGGCAATAAGGGATAAAAGGAGATTGAGTGGGGAGGCGGTGGAAGCACCAGTACCTCTTTCGACGTATGTGGAAGGGAAGGAAAGGAGGGATATGAAAACAGGACCTGAGCAAGTAGCAGAGCGACATAAATCTGATTGAAAGGATGTGAGGGGGCTTAATGTGGAAATGACTGAGCATGGACTACAGGCTGGGCTGGAGTCAGGATGAGAATGAGAGATGAAAAAAGCAGAGAGGGCTGGCACCTGGAGTTCATGAGAGGTCACAGCAGGTCTCCGTGGCATGGGACATATCTCCCTTAGTGCACTCCTCCCCAGCCTTACAGAGCAGCATCCATCTACACCAATGCAACCTCATTCCTTCTGATGGGTTTGGAAGGAAAAAGAATGCTTGCTAGAAAATGTCTGTGGGCCCTTTGTTTCCAAAAGAGCCTCATAACCCCTGTTCCCTGATGGACTTCAGGTCTTAGGGACCTGAAGATCTCTAAGAGCAAATTCTAGCCTGTCTACATCTGCGTGCCCTCACCCATGTTTGAGTCTGGAGGATTCTGAGTACTGTCACTTGTCTGTATCTGTGGGTTCATCTATGGATTCAACCAAATGCAGATCAAAAATATTCAGAAAAAAATTCCACAAAGTTCTAAGAAGCAAAACTTGAATTTGCCTAGTGCTGAGCATTATGTTGAATCCACGCAAATGAAGTGATGTGTAGGCATTGTATTCAGTATTATAAGTAATGTAGAGATGATTCAAAGTATTTGGGAGGATGTGCGTAGGTTATATGCAAATGTTATGCCATTTTATATAAGGGACTTGAGCATGCATGGATTTTGGTACCCACAGGGGATCCTGGAACCAATCCCTCATAGATACAGAGGGATGACTGTACTTGGATTTCTCTCTGTGGCTTATGCCTCAGTGTCCACAGTTTCTTTCTCCTCCTTCTCTTTTCATTACCATTTGCCAACAAAACGACTCTAAGGGTGGTACAGGAACTCACAGAACAGCTTCACACATCTGGGACTGTCAGTCTGGAAGGCATGCATGGCGCAACACCATAGTCTGAGCAGCTGAACAAAGATGGCCTTTGTCCATTGGTAACAGCTGTTAGGGAAGCTATTTCCTTTTTGGGGATTTGGTAGTGGGGCATTTGGAGGTCTTTGAGGAGCCTACAAATGTCTGCTTCCAAGGTGCAGGTCTAGTTGGCTGATTAACCAGCATGGGTCAGCAAAACATACAAATGTGCATTTTCCCCATGGAGGAAGCCAGGTCATTGACTTCAGTCCATGAATGTTGTCCATGGTTATATCCTCTGGAGTTACACATGCCCACGAGTTGCCAAGAGGCAGTCAGGTGGAAGCTCCATGACATTCTCACCATCCCACTGCTCTTCGGGCCTGTAGCTCCTTCTCACTCTGATTTTTATTTTTATATTTTTTTCCTCTCATGCTTTTAAATTCTTTCTGGACAATGGCTAAGCCATAAGCATTAAAGCTAGGATCAAAAGCCAGCTTTTGCTTAGGAAGTCCCTTCTGGGGTGGAGGTGGAGGGGGAGGGTTGGCTCCGTGGGCTCAGGACCCTGCTCTATATGAGGCCCTCCTCTTCTCTTTCCATAGTCTGGCCCTGTCCCAAGCCTGCCGTCCACTTGACCAATTCCTCACCTGAGGTGCAGACGCTTGTGGGATTGGAAACACAGCTCCGGTTTTAAAATATGCTTCCTTCTCAGAGTACAGATGATTCATATAAAGCTTCTACCTTTAATTTTTCCTATTCTTTGCTTTTCTATTGATTCCTTGGATTTCACAGAGAGGGCTTATTTGATTTGGGGATGGATTATGCAATTACTTTACATTTTATCTGAGCAACACAATACAGGCAGAGTGGATTTTATTTAAAAAGTCTGAATTGTCAGGATGATGCCACCCACAGAGACCTAACTTTGGAGAAGACAGGGCCCTGGGGGGCATGCAACAAGAACCCCAGTTCTCTGTGTACCGGGGACCCTGTCCTGGCAGGAGCTTGGAGAGCAGACCTTGTATTGCAGAACAAGGGGTTATCTTTCCTTCAGCTTCAGCCTGATCCATTTGTCACTTTGGATTATTTCTCTTATACCTGCGCAGAGTGGCAACGTCGTGAATTTTGAAGATTCCTAGTGTGCTTTGTTGTGTCACGAAACACAAATACCATCTCCTTTCAGCTCTGGCTTTCACAGGGTCTGCCCGAATACATTTGTGTTGTCTCCAAACCTGGCACTTTAAAACAAATGAAAAGGCCCCTGAATGACAAACATGGCACACATAGTGGGAGGGCCATTTGCAGGGAAATTGTTGCAAGGAGAATCGGTACTTTATGAATATTCACTGAAGTGTAAACCTGCACATTGCTCATACGCTTTTCTGCATTCTAATTTGCCCATGAATGCAAATGAGTCCTGTGTAAAATAGAGAGGGGGAAGCAGTCTCCTCACAGAACACCTAATTGAAAGATGTTTGTACATCATGTTTGATATTTAGTAAACAGAGAGACAAATCCAATCGTTTTCCAAATGAGACCTCAGAAACAATAAAAAATAATGATCACAAAAACCTGGAGAGTAGAAATGTGCAGAACTAACTGCTTTCCTAAAAAGGGGGAATAATTACTCTGTCTCAGAGTGCAATTAGTGTCCTAATTACACAAAGGTGTATTTTGCTTATCTCTTCAGTAAACCCTTTGTCAAGATTTAGCTGTTTCCAGGAGCCATACAACAGAGGGGCTGGGTTCTGCACTTGGGGTAGGCAATAGATGTCCTGTGGGAGAGGGGCCCGGTTAGATGGGACTTTGGGAAGTAACTTCGTCTTTCTTTTAGACTGACAGATGGTTTCAGTCCGGGTTGGACTGCCTGCTGCTGCTTTCAATGCAAGAGTGCTACCTTTTTGGATTCATGAAAGCTACTCAATCAAAGATAAAAAGGCAGGCCAGTGTGGGGAATCAATAAAATCTCTACTTTCAGCTGGAGTGTCTAATAGTAATTCTTCTCGTGTCACTGCCTGGTTAAACAGTCATACTCCTGCTAAAAGCCCTATAAGACATAATAGATTCATGTGGCTTTGCTCTATTGTGTTGCATTTGGCCTGGAAAAGGGGAAAGGGGCTCCTGTTTTTCTAAAACAAACCAGACACTGAAGCATTGTGTATCAAAATGTATTCACCCATTGCAAATTGTCTCATTAGAGCAGAGGGGATTTCCTTGCATACCTCTTGTGGAGCTATTTCCAGACATCAGATATATTCATTGCAAACCCTCCCTTGGAGATGTTTTAGTACCAGTTCTGAGTCATTCTGCTTACATTTAAATGCATTTTTTTTTTTGGTAGTGGTGGTGGTTGTTGTTTTGGAAAAATCATAAAAATAAGTACTTTTGATTTCAAACAGATCCAGTTGTGCATATTGAGATCTGTCCCTGAGAAATGGACAGCAAATGCTACCCATCTCAGAGCTGGACTGGACAGCACCCATGGCTGTCATGGCAGATAGTCTCAGGCAGGGCATCTTTGGTGATGGCTTCTCAAGAAACAAGTTTACCTTGGGCTGGGAGGCAGGGTTTTCCTTAGTCTGTGAGTGGCAGCATGGTCAAGATCTGTGTGTAATTCCCTCACTCTACCCCAGCACACTCATGGGCCCTTGAATGGTCCTGAACCCATGGCCAATATGGCAGTGAATCATGGAGATGTCGAGTGTTTTTCCTTCCAATCTTTCCTCCTTCAGGGTTACAGAGAAAAAATGAAGTATTTGTGCCTGAGTTGAGAAGCATTAAATGGAATTGGCTGGGTTACCACCCACACATTGGCATCAGGGATTTTGAGTGAATGAGAATCACAGAGCATGTTATTCGCCATCTGGGGTGAGAAAGACGTGATGGGACTAGCGGCACTCTGTTGGCCATTCCAAGCAGGCCCTTTGATCAGGAGTGTCCTTTGTGAAGCCTTCTCCTGAACCCTCCTCTCCCACGTTCCTCCAAACCCAGGCCCCTCCCCACCCTCTGCTGCTACCCTCTGGAGGTTTGTTGCCAGCCGTTGGGTCACACCTGAGCCCTTTCTGGAGTATCATGTGAACCTGCGGAAGTGAGGAAAATATCGAGCGTCTTTCCCTTGGCTGCCCCTTCGAGCCCTTCCCCAGGAAAACTTCAGCAGATGTAGACAAGATTTTAATAGCTACATAAAAAGAAATGCATGACAATCTCATTAGGGGAGCCATAATGGCCTGTTGGAGGATCTCAGAGCGGACAATAGATCAACGTCCAGCTTGTTGCAGCATCCCTAACGATGGCAGTTTGCCCCTCCTCATAATGGCCCATTCATCACCCATTTGACCTCGTTCCCAATAATACTTTGCCCTCACTTGCATCAGTCTCCCTTTGAGGCCCTCCACAATTGCTGCCACCACTCTTTAAGTGGGGTTAAATCAGAGCCAGTAAGTGACAATCATAAAAAAGCAGTTAGTGGGCCACCCCACGGCTTGCCCGATATGGCACATTAGGGCTCTTTCTTTTCTTTTCCCAGCAGTCTTCGGCCGCACTTCATCCTGAGCCTAGCATCTGCAGGAGGCCAAGGCTGGTGGACCGGGGGTCCGGGATTTCCAACCACCTGCCAAGGAAAAAGGAAGTCAGTGCTGGAGGAGGGAGGAGGAGGAATCTACATATTCTGCAGACCTTCTTGTTTATCATGAGCGAGGGCAGGAGAATCGTTATTAATGGTATCAGGCCATTGTCTTTCTTATGTGCCTCCGAGGGCAGCGGACATAATTAAAGTCCAAGCTGAGTTCATTTTTCCCCCTGGTGGCTTAAATGGCCTGGAGTCATTTCCCATTTCTCCCTTCCCACTAGCGCCAGTCCTCCCTCGCTGCTGAAAAATTCAACATTCCTATAAACTACAGTACTTCGTAAAGGTCACGCGCCAGTTAATCTGAACCTGGGGTCTGGCGCCAGCCCCGCTCACGGTGGCTGCGAGGATGGCCATGCAGCCCGGTCACGTGGGGCCCGCCTGTGGAGAACGGAGAGGGGCACGAGGCAGGCACGCAGAGCTCTTTAAATATTGCTGAGCATTTCCTGGATCAGCATGATATTTAAAGATTTTTGTTCCACCTGCCTGCGAAATATAGAGTCCAGCCGAGAGGCAAGAAAATGAATATGGATTTCTTGCCCTTTCAGTGTATTCACTCCAGAAAATAGCCATTTCTTTTTTTCGTTTTGCTGAGCCGAGGACTGCAGGCTTCAGGCTGCCACGATTACAATCATGCATCATGAATGAAATGTGCCATTTGGAGAAAATCAGCCACTCATTCCATTTCAAAACTCTACACAAATCAATAGTGCTAGCAGAGTTTTCAGGCTGAGCTGGACGTTGTGCTTGAACTAAAGCACTTTCTCAACATATTTCTGATACTCAGAGCAGCAGCCTGGGGCAGGCTCCGAGCCTGGGCCTCCACTGAGTGGAATATCAGCCTCCAAAAGCTGGTTGGGCACGTGATGAGTCAGGGAGACTTAGTGCTGATGGATGGAACTCTGGCAGGGTCAGAGAACATGCTTTCTAGCTTGAGTTCCGCCTGAACTAGCTTCCTATTCACGCTGTATTCAAAAAACATGTACTGTGGCCAGGCACAGTGGCTCACACCTGTAATCCCAGCACTTCGGGAGGCTGAGGCGGGTGGATCACTTGAGGCCAGGAGTTTGAGACCACCCTGGCCAACATGGTGAAACCCGTCTCTACTAAAAATACAAAAATTAGCCAGGCATAGTGGCACATGTCTGTAATCCCAGCTACTGGAAGGCTGAGGCACGAGAATCGCTTGAACAGGAAGGCAGAAGTTGCAGCGAGCCAAGATTGCACCCTTGTACTCCAGCCTGGGCAATAGGGACTCCGTCTCAAAAACAAAATGAAACAAAACAAAACATGTATTGTGCACTTCCTGTGTGCCAGGCCCTGTACTAAGCCCTTGGGATACAAGAGCACACAAGATAGACACAGACTTTACCTTCATATGGCTTCTAGAGGTTAATGAGGGAGATGGAAAAATTACTGGGCAGTTATGATGCAGTGTGATAATCTTAGGACATTGGGAAAATTTTCATCTCTCTCTGGTTCCTCATTTTCTTATAGGTGAACTGAGGAGATTTAAATAGATAAAACCTCAAGGCATTCTCCCATTCCAGGATTCTAACCAATCAGTAGGGCAATTAGACAATTGGGCATTCTGATCTCACCTCCACTCCCAGTGCTGGACAAGGCTCTTGATCCCCTCGTTCTCAAGGTCACCACAACCTAGTTGCAGACATGAGACTCATGCAAATGAAATGTAAATTCACAGTTGAGGTGTCAGATAAATGTTAGGGACTTTGAGAAGTTTTCGCCATCCAGAGAGTTTCCTGGGAGTTCAGAGAAGAGAGAGAGGGTTAAGCACCTTATCAATGTCAGACACGCTTTTCTCTGCACCTTCTTAACCACTCCCTTGGCTCCCATGACTTAAGTTACTTATATATGGACAAGAATCCTAAATCCTAAATGTACGTCTCCAGCCTAGACATTTCCCATAATGTTTTCCCTTGACTATCTCCTCCTTATTTTCCATTTCCCATTTAAGTACTGTTTGCTCCACAAGGCTTCATTTCCTTGGACCAAGTTAGGTCTCCTATCACATGTTCCTGTGGTACCCTGGTTTTTATCAGAGTAGTTACCACACATTTTTGTAATGTTTTAATGAACTCTCTCTTCCACAAGCCTGCAAGATCCTCAAGGGTAGGACCATGTATATCTACCCAACTCACTGTTTTTTCCCTAGGCTTGGCATTTTATCAGTGTTTGGTGAGGACTTTGTTATACAAATGAATGATGATCTAATTCTTCTAGAGAGTACATTTACCTTTCTTTAACGCATGCATCCAGGCCATTTCAGCCTGTTTGGGTCATTCATCCCAGAGTAAAATGAAACAAAAGTGGCACTGTACCAATATATTTCCAACAGAGTGTGGTGTCTTAGGCAGAGTTTCCTAAGAATCAGAGATTGAAACAAGGCTTGGGCTGAGCACGGTGGCTTACACCTATAACCCCAGCACGTTGGGATGCCTAGGTGGGCAGATTGCTAGAGCCCAGCAGTTCAAGACCAGCTTGGGCAACATAGGAAGACCTTGTCTCTACAAAAACCACAAAAAACGAGCCAGGCATTGTGGTATGTACCTGTAGTCCCAGCTACTCAGGAGGCTGAGGTGGAATGATAGATTGAGCCTGAGAGTTCAAGGCTGCAGTAAGCCATGATTATGCCACTGCATTCCAGCCTGGGCAACAGAACAGGTCTCTGTCTCAAGAAAAAAAAAAAAGAAAAAAGAAAAGAAGAAAAAAGAAACAAGGCTTAAGTGCTAATGTGTTATTTGGGAGGTACAATCCCAGGGCAATGGAAATGAAGGAAAAGAGAAATGAAGCAGGCAAGGACAGGCAGCAAATACAAGGTGTTGAGCTGCTGTGTTGGCCACTGCTTCATGGTGTGTATGTGGGCACATACACAATGACAACAACAACAACAACAACAACAACAACAACAACAAAATGACAAAAAACCCACAGCTAGTTGCTCAGCAGGTACACCTGCTTAGCCATGCAGAATGTTTCTAGACAGACCAGACGGTAAAAACGTGCCTCAAAACAGTCCTTGGGAGGAGGAAGGGAAGGAGATTTTCCTCCCATTGCTACCTTTATCAGTCAAAGTTAAGCCCCATGGGGAGAGAACTTCCCTGTATTTATGGTCTGCTTTATCTGACACTGTTGAAAGCCACTCAAGAATTCTAAGCCCATGTGCTATGACGTGACATTTCATCCAATTCACATGTATGCAGAAAAGAGTAAATATAGCAGGCCAGAGACTGTAACCCTTAAAAAGGCCTGCTTGCAATGTTGACTGTTGGTGGCTTCTGGGAACTTAGATTTCAGGGGGATTCCTACTATTCCTTGCTAAGAATGGCTCACCATGCCTAAAAGTTTGGGGGCATGCCATGTAGTTTATGCTGAACATCTGCTTTCCTTCTGGGAGTCTGGAATTTTGGTATGTGCTGGCAGAGGGTACTTATGTGACCAGCTCCCAATAAAAGCCCCCAGGCACTGAGTCTCCAATGCACTTCCGTGGTAGACATCTTTCACGTGTCTTGTCACAACCTACTGCTAGAGGAATGAAGTGAGTCCTGTGGGACTCTATTGGGGGAGCACTCTTGGAAGCTTGTGCCTGCTCTTCCCTGGACTTCACCCCATGTGCCTCTTTCCTTTGTTGATTGTGCTTTGTATCCTTTTGCCACAGTAAATCCTAGCCATGACTACTATATATGCTGAGTGCTATGAGTCCTCTTAGTGAATCATCAAACCTGGAGGTGGTCTTGGGGACCTTTGACACCACTTAGGTGGCTGGTTGACCTCAGGTGGAAGAGCCAAGCAGGCCTTGGGGAATTGGTTTGCCAAGGCTGTGACTGAGATGAAGCAGGAGGTTGAGGGTCAGGGAGACAGCTGAAGCTGAGGAGGCGCAAGGTATGTCTGATGCAGGTATCAAAAAGAGCCCAGATGGACCTTGGCTGCTACCAAATGTGCAAACTGCTGAGTGAGTTGGTGTTACTTTGATAAAATGGTAACAATTCTATCTGTCTTGCAGGGTTGTAAGGACTGGTATAACGTATGACTTTCTTCAGCCTGTTGACTTTCAGGAAAAAGCATCTTGATCCCTTACCTTTAGGCTATAGTGTTTGGATGGACAACATAGAGTTGGGGGAGGAGGATGGAGAGAGTGAAGATGCAGCAGTGAGTGAAGATTGCCGCTGTGTATGGAAACTTCACTGGTGTTGGAATGGAATGTTCTGGCAAGATGGTGCCTGCTTCTAGGAGATGTACTATTAGGTTTTTCTGGATATAGAAGTGTTCCCAAGACAGTTCTCTTGGAGTAAGTCCAGCAGATTATTATATTGCCCAGTTGCCACTTCCAGATATTGGCCATTTTGGACTTGACCAGCCCCAAACCGTACAGGACATTCTTAACAGGCCATATTTCATTTATCACTGAGTATTAGAATTATTTGGCTGCAAGCAACAGACTTCAACTAATTTAAGCAAGAATCCATTATTGGACGGCTTCAGAGTGGCTTGCAAAGAATAGTAACTGAACAACTAGGCTTCAGGCAGGGCAGAAACCAGGGCAGGTCTTGGTCCCTCAGCAGGTGGATGAATCCCCTAGAGAATAATCCTTGGATGACAGCTATAATTGCTTGGCTCCCCTGCTCGTCAAACTCAAGGTTCAGATTCCCAGGAGAGGGCTGTGATTGGCAGCTCAATAGAAATATACCACAGGAGAGAGATTTCTCTAAAGGAAGGAGGATGCCATTAGCAGGAGCAGGTAAGATGTTGACTCACACCTGCTTTTCTGACAGGGATTCTGCCCTATGTCCAAGCCACCAGGTCACTCTGCTTCTGTGACGTCTGAAGCCTGGTGCTATCAGGTTGCCTTGGGACTTTGTCAGATTTGGTCTTTTTCTTTTCTTTTCTCTTTCTTGACAGGGTCTCACTCGTTGCTCAGGCTGGGGTTCTGTGGCACAATTATCACTCATTGCAGCTGCAACTCCTGGGCTCAAGTGAGCCTCCTGCCTCAGTCTCCTGAGTAGCTGAGACTACAGGGGTGTGCCACTACACCCAGCTAATTTTTTAAAAAAATACTTTTTGTAGAGATGGTATCTTGCTATGTTGCCCAGGCTGGTCTCAAACTCCTGGCCTCAAATGATCCTCCCACCTCAGCCTCCCAAAATATTGGGATTATAGGCATGAGTCACTGTACCTGGCAGACTCAGGCACTCCTGAGTGTTTGCCTTGTCTCCTTGGTTCCCCCATGCTTGCCAAATCTATGCAAAACACATTTTGGGGAAACCCCCTAGGGATGGTACTGCTCTCTTGTCAACTAAGGGTATACCTTTGTAGAGCCTCAATGGCATTGTCAACCTTAGTGCTTATATTTTTCATGCCTTTCTAAGCCTTTGAAGATACTCTGCCCTCTGCTTGAGGTGCTTTTTACTGTGCTACAAATGCCTACTCACCTTCAAGCTCAAATGTCACCTCTTCTGTGAATACCACCCTGCCTGAAGTCTGTAGTTTAATGGCAGAGGCTCATGTAGAATCCAGATCCCCTGGTTTCCAGTTAGAGTCATTACAATACAGGGACTAGTAATTAGAGCTTTGGAGTCAAATAACTGTGGGTTTGAGTCCCAGTTCTGCATTTATGCTTTATGTAACCTTGAAAATGTTCCTTACCGTCTTGGAGACTTGAGTTTCTTTTCTTTAAAGGGGATATTAACAGTACCAACTTCATATGTTCAAGGGAAAATTAAACAAGGTAATGTATGTAAAGTGGTTTGCACAATGCGTGGCATGCAGTAAGTGCTCAATAAATGTTAGCTATTATTCTTGTATTGTGTTTTGGTCCTAGGAGGATTATCTAAATGAATTTAAGTGTAGAAAGCTTTAAAATCCTTAGGGACAAGTAGAGTAACCATAACATGCAAAGACTCAAGAAGCCCCAGGGAAGAGTCAGCATTGGAAGTCTGTTACTGCAAAAGTTGTTAACAAATCTTAAAATACTAATTAGGCAAGTGCATAACTCACTATCCTAAATAATGAAATATGTGTGGCTGTTGTTCATGGTTCAAAATAATAAATTCTAAATTAGTCACTCAGAGCATTATTAATAACTAAACACAGTCTGCAAAGAAGTTAATGTATTTTTTTAATGCTCATGAATTTTATAATAAGAGAAAATACCAAAAACAGACCCTTTTGAGATTAGTACGGATCTCTAAGTCTGGTTTTGTTGGAAGATTATTGGAGTTAGAATTGGAACACCTGTTTGAGTCCTGGCTCTGCTGGTCATTAGCTGTGCGATTTTGGGGAAGACAGTCTTTCTGTGTATTTCCTCACATAGGTAATCTACATGAAAGGACCTTAAACATTGCAAAATGCTTTTTAGACTATAAACTGTAGTTTGATTCAAAAGTATCCTTATGAAAATAAAGCATTCATTCATTCGTTTCTTCCTTTGTTCTTTCGTTCATTGATGAACACCTATCATAAGCTTAGCGTGGTAGAAGTTGCAATCTGGGATCAAAGGCAGAAGAAAAATGTTATGTCCATTCTTAAGAAACCAGTATCCTAGTTAAAAAGACAATACACATACAGCATGTCTAAGTAAATGCATCCTTCTAAGCTTTTCCTGCATTTAAATCCAGGGAAACACAAAGTGAGTAAGAGAAAGATTAGGACTTACTCAAGGAAAGCCATTTTGAAGGAGGTCTTAGATTGTGTCCTGTAGTACAAGGAAGGGAAGGGGGTGGGAGTGGAGAGGGAGAAACAATTTACATGGCTGGATGACCATGACTAAGACAGATGAGGAAACAGTGAAGACATATTTGGTAATGGTCAGTCAATAATCAATCAGAGGACACATTTGCATTGGGTACGGTATGAGTCTAGCACTGGTCCTAGGTGCTGTGGGGGATGTGGGAGAAGGAAGAGGCTCAGTCTCCATCCACTGATAATTTTAGTGGGAGGGGAGGTGAGATGAATACTGGCAAAGCCCCTGAAGAGATAGGGCATGAGTTTGGTGCTACAAGTTGTGAAACTGAACCGCGGGGCTGAGCCATCTGGTAATGTCTGGCTGATGCAGAGGAAGACTATACCTTTAAATCCACAGCTCAAGAAAACATGTCAGTTTGCCAAGTTTCTGCTAAGCCATCCTGAAAAAAATATTCAACAGCTTTCACCAGCTAGAGGCCCCAATATCCAATCTTCTGTCTCAAATGATAAATGGCATTTGTCAGTTGACAAAGCAAATGGCCTCGACCATTTGAGGACATGGTCCTGCTGTGCATAGCACTCCTGTTGAACCAGCCAAGAGACCTTGAGGTGAGAAAAAGTCTTTTTGTGCATGAACCCTTCAGAGATGGTCTGGAAACAAGCAGCCATTGTCACTCTGGGGTCAGTTCCTCATTAGGAGCTGGTAGGAAACAGCTATCTCGGCAGAAGAGGATTTCTCAGGTCCCGTGGCTGGATTAGCCAGGGGATGGCCTGGAACCTTGCCGATGGGCATGCACTTTGGCTAAATTTCTGCTGGGGTCTTTGCCCTTTTTTTGTAGTATCCCAGATCCTATTGCTTTAGAGCTAAGTTAATATTGTTAGTGTGTGAAAGCATCAAGGGGTACAGCTCACATCGACACTAACAGCACAGTTGATGGTGTTGTGCATGGGGGTGGTGCAGGGGTAAGGTAAGTAATTTTCGCATGGTGGACTGTGGTGCTCTCAGTTTCCAGGTGTTTAGCCTCCCTGGCTCCCACCCACTGAATGGTAATGTCATCCCCAGTTATGTGATTGTTAAAACTGTCTGCACATTTCCAACCTCCACTGCCAGGGTTTATGCAGAACCCAAAAGCACTTGGGGTGATGGGTGCTTGTAGGGAACCTGTCTTCCACCTGGTCCCAGCCTGCTCTGCTGTTCTCTAGGAACCTGGGGCAGGGTTGAGTCTTTGCCTTTCTCAAAACTGATCCCTGGGGGTTGGGGTGTTGAGGGTGGTGGACTGCGAGTTAGATTTGGTGTGTTCCTCACTCTGCTTTTTGAGCTAGGTGTTTACTCCATGCTGAGCCCTCTGGAAGAATCCCTCAGCTTTCCAGAAGGAGGTGAGGGCATGACATCGGGCTCGAAGGAGCTGGGAGAAGCAGATGAAGGAGGCCAATTGGGTAGATATGGGGACATTACTGAGGTCTCACTGCAAACAGTTCCTAGCAAGAAGGGCTTTCCAGTTGATCCAGTCCAAGCTGAGGGCCAGGCATGGAGAGAACGCCAAGGTCAAGTGGTCTAACCACCTGTTCCAGTGTTTTCTAACGTGTGGTCCATTGATGATTCACATTAGATTGACCTGGGGTGCTTGTCAAAAATGCAGATTTGTGGCCTCTACAAACTTCTATGTCAGGTTTTCTGGATTTGGGGTTGAGAATCTGAATTTTCAAAAGCACCCCAGGTGATTCTTCTTCAAGCTGAATGTTGAGAGAACTAAGGATCTAGCCAATGCTTGAGATCCTTCTTTAAGAACTCTGATTAGTAACAGTCCACCTTTGGTCATCTTTAGTGGAGGAGGTCTCATTTTCTTTGGAGACAGCCCATTGCCTCTCTGGATAGCTCTGGTCAGCAAAATTTCCCAACAGGAAAGGTATGGTCTCGTTGATGGGGAACCACAAGCCCAAACTGTGTGTGTGAATACATGCATTTCCAATAGACTTGAAAGTATACACACTTTTTAACTAAGTGTGGCTCCTCATGGGAGGGAGAGTGAAATGTGGATAAGTGGGGAAGTTAATTGGGGAACTGTGACTTTTTATTTTGTGTATGTATGTATTGTTCAAATTTTTCTTTTATACTCTACATGTATTAGTCGTGTAATTTAAAAAATAAGAGACAAAACAACACAAACATTGATGTTCTTTACATTGAGCCCAAATCTACTTCTCCATTTTCCCGTCTAGTTCTAAGGGATTGCACAGAATGCTGTTTCTTCCTCATCTGCCAAATGTTTTGGAAGAGCCAGGCTCAGTGGCATGCTCCTGTATTTCCAGCTACTTGGAAGGATCACTTGTGCTCGGGAGTTTGAGACTAGCCTGGGCAACATAGCGAGATCCCATTTTAAAATTTGTTTTATTTTAAAAAAGAAATTCAATGGAATTTTTAGAAAAAAAAGTTTTAAAATGCTGTTAGTTTGTTTCTTTTGTGGCACCAGCTCTGTAGGCCAAGTGGTCCTGGTTCCTTGAACCTTGCACTGAAATGTGAGTCTTCCAGGAAACTACCCCTATGCTTGGTAATGCTGTTCAGCTTGACTGTATTCTGTGAAAATTATGCTCTCTGCTCTGTACCGAGAGCAGTATCCTGGGTGTGGTTGGAGCAGTATGGAGGGAGCAGGACAGTCATTTTCATCTCCCTGGGTCCTATCTTTCCATGAATGCTGTTGCAGCCTTCTTGGCAGCAGTGTCACAGTGATGACTGCTATTGAGCAGAGTCAACGAAAACCTCTCAATCTTTTTCACACAGGCTGCTTCCAGGGCTTATTTGACCCCACTCTGTACTGCTTTCAGCTGGCTTTCTGGACCCTACTAGAGAACCTTAAACTAATTCCTATTAAACTTCATCTTGTTAGGCTTGGCTCATTGATTCAGGAGTTGAAGCCACTTTTCTTTTTGCATCTTGATTTTGTTCTCAGCAGAAACCTCTTTTTGCGAAGTTTTATTTTATTTGACTGCTGCGGGGGAAAAGCCCTCTTTATTTTTGAACAGGAGACTCTTAGAAAATCAGCCCGAGCCAGGCATTTTCTAGTACCCTGAACAAATGCAGAATTTGCTGTCAGCCTGATTGGACACGGCTCCACGTCAGGGTCTGCTACCTGCAGGCTTCTATGGCGGGTCCCATGACATATGCTGCCAGGCTGGAAGGAAGCTCCACAGACAGCAGGTCCCCTTCCCAGACAGATGGGGGTCTCTCCTTTTCTGAAACATCCCTTGGGAAGGCTTGATTGGGAGCATCTTCCCAAAATGGGATGTCTGTGTGTTGTGAGTGGCTTTATTGCTCAGAGCATCTGGATATGTTGTGATAAACAGCGTGATAGATGATTTTAATGCTTCTGGAATGGGTTGCCCAGACAGAAGGAACAGAACAGGGAACATTTGCCTCCCTATTGCTTGGAACAGAGAGGGGTTACTCACAAAAACTTTACCTGAGTTGTTCTTCTGCTTGTTGCAGTAGCAAGTTCAGCACTGTGGGCCTAAGGGGGTCTTAGAGAAGGGGATATTTACTTGAGGTAGTGAGCTGGATGGAGAGAGTGTTCATTTATATGTTCAGCAAAGAATCTTTGAGGTTTGAGGGTCACTGTGCTAGGGCATTGGGGATAAATGGCAAGAAAACCAGACATGAGCCCTGTGATCACATGCTCTCAGGTTAGTCAAAGAGGCATATGTTAATGGAATGATCGCTCAAGTACAAGTATAATTACAATGGTAAATGAACAAAGAGAACATGTTGTTCTGCTGAGTATTCTAATTTCAGTCTAGAAGGTCAGGGAAGGGTTCTCTTAAGAGGTGATACTTCAGCTGAAATCTGCAAGTTGAGTGGGAAGTAACTTGGCAAAGAGGTGGAAGGTATGACAGGTATATGCTAAACATGTGCTAAGGCCCTGTATTAGTCTGTTTTCATCCTGCTGATAAAAACATACCTGAGACTGGGTAATTTATAAAGAAGAAGAGGTTTAATGGACTCACAGTTCCACGTGGCTGGGGGGCCTCACAATTATGGTGGAAGGTGAAAGGCGCATCTTACATGGCGGCAGGCAAAAGGAAAATGAGAGCCGGGTGAAAGGGGAAGCCTCTTATAAAAACATCAGATCTCGTGAGACTTATTCAGCATGACAAGAACAGTATGGGGGAAACTTCCCCCAATTATCTCCCATTGGGTCCCTCCCATAATGTGTGGGAATTATGGGAGCTACAATTCAAAATGTGACTTGGGTGGGGACCCAGCCAAACCATATCAGGCCCTGTGGCAGATGGGAGAATAGGATGGTTAAGCACAGGAAAGAAGGCCAGTGTGTCTGGGTAAGGAGAGCAAGGAGGGAACATGTTGCAGTGTAAGGTTAGAAATATTAATAAAGATTGTGGTAATAATAATCATATTGATACTAATAGTAATGTTTTTACTGAAGGTTTATGGTGTTCCAGGTGCCATGGAATGACTTCCTATGTATTAATTCACTTATTTTCTCTGACAAAGTTATAACATATGTACTCTTACTATTTCCATTTTATAGAAGAGGAAATTGAGACACAGAAAAGTAACTTCTCTAAACTGGTGAGGAGCAGTGCTCTGCAAGTTCTTAGAGTTCCCTTTTGGGATTTGTTCTTTATCTTCACAACTATGGAAAGCTATTGAAGATTATAAGCAGGGTAGAGATATGATAAGATTTGTGTTTTGAGGTTGCTCTGGCTGCTAGGTGGAGAATGGATGGAAAGGAGCAAAGGGGAAGCTGGGGAAAGCAAAAAGAGACAGCTGTCTCTGGGATTCAAGTGAGAGATGCCACCAGCTCATGCTGGCATGGGGGGCATGGTGATGGAAGGAAATAAACTGGTTTGAAAGGTGAAATGTTTTTAAAGTAAATCAAGATCTGGTAAGGGATTGGACAGAGGGTGAAGGAGAAGAAGATGTCAAGGATGACCCCTAGGTTTCCATCAAATCGAACTGGATGGATGGGGAAAATGATGAATTGGGCTTTTGGCACAATCAGTTTGATTAGCTGAAAGGGAGAGCCAAATAGGCAGTAGGACATGAGCTTCTGTTGCTCAGAGAAGAGGACTGGACTCTGATTCTGGGAGTCATTGATGAATAGGTGGTAAATGAAGTTGTGGCCTGGGTGAGATGGCTTAGGGAGAGAGTAAAGAGGAAGAAGCCAAGTTAGCCTGGGACAGACCCAGCCTTAATGAAATCTAGTGTGCTGGCCAGATAGAGGAAGGTAAGCTTGCGGAGGGGACAGAGAAGGAAGTGGCCAGAAGTTGCAAACCAGGAGAATGTGTGGGCACGGTTTCCAGGAGAGAATGCATTTGTGGGAAGAGGCAGGGTTACTAGTGCTGTATGCTGCTGCGATGTCAAATAATATGAGGAATAGACATTGTCCATGGAATCCAACAAAAAGGAGATCATGTTCATTTTCTAGGGTGCCATAGCAAATTACCACAAACTGGGTGGCTTAAAACAACAGGAATTTATTCTTCTACAGTTCTGAAGGCAAGAAACCTGAAATCAAGTTGTGGGCAGGGCTATGCCCTGTCTACAGGCTCAATGGGAGGATCCTTCCATGCCTCTTTCAGCTTCTGGTGGTTGTCGGAGATGCTTGGCATTCCTTGGCTTGTAGATGCATCACTCCATTCTCTGCCTCCATCTTCACAAGGCCTTCATAGGCTTCTCCTCTGTGTGTCTTCATGCCTTTCTCTCTTTTTATAAGGACACAAGTCGCATTAGATGGGGCCCACCCTAATCCAGTCTGACCTCATCTTAACTTGATTATGTCTGCAAAGAACATATTTCCAGATAAGGTCAAATTCACAGATCCTAGGGGTTAGGACTCAAACACATCCTTTTGGGGTGCCAAGTCAATTTATAACAGATTTCTTCAGTAACTTTGAGAGCTGTTTTTGTGGCAAGATGAGGGAAGATGTCCAGAGTGTGTTGAGAAGAGATCGAGAGGTGGAAAATAATATGGGCTAGCACAAAAAAAAAAACTCTTTTAAGAAATTTGGTTGCATGACTGTTCAAAGTAGCCAAAGTTTGGCAGCAACTTAAATGTTTATCAACAGATGAATGGGGAAAAACATGGCACATATACATGATGGAGTACTATTCAGTCATAAAAAAGAATGAGATCCTGTCATTTGCAACATGGATGGAAGTGGAGGTCATTATGTTACGTGAAATAAACCAGGCACAGAAAGACAAACATTGCATGTTCTCACTTATTTGTGGGATCTAAAGATGAAAACAATTGAACTCATGGTCATAGAGAGTAGAAGGATGGTTACCAGAGGCTGGGAAGGGTAGTAGGGGGTGCAGGAAAGTGGGAATGGTTAATGGGTAGAAAAAACCAGAAAGAATGAATAAGATCTACTACTTGATAGCACAACAGGGTGACTATAGTCAATAATAACTTCACTGTACATTTAAAAATAACTGAAGGAGTATAATTGGATTGTTTATAACACAAAGGATAAGTGCTTGAGGGGATGGATACCCCATCTTCCCTGATGTGATTATTGTGCATTGCATGTATCAAAACATCTCATATACTCCATAAATATATGCACTTACAATGTAACCACAAAAGTTAAAAATGAAACATTTAAAAAAAAAGAAATTTGGCTGCCTAGAGCACTAGAGCAGTAGACCAGTAGACCAGTGTCAGAAAACCTCTGTCTGAGCACCAGCTCCACCACAACTGGTGTGACCTTGGGTCAACCACTTCACCTGTCTGAGCCCTGGTCTCTCATTTGGGGAATGACCATGTTCACTTTAGAGTAAGTTGGAGCTCTTGTGAAGCTTCAAGGAGATAAGGCACAGTAACATTTGCAGACTCTAAAAGCAATAGGAGATGCAAGTGATTATGGTTATGTGGTTTTAGGGAGACTCTGGCCCACATTTGGCAATATGTGTAAGGCAGGAGGCCTAGGTAGAACATCAGGGTTGGGTACCTCCTTCCTTCACTGAGTCTTCTGACCCACCCAGATGACATGAAGACCTCTCTGTTGAGCAGGCTGGGCTTTCTGGCTGCACTCTGACCAGTCTTCCTGGAGGAACTGTGTATGTGTGGTTGTGTGGCATGGTGTTCCTCTGTCCTTGCCCATAGGAGGCTTCCCATCAGTCCAGTGTCTTACACACTCAATCTTGGAACCTCTGACACAGGCAGAGAAGTTGTAGCCTAGAGACTTGGCTCCTGGATGCCAGTGGGGGCCTAGAAGACTCTACCTGCTTAGGTCCAGTGTCTGTCACCAGAGCAGGCCTCTAGCAGCCAAGCCCCAAGACCTTCTGTGGGTTGACAAAGAGGGGGACACTTTGCCCCAGGGGCTGGGGAAACTGGGCAGAAGCTGGTTCTAGAGGTTCCACTGAGCAAGCTGAGGGCAGGCAGGACCCACAGCCTTAAGAGTAACTGGAGAGTTCCCTGCAGGGTGTAACCCGGCAGCGATGGGGCTGCAGGCAGCAGTCCCTCCCGCCCCTGCCCCTGGAGTCAGGGAAGCAGAGAGTGGTGGTATACTCTGTGAGGAAGGCCAGATTGTCCTCTCAAGGAAGAGGCTGGTTGGCTACAGGGGCTTGTTTCTAGCAATGATTAATTTACTCCTTGCTGGATTTGTTGGATGTCAGACCCAGGCGCTGAGCTGGGTGGCTGGGGAAGTGCCAGGGTTGAGAGGCTGCAGCAGCGGGGCTGAGTGGCAGAGACACCAGCAGGCGTGGGGGTTTACCAAGTGCAGGGTGTCTTAACAGGAAGAGAAACTCCCTCCAAAGCAGACCTTATGTGCACATCACCCAGAGATCTCTTTAAAATGCAGATTTGTTTACATTAGGTCTGGGGTAGGGCTAGAGGTTCTGCATTTCTAAAAAGTTCCCCGGTGATGCCCATGCTGCTGTCTCACAGACCACACTTTTGGTAACAAGGGTAGGGGAAGGGGGGTTAAGAGTCAGCACTCAAGGGAATCTCATGGCATTCAATTGCAGGGGCTGCAGCCAAGTCTCCCAGGAATCAGGAGTTGTCAGCAGGGACAGATTGTCTCTCTGGAGCTGCACTGGTCTCTTGTCTGCACATCTGCTCTTTTCTCCTCTAGTCTGGCTTCCTCTGCAAGCAGTTGTAACTTGGCTTGCCCTTGACTGTCCTTACCATTGCAAGGACCCTGACCTCAGCCTCACAGCACCAGCACCCAACTCTGTGGGGGCTGTAGCTTTTTTGTCTCTTCAGACTTGTTTTTCCTCTCAAGATTCTGATTGGTTTAGCCCTGTCAGGTGACCACACTCAGTTTAAGCAGCTGTGCTAAGGGGCCAACATGCAGAGCTTCTCTGGAGCCCTTTCAAGCAAGGTTAGGGGACCCCACCCAGTGGGAAGACTCAGTGAGGTGGGTTAAGAAAAATGCAGCCTAGCCAGGCGTGGTGGCTCACGCCTGTAATCCCAGCACTTTAGGAGCCAACGCTGGTGGATCACGAGGTCAGGAGTTCAAGATCAGCCTGGCCAATATGGTGAAACCCCGTCTCTACTAAAAATACAAAAATTAGACGGGCGTGGTGGCGGGGGCCTGTAATCACAGCTACTTGGGAGGCTGAGGCAGAGAATTGCTTGAACCCTGGAGGCGGAGGTTGCAGTGAGCCGAGATCACACCACTGCACTCCAGCCTGGGTGACAGAGTGGTGAGACTCCATCTCAAAAAAGAAAAGAAAAGAAAAGAAAAGAAAAATGCAGTCTTGATAAACTTTTTCAAACATTATCAGAAACTTTAAAAAAAGTGAAAATTTCAGCATATATTTTGGCTGCTTTCCAAAATGCACATTTAGTTTGTATTATTCATGGAACTAGGTGGGTGGGCACCATAATCTTCTTGCTAAAGGCCCTGGAAGGAGCAAGGGCTTAGGGTGAGCCCCAAATATGCCTCAAAGAGAAGTCAACAGGGGGCGTGTAGAGACCAAGGACCTGTGGACTGAGACACATTAGGAGGTGGAGGAGGAAAGAACCTGAGATGGGGCTGTTTGTTGGTTCATGTGCCCCAGGTCAGATCAACTGTGAAGAAGCTGCTGTAGCATCTTTGTAGCCCAGGAACAATGACCCAGGCACTAGATCTCAGGTGCATGAGGAGGGACTGAATTTAAGTGACAGCAATAGAGTCTGGAGATGGGGAAGGGTTATGGCTCATTCACTTGGGTTTCTAGACCTAAAAATGTACAGATATGGAAACAAGACCTACAGAGATTCTGACCCACTCAAGGTTAACCTCCCAGTTGTGGCTGAGCTAGCCAAGAAAGTCAGTGTCCTGACACCCAGCCATGAGCTTTTCTGAAATTGAGGGGACTCTTAAGAATACATAATACTACTAAGCTTTTCGTTCACACAGAGTTTGCAAAGCAGTCATGGAGGACTCTCTGAAGAAGGGCAAACGGTCCCTGATGGGGAGGAGCTGCTTGCTGCAGGAGCTCGTTGCCAGCAATTATTAATTCACTCCTGCTGGATCCGTCTTGGGGGCCTCCCGCGCACAATAACATTAGGAGTGTTGGCAGCTGCGGAGGGAGAAGCCCTGCTCAGAGGGAGGAAGGTGGGACTCGTCACAAGGTTGCTCTGCTCCCAGTTCCTGCTCTTGGGAGAAATGCTCAGTGCTTTTGGGCCTGGGATCAGGCTGCTAAGGACACAGTGTTCTGGGGATGGTGGCAGATCTTGGAGAAGGGACAGAAACTGGGCCAAGAGACTGGAACTTATGCAAATCAGGCCTGAGGATGGCTCAAGGAGGGGGCAGCCCCTGCCTCATGCCTCCTCCCTCAATATATCCAGAGCCAAACACCTCAGGAATGAGGAAAAAGAAATCTTCAGGAGGAACATAATCTTTCACCATCAATGCTAAGCTTTGTAGGAGGGTGTGTAGGTGTGTATGTGTAGGGAAAGCAGTGAGCCCTCGTTTTCTCTTGAATCCTTTCTTGCTAAAATATTCCACACTTCTAAATGCCTATGGGGCAGAGAGGTTTAGCAGAAAGAAAACTTGGTGGGTAAAGAAGCAGGAGAACAGGGTTAATAATTGCATTAGGCCTGGGAGCAGCTGAATGCATCTTCTGGGGTCTGGAGGTCTCTCCAGAATTTTTTTTGAAGGGTCAGGTTTCTCAGAGCTGCTGCGTACTGTTGTGCAGGCTGGGCACTGAACAGTTCCAGGGGCTGCCAGTCCTACTGTGAAGGTGAAGCCCCCAGCAGCAGCCTTATTTTGTGTAAGTTATTAAATTAGGGATGACCTATGGCAAAACTGTGAAATTTAGAAACAGTGTCTTCTACTCTGTTCTCCATGCCCCTCCTTTTCCTGTTTGGCAACTCATGTTCTAGCAGTTGCCTAGCCAAAACTGTCTATTCCCCAGTTTAAAACTTTCCCTTCTTTTTTCCTCGCAAGTCATTCCACTTCCTTGATTTCCTCAGCATGACTGACTTGAAGAGAAAGTCCATCTGACAAACAGTGTGCTAAGGGAAACAGTCATAGAATCATAGAGCCGGGACGGATGGGGCAGGCCATCCTGGCCAGAGATGACAAACCCTGCGCCAAGGATTTTGATTTATTTTTAAGTTCAAATGTGGAGGCCTTCCCTTGGGTTATGTTTTTTCTATTTCTCCGCAGCCCCATGATTCCTTATCATTTCACAACTACCCGCTTAAATCAGTTATGTTACCTGTGAGCCTTGAGGTGGATACTTCTGAGTGTATTGAGCCCCCACTCATTGCCCTCACTTTAGAGATTAGGAAGCTGAGGCTCAAAGAGGTGGCATAACTTTCTTAATATGTTCAATCTCCAAGGTGTATTGGCTTTTTTAAGTATGGGAGCCGTAGGGGAAACTTTGAGGAATAAATCTCAGATGGCGGGGAGCTGCCCAGGATCACATCGTTTGTCTGCTGGCTGGACTCTCTAAGCAATTTTTTCATGGTTTCCCTAACTGTAAAATGCGGGCATGGGACTCCTTCACTTCAGATATTCCTTCTGGTTTCTTCATTCTCTGATTCCTTCTCTAGAGAAGTTGGGGAGATTCCACTGACAAAGGTTAATTGTTAGAATCTCTCAGGAATTCACACCTTAGCAAAGTGTGTACACCGTAAACAACTGGATCAAAGCAGATTAGAATCATTTTCCCACTTGTCTGATAGTTAATACCTGAGAAACTGATTGGATTGCTATATGATCCCTCTAATTTAGATAAGATGGCCTAAACAATTAGATCGACCCTACAGTAGTCACTAAATTGAATCAGCACTGGCATCTCATTTTGGCTCTGTTATCACCACGTGATCACACGATTTGTAGACAGGTGTCTATTGCCCTAAATTCTGCATTATAGGTGTGTCATAAAAAATATGGCTGACCTCTATCTTTGGTTCCAGGAAGGTAGTCTCTAAACTTTTGGAATTTCTCATTTTTTTTTAAGAGAGTGTCTTTGTTATTCACAGTAGGCTCCCTTGACCACACCTGATAGTTTATGGTAATGAAGTGACTCAAGGTGGGCCTCTAGAGAGTTTATGCTAAGGAGATAACCCAGGATGTGGGCTGACCATGCCAGAAAGACCAAACATGTGATTAGAAAGTTGGAGTTTTGGGTCAGCAGTATTAGCTCAACTTCTGGGAAGGGATGAGGGGGAAAAAATGAGTTCAGTCATATGGCTATGATTCAGTTAATCATGCCTATGTAATTAAACCCCCAAAAAAGTCTGGTCACCAAAGCTTGGGTGAGCTTCCCTGTTTGGCAGTGTGAACACAAATTGACACACATAGATGTTCTAGGAGGACAAAGCTTTGGGTTTGAGACCCTCCCAGACCTCATGTTTCTCTGCCTTTGGCTGGTTCTGATTTGTGTCTTTTTGCTATAATAAAACTATAATCATAAGTGAAGGCTGGGCTTGGTGGCTCACACCTGAAATGCCAGCACTTTGGGAGGCTGAAGCAGGGAGATAACTTAAGGCCAGAAGTTTGAGACCAGCCTGGCCAACATGGTGAAACCCCATCCCTACTGAAAATACAAATATTAACTGGGCGTGTTGGCATACACCTGTAATCCCAGCCACCTGGGAGGCTGAGGCATGAGAACTGCTTGAACCGGGGAGACGGAGGTTGCAGTGAGCCAAGATCTCACCATTGCACTCCAGTCTGGGCAGCAGAGTGAGACTCTGTCTCTTAAAAAAATAAATAAATAAGTGAAGTGCTTTCCTGAATACTGTGGGTCATGCTAGCAAATTTTTGAACCTGAGTGGTGAGTGAGAGGCCTTGAATTTGTAGCCAGCTGGTCAGAAGTGGGGGTACCCTGAACTTGCAGCTAGTATCTGATAAAAGGACAGTCTTGTAGAGGACTGTGTCCTTAACCTATGAAGTCGGGCCCAATTCCAGGTAGTAGGGGAAAAAAAAAGGTAAGAAATAAGAGCTTACGTGGAGAGGGGCTGGTAGGTGATGTTAGCAGCAGCAGCGAATCCATATGGGTCTGCAGCAACCTCAGTTCTTCCTTGTCAGAAGAAAGAATTCGACTGAGAGGCATAAGGCAGAAGGAGAGACTAAGGCAAGTTTTAGAGCAGGAGTGAAAGTTTATTAAAAAGCTTTAGAGCAGGAATGAAAGGAAGGAAAGTACACTTGGAAGAAGGCCAAGTGAGTGACTTGGGAGATCAAGTGCATAGTTTGCTCTTTGACTTGGGGTTTCATATGTTGGCCTGCTTCCAGGATTGCATCCCTCCTCCCCGGATTCTTCCCTTGGGGTGGACTGTCCACATGCATAGTGGCCTGCTAGTGCTTGGGAGGGGAGCATGCACAGTGTGTTTACTGGAGTTGTGCACATGCTCACTTGAGGCATTCTTCCCTTACCAGCCAAATGTCCCTAGGAGGTCATATACCAGTTAAATGCCCCCACTTCGCTTCTTAATGTGCATGTTTGAGCCCACTCACCCAGCTCCTGAGGTCCTATCAGGAAGCTGTTGATCACTAGTTTCAGGTGTTCCTGTGTATTGGGAGACTGCTTTTCCCTGGCACTGTCTGTGACCAATGATTATTTTAGAGACAGCTTAACAACCTCCTGAACATCACCTGATGGTTGCCTGACATTCCTGGGGGAATGTTGGAGTGGGAGTGGGGGGAAGCCCTGTCCTGCTCTGCTCATGTCTGATTAGCTACCTCTGTAACAGAGAGAAGAAATTCTAAGAAGGCTCCAGGACTATGCCTTCCACATATCCAGGACGTGGTTTCCCATATGTCTGTGGGCTCTCCTCTCTGCTCTCTTCACCCCATCCTGGGCCCTAGTTCTCCATTCTGGAAAAAGCCACAGATTCTTTGGGGAGATGGTCTGATTAATAGCTCATGGTCTGATTAATAGCTTTCAGGATGAGCAAAATATTGATCCAGAGTGTGGGCTCTGGAGCAGACTGCATGGGTTCAAATCCTGGCATTACTCTTAATCATCTGTGTGACTCTAAGGAGAATCACTTAAGCTCTCTGTCTGTTTTGTCATCTAGAAAATGGGGATAATAACAACCCTTGCCTCACGAATTAAACGAGCAGTTACATACAAAGCGCTTAAAAATTGCCCAGAGCCTGTGGAGATGTAGGAATGCTTTTACACTGTTGGTGGGAGTTTAAATTAGTTCAACCATTGTGGAAGACACTGTGTCGATTCCTCAAGGATCTAGGACCAGAAATACCATTTGACCCAACAATCCCATTACTGGGTATATGCCCAAAGTATTATAAATCATTCTACTATAAAGACACATGTTCACGTGTGTTTATTGCAGCATTATTTACAATAGCAAAGACTTGGAACCAACCCAAATGCCCATCAATGATAGACTGGATAAAGAAAATGTGGTACATATATACCATGGAATACTATGCAGCCATTAAAAAGAATGAGTTCATGTCCTTTTCAGGGACATGGATGAAGCTGGAAGCCATCATTCTTAGCAAACTAACCCAGGAATAGAAAACCAAACACTGCATGTTCTCACTTGTAAGTGGGAGTTTAAGAATGAGAACACGTGGCCGCAGGAGGGGAACATCACACACTGGGGCCTGATGGGGGGTTGGGGGCAAGGTGAGGGAGAGCATTAGGACAAATACCTAATGCATGTAGGGCTTAAAACCTAGATGATGGGTTGATAGGTGCAGCAAACCACCATGGCACATGTATACCTATGTAACAAACCTGCATGTTCTGTGCTTATATCCCAGAGCTTAAACAAAAAACAAACAAACAAAATGCCCAGAGCATGGGAAGGCCTCCATTAGTTATTCTTATTCTTATTCTCCATTGAGCTCTGTCAACAAAGGCAGCATAATATACTCTAAAATGCATGAGCTTTGCAGATGGACAGACCTGGGCCCTAAATTCTACCCCTGTCACTGCCTTGCTGCCCAACTTTGGGTAAGATGTTTAGCTTCTCAGTGCTCAATTTTCTCATCAACAAAATGCAGCCACTGATATTTGCAGTATTATCCCAAGGCATAAAAATTATGTAATTTAAGTCCCTGACCCATAGTAAGTGCTTGGTAAGTGGTAGCTGTGATTACTGGCTCTGCTGGTTGATGTTTACAGCCGATAAGCTGCCTGCTAAGCTGCATAGAGTCAGAGGAATGAGGGTGGGAATGGAAGTTCAGTAGTGGTATGGTGAGCTTGTACTTGGAGTCCCTGAACCTGAAAGAAGTCGTAAAGGTTAAATCAGGTTGCTAAGGGATTGGAAGTAGGGAAGGGAGAGGCCTGGTGCCTCTCTTGAAGATGCTCCCACAGAGCAACTTGGGGGGTGGGCAAGAACCAGCAGCTCAGGGTTGTCTCCAGGAAGGTGAAATTCATTGCTATTCTCTACAAAAGGCTTTGTTATTTATATGTCACACTGTTTGTTTATTGAATAGGTATTTGACAGAAGTATACTCAGCAGAGCACATCAGTGGGGATGGTGTTTTACCAGCAAATAAATTAGAATCATGGAGTTAGCTAAGGCATAACTAAGTACATGGCATAAATATGTCATTTGGCCATTATGAATTCATTCATGTATACGAATCTTTAATGCAGCTCTATCAAACCTTTAAATGAAATATTCTCTTTATATCAGGCCTGTATTTTAATTATAGGCAGGAATAATATTAGTGCATCCTCCAGGAGCTGTGGAAGTCAGCTAGTGCTCTATGTGACAGTTTCTATCCAAGACCTCAGAGCATGCCCAACCCCAGCCCAGGCCAGCCCCCAGCAGCACGCCTGACCTCTCCCCTTCCTTCCTCTCTCAGCCTTGCTTCTTTCTCCTCCTGTTGCAGTAGTGCATTGGAAGGCAGGAGAAACAGGAGTGTGAAGCAGGGGAGGACAGACAGCAGGGTAAGGCCCTGGGGCTCAGCCAAGGCACGCGAGGGGAATAAGGTGCTGGGATCAGTTGAGCCCCGCTGGAGTCCAAGGCAAACATTTCCAAAGTGCTCCTGACTGACACTTCAATTCCCCATTCCCTGCTGAGAAAGCTTGCTTTCTAAGACTTGCATTTGAAAGGACAGTTACCCCCTCCCACTGACCTTTGCCTATTTTTTTTTCTTGTGGGGAAGAAAGGAGGGAAAAGAACTTAAGAAAGCAAAGAAAGAGACTGTCACAGTGCCCATTCCTCGCTATCAATCATTGGTGGGGGTGGAGGAGGTGAGTTGGGAGAAACCAGGAGGGGTGCAGGAAGGTCCCAAACTGCTTGTTGAAGAGCTGAAAAGTTTCCATTTTTATTCAAATATTATTAACATGATGGGAAAAAGCCATTTCCCAAGCTTTCTTATAGGTAATTTCCACTATGAATGCAGCCTCATGTGCTATTTCTCTTCTTTCTCTCTAACCCTCACTAGTGCCACACACATCTTAATTGTGTATCTTGTCGCCGGCAACCTAGGATTATTATTTTTTTCTTGACCAATTTATACTGATTGTGTGGGAAGTTCACAAGATATAGTGGGTGGGGTGGAACTTCAGAAATCCCTATACTAAATGCTGTGCCTCTGATGTAGGTCTTCAAACAACTCAAAGGTTCTAGGGTAAAAGAGTCAACTTTGCTATTATTTGGAGTCAATGTTCTTAGGATTCATTCTCCCTTCCTCCTGGCTCCCCCACCCCCATTCTCAGATAATGTAAGATAACTTGAAGGCTCCCAGGAAAAGGAACCAACTCTAATAAATTTCTGTTACTCAACTTTTTTTTCTTTTTTTTTTCATGTAGGAAGTAGAAAGAAAGCAAAATGTATTTCAGTAATTACCAGGGTTTGCCTGGATCCCAGGGCTTGCTGGATGAGGGAAGGCAGAGAGGGTTGGGAAAAAGGTACTTTGATCTTGATGGCATCAAACCTGCTCATCATGACATTCTTCCATGTCCCGGTGGAATGACTGTACCCATTTTATTTTTGACACTGGGCATGGCAAATATATTCTTTTTCATATCTTGTATTTATAGCAACATGTTATTTACATGACATTTAAAAGGTGTTTTGAATCGCTGAGTGGGAAAGTTCTAGAATGGAGTATGACCTTAGATGTCACCTTCTTCACGTCTTTACTTTCCAGAAGAGGAAACTGAATATGGAGAGCAGGGTCTTAAGTAAGGACACATACCAAGTTGGCGGCAGAAAAAGGATTGAGCTCAACAGAGGACAGACAATTGCCCAGAAGACTACTATAAATGGGCAAGCGGTAAATACTTACAGATGACCTTGCCCACTCCATTGTTTTAATTCATCAGCAAATACACTCTTTATAGCAGGCCCTGGGGACAGAGAGAGCCATCCCTGGTGGATTTCTGGACGTGTGTGCCTAGAGGAAAAATAATAGGCACAAAGTGTCATTTCCAGAAGAGAAAAAGAAGATGGCAATTTTTATCATTCCTATTTTCTTTTTGTTTTTATTTTTGAGACAGGGTCTCGCTCTGTTGTCCAGGCTGGAGTGCACTGGCATGATCATGGCTCACTGTAGCCTCAAACTCCTGGGCTCAAGCAATCCTCATGCTTCAGCATCCCGAGAGCGGAAACTTCGGGTGTGCACCACCACTCTTGGCTAATTTTTAAATTTTTCTTTTGTAGAGACAAGGTCTTGTCTCATGTGTCCGTGTGAAGAGACCACCAAACGGGCTTTGTGTGAGCAGCAAGGCTGTGTATTTCACCTGGGTGCAAGCGGGCTGAGTCCAAAAAGAGAGTCAACAAAGGGTGGTGGGATTATCGTTGTTTTTTACAGGTTTTGGGATAGGTGGTGGAGTTAAGAGCAATGTTTTGGGGGCAGGGGGTGGATCTCACAAACTACATTCTCAAGGGTGGGGAGAATTACAAAGAAACTTCTTAAGGGTGGGGGAGAATATAAAGAAATTTCTTAAGGGTGGGGGAGATTACAAAGTACAAAGATCAGTTAGGGTGGGGCAGAAAAAAATCACAATGGTGGAATGTCATCAGTTAAGGCTATTTTCACTTCTGTGGATCTTCAGTTGCTTCAGGCCATCTGGATGTATACAAGCAGGTCACTGGGGATATGATGGCTTGGCTTGGGCTCAGAGGCCTGACATTCCTGTCTTCTTATATTAATAAGAAAAATAAAACAAAATAGTGGTAAAGTGTTGGGGTGGTGAAAATTTTTGGGGGTGGTATGGAGAGATAATAGGCAATGTTTCTCAGGGTTGCTTCGAGCGGGATTAGCGGCGGCGTGCGAACCTACAGTAGGAGAGATTCAGCTGAAGATTTTGGAGTGGGGGTGTTATTGTGGGGTTGTTAGAAGGAGCATTTGTCATATAGAGTTATTGGTGATGGCCTGGATGCGGTTTTGTATGAATTGAGAAACTAAACGAAAGACACAAAGTCCGAATAAAAGAAGGAGAAAAATAGGTATTAAAGGACTAAGAATTGAGAATACCCAGGACATCCAATTAGAGAGTGTCCAAGGGGGTTCGACATCATTGTTTGCTTGGTTGGCGAGTTTTTGGGCTCTATCCTTGAGTTTTTTTATGTTGTCATATACCAGGCCAGATTGATTTAGGTAAAAACAACACTCTTCATTTAAAAATATACAAAGTCCTCTTTTTTAAGCAGTGAGTAAGTCGAGGCCTCGGTGATTTTGGAGGAAAGAGAAATGCAAAGCCAGCAATTGTTAAAGAAGGATTAGAAATGGCTAGGAGAGAGTGAGTTTGATAGTGTGGTGGAGATAGCTGGGGAGAGGTAGAGGGTGGCATAAGAATGGGAACCAGAATAAGAGTGAGTATAAAAGTAAAGAATAGGACTTCATCAGGGTGAAAGTATTGGAGGGTACCTTGCCACTGAAGATCTTCTATCCACTTCAAGAGAGACTTAAGGGTGGTGATTTGAGGTAAAACCAGGAGCCACTAAATACCAAGAGCCTGAGAAACTGCTTGGGTGATTTGACTAATAAAGGCTGGTCCGTTATCGGACTGTACAGAGGTGGGAAGGCCAAACCGAGGAATTATGTCTGACAGAAGGGAAGAAATGACCGCGGTGGCCTTCTCAGACCCTGTGGGAAAGGCCTCTTCACCCATCCAGTGAAAGTGTCTACCCAGACCAAGAGGTATTTTAGTTTCCTGACTTAAGGCATGTGAGTAAAGTCAATTTGCCAGTCCTGGGCAGGGGCAAATCCCCGAGCTTGGTGTGTAGGGAAGGGAGGAACACTGAACACTCCCTGAGGAGTAGTAGAATAGCAGATGTAACACTGAGAAGTGATTTCCTTGAGGATAGATTGCCACGATGGAAAGGAAATGAGAGGTTCTAAGAGGCAGGCTAGTGGCTTGTAACCTACATGGAAGAGGTTATGAAATGACGACAGAATAGAATAGGCCTGTAAGACTGGAAGGAGATATTTTCTTTGGTCCAAGAACCATTTGCCTTGTGTGGGAAGAGATTGATAGGTGGAAGTTTCAGTGGGGGAGTAGGTGGGAGTGACCAGATGAGAAGGAGAAAAACTGCCATGAGGAATAGAAGTTGGAAAAAGCTAGCTGCTTTTTAGCTACCTTATTAGCATAAGCATTGCCCTGAGTGATGGGATCTGATGCCTTTTGATGGCCCTTGCAGTGAATGACTCCAGCTTCCTTTGGAAGTAAAGTGGCCTTGAGAAGAGTTTTTATTTAAGAGGCATTAATGATGAAGGACCCTTGCATAGTGAGGAAACTTCTTTCTGCCTATATAACAGCAGGGTGGTGCAGGATATGGAAGGCATATTTAGAGTCAGTATAAATATTGATGTCCCTTTGCAAGAGTGAGGGCTCGAGTTAAGGCAATGAGTTCGGCTTGCTGAGAGGTAGTGGAGGGAGGCAGAGCGGTAGCCTCAATGATAGATGTGGAAGATACTATAGCATAGCCTACCTTTGCTGGTGAGTGGCGATTAGGCTGGTGGAACTGCCATCAATAAACCAAGTGTGTTCAGGGTGAGGAACAGGAAAGAAGGAAATAAGGGGAAATGGGGTGAATGTCAGGTGGATCAGAGAGATACAGTCATGGGGGTCAGGTGTGGTATCGGGAATAATGTGGAAGGTTGGATTGAAGTCTGGGCCAGGAACAATGGTAATTGTGGGAGACTCAACAAAGAGTGAGTATAGCTGAAGGAGCCAGGGAGCAGAAAGTATATGCGTCAGGTGGGAGGAAGAAAATAGATTTTGGAACTGTAGAGAGTGAGTTGAGCCTCATTATGTTGACCAGGCTGGTGTTGAACTCCTGGCCTTAAGCGATCCTCCTAAAGTGTTGGGATTATGGGTGTGAGGCACCATGCTTGGCTATTTCTATTTTCAGATGGAAAAACCAAGGGTTGAATTGTCTTTTTCAGACATTCAGTGGAATGTAATATGGACTGTAACTTCCTGTGAGTCTGGGTTAGCTTGGGGTGCCAATGAAGAGAAATGTGCTAACAATGCACTGTGGTTTCCATTTCCACCTCGTCTATCCAGGAGCAGTTAGAATCTAGGGCTCCTCTGAGTGCCACTGTTAGATGGGGATGGGGAACAATCTAACATGAGGGAGAAGGTCTTAATGAAAAGAGAGGGAAGAGAGGCAAAGAAAGGAGGAGTACACGTGTGACCACTAAGTTCTGTGGTTAGTGCACTAAATGAAGGTGCATGGCCAAGGGGTGAGTGGCAACTGAGATCCAGTTTGTGCTGTTTGCCAAGCCAAGCACCCTGGTACGGGGCGAGACTGAGGGGTTTGAGGGGGGTGGGGGGTTGATGTCCTTTCTGATGCATGTCAGTCCCACATAGGCTAGCGGTGCCTCTGCAACTATACCATCCTAGCTAAGTAGCGAAGAATGGGGGATAGAGGGAGGGGAGTCGTGGATGCTTGGTTGAGGAAGAGATTTTTTTCCTTTCCTTTTTAAATCTTAAAATAGTTAACTGACAAAGATTAAATATAGTCAAAGTGTACAATGTGATGATCTGATAAACATGTATGTTGTAATTACCACAATCAAGTTAATGGACACACCCATCACCACCCATGCTGTATATTAGGTCCCCAGAACTTGTTCATCTTTTAACTGAAAATTCGCACTTTTGACTAACATCTCTGCATTTCCCACTCCCCTCCCCTAAGCCCCTGGCAACCACTGTTCTATTCTCTGCTCCTGTGAATCTGACTTTTTTAGATTCCACATGGAAGTGAGATCGTGCACTATTTGTCTTTCTGTGCCTGGCTTATTTCTCTTATCCTTCATGTTCGTCTGTGTTATTGTAATGGATAGGATTTCTTTTTTTTTATGGCTGAAGAATATTCCGTTGTTTATATATACCATAATTTCTTTATCCATTCATCTGTCAATGGGCACTTACGTTGTTTCTGTATCTTGGCTATAGTGAATAATGCTGCAGTGAGAGTGGGAGTGCAGGTATCTCTGATACACTGATTTCATTTCCTATGTGTATATACACTTCTGGGTATGTACCAGATTATATGAAAGTTCTATTTTTATTTATTGAGGAAACTCTGTGCTGTTTTCCATAATGGCCATAAGAGAAAGAGATTTGTAAGTAAGCCTCAGAGTGAGCAGTTCATGTGCTCCCAGCAGCCTGAGGCTGTATCTTTCCTAGAGCTCTCCAACCTCTAGGGTTTTACACTATGGGTAACAAAGGAGAGGACAGAGGCACTCAAGGCATTACAATAGGGCTTCTGCATTGTGTGTGTGTGTGTGTGTGTGTGTGTGTGTTCATGTTTTGAGTGGCAGCTGCTAGCTTAAAGAGAGAAAGTTGGTTTCAATTTAAATTTCTCCCTGGGTTATGGGAGTTTCCTTTTTGGTAGTGGGGGTGGCTGTGCCACCAACGACATTTACAAATTGCCATAGATCCAATTCTAGTGTAAACCACTGAGCTCTGGGGGTTTTCTCTTGCTGCTAGATTGATCCAGTGACCTCAGAGGCATTGTGACGTGGAGAGTGAACTGTGAAGTGAGACTTGGACAAAAGTTGCTGATGCTAGTCCTGCTGATAGGAGATTGCGTGTGTGCATATCTCAGTGGATGAACTGGAGGGGAGAGGAGAGCAGAGCTGAACTGAAATCCTTTACAACTTGCAGGCACTAAACCTCTCAAATCATCATTGAAAAGTCATTAGAAATCTGGCAGAAGAGCACAGTGCAGATTGCCAAGAGAGGACACAAAACCCCATTTTCTCTCCACAATACCTGTAATGAACTGGAAGGGCTGGGGTGGAGCTGAAAAACAGATTTCCTGCCATAACTAAAGTCTCTTTTCAGCCTGGTTTGCTACAGTTTTACAATGTGTTAGAATTTACATTCACATGTTTGTTAACCATTCTTCAACGCAATGAAACGTTTTATCTGTCTGACCTCAACCTTTGCCATATGGTACCACAAACTGTTGAGCCTCAGTCACACCATGGGAGGGAGGGGGTCTGGGGGTCAGTGGACCGGCAGCAGCATATTCAGTCCAGGTCTCAATAGGACTCCATGACAGGAGTCCTGTCCCCACTGCAAGGAGGTCATTCCCACAAATTCATTTAAAAGGCAAAAATGCCCTTCATGAGCATGTGTTCTTTGCAATTGCTAAGTTCTGCGTCATGATTGGTGCAAATTTTCATTGGAAAAGTTAAAGGAATGTGTGGGTCACTTGCAGCAGATGTTAGACCTATAACTTGATCATTTTTCAGGACCAGAAACCTCGAGATGTGAGCTCACCTTGGGGTTTGGGACAGCACCTTCTGCCCTCTGCGGCTTAGTACAAATTAGCTTTCTGGAATAATGAGAACAAGTGTCCCAAGACTGGAGCAGCTGGCTCGCCTGTTTTGAGGAGCGGGGAGAGGACTCAGGGAGTCAGTCTCTCAATAGTTAACCCAGGCGAATTGTTCGTTGTACAGGACAAATTCAGTTAGGGAAAATTAAATATTTCCTTGAGTGTGAACCACTGATGAGGAAAGAGAGAGATAATTAATTATTTGATTATTTGAGGCCAGGGACAGAGTGGTTTTAGAAGAGCTCTAAGTCTTATTGATTCATTACAAGGCCACGGGGACAACCAGACACTTCAGTTAATGCCAGTATGAATGTCCTATGAAAGACACACCCAACAGAGCCTTAGAGTCACAGGCCATAGTATACACTCATTTCCTCCCCAGCTCCTTACCTAGACAGGGGTATACTCAAACTGTCACAGGCAGATTTTATCTTATTCCCAAAGATCTCCTACAAGAGACAGACATATAGATCCCTTACTATCCTTTTCATCTTAATTGTCTTTCTCTGCTGGTATTTATTATCTTGACTCTGCTCGTCTGTGGTGGGCAATGCCACCACTCAGTTTATTAGTGTTGAGAGTTTAGGATAACTGATCTTTGGAGATGGCTCTTAGCCTTATAATTGTAGGTCTCCGTGGCCATCCATTCATTTGACAAGTCCATATTAACTGCTTACTATGCACTAGGTGCTGATGAACAGCAATGCTTAAAATGGACAAGAAGCCCTGACTTTAAGTTCAGGTGATATGCTTGGCTTCCTGTAGTTTGATCAAAGTACAAGCCATTGTTGATTCTACAGCACAGAGTATTTTGTGGTATACTGTGTGAATGTGTGTGTCTTTTCCTGTTTTCTTAAGGAACTGTTCATTGGCCACTTCAACAGCAAGTATATACGTATACTGACTATGCTCATGATCTAGGGATTTCCGAAGCATCCAGCTCTGTGTTGTGCTATGCTGGGCCCCAACAAATTACATAAAACCCTCACGATCTCCTGCCCTCTGAGGATGAACATGGACAACAGAGCTCAGGGCCCACTATGAGCTCATGCATCAGTTCCCTAAGTTAGTTAAAAAACTGTTCTTGTTCCATCTTTTCTCAACATGTTCCTTCACTCTGGCTTGACTGACATGAACACTACTCTCATGGCCTCCAATTTGGAATCTAACTTCTTATATGGAACTTTCATTAGCTCCCAGCAGGAGCATTGCCTGCAGCTTTTTTTTTTTTTTTTTCCAGTGCTTGGCTCTGCAAACCTCTTTTTCCCTTAATTGATCAATTTTCCTGTTCAGAAATAGATATAATCAGATATATGGCTCGGTAGCCTCCCCGAAAAAGCATTAGTTTGTCTACTTAGACAGGCATTAGGTTTGACACCCTCGAGGGTTGCTTTTCTTTTTCAAGAAAAATTAAGTGACTAAGTAAGAGGGTGCTAAAACGAAGTTGTATTACTGCTTGGCATTTAATTGGGAAACTTGCTAATGTGTCCTTTGAACTCTTGGTTTTCCCTTTCCCTGAGGAATTGCTGATACTTTGCTTTAATGGCAGCATAAAAATCTCAGTTTGACCCCGGGTGGCGTTATTTGGGCTTTAAGAATGCAAATTGTTGTTTTTAGTGCATTCATTGGCCTAGTGATTCTGACAGCCACCATATCCAAGTAACTGACTGTTCAAAGGAAGTTTCTAACTTGGAGGGCTTCTTAGCTCTTGGGATCTTGAAGTGTTCTATTGGTGGTTGGTATTCACAACTCCCATTTCATGAGGCTGATCTGTAATGGAAGTCAATGGTTGCAAAAAGGAGGGGTTGGGGGAAATGGGCAGAAATTGCTTTCCCTGAATAAAGAATTATGATAGGGTTGGAAGCAAGTGGGCTTAGGAACAAATAGACCTGCATCTGAATTCATTCTTCCCTTACTCATTTTTGTGCATGGCTCAACAACTCCCCAAGCCTCAGTTTTTGCATTTACAAAATGTAAGCAGTATATATAAATCTTGTCATAACTCAATTGTACAAAAATATAACTTTCAAAATTTTCTGATAATGAACTTTACATCTATTGTAAGATATTTTGTTCAGGATATAACTTAATCCCAGCCAACCTAGGGGCCCCTCTCACCTTTCCTTGTTTCTTGTAGTGTCAAAGCATTGGAGAGAGCCAGTCCTGACCTAGCTATTATCTGTCCACCAAAATCCAACACAGTGACCTTTGACCCTTCTGGATCTTGATTATCCATCAAACTGAGTTTGCCCCTGAGGTGCCCCTTGCTCTTGTCTATGCGGACCCATCAGGTCCTCTGATTCTCTCTTCTACTATCATGCTATGCATGAGACCTCTGCAATAATTTTGTTACTCTCATGCAACACTGGGGCATAAAAATCTCTGTGGCTCAGCTAAGCTGCCTTTGTTTTGACTCACTGTACATTTCTCCCTAGAGGCCTCACTGCCTCTCTGGGGCGCTGCTGGTCATTAGGTGCAGGGTTCCCTCTCTGGAGTTCAGCAACCTCCATTATATCATCCCTCTCCCTAGCAGAAAAAAATGGTCTAGTCTCCAGGGAAAGCTCTACTCTTAAACTTCACTTCATTCAAGCATTTAACCTATGCCCAAGGTCCTTTTGAGTCTTATAAAAACATTGAATCTTTAGAATGGAATGCCAGAATATTTTTTTCTTTGCTTTGCTTTCTACCTGTTTCATCTGCCCCCTAATGCGATAAGTATTGACTGGTCCAGTTGCTTGAATTGGGAGCAGTGAAGAGGTGAAAGAAAGCACAGTATCCAGAGCAAAGCAGAAAATCAATTAATCATTCCAAATATTATTCTGCCTCATGGGGATAATAACATCCTCCCTGTAAATTGTTGTAGAGTTCACATAGGAATGTGAATCGCTTGGTCCCGAGATGCTCAAAGAATAGGTAGGTGTCATAATCCATGCCATCTCTACTTCCCCTCATGGTTCTAAGGGAGTGTGAGTGTCAAGGCTGGATTTAGTGCCCTTTCTGCCACATCACTTTCTCCTTTGGTTTTCCTTATGTCAGTGTTCTTTATTTGCTCATTTGCTCATTTGTTTATGTCAGGAACTAGGGAATTATCTTGAACACCTCTCCTTTGCCTCCCTTTTCCTAATCATGTTCCCAAATCTAGTCATTGCCAAATCTAAGACTAGATTATTCTCTCTCTCTCCCTCTTTCTCCTTCTCCTCCTCCCCCTTCTTTCTCTGTCTTCTCTCTTCACTACTCTCCCAACCCTGCAGTCCAGGTTTCTGCTATCTCTTTCCTGAACTACTATCCTATTCTCCCCATTGGTATCCCAACAGCCGCTCTTGCCCACCTTTAATTCTTTCAGCAGCCAGAGGATGTACACACACACACACACACACACACACACACACACACACACACACAACTCTGCTGACTCGCTTACTTCCAATTTCCTGATGAGAATGAAATGTAAAACTTGCTCACATGTCCTATGAGGCCCTGCCTGACCTGGCCCTCAAGCCTCATTTTATTCCACCCTGCCCTGTACAGATGCACAGCTCCAGAACCAGCGCACCCTCAGTGCTTCTGGCAGACCTGTCCCTGGGGGACGCTCCGTTCCTCTCGCCACAGTTGATGCTTCTAGCTTTTACATCTCCCCATCAGATCTCCATGCTGACCTCTGACTTGCCCACTCTCTGCAGATGACCTGACCTCCAGCTTTGAGAAAATAGAGGGCATGATTTCAGAGCTCCCTACATTGAAATAGTTTTCTCTTCACTGTTCCTTCTTTTCTCTCCCATTTCTCAGAACCGACACACCCCACAGTCTTTCCCAGGTTTGTCTTTCTTCCTCAGCTCCTGGTTCCTTCCTTGTTTGCCCTGCCTAGGATTGCCTGACGGAATGCAGGACACTTGGTTAAATTAGGATTTCAGACAAATAGTGAGCAACATATTTAGTATAACTGTGTCCCAAATATTGCACAGAGCTAAAAATTATTCATTGTTTATCCAAAATTCTAATTTAACCGAGTGTCTTGTATTATAGTTTTATTTGCAAAATCTGATAAACTTAACCTTATCACTTTAAATGTTTCTCTTTCTCCCCTTCTACTGGGTGCTCCCATGCAGCTTTGACATTTTTGCAAGCTACTTCCACTGAAAAACTCTTGGACGCTAGCAAATCATTCCCTTGATTCTGTTCTCCTTCAAGCTAGTACCCTACCTCTATAACCTGCCCTTGATTCTTCTTTACTTGTCTTTCATTATTTTGGTCTTTGCAATATGATTTCCAGTTTCACCACTTGACACTCTTCTTAAATATCACAAATGCTTTCCAAATTCCTTCTTTAGAAATCTTCATATCCAATTAAACTTTTCATCTGGGCGTCCCACAGATATTTCTCCTTACATACTCTGTGCTCCCAAATGTCCAGCAGTTAACTTTTAATTGCTCTCACAATTTCTCCCTCTTTCTGCTCCAATTGTTGTAATTTTAGAGTATCTACATAGATCTAGTTGCCTACGTTACAACCCATGAAGTCATATTCAACTCTTTCCTTTTATTTATCATCCCCAATACAATCAATTACAGGGTTTTATGACTTTTGTCTCTAGAATAAACTCTTCTCAGTATTGTCCTTTTTTTAAACCTCTCTGTCCCTACATTAGGTTATGTTTCTATCATTTCTCATTGGATTCATACCATTTTCAGGTCAAGAGGGATGCAATATTTTGTGTATTTGATGGATATGCCAAATTAGCCTCAGAGATTATACCAAATTTCATTCTTGCCGATAAGGGATTGTTAATTTTAAGGAATCCTTCCCAAAGCTAATTATTGTCTTCAAAAACAACTTCAGCAATCCTTTAGGTAAATATTCTATTTTGAAGTTCTAATCACATTACTAATAAGGTTGAACACTTTTTAGCCTCCATATCTTTATGCAAGTCAAAGCTGGATCTAAATCTCCTGCTTAAAATCTTTCATGGCTTCCCATTGCCATGAGATGAGATCTGAAATCCTTGGCATGACAGTTAATGCTTTTCACTATCTGGCCCCCAAATATTTTTTCAAATTATATTTCACCCTATCACCCTCCCCTCCTCCATGGAGTAATAGGGAGTGCAGAAGGAGGGTAAGATGGTGAATTCTTTGAGGTCAGCAGCTGTGCCTTTCCTCTCTCCTACTACTGTAATCCCAGCTCTAGCACGTAATAGGTGCTTAATGAGTAGAAAGGTGATGAGTGAGAATGAGTGAATGGGAATGAAGGCTTTAGTGGAGAGAAAGGCAAAGAGGAATTAGGGACAAGAAATAGCATCGGGTGGTAGACGGTGGTGGATGGTGTGCTAGAGACATCCAGGGCTTATGGTTCCGAAGTGACTGTCCTCCATAATGTCACCCATCAATAGAGGCTAGGATATAAAAGTAGATCATTTAGGATAATTCACGAAAATGCACACACAACTGTACATGTTGTTAATCTTGTGCAATGTATCTGGAAAAGTGAAGAAGTCATTTTCTTGAGACTATAACAGCAATCCCTGTGCCAGCAATCTTAGGACAGGACTTTTTTAGCTGGCTGCAACCCCACCCCTACTCTCTGAGCTCCAAACCTAGTAGTTCCCTTGTAGGGATTTGCCGACTTTCCTCCACCTCCACCAAATGGCAGCAGCCAGGCACCGCAGCTTTGCACAGCTCCAGTTACCTGGCCTCTCCTTGAGTTTCCCCTCTTCACCTGGGTCCCTGGACAGCTCCCTTTCTGTCAGCACCGCCGGTAGAGGGCAGCTCCAGCATCGTCCCTGCTGCACCCTCTAGTGGCCGTTAGGATGTTGCATAACTTGAGAAACAGCTTTCCAGCTATCACATTCTCACTTTCGTTAAGTTCTCACTCATAAGTGGGAGCTAAGCTATGAGGACAGAAAGGCATAAGAATGATATAATGGACTTTGGGGACTCGGTGGTAACGGGGAAAGCTTGGAAGGGGGTGAGAAATAAAAGACTACACATTGAGTACAGTGTACACTGCTCAGGTGATGGGTGCCCCAAAATCTCAGAAATCACCAAAGAATTTATCCGGCCAGGTGTGGTGGCTCATGCCTGTAATCCCAGCACTTTGGAAGTCTGAGGCGGGCGGATCACAAGGTCAGGAGATCGAGGCCATCCTGGCCAACATGATGAAACCCTTTCTCTACTAAAAATACAAAAATTAGCTGGGTGGTGCGTGCCTGTAATCCCAGCTACTTGGGAGAGTGAGGCAGAAGAATTGCTTGAGCCTGGGAGGCAGAGGTTGCAGTGAGCTGAGATTGCATCACTGCACTCCAGACTGGTGACAGAGTGAGACTTTGTCAAAAAAAAACAAAAAAACAAAAAAAACCAAAAAAACCAAAAACAAAAAAAGGTATCCATGTAACCAAAAACCCACTTGTACCTTAAGAACTATTGAAATACAAATAAAAATTTTAAAAAAAGTAACCGGGAAACAATCTATGTAATCCTACAATATCACAAGGCATTAACTGTGCTCATCTATTCTCTGAGGCAAGGCTCTTATTCCACACATGGCTCAGGCAGAGTTTGAATCCATTGTTGAGGGGGCTTGGCAACAGCTCCAAATCTCCCCACTCTTATCTTAGGGCACAGAGACTCATCTGTGTATTGAGTTCCAGGAACATCTTTACATAACCCCAGAGTTCCATAAAGGCAATGTGTAAATTCAGCTCCAATAATGACTCGGAGTTCTGTGGATGATTTACAATCTATGTGATAAGACCACCAATTGGTGTTATGATGCTACGTATTTTGATTAATTGCAATACAGGGCAACACATAGAAATTCAGAACGGTAGGACTGCCACCGACAATCTTGATCTTAAAATAAAGAGCAGTGTGAAGAAGCCATCTAGCCTGTAACCTTTGTATTCAGATGCTGCTCCCATTTTTAGGCTGACTGACTCTCACGGCTCATGCTCATTTTACTTAGGGGAAGAAAACAACCCTCAGATACTAGAGAGTCTTTCCCTAAACTCCCAGCCTCGCTGCAGCACAGCCCATGCTCCAACTGTCAGTCTGATGCCCCAGCTGTCATTTCCTTCCTGCTGCTCCTCTCCCCAGAGTCTAATGGAGTCTCCTTGAGGCAGCTGAAGGAGTGACAGATAGACATGTTGTATAGTGGGGCCATTTGCGGCAGCCACGTGAGGTGTGGAAAATGTGATTTATAGATATTTTTTTCCCCAGGGGAAAATGGATTTCATTATTTTCCACCTCAGGTAAGGGGCAAACCTCTGGGCTTGACCTTGGAAGGTTGTGCAGCTAGAATAGTGCTGCCTGAAATGCTGATATAAAGTAAAACCTCATTAAATCAATATTGGTTATTCAAAATCATGCTTGATTGGAGCCAACTGCTTTTCTTCAGCAGCCTGATGCCCCATTCTTTCTTGAGCAAAAATATGAGATACTCTGAAGTGAGTTAAGTTGGTTAAGTTTTTTTCTGGTCCTTAAAGTTTCAAATTAATACAGTTTTATTATGTTTCAAATGGAAGACAGTTCTAAAACACCAAGTCCAATATTGATTATAATCTACCACTATCACATGTATGTTTATTAACAAAAATCCTGTTTCCATAAAAAAGTCATGCATTTTCTCTTCCCATTTATATAGGTGCACAATGTCTGCTTATTGGAATAAATAAGCTGTGGGTTCCTAGGCAAATTGAAGTTATGTAAATAAACAGCCAGTGGCTAATTATCCATGGCAGTGAGCTGCTGGGACAGCTGATGGATAAATTCTGTTGTCAATCTTAAAGTCTTCTAGCCAGAGTGAGGCCAGGCTGAAGGAACTGGGAGAAGGTGTGAGATCCCAGGTGACCTTCAACAATTTTATGTGCCATCTTTTCACCAAATCAAATCAGTGGTAGCAGACATTATCAGTGGTCATTTGGGTTTTCATTAAAGGACATTGAAGTGTCTCAGAAGAGATTACGCATTCAATTAGAGGCCTGGTTCATCTGCAAATTATTAAGTAGCAGGTGTATGTTTATCTTCATGATCACTCCAGAAAGTCCTGATTGTGCCCACAGTGTACAGATTACCAGAATGTTAGGTACTCTGAGGCCTTCAGAGGCAGTACTGTATATTTGTATGTTTGCCATCCATTGACTAAAGAGTTTTTAAGATTTAATTGAGGCAGGGCATTGGATTGAATATCTCCTTCATATCATCCCTTCCTTCTTTCCCTAGCTTCTCCCTCTGGTTGAAGCCAGGGTAGTGGCTATTGTTTATGTCTTTATTTATATCTTTATTTTTTTTGAGACAGGGTCTCAGTCTGTTGCCCAGGCTGGAATGCAGTGGCACAATCATGGCTCTCTGTAGCCTTGACCTCCTGTGCTTAAGCGATTATCCCATCTTAGCCTCACTAGTAGCTGGGATCATGGGTGTACGACACCATACCCAGCTAATTAATTTTTTTTTTTTTTTAAGACACAAGGTCTCGCTATGTTGCCCTGGTTGGTCTTGAATTCCTGGGCTCAAGCGATCTCCCTGCTTCGGCCACCTATGTCAGTGTGGCCTTGGAGACAACCATGCAAGCCTATTTTAAGAAAATCTGCTACATGAAAAATGGAATTTATAAAACCAGGAAATGAGGGCATGGCCACTCTTTTGGCACCCTAGCCCACCCCCACATGGCAGCTCAAAAAATTTTTAGGAAATTGTACATGAAAGCCACACATTTATTTTTTCAGCATTGGCAATGATGATTATTTAAGTGTTTAATCACCCAATGTTCACCCCAAAGTGCAAAGGATTCCTTCCAGATTCCTGTAAACCATGAACTTTCCTGGGAATATTTTTGGTGTTTTTAAATTTGCTCACTGTTCTTTTTAGGTGCTTCTCTATGGAGTGACCAAGGACGCTCTTAGGTGGCACAGAGGGACACTTGGATTGGAAAAGTTTGGGGAACATTAACACAGCCAGGAGGCCTGTAATCCAGGGTGGCTGGTTTGGAAGAGCCACTGAGGACATTCTGCAAATTAGACATTGCGCTTTTATCTACCCCTTGCCCTCATTAATTTTCCCCAATACATTGTTTTCCCAGGATTGCAATGAAATGTACCTTGTTCATGATTTGTCTAGTCATAATTAGAGTCTTCCTTTCTCTTGTTAGACAGTAATGCCAATAATGACTGCAAACATTTTGTCTCCTTTTAGAAAGGCACAGAGCCAAAATCATTATATCTGTGAGTTGATGTCAGATTTATAATGCAGAGATGCAAGCTTCACACTCCATATGTATGCCAAATTTTTATTAATCCTTTGGAAGGTTTAAACTGTGCATTAAGAAGATATCCTGTTTTTTTTTTTTTCCTGATGATTTTTTTTTTGGTCTTATTTATTTGTGCCGAAAAGCCAGAGCTTTCTGTTTACCATGACTCATTTTTAGAGGAGGTGAGTGGGAGTAAAGAGAGATGCAGGGAAGAGGAGTGGTAATGTGAAAAGTGAAGAGGAAAGATGGGTAAGGAAGGGTCTAGGGAGAATTGTAAAGGGAGAGGAGGGAAAGCTTAAGGGAGGAAGGAGGAGAGACTTAGGAACAAAGACAAGAGGTGGTGTGGGTGTGTGTATGTGTGTGGTGTGTGTGTTAGGGAAAATAGAGCGTTTAGAAAGAAACAGACAAAACAGAGGGAAAAGTTAACTTGATTGACTTGTTTTGGCCAGTTATCTTCACCTGTGCTTATACTCAGATATGCCAAAGAATAGTTTAAAAATAGACTGAATTTATCACATGTGGCTGAGCAGATTGCTCCCAAGGGAGTGTTTTCCTGGGCCCAAATTGTAGGATCCCACCAATTTTGCACTGCAGAAGAGGTAATTTACTTCACACAAGTGAGCACTTGGCTTCCCAGGAGAGTATTTCTTTCTTTCTGGCTCATGACAGAATGGGGTCCAATATTCCCAGCCTTGTTGGTGGGAATTACAAACCCATAAACCAAGGAAGGGAGATAATGAATGGATCTTGATATTACTTGGATGCGAGAAAGACAGCACCATCTTTTCTAGACTCTTGACTTGGGCACCCTAGCCCACCCCCACATGGCAGCTCAAAAAATTTTTAGGAAATTGTACATGAAAGCCACACATTTATTTTTTCAGCATTGGCAATGATGATTATTTAAGTGTTTAATCACCCAATGTTCACCCCAAAGTGCAAAATTCTCAGTTCCCTCCCAAGCCACTGGGAAAATAGGTTTGGAGTCTGATGAGCTGCCTGCTGCTGGCTCCCCTGTTTTCTGGCATCAAGGTTTCTCAATAGTGAACTCAACAGTTGCATTTTCTTTTTTTCTTTTTTCTTTTTTTTTTGAGACAGAGTCTCACTCTGTCACCAGGCTGGAGGCACAATCTCGGCTTACTGCAACCTCCACCTCCTGGCTTCAAGCGATTCTCGTGCCTCAGCCTCCCTAGTAGCTGGGACTACAGGCATATGCCACCACACCCAGCTAATTTTTGTGTTTTTTGTACAGATGAGGTTTCACCATGTTGGCCAGGATGGTCTCGATCTCCTGACCTCGTGATCGGCCCTCATCGGTCTCTCAAAGTGCTAGGATTACAGGCATGAGCCACTGCGCCCGGCCAACAGTTGCATTTTTCACCTGGTTTACTATCAGAAAACCAGGGAGCAGATAATTGTATTTCATGAGTCGATGGTGAAGGTACTCAGTTCCAGCCAAGGTCAAGAGGCTGATAATGTTCAACCAGGAGAAACAGTTTGTGTGAGAGAATTCATTTCCAGGTGCTCATTTTTACTGGAGGAAAGAATCTCACTTGGATTCCTTTGTATTCTTCTCCAACATGAAACAGAAAGTTCAGAATCCTCAGCCACTCTGGGGACCCTTGCTGAATTGGTGTGAGTGCAAGACTTCCCGGAAGACTAGAGGCTCTGGCTTTTAGGAGGATTCTCAACTTTCACGGATCTCCTCAAACCTACTAAGAAAGAAAATAAAAGTACGTGCCTGCAAATATCCTCCTCGATGGGCAGCAAATGTGCTGGGACCTTGCCACCTGGTTGTATTGGACAAGGAAATGAATGTCACCCTCCAGTCACACACAGGGCTGCTCCTGCCTCTGTCTGGAGCAAAATCAAGATGCTTCCCCAGAAGTGCTCCAACTGCCCCATGTGTGCCAGGCTTAGCCATCTAACATGTATAAATATCCAACATTCATCCCTCCATATTATAGATCAGCATTGTGGTCTATAATTATCTACCCCCCAGGATGACTCTGCAGTTTTCTGGGATTCCTGTTTTGATCATTTTCCAATGGAATTTGAGGAAGAGAGAAAGGGGAGACCTAGACTCCCCTCTTTGCTCTAGAAAAAAATGCACCAAAACAGGGTGAGAATGAAGGCAAACCTGTGAAGCCTGTGAATCTGTGAATGCTGTTCCACCAACTTGGAACACCCTTCTCTCTCCTATCAGCACCCGTTTACCTCAATTTTATTCATTTGTCAAGACTTATTAAGTCTCATCTGCTTCATGAAGACTTTCCCATCTATGTGTTCTCTCCCTCCCCTAGTCTCCTATGGTACCTACAATCTCTACCAGAATCTAATGTGAATGCAGACCATGTCTTGTATTTCTTCTCTCCTCCTTGCCTCCTTCCTGTGCCCCACACGGTGCTGGTCCATAATAAGCTTCAAGCAGTGTTTGTTGATCGACAAATTAAGATGAGCTCATTCTCCTTTCTGTAGCAGGAAACTGGAGCCATAGAAGTCATATTGCATGTCTCATGTGCAAGACTATCCCAATGGATTCCTGGGTCTGGACTTTCATTACAGGGCAATCTTAAGGGTAAAAGAATCTTCCCCTGTCCCCATCCCTCTTTTATTCTCTCTACTATTATTTTATATAGACGAGGTTGAGATAAAATGATGGTGATATGAGAAGGGCAGGGCCCCAGGCAGGGGGAAGGTCACCAAAGGTGAAGCTTGAGACAGTGTGTGGAGTCCAACTTGTTGAGCTTTCTGATGGTGGGGAGTGTGTGAATGTGTCTTGGGATCAGGCTTTTCAGAGGTCACTCTTCAGTCCTCCCAGAGACCTCTAAACAAATAGTGTGATTACAATGAGAACCTGAATGAACACCAGGAGGACAAAGAGCAGGGGCAGCCACTCTGCTATTAAGATTGGTGATGGTGGGCTGGTCATGGAAAGATTCACAGGGGAGGAGACCTTTAAACTGGGTTGCAAGACTGTGTCAGAGTCATGGTCCTTTAGCCTCATCAGTAGGAAGGGCTCCTAAAAGTCCTACAGAGGGATGCCCTGGTTCCAGGGCCCTGGATAGTGGCACACATGGGTACCTGTAGCACGAGTGCTCTCTCCTGGGCTGCCACAGACCCAGGAGCTTGGAGCGAGGCGGTGGGGTGCTCTGGTGATTTTGCCACCCTGTTCCCCAGGTACACAGAGCTGCCTCAGAGTCTTCCAGCTGCCTTGCTTGGGGACAAGGATGGCCAAGGCTGGCTGCTGGTGTTGTAGTGAGTCTCATAGCTTTCTCTAATGGTGGGGAAACAGACATTTGCTCTGGAGATTGAGCTCAAACTGGAAGTGGTGGGGACCAAAGGCTCAATCTCAGAGCGCTCTTGTCAGGGATGTCTGTCAGAGTGAAGATCCAAGTAGGCCACCCCTCTCTGGGAGTCGTCAAGTCACTGCTCATCAGGCCCATGAATGGGGAATAGCTTAGTGCTGAGAGGCAGTGGCAGCGTGATAAGAACCGTGCACATCACCATTAATTTAAACAACTAGAACGTGGCTCTTGTTCGGATGCTTGCCAAGCCTTGTGCTTTTCAATGCTACTGCCAGCATTTGCTGGGAACCTGTTCGCTTTGGCAGCTCTGGGTAACAGTTTGGCCCCAGAAAGCTTTGTTTAAAATGAAATGATCTGAATTGAAACCAAGGAGAGGTGCTTTGCTGTGGTGCAATCACAAGCTGCCTTCTGTCTTTGGACACTGTTGAGTGAAACGGCACCAGAAAAGAGCTCAGGAGTCACAATTGCGACCCTGCGGGCTCCAATGGAGGCCCCATGGGGCCTGCGGTGGGACTGCAGGATGTGCTGGAAACATCGCTGTACAATTTTTCTCTATGGTGTGGCGTTCTGAGCAGGTTGAAGGTTGATTATTACTGACCCATCCAACCATTCACTTGAAAATATTTATTGAATATTTCAGATGTGCAAGGCAGGTCTACAAATGTAGCTTATGTTCCCTGGGGTTCACAGTCCAATCATAACCACTGATACCTGAGCAGTGGATTGAATGACTAGTGTGGATCTGATTGCTAAATAATGAATTTAGCAATTTGGTCATTCAGTCAATCATTCTTTCATTTACGTGATTTAACCTACGTTCATTAAGTGATTTCTGATTGCCAAGGAAGTGTGCTGACTTTTTTTTTTTTTTGGCACTCAACTTTTCATGGAGGTGGCAGATGCATCCCTATGGAAACAGTGCGATTTCAGTGAAGACACCCTGTGAATGCCTGGAGGGCTCACAGCAGTCAACTTGGCTGTTAGGGTTGGTGGCAGGCAGCTGGGTCATGGAGGCTTCACAAGAGCAGGAGGCATTAGAGTTGGGCTTTGAGAGAGGAGAATTGTCAGAAAAAGAAGAGAAGAGGGAGTGAAAGCCAGAGGGAAGGTGATCTAGGGCAGAGGCCCTAGCATGGCAAAGGCACAGAGAAGCGACGATGCTGGGCACACGGTATGGCCAGAGTCGATGTGGGCAGGTGGAGCAATGAGCTAGCCCTTATTTCTTGGGGCTCTGTCTGTAAATGCTGAATTAGTATGCTGCTGAAATGAAATCTTAGAAGATTCAAAATTCTACAATCTGACTTTGAACTGAAGCACTAAAAATGTAGGCAAGACACAGCCAAACATTCAAAATGCAAATTCGCCTTCATGTTTCAAACTGGAAGCCTAAATTAATGTTGTTTGTTTTTCTAAATCCTCTACTTGTTATTGAGAAAAGCCTCCAAATTTCCTGGAAAGGTGATCATAGTAAGAATGTCACGGATATACTTTAAAAACATCTGCTTCATTCTTCATTTAGTTCTGAGGGTGAAAGCAGTTTGCCTATAGGAGAGGAATTGGGGATGAAGGAAGTGTTTTTATTGGCTGGGTCACCAAGCCTGCTAATTCCAATTCTGAGAAGAGGATTTTTAATGAGAGCTATTGCTATTTTGGATTTCTAGAAGGTAAAATTTCAGGGGCAATCTGTATGTTTTAACAAATTATGCTATTATGGACAAAGCTAGAATTGCTTCTAATCATTTCACAAGGGACATTTTAAAAGTTGCAGACAATTTTGCTATTTTGTCAGTGTGGGAAGGACCCATTTAAACTTTCCAACTGTATTAATTTTTAATTTAAATTTAATGAAACTAATTCAAATTAAGAAGGTGACCATTATCAATTTTGTTTCCTATTAGTTTCTTAATGCTTTGGCAAATTGCATTCTAAACTTCTCCTTCAATGAGCTGGATACATATTCATGGGTTTCCTAAGAAAAGATGAATTTGATCTTGATATGCTAATCCCATAGCCATGGCAGCAATCAAGGAGCAGCTAGGGAGAGAAGTGCATTCTGGTATTAATTATGAATCAGGCATTAAGAACTGGTAAATAATTAAAGCTTCATATGTCACAACACAAGTTAAGGATCAGTATGTTTTTCCATTACCAAATGCATTTTAGGGGCTACTTCTAGTCCCATTTCGATACTGCTTGAACATAAAATGAAATGTAGATAGGTAACTCTCATTCGTAGTAAACTCATAGTACAAATTTTTAACTTATTGAACAGCTGGTATAGAAATAAATTTCATTTCAGAAGCAGAGGCCCAGTATTTCTGGGAGATTTTGGGTCATTGACCTTCCCCACTACTCCTGAATTTTTTTCAGTCTTTGGAGAGCCTGTGCAGAATAATCATGTATTGGGCAGGAGGTTGAAGTAGATGTTCCTGAGGGTTTTGCTACTCAAAGTGTGGTCCACAGACCAGCAGCATCTGCATTACCTGGGAGCCAGTTAAAAATGCAGAGTCTCAGGCCCATCCAGACCCACTGAATCAGAATCCACATTTAAGCAAGTTTTCCAGATGATTTGTTTGTACAGTGAAGTTTGAGAAGCTCTGCTAAGGTGCCTTTCCTTTTGGGAAACTGGTGACTTTCCAACTTCCTGTATTTCTTCTTCTACACTGGAAAGGAGACCAAGTTCTACTTTGTCCCTCCCAGTATTCTAAATGACCACAGCTGTCCCCATCAGACTGTGAGGGGTTGGATACCTCTGAAGCCCATCTGAATGCCTCCAGGATGCTGGAAGCACTGGTCTTGGATTTGAATCCTGGATCTGATCTTTACGATCTTAAGCAAGTTACCAATCTCTTGGAGGCTCAGCTCCAGTGAGAGTAGCACTGCCTGTCTCAGAGGGCTGCAGTGAGGGGGTAAATGAAACAACATATATAGGAAATGATGCCTGTTAGCACTCTGCAAACGGCAGCCCTGATAGTGATTATGGTGATGATGATGATGATGGCACTGAGGAAAAAGTAACTTCTAAAAGAACGAATTGACAACCAGGAAAGAGATGATTAGCTCATTGGACAATGAAAATAAGCTTTAAAACTAATCATAGGCTACTGCAGTGGCTCATACCTGTAATCCTAGCACTTCGGGAGGTTGAGGTGAAGGATTGTTTGAGGCCAGGAGTTTGAGACTAGCCTGGGCAACATAACAAGACCTCATTTCTACAAAAAATAAATATTAAAAAAATTAGCTGGGCATGGTGGCACACACCTGCAGTCCCAGCTACTCAGGAGGCTGAAGTGGGAGGATCACTTGAGCCCAGGAGTTCAAGGCTGCAGTGAACGATGATAGCACCACTGCACTCCAGCCTGGGCAACAGAGTGAGATCCTGCCTCAAAGAAAAAAGAAAAGTAATCATAGACTGCATCATGATGGTCTCTGCCTGACAGAATGAATGAAAGTTTAAAGGAGAGGTTTTTTTTGGCATGGGTTTTGGAAGAAGAGGAGTAGTATTCTCAGAGAGTGAAACTTACCCAGAAAAACAGAGGAGAGTTTAAAGGGAAACCCCATTGCTACCTTTTTTGGCCTCTTTACTCTGTTTTTACTTTCTTCATATCACAATGCTGTACCAATTTTACCAAGTACACATTTGTCCCTTCATGAAGATATCGCACTCTCCTCTGGAGGGAAAAGTAAGTATCATTTTTGCTTTTTCTGAAGTTTAAATTAATGAGGAAGGACAAGTAAATGTTTGAAGTACCAAAGTCTAAAACCTCAATTTAAAAATTTCAACTTTATGAAGTTTACTTAAAATGATTGTTCTCAGTGACTCCTATCATCCTATCATGCCCCCAAACACAGTGACTGCCCATCGTGGAATTCAGCTTCTCTCTTATTTTCCACCCTATAGAATCCCCTTTCTTCAGTTCCCCTCAGCCACTCCTGTTCCCAAGAAGTATGAAAATGATATTTATTATAATAATAAATGTTGGCCTCTTCAAAGATAGAAAGAACTGTTCGTAGGATGGGGTTAAGGGACCAGATGCCAAGGAATGTTTTCATTGTCTTTTCAAAATGCTGAGGGAAAAGGAGAATGAGCAAGCTTTGGTATTTCCCATTAGCAGCTGCAGGGCACAAGGTCACGGGCTCTGGCCCTGCAGGAACATAAGAATACCGAATACGAAAGACTCCTTCCTTATTCTCTGTAAGGCACACCGTGGAATTACCTATTATGGCCATGAATTGCCACTTTATTTTCAAAGCCATGAAAGACAAGAAAAGCCAAATTAAAAAAAAAATCCTCATCTTAAATCTTTTCAATTTTTAAGTCTGTAAATACAGGGGTCAGGACAAGAGGTCTTTCTTTCAAAACATACCTTATGTCAGGTTGCACCATTGTGTAATATTTAGCAAGCAATATTTATCTCATCTGGGAGGTAAAGGATTTTTACCAGCTCTACTCACAAAGCAATTTATGGCCACATGCTGAAATTTATTAGAATTAGGTCTTCAACTTTCCATTTACATCTTGGGCACTGAGTTTGATTGGGTGTTGATTGGTTCTGAGGCTTTGCACTTGGTTCCAAAATTGGTGGCTTGCAGAATCTATGAGGTGGGAAGAAGGATGAGAGGATAAGGGGAGTTGCTAAGGTCTGACCTCAGAAATTTCCTTAACTGGAATTAATTTCTCCCTCCTGTCTTCTGGAGCACTGCGTACCTCACTTTAGGCACATGTCTGGCATGCCTAGTACTATGTATTGTCCTCATTTGGGGACCTGCAGCTCAGCAATGTGGCAAAGTCATTAAGGACTCGGAAGCCAACTACCTGTGCTTTTATCCTGCCTCTGCCACCAATTATCTGTGGAAGCCTAGGCAAGATATTCTCTGCTTCAGTCCCCTTATTTGCAAAATGTAGATGGTAGTAGTACCTTCCTTAGAGGGTCATAGTGAAAATTCAGTGGTTGAGTTAATACATGCAATGCAATTGAAACTGCCTGGCGTATAATAATTGGTGTGTTTGCTTGCTATTTCTCATCCCAGCTGCCTGACCCTCAGCTCCGGGAAAGAATTCATCTTCATATTTTCATAGTGCCAGGTGTAGTGCCATTCTGTAGTTCACATTTACTCATTCCACAAATACTTAATACATGCCTACAGTGGGCCAGGCACTGACTGACAGACATGATTGCTATGAAATGTATGGCTTTGCTGGAGAGATCGGCAAGTATTACAATACTTCTAATTGGGGAAGTGTGGGATGCAATAGAGTAAGTATCGGGGGTGCTTCTCTTGAACCTATGGGGGGCAGGCTAGGTTTCCTGGAGGAAAGTGATGCATCAGCAAAGTCTCGGATGAGCAGGTAAAGGGCACAGAGAGTTTTGGATGAAGAGAAGTGCCTATCAGGAAGGTGTCCTATGGATAACTCAAATGAGTGAGGGAATGAAAATAAATTTTGGTCAGCTTTTGAGAAGATGAGGGAATCCTAACGTCCTCTTAAATTGTTTTGGTTGAATGAGGAATGCCTAGGCACTCCTGATGGTCATGTTTTAATTCCCAGAATAAGGATGAATGATGGAAGAGGGCTGCCTAGAAGACCTCGTGGAGCAAAGGGCTTTGTGCTGAAATCAGGACTTGGACACATCCACGTGCTTTCTGAAGCACATTGCTTCCTTAATTGTTTTCTTATATAGTAGTTTCTTTTTATGCTCGGGGAATATGTTCCAAGACCCCCAGTGGATGCCTGAGACTGTGAGTAGTACCAAAGCTATAAATACTATATTTTTTCAATCTGATAACCATGACAGCTACTAAGTGACTAATGGGCAGGTAGTGTATACAGCATAGAAATACTGGACAAAGGGATGATTCATGTTCCAGGCTGGATGGAGCGAGATGGCATAAGATTTCATCACGAGACTCAGAATAGTGTGCAAAGTAAAACTTATGCATTGTTTATTTCTGGAATTTTCCATTTAATATTTTCAGACTGCGGTTGACTATGGGTAGCTGCAACTTTGGAAAGCAAAACCGTAGAGAAGAAGGGACTGCTGTACATATGTTTTATTGCCCTCTCATTCGGAATCTTGCAATGTCTCTAGCAACTTACCCTGATGGTATTGGCAGGCATTTTGACTGCAGATGAGTAAAAAGTTTATTGCAAAGAAAACATAGATCAGGCTTCCTTCCTTGTCTGCCCAGAACCTAACATTTTGAAACTCTGCCATCTTTGAAGGGGGTTTTGTTCCTATGTGGGTTGCTGTGGCTGACCCTCTACTCCATTTTTGAAGGAGATTTGTTCCTAACTGGGTTGCTATGGCAGCCCCTCCATTCCCTCTTTGAAGAGGGTTTTGTTCCTATCTGAGTTGCTGTGGCCGCCCCTCCACTCCCAAAGAGACTCATCCTTATCCTTTTCTATCTTCCTCACCATGTATTCATAGGACAAAGCTGACTTTTGAACTGGAAGACAGTGGGTTTAACTAAAAATAAGATTGGTTAGTCATTTAAAAGCTACAGAGACTGAGAGGCAAAACTTTCCAAACTCTTATTAGGTCCCCTCATTGGGAAGCTTTGGCATTGGGCAGAGGTGAGCCTCTGCCTCCCTTTCCTTTGAGAAGAATGGAAGTAGCCCTTGTCAACACATAGCACCTTTCTCTGAAGATAAATCCCTGATTGAGTTGGAAGCCTGGCTGCTTTCCCTGCCCCTTCATAGCAGGGTCCCTTTGACTCTCAGTAACTTTTTCAGCATTTCACTCAACATGATCAATAGCTTTTCGTTAATGCTTCTGGGCCCAGAGGAAGCAGAATAGATGAGAGAAGGCAAGTGGATTGATAAATACCTTAGAATCACCCAAAGGTAAATGGTTTTTTTATATATAGAATCCAAGAGAGAGATTCACTCTAAATGCATACCTTTCCTCAAGACAGGTGAGACTGCATTGCTCTCTGGAGGGGGCTGAATTGGCCATCAGCATCTTAAGAATGAGCCTATCTTTGCTTTCCTTTCCATGAAGAAGGAAATGTCCTTAGGACAAATCTCTCCTAGGATAACTTTCCAGAACAATTGGACATATCCACTGATTTTACCAAAAAGCCTATGTTTTTGTTTTTCTGGTGAGTTTATCATTCTGCAAAATGTGGGAGCTAGAATTGGATTACATAGTAATTTCTCATGAGAAGACAGCAGTGAAATTAGGTAAGTGGCAGGGTTTATGTTCCAGCCTCTTTGCCATGCCAGCTTGTGTGTTTCACATTTGGACAATGCCCTCAGAATTGTCTAGCTCATGTGCAGGGTGGGCACACAGTTAGGGAAATACAACAGAACAGCCACTGTTAGAGCCTTGGGGCTGAGAAAATCCCACCACCTAAAAAAGCAACTGGAGAGTGGAATCCCATGGTTCTCAGTGAAAATGGAAATGGTGACATTTTATTTCTCTAGCTGGGGACCCATATGGGCTGACTTCTAGAGCAGGGTTTTCAAACAGCATTTTATGGACCCATGCTTCCTTTCTTCTAGTCCCCATTGTATCTCCCTAATAAAACCATGATCACCTATTGTTGCTTATTTATTTATTGATATGCCGCAGCTTATAAGATTATATAGCCCTTGCATTGTAATAGTCTCTCCTAAAATAGCATTCACTTAAAAATGATCAAAGTACAGTTGATCCTTGAACAACATGGGTTGGAGCTGCCTGGGTTCACTTATATGTGAATTTTCTCCCCGCTGTGCCACCTCCAAGGCAGCAAGAACAATTATTTCTCTTCCTCCTCAGGTTATTCAATGGGAAGATGATGAGGATGGAGATCTTTGTGATGATTCACTTTCACTTAATGAACAGTAAATATATTTTCCTTTTCTTTGTGATTTTCTTATGAAAATGTTAATTTTCTTTTCTACAGCTTACTTTATTGTAAGGCTACAGTGTATGATACATTGTATGATACATATAACATACAAAATATGTGTTAATCAACTATTTATGTTATCAGTAAGGCGTCTGGTCAATGGTAGGCTATTAATAATTAAATTTTAGGGAGTCAAAAGTTATAAACAGTGAATTTTTGGTTGTTCAGGGTATCGATGCTCCTAACTCCCATATTATTCAAGGGTCAACTGTAATAGATGAATATCATAAAAAACATCAAACACTGCAAAGTATACAAGGCAGTGGGAGCTGCCCCACTCACAATCATCTCTCAGTCCCACCTCACAGAGGCAACCACTTTGAAAATTTTTTTTTTTTTGGACACAGAGTCTCGCTCTATTGCCCAGGCTGGAGTGCAGTGGCATGGTCTCAGCTCCTTTGCAGCCTCTGCCCCCGCTGGGTTCAAGCAATTCTCCTGCCTTAGCCTCTCGAGTAGCTGGGATTACAGGTCCCTCCCCGCCCCCCCGTGGCACACCCAGCTACTTTTTGTATTTCTAGTAGAGATGGGGTTTCACCATGTTGGCCAGGCTGGTCTTGAACTCCTGACCTCAAGTGATCCACCTGCCTTGGCCTCCCAAAGTGCTGGGATTATAGGCATGAGCCACTGTGCCCGGCCTGAAATTTTTCTAGCTGTTTCTGTTTGTGATTATTGTTGTTTATTGGTCTACCAACTTTAGAAATTATTTATTCTCTTTCTACTGTGATCATTTACCACTTATACTCTACTCCCCAATCCTTCTCTCTCCATTCTTTGAAAAGAGCTTTTTTCATGTTATAGTAATGAAGTTATTACATTATTATGAGTATCTGAATATCTTATACTTCAGAGTCAAGTAGAGTATCATGATTATGTTTTCTTTCTTCAACAACTGTTGTTTTTTCCTCATGTTTCCAATTGGCTTTGTTTTTTTCTGTGTACTGTTTGCTCTTAACACATTCTATATTATTCCAAATCTCTAAGGATATATCAAGCCCAGAAATCCCCTAATTCCTTCCTCATTCTTGTCTTCTGTGTGACTTCTTTCATTGTTGACTAATTCACCACGTAACAGCAAGATCCTTGAGGGGAGCATTTTATCTATTCATCTGTATATATCTCTTGTCTGTCACCTTGTCTGGCACATACTGGACATTCATTAAATATTTGATGATTGCGTGAATGACTGTACTTCTGTGGAGTGTTGAACAAATGAATTTAGGCTTTACGTTCTTGAGTAAAATTACTTTCAGATGTTAAGTATGATAATACAAAATCTACGGTATTAGTCTGTTCTCACACTGCTAATAAAGAGATACCCAAGGCTGAGTAATTTATAAAAGAAAGATATTTAATGGACTCACAGTTCCACATGACTGGGGATGCCTCATAATCATGGCAGAAGGCAAAGGAGGAGCAAAGGCTTGTCCTACATGGTGGCAGGCAAGACAGCATATGTAGGGGAACTGCCTTTTATAAACCATCAGATCTCATGAGACTTACTCACTATCACGAGAACAGCAAGGGAAAACCTGCCCCCATGATTCAACTACCTTCCACCAGCTCCCTCCCATGACCTATGGGAATTATGGGGGCTAAAATTCAAGATGAGATTTGGGTGGGGACACAGCCAAACCATATCATCCACCAATTTTAAATGCACCAATTTTTTTGCCATTATTTTTACATTTTATTCTTGAGTTCACCATGTAAATATTCATATATTCCCAAGTATACCCTGAATTGAAACTGTAAAATACATAGATATTGTCCATAACATAAAAATATTAGTTATAATCACTGAAGTCTAGATAAGAAATAGCTGTCATTTGTTCAATAGTTTAACATGTTATTTACTCACTTAACTACTGTATACTTATTTATTATTATTGTCTTATATTTCTCCTTGGTGTGATTACTGATTATAAACCATGTGCAATTTCTATTATAGTGTCTTTGCATTATTTGGTCCTTTTGCCTGTAATTTTCTTTCCACCGTCTCTCATTGCCCCCTCTCCGCAATACGCATACCTAGATCATGCCTACTTTTCCTTCATAGTTTGGCTCAGTCATCCCTGACTAGGCCATTTCTCTTTATTTTATGCTCTCACAATCCCATGTGGTGCTTATCTCAATCATCTTCACTGTGATCCGAGTCATTCTTTGATTAATGACTGTCTCCCTCACTAGACTGAAAGCTTCCTAAGTGTGGGACCCTGTCTGGTTTTGCCTTCTGTTTCATCTCCAGCATATTGCATCAAACATGGCACAAAGTTAGTGTTCAATTTTACCATGGAAAACCTTCCTCTATGATTTAATTTTTCTTGAATAAGTGTTCTATGACTTTGAATTTCTGGCAAATTTCTTTCTGAACGTGTCTGTCAAAAGTTGACTTCTGGGCTGGGTGAAGGACAAGGAGGGGAGAGTAAGATTGAGAAATCCATATTCGTGAGTTTTTTGAGAGATCCAGGTTATTTTATTAGTTTCTTAAAAAGATTAGTGTTTTCCAAAGTGGAGGTGCTTTCCATTGGATGTGGAAAAAAATGACAACTTTTATTTATAATGAGTTTATTTTAAACAAACACTTCATCTGTCATCATGAGTATTCAAATCTGTCTACACGAGTGTATTTTCTAGATAACTAACACTTTTCCATTTAGCAAAAAAAATTTTTTCATATGTATTATTTTAAACAAAATATTTCCAGTACACCCACAGGCCTATTTGCCTTCTTTGAAAGAACACACTGGCCTTAACCCATTTCCAGGTGGCTCTGCCATTGATATTAGAGAGTGAAATGTACTTATGATTGATTTTTATCAGGGTTGTACAATATATTGGTAGATAAATGAGTTAGATGTGAAGACCTTAATTTTTTGTAATGTAAGAAGTCAAATATTGAGTAAATGTTAAAATAACACATATAAGTGTAGAGTAAGAAGAATAACAATACAAAGAACTTATGTATATTAACAACCCTGTTTTAAAAACTGAATATTTTAATGATCTCTAAAACCCAGAAGTGTTGCTTCCTAATCCTTCTCTTTCCCTCGGCCCTTAGATACAACCATGATTGTGAATATTGTGTTCAGGATTGTCTTGCTTTTCTATGGCTTCAAAATATGTATTTGCAGCATAAATAATATAGTATTTAGTTTTGCATGCTTTTCATTGTTTACAAAAGGAGTCATCCTGTAAGCATTTGGCAACTTACTTTTTTTGGGCTCAAAATTACGTTCATGAGAGATTATTCCTTGTAAGTGAATAGGGCTATCATTCATTCAATTTCACTGATGTATAACATCCTATTCTGAGACTACCCCACATTTATTTATCTGTCCTTGTGGGTTGTTTCTAAGTTTTGCTCTTACAAATAGTACTGTTATGAACATGCTTTGTACATGTCCCCTGTACTAATGTGCAAGAGTTTATCTTGAGTATGAACCTAGGGTTGGAATTGCCGAGTCATAGGTTATATGCATCTTAGGCTAGAAAAAGCCATAATGTTCTCCAAAGTAATTGTACAAACTTATGCTCCCAGCAGCAGAGTTTAAACATTTTAGTTGTTCTACATCCTCTCTAGCACTTGATGTTGTCAAACTTTTAATTTTTGTCAATCTGGCATGTATGAAGCAGTATTTCGTTATAGTTTTAATTTGCATCTCCCTAATTACTAATGAGGCTGAGCATTTTCCCCACATATTTATAGGGTATTCAAATTATTGTTTCTGTGAAGTACCTGTTCAAATATTCTGTCCATTTTTGATTGACTTTTGTTGGCCTTTCATTGTGTGTTAATCTGTAGTTCTTTATAGTATATTTCATTGAATTTAGGAGAATACTTATTGTAAGAGATGCTGCTATTTTATTTACACTAAGAAAAAAACGCTAGCAATTAAATTGTGACAGTGTTGATTATAAGATGCATCTTAATTAGAGAGATGTTAAATATGAAAGAAAAGTGCATTTAATAGTGATGAAATATTATATATTGGAATAGTAATACTTTGCCAATTAAGTATATTTGAAAGTATAGTCTCTCAATTTGTATTTTGTTTCTTTACTTTCTTTATATTGTCTCTTGATGCAAACTCATTCTTAATATAGTCCAATTAAAAAAAATTTCAACTTTTATAGATTCATGGGTACATGTGCAGGTTTGTTACATGAGTATATTTTGTGATTCTGGGATTTGGGGTATGATTGATCCTGTCACCCAGGTACTGAGCAGAATACTCATATAGTCAAATTTTAAAATCTTTTTCTCTGTGTTTTTTACATATTGTGTTTTAAGAAGTCTTCTCTGCCTTGAGATAATAACAATATTTTTTTCAATATTTTCCTGTCTATGTTTTATGTGTTTGCCTCCCACATCTAAAATTTTAATTATCTGGAATTGATTTTGGATTATGGTATGAGGAAGCCTCCAGAGTAATATTAATAATTATTCCAGCATTAAAAAGTTCATCATTTCTCAACTGATCTACAATTATATCTCAGCCTTGAATTAAGTGTCCATATATATGCATGGGTCTGTTTCTGGGCTTTCAAATCTGTTTCATTGGGATATTTGTTTATTCCAGCATCATTACTATGCAGCTGAATGTTGATTTACCAGAAGCTAAAGAAGCTTAAACCTCAGTACCTCCTCACTTCAGCACCCCTGATTTGCATGAATCCTGAATCTAATATTTATAATTTTGTATTATTTTATGTAGAAGTGTGCCCAAACTACATAAACTTCAGGCCCTATATAATCAGATGCCACCCTTGCATGCAGTCTTAATGATTATAGTTTTATAATATTTTTTCATGTGTGTTACATCAGCTACCCCACTCCGTTCTTCTGGAATGTCTTGCCTACTCTTTGGCTTTTGCGTTTCCATATGCATTTTGGAATCCATTTGTCAAGTTCCATAATTAAACTGTGGTAATTTTCAGTAAAATTACATTGCATCTCTAAATCAATTTGGAAACCATGGACATCTTTGCAATATTGAATTCTTCAACCCATGAACATGGTGTCTATCCACTTTTTTTTTTTTTTTAGCTCTTCTTTAATGTTGTTCAATAGAGTTTTGTATTTTTTGGAAATATTTAGCATATTTTTATTAGTTTTATTTTTAGTACCTTATATCTTTGGGGGGATAGCAGAATGAATATCATTTAAAAAATCACGTTTTCCAAATGTCATTGATGGTAGACAGAAATTCAATTGATTTTTGAATACTGATTTTGTATTTAGCAGCTTTGTTTAACTTTGTTATTAACTCTTTTTTTCTTTTTTTTGAGACAGAATCTCGCTCTGTCTCTCAGGCTGGAGTGCAGTGGCGCGGTCTTAGCTCACTGCAACCTCCGCCTCCGGGTTCAAGTGATTCTCCTGCCTCAGCCTCTTGAGTAGCTGGGATTGCAGGCGTCCACCACCATGCCCGGCTAATTTTTGTATTTTTGGTAGAGATGGGGCTTCACCATGTTGGTCAGGCTGGTCTTGAACTCCTGACCTTGTGATCCATCCTCCTCGGCCTCCAAAAGTGCTGGGATTACAGGCGTAATTTTGTTTTCTTAAGCTCTCCTTGCAGGTTTCAGAATTGAAATGCTGCCAACCTTATACATTGAATTAAGGAGTATTTTCTCTTTTGCTCAACTCTGAGGTAGATTTTTGTAAGGTTGAAATTATTTGTTCCTTGAACATTTGGTAGAACTCGCTGGCAAAACCAACTGTGTTTTCTGCATGGGAGGATTTTAAACTGATGATTCAAGTTAAAACCTTAAAAAAGGTTTTAAGATTATTAAAGTTTTTGATTTCCAGGAGCTTTTCTAGGAATTTGTTCATCTTATCTAAGTTTTCAAATTTATTTGGCTTAGAGTTGTTTATAACATTCTTTTTTTTTTAATATCTACTGCATGTAGTTATATCATCTTTTTTTATTCCTAAAAATGTGTATTTGTGCCTTGTCTTTTTCTTGTTCAATACTGCTACTACTTTGTCAATATTGTTCTTTCAAAAAATCCAGTTTTTGGTTTTGTTAGTAATCTCGACTGTATTAACTCTCTCAGTGATGAACTCCCAAGTGGCCCAAATCTCGTTTCCCGAGCAGTGCTACAATGTCCACCCTAGAATATGTCTCCTTATGCATCCGTGTGGGGATGTACACTCTACATTCCACTCAAGAGTAGAATTTCTGGACCACAGGGAATGCATGTGTCTAGTTTGAGTAAGTAGGGCTGATTTATCTCACTACTCCTTTACCTGCAGTGGTTGAGTGTTCCTGTGTCTCCCATCCCCACCTAACACTCAGATTCATTTACCTTTCTCATTTTGGTGTTTTAATAGGTATAAAGCAATAAGCATTTTTAGAAAAAAAGGTGTGTTCTTGGGTTACCATTTTTGGTACATTTTATCATGTGCGAGTTGCCTTTTTGAAGTGTTCTTCTGTATTATTCCCTATTCACATATTTTGCCTGTTTTTTTTTTTTTTCCTATTATAGTTTCTGTCTTTTGCTCATTGACTTACAGGTATTTCTTAGATATTCTATTTATTAGTCTTTTTGCCAGCTTTAGACATTGCAAATATCTTCTCCTATTTTATTGGTTAATTATTAATTTTTCCCATGGTTTATTTTGCTGAACAGAAATATTTATGTTTAATATAATCGAATTAATCAATTCTTTTGTCTAATTGTTTATGCTTCTAAAGTTTTGTTTAAGAAGTCTTTTCCAACACTAGACTACAAAGAAAATCTGTTTTCTACAAGAAACTTTATCTTCTTACCTTTTATATTCATGTCTTTAATTCATCTAGAGTTTATCTCTGTATGTAGTGTTAGGAAGGTATCCAGTTTATTTTCCTCTATATAGCCAGGCAGTTTTTCTAACAGTATTTACTAAACCATCTGTTTTCCCCGTTGATTTTTGATGCCACATTTATTGCAAAATAGGTTCCTATGTGTCTATGATTCTGTTTCTGAGTTTCTTGAACCCAAACCATGTTGTTATTACTGTTTAAAGAGTGTCTTAAGTCTGCTAGGTCAAACACTCTTTCTTAAAGGTCAACTTAACTATGCATAAGCATTTACTTCTTCACCTAAATCTTAGGTTACATTTGTTGAGTGTCTCAGAAAATCCAAATGGGATTTTGATTTGGATTGCATTACATTTATTGGTTAATTTGGGGGAAATTGACTTCATCAAAATTAAAAATTTCTATTCAGACTACACATATCTTACCAAATACTCATATTCAGAATACACAAAGACAGAAGGATAATATCACAATGCACTAAAAGGAAATAACAAGCCACCCAGAGGCACAGAGAAGGCGCCCACACCTGCACTGGCCAGCACCCCACCCTACATCAATACCACCTCCCGTGCAACAGCACGAACCATCCCCTTCCTCTCAATGCCTGTGGATGTACCAAAGAAGAAGGGAAGCTTGCAAGGCCTCCAGTCTGCTGGGATCTTCAGGCCTCTTTCTTGTTTTCCAATTGTGGGGCAGTGTCTAGGAAAGTTATGCAAATATGACTTGCTATTTTTAATTTCTTGAAAAAGTCTTGAGGGCTTCCTGGGAGGTATGTTTACCATTTTGAGGTGATGGCTGGTTGGTGCTTATTGTCCTGTGTATCCAATGGATAAGGGGCCTGTGAGGCTAACTGTAAATGACTTGGCCCCTTGGTACGGTACTGATATTCTATACAAAGCCAGCAGCTCAAGTGGCTGTGCCCCTGCCCTCCAACACACTGCCCCCGGATGGTTTTACTTGAGACAAACCTCTTTTACTTTAAAGAAGGTTTTTATATTGGAACTGAGACTTCTGATAGAGAAATATTTGCTTTGTTTGATACGATCTTGGCAAAGAAGGTTCATTTTACCAGTTGCTGGCTAATGTCCTAGCTTGGGAAGAGCAATAATCTCATTAATGAATTATCTCTTACTTACAAGACAAACTGGACTCATTTGTTTCCTTAAAAAGACGGTGTCATTGATTAAAGATGGTCATTAATGACCACTAATAAATGCATCTGTTCACCATTCAAAGATGTTTGATATTTGCATTTAATGCTAGGAAGCAAAATAGACAGTTCTCTGGATAAACCATATGTCTCCAAGTTATCTTAAGGATGGCCTCACAGTTCTAAATGGTAATAGTAAAAAGTATTTAAATACACCTGAATTGAATACATAGGCATAGAAATATCCACTTGTAACTCTTAAATTGGGAAGTGATGCTAACTCTTTGCTAAATTATATGCAGAACCTACTGCCAGTGATCATGCTATTGAGGATACAATTCACAAGCATGTTGATATCCAAGATAATGAGTCTGACTATAACAAAGCACTTAACTGAAGCTCCACAGCCAAAATGGAATCTATCATGCCAATTCAGGAACCTAAAACCAAAGTCGAATGCTAATTTTTACAAAAAGGCATCAAAGTTTTCATTTTCTAAAAGTCGACTGAACTGGGTTGGATTGAAACCCAAGCCTATGCATTATTAAAATAATTGAATTGGGCTATCAAAAAAAATCAGACTGAAGTTGAATCAGACTTCCATATGTTCTTGATTATAGATAACATGTTCCTCCTTTATAAGTTAAATTGGGGTTTTTGAGAGGGAATGGCAGTTGTGCTATCAGACAATGAAATGGTGGGACTCAATGCGATTAGGCTTTGGAGGGAAGGCATAGATGTGCCGAGAATCACAACGTGCTCCCTGGCCCTCCTGTGGTGACCGTGAGTGTCCGTGCTTCCTTTACATGCCATCTATGTGTCCATCTAATAGTCTACAAGATAGTGTTGGCTGAATTCAGGGTTAGTCATTGTAGCCTGGCTGGGACTGACCATGTGGGGGACAAAATCAGCTGGACTGACTGAGTCACAGGCCACTTATTTGGGGGCGTAGAGCCACATCCTGCCGGTTGTAGTTTTCATGAATGGCCGAGGAAACATTTGCAAATGACATGGCTTCAGAACTCCCACCGGCTGTGCTATGTTTTCCGGGTGAGCCTGATTGCTTTTGGCTCTACCCAGTGCAGTGTTTTCCATCAAATCAGTCTTTCCTCTGCGAGGGTATTTATTACGTGCCATTTTGAAAATAAAATAAAAGGGATGTGGAGCAATCATCCAGCAAAACCATAGAACATTTTATTATCCTAGACGGTGAGGGGTCAGGTTTGACATACAACGCTGGGAGCGGCGATGGCCGAACAATGTGCTACTAAAGCGTGATTTAATGAGGCTTGGAGGATTTAGTTCAGTCAGAAAAGTTCCACTCTGTCTTGGGCAGAGGAGAAGCTGAGCTGGTGTGGTCAGCTGACCTAGCGGCTTCTCACCAGGTAGGCCTCCGCCGGCAGCCTCTGTTTGTTCGGATCCCAGACACAGTTGTCAGGGAGACTTGAGTGCTGGAAACCTCTGACTGATTTAGTGGACCCCAAACATGGCGCAGCTTCCCTGTTGCTTCTGTTTTACAAGGCCAGCAGTTAATTCAACAAAAGCCTGAATTCATTTCCCTCTATATGCATTGACTGTCAGCTAAGAGCTGGCGGCCATCAACTTCATTAAAAAAAAAAAAATCCCATTTCACTGGAATTGAGGGCCTTTGCCCTCTGACACATGGCAGCATGCTCTCTCGGGCAACACTTTTTGTTTCACACTTTTCCAGGAGAAAAACTCATTAGCAGATAGTGGCTGATCATCAAGTCATTGCAAGTAATCATACACATCATTCTGATCCAGCTGAATTAAATCCACCAGTTATACTTCATTATTGTGTTGGCAGAACCTCAGCCTTTGAGTTATGAACTAAGACACTCAGGGACAAGTTCAAGCATCCTTTTGTTATCTTCTTTATTGAGTTAGATGTGTTTATTGAATATTTATCTAGTAACTATGGTATGCTTGGTTCCATGGGGAGTGAATGGGGTGTAGAAGAGCTGAAAGCCCTGGTTACTATCCTGCAGGGGCTGATGATCTAGAAGGTGAGATAGAACACACATAAAGAGATAGGTAACGTTGCACTGTTACATAACCTACAGGCTTTGGGGGAGATGGCCTTGGCCTAAGATAATATGGTAGTTATCAAGTGATACTGTGTCACAGAAACTTTTATAAACATAAAGGTTTAGGTTCCCCATACCAGAGAGCTTGACTCAACTGATCTGTGGAAAGGCCTGGGCAGCAGTACTTGGAAAAATCACCCTAGGTGATTCCAGTGTGTGGCTAAAGCTGAGAACCACTCATCTGGGAGAGAGATGGCTTGGTATTTGGTTTGTTTTGCTTTTTAAAATTTAGGTTCTACTCTGGATTTTGTCCCTCTCCAGGTAAATAGGTGCTTCCTTATATACATCTCAATTATTGCCTCACTATCTCTCTATAACAATCTCTTTACAAATCTATTCATCCAGCAAGCCTGGGAGCCTCTCTGAGGGAAAGGACACAGAGTTCTAATCATCCTTTTATTCTCGGAACTTGGCACAAAGAAGATGCCCCATGAATGTTTGTTGAATGAAGGAGTGAAGAATGGGCTGGTTGACCTTGAACATGATACATAAACTCTCTCCACTTAGGAGCTTTTGTTTCCTGGTTCATAAAGACAAAGGGAGGGAGAGATTTTGCTCTCTCTCCTTTACCTTATAAACATTCTGCACAGCTATATCAGAGGTAGATGCCTTCCCCTGATGATTTTGAAGCCCTTTTAGAATAAAGGTGCAATGCAAATTCTGGGCATTCTCATGGATAATTGACCCTGCAGTAGTACTTTTGTTCTCCTTTTTTGTATCAAGACACAGGTGAATTTTGATGAGCTTGTAGAAGCACTGCTGCTGGTACAATGGTCTACTAATGTCATCTAAATGAGATGGATGACTTTTAAAATATTTGTAATATAGCTAGGGCCCAGAATGTGAGAAGGAAATAGCAGCCCAAGAGGGTAGTCACAAGGCCCCAGTAATGACCCAGGGGTGGGGGCTGGGGGCTGGTGGTCTCCCCACAGTCCTACTGGCTCATTGACCTCTAAGTCATTCCTCTTTTATTAAAATGCTCTTTTCAAATCCTATTTGCCAATGCATTTATTTACTTGCTGGGGAGGGGTTCAGGAGTGAGGAGGCTAGTGTTTCCAAGAACATGTTTAGGACACCAGCATTTCTAAGAGACCTGTGGTTAGAAATCATCTACAGTGACAAATTAACCATTGATGTCTTTTTTTTCTTCTATGAATTAGTTTAACTGCATTTACAAGCACCTCCCTCACTTTTGCCTTACCGCAGCCTTTAGTGTGATAAAAATTAACACTCAAACTCTAAGCCACATATACTAGATTACAGGAAGCCTCTGCTTCTCAGAAAACACATTGGCCATTTAGGTGCTGTAAATATTGTGCTATGGGTTTCTGAAATCCAGGCTTCATTTGTTGATTTGGGGTTTAGAGCCCAGAGACGAGACTCTTGCAATGTCTTCATCTTACCTCTGCTCTCTGAAGGCTGAGCTGAGGGCTGACCACCCTCAGCTCACTGAGAAGGAGCTGACCTTCTGCCTTATATTTAATTAGCAGATTTTCTCCTTTGAGATCAAAATGCCCTTTAAAAAATGTTCAGGTGAGAAAACTAAGGTCCAAGGGCATCAAAGGTCACCCTTTAAGTTTTTTTTGTCTCTCTAGAGTGCGTCTTTTCCCGCGGTGCCTCTTGCCTATTTATTTTGGAAGAAAAAATAACATGAATTCAGACTGTCACTTGGGAAATCGGTATTATTTAAAGGTGAATTAAACATTCCCCTCTTCTAAAACTACTCTGGGGAGAGAACAAAGGAAATGTCACATGATTGTGGTTAACACAAAGGTTTTTTTTTTTCTTTTTTCCTGGTGTAATGGTAAGCATGTCATGATGAAGGCAGGTTTTGTCAAGACAGCAGGACATAATCAGCGATAGTAATTTCAAGGATTTCAGAGTGAGCTGTGTGGTTAGATGGAAGTCAGTACCCCAAAGCATCAGGCTGGAGTCAGTTCCTAATGTCACAACACTTCAACTTCTACCTTTAGAGCAGGGTGATTCTGCATGTCAAATCTTGAATTTAAATGAATGTGAAGCTCTGTTGGCAAAACCTCACTCCTCTTTGCAGCCACAGCTGGGCAGCCACCAGAGAGTTTTCAGGCTAGACATGTTTTCCCCAACATCTGTCAGCTTAGCTAAATCAGAGCTCCAAATGAACAGTGTAATACCCAAGATCATTATCTGGATTTGTGACACTCCCTCCTACTTCTCTCTGGAGATTTGGGATTCAAAGTGAAAAACAACATTTGTAAGGGATCAGGAGGGGGAGGATTTTCATCTTTATTATTATTACTAAGTAATAATACATTTTCATTAACATGGTTTTAATAGTATGAAACAAGAGAAGTGAAACATGCCCTCTCCACATCAACATGTTCCCCAGTGCCTTTGGCTTAAGGTACAGTATCTGCAACTCATTCAATCCAAGATAAACCTATTAATTAAGCTTGAGTCTACAGGTGCGGTCTACACAGCTGTAATTTTCTGTTCTGAGCTAATGGAAAATTTGCAGATGGTCTAGGGGTTTAGCATGTTTTCGCATCAAAAAGATGTGGTCTGTGCTCCAGGTAGAAGGAGAGAGCTAATCCACTAATCAAGTCAACAAATATTTATTGAGTGCTACTTGATGCTCAGCTAGATGCTAGTGTTGTAGGGGATCCATGATGAGGAGAGCTTTTGCTTTTAATGAGGAAACATGACTCACATTCAAAAGCAGCCTGGCATTGTGGACAGAGCACAGCATCTGGAATGAGGCTGACCTGGTTTAGAAATCCAGCTTAAAAGTGGTATGATCCTGGAAATTTCCATTTCACATGAAAGATACCTCTTTTCTTTATATTAAAATAGGGATATTCGTACCTTTAGAGTTGTTGCAAGCATTAGCAATAACATTTGTAGCAGAACTGGCATGTTGGAGACACTCCAAAAATATTATTCTAAGATGCTATATCATATAGCATGTTATAATTTGGCCCTTAATAATAGTTTTATAAAGCCTCAGAAACTAGAGAGAACAGTTCCAGCCAGAATAGATGGGTAACCACTGAGCATAACTAAGGTAGCACTTGGAAATGACAGAATCAAATTCCCGGAAGGGATCTTATAGGTTTATTGGCCCAATCAAGTCATTATAGTACAGAAACAGAGGCTCAAATAAGTTCACTTATCCAAACAACTCAATAGTACTGGGAGCAGGTGCTGGGTTGGACTACACATATGACCCTACTTTGGGAGACGGTGCTATATAGAATGGTGGTTCCCAAGCCTGGTGGAATATCAGGATCTCTTATGATCTTTTTTAAAAATTGACTTTCAAGTGAGCCTGATTCAGGAGGCTTAGAGTGAGGCTCAGAATGAGGCTCAGGAATATGTCTTTTTCAGTGAGTTCCTGCCAGCAGATCCACCCACTGAAGCAGCATAAAGAGCCTTGAACTAGGAATCTTAGTCCCAGCACTTCCCGTTTGGCTGTGTGACTTGGGCAAGGCAACCTTTCTATTCTTTGCTGTCTCATCTGTCTCTTGAAGGGATTTCTTTTGTTGAGATTCTGGTCACCTCCATCTCTCATAATTACTCCATTACACCATTTCAGCTCAAACTGAAATTGAAGTTTGAAAAGGATCAGGCTTGGAGATAAGGAGAAGGCTAGCATTAGTGGTATAGGGAAGGCGAGACTGAGTGTAGCCTGGCTGGGGAGATTTCCTATAGGAAAGGAGAGGAAGACTTGGCCACGGGGATGGAGGAGGTTTTCAGTATACAGAATTCTGCGGGGTGGATATGGGTTTTAGGCATTGTTTTATAGAGGAGCACTTCCCAATATATATACATATATATATTTTTGGAACAACTGAGCCTTTGAGATGCTCTAAAAGAGATCTTGGTGTCAGTAGGTTTGGGAGATGCTACATACATGTACTCTTCATGGTCTAGGAGATTCATGATGCATATTGAGGGCTCTGAGAAGTCTGATTAACCTTACTGAGTCTGGAATGGTTTTTTTTTTTTTTTTACTAATTTACTTTTCCATACAGCACTTAAAAAACAACTATTAATGAATGTTCCAACAACTATTATTTAACATATTTGGAAAACACTTAGAAATGACAGAATCAAATTTCCAGACATGTGACCCTTATAGAGAACAAGGAGTCATAATAAGTTCTGTGCTCAGTTTTAGAGAAACCTGGGGGAAAAGATCACTTGAAAAGATGCTTAAGGAGAACAGGAAATGAACTGGAATTTCTCAGCTTAGAAAAAAGAAGCCTTATGCACTACATTTTTAGTTTTATGAATTGGTATAATGAGGGATATGATTGATTGATCTTCATATTCACTGAGCATAAAGCCAGAAGAAATGGGCTTAAAAGTCAGGCCAAGAGATTTAGAAGTAAGAAAAAGGAAATCTTTCTGATAAAGGATATAAACTGGAGTAGTTGATCTAGGTAAATTTTGTAATTTCCAGAATCTCATTCATCGTCAGTAATAAAATCAGGAGGATAGACTGACAACTCAAGTTCCCTGTACCTTCTTGCCTATCTTTTGATATTCAGGGACCCATGTACGTACATGGGAATCACAGAGCACCCCTGCAGTCTACACAGAGATCCAGCAGCCTATAAACCTTAGATTTGGAAAGAACTCAACATCTGGTCCAACTTTCTATCGAAGTAGGAGTATTTTCTGCAGGAATCCTGCCCTGTGGCCTTCAGGAATATGCTGGGAATAAGTCCAGTACTTGGAAAATCATTACTTTTCTAGGCAGCTCATTTCATTTATGATTGGCTTTAATTGTTAGAAAGGCAACCTAGTTATTTGTGTTGGAGCTGCACAAAATATGCTTGTTATTATTTTTTTCCCCGTGGTATGACCATTTAAATGTTTGGAGATGAATGTTGTATGTGCACTAATCTTTCTCCAAGACAAGTAGTCCAAGCTTTTAGCCATTTCTCCAAACATGTGGTCTCTAGAAACTTCACCATTGTCTGTAAGTTTTCCAGTTTGAGAATGTGCTTACAACACCGTATCTAGAAATAGAGAATAGGGTTAATCATCACGAACCACACCTGGGTTATGACCTCTTTTGATCTAAGCAGAATCTTAATGCAGAGAAGCCATATGTGCAGGGCAAGTCCCTCAGAGTTCATACTCTGAGCCATAAGACAAGTCCAGTATGTCCAGAGGGCTGGGCTGGCAGATCCATTTGGTCTATTTACATATGGAATCAAGAGGCCACAGAAAGAAAGCCACCATAATGTGAAAAAAAGTTGATGAGCACCAGTGTGGCAGGATAATGGACTCTCAGGAAAGGGCATTGTGGGTGGGAGTTAGGAGTTAGAAAGGGTTGAACCTATAATTTCTCTAAGTCATCAAATGTAATAGCCAAAGCTGCTTTGTCAACAATATTAGGGGTGAAAGATGGAGATTCAGGAGGTGTCACAGCAGCCTCTGTGACACATCTTCCCAGGAGTTACACAACCATTACTAGGAATGGGAGAGGAGGTCTCAAGGGGAGTGTACGTGAGACATCCCTCTAAGATGACTCAGTGCCTTAAAGAAACACTGCTTCATGACTTACTGGGACCACCCCTCATTCCCTCAGACCTCACTAGCCTGGAAATATGGGCCAGATTTTATTCATTTGTTCAATTCTTTCCTATTTCCAATAAAGAATTGCATTAGTTTTTGTTTCGCAATCATGTCACATAGTTGACAGAAACACTTTTTTTCACACAAACCACTATCAATTAAATTCTCTCACCTATTCTAGTAAATTCTTTGAGCCAAAATGCAGAATTTTACATTTGTTCTAGCTACATTTAATTTTATTTGTATGACTTTATTGATGTTTAAATTTTTTTTTCGAAAGTATTCCTCTTATCTTGGTGTCACCTTCACTTTTGATAAGTAAGCCTTCAGTTTCTGCCTCAAAGCCTTGGAACATGCCCATAAAGGGATCAGGGAGAGAAAGTTCTGTGGCATGGTACTAGAGAGTTCCTTTGAGTAAGACATCAGCCCTTTAATAAACTTTTTGAGTAAAATGTCCAGCTAGCTATTCATTCAGAGTAGGACTGTTTTCCAGCCTGTGTTTCTCCATCTTGGCTGACAGAGTAATCAAGAAGGACTATCAAAATGGTTTAATGAAATCAAGATGCATTATGCAATGGCTTGATTTTTTTCTTTCTAGTCGATATTAGTAGGAACTGGGGCTTGGTGTGAAACTGAAAGTGTACCTTACCAGACAAAGATGTTGCTTCTGGATTATATAGGACTTGCCCTTCCAGTCACAGGCATGTCTGGGAGTTCATTGTGTAAAAAGCAACATCTGCCTTTGACAGCATCAAGTTCAGATTATTTAAGCAGTGTACAAGGCCTTAGCTGGCTTACATTTTCAGCTTTATTTTTCTTTGTGTTCTCCTCCTGCTCCAGTTTTCTTAATGGGTCACACTCTTTAAGCTGCCGACTATTGACACCCTGTTTCCACTTCCTGGACACTCTGCTTCCTTTACTCTGTTTCACTAGCTCTTACTCATTCTTTAGCTTAAGTCTAACTTCCTTGAGTCAGCCAATCCCAGTCCTCGAAGGCTGGATTAAATGTCCTTCCCGTGCACTCTCTTCCATACTGGGCTTACCCCTTTGACAGCACCTGCCACTCAGGTATCCTTGCCTATGGACTTTTTTTCCTCCCCACTTTGTCATAAACTCCTTGACAGCAGAGACTGTGTCTGGTACTTAGCAGGTTCTCAAATCAATTCAAGAATTACCAGCTGTGAGATCGTAGGACACTATGATACATTAGAGGACTCTGAAAGATCTCAAGGTCCTTTGTCAAAATTTGGACTATGGCTTTGAACAAGTCATTGCCTTTTGGGGCTTTAGTTTCTTTATCTGTGAAATGAAGATGATCTCTAAGGAGCTAGGCTAATGCAAAGAGCATTAAACCAGAAGCAAGTAGCCTTGACCTGGATCCAAGGAGTGACTTGGGAAAGGTGTTTAACCCATTCACTTTTCTGAGTCTCAGTTTATTAGATTAAGAGGCTGAACTGTGTGTAGTGTATAAACATGGAGTAAAGTCAGAGACAGATGGGATGCTGTTGAGCAAGTTACTTTGTGCCTCAGTTTCCTTATTTACAATTTCTCATTACTTGGTGATATGGTTTTGCTGTGTCCCCACCCAAATCTCATCTGGAATTGTAGCTCCCATAATCCCCATGTGTTGTGGGAGGGACCTGGTGGGAGGTAATTGAATCATGGGGACAGGTTTTTCTGTGATGTTCTTATGGTAGTTAGTAAGTCTCACGAAATCTGATGGTTTGATAAAGGGCAATTCTCCTACACATGCTCTCTTGCCTGCCACCATGTAAGATGTGCCTTTGCTCCTCCTTCACCTTCTGCCATGATTTTGAGGCCTCCCCAGCCATGTGGAACTGTAAGTCCATTAAACCTTTTTTTTTTTTTAAATAAATTACCCAGTCTCAGGTATTTCTTTGTAGAAGTATGGAAATGGACAAATATACTTGGTGGCATTCTAGTGAGGACTAGATGAGCTAACTTCAGTAACTGGTGAAAAGATAAAAATAGGTTGAATATCTACTACATGTTAAGTGCATTCATAATGTCATAGCATTTTATCCTCTTAACTGATATGGTAGGTTTTGTAAATCTCCATTTTACAGAAGGAAAAAATGGCTTAAGGTCATACTGCTCGTAAATGGCAGAACTGGATTCTCAGTATGACTCCAAGCCCATGCGGGTCCCATTTTACTCTGCTGTCCCTGCTTTGTTCAGCACCCGGCTTGAGACCTGGCACAAAGGCTGTCTGCACCACTCCAGGTCTAAGTCTGGCTCTAGGACTGGCGCTAAGATGAGGCTCTCTGGCCTGCAGATGGAGCAAGGTCTGGGGCTGGAGCCTGATGGTGCGGTTGGTACGCTGGCTTGAAGCCCTGCTCACGCACTCTCTCTGGAGCAGGAGGAGCAGGCACAGAGGCATCCAGGCAGCGTGCATGGTTTATAAAAAGCCATCAGGAGCACTGTCCTGGGACTGCAGTCATTTATCCGCACTTTTTCCTTGTAAAATGTTACTGACTGTTTTATACCAAGGGCAGTTTACCCTGAATGGGATGTACAGGCATTCAATTCACCTCTACTTTTTGCCAACTCTGCTTTTCTCCCCCTTGCTTCTGAAGTTATATATGGTTCTGAGAGAGGAAGCCATTTTCTATCTGAGGGAAAAAAAGAGCTGACGGCTTTAAAGAGAAACCTTTCATCATAGGAAAGAACATTTGGTTGAAGAGATAATGCCTTTGTTTTTAAAAATGGAATCCTGCATCAGTGGTATTACAGTCTTCTAAAATTGGCCCCCTCTTCCAGTCAGGTGCTAAGAGCTTTACCGAGATGATCGGTATCAGTGTACTTTTCTAGGGTAAAATGGAGGATAGATATGATCAGCTCCATTTTTCAAATAGGAAAGTTGAAGCTCAAAGAGGTTAAATCTCTTGTTTAAGACCGCAATGGAAGGCTGCTGGAACAAGCAATTTGCCCCAGCCGCTAGGTTAATGGAGGGGGCAGGGGAAGAGAAAACCTCCTCTGAGCCAGGTGGCCCTGCTCTTCCACCTCTACCCGCCACTGTCTCATGTATTTCTTCCCTAGTTTGTGAAACTGGTATTGCAGTGCTCAATTTGCACATGAGGCTTGAGTTTCTGTGACATTAAGCAATTGGCTGAAAGTCACACTTAGTTATTGCAAAGCAGGTCTCAAACCTAAACCTTCTGAGTCTGAGCTTGTTGCCTCCCCAGACCTTCCAGCTGCCTTCATTAGTGTCCACCACTCGCCTGCCCTGGCTTTTGCAGAGAATCTAAATATAATGGATTGCTGCTGCAGAATGCCAGGATATTTTAATTTATAGAAAAGAATAATGGGGTTCAGGTGAATGCCCCCTTCTGTATATTCTCTTTGGAATGAGGCTTAGCTTTATTGCCCTTTCACTTCCCATTAGTTCTAGCTAAAGTGATTCCATAATGACATATAAACCCAAACATGAGTAATTGATGGCAGCCTCAGGAGCTTGAGCAGGATAAAACCAGACTGACTAGAATCTCCAGGGTGAAGAATTAACATTTATTGGTTTAGTGAAATGAATTTATGTCCCAATAAAGCCAGTTATGGACTAGACAGTGATTTAATGAGGTGCCTTTTGTAAAAAGAACAAATATGAACTTCTGGGCCTGGGTTAGATTGTAACTAATATGTCACCCACCAACCAGTTTTATAGATATGTTCAGAAAAATCTATGATATTCCCTTAATTCATGAAATTTGTGTTTTAACCCATTCTGTCTAGACAGTTGAAAGTTAAAGGGGAATAGAATCAGCATGTCTGAAACTGTGAATGGTACATTTGTTCATCACTCTGCAAAATCAGGACTCCAAGTGCTCCCAGAAGCTTGAAGAATAAAGATTAGGACAAATGCCACCACAAAAGAAAAGAAATACTGAATCTAGATAGTAAGATGCCCTTTAGGTCTAAGGTGACCTAGGTCTGCAGGAAGGGGAGGAGGGGCAGAGGGAATAAAGATCTCTGGTACCTTCCCTGGGGTGGAGATGTAGGCAGAAGAGGACCTCCTTGCCTATGATCCCTTGGTCATTGGACAGCCCATAGCTGCCACTACAAGCCACGTCAATCCCTGCCTGCCACTGCTTTCTTTGCTTCTTCATGGAAAGAACAGAGGAATTGGTTGTCTTTTTTTTCGTTTTTTTTTTTTTTTTTTTGAGACAGAGTTTCACTCTTGTTGCCCAGGCTGGAGTGCAATGGCACGATCTTGGCTCACAGCAACTTCTGCCTCCCAGATTCAAGTGATTCTCCTGCCTCAGCTTCCCGAGTATCTGGGATTACAGGCATACGCCACCACGCCTGGCTAATTTTGTATTTTTAGTAGAGATGGGGTTTCTCCACGTTGGTCAGGCTGGTCTCAAACTCCCGACCTCAGGTGATCTGCCTGCCACGGCCTCCCAAAGTGCTGGGATTACAGGCGTGAGCCATTGGTTGTTTTTGATAATAAAATACTCAGGCCAAAAACCTCGGAGTCATCTTGGAGTCTTCACTTTCTTTTGTATCCCATATCCAATTCATCAGAATATTCCATAGGCTCTACTACCAAAATATTTCTACAATCAGGCCACTTCTCACCATCTCTGCCATTACCTCCCTAGTTCAGACATTATTCTCTCTTGCCTGGGTAAGTTCAATAGCATCCTCATTGATCTTTCTGCTTCTGTTCCTGATTCTCCACCCAACTCCTACACATACATATATAATCTGGTCTTAACATAGCAGCCAGAGGGAGATGCTTTTAATATAAAGCCAGATCCTGCCTCTGGTCTGCTTCAGTCTGCCAGTGGCTTCCCATTTCACACAGAGGAAAGCGAAATCCTTTATAATGGCCAACAATGCCCTACACCATCAGGCCCTCTCCCACCCACTCCCACCCTCTGAACTTAGCCCCTACTACCCCTTCCCTGGCCCATTTGGTCTTGCTGTTTCTTGAAGGCAGCAAGCACACTAACCTTAGTGTTTATGCCTGCATCACTCTTCTAGATATGCATGTGACACACTCCTTTACCAGGGGCATGTGTTTTGCTCAGTCTCACCTTCTCGATTAAGTTCACTCTGACTACGCTATTTAAAACTGTAACCACCCCCCAACCTCCTAGTTATCTTGACCCTCTTATCCTGCTCTATTTTATTCAGAGCACTTATTACTTTGTAACCTGCTATCTAACTCACTGACTTATTTTGTTTTTAACTGACCCCATCATTAGTATAGAAGCTCTGCAAGGTTTCAAATCTACCTGTTTTGTTTATGGATGCAGCCCAGGAGTATATAATGGTGCCTGGCACATAGCAAGTGCTCAGTAAATATTTGTTGAATGAATGAATGAATGAACTTATGAGTAAGAAGTCTGCTGAAAGCCATCCTAAAATAGATTTAATTCTGAGGTGAGAAGCAGGACTAATTCAATTTTGTTCTCATACTCTGATCTTTTTTGTACCCTGATTTGTTTTGTTTTTAACTCTGGAAAATAAGATACATCAAATTGAATGGAAGCTGTACTTTTTCTGTCTATAAAGTTTTGAGATCTGTGGAAAAAAATTTCAACCAGAGGCATAGGATTTTTATTTCAATAATTACTGTTGAGTGGTATCTTATTGGATCATATTAGAAATTTTGAAATTTGAAACTAAGTAAAACAGCATTAGGAAAACTGCAACCTTTTAAAATGTCACCATTGGCACTGACAAAATATTTGAGCACACACTGGGTGCAGAGCACTGGGAAAAAACACAAAATCCATTAAATGTGTGGCACACACATCTGTGCTGCTGTGAGGCCAGATGTTCCAGTTGTGGAAGTTTTATGTTCCCAGTACTTCTAAACAAGGATGTCAGATTTCAAGCATTTAAATTAACTTTGTGAGGAGTGGCTGGCAAGTGTAAAATGTGGTCAACAGCGAATACAGCAGAAAGCAGTTTGGTTCAAGTAGAAAATATCCCATAGTACTTGGAATGGTTTTAAAAATTATACTTTATTAGACAAAACCTAGACCATGGTTGTCAGCCTAATTCACATTACATAGCATTGCGCAGCTTACAAAGCACTTGCTTATAATAGATCATCTCAAGTGTATAGTTTCTGAGAAAAAATTTGCCAAAATCATTATCTCTCTTGGCACAGTGAGTATGTAGAGTTCAGTTTTGCAGCTTGAGGCAAATGTTCAATGTTGCCTGGGTAAAGAGGAGCCACCAGGAGGAGCCTCCAATTGTGCAGCAGGTAGCCAGACAGCCATGAGTGGCACTATAATTGAGAGCACAGACTCCACAGCCAGGCTGCTGGTTTCAAAGCCAGTCTTGCTTCCTACTTGCTGTGACTCTTGGTGCCTCGGTTTCATCATCTGTAAAATGGGGTTAGTAATAGTAACTCTTTGTAGGGCTACTAAGATAATTAAACATGTTTATAAACAAAGTGTGCTTAGAACAATTTCTGGCACCTGGGAAGCCTCTCACGCACGTTAGCTGCTATTATTAATAAGGAACAGCAAAAGGACCTGCTTGTCCCTCACCTCTCCCACAATTTTCTGGTCAGAGGTCAGTGTGTTGGAAAATTCCTCTTTGGAGTCACTCTTTTGGAGATTTACACACATATATATATATAAATCTCCCACTGACCTTAGCCCCTACTACCCCGTCCCTGGCCCATTTGGTCAGGGAATATATACATATATATATTCTATATATTCTATATATAGAATATATATTCTTGTAAGGTTCTATCTCTCAAAAATGTAAAGAAATTAACATATATATAAACATATATATATATTTCTTAACATTTTTGAGAGATAGAACCTTACAAGAATCAGATGAAAACAGTGAACTCTTTCTTTAGAACAACATATATATTCATATGTATAGGCAATTTTGCCCATAATTTCAGGGAATTTATAAATTCCTGAAGTCCAAATCAAGAAACTCTAGGTTAGGATATTGTGTTTCCAGAAGGCCCAGATTAAATGACCCCTTGTTGGGCCATCACGTTAAGCTGTCGATGCCTAAGACCACATTCAGGTGAGTTATGTGACCTGTCGCAGGTAGAACATGGAGCACTGGACGGGCAGACTGGAAGGCGTTCTGACATGTTCCGTGAGGGATATTCGAGAAGCAACTTGACGTAGATAGAGGAGATGCAGACAGAGGAACAGGTGTCTCCAGGGATCAGCTTTCCCAGCGTAATCCCTTTCCTGGGGCTCCTGTCCGCTCCACCTTCCAGCTGCTTAGCTCTCCGCAGAAGCCAGAGTAAATCTGATATGCTCTCCCCTTCTGCTTCCTCCCATGCTCTCAGAGTCATTTCTCCCTAGGGGCAGTGAGCTGCTGAGAAGCCTGGAAAGGGAGAGAGACTTCCCAGTGAAAATGAAGATGGTCTGAGCGGATCACAGCCAGGCCCGGAGAGCGATCTGACAAAGGAGCTATACCACAGAAGCAGAGCTGCGTAATTGGTTGTCAATATATGTATTTCAAAACACAGTCTTCAGGTATCCCAGCTTCCCAGGGAGATAAAAAAGAATCTTTCAGTATGAAAGCTCGTTATATCTCATGGAGAGCGCGCTGGTGCTTCCCAAGGACAGAGCGAGGAGGTAGAGTCACTAGAGCTGCAGGACGTGGGATTTTTTTGATGCCGTCTTCCACCGCAGCTAGAGGGGTCTTTAGACTTCTGTTTTGTGTCGTTTCCTCTTCTGCAGCTCCCCAGGTAGGGCAGGATGGTTGGTGTTTGGCTTGTGGAGGTAGTAGCCCGGTAATTTGGGCACAGATCTGCTCTGTGGAGGAAAATGCTCATTCTCCATGTTTTCTCTGTGGCTAAAAGAGGATAATAAAATCTTTTTTCCTCTCGGGGACTTGGAGAAGATTAATTTATGCTGCCTATGAAGTGTTTTAAGCTCTAGCACAGGAAGGTGCTAAGCATTCTTTCTTTCTTTCTTTCTTTTTTTGAGACGGAGTCTCGCTCTGTCGCCCAGGCTGGAGCGCAGTGGCGCAATCTCGACTCACTGCAAGCTCCGCCTCCCGGGTTCACGCCATTCTCCTGCCTCAGCCTCCTGAGTAGTTGGGACTACAGGCGCCCGCCACCACGCCCGGCTAATTTTTTTTGTATTTTTAGTAGAGATGGGGTTTCACCGTGTTAACCAGGATGGTCTCTATCTCCTGACCTCGTGATCCGCCTGTCTCGGCCTCCCAAAGCGCTGGGATTACGGGCGTGAGCCACCGCGCCCGGCCGGTGCTAAGCATTATTTCTAAAGTTCGTTTCTTTAACCCATCCTGTGAAGTAGAGATCTTTATTAATTGGAGTCTCCTTCATCAGAGTCTGGTGGAATGCCTCCCATTCTCCAAAGTGAAATGGCCATAGGTTGGTGGTGGTGGTAGGGGGTTGAGGATGGGAATATCAATCAATTTAATTGGTTTACTTCAAATGGGAGGGCTTTCTATGAACCGTGGGTGCTGCTGAATTCACCCGAAGGAGAGAGCCAATGTTACCCAGGCCAGCCTGGGCAGGGCTCGTCTGATGCCTCTCATCTCAGGAGTTGAGGAGGATGGAATTACCATTGAGATCCAGGCAGCCAGAAACCCCAAGATGAGAGTTTCCACATGGCTTGGGGAAGGCAGAGAGACAGACCTGGGCACTGGGCTTGGAATAGTCAGTTACCTTACTTGGCCAGGCCAATTGTTCAAACTCAGAAGTGGGCTCAGGAGTGGAGCACCTGTGCCTCCCAAGGTGTCCCAGCATGGGATGAAGGCCAGTGAGGAGTGTCTTTTCATGAGTTGCTTCTGGGATGGCTTTTCACACCTCCAGAGTGAAGTATAATCAGATATGCATCCTGAACAGAGAACAAAGCTAGTCTTGAATCAAGAAATGTTCTTTAGTTTATTCACTTAATAAATATTTGTTGGACATCTACAATGAGTCACAGTTTTAAGTTTAGGGGATACAGCTGTGATCAAGTTTGTCAAGGTCCCTGTTCCCAAGGAGCTTACATTCTAGCCAGAAAGACAGTCAATAAACAAGTAAACAAATTCCCCTATGTATGTACACCAGAATGCAAGCTCTGCAAGGGCAGGCTTTTAGAAAAATCTATTTTGTTCATTGTTGTATTCCTAGCACCCAAAATAAGCCCTGATCACTAGATATTAGGTGCTCAATAAGTATTTGCTGAATAAATAATAGAAATGATAATTTCAGATTGCAGTAAACACAATGAAGGGAATGAATCAGAGTGCAGGTGGGAGATGGAGATGGAAAAATGAGTAAGAGCTGGACGAATATAAAGTCTTGCCGGCATTGGTAAGAGTTTGGGAAAGAGCAATGAGTTCTAAGCACAGGAAATATGCGATGAAGCTTACATTTTACAAAGATCATCCTGACTGCTGAGGGAGAACAGATGGGGAAGTGGAGTGAGTGGAAGCAGGGGAGCCAGGGAGGAAGCTGTTTTTTTGGTCCAGACCAGAGGTGCTGATGTTTTGCCCCAGGCAGGAAGCCAGGGAGTTGGTGGTGGGAAGTGGGCCGGGTTCCAGTTGTGTTCTGAGGGTAGCACTAGTGGTATTTTTTAACGGCTTGAATGTAGGGATCAGAGGAAGAGGAAAGTCCAACATGACCCTGGGGGTTTTGGCTCCAGCCAAAAGATAGATAACAGAGTTGTTAACAGAGGGGTGAACACTGGAGCTTCTGGAAGCCTGGCCCCAGAGGTGGGTGAGATTGGTCAGGGAGGGAGGGTGAAGCCCTAAAGGTCGTTTTCCTGGGGTGTGTCTTGAACACCTGGACATTTTGGCCAGGCTTGTGGAGAGGTTTGCACATGATAAAAATGAGAGAGATCAAAGCTTTAGAGTCATAGATTTTTAAAAAAATATTTAGATGCTAAAAGATCTTAAAAATACAAAACTGGTGGTTTTAACTTGCTTTTTTCTACTTTGAAAGGCAAGGAATCTTTTCTTTTCATTTCTTTTCTTTCTTTCTTTCTTTTTCTTTCTTTCTTTTTTTTTTTTTTTTTTATAAAGGGTCTTGTTAAGTTGCAGGCTAGAGTGCAGTAGTGTGATTCTAGCTCACTGCAGCCCTGAACTTCTGGGCCTCAAGCCATCATCCCACCTCTGCCTCCCAAAGCACTGGGACTACAGGCATGTACCACCACACCTGGCTAAGTTTTACATTTTTTGTAGAGAAGGGGGTCTTGCTATAATATGTTGCCCAGGCTGGTCCTGAACTCCTGGCCTCCTCCTGTCTTGGCCTTCCAAAGCTCTGGGATTATAGGCTTGAATCACTGTGCCCAGCCAGGATTTTTTTTTTTTTTAATTGGAAGCCCATAAGCAACCCAATATGTAAGATAATTTAATTGTTCTAACTATAAATCCAAGTCTTCTGTATTTGGCTGCCCTTCTTCATGCCTGTCCAGATGCTCTCTCAAAGGCAACAAAAATGTCTTGTTCCCACCCACTGGTGGATTGATGTTAGGAATTCCACAGGTAGAGATTAATTCCTTTGACTTAACATTTCATTCCCATAAAACACAAAGTCCATAAGGAAAAGCACAGTAGGACATTATTAAGCCTCATCAATCCTTCAAGACTTTAGTGAAACCAGATTTACATTCTTTCTTTGGAGTTGATGTTGATGGATTGAGGGAAGGCTGCTGGATCATGAAGATTTTGAGTGTGAGGAATGGGACAAAGTCTAGGAAGAAGTTCCAGCAGGAGAAGGGGCTCATTTGATGGTCTTGCTGAGGCCTGTTGAATTTGTATTGTGTGGCCATTTTTGCCTTCTAGATTTGCCCCTCTCACACCATCTTCAGGAAACTTTCAGTGCCTTACCTGCTGTTGGTTCTGATGAATTTTGCTGAGACACTCTATCTCCTTTTGTATGCATTTTGTAAAATTCAACATTTATGAAACAAGCGGAGTCTTACAAAAACATCTGAGGGTTAAATCTAGCTTTGGCTCGCAAGTTGTAGATTCCTAAAAAATATAATGTTGGGCATTTTATTTATTAGCTATTGTTTGAGGAGTCCAGATGGGATGACCAAGGCCTAGTTTTTATGTGCCTAGAGTAGAAGACTGACTATAAATGTAGTATAGTTTGGAGGGTCTTCTTCAAATATCACCCTTTTAGGCATCCCAGGAACTGAAATGATAACCATTAGGACTTAGAGGAGAGTAGGGTCAGAGAGTGAGGTTTAAGGGATTAATGGTTTTCATTAAGATGCAAATGTATTATCTACAGTGGAAAGCCTATTGATTCTGTTTGGTCATTAACATCTAAGCACTTTAAGACTATAATCAAAGACCTCTGTAAACTGTGATTATACCTTTTAGCTTTAATATTGCTATTGGACTACTACTATGCATAGTAGTAGTCCAATAGTGCATAGTGGTAGTTCGATAGTGCATAGTAGTTGTACTATGCATAGTAGTAGTCCAATAGCATTATTGGCCCTTACTAGGGACCAGGATTATATAGATGAACACAATTTGGGCCCTGCCTTCAAAGGCATTTACAATCTATGGGAGACTGGCAGGGCCAAGGTGTTGTCTTTTTGTTTACCACTCTACACCTGGGCCCCCCACAGTGCCCAGAACATGGGGGAACTTAATAAATGGATGGACCTAGGCATTTCCACAACTCTGCAGAGCATAAGTGCTAAAAGTGAGAACTAGCAGGAACCTAAGTGAGTTTCTCAGATTAGCTCCAGAAAGGAGAAGAGACTGGGGAGATGGACATGGGTTGGGGGGAACTGGGGGTTGATAAGGAAAGAGTGGATCTTGCTGAGACTCCTTCCTTGAACCTAGCAGGTCTGGAAAGCTTAGGGGGTGGAGTTGCCAGGAAAGGAGAATGTCACAGGAGCAGGGGGGGAGCTGGAAAAGAGCTAGAACTTGGAGCACCAGCTGGAGCAGAGCAGGTAGCAGGATGGCCTGAGGACCCAGTGGAATTGGGGGTGGCGGGCTGAGAAGGCATGGTCAGGTGGGCACTCAGCCCAGGCTGCTAGCAGGCTCCTAGCCTTGGAGGACTTCCCATGGGGTCCTGCCTACAGTTGCCCTCATGAGAACATTCTTTGGGTGTGAGTCCCAGGCCTTTTCTTAAGCCCAGTGTTCTCATTCTTTCCCTGGCACCTGACAAAGTGGGTTATCTCACAATCCTCTCCCCGAGTTAAGTGATAATTTTAATAACTGCAGGATTTTATGTTGGTAATTGGTCCCTGAGAACAGAGATGTTAATTGCAGCTCTTATCAATGCCTGTTAGAGCAAGCTGGTTTGAAGTGAAAACAATGCTTTCAGGTGTAGCTTGGACTCTTTCCCAGGTTTGGCAACTTGACTTAGTTCAAGGTCAGAACATCCTGTTAGAGTCTGGAGGCGAGGATTTGGAAGCCTGACTCATACGCTTGTGGTCAACCTCAGCAGTTTTTCCTGGTTCCCATATTCTCACCTACATTTTTTTTTTTTTAGACGCAGTCTTGCTTTGCCACCCAGGCTGGAGTGCAATGGTACGATCTCAGTTCACTGCAACCTCTGCCTCCTGGGTTCAAGCGATTCTTCTGCCTCAGCCTCCCAAGTAGCTGGGATTACAGGCGCCCACTACCATGCCTGGGCAATTTTTGCATTTTTAGTAGAGGTGGGTTTTCACCATGTTGGCCAGGCTGGTCTTGAACTCCCGACCTCAGGTGATCCACCCATCTTGGCCTCCCAAAGTGCTGGGATTACAGGCGTAAGCCACCGGGCCTGGCTGACCTACGACATTTTAGCCTCATCTTCTGGCATGTAAACACTCAGTACAAGGACCCAGAGTATTTGCAGTTACTGGACATGCCTGATGTTTTCATATCTGGAAACAGCCTCTTCTTTCATCTCTGAAAGCCTTGATTTGCTCATCTTAAAAATGGGGCAATCATCCCATATGCATAAGATTGCTGTGTGAAAAGTGTGGTATGGTTGAAAGAGCATGGATTTGGGGGTCAGATGAACAAAGTTTTAATTTCTTCTCTCCCGTTTACCACATTATTGTGTGGTCATGGATTATCAATAACTCCTCAAGTAATAAAATGCAAATAATCATATTGATTTTATTTGGCACATCAAGGCAATCTTAGGCAATATTTTCCTCCCTTTCTCCCTCACCCATGTGTCTTGTCCTGAAAGTCTTAGCTCCCTTGTGGATATGTCATGGTGGCTCATTATGGAATTTTATGCTCTCAGCCTCCTTGGGATCTCAGAATGCCTCTACTCCAGGCCACACTCAAGCAGTTCCACCATTCTCAGCCTACTATTCCCCTTTACTGCAAAATGACCACTCCTTTCTCCCTCATCCCACTCCCCCAAAGAGGCTGGCCTCAGTTAGGTGTTGGGAGGAAAGCAATCTGTTTAGCAGAATTCATTATCAATGTGCTAATGAACCATCGATCTTTAACCCTTATAGGAATATTTCCCCCATGGGAATATTTGCATTTTCCACCTGAATTCCTAATCCATGGAAGAATCACCCAGGTAGAACTTCTGGCTGGAGGATAAAGGAAAGTGTAGAATTTCAGGCATTATGGAAGAGGCACTGGTGATAAAGTTGGAGAGGTAGCGTCGTGTTCAGGTTGGTCAATTATGCCTTGCTCTGCAGCACCTCAGTTCCCTGCAGTGCCTGTACCTAAAGCTATCCCTGGGCAGTGTGTGAACAGAGAACACAGCAATTCCAGATCTACATCTACAGAGAGATGCTATCTATCTGCCCCCCAATACTGTTCTTTCAAAGGTCTGAAGGATTAAGATCTGGCCTGTTGTTGAACTTATTGTTTAGAATTTGCATGACCCATTTTATTTTCAGAGTTCTTTTTATTCATTAATTATTCATTTATTTAATGCAGTTTTTAATTGTATGCTTATTCCATCTTGCAAAGGTGGAATTATTCAGAGGAACATTTAAAAGAAATTAGCAGTATGACAGAGCTTATAATTGTGCTTTAATCTTAAATTAATATTCCTCCTGTTTTCATGTTACCAGAACAATTATCCCAAACGGTACCAGAAGCAGGAAATTATGTATTGTCCTATATATGGCATTCCCTCCCAGAGAGCACACTATTTATCATGGCTTTTTAGTCTCCTCCGTGTGCAATGGAAGATAAAAAATCTCAACAATATTTCGGTGTTTGGAGAAGATTAAAGCACCCGCAAACATTCGTGTTTGTCTCATCCACTCCCTCTGCTGCATCTAACTGGGTCAGAGTTTTAGGTGGGTTCAGCAATGTGGCTTTTTATTTGGAGTTTCTGGGGACTTTCTGAAAAAGTCACATAAGCAACCCTAGCAGAAGAAACTGGAAATGTGCAGGTTTCTCTCAATATTTCCTTTTCGCAGTACTTCCCCTTTTTCAGACTGGTGGTAGTAGCTACAGTGTGCCTGCTGACATTAGCTGAAATAAGTGTAAAGAGGAAAAAGCCAGCATTTAGATCCCTGGACTGGCTGGGGATTTCTTTTCTCCTAAAGAAGAGCTCCTGACTTCAGGCTGCAGCCCTTAAACTGAAGTGCTTTCCCACCTTGTTTGCTTTCATGGGAGACCCGAGAAAGATGATCTGGGCTACTGGAGGAAGAGCCTATTAGAAATTGTATTCGGGTTCTCCAGAGAAACAGAACCAATTGAGTATATACATACAACACACACATACCTACATACACAAGGAATTGGCTCACATAATTGTGGGTTCTGGCAAGTCCAAAATCTTTAGAGCAAGTTGGAAATTCTGGTAAGAGCTGACGTTGCAGTATTGCATCTGAAGGTTGAAAACTCAGGCAGAATGTCTATGTTGCTGTCTGGTGGTAGAATTTCTTCTTTTTTCAGGAAATCGATCTTTGTTCTTAAGGCCTTCAACTGACCCATGCATATTATGGAGGATAATCTGCTTTAAGTTCAACTGATCGTAAATGTTAATCACATTTTTAAAATGCCTTCACAGAAACACCCAGATTGTGTCTGACCAAACAAATGGGCACCAAGGTCTAGCCAAGTTGACACATGAAACTGACCATTGCAGAGACCTCTTGTCCTGCTGACTGTGGAGTCTGTGATGCCTTCTTCACATGACAAGCAGTGGGCTCTCAGGTGTGTCTCCCCCACCACCGACCATGCTTTGTGAGCTTGCCTAATTGGCGATTTCTTCTGTCAACCAGATTCCCTTCTTTGGAGAAAAGCCACATGTGGCCCTTGCAGGATGGCTGGGGTTTGGGGTTTTTTTTTTTTTTTTTTTTTTTTTTTGAGACAGAGTCTCACCCTGTTGCCCAGGCTGGAGTGCAATAGCACAATCTCAGCTCACTGCAACATCTGCCTCCTGGGTTCAAGCCATTTTCCACCTCAGCCTCCTGAGTAGCTGGGACTACAGGCACCCACCACCATGCCCAGCTAATTTTTTTTTGGTATTTTTTAGTAGAGATGGGGTTTCACCATGTTGGCCAGGCTGGTCTTGAACTGCTGACCTCAGGTGATCCACCCACCTCGGCCTCCCAAAGTGCTGGGATTACAGGCGTAAGCCACTGTGCCCAGCCCCTTTTCTCTTTTGCCATCACTTCCTGTCTTCCTATCCAGCTCTCTTGACCTCCCATGCAGACACACAGGGCCCTCTCTTACAACAGCATTTAAAAAGTATACTATTTATTTATTTATTTATTTATTTATTTATTTATTTATTTATTTTGAGATGGTGTCTTGCTCTGTTTCCCATGCTAGAGTACAGTGGCACAATATCGGCTCACTGCAACCTCTGCCTACTGGGTTCAAGTGATTCTCCCACCTCAGCCTCCTGAGTAGCTGGGATTACAGGTGCATGCCACCTCACCCAGCTAATTTTTGTATTTTTAGTAGAGATGGGGTTTCACCATGTTGGTCAGGCTGGTCTTGAACTCCTGACCTTGTGATCCACCCACCTTGGCCTCCCAAAGTGCTGGGATTACAGGCGTGAGCCACTGCGCCTGGCCCACTTTTTAATAAAAGTATTACATACGTGCAGAAAAATGCACAAACCATAAGACTGCAGCTCAATGCAGTTTCACCAAACTCATTATGAGCCTCCTTATGTAACCAGCCCCAGACTGGGACGCAGAGGATCAGCACTCCCAGAAACCTCGCTCCTGTTGCTGCCCTGGTCCCCTCTCCCCAGCCCCAAGCCCCACCTCTAGTCTAACTCCTAGCACCAGACATGTGTTTTGCATTTTCTTTTGTTGAATTTTATATAATGGGACAATGCATTCTGTTTTTCTTTTTTTTTTTTTTCACCATAGCATAGTTTTGCATGGGGAAAAGACCATTCTGGAAATACTCTGAGTGACTCTGTCCCCTCCTTCCATCTGTCCTTGCAAGTGTGGCTTTTTTGTTACACATGGGACATTGTGCCAGAGACTGTGGACAGACATAGTTGCCCAAGAGATGTGTTATAGAACAGCAACCAGAGGCTCTGTGGGGAAACTGGGAAGGGGCCCTGCCTCAGCCCGGCAGGCTCAGGGCAGTTCTCAAAACAGGCTGGCTTCAGCCCCCTCCTGCATCCTTTGAGGAAGCCCCTCTAAGGGAGAGCAGTCCTCCTTATTGGCCCTGTGGAGAAGTGGTGCTGCAGGTGCTTGCGGGAACTTGTCCTGATTGGCAGAGTCCCAGCTAAGTTGCTGTCAACCTTGACCCACCTGTTCTCACTTTCAGGGACCTCTTTGTTCTCTGTGAGCTGCTGGTCTCTGATAGACTAGTTGCTGATAAGCATTGTGGTTGATATCAATTTCCCACATTGCACCCTCTTGATAAGGCACCGTGAACCAATGAGCATCTCTGCTCCAGTTGGGCTGCCTGTGGGGATGTGTCTTCATCTCCTTCAGTGCCTTCTTTCCTCTTCCAGGCCCTAGGCTATCACCCAAGGCTGTATCCTCCATGTCCCTGTCCTTTATTACGTTACTTTTCATCACAGATCTTACTTCCTCCCATACCTCCTATCTTCCCAATGTTATCCCAGGCCTAACCTGCATTTCCACTGCCAGTGGGACCATTTCTCACAGGCTTCTGGCCGGTGTCTCAGACTCCTGCTCCTAAAACATCCTCTTTTCTCCTGCCATCATTGTGCCACTGTCCTTGCCCACCTTTCCCCAACCCACCAGTTGCCAGTCCTCTTTCTTCTGACTGCAGGATCCCCGTGTGCTGCGCCTCTTCCCAGGCCCCTCGCCACCACCCTCTTCCCCTGCCTGTGTAGCTCTGTCTAGAGGGCTGACAGTGTTGACTGCCCTTCCTGCCTCATCCCTCTCCATCTCCAGATTCCCTTCCTCATCATCTGATGCCTTTTTAGGGTCAACCTTCCATTGCTGCTCAGTGCCTAGGGGACAAAGCGCCATTTGCTGGCCTGCCATCCCGAGCCCTCCAGAACGTATCCCCAGCCACTCAGCTTGGTGGAGAATCCATGATTTTCCAGTTATCCTCAGTTGCACTTCTGCCTTTTCCATGCCTGCCACGTTTGCTGGTGCTGCTTCTGTGGGACATAGCGCTTTAGAGCTGGACAGACACAGGGGAATCACAGAGCTCCAGCCCCTCCTCTCACAGGGCATCCTGGTACTTCCTGCATGCCACCAGCCCATTGTCTAGCAGAGCCTTTCCGGGTGGATGATCCCAGCCGGAAGTGATCTTTCCCTTCCTGAACTCCACTGCACTTAACCACGTGGTTCTTACCTTGTGCTAGAGTTAATTTTGTATCTGAATGTTCAACCTTCCTGTGGTAGACAGAATAGTGCCAACTCTCTCTCCTCCCTCAAGGACATCCACTTCCGAATTCCTGGAACCTGTGGCTATGTTATGTTACACGTCAAAGGGGAATTAAGTTGCAGATGGAATTGAGGCTGCTAATCAGCTGACTTTGAGATGAGGAGATAATCCTGGATTATTCATGTGGACCTGGTATCATCACAGTGGAGGAGGGAGGCAGAAGAGTCAGTGTCAGAGTGGTGTGATGTGAGAGGTGCCACCAGCCATGCTGACTGTGAAGGTGGAGGAAGGGGTCACAAGCCAAGGAATGTGAGCAGTCTCTAGCTGGAAAAGGCATTGAATGGATGCTCCTTTAGAGACTCCCTTTCTCAGTGGGGAAGGAATGCGGCCGTGGCAACACCTTGATTTTGGCCCATTGAGATCTGTGCCAGACATCTGACCTCCCTAACTGTAAGATTAAAAATTTGCATTGATTTTAACCCCTAATTCTGTGGTAATTTGTTACAGTGGCAATGGAAAACTGATACACTCTCCAGCTAGATTTTAAACACTGAGAGGGCAGAGACATTCCTTATGCTTCTTTTTGTATCCCACAGGATGTGGCATAGTGCCTTGTATACATTAAGCACTCAGTTAATGTTTGCTCTATGGTTCCAGAAAGCTTGGTAAAGAGGGCAAAGCTGGCTTTTATGCCTCCTTCTGCCCTCAGAGCCCCTTAATGCCCTCCTGGGCTCCCATTCTGGCCCCTGGTCATCAACCTTTTCTGTGTCTCATTCCTGATTTTATTTAATCTCTGTTAATGAACGATATCTCAAGGTTGGACCCTTCCTGGGAATATTTGCATATAAAAGGCTAGCCCTGTAGTTATAAACAGACCCACACTCAAAGGTGTTAAGGGATAGTGGTGGAACAACCAGGTGATGATGTTGATGGCGTGGTCCTTACCCTCTGGAGGATAAGGAGACAGAAGACATGGGCCCTAACCTTTGCTTCTGGGTTTCATTAGAGAAACCACGTAATCTTTCTGACCCTGAGAAGAGCTCAAGCTCTGATCATCTCACAGGGCGGCCGATCTGAGCACCTCAGACTGGGGTAGTCTTACCCCACTGTGCCGAAGAGTGTGGAAAGCCACAGGATAAATGCGGTGCATCTTCCAGTTGTCTCTATTTTAAATGATATTTTTATATTAAAACAAACATGAGTGCATTCCAGGCAAATGGCCTCACTTGCTGAATTTCTATGCAGGCTGACCCATCCCCATTTCCGGAGGAGGCCTGGAGTTGCAGCCAGCAGGTCCCAGGCTGAGGGCCTTGCTCTTGCTTGCACTTTCCCTTCTCACCAGAGATGGGACTTCTCCCTTTACCCCTACCCTGGGCTCAGGCAGGTGAGCAGAGCCGTGGCTGCCTGCTTGCCCTCTGGGATGACCACACTTCTTTTTTTTTCTCCAGGGCTTAGTTCCTGATCCTCTTGCCTCACCTCCTGGTGCAATCAGTTGTGTTGCCTCCATCTGTTGTGTGGAGCAATGATGCTTCCCTTTCTGCTCCGACACACTTGGCTTCTGGCACGCGGGCAGTGGAAGGGCCTTGAGAGATCATGACCATGTTCAGAGTTCTGGCCTCAGCTCTTCCACCAGCTAGCTGGAAACCCTAAGCAGCTCACCTCACCTCTATGGGGCTCCATTCCTCACTGCAATAGTTGGGGCTGCAGTAGGCAGGCTTAGAAAAGCAGGCAACCAAGAACCCTGACTCAGAATTCTCTCAGGACTCCCAACACCCTCAGGAGGAAACCCAGCCTTCTCATTATGGCTCACAAAGCACTTCATGGTCTGGTCAAGCTTTACCTTGAGGGCTTTGTGTTTATTCACCTGTTGAAACTCTATGGTCTGGCAAAAATGAATGCCTTGAAGCTCCCAGAACATACCCTATTCTCCCTTATTCCCAGGACTGCTCCTCTGTAGCCATCGCTTTCCTGACCCCTTTCCTGCCTCTCAATCCCTTAGACTCTTACTTACTTTTGGGGGGTTCTGCTAAGTCTTCACTTCCTGAAGCAGCCCTTCTGACCCCCACCAGCTCAGATTTGGTTGGAGGCTACTTTCTTGCAGGGCATGAACTTGATTTGGGTGCGATTCTAATGCCCTGCTTACTTCTCTGAGTCCTCTTTACCCCATAGGGTCTGTCCAATTTTAGAAGGCAAGACATGTGGTTTGTTCCTGTAGAATCCTCGTGCCTAGAACTGCACTGTCTAGCAGGGTCACCCCCAGCTACAGTTGGCTATTGGGCACTTGAAACATGGCTACTCTGAATTGAGATGTGCTGGAAGTGTCAAATCCACACTGGATTTCAAAGACTTCGCATGAAAAAAATGTAAAATAATTTTACATTCTCATTCATCATTTTTTATATTGACTACTTTTTGGAGAGATGTCTTAGGGCATACACACTATGTTAAATAAAGTGTATTATTAGTTTTACCTGTTTCATTTTACTCTTTTGAGGAATGTGGTGACTAGAAATCCAAAATTTAAAATCACATATAAGGCTTGCATTTATGACTCGCGTTATGTTTCTGTTAGGCTGCACTGGTATGGAGTGTATTGCCTGGCACATCTGGTTAATGAACAAACTGGTAGATGGATCTATGTGAAAGGGTAGGTGACTGTCTTCCCACCTCAGGCTCAGCTCATGTTGCTTTGCTCCAAATATGACCCCACAGCCCACTCATGCTCAGTGCTTAGAGCTGGGCAGCCTGGCTATCAGTGGCCTGTAGACCTGAGTCTCTTAGAGATGGAGCAACCTGGGATGGAACACCCTACTTTAAGCCTATGGACTCTGTCTTGAAGGAACCTTGTGCACCTGTGTCCATATTTCCAGGAATAAAATATTAACATGACATTCTGAACTGAACAGAACAGATGCTTATTTTGATCAATTGCAACATCCCATGATACCGTAAGTGGTGTTCATTCTTACTGGCACTAGGTGAGGACACATTTCTTACTGGAAATTTCTCACTTTGTAATATTTTGATTCTGTAATCAAACAAGATATACTGATTAGCTTGAGACTTTTTCAAGGAAAGCTCTGCAACCATAAAAGAACAAAGAACCCTTTTCTTATTGTACCTTTCCTTTGTGTGTAGAACTTTGGCTTTTTCATCATCCTGTACTTTATGGGGTTATTGTGTAGGCAGGTTGGAAGGAAGAGTTTAGTAGACTGCTTATCACTGTCAAGAGTCTTTGAACTCTGATTTCTTGAGGATTTAGTGGTTACTTGGAACAGCTATGGGTACAGTGAGAACACAGTTTTCTGGAGATGCTACAGCTCTAACTGGGCACAGAAATTCTCGAGTCTGGTTGACATTTTGAAAGCCATATTTTTAGTATACGATAGGTCTCAGATCTTACAATTATACTCAGCATTTACAGAGTACTTTTATAATTTCCAAAATGCTTTCACACACAGTATCTTATTTGGTTCGTACCTTCAGTCCCCTTTTAAACAAAACTCTTCTCAGAGATGCTTACACTTGCTGTCTTTAATTTCTTTCTTCTGGCTCTTCATTAAACCCCCTAAATTGTGCCTCTAGGCCCACCACTGTGTTGACACAGCTCTCGTGAAAGGTTTCCATGACCCACAATGTTGCTAAGTCCCATTCTCAGTCTTCTTATCTCATTTGACCCAATTGAGGCATTTGACACAGTTGATTGCTCTCTCCTACTTGAAATTCTTTTTTCATTTGGCTTCAAGGACGTTGTGCATGCCTGGCTTTCCTCTGACCCCACAGGCAGTTCCTCTCCATCTCCTTGGCTGTTAGCTCCATGTTCCTCCCCACCTTTTGTGTGTGTGTGTGTGTGTGTGTGTGTGTGTGTGTGTGTGTGTGACAAAATCTCACTCTGTCACCCAGGCTGGAGTACAGTGGCATGATCCTTGCTCACTGCAGCCTCTACCTCCTGGGCTCAAGTGATTCTCCCAACTCAGCCTCCTGAATAGTTGGGAATACAGGGACACATTACCATGCCTGGCTACTTTTTAATATTTTGTAGAGATGGGCTCTCACTATGTAACCCAGGCTGGTCTGGAATTCCTTAGCTCAAGCAACCCTCCTGCTGACCCTCCTGCCTCAGGCTCCCGAAATGCTGGGATTATAGGTGTGAGCCACCATGCCTGGCTATTTCCCTGACTTTTAATCCTGGAGCCTCCTAGGTCTCAGATCTCAGATGTCTTCTCTTCTCTAGCTATACTCACTTCATTGGTGATTTCACTGTCTCATGGTTTTAAATATCATTAATAAGCTAACAATTCCTAAATATTTTCCAAGAGCCTAGATCTCTCCTTGTAATTCCAGTTTCATATATCCAACTACCTACATACTACCTCTACTTGGTTGTCTAAAAACAACTCCAGCTTTACATTCCCAAACTGATGCCCTGGGCTTCCTTCTGTGGTCTTCTCCTTTTCAATTAATGCCAACCTCATCCGTCTACTTGCTAAGAGCAAAGACTTCAGAGTATCTGCGTCTTCTCTTTCCTCACAGCCAACGGCAAATATTTTCACCTCTAACATTGTCTCATCCTGAATGTGGCGATGTCTCATCGTTTCTACTGCTGTCACCCTGGGGTGAACCACCATCATCTTCTGCCTGGGTTATCTCAGAAGTCTCCATGCTGGTTTCCCATTTTTACTCTTACTCAGCACATTCTGATCTCAACAGAGCTCTCAGAGTGATCCTGTTAAAATAAGAACTGGATCATGTTGCTCCTTTACTCAACCAGCTGCCACATACCCAGAGTAAAACCAAAATCCTTCCAATGACCTTAGAGGCCCTATGCAATGTGGCACTCCCCTGACCTCAGACTATTCTTCTCCACTTCGCTTCACACTAGCCATACTGGCCTCCTTGCTTTGTCATTCAATTCTAGGTGACATGGCTGTCTTGCAGCTTTGCATTTGCTTTTCTATGGAATGATTTCTCTTCAGAGAGCCTCACATCTTTCTCCCCTCTCTCCTTTATATCTTTTACTCAAATGTCTCCTTTTCACTGAGAACTTCCCTGACCACCCTACTTAAACATGCAACTCCTGTTATCTACATTTCCGTATTCCCCTTTCCTACTTAAATTTTTTCCCCATGGTACTTAATGCCATCTAACATACTATGTATTTTGCTTAATTTATATCATCAATCATCTGTCTCAATTAAACTGTCAGATACATGAGAGCAACGGTTTTTATTTCCATTGCTATATCCCCCAGCACCTAGAACAGCCTTACCTACAGGGCAAGCTCATTAAGTATTTGTAAATAAATGAACAGTCCTAGAAAATAAGCATTATTATTCTTCTTTTCTCCACTGTATGAAGGAATTGAGAGCTCAACAAGACCTGAAACCAAACCAAATATTCACACACATACATACATACATGACACACACATACACACACACACAGACACACACAGACAGACGTACACATACACATACAAAATAAAACTGAACCCAGCACAGGTATAGTGTAACTAAAGTGTTTGACTTGCGGAGGGGGTAAGAACGCTGGGTCAAGACAGGGTGTAGACTACTTGTGTTAGGTCTGTTTGGTTACCAAAAGAGGCTTCTAAGTAAGCCATAAACTAAAAAAATTCAGGCTAATGTTTTACAAATGTGTATTTTAAAATAATTGTGTAAACTTTTCATTAAATATTTTCACAATGACATCAAAGCAATAGTCATTCTAATTCTAAGCACAATAGCAAGATTTATATGTCATCAGGAAGTTTGAAACTTCATAGCAATAGAAGTGCAAAATTCTTAAACATGAGACTAAATTAGAGAAGCCTCAGGCTCTCTCATGCCAATATTTCAGGATCCTCGAGGTTTCAGCAGTTGGTTGCCAAGTGCTGCTTAATAGGCACAAGTGACAGCTCAAAGGGTGCTTCTTCCACCATGATGCTGCGAAGCCCAGTTTTAGATTATACAGATGAGAAAATCATGTTTCAAGTCTCATTTTGAAATTTCATCCCCTTTTTTGGAAGACTTTCTTAGCCCCCCAGAATTGATTAGATCCCCCTTGCTGTAGTTAGGGCTGGCTTCATGGATGTGCCACCTGTGAGTGGCCTCACCCTTTAGAAGGGTCTCACACTTGGTTTAATGCTTCACTGTCACTGTTTTAACATTCTTAATCATTTTTGAACAAAGGCCCCACATTTTTATTTTGCTCTGTGCCCCACAGGGGCCAACTCATACCGATAAGTCATAGCTGGGTGAAGAAAGAAGCACTAAGGAAGGACCAGGATGGACAAAGCAAGAGCCAGTTTCAATTGTGTTTAAATGATCATAGATCAGGTTGAGTTATTTGGTAGTTTTATGAAATTTATTTGCATAAATTTCCTGTGCATGTTTGGCCATTGCTTCATTTAATGATTCATTAAATTTTGTTCCATTTAAATAGCCGTTTCAAAATTCATTTCATTATGTTCTGATTGTTTTCCAGAACTCATAAATCCAAGTTTAGTGACATGGCATGTTATCCTTGGTAATACATTTTAACATTATGCTGTTCTTCTGATGAAAGGGGGGGAAATGCAATATCCAAATTGCTATATTCTTTTTACCTTTAAATTTTCTTTGCTTCTGGAAAGCTCATTTTTCAAATTTGAAATCTTAAAACAGTAATTGCATACCTAAGGGCTTATAAAGGCTAGACAGGTCATGTACCTAAAGGAAAGAGACCAGGTGTGGATGATGGGGACTGTGGCAAACTGGAGAGTGTGTGCTACTCAAAGGGGCCTCTGTTGTCACTCTATCTCACTGAGATCATGGGGAATGTAAGCCTGGCATTATGAGATATTTCTTTCTCCAAAAAAGGGACCTCAAACATAGAAATTCATGTGAAATCTCTTGCTTTTTAAAAACGTGGGCTCAAGTAAAGTACCATGTGGCTACTCTTGCAGAGGTAATTTTTGACATAATTCCTTCACTTTGTCCCAATTAGCACTGACATATTTTTCATTTCTCTCGTATGATAAGCTTTTTAATATAAGGAGTAACATGTGTCTAATTTCATCTTGAGGCTCCTTGGAGAGAACTTCTGTAACATTTAACATTTGTGAAGAAATGACAGCAACCCACCTAGTTAGCTAACCTCCTGTGAGTGGGAAGAGACATTTGGTAAACTTCCTATGTTCTGGCAACCTCCAGGAGCTTCTCTATCATAGCTAATCGTGCTATGTGCTCTGTGTAGCACTGTGCAATAGAAATATAATGGAAGCCACAAATGGAATTAAAATTTTTCTGTAGCAGCCACATTTAAAAAAAAGAGACAAGTGAAATTAATTTTAATAAAATATTTTAACTCTATCTAAATTATTACCATTTCAACATGTGATCAATATAAAAATTATTGATGAGTTATGTTATCTTCTTTTCTTTTACACTAAATTAAAAAAATCCTGTGTGTATTTTCTACTTAAAACACATCTCAATTTGGACTAGCTGCATTTCAAGTGTTCAATAGCCATACAGGGCTAGTGGCTGCCATATTGTAAAGTTCAGGTCATGCTGTGCTTTTGTGCTCAGTCACTCAGCTAGGAATTTGGTAGATTTAATAGTTTTGCTTAGTAATTTGGACTCTTTGGACTCTTTGCCCTTCTCACTCCATTGACTTGCCCCGAAGTATTAAGTGCAGAATTCTGACACCCAGCTGGGGTTTAGCATTTGCCTGGTATCTTAGTTTGGGCTCCTGTCACAAAATGCCATAGTTTATTAACAACACAATTTTATTTCAGATAGTTCTGGAACATGGAATTCTGAGATCAGGATGTCGACATGGCCAAGTTCTAGTGAGGGGCTTCTTCCAGGTTACAGACTGTATCGGCTTTTCTTCACATGGAGGAAAGAGGACAAAAAAAGCTGCCTGGGATTCTTTTCATAAGAGCACCAATTCCCTTACAAGGGCTCCACCCTCATGAGCTAATCACCTTCCAAAGGCCCTACCTCCTGATTCCATCACTTAGGGCTTAAGATTTCAACCTTGAATTTTGCAGACACAAACATTCAGTCCATAACACAGAGACTGAGAATATTCGGGCAGGGAAGTAACAGCAACAGAAAAATAGAAGGTATGACTAAATTTGAAAATGCTTCAAATCGCTGCAGTGGTCGTACTTAAAATTTCCGGGTGACAGTGTCCCATAGGTGCAGGAAGAGTTTGCCTCTTTCTCACAGTTAGAGGTGTAGGAGGTTAGACATGTGCAACTAACTATGGAGACAACAGTTGTCACTCAGAACCCAGGTGCTGTAGCTCAGGTGGTTTGGATGGGAGGCAGGCAAAGGCTTCTGTATTGGGACAGATGAGCAAGGCAAGTACGCTCTTTGCCTCTAGCTGCAGAAACCAACTGACCTGGCCTTGGAGGAACCCGTGGGTGATTTACAATATCCAAGAGGTATGGGATATGAAAAACCCAGGTACTGATGTTGAGGTGAAGTGAAGGTGTGCTTCAATGCTTAGTCGGGAGATGGCAAGAGGAATTTAGAGGGCAGTCTGGTTCTAGGTCTCTGGGCAGATTCCATCTAGTAGGGTCCAGAGATAAACCTGAAGTTTGGTGTCTCCTGAGTCCATTCACCCCTTGTGATGGTGGTGGGGAAAGGCTTCTGGGCACTGTTATGGCTCATTAGTCCAAACTTTCTCTGTGGAGGGTGTAAAGCTTCTCTTTTTCCCCCCAAATTAGTACATGCTACCTTTCAACACTTCAGTTGTTGCCTTTCTGCATTTGCGTAGAAGTTTGCCCTGTTTTCCATTAGTTGCCATTTTTACTAGTTTGGTTCTGCATTTTGTCAACAGGAATGATTTTGCTGCAGATTGAAAACATAAGTATTTGGCTGAAAATTCTGTAATTGGGGGTTTTGATCTTCTAAACCACAATAACATGGCAAAATTTAGGTAGTTCTTGATATAGGATAGGCTTAGGGAGTGAGAATGTTGATTTGGTGTTCAGGTCAGGCTGAGGAATAACCTTAAGAACTCGAATCCAAGTATGAGTTGCTAGAGTGGGCTACATGAGATTGTAGGTACAAGGGCATAATCATGACCCTGGAGAGAATTTGAGTTGCCTATGTTCTTTAACTTGTACAATTTCTCTTGCTTGGAAATCACTCCCTTTTCTTCAACACTAATTTTTAAAAAAATAAGTATTTTCTCCAATAGTTATTTAAGAATTTCCTTCACAATTCTTATTAAATCAATCCACTCATTCATGCATGCATGCATTCATTTATTAAATATATTCCTCAGTGTACAAACGTTTATTAGACACCAAATGCCAAGCACTGGGCTAGGTGCTGGAGATTGAAAACCAATGAAGCCATGGTCTCCATCCCTAAGAAGCTCAGCACCTGGCAAATTCTTCACACTTCAACCCATCTTGGGTCTCTGGAGTCTATCCAGTCATTTCTCAGTATTCATTTAACTGGTTTTGTGTTCAATTTGTGTTTATTCCTAGTATATTCCCTGAAGTGGCCTGCCTTCCGTAAGTGACTAGGCATTTTCATTAGAAAAAATTATGCATTCTTCTTTCCTTATCATCATAGGGCCTGATGTTCTGCACAGAGTAGGCTCTAACACACACTGTTAACTGAGGGACCACTTTCCAGGGTAAATAAATGGGGTCAGCTGATTATTACTTATATACACGATTGTTGATATTGCTAATAGAAATTTGAGGGTTGTTGACGATGTAGTCAACTGATATGAAAAGCCTCTATTACCAATCTGTAGACCAAACACAGCCTCTGTTTTCCTCATATACACCAGATACCCCATAGATACCCTCCTGCAAAAATGCAGCAGTATGTTTGATTTTTAATGACAGGAGGATTAAATTAAAGTTATGTCTACACGGATGTCTTCCTTGTGTGTTGCAACTGTTCAAGAAGTACGGTTTGGGGAGGTCCCCTAATGAAGTGCATAAATAGTAACTTTCTTTCAAACTGTCAGTGAAGATTGCTGTATTACTCATGTGAATTTCGGTGACCCCTTACTCTAGAAGGAGCCCAGGGTAGAACACATTTTTACAAATAATACACTTTGCTTTGCAGCTCTGATAATTTTGTTCCTGTCTTTGAGTCTGTCATACAACCAGGAGGCTGCTTGTTTCTTAGGACAAAGGTATTTGCAGGGAAACTGATCAAACTATTTTTATTAATAATCTCATTATTATTAATAATCTCATTACGGAGGCATCACCAATGCTTTTGTGCATTTGAGGGCTACCAAATAGATTAAAGTTTTATTCTGGAAACTCTGGAGCCATACAAGAACAAAGAAGCTTATGAGCACAGTGGGTGGTGGTTCTTCCCTGGCTAAGGCACATTTGTGCTTGGGAGAACTGCTGTCCCATTTCTGCAGTATTGCCACCCCTCTGGTAAGGGGTCTTCTAATGAATTGGCCATAGGAGACCTTAAAGGTAGTCATGACTACAGGCTATACCACTGTTAATGAGATTTTCTTTCTGACAGGGCACCAACATGCTCCTTGAAAAAAGGTACAAGGAAGGCTCATTACAGCCACATGCAGAGGCTACTAGCAAATGAGAACAGATTTGCCATTTGTTTTGGTGGGAATCGGGAGGAAGAGGGGAATTGTGCTGGGAGGTAGAGACACATTCTTCTCCTTATGTCCATATTCATTGCATTCAATCTTAGAATAATGGATTCAGTCTCCCAGTTTTCATTCTCACACATTCTGTATGCATTCCCTGCCTTGGACTGGGGATCTAAGTGGTTAGAACATTTGACCAAAGAGGCCAAGGCTGAACTGCTTCCCACAGAGAACAATGAACTTTACAGCCCACATTTCTCCCTATCTGTTCTTCTTCACTCTCTATCCATCCATTTGTGGTTTTCCTGTCTCCCCTTCCCCCTCCCCACCACCCCAGTTTCTGAATAGTGTACCAGGGGTTTAAGACCCTGTTTCTCACATTAGCACTGTGCTTATTCTGAGAGTTTGTGTGGAGCTTCTGGGGTGGGGTGGAGTGGGGCATGAACCTTCTCTCCTTGTTTTGAACCCAGCAATCTTACATATTGATCTAGTCTTTAGGAAATTAAACAAACAATGAAAAAGCTGACATTTTTATGGCACGTCAAAAGTCATAAGCAACTTCCCATACAATATTTCATTTAATTCAAACAATTTAGGAATTGTTACAACCCTAGAGGGGCTAAGTGACATGCTCAAGGCCACCGACTCATTGTGACACAGCTTTTTTGTTTGTTTTTGTTCTTTTGAGACAGCCTTACTCTGTCACCCATGCTGCAGTGCAGTGGTGTGAACATGGCTCACTACAGCCGCAACCTCCCAGGCTCAGGTGATCCTCCCACCTCAGCTTCCCAAGTAGCTGGGACCACAGGTGCATACCGCCACACTTGGCTATTTTTTTCATTTTTTGTAGAGACAGGGTCTCACCACATTGCCCAGGATGGTCTCCAACTCTTGAGCTCAAGCCATCCTCCCACCTTGGCCTCCCAAAGTGCTGGGATTACAGGTGCGAGCCAGCATCCCCGGCCCAGAGCTGGGTCTTAATACCGAGACTAACACCTTTTTCTTTCTCCAGGGAAGAAGGCAGAGGTCACAAAGGTGTGTGAAATGTTGAGCAGGGCAAATGGATCCTGGAGCCCAGGGTCAGAGCTGCTGAGCAAGAGAAAATGCATCTTATTTCTCAGTTTTATGAAGAATAAGCTTGAGATCTTGAATGCCTGGCTGGCTCACAAGAAGCTCAGGGGCAATAGAGGTCAAAGTTTTCTGGAGAGAGAAACTGCTCCTGGGGTCCTCCTTGACTGGGTTTGAGGCAGTGCCCTGGCCTGGGAGAGCGGGCACTGGGTCATCGGGATCCCTTTGTTTATTTGGGTGTTTTCTCTTCCCTATATGAAGCATACAGTGGTGAGTACTTGATAGGGCAGAGTCCTACCTGGTTGGCCAGGGAACAAAACGTTGCTGGTCTTTCCTTCAGAGTGGGGTTGTTAGACAACTTTGTCTAGAAACAGTCACTGTAAGGAACAGGTCAACGACAACTTGGGCAATAGGAACTGAAGAGGGAAGCTCAGTCGCTCCTGGAGGAGAGCCACAGTCCCTAAGGCAAGTTCCCTAACTGTCTGTGAAAAGTAGTATTCAGTAAAATGGGGGAGAGCACTAGAAGTGCTGTGAGGCAAAGGACTGAGGGTTGCTTTTCCTCCATGGAGCCTCCAAACTCTGTGTCATCCACAAAGACTACTTTGGTCTCATCTCTTTCAAGGAAGTACCAAGTGGGAAACCAAATATTGGGCTTTACAAAGCACATTTGAGTTAATGTTTGGCAGGGGATATCTGGATCCAAGGGCAGCTCACAGAGTGGGCCTCACTGACAAGGTGTGGGCCATGACTCAGATTCCTGGGTGTCCTGAACCTCCTGGGGCAGTTCACACGTTCCCTGGCCACTCCCTCTTTTCCTACATGCTGGCCATGGGGAAATCACCACTGGGCACTATAAGAAGCCCCTGGGCTCTCTGCAGAGCCAGCGGCTCCAGCTAAGAGGACAAGATGAGGCCCGGCCTCTCATTTCTCCTAGCCCTTCTGTTCTTCCTTGGCCAAGCTGCAGGGGATTTGGGGGATGTGGGACCTCCAATTCCCAGCCCCGGCTTCAGCTCTTTCCCAGGTGTTGACTCCAGCTCCAGCTTCAGCTCCAGCTCCAGGTCGGGCTCCAGCTCCAGCCGCAGCTTAGGCAGCGGAGGTTCTGTGTCCCAGGTGAGGAGGCCCCAGAATCTGAATGAGCTGCATTCATTCCCTTCCATTTGCTTTTGGGTACCTGAATACAATTTCATGGATGGCTAGACCTGGGCACTCTAAAAGATTTACGACTCATTTTGTTAACTATAGGTGCCCCGGAAATGAATTAAAGCCTCAGTAAAATAATTAAATTGTTAGCAAGAGAGACGATATCGCAGTTCTCCAGCTGGGACTTTTGGGAATATCTATGCTTTAGAGGAATTCTCAAATCTGGCTGCACATTAGAATGGGTGGCCGGGGGGACTCTAAAAGTACAGATGCCTGGGTTCTGTACTTAAAAAAATCCTACATAGATGTATACAAATCAAATATTTTAAAAAACCTCTCCCCAGGTGATTCTAATATATAGTCCAAGATGGGAACTGTTAGGGAAAGACTCTGTGAGTTGCAGCTCTGGGAAGTTTGTCCAGTTGTTTTGCTGCCTGGCAGGATCCCGGAATGGTGAACAGTAGCCCTCGAGGGAGTGAGAGCCGCAGTGCCCTAGTTGAAGCCCTGACCATTTCTCTTGGCCTGGTTTATAAAGGAGGTGGGTGTCAGAAATAAGGGGGGAGTTACTGGTCTTTAGCAAAGTGTTATTACCAGTGGACATTCGCCTAGGGGAGTGTTCACTCTTTGCAGTCTTCTTTACAGGGAATCTTCAGGACCATTTCCAGCTCCAAACAACAGTAGCAACAAACAAACAAAACCAAAAGTCATGCATTACAACGAGGCTGGTACAGCTAGGCTAAGTGCATTGAAGGCATAGTAAGCCAGTTCCGTGGGGGATGAGTCCTCTTTGGATCTCCTTTAAAGAAAGGAGAATGGGCTGGAGGGCATGAGAGGTTAGGAGGTAAGAAGCAGTTATTCATTTCACTCTGGGCCTTTCTGCGGGAACCCCACTCTGCAAACCTCCTAGGCTATTTTTGCTAAGGTATAACTTGGGGTGGGGGAGTCTTATCTGGGCCAAAGCTTCTCTCTCTAAGCCTCTAGGATCTTTCCTCACAGGTCAGGTAGCTGCTTACATTATCATGCTTGAATGGAAGGGCAAATGGGAGAAGGGGGAGGAAAAGACTTTTATTTGTTTTATTTTGACCATCAGAAATTACAGATAATAAAAATGTGATAATTAACAAATGATTTGGATAGGGCCTAGATAGAAACAGCAGCAATAACATTTACTGTGTGTCTAATAAATGCCAGGACTAGGTTAAGTACATAATATATATCTTTTTGTTGTTGTTGTTGTTTGTTTGTTTTTTGAGACAGAGTCTCATTCTGTCACCCAGGCTGGAGTGCAGTGGCACGATCTCGGCTCACTGCAACCTCCGCCTACCAGGTTCAAGCGATTGTCCCACCTCAGCCTCCTGAGTAGCTGGGATTACAGGCACCCGCCACCACGCCTGGCTAATTTTTGTATTTTTAGTAGAGATGGAGTTTCACCATGTTGGTCAGGCTGGTCTCGAACTCCTGACCTCATGATCTGCCTGCCTCAGCCTCCCAAAGTGCTGGGATTACAGGCATGAGCCACCGCACCTGGCCTGTATTATCTTATTTAACCCTAAGAGGTAGGTACAATTAATGGTCCCATTTTAGAGATGTGAAAACTAAGGCTTATCAAGGTGAAGTCATTAGTTTTAAGTCACTAAGCTAGCAAGTTATATAGCTCAAAATTAGTCTGTCCATTCTCTTCACCATGTCTGTACATATAGGTTTCTATATTTCCAAGGAGTATAGATGAAAATTGCTTATTTTTTAGTTAGAGGAGGGAGGCTTGGGAATCATAAGTAGGCACAAGGATTCTTTGCAGTCAGAAATCAGTTACATAAGTTTATTCTGTGATACTCAATGATTTCTGGGGATGATCAGAATTGTCTAGCACTCTTTTTTGGACTGAGGTTAACAATAATAATTTATTATGAAGCTCCATCACCAGTCAGAAACCAGCATTTGGGTAAGATTATCAACTATAATAATAGAAAATAAAATACAGATCAAGAAACAGAGAAATCCAGAATGCCTATTGTCTGGTAAAAAGACAGATATTTAAAAGTAGATGAGACATGGTAGTTAAATTGGACTTAGAGGTTTTAATTTTCCTTTTTACTTATCTCTCCCTGGTGAGTCAGTATCACAACTCCAACTTTTTTTTTATACTGGACTAGGAGTCAATTTCACTATCAACCTAATTTTCTGGGGCTGGCTGTCAGCTTGATGAGCTCTTTGGAAGGTGGTAGAAAACCCTTTTATAACTGTCATTGAGTAAGTTCCAAACATATCATTTTCTGTACTTTGAAAATGTTGAGTACCATTATTTTATACCTTGAATCTTTGCTGACACTTAGCCTTGGCTACTAATTAGAGCCAGTTGCAACATTAAATCACCTTAAATGTGAGTTGCACCTTCTGCTGTAAGCACTCAGAGTACTCTCTGCCTCAGACGTCTCCCTCCTGAGGAGGGGCCTCTGCAGGGTCCTCAATTCACAAGACTAGGAAAAGCCTCAATGCTCACTCCACAGAGTAACTGGTATAGTTGGAACTGCAACGAGTCACGTGTTTTCTTGTCATCAGGCTACAAGGCTGGTTTGAAAAAACAAGTAGGGCTTTCAGAGTGACAGTGGGCCTGATTCCTGGGCAGAAATTGAGTCTTAATCATCTCCCTAAAGCCAGAACCTGGCATAGTGTAGACATCAGTAAATGTTAATTGAACACGTGCTTAGGGAAAACCTACCAATATAAGGTGTCTTGTGAGGTACTCAGGGTCCTATTTGCCCTACAGAAGGGGAATCGCATATTCTTCCAAAGGCCAAGGGGACAAGCTCTTGTCTTTGTCTCCCATCCCCCATGCTTCATTCATGTAGAGTTTGGGCATTCACCGCAGAGAGAGACTCATCACCATTAGCTTCATTGTCTTTGAATGCGAGGAGCAGAAATATCTCTAATGGGAGACACTGATCAAACTTATGGACCATTTTGATGTCAGCTGAGCATGCTGGGCTGATGATAAGCAGGATGGAAGCTGGGGGAGTCCACAGCTTTGGGACAGAGATGTTCAATAGAAACCGATGGAATGGCTGACAGCAGGGCTCATAATTACTTGTCTGTCTTTCAAGTGAACTTCAGGACTAAAAGTTGTTAGCTAGTGGTTCCTAATTGACTGTCTAGAGATTGCTTGATGATATCCACTGTTTTCTGAGTTGGCAGAATTTTTCAGAGAACTCTGAGAATGGCCCAACCCTGTTTGTGCAGCTAATTAAACTCCCCTTGTTAAAATGCAATGCAAGATTTTTTTTTTGCTAGACTGTTATTATAATAAGCTATTTCTTCAAAAGTCCTTGATATGTCGGTCTTTTCTGTAAAAGCCTTGGCATGCTTGAGTTGGAGTCTTTCTATCTTTGGAGAAATGAGTAAAGCTGGTTTCAAGGGAAGCTGGCCTCTCTGATAGGTTCCTGGTGTATCTTACCGAGTCTTTATTCATCTCTGGCAAAGACCCTTCCCCTATTCAAACCCTGCTGTCCACCCCTATGTTCGACATAAATCTGCTTGTTTCTCCTCCCTACTCCTGAACTGTTTCCCACGTAGGGATGTGATTGGAAAAGAAAATTGAGACCAAGGTAATAAATTTTGACTAAACACATAAAAAATATGATTGGATACACACACATATTTTTTTTTTCTGCTCATCTTGAAACTTAAATTAAATTAAAAACAACTTAGATGCAAAAGCCTTGATTGGCCCCGAGGCCAGTGATAAAATAAGTCTTCATTATAGAAGCATCTAGACCCAGCTTGATCAGGCATTATGGAGGTTGGTGGCCATTAAATGCACAGGACCCATTACACCACCTGCAGCTGGCTGACCTGAACTTTGAGAGACATGGCCAGAGTCACTTCTGGCTCTGAAGACCATTGCTGTCTCCTTAGAGGTTTCATAAAAAGTCCCTTCAGGCTGATGTTCCACAGGTGAGCTTTGGGTTGGCTTTCAGATGAGATCATTAAAAGGCACAGCAAATTGGCTGCCAAGGGTTACTCTGTAAGGCAATAGTAGTAATAAAAAAATGTTAATTGTGCTGGGATCCTCTTGGGGAAGTTCAAAGGGGACAAAAGAAAAACAGGATCTTTCAAAAGTGTCATTTAAAAATATGCGGTGGCACTGAAGTGTGAGTCTGAATATCTTAAATGAACATAAAATATTTTAAAATGACTTTTTCTGCAAATGGTAAGCTGGAAAAAAACTTTTATTAAAAAAAATTGCACAAAACCTTCAAGCTCATACGCTATTCACTTTCTAACAAATGGCTGGTTCCCATTTTGAAGGATGTTAATTTGCAATTTCCCAGGCGATGAGAGGATATGAATTTGCATCATATATTTTCACTGTAGCCCACATCTTTGGTGATTCCCTCATTCTGATGAAAAGGAATTGGATTGGGTTGGGGTGAAGGTGAGGAAGAGAAAATGAGCAGTAGAAGGAAAGAGAATGTGACATTTTCAGATCACCTACTCTGTGCCAGGGACTTGGCTCACATTACTTCGTTAATACTGAGGACAACCCTGTGAAGTAGGTTATCTCTATTTTACAGATGAAGGAACTAAGAATTAAGGAGATTTCACATCTAGCAAGTGCTAGAATTGAAATTCAAACTTAGCACTCTCATAGCTTCTTTATTTCCCTTTCCTTGCATAGAGATAGGAATAATCTCCTTTAAGACTCCAGAATGGCCGGGCGCGGTGGCTCACGCCTGTAATCCCAGCACTTTGGGAGGCCGAGGTGGGTGGATCACGAGGTCAGGAGATCGAGACCACCCTGGCTAACACGGTGAAACTCCGTCTCTACTGAAAATACAAAAAATTAGCCAGGCGTGGTGGCGGGCTGTAGTCCCAGCTACTTGGGAGGCTGAGGCAGGAGCATAGAGTAAACCCGGGAGCCGGAGCTTGCAGTGAGCCGAGATCGCGCCACTGCACTCCAGCCTGGGCGACAGAGTGAGACTCCGTCTCAAAAAAAAAAAAAAAAAAAAAAAAAGCCTCGAGAATGGGGAATCTTCCTTTAGGTAAAGTCTGCTGGCGTAGTGGTTTTCGTACAACCAGTGGCGATGTGGCTAAACGCTGGGTGGTCCCCACCTGTGAAAACAAAGCTGTTTTAGCTTGTTTCTATGATTCTATTCATTTATGTATTGGACTCCACTTACTTGCCTGTAAGTACTCTCGACAAGCCAATTTCTGTCACTCCAGTTGCCAAAAGCTCAGATTCCAGCTTGTTATTGATGTTCAACTTGTTATTATTTGCAGTTGTTTTCCAATTTCACCGGCTCCGTGGATGACCGTGGGACCTGCCAGTGCTCTGTTTCCCTGCCAGACACCACCTTTCCCGTGGACAGAGTGGAACGCTTGGAATTCACAGCTCATGTTCTTTCTCAGAAGTTTGAGAAAGAACTTTCCAAAGTAAGCATTTTCTTTTCAAACAATATCTTGATAAAGAGAAACAAAACAAAATGTGTTTTAATTTAGGATTTTATAAGCAATCATTCTTCACTATCAAAGACATCACGTTTTTATTCTATGGTGATTTTAGTATTTATTTTATAGGACACCAATGGAGTTCTTATTAAGGCAGGGAAAATGAGAGCACAGGAAGAAAGTGGGGTTCAAATTGTTCACGCCGTGGATAAACTCACTATAGTATTGTGGTACTTAGGCAGTTGGAAAGAAGCCTTGAGCTCTCCTTGCAAACCCCAACCTGCAATTTTTATTTTGTTTTGACGCTGCTTCTTCCTTTTGGTCTTCTAGGTCTTTCCTCAAGCTTTGCTTTCTTTTCTTTCTTCTCCTCTATCCCCTTTAGTTCTATTCTATCTCCCTTCTCTTTTTCCTTTTCTTCTATTTCTATTCCATTCCTGCATCCTTTAGTTTCTTATTTCTCTTGCCTCAATCCTTGCCCTTATTCATCCCTTCTAATCTCTCTTTTCCTTTCCTGGTTAATTCTTTTTTGGGGGGGACATTTTTGGGTATTTTCTTACTTTTAGATGATCTTTTTTTCCCTCCTTCTTTTCCCTTCCTCCACTTCCACTCCTTCAAATCCTCTCCCTCTCATCCTCCTCCCTCCCTCTCTCTTTCCTTTAACCCTTTTTTATCTTTACAAATTGCTCACTTCCTTCTCTCTCCCCCTCACTCTCTTTTTTTGTGACAATAAGTTGTAGTCTCTTTTATTTTTTTCTATTTTCTCCAAGTGAAATCCAAGGTTGTAGTCTCTTTATTTTTAATCTTATTTTTTTTTGGTGTATAGTAGGTGTATGTATTAATGGGGTACATGAGATACCCTGAGACAGGCATGCAATGCGTAATAATCACATCATGGAAAATGGAGTGTCCATCCCCTCAAGCATTTATCTTTTGTGTTACAAACCATCCAATTAGACTCTTTTACTTATTTTAAAATGTACAATGAAATTATTATGGACTATAGTCACCCTGTTGTGCTGTTGAATACTAGGTCTTATTTATTCTTTCTAACTACTTTTATTTTTTACCCTTTAACTATCCCCACTTCCATCCTCACCCTCCATCTCTTTCTTGATGGTTATCTTCTATTGTCTCAGCAGGAACATTACATTTGATGTGTCCAATATTAGACAAAAATTGAAGGCTTCCCTGGGAATTTGAATCAAGACTAATAGGTTTCTCAGCCTTGGTAAAAACACTGACTTGAACTCTGATTACTGTTTTTTTCTTTAGCCAGAGGAAGTTATCTTAAAGGGTTTGCCTTTCTCTGGGCTGGCTGGAGCAATGTGACTTGGTGTTCTAGTTTTGACTCCTTCCACCTTTTCAGCCCAAGTTAAAAATCAATTAGAAAAGTTCCTATTTTCTGCACAGGTGAAGTCCAAGCTAGTCTATAATCACATTATGCATTATTTAATACAACTCCATTAATTTACAAGGAGCTCTGGCTTTACTGCAAGATTCAGAATAAGTTTTCCTAAGAAATTTGAGCTTTGCCACCTCAACATCCAACATAGTTATCCTTTAAAACAAAAATTATGATGAGGCTGAGACCCTACTTTCAGCCTGAATTGGTAGATAAATATTCTAAGTTTAAATGAGTGTCCAGGAAAATGTGTTTGACTACTCTAGAAACCTAGCTGCTTAAGAAATATAATGTCCTTGAATTAATCAGTGGAAAAGGCACAGCATTAAATTATAAATTCTAACCATTAATATTCATAGCCTTATTCCAGCATAATCAAGTACAGATAAGAAGTTATGCATAAAAACATAACAAGTAGAGGAAAATCCTAGGTAAAGATCTTTTCAGTTAGAGTCATTTGCTTTGAAATAGTGGAAACTACTGATTTACATGTTGTCTTTGCTGGCAGCAGTGTGAAAGGCAGTTTGAAACCTTATGTGCTCCAGGGAGAGTATGTGGCTTGCCAGGTTTGTGAATATGGGACATTTAATTCCAATACTGTACGGGGGGCTGGTAACATCTGCTTTGCTAATGACAGATAGGGAAGAAGTGCAGAATAGGTGGGAAAGTTTTAGTTCTGAATGTGTCGGTGGCTGCTCTGATCCCAAAAAAACTGTGATTGTGGCCTAAGAAAAAAGTTTATCTGCTAGCTAGGATTTATATAATCGATTTAGTGTGACAGGTGATAATAACAACAATAATAGTAGCAGTTTGTTTGTGCTTTTTCAAATGCTTCCAGTTCTATTCTCTCCTCTCAAGTAACCCTTTAAGGCAGATAGGCCAGGTGTTGTCTCTCCCATTTTAGAGACAGTAAAACTGCAGTTCATAAAGGTAAGGAGACTTGCCCAAGGTCATTCCTCTCTTGGCTGGTTAAGCCAGGTCAGAATTCGAGTCTTCAAAATCATCTCAACTCTCTTTCCTCTTGGCCATGCTGTTAGCATCCTCCAAGGTAGGCCCAGGAAGAGATGCAGTAGTAATGCCTTCAAATCCAAAGTTATCCCTTTAGCTGAGGGCTTTCGAATTTCCAAGTGAGTTATTACAGCTGTCCCTAGGTTGCCTTGAAAATTGTCATTTATCCGGGGGCCTGGGAGAATGCCCGTTTAGGACAGGCCAGTAGAAAAGGTTTTTGACTGCCTTACATTGATTCATTGTCTGTCAGTACACAGAGAAGACAGGGAGCTGCCTCTGCATAAGATGCTGAAAGCATTTTATACTTTTCTGTTGTTTACGGTATGTCCTTTTGTGACTATACTTAGGAAAGGGATGGCACAAAAGGCAGCTCAGGATTTTCTCTTTCTCTGGAGGCTTATGGTCTTTGGCATGAGTTATTTAATATGACACATTTGCTAGTAGATCCTCATGCACGGGAAGGTTGAGGCAGCCTAGGAGACATTAAGGCAACCCATAAAGAAATAACATTGATTGAGCCGTATTTGTATAGTGAAATATAATAAATTAAAAGGTCAGATTGGAAAATGCTGAAATTACTGTTTCTCTATTAATTTCTATAATTCATAGGGCCTCCATTAACTAGGCACTTAACGTACATTATCTCTAGTCTTTATGATAATCTTGTAAGCTCAGTATCATTACCCCCAGTTTACAGGAAACTAAGGGTTAAAGAAATTAAGTGATTTGCCCACTAAGTACTGAAGTTAGATTTGAGTCTAGTTGGGTCTAGCTCCAAAGTACTTTATATGTCTTTACAATCACTCCAGGCTCAATGAACCCTGTTACGTTTACTTTGAAACATATATTGAAAATAGTAGTATGTTGCAAAGTAAACGTACTTATTTCAAATAGTCTGGCCATAGTTATAATCACAGGTTTTGAGAGACTGGCAGAAACATGAACCAGATTAATTCTTTAGCTTGCTAGCACTACACCCTTATTTATTACAAGACCACATTAATTATAAGGAACAATAACAGGCACCCTCAAATCAACGCTCACACAAATTTTATTCCTCATCAATGATATAGTATGTGCATAACAAGCAAAATAAAATGGAAGCTGTGAATGTTAGGCTGGTGGCTTAAAGGCTCAACTAAAACATAGATGAGCCATCTAGTGCTCAGACTTGTCATGATGAGGAGCTTCGAGATAAAGATGTTGACACAGGACGTGTCTCCTCAAGGCTAGACCCATATTCTTGATAGAATGTTTAGCAGCGTCCCTGGTCTTTAGATGCCAATAGCACTCGCCCACCCCCCAGTTATGAGAACCAGGACAAAATCACCACCACTACCGCCCTCCCTCCATTTAGAACCACTTTTCTAGATCAAAATACAGCCATAGGTCAGCTAAAGACAGGGACATGTTCTGATAAATGCATCGTTAGGTGATTTTAACATTGGTGAACGTCATTGTATACTTACACAAACCTAGAGGGTGTAGCCAACTACACACTCAGGCTATATGATATAGCCTATTGCCAGGCTACAAACCTGTACAGCCTGTGACTGTACTGAATAATGTAGGCAATTATAATACAATGGTAAGTTTTTGTGTGTGCATATATATCTAAACATAGAAAAGGTACAGTAAAAATATGATATTTATAATCTCATGGGACCACTGTCATATATGCAGTCTGTCATAGACAAAAATGTTATGCAGCAAATGACTGTATTTTCCAGAAGAAGAAAAAAATGCAGAAAGTGCCCCAAGTGCCAGATGTGGGACTGGAGGCTCCCAGGCAGGCTGGGCTGCCTCTCCCAAGACTGCACCTCCCAGGAGGAGCTGACATGTGGTCAGCATTGTCCACGCATTCCCAAAGCTACAGATTCATATATGTGAAAAGTTCATATGAATGATTTACTTAAATTAGTAAAGTTCACACTCTGAAGTCTTTCTGGCCCATCCCCAAGCTCTTTTGTGTCTTCTCTAACTCCATGGATGATTGCCATTTTCCTGAACACCACTGAGCATCCTTTAAGTGTCAGCTGAAGAACCTTGAGTTTTTTCCTCAAATGGATCTTTACAGACCCTTCATTTTGTCTGCACCAGGGCAGGCACACCACACATTTTTATAGGTAACAAACTCCAGAATATGCCTTGCTTTTTTTTGTGAAAATCTAGGAGAACCACATTTTATTTAGCAGAGATGACAGTTGAATCACTCATTTTTGTAGAACAACAGCTGCGATGTGCCACCAAAATGTTCCAGAGAAGCTGAGGGTGTTTCATTTGTTCCAAGAGCTGGCAAGGCCAAATGCCAACAAGCATATTTATTTCTCAAACTTCCATTTCTGTAATGGATTGGCACTTTATTTATTTTTATCATAGTCAAGGTTTTATGCCTGAGTTTTGTAGACACTGGAACCTGGCAGCCCTATATCTGCAGTGCACTTCTCAGGGGGACTTGTTAGGTTTTATATATAGTGAGCCCTCCATAGCCTTGGTTCCGCATCTGCAGATATAACCAAACTCAGATTGAAAAATTTCACGGAAAAAAACTAATAAAAATAACCATGTAACAACAGGAACTATACAAATAAAAAACAATACAACAATGATTTATATAGCATTTACATTGTTTTAGGTATTATAAGTAATCTAGACTTGATTTAAAGTATTTGGGAGGATGTGTGTAGATTGTAGGCAAATACTGTACCATTTTCTGTCAGAGTCTTAAGCATCCTTGAATTTTGTTATTCTTGGGAGGTTCTGAAACCAATCCACCATGGATACTAAGAGGTGGCCGTATATATGTTTTAACCTCCCTATCCACCAAAATATCACCAGCTTTGTCATCCTCCGAGTTATGGTACATCCAATGGCAGTGAGCATCAGTTGCCCGAGGAGATACACTAGCAGTGCCAAGGACTGTTTTTTCGACTTTCATTAAAATCCTTTTTGCCTGAAGCCCTAGCCCTTCAGGTCTGTGGTCTATGAGTCTACTTTAATTTGCACAATGGGGTTAAGTGGAAGGGCTGAAATGACAGAAGTTAGGATTGCTTTTGGTATAAGAAGGATTAAAGGCCAACATCTGGCTCTAAATTCATCCAGGCACTGTGGATCAGCTACTTGATATTAGTGTAGTTTTGGGAAAAGTATCACTTCAGTTCAAATTTTTAAAAAGCATATAAAGCCAGCAACTTATTTAATGAGCAGGTCCTTAAAAAAGCCATGGCATTTTCTTTAGAGATCAGACACAGAAAGAACCACCAACTGTGTTTATTAAAATATCCACTTGGATATTCCAATTATACACTAAACTGCCAAGGGAATTTTTGGAAGTATTTTAACTTAATGATCAGACATTCAAATATATGCAACAAATCTGTAATTTAAAGGTCTGATTGCAATAATCAGTTCTTGGAATAAATGTGGGTGCACTTAATGAAATGTGTACTCTACAGGGCACACACACTCACATATTGTGTAGTAGGTTGGATCTCTATGCCACTTTGTAAAAGGCAGAGGGGATCAAAACTAATTGTATATGGCGATCAAAGAAGGAATTCGGCATAGCGCATTTCTCCCTTCTCCAGAAAATACTTAGATGTAGAGCCATGTTTCTAAATGGAAGGAGGGTGGTGTTGGCCGTGGCAACGATTTTGTCCCCAGGGAACATTTAGCAATGCCCAGAGACATTTTTGGTTATCATAACTGGAGAGTGGTTGGATGCAACTGGCATGAAGAAGCCAGGGATGCTGCTTAATATTGTGTAATTCACAGCACAACCCCCACAAGAAATGACAATCCAGTCCCAAATGCTAACAGTGCTGAGGTTGAGAAACAATTAGAGTAAGTGTGTTGAAGGGAGGAGAGATGGCAAGAGACTATGATACAAACCAGTTTAGTTTGGGGAGTTAATGTCTTCAAACATTAAAATGGAGATTAAGAAAAAAGGGCTCAATATCACTTGATCATTAGAGAAATGCAAATCAAAGCCATAGTAAGATACCATCTCATACCAGTCCAGAATGGCTATCATTAAAAAGTAAAAAAATAACAGATGCTGGTGAGATGGCAGAGGAAAGGGAACATTTATACACTGTTGGTGGGAGTGTAAATTAGTTCAGCCATTGTGGAAAGCAGTGTGGTGACTCGAAGAACTAAAAAGAACTATTATTCAACCTAGCAATCCCTTTACTGGGTATATGCCCAAAGGAATATAAATTGTTCTACCATAAAGATACATGGGCGTGTGTGTACATTGCAGTACTATTCACAATAGCAAAGACATGAAATCAACCTAAATGCTCATCAATGGTACACTGGATAAAGAAAATATGGGCCATATACACCATGGAATACTTTGCAACCATAAGAAAGAATGAGATCATGTTCTTTGTAGGAACATGGATAGAGAGCTGGAAGCCATTCTCCGAAGCAAATTAACACAAGAACAGAAAACCAAATACCACATGTTCTCACATATAAATGAGAGCTAAATGATGAGAACACATGGACACAAAGAGGAGAACAACAGAAGCGTACTTGAGGGTGGAGGGTGAAAGGAGGGAGAGGAACAACAACAAAAAAATCTATTGGGTGCTAGGTTTAGTACCTGCGAGACAAAATAACCTTTACAACAAACCCCCATGACATGAGTTTACCTATATAACAAACCTGGGTATATACCCCTGAGCCTAAAACCTTTTTAAAAAATGGAGATTAAAATATACCTGCAAATGATGATGCTGAAGCAAAATTATGTTTAGCCTAGCAAAGTATAAAATCTACCTCCCTTCAATTGGAGTAATAAGTTCTTTGTATATGGATAGATTTTAAAAATCTAGTTAAATGTATTTTTGATCTATTTATTTACAAAACACAATGATTGGCAAGAATCAAATAGTTCTCAACTCAAGGGCTCGGTAGTGGAAGAAGATGGTGTGATACTACTCAGGGAATTGGCTTGAACCTTTTGATTTTCTTTCAGGTGAGGGAATATGTCCAATTAATTAGTGTGTATGAAAAGAAACTGTTAAACCTAACTGTCCGAATTGACATCATGGAGAAGGATACCATTTCTTACACTGAACTGGACTTCGAGCTGATCAAGGTAGAAGTGAAGGAGATGGAAAAACTGGTCATACAGCTGAAGGAGAGTTTTGGTGGAAGCTCAGAAATTGTTGACCAGCTGGAGGTGGAGGTAAGGAGTGAACTCACTTCTTGGTAAATTAATAATAAACTCCCTTCAGTGACTGTAAGCAAGTACTAGTACCAGGAAGTGAAACTATCTCTTCCAACTTCTAATTCTCTACTGTCTCATGGCCACATGGCATATCACTATGTTCTGTTTTGGATAAGGGCATGTGTTTGAATAGTAAGTTAAGCACATTGGGAATGTGCTGACTTAGGAGCAGATGTTGTCTAATGGTCAGAATCCTGCCCCAGAATAAAATGCCCTTTCAACTTCTCTGAAAAGGAGCTGGCATAAAGTTGAACAACGGTTCATGGCCAAGCTATATGAGGTGTCTTCTCTGCTCTAGATTTATCCTCATGGAACTAGAAATCCACAATATACCTGATTGTGGTAAAATTGCTAGGTTTGTTTCTCCTTTTGAATAACCTGGAATCCTTCTCTGCAAACTGGAAACCCCCTTTAAGAAATTTCTTGTATATTTCTGTAAAGCCTTTTAAGATCTGTGGATAAAGACCATCACATTAACGTTATGGTTGGGTAATTTATATCAACAAAAATTTACTAGCACAGTCATGACATGGGCTATAATTGAGAATTCTAGTTACGTATTTTAGAATTTAAGCTTTCTCTGGCCCTCACCATTCATTAGAATCTTAATTATAATACAACATGAGTAAACACAAGTTTATAGGGGAAGGTTATTAGAAATGAACTTTAATGGACATTTGTGGATGCTGAGGATGAGCTTGGGCTCTATTATTAAAGCTATTAAAATCTTTGCCATTTTCTTCTTGTCACACACATCTGCCTGAGATCTGACAGGCATTCATGCTAAACCATAAAATGTATTCTTCCAAATGAAACCATTCAGAAGAATCTCTGGTGTATTCTCTGGCAATGTTTCACTAAATGACAAATTCAGCCCTGGAATGTTTATGAAAGAAATTGCACCATAATATAAAGTCACTCTGAATTTTTATTTCCTTAGATAAGAAATATGACTCTCTTGGTAGAGAAGCTTGAGACACTAGACAAAAACAATGTCCTTGCCATTCGCCGAGAAATCGTGGCTCTGAAGACCAAGCTGAAAGAGTGTGAGGCCTCTAAAGATCAAAACACCCCTGTCGTCCACCCTCCTCCCACTCCAGGTAAGCATGCCAGTTTTTTTAACCACTTGTGCCAGACCCCATAAGGAGCTGTGAGTGGGGTGGGGAAGGGATTGGGGATTGCAATGGTGAAAGAAGAAGGTGGGTTGTTTTTTTTTTTTTTTTTTCAGTTCTCAGTTTTCTCTTCCATGTTTTAAAATTCCCTTCCTCCCAAGTATTCTACATGCTATCATATTCTGGGTTTCAAAGAGGAAGAGCACAAACAATGAGTTGATTTAAAGCAAAATCCACGAGTTACACGTATTCTCTTTGCATTTTCTAACAGGGAACAAAAATCTCTATGGTGATGGAGGCCCTATCAGGGGCCTCAGGGGAAAGCCTCTGGAATCTGTGTGTGGCATCCACTTTCCTGTGGAGTTAAGGACTGATTGGCTCACTTATCTGATGAGCTGGGTTTATGCCTTTGATGCTGCCATCTTCTCTCTCTCCTTCTGTTTCTCTTTAATTTTTTCTTTTTTCTTCCTATAAATGCATGCTGAGCACCTGCTATATTGTGTGTCCTGAGATTCAGTGAGGATTAAAGGAATGACCCCACATATCATGTGCTTGTGGGTGTGTCTTGCCATTCCTCATGGATTGTGAGTTCTTGGAGTAGGGGTGGCATGTTCGTCTTTAATGAATTCTCATTGGGGTTAAGTACAGCACAGAGGTGGGTGTTCTGCAAATATACCCATGAACAGAGGCAGTGGAGTGTAGGGTACAAGAACATAGCTTTAGAATTCCAAAGACCTGAGCTTCTCAGCTAGGTGGCTGCAGCAAAAAGGATCCTTAATATCCTCATTTGTAAAATGGGAGAATAATAGTGCCTGCCTTGCAGGGTGGCTGTGGGGATTAATGAGTCAGTGCTTGGGAAGCTCGGAACCTTATGATCGGCACTCACACGCTGGCAATGGATATTGTTAATAATGTTGATAATTGAAGCGAAAGCCTTGCAGCAAAACAAAAGCAGTGCCAGATTACTGTGCCCTGCAATGCATTCCTTCAGGTAAACTAAAGCCTCTCAGCCACAGTGTTCAGCCCCATCCTTTAGAGATATCAATGACACAGGGACCTTCTCTCTGCAGGTCCTGAGCATCTTAGCCTGAGTGGGGACTGTATCTTTTCATCAAATCATGCAATCCTTTTATTTTTATGAATTCCAATCCTCACACCTGCTTTCTTTTAGACTGTGTTTCTGGATTATTGTCATTGTAACTGATTTTTTAAGGCTTCAATTATTAAATAGGTATAGCCATAGATATAAGCCTCTTGGTCTTCTTCAGGTGGATTTTTTTCCTCCCTCTGCAAATAGGAGTGTGTCCTACTATGACAGGTGTCATCTAATGGTTAGAATCCTGCCCCAGAATGAAATGGCCTTTCAACTTCTCCAGAAAGGAGGTGACATAAATTTGAACAACTGTTCAAATTTCGCATCCTGCATAGGAGGTTTAGGGCAGACAACATGGTCTGTCCTCTGTAATAAACTAAGGCTAAATTTAGTCTGGGATTAGTGGTGCAAAAATGTAGCAAATGAGAGCTGTTTCTGGTGGACCACAGAGGACTCACTGAGGCAGAGGCTGAAGCAATGACAACTCCTGATAATCCCTGAACGAGCTCCCCAACACCCCTTGCAAATCCTCCTCATGGAATAGATTTTTCTGGCACAATTTTCTATGCATCCCTTAGAATGAGGACATTTTAGATGAAGGAATATTCAGGGCCATCTAACTTAGCCTCGTCTTGTCTCAGAGGAGAAGACGTGGATGGTAAGAACGCTGCTTTTCCTGAGGCCACACAAGTAGTTAATGACAGAGCAGAAGCTGCAAGGCAAGGGTCTTTGCTCCCTGGTCAGTTCAGGACCGAAGGTGTCAGGCAGCAGTAATCCAAGGACAACGGTGGGGAGAAAATGCATTGCTTAGTATCCAGGGAAGAAAACAAGTGAGCCTGTTGGGTTGTTTTTGTTGGATTTTTTTTTTCCCAGAACTTTCCCCTAGGCCCTCACACTTAGACTTCTGTGATCCATCCTAGCCCAGCTGTGTTGTTTAAGCAAATTGGACCCAGATTTTTACTCACTTTCCCACAACCTTGGCTGTACCTGAATCCCTGCCAAGCCACTTGGCTCTCTTCCAGCTTTGTTCATATTATATTTATGATGTTTATATTAAACTGACTTTTGGTCATGTTTTTAAATCAATTTCTTTCACTTGCTCTCTTTCTGTTTGGATTGGTTGATAATGCAGAATTGGAAAATCCCCAAGCACCACAAACTTGTGAGCCTGTGGAGACTTTAATTAAAGTTATTCTCTATTATGGGACTTTAAAATCTGGCCTGTCTGCTTTTTTCACTGCAGAGTTGCACAGAATAAAAAAGACTATATGCAAGTCTCAGCTCTAAAGTAACTCTGCGCTCTCTGGGCCCCCTCCCTTATAGCTACAGTTTGCTGACCCAGTGGTCAGCTTGAACTTAGAACAAGTGAATGTATCCCAGGTTCAATAAAATATGCTTCCTATTTGGTTTTTGCTACAAACAACGTCCTTTTTCTGCCTCATTTCATAGAACTTTCTAATCTAAAATAATTGGCCTTCTACTCATTAACTTTTTTCCCTTAAAACTTCAGTCTGTCTCTGTTTTGCCTGTGAATCTAAATGACTGTATATAGGCCAAATGTGATCGGGTGCTCAGGGGTTGATCTCCAGTTTGCTTGGGGATGCAAGGTTCTGTGCTGGTCCATAGTGATGCTCAGTAAGTAGCTGATGATTAAATGGGGTCTGAAAGAAATGGGGTGACCTGCTAAAATCTCAAGCTTAGGGAAGAGCCACATGTTGAACAGCATATATCCAACACTTCAGAGTCAATTTAGTCTTAATCATTTTATGACTATGATTGTTTTAATTGCCTAATTCTTATAAGTCAATCATATTCTCCTCCTGGCTCAAACAAAGTTCAGTTGCCCAGTTGAGAGAGTGCATTAATAGATCCAAGACTAATTTTCCTCTGTAGGCATATAATTATTGGCTTCAAAAAAATGCTACTAACCATGATACTTTTAAAAAGCCAAGTCAGAATATTTTAAATTCTCATGATTATGGCTTCCTCAGGTATTTTCAGAGTACCATGGTGCCATCTAATGAATTGCATGATGAAGAGAGTGCCAACCAAGGCTAAACTTCTATAGAGGGTTCCTCAAATTATGTTCCATGGAGTAAATGCCAGGCTTTTTGAAAAACCAGATATGTAGCAGGGTAGAAGGCTAGTGTTTTATAAATAAGGGTAAGCTGAGTTTAGGTGACTTGATTAATCTTTCATTCCTTTATTCCACAAACATAATTTGGTGCCACTGTGTGGCTGGCCCTGTTCTGGGTACTGGGGTTACCAGCATGAGTAAAGAAACCTCCAGAAGCCACTATCTAGGAAATGAGACATCTAAACCTCCAGTTGTAACATGATGTGATTATATTGAGATATTTACCATTTACTGAGTAACATTTACATGTCTTCTCTGTATTTTTCGTAACTATTTTGCAGAGTTGGTATTATTTTTCTTCTGACATGAGGAAACTGAGGCTCAGAAGGTTAAGTAACTTGCTCAAGGATACACAACTACTGTTGGAATCAGGCTTTGAATTAGAATCTGTCTAGTAGTATTTTCCATACTAGGCTGCCTTCCATAGCTGCTCTAACAGAGAGGTGCACCTGTGATTTCTGGAGTGAAAAGAAAATTCCAACAACTCACCTATCTGCTTAACACCAAATTATTTTTGCTTCCTTGGTAGTGGAGTAGGTAAAAGGGTACTGTTGCTCCTGACAGTTCTGTGCTGTGTGTTCTCTTCCACCAGAAAATGCAAAATGATTCAATGGTCTTTCAGAATTCTTGGATCATGATTGGGCAATGGGCTGTTGCCCAAGTGTCAGGGTGAAATTGGGATGGAAACTGGGTATGAAGTATGGAATGAAGTATGTCTAAGACCTTGACATGAAGGAAGGGGCTGGCAAGGAGCATGAGATAAGGGAGGGTGGTGAGAAGCTCAGTGAAGATGGGATGGGGGGATGGGGACTCTGAGGAACAGTGGGCACTGGACTGGCTGTCAGTTTCAGTATCGTGTCCAAGATGGTTTGCTGCCAGGAGTCGAGGAAGCCCGCCATAGCATTTTTCCTGGTCTGACATTGTTGTGGCCACATTTGTAGCATTGGCAGCAATGTTGAGTTCTCATCCCCATTTCCACTTCCTTTCTACCACAGCCGGGGCCCTAAAAATAGCCCTTTATCCTTACCCATAGAGGATAAAAGGAGGATAACAAATGAACAGGAAAGTGTTTAGGAATGTTTGGGAGGTGAGAAAAACAAAGTTTCATACATTTTAATATTTACACTGGGCAATTTGAATTTTCTGGTCAACTTATGAAATGATGAGCCACTATTACTATTAGTAGTAGTAACAATAGTAATAGTACTAATACTATTATACTAATAATAATGCAATTAGTTTTATGATAATAGCAGTAGTAATAGTAATTTTTTGAGAAGTTTATTTTGGTTCCTTCATGTCTAAAAATTTCCACATCTGGGGACAGAATAGTTTAACCTCTTGGTAGTGCTTGAATAAGTTATATGCATCATCAATTTTCCTTAAATATTTTGTTGCTGTCGGTTTGGGATATTTTCTTTTCAGGAAGGCAAGACTCAATGAAGCAAACAATTATTGTCTTCCAACCTGAAAGAAAAAAAAGTGACTTTCCTCAGAGTGAAATGTAGTTAAATAAATAAGTTCTCAGGAAGATACTTTAGCTAGAAAATCCAGTTTGTAGCATATGGAAACTTGAACAGTTTTTGTTATCATTAAACTGAACACACCGCTAACTTTATTTTAATAATTCATGCATTGTTTCATAAACAAAAGCAAACAAGCATTCATCTGAGAGATCACTTTTAGTAGAAGAAATAATAATTTATAATTTTATTTATTATTTCTTCAGTGGAGAATAGTCTCTTGGCTGAAAACACGTTGCTTTTTTATTTATGAAATGGCACATGCATTATTAAAATAAACCTGTGACTGTGTTCTGCTTAATGATATGCAAAATTATTTGAGGTTGGATACAGAGTGGTTTCATTTCTCTACCTGTTGTATGGTTGGCTGGCTTTCTCACCAACTGTGGATTTATGAGAGCATTTAAGGAGCATATATTTAATTCTGGGACCAAAAAGCCCCAGCCGATTGGAAAAATAAAAACAGAATTTCTAGTAATGGTTTCACCTTTGAGCAGTCCTTGGGTGAGGAGGATGGGGAGGGAAAGCATTTAGCAAGGAAAGGAATGGGTCTTTCCATATTGGACACAGCAGAGACCCAGAGACAAAGGCTTTGCTCCCCCTTCCCCGCCTCCATGCTAATCTCAGGCAATTCTTTGGAGCTCTGCTTTTGGCTCCAGCTCACCTCATGTTCCTCAATGGCTCTCTGAGTCCCTGCAAGTATTTCAGGCCAAATCCAACAATTCAGGTTCTGCTCCTTTCCTGTCTCACCTGCTCTGCTCTGAGCAGCAGGACGAGGGAAAATGACCTCAAATATACTTGAAGTTGGGTTTTCTTTGTTATCCAATAAACCATCTCATGAGTTTTTTTGAGTGTTAAGATCCCAGAAAATGTGTGTTCAACTCTTTGGATAGTTATTATAAAAATACTGGAGGAACTTTATTTTATTTTTATAGCTCATAAACTCCTGGGATGGCAGGCATTTCAGCGGGAGTACAATGTGAAGGGTTGATCGCCCAGACTGAGTTATTTACCCAAGTGTTACAGGGAATGTAGATTCAGTGGACCAGTGAATCTTGTCCCACTTGATTGTACACATTGTGACAATGACAGTGTCTGGATGGAAAGATGAAATACTTGCATGTCATTCTATGGCACAATAGCATATGGGTTATGAACAGCAGGACTCACCATGTAACTCTGCAGCAGGACGGTCAGCAAGTGATTTATTGATGGGCTGTGCATTGGGTACGGAGCAGGCAATGTTGCCCCAAAATAACTTTATGGCTTCTCAAGGGTGAAATCCCACCATTATAGGACCATCTTTCTGGATCTATAAAATGCTATATTTAAAACATCCTCTTCTGAGAATAGCTTAAAGCAGGATTGGTACCTGGCGTGGATGTGCAATTGGGGGTCCCAAGGAAGGGGAGAGTGAGGAAGGGCATGAAGCCTTGCCTGGGAAAATCTTCTCCCTCATCACTATTCTTTCTGGGATAGATTTCTATAAATCTTGTGGATTTATAGAAATAGGGTAGGATTGTGGAATAATCTTGCTTCCTTGATTTTGCTATAAGAAAAACAAAATAAGATAATATTTGCAAAATGCTTTCTGATAGAAGGAAATATATTAAATTCACCAAGTCTCCCTTTCCTCTCTCTGGGCCTCCAAACTTTTTAAATATAGTTCTTGCTGGTTTCATTATTCCTATTTTCCAGATTGAAAGCCCACCCATGGAAACAGAATGTAGTTCTCTGTAGAGCTGACATTGGGTTTGCATTGAGACTGAATGCACTGAACTAAGAGGAGGTTTGGCTCTTCTCCATCAGAACCACTGTTGTTATTGAACCTTGACAGGAAAAATATTTATAGATTCCTTTGGTGCTTAGGATATTAAACTATTTGTATCCTGTCATTCCTTTTCTCTAAAAATGCCTTTTTATTTTCTTGTTTGTATAGGGAGCTGTGGTCATGGTGGTGTGGTGAACATCAGCAAACCGTCTGTGGTTCAGCTCAACTGGAGAGGGTTTTCTTATCTATATGGTGCTTGGGGTAGGGATTACTCTCCCCAGCATCCAAACAAAGGACTGTATTGGGTGGCGCCATTGAATACAGATGGGAGACTGTTGGAGTATTATAGACTGTACAACACACTGGATGATTTGCTATTGTATATAAATGCTCGAGAGTTGCGGATCACCTATGGCCAAGGTAGTGGTACAGCAGTTTACAACAACAACATGTACGTCAACATGTACAACACCGGGAATATTGCCAGAGTTAACCTGACCACCAACACGATTGCTGTGACTCAAACTCTCCCTAATGCTGCCTATAATAACCGCTTTTCATATGCTAATGTTGCTTGGCAAGATATTGACTTTGCTGTGGATGAGAATGGATTGTGGGTTATTTATTCAACTGAAGCCAGCACTGGTAACATGGTGATTAGTAAACTCAATGACACCACACTTCAGGTGCTAAACACTTGGTATACCAAGCAGTATAAACCATCTGCTTCTAACGCCTTCATGGTATGTGGGGTTCTGTATGCCACCCGTACTATGAACACCAGAACAGAAGAGATTTTTTACTATTATGACACAAACACAGGGAAAGAGGGCAAACTAGACATTGTAATGCATAAGATGCAGGAAAAAGTGCAGAGCATTAACTATAACCCTTTTGACCAGAAACTTTATGTCTATAACGATGGTTACCTTCTGAATTATGATCTTTCTGTCTTGCAGAAGCCCCAGTAAGCTGTTTAGGAGTTAGGGTGAAAGAGAAAATGTTTGTTGAAAAAATAGTCTTCTCCACTTACTTAGATATCTGCAGGGGTGTCTAAAAGTGTGTTCATTTTGCAGCAATGTTTAGGTGCATAGTTCTACCACACTAGAGATCTAGGACATTTGTCTTGATTTGGTGAGTTCTCTTGGGAATCATCTGCCTCTTCAGGCGCATTTTGCAATAAAGTCTGTCTAGGGTGGGATTGTCAGAGGTCTAGGGGCACTGTGGGCCTAGTGAAGCCTACTGTGAGGAGGCTTCACTAGAAGCCTTAAATTAGGAATTAAGGAACTTAAAACTCAGTATGGCGTCTAGGGATTCTTTGTACAGGAAATATTGCCCAATGACTAGTCCTCATCCATGTAGCACCACTAATTCTTCCATGCCTGGAAGAAACCTGGGGACTTAGTTAGGTAGATTAATATCTGGAGCTCCTCGAGGGACCAAATCTCCAACTTTTTTTTCCCCTCACTAGCACCTGGAATGATGCTTTGTATGTGGCAGATAAGTAAATTTGGCATGCTTATATATTCTACATCTGTAAAGTGCTGAGTTTTATGGAGAGAGGCCTTTTTATGCATTAAATTGTACATGGCAAATAAATCCCAGAAGGATCTGTAGATGAGGCACCTGCTTTTTCTTTTCTCTCATTGTCCACCTTACTAAAAGTCAGTAGAATCTTCTACCTCATAACTTCCTTCCAAAGGCAGCTCAGAAGATTAGAACCAGACTTACTAACCAATTCCACCCCCCACCAACCCCCTTCTACTGCCTACTTTAAAAAAATTAATAGTTTTCTATGGAACTGATCTAAGATTAGAAAAATTAATTTTCTTTAATTTCATTATGAACTTTTATTTACATGACTCTAAGACTATAAGAAAATCTGATGGCAGTGACAAAGTGCTAGCATTTATTGTTATCTAATAAAGACCTTGGAGCATATGTGCAACTTATGAGTGTATCAGTTGTTGCATGTAATTTTTGCCTTTGTTTAAGCCTGGAACTTGTAAGAAAATGAAAATTTAATTTTTTTTTCTAGGACGAGCTATAGAAAAGCTATTGAGAGTATCTAGTTAATCAGTGCAGTAGTTGGAAACCTTGCTGGTGTATGTGATGTGCTTCTGTGCTTTTGAATGACTTTATCATCTAGTCTTTGTCTATTTTTCCTTTGATGTTCAAGTCCTAGTCTATAGGATTGGCAGTTTAAATGCTTTACTCCCCCTTTTAAAATAAATGATTAAAATGTGCTTTGAAAAAAGTCATCTTTTGTTTTATTTAATTTTAATTTTTTTTTAAAGCTCTTAACAGGGTAGTCCATATCTTGCTATGAGGTTGGGAGAATGGCTACCTCCCAAACACTAGTGCGGGGAGATTGCACACCTAACAACAGATCACATCAATAACTTTTATAAGAGCCCAGAGTTAGGCTGGCTCTTTCATTTTTCTTTCCCTTTAAAATCCACTCTTTCTGGCAGCTTTTATTGTACATGACTGCCCTATTATCTTTTGGGATATGACCTTATGTACTTATTAATTTGCATGACTGATCTGATTATTTCCAATGCTAGACTACATTTATGTAGCTTATGTTCCTTTTCCAATTGAGCTATGAACATGGATCAGAAGCCTCTGGATCTTCCCCAGACAGGAGGACTTGGGCAGAAAGCAAAAGGACTAACTGGCTATACCAGGAAGAGAAGTACCTTTACCAAAGAGAATATGTAAGAAGACAGGTGACCTAGAGCTGGAAGGACACAGTGGACTGATGTAGTTAGTCTTACTGAAATGCTCATTTTGGATCCTTGCCAAACTTTTTGAGACAGATGGCAGCTATAATATTTAGTATTTTAGTAAGATTTTTCCCTATCTCTTCAGGGCTGAGTGTAGAGACAGGTATGCCCTTCAAAATGCAACAAGATATGAAGATAAAGACATGTATGTCATGTGAGATACAAGTTAAAAACCAGGATGTTATATTTAATCTGGCTCTAGGCAGTTTTCCAGATCAATGTTTTGTACCAAGTACACAGTATGACCTCTGAAGATTCAGGAAAGGAGGCAGGAAGCCAAGGTAACCCTAGCAATCAGCTTCTTATTTGAACTGCTACAGAAGCATTTGCCTGAAAAAATTCACTTCCCAGCCTCTTTCTCACTGGACGTGGTGTATCAGCCTGCAGTGGCTGCCTGCAGGAAATCTCCCTGCAGGGAAGGTTGAAGGACTCAGGGATTCAGGCTCCTGGGTTTACCGCAGTGCAGTTACACAATGGGAAATTTAGCTCCAGATTCATCAGCTACTGCCTGTTTTGAAATTTACATATATATATTATAAACATAAATTACATAAGGTATAATTCACATGTGGTAAAACTTGCCAGTTTTAAGTGCACAATTCAATGAGTTTTGACAAGTGTATAGTCATGTAAAGGCTACCACAATTAGGACATAAAACACTTCCATCCTCCCTGAAATGTTCTCTTGTGTTTTTTTTATAGACAACTCTTACCCCCACCCTCCAGTCTCTGGCCACCACTGATCTGTTTCCTATACCTACGGCTTTGCTTTTTCCCCAAAGTCATGGACATGGAATTATATAGTGAATAGGCTTTTGAATCTGCCTTCTTCAACAAGGGAATTAGTCGGTTCAAATTACCCCAGAGGAGAACTGGGCATTACTAATGCTCTTGGGGTTCCCTGCATTGTTTACTATCTTTCCTGGGGTTGGATAGGGGATTACGGAGAGCTGTGGTGACCTACTGCCCTTATAAGTGTTCCTGAGTGGCCTCTAGGGCCATGGGAGGGGTCTAAATCTGTGTACCAATCAAACCTACCAGGCAGCGCTCCCAAAGCATGAGGGTTTCTTGTTACCAGGCTTGTTGAAGGTTTGTTCTCCAATCTTTACTCCTGTACCACAAGCATCCCTACCCAGGTGAGACTGTATATTAATTAACATTGCATAGAGTGGTCATGGGCACAGGATTCAGAGTCATGCAAAAATGGATTTGACTCTTGGTCCTACTACTTGCATATGGTATGGTTTTGGGAAGGTGCCTTAACTTTTCTGAGACTCAGTGTCTTTTTCTGTAAGGTGGAATAAAACCACCTACTTTACAGTCCTCTTGGGTAAATGAAATGATATTAAGTTTATAAAGTGTCTAGGAAAGTCCTTGGCCCATGCTCTGCCCTTTATGATGAGTTTTTAATCCCAGTTTCTCATTTTGAATTTTAGGTTCAGAATAGGCATTGGGTTGACAAGATATAAAGCTAACTGGGATTCAAGTTTACATTTCCCCTTATAATGGCTGTTGCAACTAGTGACTTTTTGAAGCAGGTGCCATTTTGGCATGAAAGAGTTCCAAAGGCTAGAACATCCTCTCTTGGTCCTCGACTCCAAGATTGATCCTCAGAGCTGATATTTTCTATGCTTTGACTCCAAAAGATTGACCAATGTGAGCAGCAGAAACAAAGCCTGTTTCCCATTTCTTTTGGGCCACTGACAACCTAAACGAAGGCTGGCTGTCATGAAGCCCTATGGATAAGACTCAAATAAATGCATATGATTTCTACTCTCTTTGCTGTAGTCAATATGGGTATTGGCCTTTTCAGAACATGCATGGGTACTTACTTTGTACTCTGCTTTTAGTAAAATATATTTACCTCTTAAGGTTTGTTTATATCACCAACCTAAAGAGTCTACTTTTCTCCCCTTCTTGTTCATGAACCATTGAAAGGGAGAGCTTCACCCTCTGTCCTGTGACTGTGTGGGCTGCCTTCAGGATGATGTTGGGAGGTTCTGTGCCTGAGCCTTCAGTCATCTCAAACAGATGTCATGCCATGGGAGGGTGATTAGCATCCTGTGCTCCAGAATGTTCCGGAACAACAAAAGAGTAAATTGTGACACATCAGAAAATAAAAGGCAGGCACATTTCTAAGGCATGCTCTTAGTCAGTGGAACAGACCAGCTGGCCTGGCTCGTGGGTAAGAGATGCTATTTGAGCTGTCAGTTCAGTTGCCAGGCCCCACATCTGTAGCTCGGGATGTTCCCACTTGTCTCTGAGATCTGCATCTGTTCCTGGAACTTATTCAGGGGGAATAGCCCTTGGAATCAAGGTCGAGTAGGGAAAGATGGCCTTCAGTTTGTCCAAAGGGGAGATTTCTTGGGTGGCACCCTGAACCTCTTGGAACCAAAAGTTCTGCTAGTAGAATGGCTTCTCAGACCTTGGCTGCTCCGAGGACTGTTAAGGAAAGACCTATGGTGTGTATGAGGACTTCCAAGGGGTTTTTCTAGAGCTCAGTGTATGTGGAGGGTGGCAGAGGATGGGTATGAAAGAATGAATAGGGCCCAGGGTTTATATACCATCAAAGGAGTTTGATTTCTGTATCTCCATCCATCAAATTTATAGTAACTTCAACTTTCTCAAGTCTTCTCTTTTTTCCCTAGCTTTACTGAGGTAAAACTGACAAACAAAAATTGTATATATTCAAGGTATACAACATGATACTTTGATATATGTATTCACTGTGAAATAATTGCCATCACTAAGTGAATTAACACATCAATTGCCTCACATAGTTAACCAAATCTCTTCTTTTTTTAGATTTTGCCAACTCATGTGTTCTTTTTGGTTGTGACCAACAATATTTTTATATCAATGTTACCCATGATTTTCTCTTTCACCTTGGTGGCTGTTGTCAGGGTTCGGTGTAAGAACAGAAACAACATCTTTTAACTGGAGCTGCTAACTGCTCTATTAGATAAATCTCACTGTCTCAGTGACTTGGCATAAGTGGGTTTTTTTTTTCTCCCTCACTTCAGTGACCCCTGCTCTCATCATTTTGTCCTTGGTCATTGCTTCTTTTAGTATCTCTCTCATCCCAACACCCTTTTCCCCCCTCATTCCCCAGTTGTGGTTTTGTCTGGTGCTGCCACGATGGGAGAGAGCTTCTCTTCCAAGGTGACTCTCTTCCAAGCAGTGAGTCAGGGATCCAGGCTATTTCCATCTTGTGTTATCACCATCTCCACCTATAGCTTCCAAGATTACTGTGCTCATCTGCATCAAGCAGCTAGAAAGGAAAAGACTGTGAAGAAGCCTATGTGAGAGGTTGGTTTAGGTTTGATCTGAAAGGTTCGTTTCTGCACACAATCCATTAGCATAGGGTCATGCCTAGCTGCAAGGAAGGCTGGGAAACATATAGTTGATGGGTGCACAGGAGAAAACAAAATAGGTTGGTGAGCAGCCAGCCAGTCTACCTTACCACTGTAGGTATTGCAAGAAGAAAAGGATTTAATACAGAGAATCAGGTGCTTACAAAATCACTGGAAAGGCTGAAGGTGCAGGGCAACTAGGGGCTGCAATTTAACAGCTGGCTTTGAGGTCACTTTACTACCTATAACCTAGAAATCAAGAAACTGCATCTGCTGCTACCGTTGGGGTGTCATCCCCACATCCCCCAAACTGGACCAGATGATGGACTATGGACTCTATTTGCCACAAGCACTCATCTCTGCTTGTGCTCACCTATCCACCCCACTCCCTTCCACAGTAAGCCTTCCACCTTTCAAATCTAATGTAAGTGGATCTCATGGACTGAATCTAAAATCACCCTGAACTGTGTCTACAGAGGAGCCTGGGAAATGTAGTTTTAATCTTTCTTCCCCTGTGACACAGTGAAAATGAGAGGAAAGGTTGAAAATTGATGCCAGTGCCAATAGACAATACCTGGCACAACAACTTCATTCAGTAACCCCTGTTTTCATCATTGCTGCTGCTTGGTGATTGCTTCTTTTAGCACCTAATGTATCCCCTGGTCATTTGTCACTATTTTATTTTATAATGCTCACACTCCAGTGGTAGCTTAGCCTGATACCACCATAATGGGGGAGAGTTTCTCCTCCAACAGTAAACCTTTCAAACAAACTTTTTTTTTTTTTTTCAGATGGATTCTTGCTCTGTCACCCAGACTGAAGTGCAGTGGTGCGATCTCGGCTCACAGCAACTTCCGCCTCCAAGGTTCAAACAATTCTCCTGCCTCAGCCTCCTGAGTAGCTGGGATTGCAGGCATGTGCCTCCATACTTGGCTAATTTTTTTTTTTTGTATTTTTAGGCGAGGCAGGGTTTTGTCATGTTGGCCAGGCTGGTCTTGAACTCCTGACCTCAGGCAATCCTCCCACCTCAGCCTCCTGGGCTCAGTGGTTCATGCTGGGATTATGGGTATGAGCCACTGCACCTGGCCCCAAATGAACTTTTGAAGAGGAGCTGGGCTTTACAATTTATAGCCCCTCCCCGAGACTTCATCAGAGTCACATGGCACCACGTGGCGAATTTCTCTCCGGTGATCCATCAGTGTCCTAGGAGAGCTTCAGGCCCCTCAATTCTTTTTTGTCTCTGGGTAAGAATCTCTTCTGTTTCTGGGTAGAACTGAAGTGGTTTTGTTGTCTGGGGCAATACCCAAGGTTCGCTGTCTCACACCGAGGAAATCAAGGATGTGGACACACAAGAAGTGAGGTTAAGGGTGGAGATGTAATAGGTGAAAGAAAGAGAAAAGCTCTCTCCTGCAGAGAGAGGGGTCCCAAGCAGGTTTTCTACTTCTGCAGTGAAAAGCAGTGGATTTTATAGATGAGCTTGAGGAGGCAGTGTCTGATTTACATAGGGCATGAAAGATTGGTTGGACCACGTGTGCCATTTGCATAGGGTGTGGAAAGCTGGCCTAATCTTTTATTATGCAGATGGGTTCTCTACCTGGCCAGCACCATGTTGCCTGTTTCTTTACTGTGCACATGGTGACAAAGAAAAGGAAGATGGAGCCTCCATGTTGAACATACCTGGCCCTCAGGTAGTCCTTTTCTATTGGCACAGCTGCCGGCATTCCCCTGTGCAGGTTTCCAGCTTGCTTATCTATGTCTACAGCTCGATTTTTCAGGCTGCTCTTTGTTAGAAAAGAAATGATTTTGGGGTTGCTTTTTTTGTTAAAAGGAAAATTCTGCCAAAGGCTCTTTTATCCTATCTGCCTAAATAATTTCTATCTCCTGTATCAGAACCACCCAGAAGCTTCCAGAATTTGGAATATCCCATACCCCCTATTTTCTCCTGTTCATCATCCCTGAAATACTGGCTGAAACTTTTCCCAGGAAGAATTATGGGGTTATTTGGCCAACAGGTTACTGCTCTTGGGAGGTGACAGTGCAGAGGGGGACCCTGGGGTCTTCCACAGTCCCTCATCTCCACCTGAAGAGCATCCTGACAAGTTATGGTAGTTTTCTTATTCTTTCAAATGATACCACGCAGTTCATCAGTTTTCTCAGAACGATTCTTGGTGGAGCTGCACTACACTGAGTTTTACAGCCCCACTGAGATGATCTGTTGCTTGCTGGAGCCTGGGTGGCAGATTTTCTAGCAGGATCTGAGAAGTCAATGAGTGAAGGCAGAACTGCCCTGGAGAGGAGGAATTCTGGCAGCATAAGCTCAGGGAATTAGTTTGGGAAAGAAAGTTTGTAATAACAGTGTTCTAGTTCCTGCTGAATAAAACATTCAGAGAGCTTTTCTTCTCCCAGCAGAAAAATAAAATACTCTGGAGGCAATAGGATAGTTGTTCTTTTTAAATGTTGTTTTTCATAAAACTCAGATGGTTGCAGTCATCTGACCATGACACTGTTCTCCCTCCTTCTCCTGCACTGGGCATCTTGTGGGTGTGTGTGAGGGAACATGTCCTGGGGCTGTATCATGGTTCTCTCATTTAAGCAGATGGAGAAACAGCCATTTAAATGAATAGGGCATGAGCCCAGAGAAGGTATAACCAGCTGCAAACAGACCAGTAACTATGGTTGTTACACATCTGGTGGGTAGTTCTATAGCGAAGCAGATAATGGGACTGGTATTTAAATGGCCATTAGTAGACTCTGACTCTGCACCCAATCAAGAAGTACCCTGGAAGCTCTCTCTCAGTGCCGCTCTGCTGTCATTTGGCTGCAGATTGGGCCAGCAGCAGAGCTCTGGTCTGCATGGCTGCCATCATTGCCGACGGGGAGAAACTTCATTTTTGTCGTACTGAAATAGGGGATTCTGGAGTGGGCCCCCAACATCCGTGAGGCATCGCAGAGTTGTGCGTCCTGTGGCCCTCTCCTGCACAGGTGAGAGTGCCAGCTTGGCAATCATGCACCTCCGGCGTCTGTCTCTCATCAACCTTGTATCGATAAAGCTGTGAGCCAGTTAATCCCAGGGATTCAATTCGCATGAGTGCCAGGTTATTCCTTTTAAGCCCTCTGGCAAAGTGAAGAAGGGGGAGGTGCTTTTTCATTATGAAGGGGCCTCACAAGAGAACGGAGGCAGCCTCTGCCCACCTGGTGTACAATTCCGATTCCGTGGCTGCTGAGAGCCATTCCTTTGCCTCAGAGATTTGTTCACAGTTAAAATGCAAATATCTTTGGCAAAGAGAATTTATTCAGAATGCTTTTTAAAACTTGCCTGAAAAGTTTGAATAATGAGGAGCATAAAGACTTTGAGGAAAGTGGAGCTTGGTATTGATGAGGAACATCTGGACAGTTTAAGGGAAAGGAAAATGAGACAGAAAGGTTGGAGAGACACCTTTTCCTACCTTTGCTGGGCCTCCTTTCTCCACCCCTTCTCAAGAAAAAACTCTTTTATTTCCCCTTGTTTTTCATGAGTATTAACAACAGCAGGTCGGGTGCAGTGGTTCATGTCTGTAATCCCAGCACTTTGGGAGGCAGAGGCGGGCGGATCACTTGAGTCCAGGAGTTGAAGACCAGATTGGGCAACATGGCAAAACCAAATCTCTATAAAGAATACAACAACAACAACAACAACAACAATTAGCCTGGCATGGTGGTGTATGCCTGTAGTCCCAGCTACTCATGAGGCTGAAGTGATAGGATTGCTTGAGCCCAGGAGGTCAAGGCTGCAGTGAGCCAAGATCACACCACTGCACTCTAGCCTGGGCAACAGTGAGACCTTGCCTCACTCTGTTCATGCTTGTTGTCCTGGTATAATTATTAATAGTGAGCACCTTTTACTCCCAGAAGGCTTCCAATTTGAACAATAAATCCTATAATCACGCTATTTATAGGCACCTCATAGAAAAAGGATATTTGTTTTGTCACTTGTTTCTCTCTTCCTTGCTTTTGGTCTGGTTTTGGGGAAGCTGCAAGGAGACACATGCTTCTACCTTCACATAGCAATTCAGTGACAAATAGAAACATGAATCAAGTGGAAAAAAAAAAAAACCAAGGCAAGCCTAAAATACATCAAACTGCACCAAAAATGCAGATTGAAATGGAACACGTTGTCTGTGGGTCCCTGATTCCTCCTCAGGCCCCCGATGCTGGCTGTGATCACTGCTTAGCACTAAAGCCGCAGGCCTGGCAGCAGGGACAAGGCTTTGGAAAATGGCATGGCAGGCTAGTCTACTTGTGGCCCGTGGGCTGAATGGAACTTTTTTGGGGTACAATATGCTGAAGATGTGGCTGTGTGGTAGTGTAGATGCCCAGTGGGTTCTTGCCCACTGTCTAGACAGTAGGGGTATTGTGTGATGGAGGTACTCAAAGTAGGGGGAGGACAAAGTCATATCTGCTTCCAGCACCAGCAAAGTGAAGGGTGATCACTCGTCCTGGCCTCTCTGTAGAAGAGGGACTTTGGAGATATGTGTACACACACATGCATGCATACGCATGCACACATACACACACACACACACAAAGCAGGCACTCAACATATGGGTGAGCTGATAGTATGACATAGTGTAAATAGATCTGATTTTGGAGGCAATCAAACCTGAGTTCAAATCCTCCCAGCTCCACAATTTATGAGCTGTGTTACCTTGGTCAAATTTCTTAAACACTCTGAGTCTCAGTTTCCTTTACTATGAAATGTGGTAGTTGTGAGGGTTAACTGATATAATATATTCCAGTTTTTAGCACCGTGTCTGCCTCATAGGATGGTCAATAAACGTTAGTTTCCAATTTATCCTCATCCTGTCTTCCAGTTCTAGTACTTAAGAACCTTTAAGCGCAGCAGGGGGAGGCTTACACAAGAGAAAAATGTGCTGTCTTCTCGCCAAGGGAGTATGCCCACAGTCAACCTTTTATTTAGTTTCAGTTTTTATACCTATTACAGGCAGCATCCAGGTCTAGCCCCACTCATCCAACTTCATATATTCCGTAGGGCCTAGCATGGCCTGGCTCCCGGCTTACGAAATGGCAATTGTATGGCTGCTGAACAGAGGAATACAGTTGGGTAAAGAACAGGGAGTGTTTTGTTTACCGGAAACCATGCAGCTCAGAGTTATGTTTTGATTCCTTGAAGTTCCTGCAGGTAGATCCTGTAGTGATTTAGCACGGGTGTTTGTCTTTCAGACACTGCTGAAGGCCTGCTCCTCTTTCTACTTCTTGCTATCCCCAAACAACAAGAGGGTAACAGGATCTGTCTCCCAGAAAACAGCCTGCTCTTGGCCTGTTACTATTGTGCATCCTCTGGGTTTGGCCTTGACTCTCCTGTGTGCAACGCTGTGAGCAGAATATCAATTGGTGTAGAGGAGAAGCAAGCCAGGCACTGCCAGCCCAGAGCCTGCATTATCGGGGAGAAATCATGCTACATCACAGAAAATAACTTCTTTTTCTCACTTTATAAATTAGCTTGGCAATTTCTAGAATGATGAACCCTTAGGCTCACAGATCGTGCTTGTGAAGAGTGGGGAAAAAGGAACCAGAATGCAATGCTCTTTGCAGTTCCAAAAAAGAAGCCTGGTGGGAATTACTCTGGCAATCCCTAGGGTACCCTATTCTCTACCCTCCCTGACTCCACTTTTTTCTCCTTAGTTGCACCCCTATTTTGGTTGCTCTATTGCAGAAAGCTTTGGCTAAGACATGGGATCTCAGTTGGGGCTTCCAGGCTGGGGAGAAGGGCGGGGACCCTGCTTTTTACAGGAGAAGGACCGTGCAAAATGCTAGATTCCTGTGCCTGATAGTCGACTAGCCTTTTCAGATATGGGTTTATCCAGTATATTGATTTTGTCACAGAAGCATAAAAGCAGAGATAATCAGAGCTAGAAATGAACCAAAACATCATCTAGACTCACCCCTTTGCTCCATAGATAAGGAAATTGAGACCCAGAGAGGCTAAGTGACCTACCCAAGGTTTTCACACAGCTGACAGGTGGCCAGGCTGGGCTGGATCAGGAGCCTGGGTGGGCATCAGTGTGCTTCCCCTTCCTTGCTCTGCCTATCAAAGAAACAGGCTTAGGCTTCCCAAGGGGAAAATGGGTGGATTTTTCTCATTTCATTTTATTTCAAAGTAAAAAACACATTCTTATTTGTTCTTATTCTACTTGCAAACTCTAATTACTAGTTCTAGTGTTAACTACTTAACATATTTTACTTAATTAGCTAATTACTAGCAATGGAAAGTAGTTTTCTTTGACCTTTATATCCACATTCCTCCCACCATAAAGAAGTTGGTGTCTTTGGTATTGAGTGGCATTAGCATAAATGGTGAATTACTTGGCAGAAAACCATAGTCTAGCTCCTGAAGCTCATGCTTTTCTCTATTAAACACTCTGTACTCCTTTGTAAAGAAAGGGCAATTTTGAATTGAAAGCAGTACACACATACATACATACTGATCATCGGGGAGAGTTAATGTCGTAACTAAGTATAGAGGAATTGGGGCTCCTTGGGTCTGACTTCAAGTTTGGCTTCAAAGTCACCGGATAGGTGACTTTGAGCAAATAACCTAAGCCTCTATTTCCTCAGTTGTAAAATGGTTGTGATGATTGTGCTTATTTTGTAGTCGCAATGAGGATTAAGTGGAGGTGATATATATGTAAAGTTCTTAGTACCGCACCTGGTAAATACCAAGTCTTCAGTAAATATTTGTTAATACACATGTATCACAGAAAAATTGGGGAGCTCACACAGATATGAAGAAGGAAATAAAGTCTGCCTTAGTCTTAGAGACTGCTTCTCTTCCCATTATGTACAGACTGACAGAAGATATAATTACAGACACATGCTCCTATCCTAATGTATGTATATTTTAGTCAGCTATGAGTTCCTAATGTATGTATAATTTAGTAGGCTGCTTTTTTCATTTAAAATTCTTTCGTGGACAACTTCCCTTATTTTTAAAAATCATGATTTTTGAGGGGAGGAGGTAATTGTGCAACTTTATTGTGGCAGTAGCTAATGAGTACAGGGCCCTCAAATCTTTAGGTTTTATCTCATTGAGTAAAAGTGATTTTTAATGTCTACAAATTATTCCATAGACATATCATAATTTATTTAATCATTTCCCTATTATTGCAAGTTACTTTGTTTTCCCTATTTTATTTTTTGGCTTTATAAACTTCTGAGAATATAAATCTTTGTCTGCACTTTTCATCATGTTCTTAGGATAGATTAAGTACATTATTGGGTCAAAATACAAACACTTGTCAGAATCTTAATCCATACTGCCAAGTTGCTTTGCAAAAAGGAGCAGCGCTTCGCTTTGTAAAGCTCATTCCCCAAAGCTGCACAGGCCAAGGTTTCCTACTGGGCTGTTTTTGTGAAAGGGGTAGTCAAATTCCTAACTAATATCCTTGGTCAATCAGGAGTCAGTTTCCTCTTCCTTCCTCTCCTGGGCTGCGTCTAGGACAGTTGGAAATGTCTCTGGTTTGGGGATCCTTTGGGACCTCCTCCTAAGAAAATCCTGTGTATACTGATTTGGAGGCTACCTAAACCTGAACTTGACCTCTAAAGCTCAGCTAATCTAATCCTAAGTCTTCTGATCAGTGGGATGGCATCCTCCATCATGCTTGTATTTAAAAACTTTCAAAACAGTCAAGCCCGTGGGTTCTTTGCTCGGTCTGCTGTTGGATGGATAATATCACTTCTTTGCTAGAAAGTTACTGCTGAAGTTTACCCTCAAATCCTTAATGAATTTGGTCCTGGCGAGGGTACTCTCCAGGCACTTGGCTTCCCTTCTCAGTGTGTGGGCAACAACCCCATCACAGGGAAGCTTTGCTGATGCCCTCTCTGTGTCCGGTACAGGGAATGTTTGTTACCTGGCTTGGGTATTGTTAAGCTTCTTCTCCATCTTCTCTTTCTTGGATCTAGAATTTACCTTTCCTGGAATCCTTTCTATTCTCATGGCTGATCCTCTGCATTAATTTATGCCTCAAATGTTGCATCTTTTTTTTTTTTTTTTTTTGAGATGGAGTCTCACTGTATCCCCCAGGCTGGAGTGCAATGGCGTGAACTTGGCTCACTGCAACTTCCACTTCTCGGGCTCAAGTGATTCTCCTGCCTCAGCCTCCTAAGTAGCTGGGATTGCAGGCATGCATCACCACACCCAGCTAATTTTTGTATTTACAGTATAGGTAAGGTTTCACCATGTTGGCCAGGTTGGTCTTGAACTCTTGACCTCAAATGATCCACCTGCCTCAGCCTCCCAAAGTGGTGGGATGACAGGCGTGAGCCACCATGCCCAGCCAAATGTTGCATACTTAACTAATTGGTTTCTCTGCTGCCAACCTCTGCTTCCTCTAACCTGTACTGAACATAGCTGGCAAATTAATCTTCTTTAAACATGGTCCTGAGGCGTCACTCTTCACTGATGACCAGACTAAGCATACTGTCAAGGATATCCATTGTGTAGACCCTGTTTCCTGGTTACCCCATTGCATTTTCCACCCAAAAGGCATTACTTGCTGTTCTACAGTGGACCCAATCCTTTTCAGACTTCTTACTTTCCCCTTGCTTAATTGCCATCCCTTTACCCATGTCTCTGTGTTGAAATTTCATCAATGATCAGTGGCTATCCCAAACGCTTCTATGTGAAGCCTGTCTTAACCCTCTTCACTAGAATGAAAGCTTGCTCTTCATGAATACCTATTGCATATTCCTCCCTCTTCTCAGTTTGCTCTGTGTTAGAATGATTTCTTTGGCTGGAGAATTCTCCCTTTGTCCCAATCTTGGCAGATAATAAACTCCTGGAGGGCAGGACTGTGTCTGCTTCCTCTCTGTAGCCCCCGCATCACCTGAGAAGTGCTTTGTATGTGGATACTCACATGTTCTGAGACAGAAGTCCTCAGACGCAGCCCTCCTCTTGTGTTGCCTAAGAGCGGGAGCAGCACAGCTGCCTGGATTTATTGTTTTTCCCAAGAGAGGTGATTATAACACTTTATCTTCCCCTTTTGGCTTTCAGCCAGTGGCTCTGCATCTAGTCTCTAATTTTCTTTTTGTTTAAAGGGTTGTTCTGTCTTCCCAGCCAAAGCAAAATGATGATGGTAATAACGTGGTTGTTATTTCTTGAAAACCTACTGTGTGCTAGACACTGTGCTTTACATATGAGATCTCATTTATTAATCTTCACCAACATTTTATAAATTAGGTACTATTTCCCTATTTTATGGATGAGAAAAGGGAAGCCTGGAGAGATTAAAAAAACATGCACCCAAATCATTGAAGTAGTAGGTTAGAGTTGGAGTCAAGAACTGAACCCAGGGCTGTCAGCCCAAGTCTTCTTACTATGTCCTGCTAGAAAAGGATGACTTAAGGGTGGGGTGGATATCGGACTTGGCTGACTTTTCCTGGGACCTACGACCATGAGGCTTTTGCAGTAGAGGGACATGTAAACCTCTATGGCAGCTTGGTTTTGCTGAGCACTGGCTCCTCTTCATCTGTTGCAGGCCTTAGGAAAGGCCAAGGAGATTGAGTTAAGCCTCTGATCCCAGACATATCACTGCACCAATAGGCAAAATGTACCCTTGATGTTAAATTGTGGGAAACTTGACTCATTGCTATACTATCCAGGTCATCTACTTGCTGGGCAAAGGCAGTTGAAAATGGGTACAGTATATGCCAAGATTAAGACACTCTCGAAACTAGTTATGGTGGGATAATTCAATGCTGCTTTTTAAGGAACTCTAAAAAACAGTACCTTTAGTTGGTGATTGATGTAAAGTAGTTATTTAATAGGCATTAATAAAATAAATGAATGAATTAATGAATATAGGAATGAATTAGTGGTATTTTATGGGTTTTTTTTTAATGGCAAGCGATGTGGAATAATGGGAAAAATGGGATCTGCCAAACATTAGTGTGCTGACCTTGGGTAACTTATTCTCCCTGAGGTTCAATTTGTCACGTGTAAAATGGTAATGTTAATACCCACTGTCAAGAACTATGAGAAATCTGAGATTTTACCTTCTTTCAAGCTAACGTGGCCTGACACATTTGCAAAGATGCTGGCAGAAGACGTGGGTATTTTGGGTCAGATACATGGACTTTATTACTCATGGCATAGCAAAACATGGACATCACCATATTTGTATCTATTTTCTTTGCAAATGGCTCTGATGTATGCTTGTACACAGAGTGAGCTGTGTTAAAGAAGAGGGACCCCAAGCTTAGGTGTCCTCAATTTAAAATGGGCAGTAAGCATGCTTGCCCTTTTCTCTGGCAGAAGATGCTATCTTCTCTTTTTCAGGCTGTTGGCTCCCCACTAGTCCTTGAGAAGATATATTGGAACAAAGGCTGATACTGCCATGCTTGCAAGACATACAGAATGCATGAGACCAGTGAAGGATTATCTCCCAAAATCTACCTCATGGATTTTGTTTTATGAGAATTAAAGAACTAACTTATTTTATCAGTTAGAATAGGCTGGGCAATTGTGCAGCAACACATGACTGTCACAGTGCCTTAAACCATGAAAGATTTCTTGCTAATGCCACATATTCATGGGGAATTGGCTGGGGACTCTGTTTCAGATCAGCCTCACTCCAGGTCCCAAGCTGAAGGAGGTGCCGTGATGTGGCACATTGCCACGGCAGAGGGAAAGTGAGTGGCAGAATTGCATGCTGACTCTACAAACTTCACCCCAACTTCATCCCAGAAGTGACATGCATCACTTCTGCTCACATTTCATTGTCCAAAGCAAGTTATGTAGCCAAACCTAACCTCAAGAGGGAGGTGAAGTGTGCCCAGAAGAGCCAGAATATTTATTTGGTAGGTGGCACAAATTACTGCTAGCCAAATGCAAAGTCCTTGCACAAGGCTGGACACATTAAAAATGGTCACTTCCCTCTTCTTTTTTACTTCTGGAGTCATGAATTTGGAAAAGGTCAGAAGTGTGGTTCTTTGGTTAAGAAAAAACTCATGGTGGTCATGGATTCAGGTTGTCCTCTGTCTATTGGCACCCGTGGTCAAGAAAATTTGCAGAATTTCCAGTATAAAGCTATGTGCCCAAGCTTATAAATAAAGTTAATAAATACTAATTATTAATATGCATTCAAGATCACAAGTTTGTTGGTCAACATTAAAAAAGAAGAAACATAGAATTTCTTCTAATCCCCAATTATTGCACAGAGATAATAACCAGATTGAGAAAGAAAAAGAAAAATGTTGATTTATTTTCATTCATGCTACAATGCAATCACAGACTCAATAGCTGAAATACTTTCTGACTTGAACTGGTCACTGCGTCTGACTAGCAATCATTGAATGCCAGTAGAATGAAATAAACATTACTAATTACCACAGTCTCCATGCTTCAGAGTTTAAAGACACCAGACAGGTCATTAATTTCTTTTTTCATTCATTGAGAGGCCCTATCTCTCAGGTATTGAGTTAAGGATGTGGGGACAGAATTAGAAGCAAAACTGAAATGGTTCTTGGCTCCAAGGAGTTTAGAGTCTAGAGGGAAAAAAAGACAACAGTCAAAACTAACTCTTATTCATGGCTTGCTTACTAGAGGCTGAGCATGGGGCTGTGCAATACGTCTGCATTTCATAAGAGAGTCAACAGCCTTGTGTTGGTTTATTACTCACAAGAACCCTGTGGAGGTGGTGAGAACCATGGCTTTGACTTGGTATAATCAAGACTCAGAAATGTTATTCAGTATATTCTTGGGGTGCCAGGAGAGCTAGGTCAGAATTCAGGTCTCATGTCTCAGATTACAGATGCATTGACACCTAACCATTTTCACTAACCTGCACCACAAAAACCAGCCTTGTTTATAGGTCGGACATCCCCACCTCCAGGCAGTGCCTTCTCTTAGTTAATATTTCCCATCAGTGAATGAATTATTCAAAGAATTGGTTGCACACCTATTTGGTGTCAGGCACTGTGCAAAGTGCCTACTCACTACAGATTTCACACTACTCCTACAATTATCTGCAAGGGTAGGAATCATGATTTGACAAATGAAGAAATGAAGAATCATAGAGTGAGAGATTTGCCTATTATTTCCAGAGTTCAAAATTGGTGGAGGGAGCCAGGATTCAACCAAGCCATGTCTGAGCCAGAACTCTTTCTAGGGGCACAACTCTGCCCCTGTGAACTGCTGGCAGGTCTGGCCAGTGGATGCTCTCAGACCCATAACCATGGCTCCTGCCAGACATCCCTAAGTCCCCCTGCAATAACATTGGGTTATGAAATCTAGGCAGCTAGTAGAAACAGATCGCTTTGAGGATAACTGCCTCTTCTCACTGCAGCAGCACAACTTGCTGCTTTTACTCACTTATTCTAATGAATTCAACAAACATTGACTGAACAGCTTCAATGTAGCATGCCCTGGAGGCTACCAGGGTGAGTTCAACGTAGCTCTGCTCTCAAAGGGTTGAAAATCAACAGTGGGAGAGAAACTTAGAACCACTGAAACTATAATGCAGGTAGAAAACTCAGGGTTATAACAAACAAAATGCAACAGGAGAAAGAGTGTGCACGAGAGAAAACCCTACTGGGAAATCTGGGAAGGCTTTGGGGGGAAGTGTGTGATTTGTCAGGGATTTAAAGATAGATAAGACTCAAGTGCTCAAGTGCTAGAAATGGGAGAGGGGAGTGGAGGGAAAGAGTGAGTATTAAGAAGCCACATCATGTAAGCAGAAGGGGCTGTTTCTTTCAGAGATTTGTAACCTGGAAGAAGAGTTGTTTTTCCAGAGCTCACAAAGTCTGACCCATTTTCACAGAGCCCCTGGGGAGGAGCAACTAGTGCAAGCCAGGTGCAGTCGGAGAAGCTGCCTCAAAGGTTAGCTGAGAAGAAAGGCTGTTGTGGACACTTAGAAAGTCTTTTCTGAAAGGGAGCCATCTGGTGCTTAGTACCAAGCAAGCTTCTTTCTGTTTTCCCAGGCTTCTGGGCACTGGTGGCTGATGCACAGTCCCCCTGGGCTTTGTGAGGGTGGAGGGACTGGTGCTGGCTTCCTGGGCTGTAAAAGGCTGCATCTCATGCCTGAGGTCCCAGCCTCTGCACTTCTGCAGAGTGTGGTCCCCATGGTGAGCTGATGAGCTGACAGCTGTCTCTTTAGAGGCCCCCCGGGTCTTCACTGCCTCCGTGAGCATGTCCTCTTGCGGGAACCATGGAATGTTTTTAATCCTGGCCAGTCACATCTGGGAAAAACAACCCAAATGTTAATCCATCTGGAGAGAGAACTAATCCATATCTTCTGATGTCTGTATCTTTTGTTTTTCATCTCTGGATCTTTAAATCTAATTATGAAGCCAGAACGAGCCCCCTACAAGCCTGTCTCTTACCCTTCAGGCGGCCTTTAAACGTTCCTTTGTGCATGGTCTCCTTATGCTCCTAACAGAGCTCCTTTCATCTGAATGTGGTACAGCTCTTTAAACAAAGAAACAAAGCCTCACTACACCCCCATGAGGAAAGAAGCAATCATAACTTGCTTTCACCCTGGCTGAGAGAAGATGAAGGAATGGGCCGCCACTTGGTTAAGGAGTCCCAGCTACTATGGCCCTCTTAAAACAACAAGAGCACTAGCTATATCCTGCCCTTGTGTATTTTCCTAGAAGTGGACTCAGGTTCAAGAAGGAACTTTGTATATTTCTTCCTAAATGGGCTCCTCCTCCTGTACCCTGTGTTTAGAAAAATGATATCAACCAATCACCCAAGCTTGGATATTTCCACTCTCTTTAGCGGTGGAGACTTAATTGATGTTTCAATGATCATGCCTCTTCTGCCTTTTCTGTCTCTCTGATACTCTGGGGTACCCTGCTATCCTGGATTACTACCACGGCTTGCCCTCTTTAGTCTCTGTTTTTATTGTATGTTCCTCCTAATCTACCCTCCGTGCTGCTATCAGACTAATCTCTCTAAAAGACAAACTTAGTTAAGTTATGCCTCTGCTTAAAATCCTTCTCCTATAGGATAAGATGGAAACTCCTTAGCCTGACATAAAAGCTCCAGGCTCTACCTGTGCAATCTCACCTGTCACCTATACCTCTGTATACTCTCTATAACCAGCGTTTTGGAACTACTTCCTGTTTCCTGGATGTAATGCCGCCTCCTTTTGCATGTAGTCCATGCAGTAATCTGACCCTCCTGTCAGGGGAAATCCTACCTGTCATTGAAATCCAGCTCAAGGGTGGTCTCCACTCTGAACATCAGATGGTAATGAGTACTTGCTTCTTTGTGGTGCATTGTATTTTCACTGGTTTTCTGTTGGAGCACACAATAAGATTATTATACTTACTCGTTGTTTACCTATTCTCACCTCACCCCTAAATAGCCTGTGCATTTCTCCTAGACAAGTGCTGTGTCTTATTCATCTTGGCCTTGTTGGCACCCAGTGTAGTGCCATGAAGATGGTAGTCATTCAATAAAGTTTGCTAAATGAGTAGAATTATCACATCCATCGTGGGAAAGAACATTAACAAATAGAGAAATTGAGGCTGAGGATTTTCCTAGACTCATGCTGTCAATTAAAGTACTGATGCAATGCCTGAAACCCAAGTCTGCTTTATAGGCCATTATACTTCTTTAGATCCTCAAACCAACAACTCTAGGAAGCTGCTTTAGGGAGGAGTTTATATTCTTCTACATGTCACAGATAACAGTAATTTATATACCCAACCAATATTTTTGTGGGTTTAGTATAAACCAGGCACTGTGCTAGACATTGCAATTATAGAAGTATACAAACCAAAAAATATCCTTTCCTACAGTAAATTTTCTACTTGGACAAACAGACACAAAACCGATAAAGAAGTAAATAAATATGAGGAGAGCAGGCAGGGGCCAGATCAGGTAGAAACTTGAAAGCCATCATAAGTTTCCTGGATTTTATTCTAAAGAATAACCAGAAGTCATTGGTGGCTTTAAAGGAGGGAATTTGATGGCTGTGTGGACATGAGTTTGGCATACAGTAGATGAGGGGGACATGAGTTTAAGAGTTACTGTAGTTTCTGGAGAGATACGATGATGGTGGCAGTGGAAGTGAAGGAAGGTGAACTGATTTGTTTTACGGGTAACCTGCCAGTGTTTGTTGATGGACTGGTTGTGGTTAGCATCCTTGGTCTGGAATAGTCTTAAGCCATGGCTGTCATCTGCCTGCCTCTCAGCATCATGCTGATGGCTGCAGAGGCTTTGAGTTGGAACTCTTGAGTCATTGAGGAAGTCCAGCATTCGGTCATCACCAGCTATTTCCACGAACAACCCCACAACACTTTATTATGTGAACAATATTATTGAAGCCCTTCTTTGGGATTCAGACTTTTTCTTGTACTCCCAAAGACCAAGGATGCTGGCAATAGGGCCCTGGTCCTGGGCCAGTCTGGATCTGAGTATGGCCTTGAAGGATCTGACACTAGGGCCAGTATGGTAATAGAGCCTGGGACTTGAAGCTGTATAGTCTCATTTTCAGGTCCTTGCTCAACTATTTACTAGCAATGTCATTTTGGGAAGACATTTTTAACCTCTCTGAACCTTAGTTATCTTATTTGTAAAATGGGCATCATGAATACATACCTCACAGAATTGGTGTGAAAATGAATGACATAAGTAAAGCCCAAGGAGGGGTAAGGGGTCAAGAAGAAAACTCAAGGAAAGGCAGGAGCAGTCCTTGCATTCCCTGGTACCAGCTTGGTCTTGACATAACTGTGCCCCAAGAATCAGAATTTTCACATTCCCAGATGGGTGCTCACACAGTTTTAGGGAAAAAAATTTTTCCTTCCTTGGTGGTGGCAGTTTAAGGAGGTATGGTATGGAGCACAAAGGAAATCTCATAACCAGTTAGTGTCATGCCCTTTTCTTTGTCCCAGTGACGATGATAACAGCAGGGTAGATTTATGGCAACATGATGAAGATATCCATCTCCAGCCAGTACTACAGCAGCCTCTGGTGTTGATTCTGGACTTGGGGGTAAGGTGGAAGCTACAAGAGGAGACACCTGAAAGGATCCTTCTCTTATTGACTTTCCCATAAATGTGTGGTTTTGAGTGGTGAATAGAGAAGGATATCTCTGTGGGCAGATATTGGCTGCCGTGGCATAAGTTGTTCCTGGCGGGTCATTCCCTTGGAGGCTAGGGGTTCTTTAGACAGGAAACCAAGACTTGTGGGCCTTAGGCAGGGATGCAAAAGCATTCCCTGGCCTTCTCTGAGCTTTGGCCTTTTTGAAAATAACTTTGAGGAGTCTGAAGCAGGGATCATAAAACTGATTTACCTTTGATTGATTGGTAGTTGATGCTGGAGTACTAAGGCTAAGTCTTCATTCAATGACGAAGAGTGGTGTGGTTGATTAATGATGTCTGCCATGAGCAGCCTAGGGAAGACTACAGCATGTAGGCTATGGATTTGTTATCCCTGGTGTGGAGATTGAGGAAGGCCCTCCAGGATGGCTGGACTAAATGTGCCCTTGTATCTCCATGCACATTTAGCCCCTTACTAAATAAAAATGAATAAACTACATTGTGTAAACCAGATGATCTCGTTCCTTGTTATTTTCTGTTTATTTATCTTTTTTGATCCCTTAGCCATTAGTTTAACTTTCTAAAAATTTTATGGCTGGGTCTCTGCTTTGTCACATGGAACTGGCAGAGAGAACATATCTGGGCGAGAGTATAAAGGGGAAGTACAAGTCCCTGAGAAGAGTGGTGCTGGTGGTGGACATCGCCCTAAGACTCCAAGAAGGTGAACCTTGGAGTCCACCTGTCCCCTTCCCACATCCGTTGCTAGCTGTAGGCAAGCTGAATTTTAATTCTAATGTGTAGGTAGCATTTCATTATTTTCTTAGCTTTACCTTTTTGAGAATCTGTCACCCAGGCTGGAGTGCAGTGGCAATTATAGCTCACCTGCAACCTCGAATTCCTGGGCCCAAGTGATCCTCCTGCCTTGGACTCTCAAAGTGCTAGGATTACAGGCGTGAGCCACTGCACCTGGCCCTATTTTAATTCTTAATTTTATTAGGAAAAGAAGGGAAAACATATCAAAGGGGATGTATACCAAGAATAATTAAATTGAATATTTACCAAGTAATTTTGTGTATTTTACCTCACAGCTGCTCTATGGGGTAATTACTACTGTCACCATCTAGTATTTGGTGAAATATGTTTGGAGAGGACCAGAAACAGGCCTGAGGTCTCAAATCTAGCAAAAGACAGAGTCACATCCCCTACTCAAGTGTGCCAGCCCCTAGTGTGCATGCTTCTTGGTCCTGCCACGCTGCCCCTAGAGTAGGTGGGGTTTGTGGTCCTGATGGAGCCTCCAGTTTGGGGTGGGTTCTGAGACGGTTGAACCCAGGCCGGGATTGCAGCTTAGTTCAGGGCCAGAGAGCTTCACTGGGCCACTGGGGAAACAGAAGAGGGCTGGGAAGCCCTTGTGTTTTTTGAGCCAGGGAAGTGAACAGCTTCCCTGCTGAGTGGGATAGCTGTGAATCGAGGTGCCCACAGCACCTGCCAGACTGCGGAGCATGCTGGAGACTAAAAATCTGACTGACATTGTGTTCAAGAGACCCCCCGGGCCTCCAGTCTGGTCCTCTGTGCTAAAAGTGCTTTCAACCACAGGATTCACTCTATCGATTTTTATTAATAAAACTTTCAGAGCACTGCATGGGTGTTAGCTATGTAACTTTCACTGAGTTTGTGTGGGAATTATGTAGCTCAATCACCAAGCAAGGCATCCTTGCATTCTTTCTGTGTATGTGTGTGTAGTGGTGCTGGTTGGGGGTACTGACGGGGTACAGATTTAACTTAATGTCATTGTGAATATTTTTAGAGACTTTTTGAATACTCTGTAATTGTACTATCTATACTTTGGGCCTAGTGTTACTGTTCAGTTGACAAAATACTCACTGCTAATTACAATAAACAAAGGATTTTGTTTCTCTGGGAGAGAAAAAAAGATCTCTGTTTGAAGCAGACCAAATTACCTACTTGGAATTAAACAAAAAAAATGCCTATGACAGGCACACCCAAGACAATTTTTTATCACAATTACATCTGTATAGCTTGAAAACAAGGAAGCCTGTCTTTACACCTTCTGTCTGAGTGTGGTGGCAGAGATATTAGAGGTGTTTTGTGTGTAAAGTTTAAACTGAAGCCTGGATTTTGTGTGGCTAAATAGCAATGCTTACTCCAGCATTGTTCCCGTCTGGTATTAGTGTGTAGACAGACGCCTGAGGACTTTTCCATGAGCTAGCAAGAAAGGAGGTAGGATTTGCAGCCTCCCATTTCGCAGATAGAGAGGGGACAGGGAAGAGGAGAGAGAAAGCACAGACCACCCTGTGGAATGTTAGCTCTGCCATGTACTGTGTGGCCTGAGGCATGTTCCCTTATCTCTCTGAGCCTCAAATGCAAAATGAAAAGAACATTAGCTGTTGTGAGTAGATGGAAATCACTTAGCACAGCGTTTACACAGGAGTGTTTATGCAGTGTTGGCTATTATTTTTAAGATGTGCTCAATAAATACGGGGTGAATGAATGAAGAATATTTGTTCCAATCACAAGATGCTTCAGGCAGCCTTTTCAATTTTAAGTTACACCAGGAAGAAAGCCTAATCAAGTGCCAGCCTCCCCCAGGAACCTTGTAACTTCTGATTGTCTCCAACAAGGATGGCGCTAATCTTCCTGTTTAGCTGTGGGCATCTGTACTCTGCAGCGACAGCAGCCAGGACGCTCTTAACTGGAGCGGGAAGGGCCAACATGGTAGGGCCCAATGGGGCTGGGAAGTGCTGCCGCAGCTATATATAGCTGATGCTTATGGAACTCTTGCCACGTGCCAGCATTTAATGCATGGAACAACAACCCCACCACTAGGCACGATTATTATCCCCATTTTACAGATGATTAATCTGGGACAAAGAGTTTCCATTAGGAAGTCTCCCGAAGTCCCACAGCTTTGTAAGTGACAAAACTGGGACGTGAACTCAGCCCCTCATTCTGGCTCCAGGATTCCCCCTGGGCCTCTGCCCTGTTGCCTCCCCAGAGCCCGTAAAGCTGAGAGTGCCCTGAATACGATTTGTAAGTTCGGATGCATGTTGGGAACAGGGCATCGGTTCTCTGATCCACAGAAGCCCTGCTGAGAGAGGTACTCAGGGAAGACAAGCCAACTAGCCTGGGTGAAATCTCTCCTGCATGCACACACACCTGTTTATGGGTAGTCTTAAACATTTCACGGGGCTTAGACAGGCAGGTGAGAAATAGCAGGAAGACCATAGGGGAAAACTGTGTAACTAAATTAAGGAATTTTGAAGACAGGTGAAGAAATGAATATCCAAATGCGTTGCACTTGCTGGAAGGGATCACACAAAGTCATCTGATTTTCATTTACCCTTAGACATTTTTTAGGCTTGCCTATCTGGGCTGAAGTTAAAGTCACGGTCCTCCCTACTGTGTCCCCTTCACTTAGGAGCTCTCTCTCTGCTTCTGGCGAGGGCAGCTGACAGTCGCAGAGGTGATAATGGGTAGACAGACTCCAGAATGTGCCCTGGGTCCACACCCGCCTGCCTTGCCTCTCTAGGGAGTACAGAACTGTGTAAATCAGCAATGAGAAGGGCTTAGCGATTAAGGAAGCTGACACCTGGGTGATTGCTCCATCCCCAGTGGTTTCCAGACCTTTTTGAGCTGGAATCTCTATGTTAAATCAAAATCTCACCCAGACACCCAGTGTGTGAGGGTCTGGTGGAAAACAGGGAGTCTTGGAGCCCTGCCCCCTCTATGGTGATGAAATCCTGGGGGCAGAGAAAAGTGGGTTGAAAGTCCCAGTAGGCAGCTGTCACAGTTTCCCTTTATAATTCAGAAAACGAGCTTGGTCCTATTCTACCTCCATTCTTCTCTTCTGGGTGCCTGTAATCCACTGGTTACAAACAGGCATAGCTAGAGCACAGGCAGGATTGAAAGGTGCTTCTAAGGGGCCAGATTTAACATTCTACTCCAATCTTTCCTAATAAATGAGGGCTGCTGGTGGTGAAAAGTGTTTGAAAGGTAGAATAGTTTAGAGGTTGAGAGTATGAATTTTGCAGTCAGCTCAGCCACTTATTAGTTGTGTGACTCTGGGCAAGATTTTTAGTTTTTCTGTGCCTCAGTTTCTCATCTGTAAAATGGAAATTAGATAATAGCAAAGTATCTCATTCGGTGGTTGTGAGACTTCAATCGATTAATCTATGTGGCACACCTAGAACAGTTCCTGGCACATGGTAAGTACTCAATAAATCATCTTTTCTCTCCTCCCATAAGTGAATTTCATGACACACTGAGGTGTACATGACAGACTTTCTGAAAAGCAGCTATTTTTTTTTTTTTTTTGAGAGGAAGAAGAGCAAACCAGCATTGGAAGGAAGAGAAAGGAATTTCTTGAAAGGCAGAAAAGCCACAGAAAAAAGAGCCCATAGTATGTGGAAGACATGACTGACCACTCACCACCAGATCTTCAGCAATCTAAGAAATGGGGCTGTATCTTGCATGAACCTAAGGGAAGAAAAACTGGCTGGAATTTTGTATAACAGTTTTGTTTTATGAACCAGCACTACCTTACCCAACCATTTTACTGTAAGTTGTTTTCTTTCTTTTTCTTTTGGAGTTGGACTCCTTTTTATTAGGTGAGATGCTGAGATGTTCGGGGCCTGTGGCCCTGCTCCAGGTGCTAGGCTGGAAACGCATCATGTGTTCTGGCCAGAAGACTTCCTGAGGGGTTGAAGAAGGCTGCGGGGCAGAGATGCCAGGTTACTCTGGAAATCACTTGCCTACTAAATATAGTGGATGATTATGCAGTTATTCCATTGATTTTTTCCTAATCACAGTTTACTGGAGGCCTTAACCTTTAGAATTCTTAACAGCGGGGGGCTGGAAAAGCTGTCCTGGTGTCCTGTCACAACAAACATCTTCGAATAGTAATTAAGGCAACGTATTGTTACCTTGGTTACACAGAACCATCCCCAGAGCGTGACTGCATGATGTCCAGAGCCAGGGGTGTCAGGAACTAACCCGACCTCAGGCGAGCTGAGGCAGGACATGAGTGGGCCCGGGAATCTGAAGGCTAAGGCTGGGCCTACTACTGATATAAGGGAGCATAGTTAGGGGCCCCTATTAATTCTCCAGTTTCTTTGGAAGCTGAGAGCAACAAAAGCTAAGTCCAACATGAATGTTAACAGGATCTAGTGTTGGAAACAAAGGAAATGATGAACTTATATAATCATAGGATATAAGAAATCACACATAGGGCAGTTATAAGACATATATAGGACAGGACATCATAGAAATAAGCATTATTAAGGGAGTGATAATACTGTAAGGAAGATATGATGGTCCGAGACATATTTCTCTCTTGTCCCTCGGAATTTTGACTTTTGACAACACTTTGATTCTAGAGTCTGGGTCCAAATCGTTTAGTTTGATGAGGGTGCCTGGTGGCATGGGGAAGAAGTGCTGCAGCTGGAAGGATGATTTTGTTGATACTGACTCTCGTGGTTATCTTGGCTTTTGGTTTGCAGAGGGAGAAGCCTAGGGTCAAGATCACTATATTAGTCCGTTTTTGCATTGCTGGAAAGAAATACCTGAGACTGGGTAATTTATAAGAAAAGAGATTTAATTGGCTCACGGTTCTGCAGGCTGTACAGGAAGCGTGATGCTGGCATCTGCTCAGCTTCTGGAACGGCCTCAGGAAGCTTACAATCATGGTGGAAGGCAAAGGGGGAGTGGCTACGGCACTCATATGGTAAAAGTGGGAGCAAGAGAGGGGGAGGTGCCACACACTTTTAAATGGTCAGATCTCAGGAGAACTCACTATTGCAAAGACAGCACCAAGAGGATGGTGCTTAACCATTTATGAGAAATCCACTTACCTGCCACCAGGCCCTACCTGTAACATTGGAGATTACATTTCAACATGAGATTTGGGCAAGGACATACATCCAAACTAAATCAATCACATGAGTCAGTAGTAGATTCCAGAGGAACAAAAGGATAGAGAGATGCTGGCTGCCTAGAAAAAGCAGAAAGAAGTCCAAAAGGACTTCTGTCTCCAACCCCCAAAGTTTCGGGGGGAGAGCAGGATAATTTGAAAGGAGCTCAAAGCTGCTCTGAGGCTCCTCTGAAATCACCTAGTTTGCAATTTTTTAAATTTAACAAATATTTGTTGAGGTTGCAGGCACTATTTTGAGTTTGAAGGATGAGGAGTAGGGAAATAAATCAACATATTCTCTGACCATAGTTTAAACTTAATGACCAGTATAGTTGACGTAAACACAAAGAACACAAGGTGGTAACGGGGAAGTCTGGCTTATTTGGAAGTTATCCAGCCTCATGTTCTCAACTTGGAGCACTGGGGTTGAGTCCTCCTTCTAAATTCCATTGTGGCCTATGGTCCATGTTGGTGTGTTCACCCATGTCTCAGGCTGGGGACAGGTTGATAGAGAAACTGTTATGAAGCCTTATCTTCCCTGCTTAGTGTGGGAAATTCTACCCAGGTCTGGGGGACTTTAATGTTTATAACAACTTACTGTTTTGCAAAACTTGTCTTTCACTTCAGAGAGGCTATCCCTACGTACTCCTAGTCATTAGGTTTCCCAAAGCTTTACATCATGGCACTGATTTTTGGCCATAGTACCTGAAAAAATGAACTCATCCACATCTTTATTCTTGTTCCTTTGGGGAAAGAGAACTAGAAAAGTGCAGAAGGGCCATCGGAAGCCCAGCTGCCCATTTAGTCCTTCTTCGTGTTTGCTTTTGAGGAAAGGCAGCCAGTCCAGATAATTAGAGTCAGAATTCTGATGAAGGATTTGTTCAAAGTTCAGTCACAGTCTGGGATGGAGAACTCTGCATGCCCACTTCCCTTGTTAATAGCTTTGCTGACCTTCTCCAAAGAAAAAGTCATTAGAATGTTGAGTTATGATCTGTTTCTTGTAAAATCTCGCCAGTCACCCATTTATAGCTCTGTATTTCAACCAATTCTAATTACCTTTTAGAATATACTTCTCCCAGCCCTTGAAGAATATTGTAAACCCTGAACCATGCAATCAAGCATACTTCTTGGTTAGAAAGCTGATTGTGACCTAATATACACACAAATCTCCACAAACACCCCCTCCCGTTTCCCAAGAGCCACATAATCATCTATAGGGCTCTCCAGGGCTCCAGAGAGCTGGTGTCATTTGGTTACTTAATGTTGGAAGAGGACATTTCATGGAGAATGTTTTGTGTCAGAAAACTAATGAGGAAGAGCAAAACACTCTTGTGTCTCTTGCTATCATTTTCTGTATCTCCCTGGGGAAGCCCTCTCCTTCCTTCCCTTTACTAAGCATTGTCTGAAGTTAGTGTCCATCTTCTTCCTCCACCTCTGGAGAGTGAGGTGAATCAGATCAGAGTCCATGGCGGAACTTGAATTATGGGGTTCTTGCATCAGTCTTGCTTTGTTCCTACAAAATAGTCACAGACTTAAAAAGCTATCTCTGTTGCCTTATAAAGTCAAGAGCTCCTTGGTACATCTTGAACTTGGCTGTGTCTAGTGGATTTCTCTCTACTAACCCTCTGCTATATATTAGTCTCTATCATTTGAGACAATTCAAATGACTCAAAGATTTTTGGAGGTCTCTGTATTTTTTAAGAAATGCTTTGAATAGGATTAAAATCACTAGCACTGCTGAGAGGAAACATTTTTATAGACTTTCTAAATCTCTCCACTGCTGAGAAGAATTAAAAAAAAAAGCAGCAACATTTCTCTTGTCTCTTTATTTCTAATCACTTTTTCCTTCTAACGGGACTGGAGCACCATGAGAAATGTCGGTCTTTTACGGCAAGGACTCATTTGCCCATAACGAACACTGAGTACAAAAGCAAATTAAAAAAAAACAACCCTATGCTTAGAGAGACCATTAGGAACGATTTGACATTTATTGAACAACAGATGGCGATTAAAAACATAAAAGCTAGATTGCCTTGCTAGAAACAAAGGGTAGTTCTACTGAGGAAGTCTAACGTTTCAATTAAAACACGTCTCAGTGTCAATTAAATCATATGAAGATAAGCCTGAAAATGGTTTCTAGCTGCACTATAATCAATAGTGCAGTTAAAATCCCCATCAAGAAGCACCCAAGTTTTTAGTTTGACAGTTTGCTAAAAGATTAGCCAGAGCTTCAAGAAACCATTTCCTTCAGTGTAGGGTTCAAAAGGTAAACATTTAACCAGGAGTGCTTCATATGTATTAAACAGATTTATTTCCATGATGAGAAGAAAGCCTCACTGGCTTTGCTTTGTTTCAAATCTCATCCGCTTTTCAGTATGGATTAGGCATTAGTGAGGGGTGGAAAAATAACCCCATTATTTCCACAACAAGGATCTTGTTTTAATGACGCTTATATTCTTTTGGGAAGCAGTGAGTTGGAGTGGAGAGACAGAGGTGATTTGGTAGTGAGACAGACCTTGAGTTGAATCGCAGCCTGGTCACTTTTAGCTAGTGTGTTGAATGATCAGAATCTGTTTTCTCATTTGTAAAATTTCCATACAATATTACCTTTCTTGGGTTGCCTGGTACATTCTAGGGACTCAGTGAATGAGCCCCTATCTTTAGCTCTCAATTGGCTGAACCTTGTGACACAATCTATTTTGGCAGATCTTACCAAAACTGAGCTCAGTGGATACCAGTTCTGCTACATGTTTTATGCCAAACGGTTACTGTGTGTTTTGGGTTGAAATGTGTCCCTTCCAAATTCATATGTTGAAATCCTAATGCCTAGTACGTCAGAATGTGATTTTCTTTGGAAATAGGGTTGTTGCAGGTGCAATTAGTCCAGTTAAGATGAGGTCATACTGGAGTAGAGAAGGCCCCTAATCCAGTATAAGTGGTGTCCTTATTATAAAGGAAATGTGGAGATAGACACCCACACAGGGAGAACACCATATGGACATGAGGCAGAGATCGGGGGAATCTACAAGCCAAAGAAGGCCAAAGATTGCCAGCAAACCCCCAGAAGCTGGGGAAGGCAGGAAAACAGATTCTCCCTTACAGTCAGAAGGAACCAACCCTCCTGACACCTTGATCTTGGTCTTCCAGCCTCCAAAGCTGGGAGACAATAAATTTCTATTGTTTAAACCACCCTGTTTGTGGTGCTTTGTTACAGTGGTCCTAGCAAACTAATACATGATGTCAAGTACATTTGGTAAAAACTGGTACAGCACCCTGCTTTTGAAGATTCTTAATGGAACACTTTACCAAACTCAAGTCTCTGAGATATCATACTAATAAGAATTATCTCCATCTTTATTCAGTGTTTCCCAAACATTTGATCATGGAAGACTTTCCTCCCCTGAATAAATACCGATTTGCTTACTTTGGGAAAAAATACTCTGAAACATTTTGCCTTTAAGCCTACCTCCACCTCAGCCCCCCAGGCTTCTGCTTCAGCTCTGGCTCTCTGGCCAGCTGCAACGCCGCTTAACCATGTGCTCAGCACCATTGCAGAGTGAATGGTGATCCTTGTCCTTTGCTCACTTTGTCGACAACCTTCCCTGGTGCATTTTCTCCCTTTCCCCACTTCTGCTGTCCAGGTGTGAGGTGTTGCTTGAGAAAGCCATGAAACCCAGTCAAGTTCCATGGTAGTCCAATGCAGTGCTTTTTGAGCTGAGTCTCCACTGCTGCAGCTGCTGCTGAGTCCTTATATTTTTGTGTTTCTCTATTCATCATTTGGCGTGTGGCCTACTGTGAGCCAGTTCTCTTGCTAGTGATTGGGAAGGTAGGTGAGGAGCAACAGGCACCGAGGCATCCCTTCTCTCAACTGTTGATGGCATTGCAGAGGAGATAACCTAATAGTGTGAGAGAAAAGCCTTAACAAAAATACCTTCATGTTGAAACAGAAAGGGGAATAAAGGGCGAACAAGAGTATGCTAGCCAGACAAAGGTAGAAGATTGTATTTCAGGCAGAAGAAATAGCACGTGTATTCAGGATATTTCAAGTCCTGGTCAGATGTTAGGTTGCAAGTTTGGGGAGAATAGGATATGAAGCTAGGAAGGAGACAGGGATATAAGCACTACAGGCTAAAGTACTTGCCATTTATCTGGGAGGGAATGGGGAGTCATTGATCACTGCACAGAGATGAGATTTTCATTTATGAAAGGTCACGATGGGATTGTAAATGATATTAATTCTCCTTGTCATTTTTGGTGCGTTCAAAATTGTCATTCAACTTTCGTTTTTGAAAATGTTATATAAATGTTGTGTAATTATATTTTTATTAAAAAGATTAAAAAATTTAGAAATATATGGAGAAATTTTGAGCTTTTCTTATTACTCTCCCCATCAACTTACATCCCCTCCCAATAGGTATGCTTTATTGTTCAGTCCCTCATTGATCTTTCTATGCATCTGTGGGTATGTATACACGGACACACACATATACATGCTTGCATATACACACACATATACACACATTTGTATACACACATTGTGATTCAAATTTGTTAATTAAAAAACACAAATACAATCATGCTGTGTCTGTCTTTGGTGATATTTTTCACAATAACAATGTTCTGGAAGCCTTTCACATACGGGTATCTTATTCTTTATAACGGTTTCATAGTATTCCATAGAATGGATGAAACAGTTTATTTTAGCCACTCCCTCTTTAAATAAAAGTGTTTTTATAAGAATTACTTCAAAGATATTTTGTCTATACATTTTTGTGCCCATACACAAATATTTCTTTAAGATTTCTAGAAGTATATTTTTTGATCAAAGAGTATAGCATTTAAAATCTTGAAAATGTAGTCAAAAATGACTTCTAAAATAGATTCAGTTATGTACTCTTGTACTTGTTTTTCAAAGAATGAAATTATCAATATTTTAAATTTCTTTGAATTTGTTGGGCTTAAATTTTAAAAATATTCTTTTTCCTTATTTTAAATGAGGTTGAGAATCTTTCCTGTGAACGTTGCCTATTTTTATTTATTATTGTAAATTGCCAGTTCTTATCGCTTCTCTATTTTTAAAATTGAGACTTTCATATTTATCTCATTAACTTGTAGAAGTTTGTTATATAATTTGAATGGTAAATACTCTGTCATTTTAATAATTAATACTTAATAATTTCTTTCAATATGACACTTTTCTTCTGACTTTATTTTGACTTTTACTATTAGGAAATTTAAAATTTATATAAAGTAAATCTGACAGTTTCTTTTATGATTTCTAGGTATTGCCTCCTGCTTAAGAAAGAATTTCCTAGACTAGAATAATTTCAAAATTATATATTTTTTATTGCTTTTATAGTTTCTAGAACATAAAAGAGTTTGTTTTTGCACATAGTGTGATCTTGGAAACTAAGTTTTTTTCCCAAAAGCCTAAATAATGTCCCAACACTATTTATTGAATAATAAACTCTTATAACGAGAAAAATATATTTCAAAGAGATATCTCAATTTAGTGTCACCGTACAAACTGGACTGGAAGGGATCGAGGAAAACAGTTGGGAGATGGACAGGAATGCTATCTTCCTTGTTAAAGCACACTCCAGGATTTGTTACTAAAAAGAAAGCTTTCAGGTCAGAAAGCTAACAGCCTAAACTAAGGAACTGGCTTTGGCAGCCGTAAAGGTGACTTAGAAAAGAGGCTATAAAATTGAAAGAGCTTGAGGAATAGAATAAATAAGAGTTTGTAACTGATTGAGAGACAGGGAGGAATCTTGTGTGATTCTGAGGTTTCCAACATTGGTAATAAGTACTAAGGAATTTCCTGGAAAAGAGAGTAGATTGAACACACTGAAATATGCTTCCCAACCTAAATTCATAGAAATGCTAGGCAAGACAGTTAAAAAAATTTAAAAAGTCACACCTCAAAGCAAGAAGGGAGTTCTCCAATGCTAAAAACAAAAGGGGAACCCAAAGTAATGAGTAGGAGACAAAGTCAACTTGCTCAAGGGAGGCCTGAAGTCAACACAGGCATTAGCAGCTATGTTTTCAACATTACTGTGGGGACAAAGTTAAATTTATAAGCTCTGGGTCAGGGTAGACTCAGAAACTGGATTCCTTGTATGAGGCTTTGGGCTAGAAATGTGTTTCCCCTCTCCCCCCTTTTTTTACAGGGAGGAAAAAAAAAACCATTGTCCACTAGACAGAGGTTATAGCCTGAAGCAAGCTTCTGCCTCAGACAAGGGTTGGAAATAATCTTACCATGGCTGGGTCTCAGTTCCAGGACTGTGCCTCAGTTCCAGGACTGCACCTCAGTTCCAGGACTGCCTTGCACAGGTTTAGGGCCCAAATGTGTGCTGCCTGTGTGACACAAGAACTCTGAGGCCATGAACTAACTTAAAAACTGGTCTGGGGCTGGTTAAGCTCATAGTGCTTTGGCAGAGCAACTGTAAAATTGGCCAATTGGAAGACTAAGAAGTAGAAAAATTAGAGCTAGATAGATACATACATGAATTCCACATCTAGACACTTAATAGTGCAAGTGCAGAATAGCAGTTATAATGAGAAATCCTAAAAGCCAACAAAGAGAAAAATAAAGAGGGTAACTGTAATCTCACAGTAGGAGTGGCAGCATACTTCTCTGCAGCAGCAATGGTTGTCCTAAGGTAGTGGGTATATTTTCAAAGTTACCAGGGCAAATATTTGGATTGCTAGAAATTTATAATGAGTCAACCTAACACTTATGTATGTATGTATGTTTGTATGTATTTATTCATTAATTCATTCACTTTTTCTTTTTTTTTGAGATGGTCGCCCAGCCTGAAGTGCAGTGGCATGATCTCAGCTCACTGCAACCTCCACCTCCCAGGTTCAAGTGATTCTCCTGCTTCAGCCTCCTGAGTAGCTAAAATTACAGGCACCTGCCACCATGCCTGGCTAATTTTTGTATTTTTAGTAGAGAGGGGGTTTCACCATGTTGGCCAGGCTGGTCTCAAACTCCTGACCTCAGGTGATCCACTCGCCTCAGCCTCCCAAAGTGCTGGGATTACAGGTGTGAGCCACCACACCCAGCTGAATCAGCCTAACATTTAAGACTGAGGATGTTTTGCACTTCTTGGAAATGTATCATGTGCTTGTTTTACTGATTTGAAACATTAAATAGAAGAATGAAGGTAAGATAAAAATATTTTAGGCCTACTAGAACGTAGAAAATTTACTGCTCATAGTAATATTAATGGATTGCTGTCATCAAAACAATTACTAAATGATAAACTTTAGTTTGAATAAAAAAGTATTCTGAAGGAAGAAGTGAGATGCAAGAAGCAAAGGGAATAAATGGTGGTAAATCTAAACAGACATTAAAATCAATGAGAATAGTAGCAATATTGCTCATAATATGCTTCAAACAGGAAGAAATCAAAATATCAAAACAAACAAACAAACAAAAAACCCACCATAGCACAATAACAGAAGAGTTAGTTGAGGGATTTCTGAGGAGAGTTTATGCAGAAGTCCTAATTTAGTTTGGAAGAAAGACAGTTATATGTACTAACTGACCCTCTGAGAGAAAATACTCAAATTTCTCTCTCTCTCTCTCTCTCTCTCTCTCTCTCTCTCTATATATATATATATATATATATATATACACACACACATATATATGTATATATATGTATATATGTGTGTGTGTTTGTGTGTATGTGTGTGTATACACATATATACATATATATGAAAAATTAGGTATTATTGTTGAAGAAACAAATACAGACCCTTTAACTTTAAATGGGTGAAGGAAAATAAAGAATATGAAGAAAATGTGATTGATTAACAGAAACCAGGAGAAGGGAATAAATGAAGCATAGCAAATAGAAAACACCAGCTATAACGGCAGAAATGAGTTCTAACAGTGTGAACAATGAGGCCGACTCTACATACTGACATTGGTTCTATCGTGTATGATGAATCCAGGCCAAGCAGACAATGACATAGTCCTGGAGATTCTGCTGTGTGGGGAGGAGGAGAAGGAGGGAGATAAATGTGTCCTAAATTGGTCTAATTCGACTGAAGGGAACAATTTATCCTGCCTGGTTAAGGGAGAGGTTTTTTTCTTCCTCCTGCTAGATGCATGTAGCTCCTTTGGCTCTACCAGCCTCCTTGCAGCCATGAGGGTACCTAGCCTTGGGTGAAGCTGAGAGAGGCAAAATAGAGAAGAGGAAACTCCTAGGTTCTTGAGGGCATCACTGAGTCATTGATCATGTTGCACCTGGAACCCGTCCTATCCCTGGACTTCTGGTTATGAAGATAATGCATTTCCTTATTGTTAAAGTGGTATCAGTTGAGATTGTTTATTGCCCGAAGCTGAAACATTCTAATTGTTGCATCAGGTATTTTAGCAATCAAAACAAAAACAGAGATTAAGCTCACTTATTAAAAGGCAGAATCTTAGGGGTTAAAAAACAAACAAATAACCAACCAAACAACAACAAAAATCCCAAGTGGCAATTTACCAATGTGTGAATGTATGGTTTAGAAGAAATGTCTCTGAAATAAAAGAATATGGAAAGATTAAAATTAAGCTGAGGAAAAAGATATACCAGGCAATTATGAACCAAAAAGAAAGCTAGCATAGCAATATAAATGTCAGACCAAATAGAATTTAAGATGAATAAACTTAGGGAATACACACAGAAAAATTTTATACAAATACAAGGAACAATCCACAAAGAACATGAACCTAAGTATATTGCCCCAAATTAAAGCAAAACTGAAAATTGCATGGAGAAATTGACAAACTGTAATAAAATGAAAATAATATAGAACAAAATGCCATTTACAGCATTAAAAACTGAAACATACCCAAGAAAAAAACCATAATAAAAATGTGTAAGGTCTTAATGGAGAAAATTATCAAATATTACTGATGGACTTAAAAGAAAATGTGAATAAATTAGAGATATATAATATTCATGGATGGGAAGACTGGACATTAAAGATGAAAAATTTCCCCAAAGTTTGTTTATAAATGCAACTCATTCCCAATCCCCATCAAAATCTCAGTAGAATATTTTGTGTATCTTGCAAAGTGTTCTTAAAATTCATATGGATAAAAAAGGATGCAAGATAAGCCAAGACAATTTAGAAAAAGAAGAACAATAAGGGGGTATCCACTTTGCCAGGCAGTTACTACAAAGTTATTACATTGCAAACAACATGTGGCTGGTAGAGAAATTTATAGGTAAATCAGTAGAATAGCATAGAGACCCCAGAAACTGACTTAGGCATGGAACTTGGCTTGTTACTGAAATGACATCAAAATCAGTGGGGGGAAAGATATCCTCTAAAATATATGCTGTTGAAACAAATTACTTTCTGCAAGTAAAACAAATGGAAAGTAGATTTTTACTTCACACCATACACAAGTTTCAGACAAAAATGTGAAAAATGAAACTCTAAAACTACTAGGGAAAATATGTTTAAAAAATAGGAAAAATGTGAACTTGAGATAAGGAATTCTTTAAAATGATGAAAAAGCACAATTAATTAAGTAAATGATAGATAAATTTGATTCCATTAAGAAAAGATATTCCATAAACAAGGATTAAAAACAAGCTATGAACTAGAAGATATTTTCTGCTTACATGATAATCAGTATCTAGAATAAAATAAATCCCTACAAATGGTTAAAAAAAGACAAATAGAAAAGAGAAAAAATTTCAAAAGATATAGAAGACAAATCCTAGTAGAAATATGAATGAACAATAAATATAAGAAATGCAAAAAAAATTATTTATTTCACTAGTCATCCAGAAAATGCCAGCTAAAACGGAACAACATTTTCCTTTCTGTTTGTTAAAAAATAAAGTACAACAATGTCCACTATTAGTGTGCATGTGGAAGAAGATATGTAATAAGCCATTGAAACAAAAAAATACTGTTCATTCAAACTGCTACTTTATTATTATTTCCTTTTTCTTGTTTTGTTCACCCCTGTGTACTGGCTCTGGCACCAGATATAGCCCATGAGCAGAGCCTATGAGTTGATTTTTTAATGAATGAATGAATGAATCCTTCCAAAGAAACCAGGTATCATCTCTCCCTCCTTAACACCTTATCTCATTTTGTTTGTATCTTTTTATGGGCCCTCCCTTATTTTGCCTTCACTGGAGTCATTTGTTAATGTGTCTACTTGTCTTTCTGTACTCTCCATTCTCGTTATTCTAAAATTTTTGAAGGCTGAGACTATTTTATATCTGACTTCCCCATAACTCAAAGCATGCTACCTTGGATATAAAGGGTGCTCAATAAGTACTTGTTAATTGTAATTCAATTCAAGTAAAAATTATGTAATCTTCACTAGAAAAATGTGCTGGCCATGAGACCATTGTTTACCAGTGAACCTGCTAGAACTTTCATGTATCAATTTATTTGACTTTGCTGCCTATGAATAAAAAAGATATTTTACACTGTCATATATTTTAAACTTTGGAGGAGAAAAAGCGTCATTGGATTATGTACTTACTTTAGGAAAAATTGTGCTAAGAGTAAATGGGAATTAAGGTCACAATCCATACTCCTGAAAATGTACTAGAATTTCCTTAAAATTGGATTTGCCTTTCCTCCAACCACCGATGGTCTCTTTGCTTTTTGATTACTAAAGACAACAGGATCAAGGAGTGACTTTGGGGCTCCTGGAAGTGAGTTTTGATTTAATTATGTCTCACTGTATAAACTGCAAATTGATTCACACTGGTAGGAAGAGGGAGGCAGGAAAACAGTAATTCTGTTCCATTTTCTCTGCCCTTTTCTTCCTCACATCTCTACCTTCATCTCTGCCTAAACACTGCCTCTCCTTTCCACCCAGCTTTTCGTACTGCTTTTCGCCCTTCTCAGACTGTTCGATTATAACGTAGTGCCATTTATTGAAAGTCTCTGTCTTAAGCCTATATCTGTTTTGGCTTTTCCTTATCTGCACACAATTTATCTTTCTCAGGGATGACGAAAGAGGACACTTGGTGTAGTAAAGGCACATATACTATAAAATACCTCAGAAAAAAGCTATCGCTATTCAATGAGTGTACTCTGGTGGTTTAGGAAATAAAATACTCACCTAGACAAGGGGAAAATTTAGCAATCCAGGATGCCTGGGCATCACTGGGCAGAAATAATTGCTAATTAGCATCCTACTAGCTTGGGAACATTAATTGGTTTCGGGGGATCTGCTTTCTACACTCAAAGTGTATTTTGCTCATTTTAGTTTGCTATATGGGATGAGAGAAGAATGACAATTACTAAAATAGTTTCATCTCAGTAATTCAATCTAATGAAGACTTGTCATTTGAATGATTATTCAGTAGCTGGTTCTCATTTTTCTGCCAAGTTTTCAGAAAAACAAACTCAGATATTCCTCATTTCTGAAAAAGCACAACTTTCTTTTAAAATAATTGAGAGGGTTTTATTCACAGATACAGGAATGCTCACAGAAGAACTGTCATCCTATATGACTATGTAAGCAGAGAGAAAAGGAAAGATGATATTTTTTGAAACATTTAATTTTTATTTCAGAACACACCAAGCAATAATATAAAATAAAGTGCTTCAAATTGCTGTCTTTAATTTTCTCCTAGAAAGAAAATTTGTCATCTATTTTATGATTTATTGAAGCTAAAGGCATATGTGAGAACAAGTTTTATGATTAATTAAATAAAATTACTTGTGCATAATACTCGTAGTGATATTATCTTTGAGTTAAAATTCACTTGAATAAGATAGATGACATTTTCAATCAGCAGATTAATTAAACTCTTTTGTTAATTACACATAAGTCAGTATGTTTGGATTATATATCAATCAATATACTGAAGCAACATCCACTTACTTTGCTCTGGAAAACTGCTTTGCTGATATTTTTCCAGTAGCTTTATTTTAGAAGTTGGGTTTCTTTTATTTTCTTTGTATTTTATTTCTTTGTATCAGGGGTCTCAATAGTTGGCCGATTTAGATGTGAAAATAATTATTGCAAATATATATATATATATATATATAGTGTGTGTGTGTGTGTGTGTGTATACACACACTTTGCTTCTTTTTTTCATCATTGTGAAAGTCTTTCTTGGGTTCTGATAATTCCTTCAATGATTATTCTTGCAACTGAATTTCAACATTGCCATGCTCAGATTTTTTTATTAGTACATTGATGGAACTAGAGCTGATAAAGTCTGCAGCTGCACTGCTCGGCCTGATGCCTGTCTGATTTGAACTGTTATCTGCTGTTCTGCTTCCTACTTGCAAGCAGGGCAATGGCTAAAATGAAATCTTCTATTGTGTTTAACATTCTGAAGGATTGTTAGTTATTTAGATATCTTACCCTTCCTTTGACAATTTATCCCCCCCACCCCAAGTCCCATTTCTAGAGGCTTAATTCCTGATTAATTCATATTTGCCATTGTAGATGGAGGCTGGGGGGAAAAGTGAATAGTACTTTTTGACACAAAGCCACTGAAAGAGAAATTTTCTTGTCTTGGTATGCATTCGGGTCAGTGATAAACCCCTAGACTGCTAACTTTTTGTTTTGAATGCCTCTATGCAGTGCAATAAAGCCAAATGGTGTGGTTGGACAATCAATCCCGAACCTCTCCTCCTCCTTCAATTTCTGAGCGTTTATTTTCTATATTTTTATTCACTGGGCCAAATTCTCCTTTCAGTCTGGCAAGAGTTTACATGCTATAAATAGCTACCCTTGAATGAGTGGGAGTTTTCTAGGCTCTCATCAGAGAATCCAATTTTGGCTTGTCATTTAGCTCCTGTCGAAGCCTGGCTAAGACAACTGATATTTGAAAAATGCAGTTTACAGGTGTGCAGTTTCTCATCTATGTGTGCTAAGCTGTATTCAGATCACCAGAAACATCTAAATGTAGTGCTCATTAGCTTAGCCTTTCCCAGTAAAAACTCTTTCATGAATCATGTTTTAGTATTGTCTTTATCTTTTTTTAAAAAAGTCCATTAATAGTAGAAACAGTGAAGTGAAGAATATTTTTGTAGCTTCTGTAAAAACTGCTTAAAGATACTGCCCATTATGTTGTTCAATGTTCCTTGTGCAAGAACTCATGCGATGAATTCCTTTAAAAATTTATTCAGGATAAAGTTTGTCTTTGTCAAAGAAGTGAAAATTTTGCTCTTTTCAGAGCAGGGACACCATACCCTTTATTGTTTCTCTTTCTGCATTCGCCATCAGGAAGCTCCGAATGAAAGTAAATGTTGTATCATAAGAAGAGAGAATGAGAAATCACAGGCAGGTTCCAAGAGGAGTATACCAGTCAATCTTTCTTTGCCTTCTTTATATTTATCTGTTCATTTATTGATTTAATGAACATTTATTAAAGGATAGCTGTGCTCCAAGCACTATCCCAAATGTTGGATAAAAGAGCATGGTCCTTCCCCTGGATGGGATTATAGCCTGAGAGGGGACAAAATAAATAGACATGTCTTCCAATGAGAGGAGTGCAACAATAGAGAAATACATGAGGTACTGCAGGGGGTTGAAGAAGGAAGCACCAAGTCCTGCCTGGAGACATCAGAGAAGGTGTCCTTGATGAATCATGTAGAATAAATCCTGAGTGGACAAAGTCAGAGTGGAGCACAGAAACCAAGGCATATAGGGAGGAGAAGCAAAGTGGGGAGGGTTATAAAATGAAGCTGGAGAGAGGGCAAAACCTGAATGTTAAAGACCTCAGAGCCTTGCCTAGGAGTTTGTGATTTATCCTCTGGGGAATAAGGGTTAATAAAAGTGTTTCAAGCATGATGGCGGCATGATCGGATTTTCAGTTTAGAAAGCCTTCTGGCCACCTAGAGGAAGACAATTTGGGAAGGGGCCAGGAAAGAACCAGAGCATCCCAGTGGGAGGCTAGTGGAAAAGTACAGGAGTGACTACACTAAGGCTGGGGCATGGGAGGGAAGAGAAGTGAAGTAGAGAGAGGAATGGAATCAGAATTAATAAGATTTGGCATCCAATTAATGTTGGACATGAGAGGAGGGAGTGAAAAGGGTTACAACCCAAGTTTCTGACTTAGAAGGTTGGATCATGATGAAAGGAGAGAATATGGAAAGAGAAACAGATGCGACTGTGTGGATTGAGAGATGACGCATTAAATTTTGGTTGTGTGGAGATGAGGTGCCTGAGAAATAGGTGATGGAAGATGCTTTGCAAGCAGCTAGATGTAAGGGTCTGGACCTCAGGGGAGAAATCAGAACTGAAGCTATAGATCTGGGAGTCATTTCTGCATGGGTGGAGGTGAATCCCTTGAGAAGAGTAGGAAGTGGGAGTAAAGAACAGGGCTGAGGATATGGAGGTGACACTCTTTAAGGGATGGGCAGAAATACAGGGGACCTTCAGAGATCCTCAGGAGGCACAGGTAGAGAGGACCAGAGAGACCCAGGAAAAATGGTGTTGGCCTGATCATCCTAATGCCTTTGTGGAGAGTCTATGAGATTAACCCATAGGCGTCTCAAACTCAATATGTTGAAGGCTGAGCTCAACATATTGAGTTTGAGAATAGTCTGTGGTAGACAGGAAGGGATGATTTAGGTGGATGATCTTATTCTTCCCCACGTTACCTTCTGATCTCCCTTTGAAGTGGAAATCCACCCATATTCCAATTCAGACACCAAGGGACCACCTTTGAGTCCTCATAAGCAGCCACCAAGACTTACAAGGACGATCCAATTTCTTATTAAGCCCTGCCCTTTTTTTCCATACCACTTTGGGCATGAGTTTTGGCGGTAGCCCGCAAGGAAACTTGACTCCTGTTTTGCTCTCAAAATCAAATTTACTCATATCACCTCCATGCTAAAAATCATCCAGTAAATTCCTATTTCCTGCCAGACAAAGTCCAAAGCCTTAGCGTGATATACAAAGCTATTTAAACAGTATAGTGTCAGGCAGCCATTTTGAGCCAGCCATTTTGGTATCATTGTTTTGCAAAGTATAAAGAAAACAATGTCACCCTTTCCTCATTCCTCAGCTTCACTCCATTGCTGAGCCTTCCTCCATTCCTTCTGCTTAACCTTTTTCAGGCTAGGGATTACAATGAGACTCCACCAATCAAAGGTCAGGGGCAGAAAACAACACAGTGTTTTGTTGAATTGTGAAGTCTACTACCACAGATGTCTCTTTGGCTAATTTCCTGGCGCTGAACTTGTGTATTTTTTCTTTCATTTCCAGGCATTCACACATGCTATTTCTTTTGCCTGGGATGATTTCCCGTTCTTCATTTTTGATAGGTTTATACAAGAAATAACATAAATGTAGTGAATTCTGAACAATGCTAACATTTTTTTCAGGTTATAGTTAGCCTAGATGTTGTTTTCCTCCTCTGCCCCCTACTATCCAAGCCAGCATTTATAAAATGCTTCCCATTGTCACAATGCAGTTCAAAGAGACAGATTAGAACAAAGAAAGAAAAGTCACTTCTGAATGACTATTAGAGGCAGCCACTATTTGTAGAGAGAGTGCACTTTAGAGGAAACCAAATCTCCTCAGAAATAAGTTTGATGACTTAAAGATAAATTTTGAACAGTTGTTGACTGAGAAACTAAAAATTCCCTATCATTTGAATGAAAGCCCTGATATAAGAAAGCATCCTTTGCAGAGCACAGTGGCATCAGAGGTAGAATTTTGTAAAGCAAAGAAGAAGATCAGCAAATAAAGTAGATTCAGGACAAAGAAAGAAAAAGAATTTGCACGGTATCTGTAAAGGAACATTTCTTTTGTTTTTTTTTTTTGTTTTTTTTTTTAATTATACTTTAAGGTTTAGGGTACATGTGCACATTGTGCAGGTTAGTTACATATGTATACATGTGCCATGCTGGTGCGCTGCACCCACTAACTCGTCATCTAGCATTAGGTATATCTCCCAATGCTATCCCTCCCCCCTCCCCCCTCCCCACCACAGTCCCCAGAGTGTGATATTCCCCTTCCTGTGTCCATGCGATCTCACTGTTCAATTCCCACCTATGAGTGAGAATATGCGGTGTTTGGTTTTTTGTTCTTGCGATAGTTTACTGAGAATGATGGTTTCCAATTTCATCCATGTCCCTACAAAGGACATGAACTCATCATTTTTTATGGCTGCATAGTATTCCATGGTGTATATGTGCCACATTTTCTTAATCCAGTCTATCATTGTTGGACATTTGGGTTGGTTCCAAGTCTTTGCTATTGTGAATAATGCCGCAATAAACATACGTGTGCATGTGTCTTTATAGCAGCATGATTTATAGTCATTTGGGTATATACCCAGTAATGGGATGGCTGGGTCAAATGGTATTTCTAGTTCTAGATCCCTGAGGAATCGCCACACTGACTTCCACAATGGTTGAACGAGTTTACAGTCCCACCAACAGTGTAAAAGTGTTCCTATTTCTCCACATCCTCTCCAGCACCTGTTGTTTCCTGACTTTTTAATGATCGCCATTCTAACTGGTGTGAGATGATATCTCATTGTGGTTTTGATTTGCATTTCTCTGATGGCCAGTGATGATGAGCATTTTTTCATGTGTTTTTTGGCTGCATCAATGTCTTCTTTTGAGAAGTGTCTGTTCATGTCCTTCGCCCACTTTTTGATGGGGTTGTTTGTTTTTTTCTTGTAAATTTGTTTGAGTTCATTGTAGATTCTGGATATTAGCCCTTTGTCAGATGAGTAGGTTGCGAATATTTTCTCCCATGTTGTAGGCTGCCTGTTCACTCTGATGGTAGTTTCTTTTGCTGTGCAGAAGCTCTTTAGTTTAATTAGATCCCATTTGTCAATTTTGGCTTTTGTTGCCATTGCTTTTGGTGTTTTGGACATGAAGTCCTTGCCCATGCCTATGTCCTGAATGGTAGTGCCTAGGTTTTCTTCTAGGGTTTTTATGGTTTTAGGTCTAACGTTTAAATCTTTAATCCATCTTGAATTGATTTTTGTATAAGGTGTAAGGAAGGGATCCAGTTTCAGCTTTCTACATATGGCTAGCCAGTTTTCCCAGCACCATTTATTAAATAGGGAATCCTTTCCCCATTGCTTGTTTTTCTCAGGTTTGTCAAAGATCAGATAGTTGTAGGTAAGCGGCGTTATTTCTGAGGGCTCTGTTCTGTTCCATTGATCTATATCTCTGTTTTGGTACCAGTACCATGCTGTTTTGGTTACTGTAGCCTTGTAGTATAGTTTGAAGTCAGGTAGTGTGATTCCTCCAGCTTTGTTCTTTTGGCTTAGGATTGACTTGGCGATGCGGGCTCTTTTTTGGTTCTATATGAACTTTAAAGTAGTTTTTTCCAATTCTGTGAAGAAAGTCATTGGTAGCTTGATGGGGATGGCATTGAATCTGTAAATTACCTTAGGCAGTATGGCCATTTTCACGATATTGATTCTTCCTACCCATGAGCATGGAATGTTCTTCCATTTGTTTGTATCCTCTTTTATTTCCTTGAGCAGTGGTTTGTAGTTCTCCTTGAAGAGGTCCTTCACATCCCTGGTAAGTTGGATTCCTAGGTATTTTATTCTCTTTGAAGCAATTGTGAATGGGAGTTCACTCATGATTTGCCTCTCTGTTTGTCTGTTGTTGGTGTATAGGAATGCTTGTGATTTTTGTACATTGATTTTGTATCCTGAGACTTTGCTGAAGTTGCTTATCAGCTTAAGGAGATTTTGGGCTGAGACGATGGGGTTTTCTAGATAAACAATCATGTCGTCTGCAAACAGGGACAATTTGACTTCCTCTTTTCCTAATTGAATACCCTTTATTTCCTTCTCCTGCCTGATTGCCCTGGCCAGAACTTCCAACACTATGTTGAATAGGAGCGGTGAGAGAGGGCATCCCTGTCTTGTGCCAGTTTTCAAAGGGAATGCTTCCAGTTTTTGCCCATTCAGTATGATATTGGCTGTGGGTTTGTCATAGATAGCTCTTATTATTTTGAAATACGTCCCATTAATACCTAATTTATTGAGAGTTTTTAGCATGAAGGGTTTTGAATTTTGTCAAAGGCCTTTTCTGCATCTATTGAGATAATCATGTGGTTTTTGTCTTTGGCTCTGTTTATATGCTGGATTACATTTATTGATTTGCGTATATTGAACCAGCCTTGCATCCCAGGGATGAAGCCCACTTGATCATGGTGGATAAGCTTTTTGATGTGCTGCTGGATTCGGTTTGCCAGCATTTTATTGAGGATTTTTGCATCAATGTTCATCAAGGATATTGGTCTAAAATTCTCTTTTTTTGTTGTGTCTCTGCCTGGCTTTGGTATCAGAATGATGCTGGCCTCATAAAATGAGTTAGGGAGGATTCCCTCTTTTTCTATTGATTGGAATAGTTTCAGAAGGAATGGTACCAGCTCCTCCTTGTACCTCTGGTAGAATTCGGCTGTGAATCCATCTGGTCCTGGACTCTTTTTGGTTGGTAAACTATTGATTATTGCCACAATTTCAGCTCCTGTTATTGGTCTATTCAGAGATTCAACTTCTTCCTGGTTTAGTCTTGGGAGAGTGTATGTGTCGAGGAATGTATCCATTTCTTCTAGATTTTCTAGTTTATTTGCGTAGAGGTGTTTGTAGTATTCTCTGATGGTAGTTTGTATTTCTGTGGGATCGGTGGTGATATCCCCTTTATCATTTTTTATTGTGTCTATTTGATTCTTCTCTCTTTTTTTCTTTATTAGTCTTGCTAGCGGTCTATCAATTTTGTTGATCCTTTCAAAAAACCAGCTCCTGGATTCATTGATTTTTTGAAGGGTTTTTTGTGTCTCTATTTCCTTCAGTTCTGCTCTGATTTTAGTTATTTCTTGCCTTCTGCTAGCTTTTGAATGTGTTTGCTCTTGCTTTTCTAGTTCTTTTAATTGTGATGTTAGGGTGTCAATTTTGGATCTTTCCTGCTTTCTCTTGTGGGCATTTAGTGCTATAAATTTCCCTCTACACACTGCTTTGAATGTGTCCCAGAGATTCAGGTATGTTGTGTCTTTGTTCTCGTTGGTTTCAAAGAACATCTTTATTTCTGCCTTCATTTCGTTATGTACCCAGTAGTCATTCAGGAGCAGGTTGTTCAGTTTCCATGTAGTTGAGCGGCTTTGAGTGAGATTCTTAATCCTGAGTTCTAGTTTGATTGCACTGTGGTCTGAGAGATAGTTTGTTATAATTTCTGTTCTTTTACATTTGCTGAGGAGAGCTTTACTTCCAAGTATGTGGTCAATTTTGGAATAGGTGTGGTGTGGTGCTGAAAAAAATGTATATTCTGTTGATTTGGGGTGGAGAGTTCTGTAGATGTCTATTAGGTCCGCTTGGTGCAGAGCTGAGTTCAATTCCTGGGTATCCTTGTTGACTTTCTGTCTCGTTGATCTGTCTAATGTTGACAGTGGGGTGTTAAAGTCTCCCATTATTAATGTGTGGGAGTCTAAGTCTCTTTGTAGGTCACTCAGGACTTGCTTTATGAATCTGGGTGCTCCTGTATTGGGTGCATCTATATTTAGGATAGTTAGCTCCTCTTGTTGAATTGATCCCTTTACCGTTATGTAATGGCCTTCTTTGTCTCTTTTGATCTTTGTTGGTTTAAAGTCTGTTTTATCAGAGACTAGGATTGCAACCCCTGCCTTTTTTTGTTTTCCATTTGCTTGGTAGATCTTCCTCCATCCTTTTATTTTGAGCCTATGTGTGTCTCTGCACGTGAGATGGGTTTCTTGAATACAGCACACTGATGGGTCTTGACTCTTTATCCAACTTGCCAGTCTGTGTCTTTTAATTGGAGAATTTAGCCCATTTACATTTAAAGTTAATATTGTTATGTGTGAATTTGATCCTGTCATTATGATGTTAGCTGGTGATTTTGCTCATTAGTTGATGCGGTTTCTTCCTAGTCTCGATGGTCTTTACATTTTGGCATGATTTTGCAGCGGCTGGTACCGGTTGTTCCTTTCCACGTTTAGTGCTTCCTTCAGGAGCTCTTTTAGGGCAGGCCTGGTGGTGACAAAATCGGTCAGCATTTGCTTGTCTGTAAAGTATTTTATTTCTCCTTCACTTATGAAGCTTAGTTTGGCTGGATATGAAATTCTGGGTTGAAAATTCTTTTCTTTAAGAATGTTGAATATTGGCCCCCACTCTCTTCTGGCTTGTAGGGTTTCTGCCGAGAGATCCGCTGTTAGTCTGATGGGCTTCCCTTTGAGGGTAACCCGACCTTTCTCTCTGGCTGCCCTTAACATTTTTTCCTTCATTTCAACTTTGGTGAATCTGACAATTATGTGTCTTGGAGTTGCTCTTCTCGAGGAGTATCTCTGTGGCGTTCTCTGTATTTCCTGAATCTGAATGTTGGCCTGCCTTGCTAGATTGGGGAAGTTCTCCTGGATAATATCCTGCAGAGTGTTTTCCAACTTGATTCCATTCTCCGTATCACTTTCAGGTAAAGGAACATTTCTTTTAGTAACACCTGGGTAAAAGTTTCGCCAATTCAGAGGTGAGGAAGAATGAGTATTTTACTGTATGTTTTCATGCCTAAGTGAACTGTTTAATAGTCTATATGCAGTCAATTCCAAAATAAGAATGAATTTAGTCACTCTCAGCAGGGGAAACAAAAATTATAAACCTAAAACCCTTGTCTAAAATTAAAAGCAATTCTAAGTCATAATGGCATAATGGTGTTTGACAAGCCCAGGAAGAAAAGGAATTCTGTATGTCAAGTGCTTTGAATTTTGAAAGTGCTTTGTTGATGAGATAAGGATATTTATATTCTGTGGCCACAGCAACAGAGCCTGAAAGTGCACAGTTAAGAGAACAGACAGGAGGGGGAATGGCAGTATCTAAATTTAAATTTACACAGACTTTGTCTGTTATTAAGTTTATTGGAAAAGAGCTGGAAGCTTCTGGACAGACTCAGTAGCTATAATTTTTTTTTGTGGAGATATTCATTTAATGTTAACTACAGTATTGCTGTTTAATATTCATAGACTGTAACCTTCTACTGCCACATGTACAAAACATTCCATTATTTACTTAAAGCATGTTTGTTTTGTAGAACATGGAATTTGTTTACTTAATTTGTAAAGAAGGTAACAACCCTGCTATATAAAAATAGTTCTCACATTAGTTGGAAAATCCTGCTATTTCTGGACTTTTTTTTCTTTGCAGGTTGCAAATAAACACATCTTTAGCAGATTCAAATCTAAACACAACATGAGGATTGGTTTCTGTGACATGATAACTTTAATTTGTTGTGCACTTACTGTGTGCCAGCAACTATTGTGCATGATACCTGCCATTTCCTAATCCCCCTCCACGAGTCAGAGTTCAGCTGGGGAAACAGACATTGTGACTGGTTTGGGTGGAGGGGTTTATTAAGCGGTACACTGGAGCTGGCTTGCATGGGTTACTAACACTCATGGGCCTTTTTTTCCTAACTCTGTGTTCAGGGATTTAATGTTGGTGAGCTTGAAAGCAGGGAGTATTTATACCACAAAATCAGTAAAGGCTACAAATCAGGCTTTCTCTGGAGAGCACGTTTATTACATGTCCCTGCAAGGAGCCAGGAAAGTGAAAGTCTGGAAGAGGATGTTGGAGGGTCAGAGATCCCATTAGTTCTTCTGAAGCACTGGTTCAGGTGGGCAATGCAGAGCTTGCAGAGAAATCAGAAAAGACAAACTCATCCACTTGCTAAACATGCATTGCAAAAGGGAAGTTCTTCGAGAGGACCACGGGAAGCGGCTGCCCTCTGGGTGTGCAGCCAGGCATCTGGTGGTGGGCTTGGTCAGCAGTGTCAGCAGTCAGGAAGACAAACTAGAAATGGAGCGGAGGAAAGTCAGTGTCAGCTGGGATCCTGCAGACTCTGTCACTCCATCACCATTATCTGACTGCCCTTCCCCTCTCAACTGCTTCATTTCTGCCTCCCAAATTTTATGCAGATTCTTTTTTTGGCCAATCCTATATTGAATCATATAGGAAATAGGTGTCTGAAAAACATAGATCTCAGCCTAATCAAGTTGACATACCACAATCCAATACATGTCCCAATAGTGCAATAAAACAGATATTACTTCCCCATTTTTCAGAAAAGAAGCCTAAAATCTAGCAAGGTAACTTGTTTGAAGATACACAATACTTCACTAAGTCTATTTGAGTCCAGAACTTGTCTTCCCTTAACTACTACAGAATACTGGGAGTCTTGCTGATTTTTTTTTTTTTCAAATCATGACTCAAATAAAATAATCCCATTCCAGAAGTGCTTTAGGTAAGCAATTGAGATGGATGAACCCATTTGACAATTATAGTCAACATTCTAGCGCACTGAATGGTCAGATCAAGTGAGCATTTTTGCAAATTTATCTTAAGTAGGTTTAGTTCAGTCTATGTATGCTATGATTTACCCTTAACTTCTGAGGTACAAAGAGAAATGACAGGATAGGATTTTTGCCCACAAGGAGCACATAGTCTGTTTGGAAAAACAGACATATAAATACTTTTGGTACCAGATCTTTTTAATTTTTTAATTTTTATTCTTTAGAGATAGGGGTCTCACTATGTTATCTAGGCTGGTCTTGAACTCCTGGCCACAAGTGATCTTCCAACCTCAGCCTCCCAAAGTGCTGGGATTATAGGCACATGCCACCCTGCCTGGCCCCAGGCCCAGACCCTAGAATGTGCCTTTCCAGGTTTGCTCAGCTCTACCTGCCTGCCAGGCCTGGGATGGTTGATCCCTGGAGGCCCTGCCCTCTGCAGCCACAGTCCGACTCCTATCACCACTATCTGGGCTTCAGCATGGGCTCTGTATTGTCTGCTGAAGTGGGGGAGCTCAGGGCTTCTTGGTTCAGATCTGACTTGATTGAGCTCCAGGTGTGGGCAGGGAAGCTGTGAATTCCCCACTACTTCTGATTCTCAGAGGAAGCATCACATTGTTGGCTGTGGATCTGGTTTCTCCAGCAGCTTCCAGGAAGGCCTGACTATCATAACTCAGAAGTGGTTCTGGAAGTTGACACTTGGTGACCTTTGATCAATGATAAACAGGAGTGGAGGAGGCTGGCAGGTAAATAAATCATGCCTTCCTGTCTACCACAGACTATTCTGAGGTGCAGTGGTACCACAGAGCTGTCTGGAAGTGGGGGTCAAGTGATTGAACAACTGTGTTTTCTAGGAAGATGTAGCCAGTTGAGTAAATTACCACTTTGTTTATGTCTGCCTCCTTCCCTACACCTCACTTTCCTTCTCCCTTCATTGTTGCAACAGTGGGATTTTGCCTCCTCTAAAGCCTTGGACTCTAATCTTTGCTTCAGGCTCTGGTCTCTAGGGAACCCGGGCAAAGATAATTACCTAAAAGTAAATGAATGCTAAATAAATGCTAACAGTGGCATGTATAAAATACTATTGGGGATGGTTGCTAAAAAGTGTAGTTCTTTACTTCTATTTTGATGCTTGGCTTATGTTTCATTGTTTAAAGCCCAAGCCTTTGATATTTAGCTCATTAACTAAATTCTTAAATTAATCCTTAAGTGTTCTCATGCCATGACATGACTATATATTCTGTCAGTTAATATGTTTTCATTTTAAAAGAGATTTCATTAAGCCAAAGGAATGAGTAGTACATGAATTTCATATTGTGCAGTGTGGAATTCATAGGGAGGAGGGGTGCTCAAATCATAGCCCATTGTTGCTTATCTAATTCATACCAATATGACAATCTTATGGGTCAGACTTGCACAGTAGACATGACTGTATACTGTAACACTTGTTAAAAATTACAGGAATTACCAATATTGGGATGTAAACAACTATACATTTTATTTGATGGAGCTAGTGGGTGCTTTCTTGAGAAAAAATATGCAGCTATTCTACATGGCTAGGAAAAGACAAACAAAAAACCTCACGTTATCCACAAGATCTGTAGTCTCGTTGTCTAGTTCTCATCATTAAGGCACACTACAATTAGCAGAATATGGAAATATAATAGATACTTTGCATTAATGATTAACATATTAGGGAAGTTTAAAAAGTATATTTCAAAACTCAGGGATAACATGCATGTGTTCATATTTTTAAATGAGTTTGTCTGGCAACTGCAGAATGGGCAAATTAGCTTCCTTTATTATAAGAGAAGAACTCTCCCAAATTAACTTTGGAGACTAAATCCCAAACTGCAAATAATTGAAAATAAAGGTTAAAAATGAATACGCTGATACAGCATTCTCTTAGAACAGAAAGCATCATCACTATACAATTATAGCTGGGTTTACCAAGTAGAAGATTAAAAGAGAAACTGCCAATTACAACATTCTAGTCACAAAGATTTTCAGCAGAACTTTGTGGTAAAAATTAGGACAATGGTAAAATGGTATATTTAACCTGAATCATCCGAGAGTCTTCACAATAATCAGAAATTTTTTTTCTATCAAGATTTTACCTTTTCTTTTCTTGGTTAGAGACAGAATCATCTCGATGGAAAATTAGCAGTCACAGAGCAATGTTCAATTTCAGTAAATTATGGCACAATTCTGGTTCTGTATGTTATGAGGAGCCTTTAATGCCATTGCTGCAGGACAATCAGAGATTTTTTTCCAGTTCTCGGTGCTTGAATTGCAAAGGAGAATATTAATAAGATAAAATCCTAGGATGGAGAAATCTTTCAACTCTGAAACTCTATGCCTGGAAGAATCATAAGATAGCATTTTCTCATAAAGTGCCTTTGCTTAAGAAGATCCACAATCCTGATTATTATTCAAACCTAATTTCATCTCACAAAACTTAAGTAAAGGACAATCTTCAAGTTCTGAGGATTATAAAAGATGACAGCGTATGGACTTTTGATAAAAAGTGTACCAGGGGCAATAGCTGCCCACCAAAAGACGGCTCAGAGAGGGTGTCAGTCAGAATAACAGGGAGGCAAGTGGGAGCAAATCATCATGTCAGACTCGCGGGCGAGAGAGCCATTACTCCTTAAATGCTGGGCAGTTAGCAAATGTTGCTGTACTGTGTAGATGACATTATAATATTCTTGGTTAGTTATTTATCTATAGTTTTCATTTAACATTTATGTACTTGAAAAGGCAACCCAAATTACACATTGTCCTGGTTAGGGTTTGGAAACATAGTATAAGGTTCATTTCTTTCCTTCAACAAATATTTATTGAGGGCCTGCTATTTACTAGGCACTATGCTAGATTCTGCGGCTGTAAAAATGATTGGGTCCTGATCCCTGTTCTTTAGTAGTTTATTGTCCAGTGGGATATTAAAGTTGGAGGTGTAGTTAGAGATCATTTAATATTATAGCTTAAGACTCTTGGGCCCAGAGAGAGCTAGGGACATGTTAAAGGTGACTTGACTTGTTGGAGACAGAGCTGAGATGATTCAGGTCCTCTGATTTCCAAAACAGAGCTCTTGAGAATTCATTGCTCATTCATTTATTTACTCATTCAACACACACCTATTGAGTGCCTACTCTGGGCCTTTCACCTCCTTCTCTCTTGGGGGTTACACTTCCGCAGGGAAACTAAGCATCAAAATGGTGAAGAAAATACAAATTCCTTAAGCCATAACTCAGATCTATAAATGTTGTCACTTAATTTTTTAATAAGTAAATTTAAACAGTATTGCAAACATCCTCTTGCTGATGGCAGATCATTTAACGTGATCAATTCCAGGTGAATCATGTTCATACCATTTTTTCACTCTTTCCTTCTTCATCACGGTTGGTTTTCAGTCCCCCCTGGAACTTATGGATTGTTGAGGAGACCCGTCTGGTTCTAGGTCATCATCTGCCAGTGCTGGCAATATCTGCTGAAATGTCTGATTTCCCTTATCCCTGACACTTGTCATTGATGCCCGTTGGCATTTGCTGATACCCATGGACCCCCTCTGGTCTATGTTACCTGGGTTCCTGCCACAAAGCCCCTGGTTTGGGATTCCAGGCTTCTCAGGTCCACTCCTCAGACACTCTCTCTCTTCTTTACAGAAAGAAAAAGGTTTTTTTCAAAAAATTTTTTTTTATTTTAAATTTCATCTTAGAATGGAAAATTCACTTGCCTTCTTCCAAATTTGTTGTTTAGGTATAAGTATTATGCCTTTAAGTTATTCAAGGCTTTGTCTTTTGATAGTCAAATGCTAGGATTTTTAGACTGCAACTCTAATTCCCTTAAGCCATTGTCATAGAGATAAGTATCGAACTGCTTTGAAACTCAAAAAATAGTTGACACATTTTTCTTTCAACAACCTAACCTGAGGGCAGTGGTAAGGGGTAGGGTTCTGTGTTAGTGATTGCTCAAAGCAGTAATACTCATTTATTATGCCTCATTGTTTCCGTGGGTCAGGCATTCAGATGAGGCACAGTGAAGACAAGTTATCTCTGCTCCACCATATCTGGGGCCTCAGCTGGAAATCATCAAAGATGATGGGCTGGAATCATCTTAAAGCTTGGAAATGTGGTTTCTGGAGGTTGCTGTTGGCTGGGGGCCTAGCCAGGCGGTCAGCTGAAAGATTCTCACATGGCCACTCCATCTATGTGCTGTGGGCTTCTCCACAACATGATGGCTGAGTTCCAAGAGAAAAATTAACAGAGAGAGGAGAGAGAGAGAAGAGAGAGGGGGAAGAAAGAGAGAAAAGAGACAGAGAGAGAGAACCAGATGGAAGCCATATTGCCCTTTATGAGAGACCCCATCAATCACCCAACATTCTTTTGTCAGTTAAGGCAATTGCAAAGATCCACTGGTGTGTTCAAGGGGAGGGAATATTAACCCTGTGTCTGGATGGGGAGTTTTGGTCATGTCACTTTGTGAGCATATGAAATAGTGTATATTGGTGTGGCCATCTTTGGAAAATATAATCTGCCAAAGGGATTTGGCAAGAAATATATATCTCATAATATTATTTTGTCACATAAGTGACTGCAACTGATAATCATCATCCATGTGTGCAGATGTGGCCCCGAAGAAGTAAAATGTACATTGATGGAGAATCAAGCTCTCCCTTTCTCTTTCTCCTTGTGTCTTTAATCTCTCTTTTTGGGGGTAAAAGACACTTTTCAGTTATTTGTGTCCCACAAAGGAACTGCAGGTCTGCAGTGGACCTGTATCTGCATGGGTCTGCAGCAACTTCAATTCTTGCCTCCTCAGAAGAAAGAATTCAGCTGAGGGGCATAAGGCAGAAGGAGAGACCAAGGCAAGTTTTAGAGCAGCAGTGAAAGTTTATTAAAAAGTTTAGAGCAGGAATGTAAGGAAGTAAAGTACACTTGGAAGAGGGCCTAGCCGGTGACTTGAGATATCAAATGCCCTGTTTGACCTTTGACTTGGGGTTTTATATGGTGGCCTGCTTCTGGGGTCTTGTATTACTTCTCCCCTGATTCTTCCCTTGGGGTGGGCTGTCCGCATGCACAGTGGCCTGCTAGCACTTGGGAGGGGAGCATGCACAGTGTGTTTACTGGAGTTGTACACATGCTTGCTTGAGGTGTTCTTCCCTTACCAGTTGAATGCCCCTAGGAGGTCATATACCAGTTAACCTCTGCCATTTTGCCTCTTAATGTGCATGCTTGAGCCCACTCTCCCAACTCCTGAAATCTTATCTGGAAGCTGCAGATCACATTTCAGTTCTTTTCTATCTATTGGGAGACTGCGTTTCCCTGGTGCAGGCTGTGACCAATTATTATTTTAGAAAGACAGTTAGCCACCTGACCATCACCTGATGGTTGCTTGAGATTCCTGGCGTGTGTGTGTGTGGCAGGGGAGCCCTCCCCTGCTCTGTTCATATCTGACTAGTTACCTACTATAACCGGTCTGCCCTAGCACATTTACAAAATAGCTAGGCTTTTTCTCCCTAGCCACTCCTTTTGTTTGTTGCCTGTGATGACTAATTTTATGTGTTAACTTGACTGGGCTAAGGGATGCCCATGTAGCTGGTAAAATATTATTTCTGGGTGTGCCTGTGAGGGTATATCTGGAAGAGATTAGCATTTGAATGGGTAGACTGAGTAGAGAAGATCATACAGTCCATTGAGGTCAGGCATCATCCCAGTGTGGGCAGGACCTTACCAATGTGTGCAGGTATCATTCAACCCAGGGAGGGCCTGGATAGAACAGAAAGGAAGAGGAAGGGCACATTCTCTCTCTCTTCCTGAGCTGGGACATCCATCTTCTCCTGCTGTCAGATATCAGCAGCACTCTTGGTTCTCAGGCCTTTGGACTCAGATTGAATTTCACGACTGACTTTTCTGGTTCTCCAGCTTTCAGATGGCAGACGGTGGAACTTCCTGGCCTCCACAACCATGTGAGCTAATTTCTATAATGAATCTCCTCCTCATATGTCTCTATATAGCCTATTGATTTTGTTTCTCTGGAGAACCCTGACTAATATATTGCCCTTTCTCTACTTTCCCCAGTGACCGAGTTTGTTTATGCTGAATTTCCCCCAACCCTGTCACCAGGTCCTGCTCATTTTTCCTTCTTTCCTTTCCCATATCAGAATTAAACAATCTAGCCTTTTGCTGGGGAATTAATTGGAGTTACCATGTCCCTAACAAAAATAGTTTGTGTTTTTGCTTTTGCCCATGCATTTTAACAGCTGCCTAATTGAAGTACCTAAAGGGAATAACTAATAGGGAGAAACTTCAGTTTTAAAAGCTGACTGAAGGATTCATTTGGGAATAAGACCAAGCAAGGTAGGTGAAGCTGCTCGACAGCACCTGATGGTGCCTTGCAGATACCCATCCGTGCGGCCTGGGCCCAGGGCTGACCTGCTTTCAGGAGGCCTAATTAACAAAAGGAGAATTGCCTTCTTCCCATGCTCGTGGGAAGGGGCTGATCAAGCAGAATTGTGCAGCCCAGTTATTCTCCACTTTTTAATTATATTTTCTTCAAAATAAAATATTTACTATTTTATTCTGGTTATAAATTAGTGCATGCCTACTCTTAAAAATTAAAACAATTCTTGAATGTATAGAGAAAAAGGAAAAATTATCTGAAATCTTACCACTCCTACTTAACTGTTGTAACATTTTGGTAAACACCCTTTCATATGTTTCTATATGCGTAGGTATCTGCAGCTATACCCCTATATAACTGCGTATAAATAGTACACTATACAAACAGTGCTGTATCTTATTTTTTTCATTTAATAATAGGTGGTGGGTTTTTTTCAAGTGTCAATAAATATAGATCCACACCATCATTTTTATTGACTGCACAATATTCCTCTGTGAGACATACCACAATTTATTTAACTAATCTCTATTGAACAACAATTATGCTGACTACAATTTTTTGATATTACGATCAATGCTCTGAAGAGCTTTCTTTTACATCCATTTTTATGTACTTGTTTAAAGATCTCCTTTGGATAAATTCCCATAGGGGAAAACAACTAAACTTTTTTCTTTTAAAAAGGACGATAGGAAGCCATGAGGAAGAGAAAGCTGAGTTAGCAGCCTAGTTCCAGAGAATTTATGCAACAAAAATGCATAGAGACCTATATTGTGTCAGGAGACTAATCTAGACAGCTTGAGATGCAAAGATAAAATAAATCTTCAAAAAACTCTAGCCTGGTAGGGTAGATAGACTGACTCTTAAACACATAATTACTACACTGAGATCAAATTCCCAATAGAAGTATAAACAAAATACCATGAGAAAGATAAAAGAAGGCAATTAAACCTGGGCAAGAGAGTTAGGAAAATAATTTAACAGAGAAAGCAACCATTGAATTGGTCCGTCATTAAAGAGGTAAGTGTATTATTTGTGTGGGTTGCTATAACAAAGTACTGCAGACTGAGTGGCTAAAACAATGAAAATTTATTTTCTCACAGCTCTGGAGGCTGGGAGTTTGAGGTCAAGGTGTCAGCAGGATTGGTTCGTTTTGAGGGTCCTGAAGGAAGAATCTGTTCCAGGCATCTCTCCATGGCTTGTAGATGGCCACCTTCATCCTGTGTCTTTACATTGTCTTCCCCCTGTATGTGGCTGTGTTCAAATTTCTTCTTCTTATAAGGACATCAGTCAAATCAGATTAGGGCTTACCCTAATGACCTCATTTTAACTTTCCTCTAAGACCCTCTCTCTAAATACAGTCACATTCTGAGGTACTGCGGGTTAGGACTTCAACTTACAAATTTTGCAGGGGACACAGTGTAGCCCAGAACAGTGAGGGAATGCAGAAATGCTTGTATAAAGACCCAGAGTCAGGCAAAGGTGCCGTGTGATTATGGAAGCCCGAGGAAGCATTGTGATATAGGTAGAAAAGGTCTACGGGCTGGGAATGTGGAAAGGGAATCCTGACGGGAGATGCATTTGTACTGGGAGGCAGGAGCTTGCAAACAGCCCTAAGGAAGGTTGGCTGAGAAATCATGGATAAGTTTAAGTGAAGGAGTGGCATGGTCACTCATGGAAAGATTTGTCTTTCATTTAGATGTTGCTGTCAGAACACCAAATGTGGACGAGGATTTGGAGCACCCGGAACAATCATGAGCAGCTGCTAGGATTATAAAATGGAACAATTGTATTGAAAAATAATATGGCAGTTTCTTCAAAAGTTAACCATACACCTAGGATATGATCATGTATTCCTCTCCTAAGTATTTATTTCAAGAGAAATGAAAGCATGTCTATACAATGGTTTGCACATGAATGTTAATAGCAGCTTTATTCATAATTGCCAGAAACTGGAAACAATCCAAACATCCATCAACAGGTGAATAGGTAAACAAATTTTGGTATGTCCATTCAATACAGTACCGCTTAGCAATAAAAAGGAAGGAACCATTAATAACACTAACATGGATAAATCTCAAGATAATTATATTGAGTGAATGAACCGAAGCCCCCAAAACAAGAATATGATACATACTATGTGATTCTATTGATATAAAATTTTACAAGATATGAATTAATCTGGGGATGAAGATTGGGGACAGGTGGGGCAGAGGTGGGAGGGAGATATTACAAAGGGACATGAGGAAACTTTGGGGGTGATATAAATGTTCCCCATCTTGATCAAAATGATGTTTTCATAGGTGTATGCATATGTCACACTCATCAAATTGTACACTTTAAGTACAGGCAGTCTATTGTGTGTCACTTATATCTCAATTAATTAAAAGCAAACAAAACCAAAACAAACAAGAAAAGAGGTATGTGGGTGGATAAAAAAATAGAGCATAGACTTGTGAAAGAGATACCAATTAGGAGATTACTCCAGAAGGCCAGTAGGGCTTATGAAAGTCTGAATGAGGCTGGGTAGGTGGTGTCCAGTTGACTCTGCTCTTTTTCTGTTGTGGGACTCAAGATTTTCGGAACTGAACACCTGCGGGCTGCAGAAGGGCATTTTATCCCTATGTGATGGGGGAATGCACCAGCTTTCCTTCCTTCTACTCCCTTCTATATGCTAGCAATAATTTTAGGCATTCATAGCAGTGGTGAGTAAAATGGGCAAATATCTGTTGTGTTCATAAGACTACATTCTAGTGAGAGACAAAAAGTAATATATCAGGTAGGGCTAAGCGCTATGAAGAAAAAGCAGGGTAAGGGAGTATGTGGTAGATGTCCAGGGGATGTGGAAACTACTTTAGAGAGGTGTTTAGAAAAGGCTACTCTAGGGAGATGACATTTGATCTCAGATCTGCATGAAGTGACAAAGGGATGTTAGTTGAGATCAGGGACAGGTTCCCTTGGCTGAGAGACTGGCAAGTGCAAAGGTCCTGAGGTGGTCATTTAAGTGGCTTGTCAAGAAGAAGCCTGGAGCAGCTGGAAAAGTAGGAAAGGCAACAGCAGAGGCTGGAGTAGGTTCCTGATTTGCCACCCACATGTGCCTAGACAAGCCCCCTGGTAATTTATACTGGGCACTTCCTCCTACAACAAAGTTCATGCTAGACTGTTGAAAATGCTAAATACTATTTGAAATACTGTTCATTTGACTGTAGCTTTGATTCTCTTTCTTATGCCTTCTCTCCTTTTTTTTTTTTAAATAAGATTGGTGTTGATCGTGGTATTTGTTGTAATAAGATTTAATCTACACCTTATTAGCTTTCTATGGTGTGAAAAGTCTTATAATAGTGTCTTTATTTACCATCTATCTTAATGCCCAGTGGTGAGTGGAATCCCAAATTAAAACGAATGTCAGTATGACAGAGAAATGGATACTCACAAGTGGCTGACAAATTAAGACTATTGATACATTTCTATTAATATAAATTCTGCCTTTAAAACGGTAGTATTAAGAGGAAGTGACAGACACTGTCAGCCAGCTATTATGAGGTGAGCGTTTCTACATGTCTGAATGAATTCTTTTAACAATCTTGTTATTAACACCGTTTTGCAGCTATAGAAACCGAGGCTTAGAAGCATCACATGACTTGTCCAAGGTCACACAGCTAGGGAATGCCAAAGCTAAGATTTCAAGTCACTTCTGCTGCCTCCTGGTTTGTTTGGGGCTTCTGTCACTGCACCCTGTCAGTCTTGAGTGCTGTGCCACAACATCTATAATGCCAGGCTGTCATGGACTGAATAGAGAGACAGTCCTCTTAAGAAAGCAAACAGCTTCCTTGAGAAAAAGCCCCAAGGCTGTATTCTCTTGATCTTCAGACCTACCTATCTGTCTGAATGTTGCAGAGGAGCTTGTGCCTGTCTTCAGCTGCTCCTCCCTTCTGACAAGAATTCTCCAAAGGGACTGGTGGCAGGAGGCTGGGGGAAGTGGCTGGGTCAGCCAGGCGTGATTGAACACTGTTCCAGTATCGAGACCTGATAAAAATCTGGGGCTGCTGGGCACTCGATTTTTAAAGTAATCCTGTCAGTTCCCTAATAATAGTAATAAATTAACCAAACAGCAGATTCAGTGGTATTTTTTGTCCTAAGGGTATTGCTTTCACACTTCAACTTGATAGCATGATTTATCAAGAGATAAATTACAGCTGGGAATGAATGGATTTACTGATGTCAGGGAGACGACAAGTATATTCTGAAGATGTTACCAGTGATGGGCACGTACCTGACAAGCATACTTGAAGATCCCCAAACAAAATGCTTCTCTTCAGAGGCTGAATAACTTTTCACTTTGGATGTAGGTCACTGCAAGGACAGAAGGATTTTTGGTAGTCTAATTAGCTCTCTCCCCACGTCATTGTCACCTAATAGTATTAATTACATTGCTCTTTGTGGGTGGGCTTCTTCAATCACCTTCAAACCTTTTCTCCCATTCCTCCACTCCCAATTCGCCATTACTGTGTGTCTATCATTCTTGTTACATAAATGCACTCGACTAAGATAGAATTTGACTGTTGGATTCACGCACTGAGCATGATCTCCTCATCCCTGGATGTAAAGGCAGGAGGGATTAGTTCTGGGAAGTTGCTCAGGAGAGTGATCAGAGAGCAGAACTGATAAAGAGAGCCCAGGTAGAGGGCAGAGAGGACTTGGGCTCTCGAGTTGAGAAGTGACCTCCCTGGAGATGTGTGAAGATGGCCTTGAGGCAGACCTGGAACTGTGAGCTGAGAGTGGGGTCTGCAAATTCACAGATGCTTATGGATCTATCTAGAGTGGGTACTTTCCAGGAAAGGCATAGTAGAAGAATTCTTGGTGAGGAATGGTCTAATGAATGGGCTCTCAAAGACTTTTAGAGTTTTTTTAATCACAATAAAAAGAACAGGCCCATTTTTGTGGATATGGAGAGGGGCATACAGTGATAGGGAGAACTAGGGGTAAGGCTGGGTGCATGTGATTAGCCCTTAATGGTATCTTGAAGGAAAAATAACTCTAAGCTTAGAGCATCTACCTCATAAAAGAGGCAAGTTAAAGGTGTCTTGAGCCTTGGACATTTGAAACATGTTTTAAAAAACAAACTGCAAAGTCTGGGCAGTGTACAGTTAAGAAGCCAACAAATCAAATTGTGCCCAACAAATCAAAGCAAAAAGTATAAGTCATTAGAAAAAGTAGATGTAGAAATAAGATTTAACTTCAGAAGCAACCAGGCAAATAAGCTCATTAATGAATAGTCCACTCAAGGAACAAATAGGATTTAAAATGCTTCCAGCTTCTGGATGGTTTAAAGCCAGCCATAACTAAGTAACTATGTACACAGATTAGAAGAAAATGGTGCAATGCAGTTTCTTGTTAAATCTCTTTAAGTTTACCAATAGCCTGAAGCATCTGTCAAAATCCCAGGCAGGTGCTACAAAGAACTATTTTAAACTTCCAAATTCAGGGCACCTGAAGAAGTAGAGGTGCATGTCATTTTCCCTCTTGTGGATAAACAGCTTTGCCATTCATAAATAGTGAAAGCTGTTATAAACGTATAATAGTTTTCCACCATATAGTCTGTGTGAATGTCTCTGGGCTTACGTTTTTTTAATTGTAAAAATATTTGTTTCATCATGTATCTTTTTTTTTTCTGACCAAATTCTAGGCACATTTTTATAGGAAAAAAATGATCAAGCATGAGACAGGACCCCTGGACTCTGGAGAGGCACTTTGGTTTCAGGATAATCCTTAAAGATAGAACCTCGCCATCTTGGACATCTGACCTCCAGATAAATCCTCCAAAAAGAAAAAAAAGAAAAGCCCTAAGGACCAGAGAAGTCATCTTTAACATGCATTCTTCATACTCTCTCAGAGAAAATATGCCCATGGCTAATGTGAGAGGCAGAGCAGAACTGAACAGAGGCTTAAATTTTTCTACCTGAGAGTCAGAATTTGCGTGTGGAGATGAATTTTGATAGGTGTCAAAAAGCAACTGTTGGCCTTTATGCTCTTACGGTTACCCACACTTCTAGTGAGCAACTCATGGGTGCTAATATTGGGAAGCAGAGCCACCCAAGCCAACTGTATTCAAATTAAGGTAGAGAGAAAACCCAGATTTGGCTACTTGCCAGACTGCTATGCTACCTCTTTCTCAACTTACATTAACTCAGGAGTAGGAAGCTGGGGCAAGTGGTGAATTCTTCTATTTCTTCTGCTACTGACCTTCCTTTGAGGCCCAATTTAGCCCAAGATGGGTAAGAAAAGTGAGACTGCTGATATTATTTATTTTGACCTCCACCCAGAAACATACTGCTTCAGCCTTTCATCCTTTTTGGATCAATTGACACAAGTGTTTTTTTTGTTTTGTTTTATTTGGCTTAAAACAGTGGTTATCAATTTTTTTTCTGCCTTTGGTTTGTTGAAGCAAAAGTTGCTATGAGTCACAAGCTTTGCCTGCTTTACATAGCCATTTAGCTATATTACAAAATTAAATTAAATATATTAAAAATAATATTTTATAATAATAAATATATTAAAAATTATATTAAAAATTATACTGCAGGAACAAATGGGAAGACATGGCACCATTTTTAAGTAAAGTATAACATAACATACATTAAAAAATGTGCCCTGATGAAATTTCACAAACAACAAACTGAATATTCCCATGTAAGCCCCACCCAGGTAAAGAAATAGAAAATTACCAGAACCCCCAAATCCACCTCTTGTGCCTCCTTCTAATTTCTTTCTGAGAAAGATAACCACTGTTTTGACTTCTATTACATATCACTTTTTAAAAATCTACTTTAGGCTGGGAGAGGTGGCTCATGCCTGTAATCCTAGCACTTTGGGAAGCCAAGGAAGGAGGATCACTTGAACCCAGAAGTTCACGACCAGCCTGGGCAACACCGTGAAATCCGGTCTCTACAAAAATAAACAAAATTAGCCAGGTACGGTGGCACATACCTGTAGTTCCAGCTTCTATATTCTGGAAGTTGAGGTGGGAGGATCACTTGTGCCTGGGAGGTTGAGGCTGCAGTGAGCCATGATCATGCCACTGCACTTCAGGCCAGGCAACAGAGCAAGACCTTGTCTCAGAATAAAAATAAATAAATAAATAAATAAATAAATAAATAAATAAATAAATGTAAATAAATAAAAAAATTACTTTGACTAAATTAAATTGTACAGTTTGTCTTCTTTTGTGTCTAGATTCTTTCAACATTATGGTTGTGGGAGTCAATGTTGTTGCTGCAGCAAAATTCATTCATTCTCATTGCTCCAGTATTTCATCTGGTAAACTTGCCGCAGTTCACTTATCCTTTCTACTGTAGATGAACATGTGGAATGTTGACAGTTTTTGCCTATTATGAATAATGTTACAATGCACATATCTTTTGCTGAACATATGTACCATTAGTGTTGGCTATATACTTAGGAGTGGAATTGATGGGCCAAAGAGTGCACATATGTTCAGCATTGGTAAATACTAAATAGTTTTCCAAAGTGATGGTGGCAATTAATGTTCTGGTTCAAGAGTTTGGCTCTATAGTCTTACCATTACTTGATGTTGTGCCTTCTACATTTTAGCCGTTCTGGTAGCTGTACAAATGGCTCAATTTTTGAGAACATATATTGTCAAACACAACAGTTAAAAACTTTTTTAAAAAGCTATACATATTTGTGTTTTAAAGATTAAATAATGTCCTGAGAGAGACAAATCCATGGATGACCTCACAGGGGAATACTAGTGACAGAGAATTTCTGTACGAACAATGTTTTGAGGATAGCTGGTCTAAATTATTCTATGAAAGATGTACAGAATTGCTTTAAAATGTGGGATTTTAGAATTTTAATAACAATAAAACATTTTTCACTCTGTTTCATGTTTCATGGGCATTTTGAAGAATTGTGATCAATACCTGATTGCAGGATATTTGATCACTGGTTAAGCTACATCAGCACACAAAAAAAGTGCTGCAATAGGGAGTCTGTTCATATGCTAAATACTCTGAAGCATTTTTCCCTGAGGTAATCTAAATTCTGCTGTCATTTATTAATTCGCCTTCTATGATTTCTACAAACTTTAAGTTTTGGAAGGAAGTCTACATGTATTATGGTATTAGAGCTGTTAAAATTTGCCATCCATTACTTAAAAATCACATTGAACATATTCACAAAGTGCCTTCCCCTGTGCTGACCATGCAGCAAGATCTGATACCAAATGTCAGAAATTCATTTGGTGGAAATAACAAATTAATTGGCTAAGAGTAGCTCAAGCAACACGCTTATCTTTCTCACATAATGAGAGAGACATATTTGCTGGTTTTAAGACATATTTACCAGCTAGTTGCTGGTATTGTTTCAGCTATTCAGCAACGTCATTAGGCATCTGGCTTTCAATCATTCTATTCCAGCATCCTTAATGCACTAACTTTCATACTCATGCTGTTGCTTTGTGGTTGCAAGATGGCTGCTCTACTTCTGGCATCACATCTGCATTGAAGAAGTAAAAGAAGAAAAGAGGGGGTGATTGCAGCTGTATATTTCCTATTTTTCAAGAAAAGAGCCTCCAGAAGACTTCTGCTTATATCTCTGTATGAATTATCTATTCTGTAGAACAAATAACCCTCAAAATCAGTGGTAAAACAACAACAATACTGCAGGGAATAAGACAGATGGAAAGAAAAACCAAATAATTATTATAATTTCCATGGATCAGGAATTTCACTGAGGCTTAGCTAGGTGAGTTTGGTTCAGGATCTTTCATGGAGTTGCAGTGAGGATGTTGGCAGGAGCTGCAATCATCTGAGGACATGACTGGGGTCCGGGAATCCACTTCTAAAATGGTTCACTGCCAAGATGAGCCTTACCACAGGCTTCCCGATGTGTTCTCACAAAATGGCAGCTAGCTCGCCTCAAAGCAAGTGACCTGAGAGGCAGCGAGGCAGAAATCACATTATTTTATGAACTAGCCTTACAAGACTAATACTATGTTTTGAGTGTATCTTCTCCAAAATTCAGGTGTTGCCAATGTGATATTATTAAGAGATGGATCCTTTAAGAGGTGATTAGGCCAAGGAGGCTTCTTCCTCATGAACAGGATTAAGGCCTTTTTAAAAGAGGCTTCACGCAGTGTTCAGCTAGCACACTCGCTTGCTCTTCTGCTTTCTGCCATGTGAGGACATAGCAAGAAGGCCCTCACCAGACACTAAATGCTGGTGTCTTGATCTCAGACTTCCAGCTTCCAAAACTGTGAGAAATAAAGTTCTGTTCTTTATGAATTACCCAGTCTCAGGTGATTTTGTTACAGCAGCACAAAACAGACTAAGACAGTTACTTCTATCTTTTGATAGAAGGGAGAAGAACCAAATAATTTGTGGACATATTTTTAAACCACTACTGCCCTATTGACCAAAATGGATTCACTTCTTCAGTCTAATTACAGTAGTACCTAGGAAGTAAATTATCATTGGAGGCTATGCCCATTCTTCCCTTGAACAAAACAGGGGCCTACTAGCAAAATGAAAGAATATTGCAAAGGCAACTATCTCAGGTATTTGTATGGAGTTCTTGAGAACTTGACCAAATAATTCTAGAGTTTATCTGAAAAAGGTTAGATAGATACAAAAATTGTTAAAAAGGCTTTTTGAGGGACAACAGGGAAACGACCAGACCTATTAGACTTCAAAATGCAAGGTGAACCAATACATAGGTGAATGAATGGGAAATAATATATAGTACACACATAGATCCTAATTCATAGGAAATTAAGATTGAAAGGGATAAATTTTTAAAGAAACGGTATTGAAAAAATCTATTAAAAGATCCATTTATTTTCTTGCTATACAACAGAGTAAATTCTAGATCAATTAAAAAGTGAAGCATGAAAAAGGGAACCACTTAAAGAAATCAGAAGAAACTTGTGGTAAATATTTACCTGATCCAAAATGGGGAAGGACTATCTAAGCATACATACAATGGACCAGATAGCAAAAGAAAAGATTGATTTTCATATTTAAAATTAAAAACTCTGTGTCAAAACATCATAAAACCTTAAAAGGAAATGAAAATATTATGCATTATTGATATTTGAACGGGATATATTTATTAGCAAGAAAAATGCCTTCCCTTTGCTTGAGGTCTATGGGTCTTTTCTATGGAGTAAATATTGTAGAAATTAAAACAGTAGGAATATGTTTGTATTAGTCCATTTTCACACTGCTGATAAAGACATACCAAAGACTGGGCAATTTACAAAAGAAAGAGGTTTATTGGACTTAAGTTCCACATGGCTGGGGAGGCCTCAAATTATGGTGGAAGGTAAGGAGGAGCAAGTCACATCTTATGTTTGTGGCGGCAGGCAAAGAGAGAGCTTGTACAGAGAAACTCTCATTTTTAAAACCATCAGATCTGGTGAGACCCATTCACTATTATGAGAACAGCACAGGAAAGACCTGCCCCCATGACTCAGTCATCTCCCACCAGGTGTCTCCCACAACACATGGGAATTATGGGAGCTACAAGTTAAGATTTGGGTGGGGACACAGAGCCAAACCATATCATTCAGCCCCTGGCCCCTCCCAAATCTCATATCTTCACATTTCAAAACCAATCATGCCTTCCAAAGTCTCAACTCATTTAAGCATTAACTCAAAAGTACACAGTCCAAAGTCTTATCTGAGACAAGGCAAGTCCCTTCCGCCTATGGTCCTATAAAACCAAAAGCAAGTTAGTTACTTCCTAGATACAATGGGGGTACAGTCATTGGGTAAATATATCTCTTCTAAATGGGAGAAATTGGACAAAACAAAGGGGCTACAGGCCATACAAATCCAAAATCCAATGGGGCAGTCAAATCTTAAAGTTCCAAAATGATCTCCTTTGACTCCATGTCTCACATCCAGGTCACGCTGATGTAAGAGGTAGGTTCCCATAGTCTTGAGCAGCTCCACCTCTGTGGCTTTGCAGGGTGCAGACTCCCTCCTGGCTGCCTTCCCAGGCTGGTGTTGAATGTCTGAGGAAAAGTCAGGTGCATGATGCAAACTGTCAGCGGATCTACCATTCTGGGGTCTGAAGGACAGTGGCCCTCTTCTCACAGCTCCACTAGGCAGTGCCCCAGTAGGGACTCTGTGTGGGGGCTCTGACCCCACATTTCCCTTCCACACTGCCCCAGCAGAGGTTTTGCATGAGAACTCACACCTATAGCAAACTTGTGCCTGGGCTTCCAGGCGATTCCATACATCTTCTGAAATCTTGGCAGAGGTTCTCAAACCTCAATTCTTGACTTCTGTGCACTTGAAGGCTCAACACCATGTGGAAGCTGCCAAGGCTTAAGGCTTGCACCCTCTGAAGCCACGACCTGAGCTTCACATTGGCCCCTTTCAGCCATGGCTGGAGTAGCTGGGACACAGGGCCCCAAGTCCCTAGGCTACACACAGCATGGGGACCCTGGGCCCTGCCCATGAAACCACTTTTTTCTCCTAGGCCTCTAATGGAAGGGGCTGCTATGAGGACCTCTGACATGCCCTGGAGACATTTTCCCCATTGTTTTGGAGATTAACATTCAGCTCCTCCTTGTTACTTATGCAAATTTTTGCAGCTGGCTTGAATTTCTCCTCAGAAAATGGATTTTTCTTTTCTATTGCATTGTCAGGCTGCAAATTTTCTAAACTTTCATGCTCTGCTTCCCTTATAAAACTGAATGCCTTCAACAGCACCCAAGTCACCTCTTGAATGTTTTGCTGCTTAGAAATTTCTTCTGCCAGATACCCTAAATCATCTCTCTCAAGTTCAAAGTTCCACAAATCTCTAGGGCAGGGGCAAAATGCCACCAGTTCCTTTGCTAAAACATAATAAGAATCACCTTTGCTCCAGTTCTTATCTTATAATAAGATAACTGATAATAAGACTTCTATTTTCTTATCTCTATCTGGGACCACCTTAGCCTGGATTTCATTGTCTCTATCATTATGAGCATTTTGGTCAAAGCCATTCAACAAGTCTCTAGGGCATTCCATACTCTCCCACATTTTCCTGTCTTCTTTTGAGCCCTCCAAACTGTTCCAGCCTCTGCCTGTTACCCAGTTCCAAAGTCACTTCCACATTTTTGGGTGTCTTTTCAGCAGCTCCCCACTCTACTGGTACCAATTTACTGTATTAATCCAGTTCATGCTGCTGATAAAGACATACCCGAGACTGGGCAGTTTAGAAGTTTATTGGACTTACAGTTCCATGTGGCTGGGGAGGACTCACAATCATGGTGGAAGGCAAGGAGGAGCAAGTCACTTCTTACGTGGATGACAGCAGGCAAAGAGAGAGCTTGTGCACAGAAATTCCTGTTTTTAAAACCATCAGATCTCATGAGACCTATTCACTGCCATGAGAATAACATGGGAAAAACCTGCCCCAATGATTCAATCATCTCCCATCGGGTTCCTCTCATAACACATGGGAATTATGGGAGCTACAAGATAAGATTTGGGTGGGGACACAGAGCCAAACCATATCAATGTTAATATGTAATAAGTGAATATAACTGATAATAAGGCGTCTATTTTCTTAATAAAATAAGCAAAAACATAAACCTATAATTCATACAAGAGATAGAACAAATGGCTAATAAACAGGAATGGATGGTCAACCTCATTAGTAATCATACCGACACAAATGAAAACAGAAACAAAACTTAATATTTTATCTATCAGAGTAACACAGCTTGTTTAATAAAAATACTGAGGGCTGGGCCGGGCTCAGTGGCTCACACCTGTAATCCCAACACTTTGGGAGGCCAAGGCCGGAGGATCACGAGGTCAGGAGATTGAGATCATCCTGGCTAACGCGGTGAAACCTCATATCTACTAAAAATACAAAAAATTAGCCGGGCGTGGTGGCAGGCGCCTGTAGTCCTAGCTACTCAGGAGGCTGAGGCAGGAGAATGGCATGAACCCGGGAGGCGGAGCTTGCAGTGAGCCGAGATCACACCACTGTACTTCAGCCTAGGCAATAGAGCGAGACTCTATCTCAAAAAAAAAACAAAAACAAACCACACACAAAAATCTCAGGGCTGGCCAGGTTGTGGTGAAAGAGGATTATTTAACACTGCTAGTTAAAGAAATTTGACAGTCTTCACCAAGAGCCTTCAACATGTTTGTACTTTTTTATCTGATAATTTCCTTTATAGGAGTCTAGTCTAAGGAAATAACAGAAATGTGCTTAAAATATATGTATAAAAAGGTGTGTCTTCATATCATTTATAGTAGAAACAAAAAGAAAATTACCTAAATGTCCCCCAATAGACCCACAGCTAAGCAAATCATGGAATGTCCATATGATGGAATATAAAGTACTGTTAAAATATTTTAATGAGTTTAATTGAATAATGTTCATGACACAATTTTAATTGTAAGAGCAACACAAAACATAAAGTATATGTGATATGTGATAATATAAACTATGGAATAAGTATTATATAAGAGTAAAAAAGTTTGGGTGAAAATAGAACAAAATGCTTATAGTGTTTTCTGAGAACCATTTTTTAGAGGATTGTAAGATTATGGAAAATGTGTGTCTCATTTAGATTTATGCATTTCCTGCAATGTGTTGCTTTCATGATGAGAAAAAAGTACTCTGTAAACTCTAAATGAACGTTTTTAATTCTATTATTTCACCTGTCTCACTGCTCTGGGGAGTTGCACTGTGTGTGTGTACATGTGTGTGTCTGTGTGTGTGTGTGTCTGTGTGTGTGTGAGAGAGAGAAAGAGAGAAAGAGAATTTGTGTTCTATAATTCTAGGGATTTATGTATAAAAATGGTAAAACTCATTTTGTCAGGAAGTGGTAGATTAAATCCGACAATAATGCATTAACTCTTTCAGGCCACTTAGGGACCAATTAGTGCATTATGCTAAGGGGTACTAAATTGTATCCTACTGGCTTGGAGGAGACCAGGTATGTCCCGGAGCTCTAACTCATATCACCACTGGGAAGTGATTCAAATCTGGGAAGAAGCTGGCTCATCGAATATTAATTGAATGGGTGAATAAATGAAGGGAAGACAAAGAAGGGCGCTAACAAGCTAACACTTATTATTTACTATGTGCCAGGGGCTTCCCATTCATTATCTCATTTAATTCTCATGGCAACCTTATGAGGCCTGTATTATTATTATTATTACCATTTTACAGGGGAGGAAATGAATTTATACCCCAAACATAAGGAGTTTCCTGCTCTTCCTATGGGGAAGATGCTGGTGCTGACTTTAGGTAGTCACTTATTTGCTGTGGTCAGGACTATAAGATCCTTCCTGGACCCACAGTCTTCTTTCAGCCTGACTGATTCGTAAAATTCTGCAGTTCAAGATAGCATTCCTCTGTAGAGTGTGGCTTTTCTGAGTATTCCATAGTATTTAGTGTACTTGGGGAGAGTGGGTGGGAGAGTGGTCTGGGCAGTGGAAAACCCTTTGGGATATCAGTCAATTACACTGAAATAAGGCTAAATTTCATGTTACTTTCTGATAACTATTTTTAGTTAAAAAAAAAAAAGGTAAAATGAAAAAGAGGAGAGCAAAAGATTGCTGGGTGCCTAAGGAGCACCAAAAGGAATGCCCCAAAGTTAGAAAAAGACATAGAATAAGGAGCCAGGGATTACTACCAGCTAACTGGTGGTATTGAGAGAGTGCCTAGAAACCATTCCCATCCTTTAATCTCCTAAAGGCAAATGGTAGGCATTTGCAAGATAGTTGTCTGGGCTGCCTGGCATAGATGGTTTTTGTGCCTCAGAGTAAAGGAAATTGGTTTCTAAAGGAAGGAATTCCTGACTTGTTTCATTAACAAGAAGTTGTAGCCCAGTAAGTTGTAAATGGTACTTGAAACTGACATAAGAAAACACAGTATCAGAGCAGAATCCATTTCTTATAGGACTCCTGAGCCAGGGAAAGAGTTCGTTACTCTGAGTACTTCTATTTAGAAGGCCTTTTACATCTGAGAGGGTGCACTTTTCTCTGCAGGTGGTAAGCCACAGTTTTACATTTTAGATAGTTAGAAGTTTTCAGTACAAAGTTCTCTATGTCTATAATTTCAATTTCAAAAGAGAGACTTTAAGACATAAAATGAAAGTTCTAAAAGAAGCCTTTTTATTCTTTTCCTTTTCTTAGTCTAGGTACTTTATATTTAGGCTTTCAAGGAACAAGGGGACAAGGTTTTTCTTTTTAGAAAGAAAATCCAAACAACTGACAACTTTAAATAGATTTACACCCAAATTATACATTGTAAGTCTACAAGCAACTTTATAAAATAGCATCCACATGGCCTTTTGTATTGTGATCCTTTGTATGATACTGAAACTCCTGTAGGAGGGAGAAAATAATGATTAGGCTTAAGCAAAGTGAAAAGATATTTTCTCAGCTGGAAGTTGTTAATACTTCAGCTGATAGAGACTTGGAGAATAACTCCACTGTTATGTGTTTAAAAAATAAATACACAAGCAGTGGAATAATTCACAGGAAGAGAAATCGCAGGAGAGAGATAACAGCCAAGCAGATCTGAGGCTGATCGTTTTCCTGCTTATGGGGATGTTGCTCTTTTGCCCTAAGTCTTGGGCTGACAGCTCTTCTGGACATAGTCTCCAGTCCTTTGGGCCTTGCTGTCTTGCAGTAAATACTATATTGCCAAGTCAGTGGAGGGCTTTACATTTTCATAGAAGACATAATTATTGGAGACATAAGCACAGCGTTCAGAATTCTAAACCTCCTCTGTACTTAAAAATATTAAATATAACTTCTTTTCTTTCTCATTGTAAAAACAATACATGTTCATGGAAAACTTAAAAAATATAAAGAAGCAAAAAGAAGAATCTATAGAATAATCCAACTAGTGAGAAACAGTCACTAATTAGAAGTAGAGTGTGTCAATTCTTCTCTTGTTTAATCCAATGGGAATATATTTTACAAAAAGTTTTCTTCATATGGCATGTGCAGTTTTATAATCTTCTTGGGTCTACTCCCCTGTGCGTTCTGACGGGTAATAGTTAAATGTCTATACTCTGGAATCAGATCCAATAGAAGGCAGAATTCTGCCCCTGCTACTTACTATCTAGGTGGCATAAGTCTCCATTTCCTCTTCTGCAAAATGAAGATAATGTTACTTGGATTGAAAGGTGTTTGTAGGGACAGAGATAATGTCTGTAAAGTGCTTGGCACTTAGTAAATTTTCAATAAATGGCAGCTATTACAATTTTTCTTTCTGTCTTCCTTTTTCTATCTCTACCACATTGGTGCCCTACTTTGTTTTTTGCTATCTTTAATATTACTAAAATTGCATATGCCATTCACACACACACACACACACACACACACACACACACACACACACACATCTATCTATCTATCTATCTATCTATCTATCTATCTATCTATCTATCTATTTTAGGATTAAGATACCTTGACAGACGAAGAAAAGAGTAAGATTTTTCATCTGGGTATGATCATCTGCTTTAAGGCAACACATATACTGAACATGTTTAGGTTTGGGTGCTGCTTATATTTTGCCTTAGAATATATAAAGTTTGAGGATGTTTTGCACAGGTCAGGATGACGTGGCATTCCAATGTCTTGATTATCAGGCTTCACTATATCTGTCTCTTTAAGTAAGATAAAGAATTGAGCCAATAATAATCAGGATCTCACTTCTCTGACAGAGGGATTTAAGGACTGATGTCCTTACTTCTACTTCTGTTTTAACAATGTTTGAGGAGAGAGAAGTGTGGGGACCAGGCCCTATTTTGATGCAGGGCAGTGGCATGAAAAAGTTAAGCCCCCAGTCAAGGATGAGAGCTGCTCTGGGACACATTTCCCTTGTTCAGAATGGACTCTTCTGACTTTCCCCGGGACAAGCAAATGGAGGGGTCTGCCCAGTAACTGTTAAGTCATGGACTAACAGTGATCATGTATAGTGGCGTATCTACTGTCCATCATATTTACTTTTGGGGAATGCTGAGTCTGAGAGACTGCACTTCCTTGGGTGCAGCAGTGGGGCAACAGGTGAAGCATGCACAGTGGCCCTTACTTCTTCTTTGCTTGCTGCACCGAGTAAGTGGAGCAATTTCTTTGTCAAAGTGCCTGGTGTAATGGAATGCACTGTTTAGTTGGTCAACATGAGTGGGCCTGGGAAGCCTGAAAAAAGATATTTTGGCTAGGCACAGTGGCTCATGCCTGTAATCTCCGCACTTTGGGAGGCCCAGGTGGGAAGGTTGCTTGAGAACAGGAGTTTGAGACCAGCTGGGGCAACATAGTGATATCCTGTCTCCACAAAAAGTTAAAAAAAAAATTAGCTGGGCATGGTGGTGCATGTTGCCAGCAGTCTCAGCTACTCTGGAGGCTGAGGTGGGAGGATCGCTTGAGCCCAAGGGGTTGAGGCTGCCATGAGCCGTGATCATGCCACTGCACTCCAGCCTGGGTGACAAAGCAAGATCCTATCTCTAAAATAACAATAAAAAATAAAAAATAGAGAATTTTTATTACTGAATTTTCAGGTATACACAAGATTAGAGAGAATAGTACAAATGAACCCATGAACCCACCACACAATGTCAGAAGATTTCAACATGCTGCCAATTTTATTTCATCTTTTGCCATATCACTTTCTTTCCTTGCTTCACTTGTTACCACAGTATTCTAAAGCAAAGATCAGAGAAGAAATTCTCTAAGTGCTTCTGCAGGTATCTCTAAAAGATAAGGACATTAAAAAAAAACCCATAATCACAAACCCATTCATACCTAACAAAACTAGTAGTAATCCTTAATGTAGCCTAATATCTATTTCAAGTTCAGATTTGCCTGATTACCTCAAACCCTGTGAGTTTCTTCAAATCAGAATCCAATCAAAGGCTATACATTGCACTTGATTGTTAGTTCTTATAAAATGTTTTAATTACAACAGTTCTTCCTTCCCCTCCCCCTATTTTAACACCATTTAGTTTTTGAAGAAACTAGATTATTTCTTCTTTGGAATCAGGGATGACTTCGGATGAGCTATTTTTTTCAGGCCATAAGATTTTTGGCTAGCTTGGAGGTCAGGTGGAACAATGTAATAGAAGTGTGTCTGTGAACATGTTAATGTCATCCATCATGGTGAGATCAGATGATTGAGTGATTGATGGGATGTGGGAGAACAGCTTCAGGCACGAGATATGGAGTTGCGACTCACTGCTTAAAGGGAACTTCTTATGCAGAGAAACTGAAAATGACAGTCTGGCAAGACAGCTGCCTTGTGAATTATCTCATTGATCACACTTCTGTTCTTTTAAGAACCCCTCCCTGGCCTACTGGTGGTATGGTTTGTGAGCCTGGTCTTCACACAATTTTGTGTGTACTGACTCTACTATCCCCCAGCAGCTGTGGCTGGTTTTTGTTGGTAATGCACCGGCTTTCCCATGTAAGACTCTCTTGGCATTTCTAGTGAGCACTTTGGGAGTAGTTATTCACATACCTACTATGTGCTCTGTGGAAGAACAGGTGTGTGGTGATACTGTTTGAAAAGTCTCTGCTTTCTATTCCAAATTCAAACAGACTAAGTCTCTATGGTTTTTAAAAGCTACTTAGCTCATTCTTTGGGCTTTGAAGCCACACGATCCTGGTAGGAACTGAAAAACAGAAATGAATTCTTTCTTAACCTGACATCTGGGTTACTCCCAGCATTGTGCCATTGTTGGGCCTAAATAGTTAGGAAAGGGGTTAGAAATGTGGCATAAAGCAGTGCTCTGGCTTCCCGCACAGCCCATGACCACGTGGACTGTGCAATATCTCCTGAACCTACTTCATGATTTTCCACCATCGCATGCTGCTTTCTCTTTTAGAAATGTGCTCCTTCTTTGTCTCTTTGAAATCTCCTCAAGGTTCTGTTAAGGAGACAACTCCTTCATGAGGCCTGTCCTGAGCTCCCCAACCAGGTGTGCTTTTCTCTCCTCTGAACTTTCAAAGTGCTGACATTCAATGGACCCACTGGGACTAGAACTTGTGCAGAGCCCCCTGTCACTTGTCCTCTTTCCTCTAAGCCCCTCTCAAGCTTGTGGCTGGGTATCCAACCCATGAAAAAGGGACATGTCACCAACTAGCCAATAAAGAAGCAAAACCAACCTGGAATAACAGTATGTAATGATAAGTCCTTGGTGAATTTTTCTTACCTATGCCTTGTTTGTGAGTGGAAATTTGAGTTCAGTTCAGTACACTTGTTTAACTTTTTTTTTTTTTGAGACAGAGTTTCACTCTTGTTGCTCAGGCTGGAGTGCAGTGGTGTGATCTCGGCTCAGCCCAACCTCCGCCTCCCGGGTTCAAGTGATTCTCCTGCCTCAGCCTCCAGAGTAGCTGGGATTACAGGCACACACCACCATGCCTGGCTCATTTTTGTATTTGTGTTTTAGTAGAGACACGGCTTCACCATGTTGGCCAGGCTGGTCTTGAACTCCTGACCTCAGGTGGTCTGCTCCCCTCGGCCTCTCAAAGTGCTGAAATTACAGATGTGAGCCACCACGCTTGGCCAACTTTTTTATTTTTAATGTTTGCTATGAGCTAAAGATGATGTGAGATACTGAGAATACAAAGAATAATAATAACTGTAATGTTAACAATGATTATGGCACATCACACCATGTTCTAAGCACTTTACAGCTATTATTACTCACTTAATCCTCAGAACAATGCTATGAAGTTGATGCTATTATTATCTCTATGTTTTTCCCCAAAAAATAGAGGCATTGAGAGGTTAAACAAGTTACCCAGGTTACACAAGCTGTAAGTAACACAGCTGAGATTTGAACCAAAGCAGTCTTGCTCCAAGAGAAATAAGACGTAGTCCTTTAGCCTTCAACTGCTTATAGTCTGAGGGTTGTAACCAAAAGGGAAGTATGGTTCTTTTTCAGTCTCAGAATCCCAGACACATTTCACAGACCTGGATGTTACCACCAGTGGAGTGCAGTGTAAGCTTTGGGTTAACAGACTATTGGACAAGGCCACAGCTGAGACAAGTGTTGAGAAGTGGTTGTCTTAGCATGCCTCAGAAAGAGAGGCAGTTGTCAAGAAGGGCTGGCCTGAGCTCCCCATTAAACTGTGAATCCTTATGCAGAGGGCATTGTCCATCAGACGGGACTGGGAGCACTACTGCATAAGGAGGCTGGTCCTTCCCTTAGGAATTTTCCCTTTGTTCTGCTTCATCATCATCAGTGAATGTAAGTGCACAGTGCAATTTTGTGGTATAGACTCACTGCACTGCCTGTTAAGAACTGCTCTGAGGAGACCCCAATGTATAAATAACCATTTGGATATTTCCTTAGAATTTCCTTCCAAAGTAACTGATCATGCTGCAGTGATGAAACAGTGCTGAACTGGAGCCATGTGGAATTGGAGCCAAATGCTAGGACGGCATAGCAATCTCCACAAACATTCCTCTGGGGATTTGGGAATGTTCAGAGTAACCCTCCATCTTAAACACTGTGTTTTTTAGCCAAATGAGTTTTCTGAGAAAGAAGAGGTTTTAAGAGCTTCTCTGGAGATAAATGAGCATCATCTGCTCTAGGGGGAAATGGTTCCAAAACTCTGGCATAAATCTGGGAAGTTGTTGCCTTAGAAACAACTAATGTTGTGTAACTCTCTTCCCTGGACAACCATTTAGGGTCTCTATAATTTGCTCACTTCTACCCACAGTTTCTAAACCTTTAACCCCAGGTAAGAATTCTTAATCTCTTTCCCCAATGAGGACTGTAACAAACAACCATTCTTATCACCCTAGAGATTAAGCACTTGGTGGGGACTGATCCTCTTCTTCTTATGTGAGATTCTGTTGAGATGGCAGAGATAAAATAAGTCATGGCAGAACCACTTGGGGTTCCGTGATATTTGTCCTGCTTTGCCCATGACTCAGGAGTTTCCTGGGCTGCAGGATTTTCAGTGCTAAAGCCAGAACGGTTGCTTCCCCTAGTAGGGACATGGACAGCTCTCCAGGAGAGGACTCTGAGCTCCATGACTTCTGGACTCTAGACAGTTCAGAGTTCCTCCCCCAGCCTCAACTGTAGAGGACAATTCAGAGCACAGTCCCTGTTGAATTGTCCAGTGATTGTTCTTTCAAAGAAAGATTACCCCACAGCAGACAGAGTTACATTTGAGAAACTGTTGGAAATATTACACACAGCCAGATTCAGTTCAGCTCATTCAGTTTCACTCAATGTATCAAGCCTACATGACATTTCTATAAACACATGGCACTGAATTAGAGGCTGGGGATACGAAGATGGACAAAGCATAGTCCTGCTCACTAGGGGCTCTGAGTCTAATGGGAAAGATGAAAATGTAAACAAAGGAGCACTTTTCAGTATGAGGGATGCTGTAATAGAAGTGGTAGACAAGGTGTGGGGAATGAACATTAATAAGGAAGTTAATTACCTGAGGTCAAGAAAGGCATTACAGAAAATTGATGCTTCAGTGGAGAGTTTGAAAATGAATTGGTGCTTGCCCACTGGACAGAGAGGAAGAGCACTTCTGGCAAAGCTAAGAACACAGAACAAAAGCACAGAGACAAAAAATGATCTGGTCAAGCAGAAACTTTCTGGTATATTTAGGGAACAACAGGTATGGTCTGAATACAGAGTTTGAGATAGAAAGAATGGTAGGAGAGGAGGATGGAGGCAAGGGGCATGAGAGAGAGGTTGTGAATGGCATTGTATGAAATTGTAGAAATAGCCGTTGGCCACCTACCCAACACTTTTTCCCACTTTGTTAATTCTGTTCACGTGATCCACCCCCACACAGTTGTAGACTTCTTTAAGCCAGTCACAGTGATCTAATTTCTCTTGTCAGTGGCTTGTTTTAAGATTTGTGCAGAGGCAAAAGAGATGCAAAGAGATGTGTGTGTGTTGAGAGTCCTGTAGGAAAAGATGCTCTACTCTCCTGCTAGAAGTTGTCATGTTTGCATCTGAGGCAGCCATCTTGTGACCATGAGGATGGCTGGCTTGAAGACAAGCTGACTTGCTGAGAGTGATAGAGCAGAAAGATGAAAAGCTGCTGGGGCCTTGGAGTCACTTTCCCTTAGGACAGTTTGTTATGTGAAATAAAACGTTTCCTCATTGTTTCATCATTTTGAATAGAGATTTCTGTTAAAGAAGGTTGAAAACACTTAATTAGATGGCATGATGTGTTGCAAAGTTGAGACTTTAGGTGACAGGAGAAAAGGAGTAATGTTGCATGAGTTTTGTTATAGGACATTCACTCTTATTTGTTAGTAGCCATGTTTCTTGCATTTAAATTTTAGATGCAGAAACTCATTCATTCATTCATTCACCTGGACTTTTTTTGAACTTTATATTAAGCACCATCTTAGATGCTGAAGATTCACTGTCAAATAAGATAGGATATCTCTTCTTAGGGGACTTGCAGTTTCTTAGCGGAGAGAGGTAAGTAAATCAATTTCACTGTGGTAGGTGAAGCTGTGGCAGGTGCTTTGATAAAGTTACCCCCAGGGTACTGTAGTCATGCTATAGGGGCTCCTAAGTCAGTTGTATAAATTGTGGAACATTTATCAAGGAGGTGTGATTGGACTGGACCAGTTGAAGACTCCTAAAGCAGTAGTTAGTCATCTGAAGAACTCTCTCTGGGCCTGTGCACCCTCCCATCCTTGACTTACTTGTTTCCACCGTGGTTCCTCTGACTTTAACTCATTTCTGGATGCTGGAGACCTGTTTCGGTGCTGATCCTGTCTCAGCTCTGCTAGATTTAGTTTCTTGCTTTGGTCTCTTGGATTGACTAGTTCATCTATTCTGACTTGCCTTTTCATTGGTTCTAGCTTCTGGAATCTTTCTGGGCAGGTGTTCATCTAGTTTTGATTTCACAGATTTGGGCTTTTTGCTGTCTATTTTTAGACATATTTATTCAGGAATTACCTGCTGAACACTTCTAGCTTGTCTGGGTTCTCCACACCTTGCCTTTCAATGGTCTATACATGGCATTAGTTGTCAGGGCACATAGGTTCAGTGTACTAATAATGAGTGTGGGTCACAGTCATATAGTCGTTTTGGGATTGATGTAGAGGGTCAGATTGGTTCAGAGAACTTTGGAGTAGGTAAAAATTAAACAGAAAATAATTGCCATCTTCCTTCTTGGCATCTTTGTTTTTAGGGGGTTTTGGGGGTCTCAAGACTTTTCAAACATCCAAAGAAGCTATATATGCATAACAGGATAACTTCCCATTTACTACAATTGTTTGCATTATGAATGATGTTGTTTAGTGTGGGGACAGTATTAACGACCTTTTAACATTATGTAAAAAGCCTTTTTCTAGAAGGTAAAAGCTAAAGAATTGTCTGGGGCTTATGCAGCCTTCCTGAGAATTGATTATGTGAAGTATCCCCTGAGGGGTAAGGAATGTGAGAAGGTAGGTGGCTTTTCTGAGGGCCCCTTACAGTTTTAACATAGCTTAATGTTTACCCTCTAGGATCACAGAGCTTGGAATTCAGTAGGTAGCACCAGGTTTGGTGGCTTATGCCTGTAATCCCAGCACTTTGGGAGGCTGAGGCAGGAAGATTGCCTGAGGCCAGGAGTTTAAGACCAGCCTGGGCAACATAGCGAGACCCCATCTCTTAAAAAAAAATTAGCCAGGTATGGTGGCACACACTTGTAGTCTCAGCTACTTGGGAGGCAAGAGGATCTACCTGAGGCAAGAGGATCTCTTGGGACCAGGAGCTCAAGGCTTCAGGGAGCTATGATCATGCCACTGCACTCTAGCACTCCAGCCTGGGTGACAGAGTGAGGCTCTGTCTTTAAGAAAAGAAAGAAAGTCAGTAGGTAGAAAGGTTTAAGGAAAAAGAAGACATAAGAGGTGCATAATATGTGTTTACTACTTTTTAAAAATTAGAGATGCCAAATATTAAGCTTCTTTCAATTACTATATATATTTTCATAAAGAATAACTCTACTGAACTTATGAAAACAATATAGCTCATTATAAAGAAGTCAAGCAGCAAAGAAAGGTACAAAGAAGAAAGCAAAAAAGTCACTCCGTATCCCACTATACAAAAATAACTATCATTAACAAAGGGCAATATCATCCTATGTATCTCTCTCTATAGAAATAAAGACAGGAAAAAAAATACAGAAAAACTGAATTTGGAATATTCTGTAACACAATTTAAAATAAAAAAATTAACTGTACTTAATTTAAAAAATCCTAAAAAGTGAAATAAAGCAAATTATTCATTTTAAGTACAAGAAACATTAATTCCCAAAATATTTTCTAAAGTTTAAAAAATAAGGTATAAAAGAATATTAAAAGATTGGTGTCATTATACTCTTTAACTTCATGCACCAAGTGTAGGCAGTATTTATTAAATATTAAGAAAAACTGGGAAAACTGCTATATTACTATTTTTATGCGATTCACCTCTATATAACATTTATTTGGTGTTTATAACCATTACAAAGTATTATGACAATTATTTTGCCTTGTTTTATATGTAAATGAATTCAGTGCTCATAACTAGCCCTTTTCCCATGGCCTCTCTATTTTTGAGATTTTCATTTGATCAGCATAATCATGATTGCATTTCTTTAATGAGTAGGTTGCTCCCTCAAAGAATGGCTGTGATTCTTTGTTTGCTTCTTTCCCTCAGAACTCTGGAGACTTTGCTTGCAGAGAGTCTCTTGAAGAGTCTGGAGACTCTTCATCTGCATTCCTTCTTCATTTTTGAAGTAGCTGTACCTCAGCTTTGAAAATTGCTAATGATTAATATTTATCTTATGAACTATTAATCATATAGAACCTACCTGATGTTAGTGGGTATCAGGCTACCTACCAGGTAGAAGTATTAGGTAGACTGGCGACTGATTTGGAGCAGTCATCAATTGTTAGTTCTCTTGCCTGGGTGGTGTGGGAGGATCCCCACTCAACTCAGTTCTAGGAGCAGATGTTACTCACTCAAAAGTCCCACGTCACAGTCTCAGCGTATTGAAATCTGACTGTTACTGCCTTCTCTCCCTTCTGTACCCAGCTTTCCATCTGTTAGTCTCTCTTAGGTAGGATGAGAAGTCCCACTCAACATGATTTCTCCTGGCTCCACTTGTAACTCTGCAAGGTCAATCCACACCTCTAAAGGGCTGTTTGCTTCTTGTGGTTTACCACATCTATCCATCTTATGCTTGAAAACATAGTTGTATTTGGCTTGGCCTCTATGATGGACCTGCACAATATTTCAACAAACAGATGATTGCCTTATTTTCTAATGGTTAAGAATCAGGAGATATTGCACACAAAAATATGAGTTTCTGGCTTCTCTTGAAATATCAATGACTTGATGATACTGGGACCACATTCCTACAGCCATCTAGAGGTAGGATGCCCTGTTCTGAAATGCCACAGTCCCCACATTCCCTGTTTCTCTTTGACATAGGCTGTGTCAGCCACTTACGTTAAATGCCTGGCAGCTGTAAGATTTGAATGTGTAACCACTTTTTAAGCAAAACATCTTGCAATTGAACTTTTTAGGTATAGGGTGATAGCTTATTGGATAAACCTTTTGAGTGATTATTTATGGAGCACCTGTTTGGTATCTGGCACTGTGTCAGATGCTAGAGATATAAGATAACAAGATGTAGTTGCTGCTGCTAAGGAGTTCCATCTAGTTTGGGAAATAAACAGCCAACAGATAGAAATCGTATCTTTTGACATGTGCCTCTGATACGTATATAAACAATAAGAGATAGCATCTGTCAAGGAGTTTATGAAAAATACAATTAGTCCTAAAGCATGTTTTAGGAAGAAAAGAGTGATCCCATCTTGGGGCCTTCAAGGCAAAGTATTTGAGCTTGTTCTTAACGGCTTTGCAAGATTTTAATTGGCAGGGGGGTGAAAATTGAATAGCCCAGAGGAGACAAGGCTGTAAGCAAACCAGAGCACAGAAATGAACAAGAAACGAGATAACCCGGGCACTGCAAGTCATGCTGCTAGCGGGAACTGAGGCTTCATTTTTGGCAGTTGGGAAAGATATGGCTTAGAAAGGTAAGTTAGGGTGAGATGGGCAATGCTAAGATTTGAGTTTTATCCTTCGTACAGTGAGAAGTGACCTCAGGATGCAATGAGTGGAATGACATGATCAAAGAAAGGTTTTGGTGGATTAGATATTCTACTCAAGCAGGATGAATTAAAAGGAGAGAAATGCAAAGAAACTAAAATTTATGGACTACTTGTTATATACAAAGCACTGTGATGTTAAAAAAAAAAACCTGGATGCTTATGGGATTTTCTCCCCTAATACCTGAATTTTAAGGAATGCAAACAAGATATGTCTTGATGTGTGTATCGATGTATTCATTGTATGATACTTGGTGAACCCTTTCAAACTGAAGACTCTTGTCTTTTTTAGTCCAGGAATGACTTTATTTCTTTGATTATTGATCTTTTGAATACTTTGATCTCTCTTTCTGGAATTCTTGTTACACATAAGTACTAGATCTTCTGGATCATTCCCCCTGTGTTTCTCATTTATTTAATACTTTATCACCTTTATCTCTTACACTCTAAGTTATGGGGAAATTTCTTGAACTTGTGCTGTAATTAAATATTCAGTTTTAATACATAATCCATTTGCTATGCACTGCACTTATTGCATTCTAAAAGTTATCTGTCTTTTTAAACCAGTAATAAATATTTTCTGATGTCAAAAAATAAAATGGCATTATAAATGATATTTTAAAAAATGCTCTATGAAGTTATCTCACTGAAATCCTCAGGAATGTACCTATAGGAGGCATTTTTATTTCTATTTTAAAGAAAAAAACTAAGGTTCAAAAAGTTTATGAGTCTTTCCCAAAGTCTCAAATCTAGTATGTGAAAGTGCCTGGAATAGCTTTCCTGACTGTCTGACTTCAAAAACCTTGGTTTGACCACTTCGTCTATATCATGAGGAAGGACTGGCATCACAGAGAGCTCATAATAATTATTATGCTTATATCACATGTGCCAAGATACTAAAGAGATAAAAATGCGCAATTTATTCAGAGTCCAATCTCTATCCTTCTGGCCTTCTGAATTTTGGAGAGAATTTGATAGGGGTGGAGAAGGCTCTAAAGCATATCCTTTAATCCTCAACTGATCTATTAGCTCCCGACCAGAACAGCTGGAACAAAGACTCTGAAAAAGAATATTTTACTAGTAAATTTTTATATTTTATTTCTTCCTATCCAAAGAGAGTCTTTTAAGCTCTCAAGGGAAGGGAGAAAAGGTGGGCAAGTCATGACGAGGGTAATGAGACTCTCCTGCTCCAAATTATTCAGAACACTTTAGCCACCTGCTTTGCCCAGAATCACCATGCCGGCAGAGACCAGTAGAGAACAAAGCAATGGTTTTTGGAGTAGTCTGGCACAGTGGGTTTTCTTCTCACCTCCCTGCAGGTGTGTGTGTGTGTGTGTTTGTGTGTGTGTGCATATACTAGTGCCACACTGACACAGCTGTTAGAATAAGCTCAAAGTTTTCTTATGTTAATCTCCAGGATTTTTTTCTCTCTAGTTCCAGGTAAGCTTTCCTAACCTTTTCTTAAGTAATATATATATATAAAATCTGGAGATAGAAATATTCACTTAAGTGATTTAGAAATACTTTTAAACAGTTTCATAGAAAAACCGCGAGAAAGAGAATTTAAAAAGCTAGCTCAAATTTCTCTTTTAGAAAGAGAATTTTGATTTGATTTTTTACAAGGTTTATGTATCTAGGAAGGAGAGAGGAAAAAGCCCTAGAGGGTATGCTAGCTAGTAAATTGTGGCACAGGTCTAGGATTTCCCTGGTTCCACTTATGCACAACCCCCATTCCACTTCTTCGGAGGCTCCTGTTCGGCTAGAGGCAGACCTGGGTCACCAGCAGCCTCAGGAGCCATTTCCTATTCCTTTGTGTTTCACCTTATTTAGTGCAAAGAAAAAGGCCACAGCAACAATGTATGGGAGGTAAGGCTGAAGACGTCTTTCCAGCTTCTTCTTCAGTGTACCTGGACTTGTCAACATCTAGCTTTGCTATGGAAGAACAATTCGTTGAGACTATTGCATCAAATAGTATTGAACATTCATCAGTCACAATAATGATGATTAAGGCTCAATGTGAATGACAGCTGGGGGCTCTTGGTTTCCACTATGTGTGACAGCAATCTGACAAAATCCTGAAACAGCCTTAGGGATAATGGTTGGACCAGAGTGTGGCATCTTCCAACTACATCCAGGGTGTTAAGTTTGGTTTTGAATGCCACACTGTGGAAGTGACAGGAACACATTTGAGCACATTCAGAGGAGGGCAATGAAAACTAGACAGGAAGTGCCCAGATACCGGAGGCACTGCAGATGCTTCATCTACAGGAAAGAGCCTGAAGAGGCACATTGACACCCAGGGTAGACTGGTTGTGTGCTGTTTCAGGCAAAGATAAATGCATTCTAGAAATGAGTTCTATGGAAGGAATAACTTTTCTAACAACGACAAAATGGGCTACTGTAAACGTAGTGAGCTCCCTAACATCAGAAATGCTCAAATGTATGCACCAGATGACCTACATCACAGATTCTGTGATCTTCTGATTTACTGGAGTCTTGCAAGTGACTTATTTAAACAAGTCCATGTATAGCTGCCAGCTGTGGTTGATGCCTCTTTCCTTTCCTAACAGTCTCTTCAACCCAATCTAAGCTGGCTTCCATTCCAGCAACCTCATGGAGATTGCTTCTGTCAAGGCGACCAGCAACTCTCAGTCACCAAACCCCAATCTTCTCTGTCTCTAACCTATTTAACTTTTTCAGAAGCATTTAGCACAATGGCAACTCCTACTTTCTGGAAATAGATTCTCCTGCTGGCTGCCATGACCTCATATTCACCCAGTGGTTTCCTTCCTACCTCACTGACATTCCTATCAGTCTCGTTTGCTAATTATTCATCTTCTCCTCAACATCTAAATGTTGACATGCCCCAGGGCTCCCCTTAGAATTCTCTTTTCTTCTCTGTTTGTGTTGACTCTATGTGGTGGCTTTAAAACATGTGTGCAAACTCCTTGACACTCCTCTCATCCAGAGGTGAGATCTATGTCTTCTCCCCTTGAATTTGGGTTGAACATAGTAATTCATTTGTAATCATTAGAATGCAGCAGGAGAGATAATTTGTAACACCAAGGGCTAGGTCCTAAAAGACCATGAAGTGTCCACCGGGTTCCTTGGGACATTAGTCTTAGGAATCCTGAGCTTCCGGCACTGAGGTGGTCACAGTGACAGGAAGCCCAAGCCTTTCAGGGGGCCATGTGTAGTGCTCCAGCTGAGGACTCAGGCATCACGGAGCAGAGACAAACCTTCCCTGTTGTGTTCTGCCAAAGTTTTGACCCACCATGAGCATAGCAAAATGGTTGCTTTAGGTCACTAAATTTTGGGGTGGCTTGTTATGCAGCAACAGAACTGATACATTCCCTAAGGGGGCTCATGCTGTAGCATGACTTTAAGTACCGCCTATAAAAGCTTATGAGTTCCAAACCCACTTTCCAGCCCTGATCTCTTCCCTGAACTCCAGACTCTTAAATCCAATTATCCACATGTTTACTTGATCTCTCCATATGGGTATTTAGTAAGCATTATCTGAAATGCAATATGACTAAAACAGAAAGCTCAACATTAACCTTTGTCCCTTGAGCTTATTTCTTCTCTCTCCCCCATTTCTGTATACATCTAGTTTTTCAAGTCAAAACTGTTAGTCTTATTTCTGCCTTTTACCCCTAAAATCATCAAAGTATACCTAGAATCTGTCCCGTTCTTTCCATCTCATCTGCTTCTGTCCTAATCCAAGTTATCATAATCTCTCTTCTCATCTACTGTCATATCCACTGAACCAGTTTTCTTTCTTTCACTCTGGCTCTCTAAAATTCCATTTTCTACACAGTAGCCTATATTAGTTATTTATTACTGTGTAGCAAATTACCCCCAAATGCAGTAACTCAAAACAGTAATATTGATTATCTCACAGTTACTGTGGGTAAGAAGTCTGGGTACAGCTTATCTGGGTTCTCTGGCAATGATCTCAAAGCTTGACTGGGAGGGAGCTGCCTCTTAGCTCACCCATGTGATTGTTGGCAGGATTCAGTTTTACCAAGAGCCCAGCTTCCTCATGGACTGTTGGCTGGAATCCTCCTGCGGTTCCCTTGTCAGGTGGGACTCTCCCTCAGGCAGCTTACAACATGGCAGTTGGCTTCATTAAGGTGAGGGAGAGGGAAAGAGAAGGAGGACTGGCAAGTCATAGCGTTTTGTAACCTAATCATGGAAGTGACATCCCATCACTACTGCCATGTTCTGTTAGAAGCAAGTCCCTCAGTCTGGCCCACTCTCAAGGGGAGGGGTTCATACAAGAGTGTGCATACCAGAAGGTGGGAATCACTGAGGGCCATGTCAGAAGCTGCCTACCACATGGCCCCAGCGTGATCTTTTAAAATCATAAATCACCCCTCCTTAAATCATATCACACCCCTTCTTAAAACTTCCAATAGCTTTTGCTACATTTTAGAATGAAATCCAATATCTCATTGTTTTGCAGAGCCCCACATGTGTAGCCTGCTTTTCTCACCTCTAATGTTACGATGCTTTATTTAATCAGTTTCACTCCAGCCTTCCTGTTTTTCTTTCTGTTCCTTGAATTCTCCAAGTATGCTCCTTCCTTGGGGCTGTACATTAGGTGTTCCACCTTTTTGGATCACTTTCCCCTGTTTATATAGAGATAGCTGGGTTTTCTCATACAGGTCTCCACTTCAATGTCACTTCCTCAGAGAGACATCCCTGGCTGCTCAGCTTAAGGTGGATCTCTAGCCTCTGTCACATTAACCTCTTTCATTCTCTGCATTGCTCTTATTCCTATTTATATTATTCTTATTCCTATATTCATTAATTTACTTACCATCAGTCTCTTTCCTCCCTTCTCTCCCACAAGTAGAATGAATTTAATGGGTTGACCAGTTCCAACTTTGGGTCATTCACTCTACACCTTTAGTAATATCAGTCTCTATTAATAGAATTGCCAGGGACTTTCTGGCAATTTTCATTACTACACAATTTTCATTTCTATACAATTTTCTGTACTACTATTACAAAATTTTCATTACTAAGTTTATAACAATAGCTGACAGTTATATGATACTTATAAGGTGGCAAATACTGTTTCAAATGCTCATTTAATCATCACAACATCCACATTCTACAGATAAAGAAAGCCAGGCACAGAGAGGGTAAGTAAGTTGCCCAAGATCACATAGGTAGTAAGTAGGATGGCTGGAATATGACCTCAGGATCTAACTTTGCAGTTCTTGCTCTTAATGAGCACACTTTCCTCCCATTCGTGACATGTACAATTCTGCAACATCCCTCCATCATTACTCAACACAGGAATAGGCAGGTTGCCAAATTCATGCAATTCCCACTAGTCACTGGAAGGCATTTCCCCCCCAAAGTATGCAGAACCTGTAGTTTTTAAATTTGTTTATTGTCTTAACTATATTTCTACCATTTTAGTGCCTGTGTTTCAACTATCTGGGATAGGGAGAGGAGAAATGTTGAAACGTAAAGAGATACATTCTCCAAAGTGCTCTTTGAAGCCATCGTTTTACCCAGGGAACAGATTATGTTTCTAAATATCTCTCAGATCTGCCCCGGCCTGGAATCGCAAGAGGGCTTTCAGAAGTTTTTCTAGCTTTTTGGCAGGAAGAGAACAACTGCTAGCTTGGTTATGACCTAAAAAAATACTCCCTTGCTCTAAAGATGTTATTGACTCAATGATATTCTCTGTGTTACACCATCAAACACCCCCCTTGGCTGTTAACAGTACAGAGTTTTACTGTGTAATTGCTTCATTTTCCATCCATGTGGAGCTACCCGTACGGTTCCACTATCCCATCTAGTCCCCCTGCAAACTTCTCTCCACGCACATTTTGAAATTTAGCTGGTAATTTTCCAGCAAAGAAATTTCTCCTGCCCAGATAATGATGATCACATGGCAGACAACAGGGGCAGGCCAGTTGCCAAGCACCGAGACGGAATAAACATCACCCAGTTTCCTTTTCCCTCCCTCTTGAGAAGGAACGGTGATGTCTTGAGAGTCAGAAAGAAAACAGTGACCAAATATACATGATTTACTGAAAAATATGCAGGGCTTTGTTGGGAGGTCTGTCAGGGATGTTGTCTCCTCAGGGAGCCCGCCTCTTCCCACTGCTGCGCGCAGACGGCCTGCACGCGGACGCCATTTTCTTTGGTACACGCTGTCTCTGGGTAGAAAGGCTATTTTTTGTTTAAGCTGAATATTCACCTGAACAAATAGCAGATGTTGATGAATATTAATTTGTGCTTAGATTAATGCTTCAAAGTGTCAATTTAATTTCTGTTTTACTATTCAGGCCCTGATTGCAATGAGCTACTTCAGGATGTGGGGGAGCATACACCTGGCTGGGGGCGGGGCTGGAGGTCTTCAGGGAGTGGAGCCGGGTCTTCGGGCTTTTATCTCTGCAGTGGGACAATGCAGAGATAAAATTGTCTCCAGTGGAGTCCAGATTCCCCCTGGAAGTCCCCCAGCTGTGCACTGGCACAGTGGAGAGCTGGCAGCTCCTGAGAGACAGAGAGAGAGAGAGAGAGGGGAGAGACAGCAAGAGAGCGAGAGCTGAGCAAGTGCTTAAGCTGGGCTCCAGGCTCCAAGTGGGACAGGCTGCTGGGATTGCTGGGATGATCCCCTCGTGGTCTCCTTTTAACATATCTGAGTCCATTTCTCTTGCTGACTTTTTAGGTTCCTGAGAAGTTTAATTCTAATTTGTATCCTCCTAAACCCACATGGTGAGGGGAACACAGCATGAATTTGAACTCAGGCATTTTAGAGTTTAAATGCTTCGCTTTCCTGAGTCTCAGTTTCCTCCCTCGTAATACAGAGTTAGTGAGGGGACCAAGTGGTACCTGTGTTCCATGCTTATGAAGGGCCTGGCACCAAGTGGCACTCCGTAAATTAGATCCCTATCCTCCTTCCCTTCTGATGGATAAACTCATTCTCAAAGAATGTAAAAATTTAAACTTTTCCTTATTGAGTTTTCAAATATCTCTCTGTTGTGTATGTTTATTTCTTTACGTTGCTCAGTTTCCTGATTCTCTGACTTATTAGCAACTCGGTAAGTACACATGACATAAATGTTTCTATTTTGAGTTTTTCTGCCAGAATAATGTGAATGCCATGGTTTTGTTTGTTTGTTTTTTAAAGAATGCTTATGGCACCATATTCCATATTTGTCTTGTTCGTCCTTGACCTATGTTGCTGCTTCTCTGTCAGCTGGACAAAGAGAATGAATTTCTGTTTCATTGAGAATTGCCCTTTGAAGTCTGGGTGAAGTGGCTCGGCTGTGCGCGGTGGCTCATGCCTGTAATCCCAGCACTTTGGGAGGTCTAGGTGGGTGGATCACCTGAGGTCAGGAGTTCAAGACCAGCCTGGCCAACCTGGTGAAACCTCATCTCTACTAAAAATACAAAAATTAGCTGGGTGTGGTGGCAGGCGCCTGTAATCCCAGCTACTCTGGAGGCCGAGGCAGGAGAATCACTTGAACCCAGGAGGCGGATGTTGCAGTGAGCCGAGATGGTGCCATTGCACTCCAGCCTGGGGGACAGAGTGAGACTCCATCTCAATAAAAAGAGAATTGCCCTTTGCAGACCTAACCTCTGTCCTACCGTGGACTTGCCTTGTCATTTTGCCTTCTTGTTCTTTCCACCTCGCACACTCTCATCCTGCAGACCCCAGATTGTCAGCAGATTACTAACTGCAATCAAAAGAATCCTGAGTAATGCCAGTGTGTAGGATTTTAAGATCTAGAGTTGCTGTGGTGGAAACTGTTGATGGCAGGTTTCAGCATGCTCTGTGGATTCCCACCTCCCTCTAGTTCTCTTCCTGTTATGTTTGTTTCCCAGGGCTGTGATCACAAAGTACCAAAACCTGGGTGGCTGAAAATAACAGAAATTTATTATTTCATGGTTGTGGAGACGAAGTCCAAAATCACAGTGTAGACTGGGCTATGCTCCTTCTGAAGTCTTTAAAGGAGAATAACTTCTTGCCTCTTCCAGCTTCTAGTGGTGACCTTCGATCTTTAGTGTTCCTTGTGTCTCTGTCTTTCCATGGTGTTATTCTTGTGTTTTCACATTATGTTATGTCTGTGTGTATTTGTGTCCAAATTTCTCCTTTTTATGAGGATAGTAGTTATGTTGGATTTGGTTTCATCCTAGAGTTAAATTGGTTACACCTACAGGGCCCTTATTTCCAAATAAGGTCATATTGTGAGATATTGGTTATATATGAGCTCAGGACTTCTTACTTCAAGTCTGTTCATCAGGGCAAACTTGTATTGATTCAGCAACGACCTTCATTTTCTCTTCAACTGTTAACCTCTCTACCTTAACCCTAAGAAATCCTGTGTGTCCTTGCTATCCCCTCCATCAACATTCTCTGGTCCCTCTGTCTTTATCTTTGGGATTTCTGTGACTCTGGCCTCTGCCCCCACTCTCTGACCAGCAGTTTTGGCTCCTGCTGGGTGCTTTCTCCTCTGCTCTTCTCTTTTGTTTCCTTGCAAGGACATTTCTTTTCCTTGCCCTTCTCCCTTCCATCTCACTCTCTTTGTTATTAATTCTTTCAACACTGCAGCATCCTGGTCCCTGATATCATTTACCTATATTGAAAACTGGCTGGTAATTTCCATCTTCTTTGTTTATACATCAGCACAATTCTTTACCACTTTTTCTTGACACTCCTCTGTTTTTTTCAAAGCAACACACATAGCTTCCAGTGTATTTTAAATAGCCTTAAGACACCACTTTATACTGGAACACAGCCCAGTTTCCTACCTCTGCTGCCTCTTCCAAACACGACGTGGGTCCCCTGGGGGATATTGCCTGTTCTTTCCCAAGCGCTGAGAGGTGCCCTCTTGCTAATGTTATGGCATGGTGCTTTTTCAACAAAACTTAAGGAGTCTAGTTGGCTGCTCTTTTAACAAGCTTAGTGCCCTTCCTGGGAGAGTTACTTGAACTCATTTGAAAGATTACCTGGCTGATACTTCTGCCTGAAAGAATAACTATCCTAAAGTACCCGAGGTAGGTGAAAACCTAGCTTATATTTAAAACCTCCAGAAAAGGAGAATCAGTTTAACTCCCTTGATTAAAAATAATCCCCAATTTCAGGGCCCCATATTTTCTTCTGCTGTATTGTACATACTTATGTTCTGATTGATCTGATCTTCTTTATCACTTTTTAGGTACTATATGTGTGCTGGAAAATGTCAAATCTAATTCCCTTGGCTTAATACCTTGCCCAAGCTCCAGATCGATATTTTTAGTTCTCTGTCATCTCCCTGGGTGTCCTGAAGGCACTTTACACTTAGCATTCCTCCGTCCCTGCTGCCTTCTTCCTCTTGTAGTCTAGATTTTGGTTACCAGCCTCAGTCACATCCCCCATCTCCCAAGTTATACAGCATTATCCCTGGTCGTGTCTCTAATCAGTTAGTGAACCCTACCATTCCAGCAGAGGAGGACTATTTCTATTGTATTTCTGTTTTATTCTCATCCTCTTCCTCAACATTTCTCACTGAACTCCAGCATCTCTACCAGTCTTCCTCTCCAGTCCCTCTTCATCCCAATTCAAGTATACTTCTTTTGAAAAAGTAAAGTTGACCATGTAACTGTTTTTTCTTTGAAACTCTGTTGGTTTCCCATTGCCTGGGATCAATCTCTGAACTCCATATGTTGTCATTCTGGGCTTCTCAAATCTGACTCTGACCTTCTCATTCTTCAAGCTCTGGCCCTCTACTCTCTCTCTCCACCCCCAAGCGTACGAAACTTTGCCAAACCAAGCCTCTCATTGTGTCTTGGAAACAACATACCGTTCATGCCTTTGCACTTTTGCATATACTGTTTCCTTTGCTTGAGATGCCCTTTCCTCCCTTCATTACCAGACAAATTCCTTCTCGCCTTTGAGACCTAGTGCAATGTTAAATTCTTGGTAATAGTAGTAATAGAATCCCCCTTGCTAGAGTTGATGTTCCTCTGTACGGCATCCCATGGTACTTTATTCACAGTTGCATGGTACTACTCTGTACTTTATAATTTCCTTTGCCTCCTTCATTAGACTATTCACTCACCAACAGCTAGTACACAGTGCCTGGTGTTCAACAGGAAAGCCATGAATGTAACTCAACTCTATGTCTTTTTATCTCTTTACCTTCCTTCCCTTCTTTTTTTCTCCCCTTAGAGAAAAATCTGAGATAGTGTTTCAAAATCTACATTGTACAAACTATCAAAAAACAAACTAGCTGAGGTTTTAAAAAAGGTGGTGGCAGTGGATACTGCTCAGCCATAAAAAAGAATGAAATCCTGTCTTTTGCAGCAACATGGACAGAATTGGAGGCCATTATCTTAAGTGAAACCAGTCAGACACAGAAAAACAAATACCATGTGTTCTCACTTACCTGTGGGAACTAAATAATGTGTACCTATGGACGTGGAGTGTGGAATGATGGACAGTGGAGGCTTGGAGGAGTGGGGGTGAGGTGGGAAGGGGCTGGATGATGGGAAGTTGTTTGGTGGGTACAGTGTGCATTGCTGTAGTGTTGCAGACACTGAAGGCTCTGACTTCATCATAATTCAATGTATCAATGTAGCAAAATTGCACTTTTACCCCACAAATACAATCACATAAAAAATAAGATTTGAAAATCAAATTAAAAAAAAAAAGGTAGTGGGATCAAGTGAGGGATGGGGTTAGTGTATCTCCTGCCTGTCTTGAGTAGCCCAGCACTAGAGATGGCTGCAGAACTTTTTTTGAGCTTCCCAGCAGCACAAACAGAGGGTACAAGATCAGTTTATATAATTATTAGTATCTATGTAACAAAATAACTCATTTCTCTGGGAAACAGCAACCACTCTAAATCCTGAGACCTGAGAGAAGTTTCTCATGAGGGCATATGTGATTTAGTGAACACTGCCATCTTCTCCCTCTGATTTCCTGGCTGAGCTATGGAAAAATCGTATAATATTTGTCCAGTCTCTACATTAATGAGTTTTAATGAGGAAACAAATATATTTTGTTCTAGTCTGTGTCTGATAGGCAGGGACAGAAAAAAAGAGTAGAGAGGAGAGAGTCACCATTTTTGGACTAAAAGCCCTGACAGATTCATTCATTCACTCATTCATTCATCAAACAATAACTCTTAATTAAATGACCACTTTATAGGAAATTTCCCTTATACCCCTATTGCGCAATCTCTCCTATCTTAAAATTCGGCTGGAAATTATCTTACCACATATCAGCTCTTTCAAATCAGAGGCCAGAGGATGCATCGCCTAAATTGCTTTTTAAGGATTCAGCACTCAGGCTGGAGGTTTTTCAGTGGCAGCTAATGGTTGTCATAGGGAGGAACAAAAATGGCTCTTGGACATGCTTTGTTTTAAGCGTCCAGGGAACATTTTCTGGCTCTGGAAAGATTGCTTTCACAGAGCAATTTTAGCCATTATCAACTGAGAATAAAACCTACTTTACAAAATTAAATTAGCTAGTCTTCCCTCCCAGATTCATTTTTCCTCCTTTAGTGCGATGAAACCCATCTCTATTTAGCAGGCCATGTAACCTCTCCTACCTCGTTGTTCAAATCATTTAGTAAAATAAAAAGGCTTTAAAAAAGGAGGTTGCAAATATAAACACCAGTGCAATTAAGATCTCGACTCCATTACATTAATATAACTACTTTGCGTGGAGTTCATTATGATGCGCATCAGGGTTTTAATGTTTTCTCCGGTTTAGTGCTGTCCTTAGTTAGAAGGAAACAGCCTGCTCTAGGAAACAATTGCCTCTTGGGTTGGAAAATAGTTTGAATAGGATTCCATTGTGATTAATTAAACTCACACTTGATAAAGTAGAGAGAACCAAACAGTTGTTCTTCAAATTGACAGTGTATTCAGTAAATAAAAAAATTTATAACACCAAATTTAAATTTTTGTGATGTAATAATATAGTATGGAAATCACTCATCTTTATTTTTCTCTTTTTGCTGAAAACATGGTGAGCCTTTATTTTTTTTCCTATGCCAAAAATAGAGGCACAAACAAGAATGAGGGAAATTGAAAAAAAGGACTTAATTAGTGAGCGCCGGCATGATAATATGGATATAAGCCTTTATTTTCTCTCCATTACCCTCAAATTATTTCTCTCAAACATTTTATCAGACAATTCTTCTTCACAGTCAGCTCTAAATGTGTGCTGCCTCCATGAGGAGGGGCCGTCCATCTTTCTCCCTGCATAACAGCCTCCCTTCCTGGAAATCAGTCACCAAACTGAAAAGCAGCTCCTCTCCCCTTTCAGTTCCTCTCCTGACCTAACCCACGCCTCCACTCCACTCAGCAGGGCCTTCAGGAAATAACCATTGTCAGCCCTTAGAATATGAGGCAAGCTACGTCAGTGATATTAGAGAACTGTAACTAACGTGTCTGAAAGGAGAATAATGAGCCCTGCTTTGAAAAATGTCATTTTCACTCAGCCTCTCCTTCTCTCCGTCTCTCTATTTTGTCTTTGCCTTGTTTTCCTCTCTCCTTATGCCTTTCTTTGTGCCTGTGTTTTTCTGTGTCTGTCCATCCTCCTTAGTAGGTCCATCCGTTTCCTCTCCCTGAGCACCACCTCATCCCGGCATCCTTCTTTGCTTTCTCTCTCTCCCTCCTCCCTTCTCCTCTCCTCTTAAATTCTAAGTCTCTGGGTTGCAATCAAGATCCTTGAAGCCAACCAGGCGTGGTATCTCACGCCTGTAATCCCAGCACTTTGGGAGGCCCAGGCAGGTGGATCAGCTGAGGTCAGGAGTTCAAGACCACCCTGGCCAACATGATGAAACCCCATCCCTACTAAAAATACAAAAATTAGCCAGGCATGGTGACATGTGCCTGTAGTCCCAGCTACTTGGGAGGCTGAGGCAGAAGAATCAATTGAACTCAGAAGGCGGAGGTTGCAGTGAGCCGAGATCGCGCCATTGCACTCCAGCCAGGGCAACAAAGTGAAACTCCCATCTCAAAAAAAAAAAAAAAAAGAAAAAAAATCCTTGAAGCCAAATAAAGAGTGATGGAGCATGTCTCTGGAGAGTGTCTTGAATTAACTGGCAAGACTCAGGAACAGCTATTAATGAATCAAGGCAGCTAGCTCCCCAGGGTCAGCCAGTGTTACTGGGGCAGCACATTCAAATACTTTTGGTCGTCATTGAGAAGCTCAGTTTGGGCCTTAAGTGCTGATTTCTCTTCTGATGGAGTGTTGCTCCCAAGGCTACAGCAGGATCTGTGTGATACTTAAAGTTACCTCTCTTGGTGTTGTCCATTGTTGACACTGTCACCACCAAGGCATAGCCCACAGTGAGCTCTATGAGCTGACTCAGCTAGAGAGCAACATGGACCTGAGGTAGGTGGGGACAGGATTTAAACTTTCCTTAGCCATTAGGGTAGGGGTGTCCAATCTTTTGGCTTCCCTGGGCCACACTGGAAGAAGAAGAATTGTCTTGGGCCACACATAAAATACACTAACACTAACAATAGATGATTAGCAACAAACAAAGAAAAACACACAAAAAAATCACAATGTTTTAAGAAAGTTTATGAATTTATGTTGGGCTACATTCAAAGCTGTCCTGAGCCACATGCGGCCTGCAGGCTGCACATTGGACAAGCTTGCTTTAGGGTGTACCAAAGAAATATGTCCCCTTAAACACCTTCTACATTTTGGAGGAAAGCCAGCTTCTCACAGGGGACTGGTAGCTTTCTGATAAACAGCCTACTGGGCTAAGACACCCATAAGCATACTTGTTTGCTCGTGATGTGCAGGCTTGAGAAACAGAATTACCAAAGCATTCTGCAAATCCAAAGAGATGAAATACGATAGAAACTTTATTGATTTGGCACGCTTGACTTTCCCTTTCTGAGCTTTTGATGAATGTCTAGAACGAATGTATAACAAACACCCGTGGTCTAACTGCTGTCTACTGATTTCTGATTCTTTTTCCCTCTGTGACTTCACAGACCTTGTTTTACAGACTCTTCAAGACAGTTGAAATAATTTATTTTTAAAGAATAATTTATAAAATGAAAACTAAACCCAGGTTTTAGCCTTGTTCACCTAGCAAGAATAGAGGAAAAGAGTTAAAAATACTTTTAAAGTCTAGCTATTAGGGAATATAGCAGCTAAAAATTTACTTACTCTTACTTCTTACAATCTTTCAGTCCTTGGTGCCATCTATAAAGTTAGAAAAACAAGACTTAGAAAATCCTCAGGTCAGTTCAGTCTAAAACATATTTATTAACTATTATGTACCAGGTACTGATGAAGGGCAGGGATCCTGGGGTAAGTAGGACATGGTTCTTGCCCTCAAAGAGCTCACAGTCTTCATGGACCTTCCAGAGATTGTATGAGGAAAGTGCTGAGTAAATGTCACTTCTCTTCTTTTTACCTTGATATAAGGACTTTCTAAGGACAGTGGGCAAACACTCATTAGAATCCTTTCTTATCTTAAATGGTCAGGTTTCTTCCTATTTGTTTTGTGTTCTTGGTAAAGTGGTAGCATCTCTGTACTCATATACCACTTTGCATATACTTTTACTTCCAAACTGTGACCAGGGCATGTTTGTTAAATGCATGCATGCATGAGGGCCTGAATTGTTTTGCAATTACTTTTTAAAATCAATTTGTCTTTTACTTTGGACTCTATGAACTCTTTCAGGAAGAGAAGGCCATGTCTTTCTCATGTTTGTGTCCCCAAATAATATGTGCTCACAAAATCTCTTGGAGTTACATTTAATTTCATGCCTCCTTTTTGGGTGAAAAATGGGATGCTTTTCTCCTGGCCCTCATCCCGAACACACTGGGTGTGGGATTGTTGTGAGGACATATAAAGTGTGGATCTCAGTGGATCTGCGTAGCTTGGAAAGCGTGGTTTTGGGGGTGAGTGGTGGCAGCTATCATACATTATGAACAAGCATGGCAGTGTGTTTCTGGGTGTTCTGCTCTGAAGCGTTTCTGCAGAGACCAATTCTTAGCAACAATTAAGTAAGCATTTTTTTCTTCCTTCTGCCAGCTGTGAAATGAAGGTGTTGGCTACCTTCTGGTTTCCTCTAAATTAGCATACCCCTCTCTTGGTTGCAGATATTGTATATAAATCCTCTGTGGGTGCTTGTTCATTAGCTCCATGAAGTTTCTTTGGGTCTCTCCTCCCTTCCTTCTCTCAGAATCTCCCTGACATAAGCTCCTCATGGTTCCTAACCCTTCAGGCTTATCACTTTGTCTCATTGTCCTCTTGCCTGGTTTAGAGGTGGTAGCCTGATTTTGGAATTCTTAAGATACTACTGCAATGAAGAGCCTCTACATTTTACTTCTTAACAGTGACCCAGAGGTACCTCACCCCAGTTTCATCTTTGGTCCAGGGAATAGAACAGCCTAGGGCTCTTCACCTTGTTCTGTATCTGTGGAGAAAGCTGTGATTCCCCTAGGATGAGCTGATGTTCAGAATGAGTACAGCTTTCTCAACTGGAGGTGTAGGAGTAGGGGAAGATTATGGGTGGATCTAAGGTAAGCATCTTTCCTTCTTACTCACAGGACACACAGCTAGCCTTGCTTTCATCCAGGTATACAGCAGAAGAGGTTTGTGGATGTCATTTGCATCTCCTTGCTAAAGATAGGCAGCAAGTTCATATGCTGGCTCCTAGAAGGGAAAAGTTGGGAAATGCCATAAAGAACTTTTTTGGGATTAGAAACTATTGAGAATGCTTGCCTCATTATTAAAAAGATTCTAGAACAGGACAGATCTAAGGAGATACATCTGATCCTAGACTTTTTTTTTTTCTTGTTTTGGAACACTCGGAGTCTGGCCCTGTCACCCAGGCTGGAGTGTGGTGGCGTGATCTTGGCTCACTACAACCCCTGCTTCCCGGGTTCAAGCGATTCTCCTGCCTCAGCCTCCAGAGTAGCTTGGATTACAGGTGGCTTCCACCACGCCCAGCTAATTTTTGTATTTTCAGTAGAGACGGGGTCTCACCATGTTGGTCAGCCTGGTCTCGAACTCCTGACCTCAGGTGATCCACCCGCCTTGACCTCCCAAAGTGCTGGGATTACAGGCATGAGCCACCATGCCAGGCCTGATCCTCGACTTTTAAAGTCATTCCTCTACCCCCAGACATTCAGCTCCAGGGAAAGGACAGTGTCAAGGGCAAAGGCAGCAAAAATCTAAGGGTTTTGGAGAGTGGTTGGCAGGGCCAACTTAAGGGCCTGGCTCTGTAACTCTTTCTCATTTTTCAGGTGTCTCCTTAGCCCTTGGGAAGGCTTCTAGATGCCCAAATGCTGGGTTCTGTGTGCCCCCTTAACACACTGTGCCTACAATTCTGCCAGCCCCCAGCCCATCCAAGGCCCATGTTTGTGAGACCGTAACAGTACTGAATGCAGGGGCTGCTGCTTTTCCTGCATGTGCCTGCAGATATGTAATGTCACACAGACATTACGGGCATTCACTGGGGACTTGCTGAATGAGTATATTAGGCAGATCCTTTATAGCACAGGTGGTCCACTCTAGGAAAAGCCCTGCCACCTCAAAATGTCTCCAAGGTAACTTGTGCCCAGAATGTGCCCATGGAGTATTAACTTTAGGGTTTACATTTTTCTCCCTAATTCCTACACAAAGTCTGTGAATGAACACAATACCTTCTCTTCATGAATTTATAAAGGCCACCCTTGTCCTAGTTCCTAGCAAAGGCACATCTTCGATGAGTACTATTTCCCTTTTGATGATATGCAGGCAACCCTGGAAGAAGTGGCATTTTACACTGTCCAACAGGAATTAGATAAAAATCTGGAGAAATTTGTGGAGCAGATTGTTGTACCAGGAGAGAGCACATAGAAAATTAAATAAGTTAATATTTGAAAAGCACATAGTCAACACTATATAAGTCTTTTTAAATGGAGAAACAAAGTGTTACTGCTGTTATTGTTATTATTAGACATTAAAACATTATGCAGACTAGAACATTATTGCTTAAACTACCGAAGTTCTGATATTTCAAAGAGAAAATGTTTTACATTTTGGAAGTCTCCAAAATATAACATGGAAGTACTCTTGGCTTGAGGTTTATTCTATTTAACACCTTTCAATAGGGCAACATCTGGATGTTATCAAGGCTTGGCAAGATGAGATGCCAAAATTACAAATTCTGGAAATGCTGTGCATTAGGCACTCTTGTCTTTGCCTGTAATTGCCTTAAAGATATAAAAGAGCCTGATTGTAATAACTCCCCTAGTGTAACTATTCTTCATTTCTATTCCACAAGAGAAGATAGCAGGAAGTAATATCACTCTAAGGGTATGAGTACGGAGAGAAGGAGCTAATCCTTAAATATGTGTGCCCTGCATCTCAAATAAGCCCTGAACAACAGTGTGAAAGGATTACGGGTAATCTTATATATATCCCTTAACCTATTAACTGGAATAATTGTTGCACTAAGATAAGACGCCCCTAAGTATTCCAGGCTAGGTGGCCCTAGGTCAGAAAGCATTTATTATTTATTTCCTAAAGTCCTGTTCTCCAGTGATAGGGACGGAAATTTGGCAGACTGGGTCTCCCCTTGTCAAGCAAGTGAAATGGTTGTTTCATTTTTAATCTGGATCCTTTGCCCTGACAGATAAATCTGAAGAGTGCTGTTAAGAATGTGATGAATTGGGCTTCTGGTGATGTCTGTGGGAAAGGGAGCAAGATACAGCAGCCTGGAACTACTTTCATTGCACACAATTGCAGGTCTTTTAAAATGGTAGAGCCAACCATTGCCGAGAAGACTTAAGCAAGGAGAAAAGTTTGTCTCAAACATGCCTTGAATTCTGTCAGTGCACTTCATCTCTCATTTCAGGGAATGTGTTGAGGGTCTTTGGATTGAGCTGGAATGATGGAGAACACTTGAGTACTATTGTGTCTGAGTTAGTTTTGCCCCTGGGTACCATGACACTTTGTGAGCAGAGAAATGGGTGCTTCTGTGTTACAGTTCAACAGCTCTAGCTGGAGGTGAGCTGTGTAACACAGAGAGGGTAAGGCATGTCTGAGTCACTCTTGGTACCACGTGGCTAGGTACCATGCTGCCAAGCATAAAGATAAGCAGCAGTTTAATCCTTATTTGAGTAATCTGACCTGAGGAGATAGCCAAACTGTGTGATTACCATTCCCAACTAGACTTTTGAGATGGGCAGATCACCTGAGGTCACGAGTTCGAGGCCAGCCTGCCTAACATGGTGAAACCCCGTCTCTACTAAAAATACGAAAATTAGCTGGGCATGGTGGTGGGCTCCTGTAATCCCAGTTACTTAGGAGGCTGAGGCAGGAGAATCGCTTGAACCCAGGAGGCGGAGGTTGCAGTGAGCCGAGATCACACCATTGCACTCCAGCCTGGGCAACAGAGTGAGACCTTGTAAAAAAGAAAAAAAAAGAAAGAAAATAAAGAAAGAACAAAAGTGGTAAAGCAGTCAGGGTTTGGTCAGGAGACAGAAATCACAATAGTATAGTCATGAGCCGCATAATGACATTTCTGTCCAACACAGACTGCCTATATGATGGTGGTCCCATAGATTACAACACTGTTTTTACTGTACCTTTTCTATGTTTAGGTATGTTTGTATATACAAATACCATTGTGTTACAATTACCTACCACATTCAGTACAGTAACATTCTGTACAGGTTTGTAGCCTAGAAGCAATAGACTATGCCATATGGCCTAGGGTTGTAATAGGCTATACTATCATCTAGGTTTGTGTAAGTACATGCCATGATGTTCACACAATGATGAAATTGCCTAACAACACATTTCTCAGAACATATCCCCATCATTAAGTGAGACATGACTAATAGTTTGGACAGGGAAAACTTAATACCACATAAAAATAAGGAACTAATTAAAGGGTATTATCTACTAAGAAGTATAAAGGGAATTCTCAAGAAAACTGGGGTAAGACGCAGGGAGCAGTCACTAGGCATAGGGCTGAAAGACAGTATTCAAAGAAAGTATAACCTTGAAGGAAGTCCTTCCAGTTCAGTTTCAAGGCTGTGATTCATTTAATGTGGTCTAGTAGATGTCAGAGAAGTCCACTGAAGTGATGCAGGATGGGCTGCCGAGCAGGAAGCCACCTGTTGTGGTGAGGGTGAAACTCTTTGGAGGGTTTGTGTCATCAGGTCTTCTGCATGCCCCTACCAAGGGAGCTGCTGGTTGGCAAGGAGACAGCTCATTGTTTTCTAAGAACAGAGCTGGAACCAGAAGAGAAGCCCCTTCCTTGTGCAGTGTCCCTCTAGCGCCCTCTACTGACAAGGTCTAACATTGTGCCCGCTAACGAAAGAAATTAGGTCCAGCTCCAGTTATCATAATGTAGGGCAGAAAAGGGCATATGTGGGGTTCAGAGACAGTAAATTGGAACAGGCATAGGTGGGGAAGTAAAGGTTGTCTTAGAGAGGGGAGAGGAGGTTGGAGTGGGTGGAGCTGCGGATAAATTAGGATGAGACTAAGCGATGCACAGACCATGGTCCTGAAGTGTGGCTGAAAGAGTGGGGATGGAAAGGAGGGGGAATTAGAAGAATACTCAGGGGATGTAATAAATAGGTCTCTGTGGCGGATGAGCCAGAGACGGGCCAGAGGGAAGTGGCAGGCATGCTCCCTATGTTTGGTGGCTTTCCTATCTGAGAAAAATGGCAGGTTTGGGCTTCAAGGAAGATAATGAATTGTTTGGACTTCTCAATTTATGGTACCTGTAGACTATCCTAAAATTCAGAATTTCCTGGAAAAAGCACAACAGATTCAAATATTCAAATACCCAAATATGTAGTGGAGCTATAGAGTTCCACAACTGATACAAAACTCACATGCAAAGAAAAGGAATGAAAAACAAATTTCCACCTTAAGAAGAAATTCAACAAAATTTATTTTCAGAAATAAACTTCCTTCAAATTTATAAAAATCTAATGAATTTCCATTCAAGCTTGGAGCTGCAGTACTTTTTTATAATATGGGAAGTTGTAATTTAATTTTTTAAAAGATTGAGAGGTGGGATTTCACTATGTTGCCCAGGCTGGACTTGAACTCCTGGGCTCAAGGGATGCTCCCATCAACTTCTGGAGTAGCTGGGATTACAGGTGTGCACAGAAACTGTAATTTGAATAAAGATCACCATTAAAGTTCAGTGTATTTGTGCGTGTGTTTCTGTGTTTGGAGTTTTGTTGTTGTTTTGTACAGAAAGAAACTTAAAAATCTGTATATAATTTCCAACTGAATGAACTTTCTATATTAAACAGAGTAGAAAATATAATATTTTTACAGGCTGTTACATTTTATTGCAGGCCAAAAGCTGTCTCACTCTTTCTGTATATATACACATATACCCAAAGGAAGGAGGTGGAGCTAATGGGCTGAGAAGTCAAAAAACAAAACAAAACAAGTGTAATTTTTCCTTAGCGCTCATTTCTCGAACCACACATTGTAGCACTTGGTTGTATTTTGTATTTTTCTATTTTGTGTCCAGTTGCTTTCTGTATATAAGTCCTGCTTCCTCTTTCATACTTATTCCTAGAGGGCAGGACAGATACCACATGCTATTTATTCTTCACAATTTAATAAGAACTTATCAATAAAGAATTCATTTTTATTGTTCAACACAGGCTTACTAAGCATCATTCTGAGCCAACACATGCCTAGGTGATCCTTGGAACAAGCATGAAAAACACACAGTTCCTGTCCTTGAGGAACTCATGATTTAAATGAAGAAAAATGTAAATGAGACCATTTTGATAAAATATAGTTGGATGCTTAAAGTGATAATCCATTCTTTGGTCAGACTCTTGAATTTTGAATGGATCTTTGAAATAAGGATCCAGGAAGTACCATCCATTCTTTCCACCAAAGTTTGTGAGTTTACTGGGTATCAGACACAGTGTGGGATAATCAGAACTCCAGTAGTATTTATATGTAAAAATCAAATGAATGTTCCCATATTATATGGAATTGTACTGGAGAGGACATCAGAACAGTCTAAAGCTTTATAAACTTGACAAGAACGCTGGGAAGAATAACGAGTTAATCTTCCACAAAATGCTTTGAACACAGAAAGTACCAACATAAGTGCTAATTATTATTATTAGCCCCAAGACCTTTTTCCCTGTACTGTTAGATCCATCATAAAATTGCTTAACTTCAAGGGAAAGTATTGTTCTTTACATGAGCACTTTTTGTGAAGTCAAATGTTAATATATGCATTTATGGAAAAAACACATCTTTCATTATTCTTTTTATCCTCCCTAGAGGGAAGACATTGTGTCATTTATCTACTCTGTAAGGTCCCTAGCAAAGCAATGTGCATTTTGTTGCTCTATGTTGGCAATGGCTGGCTTGCCTTAAGAAGAAGCAAAATGTATATTTAGAATCTTATCTGGGGCCAGGCATGGTGGCATGCATCTGTAGTCCCAGGTACTGGGGAGGCTGTGGTGGGAGGATCACCTGAGCCCCTGGGAAATCGAGGCTGCGGTGAGCTGTGATCTCATCACTGCACTCCAACCTTGGTGATGAAGCGAGACCCTGTCTCAAAACAAACAAAAAAAATCCAACAACAACAGAAAAAACCCCAAAGAATCTTAGCTAGGACTACAAACTAGTGAGATTTAAAAATAACAGAACTTAGATAAACTAAAAATATTTGCATTTTAAAGTGGTTACCGGGGAGACTATAGAGTCTACATTATCAGAGATCTGTCATCACTCCAAATATTTTGGTTCTTGTCATCTGGAATTGCTTTCAAAACCACTTGTGAAAACCATATTAAAAGCTAGTGCCATTACTTCATTTCACATCTGATACACAGAAAAGAACATGAGAGACCAAAAGTGAAAAATATATCCAAAGGGAATGCTCTGTGTTGGTGTGTGCAAGGCTCAGAAAGTCAATGAGTTAGAAACTCATTGCACTAATATGAAGCAAATCATTCTATACACACCCACATAAACTCAAGAAAATTTCAAACACAAACATTGAAAGTTTTTAAAGCATTTTAAAATTTCAAATTTCGGTTATACTGGATCTCGTGGGAAAAAAAAATCAAAATCATGTTTAAAAGACATTCACCAAAGAAGGAAAGAAGGCAAACAGGGAGAATAACCTCCACGACCCCCCGCCCCCAACACACACACACAATTCCTCTCTGCCCTCTTTCCAGGAGTCTAATCAAATGTTCTGAAAAACCAACTAATGACCACCCCCTCTCCCAGGTTGTTTCTTTCTTTCTTTCTTCCACCTCAGGTGACAATAGTCAGAAATTTTTGGTTACTTTCCACCATTTTCTAATGAACCTGTTTGTTGTCTGGAAGAGGAAAGAGAACTAGATAATGGGCAGCTGGAAGATAGAGCTGGCTAGTCACAGGCTCTTATTCCTTTCCCTGTCTTATACATCTTTTTAAGGCTTGTATTGGTTTGCTAATGTTTCTGTAACAAAGTACCACAAACGAGGTGGCTTCAACAACAGAAATTTATTGTCTCACAGTTCTGGAGGCCAGCAGTCCAAGATCAAGGTGTTGGCAGGGTTGTTTTTTTCTTAAGACGTGAGGAAGAATCTGTTCCATGACTCTCCCCTAACTTCTGGTGGTTTGCTGGTAATCTTTGCTGTTTCTTGGCTTGTAGACACATCACCTTGATCTCTGCGTTGATGTTCACTTGCTGTTTTTTCTGTGTGTATGTCTGCCTCTGGATTTCCCCTTTTATCAGGACACCAGTCATGTCAGATTAAGGCAAACTCTAATAATCTCATTTCAACTTAATTACCTTTGTAAGACTCTTTCTCTAAATAAGGTCACATTCTGAAGTACTTGGGTTTAGGACTTCAACATGTAAATTTGTGGGGAACACAATTTGACCCATAACAGCCTAGAGTGAGGGTGCACGGAGAAATGAAAATGTGGGGAAAAAGAAAGCCTAACAGCTAGACTTTTCGCACTATGGCATATATAAACAGGACGTCGTTCTTCTCACTTTCATAAATTGTCATACCTATAAGGGTCTGAGCTAAGGCACCTTTTCATATCCATCTCAGATAAATTCCTATAGCACTTTACTTGTACCTATCTATGACACTCATAATTTTCTACCTTGTACTGCAGTTTATTATGTGCATAATTTATTTCTCTTATCAAACTATAAACTTCTTTAAAGCAGTATCTAATCCATCTTTGTTTCTATTTCTTGACCTAGTACAGTACCTTGAACATGATCGGTATTCAATAAATTATCATTGAATCCATAAATGGCTGTCCAGACTTTATAGGCCAGAGTTCAAAAAGTATATAAACTCACTGTTAAGCACTATATTGGTCAGGATAAGTTAGGTTGTACTGCAGGATCAAATTACTCCAAATTCTCAGTGATTTAATACAAAAAAGTTTATTTTTTGCTGAGGCAAAAATCTTGTAGAAGTCCAGGCAGTTCCTTAAACTGTTAGTCCTCCATGTGGAAGCAAAGTACCCTGGACAATTTCATCTTAGCATTAAGCAAGCCAGAAATGTGAAATGTCAATCTCAGGGACCTTTTCTTTTTCCCTAAAAAAAAAGTATCCTATATTACTGTTGTGTACAGTATTTACTGAGCCCTTAACTATGTACCAGGCAGTATTGTAGATGCTGGGATCCAACAGTGAAAAAGACACACTAGAGGATACATTCCTGTGTTGAACAAGGATTGAAAAAAGGAGTGGCCAAATAAATGAGATATTTGCATACAATTATAAATGCCATAAAGAAAGTAGAACAGGATAATATGGCACAAAATAACTTTCTTGTGATTTCAGTGCCAGTATGTTCTAAAAATCTTAGTCTTCTATTAGAAAATTAGTCATGGGAAAATAAATTCACACAAAATATTTAAGAAAAGAAAAAAATCTTAAAAATGGAAACACACACTCTATTTCAGTTATCTATTGCTGTAGAATAAACCACCCCAAAACTTAGTGGTTTAAAACAACAGTAATTGTATATTTGCTCAGAATTCTGTGATTTGGGTAAAGCTTGGTGGGAAAACCTCATCTGTGCTCCATATCTGTTGGGCTGGAATGTCCAGAATGTCTTTTTTATTCACATGACTATTGACTGAGTTGAATGTCTAAATTATGGAGACTATCTGAGCATCTCTATCTCCATGTGTCTACTCCAAATGGCTAGCTTGGGGTTCCTCACAGTATTGCAGCTGGGTTTCAAGACGGAGCATTCCAGGAAAATACGCTCAGGGCCCTATCAATCCTTTGCTTGCATCACACTTACTAATGTCCCATAGACTAAGGGTAGTCACATGGCCAACCCTAGAGTCAACCTGGCAGAGAACTACACAAGGGCATGATAAGAGAAATGGTTCATTGAGAGCTACCAAAATATCTGTTTATCACTGTCAACAATCTGGCCTCTAATAATTCTCATTCCTCCTGCAATACCCTCTGCTTTTGCTGAGACCCCCATAATCTCATTCTGTTACAGCATGAGATTTGGACTTGAAGTCTACAATCTCATCATCTAAATCAGGCCCAGGTGAAAGATGAGGCTTCTTAGGTATAATCACTTTTGATTTGAATACCAGTGAACTGAAGAGATGAAGAGATAAGTTATATTCTCCCTCATGCCCATAACCATCAACATATAATGGTGAAGCAAGGACTGAAAAATGGCAATAAAAGGTCCATTCAAAAAGGGGGAAATGTGAAAAATATAGCAGTCACCAATCTTAAGCAACCTGCAATCTAGCTGGGTACATATTTTCAGATCTTAGGGCCTAGTTCTGATATCTGGAAGTGATTCTCCATGGCTCATGCTTACAACTGAGTGGCTTTCAGTCTTCATCTTGCTCATAGAAGGTTGAGAGCACAAAGGCTTCTTTTTATTTTGAAATGCTTCTGTCTCTTTTAGTTCAATCTGGCAATGTTTGTGCTAGTACAATTCTCTTTAAAACTTTGTGGGTTTCTTAGGTATCTTATTAGGGGTTAACTTCATTAGACAAAAGTTATACCCACAAAGCTCTTTAAAACTGATCCCTTCCTAATTTTGCCTGCAAGTCAGGGTGCTATGGGATAATACCTTTACTATTTTTAGAAGATCTTTATTTCTTCTCTTTTCTTTCTTTTTTTTTGGTGAGAGAGTTTGAGGCAATTTGTGAGGATTCCTAGAAGCCCCTTTTTCTATCCAAGGGAATTTATGGGTCAGAGCCCTAAATCTTTTCTGAGATCTCACAAGCAGTATCCTTGATTTCATCTTTACTTTGAGTCCCTATTTTATTGGTATTGTTCTGGATTTGATATGAGGCAGATTTTACTTTGAGAATATTTTTCCAAGGAACACTGGGGATGAGAATTTATTTTTGAACCCCAAAGCCTTTGCATTTTCTTCAAATTCTGCTTGAAAACAGAATAGCTAATTCTTTAGTTCATCTTACACTTCCCATAACTTAACTTAGGCAACTAAAAGATGCAAGGTGCTACTTTAAACATCCCGTGTGGATATCTTCATAGCTGGATCCACAAGTTAATTAGGTATCTTTTCTATTTTGCACATTACTGTTGGTGATAGTTTTGCTAATGAATCTACACATCCATAACTTGGGTTTTCTTTTCTCCAGCTTCCAGAAAGCAATTTCCTCTCCGCTCTTTTAACTAACATTAAGTGTCTTCTTGAGATTTATCAGGTCTCCACCTATTGCACAATTCCAAATCCCACATGTCTTAGCTTTTTGTTGTAGGAGTACTCCACTTTGGGTATCAATTTCTAACTTCCAGTTTACTTCAGGGACTGTTTTACCAATTGTTCTGCCAGTACATGATTCAAGCTTTCTTTTCTCCAGTGTCTGATAGCTATTTTATCACTGCCCTTCCATTCTTCACTAATACAAAAACTCAAACAAAAATCTCTTTTAAATTATATCCTTAGGGGAATAAGTACACATTTAATTTGGTCCCCTATATCTTCTGGATCATCATTTTCAGCACTGTAAAGTCATAATTGCAGTTATTAAAATTTCTCAATTGCCTAAGATTCAGTTTTCTTAGAAAGATTGCAAACAATTGCCTGTCTTTCTTTCCCTTCCTTCCTCCCTGCCCTTCCTTCTTCTTCTTTCCTTTCTCCTTCCCTTCTTCCTTCCTCCTTCCTTCCTCCCTCCCTCCCTCCCTTCCTTCCTTTTCCTCCCTCCCTCCCTCTGTCCCTCCCTCTCTCTCTTCTCTCTTTCTCCCCTCCCTCCCTCCCACCTTCCTTCCTTCCTTCCTTCCTTCCTTCCTTCCTTCCTTCCTTCCTTCCTTTTATCCAGGTACATAGTATTTAGCTTTAGGGTGCAGAAGTAAATACATTTTTTTCTTGCATGATACTTACTGTCTAGTGAGAAACTTACTTGTCATTTATCCTAAAAAATATATTAACCAGAAGACCTATTTTGGTTATTGGATAACCCAAGGGAAAATTTCAAAGTAAACAAAACTTGTCTTTGGCTTACCTCACTTCACTTGTTGGCAAAAATTTCTCCACTTTTGGAAATCTAGTCACTGAGGTCTACTGTTTTTATGTTTTTCTTAGGAAGCCTTTGTCCTTTGCTTGATTTCTTCCAGAACGGGCCTCAGAATCTATCCATAGTTTTCCTGCTTTTCTTTACACAAATACATATATATCTCTACCTTCTTCTTTGATTTCCCCAGGGCCTTGGTCTTGACTAAATTTTCCCAAGCTTTTTTTTTTTCTTTTTTTCCCAGTAATGTGATATTGGGGCATCATTGCTTTCTCTGATAAAATGGTAACATTTAGACAGATACTTTTCTTTCTAGAGATGAAACATGTGAACCTAAAGAATGTCTAAAACTATGACTAGGCATGTGAGGAAGATATGTAGGGGTAAACTGGCCTTTCAGGCCTCCTTAAGTTGCCATGGCAACTCCATGTGGCTTCTGTCTCTCCTCCTGGGATTCTCCATGTGACCAGGCCCTTGTGCTGGAGTAGGCATGCTTTCAAGAGTGGATAGAACCAGTGGCTGTGCAATTAAATTTCTCCAATTTATTTTCAGGCCAAAGAGGTTTGCAATGTAGGTCTGGCTTTACACCCTTACTTAAGAAAACATCTTATGGCTCCTCAAGGATCCGAAGGAACCTAATTAGCCACATAGTAAAATCTGTACTTTGTGGCCACCAGAACTTTGACAGCAAGTGTAAGTAACTTTGTGACCAGCATTTGCTTTTCATATTTACTTGAAATAAATCTATGTTATCTCTTCTGTGTATTTAAGATCTGAAGAAAAAGATTTCTGACCCCACCTCTTGTTCACAAGACAGGGGGTATGACCCTCTGGCAGGGTTTTCAGCTCTTTACCCGCATTGGGTATTTTATTTTTTATTTTTTATTTTTTTTTTGAGACAGAGTCTCGCTCTGCCACCCAGGTGGGGGTGCAGAGGCAGGATCTCAGCTCACTGCAACTTCCGCCTCCTGGGTTCAAGCGATTCTCCTGTGTCAGCCTCCCCAGCAGCTGGGAGTACAGGTGTGCACCACCATGCCCAGCTAATTTTTTGTATTTTTAGTAGAGACTAGGTTTCACCATGTTGACCAGGATGGTCTTGATCTCTTGACCTCGTGATCTGCCCGCCTCGGTCTCCTAAAGTGCTGGGATTACAGGCATAAGCCACCACGCCCGGCCTGGGATTTTTATCTGTGAGGATTAAGTGAGGTGTCAGGACGCAAGGAAGACAGCTGGGCTGAGGGGGATGCCCCGGAGCCTGCTCCCAGGGAGGAGGTGGCCTGAAGGTGCTGCAGCCAGACTCTGCCTCTTGCTGCTTGTGGGACCTATTGGGTTTGGAAACAAATACATTTCTATAAATGTGGAATGTTCTCAAGTGAAGAGAAGAATGGGAAAACCTCACTTAATCTCTTCAATGATAGTTTCTTTGTTTTTTGTTGTTGTTTTGAGACAGACAGGGTCTTGCTCTCTTACCCAGGCTGGGGTGCAGTGGCACAATCACGGTTCACTACAACCTCGACGTCCTGTGCTAAAGCAATCTTCCTACCTCAGCCTTCTGAGTAGCTGGGACTACAGGCATGTGCCACCACACCTGGCTAATTTTTTAAAAAATTTATTTTTTGTAAAACCAAGGTCTCACTATGTTGCCCAGGCTGGTCTCAAACTCCTGGGCTCAAGCGATCCGGGTCCTGTTTTGGCCTCCCAAAGCGCGTGAATTACAGGAGTGAACCACCGCCCGCAGTCTTCAATGATAGTTTATCTTAAAATATAAAATGCAGATAGTAACATCTGCCCAGCCTTCCCAAAGATGAATTATATTTACAGTTCTGACCATCCTGGGGAAGAAGATGTTCATAATTTCTGAGAAAGTTTCTGCAAACCAAAACAAAAATATGTTCCTGTAGGGAAGAGCAGGTCTCTCTGACTTTCTGACTCAGCTTGAGTTCCCGTTGGTGGGCAAGTAAAATTGCTTTTCTGTGCTTCTTTGAGAGCAAGATGAAACCCAGACAGGGAGGGACATTCCTTTGTACATTTACTGCTACGTGGAAGAATTTTCTTTTTCTTTCTTATAGGAATAAAAATAGAATCTAAAAATGTTCCCTTTTTTTGGGTGTAGTTAGGTGTGAAACAGCTTAAAACCATCATTTAAATAGTTATGACAAAGCTACTTCTTTTTTTCAGGGAGAAAAGGTATAATCCTATTATCTTTGTGTGGTTATCAGCACCACTTGAAATTCCAATTAGTGCAGCTAATCACCATGGGCTCCTCTAGTACTTAGCTGGCAAATAGCTAAGTCTAATTAATACTTTGGAATGGTAGGTAAATGACATTTATTTTACTCCTGTAGGCACATTTTCTAAGTAAAGTTCTGATTTGGGGCTTGTTTCATTGCAAATGGATGATTTATAAAGAGGAACAACAACGACAAAATTCTGTATGAAACTAACAAAATAAGATCCTAAATGATCTTATCTAATCTAAAAGGAACTAAGTCCTAGAGAGAAAGGTAGTCCACTCGCTGTCCAGTCAAAGACATACTTCTCATCCACTTATTGTTAAAAAAAAAAAATCTATGAAATAGGAGAGGAATTATTCATTTAAATTCAGATTTGTAAAGACATACATTACCATTTGACCCTTTAACAATGATTCGTTTGATTAGGATAGAATATTATATTACTAATAACTTGGACCTCTGAGCTTTTTAATGCAAAGGACTTAGAGCCTGGGGCCTCTGGCAAGTCCATTATAATCACCTGGCTGATCTCCATGCAAAATGATACCTTTCCTGTGGCCACTAAGCATTTTATTTATTTGTTTATTTTTAATTAATTAATTGTTTTGAAGCAGAGTCTCACTCTGTCACCCAGGCTGGAGTGCAGTGGTGCAATCTCAGCTCACTGCAACATCTGCCTCCAGGGTTCAAGTGATTCTCCTGCCTCAGCCTCCTGAGTAGCTGGGATTAGAGGTGCCTGCCACCATGCCTGGCTACTTTTTGTATTTTTAGTAGAGATGGGGTTTCACCATGTTGGACAGGCTGGTCATGAACCTCTGACCTCAAGTAATCCGCCCACCTCAGCCTCCGAAAGTGCTGTGATTACAGGCATGAGCCACCATGCCTGGCCCCAGTAGGCATTTTAAACTGGAACTTGGCTGAGGGGCAATCCCCGTTCTTCCATGTAGAAATTCTCTGTTAGCAACACCCACTACCTGTCAATTCAGAGTTTCATCATCTCCTGTCCTAGTGAGATCCTGGAGTTGATTTAGATGAGGGTCAGCTTTATAGGGGGAAGCAAGGCTTGATCACCTGCCCACTGTTACCTATGGCCCCATGTTGACCATTGTGGTCTACATATGTCTCAGAGGAAGAGACAGGAGGGTTCACAACTTAGTCAAACTCACTGTGACTACTGGAAAATCCATTCTGATGGTTGGTCATTATTGTCCCCTCAATGTTTGAAGATAAACACCACAATATTAATATTAACCCAAAAAGTAAGGGTGTATTAGTTCATTTTCATGCTACTGATAAACAATACCCAAAACTGGGAACAAAAAGAAGGTTAATTGGACTTACAGTTCTACATTGTTGGGGAGGCCTCAGAGTCATGGCGAAAGGTGAAAGGCACTTCTTACACAGTGGTAGAAAGAGAAAAATGATGAAGAAGCAAAGGCAGAAACCCCTGATAAACCCATCAGATCTCACGAGACTTAATCACTATCACAAGAATAGCATGGGAAAGACTGGCCCCCATGATTCAATTACCTCCTCCTGGGCCCCTCCCACAACACGTGGGAATTTTGGGAGATACAATTCAAGTTGAGATTTGGGTGGGGCACAGTCAAACCATATCATTCCATCCCTGGCCCCTCCAAATCTCATGTTCTCACATTTCAAAACTAATCATGCCTTCCCAACAGTTCCCCAAAGTCTTAATTCATTTCAGCATTAACCCAAAAGTCCATAGTCCAAAGTCTCATCTGAGACAAGGGAAGTCCCTTCCACCTATGAGCCTGTAAAATCAAAAGCAAGCTAGTTAGTTCCTAGATACAATAGAGGTACAGGTATTGGGTGAATACAGCCCTTTCAAATGAGAGAAACTAGCCAAAACAAAGGGGCTATAGGCCACATGCAAGTCCAAAATCCAGCCGGGCAGTCAAATTTTAAAGCTCCAAAATGATCTCCTTTGACTGCAGGTCTCACAACCAGGTCATGCTGATGCAAGAGGTAGGTTCCCATGGTCTTGGGCAGCTTTGCCCCAGTGGTTTGCAGGGTACAGCCTCCCTCCTGGCTGCCTTCACTGGCTGGCATTGAGTGTCTGAGGATTTTCCAGGTGCATGATGTAAGTTATCAGTGGATCTACCATTCTGGGGTCTGGAGGACAGTGGCCCTCTTCTCACAGCTCCACTAGGCAGCACCCCAGTGGGGACTCTGTGTGGGGGCTCCCAAACCTCAATTCTTGACTTCCATGCACCTGTAGGCTCAATACCACGTGGAAGCCGCCAAGGCTTGGGGATTCCACCCTCTGAAGCCACAGCCCAAGCTCTACATTGGCCCTTTCAGCCATGGCTGGAGTCAGGGGGACACAGGGCACCAAGGTCCCTAGGCTGCACACAGCATGGGGACCCTGGGCCTGGCCCAGGAAACCACTTTTTCATTCTAGGTCCCTGGGCCTGTGATGGGAGGGGCTGCCGTGAAGGTCTCCCACATGGCCTGGAGACGTTTTTCCCATGGTCTTGGGGATTAACATTAGGTTCCTTATACAAATTTCTGTAGCCAGCTTTAATTTCTCCCCAGAAAATGGGTTTTTCTTTTCTATTGCGTTGTCAGCTGCAAATTTTCCAAATTTTTAATGCTCTGCTTCCCTTATAAAACCAAATGCCTTTAACAGCACCCAAGTCATCTCTTGAATGCTTCGCTACTTGGAAATTTCTTCTGCCAGAGATCCTAAATCATCTTTCTGAAGTTCAAAGTCCCACAGATCTCTAGGGCAGGGGGAAAATGCCACCATTCCCTTTGCTAAAACATAAAAAGAGTCACCTTTGTTCCAGTTCCCAAAAAGTTCCTCATCTCCATCTGAGACCACCTCAGCCTGGACCTTATTGTTCATATCACTATCAGCATGTTTGTCAAAGCCATTCAACAAATCTCTAGGATGTTCCAAACTTTCCCACATTTTCATGTCTTCTTCTGAGCCTTTCAAACTGTTTCAACCTCTGCCTGTTACCCAGTTCCAAAGTCATTTCCACATTTTCGGGTTTCTTTTCAGCAACATCCCAATTCTGGTACCAATTTACTGTATTAGATTGTTTTCACACTGCTGATAAAGACATACCTGAAACTGGGAACAAAAAGAGCCATTTCCATATGGCTGGGGAGGCCTCAGAATCATGGCGAGAGAAAAAAGGCACTTCCTAAATGGCAGTGGCAAGAGAAAAATGAGGAAGAAGCAAAAGCAGAAACTCCTGATAAACCCATCAGATCTTGTGAGACTTATTCACTATCACGAGAATAGCACGGGAAAGACCAACCCTCATGATTCAGTTACCTCCCCTTGGGTTCTTCCTACAACATGTGGGAATTCTGGGAGATACAATTCAAGTTGATATTTGGGTGGGGACACAGCCAAACCATATCATTGGGTCTGCATTTCTTTTAAGGCTGTTTCTCTATAGGCCTGGGGGATTCCTATGCACATGTCCTAGAGTAACATGTTTATAATTAAACAGTTGCTTTGTTCTCCTCCCTTGAAAAAAGTCCATATTTGCAGAGAGTACCAGAGTTTCTAAACCAGAAAAGGCTGTAGAGAGGATAATTAGTCTCAAAGAGTTGCAAATATCTGTGGTTTTGAGCACAAGCCTTTGGCTGGGTGCTGGTCTGGAAACAGAGGATGCTTATTTTTAAGACACAAATTCTGTGTTTAATTTTTGGGAATATGAAAGAGTAGAATGTTTACTGGGGAAGGGATTTGAAACCTTTTGTAGTCATTTTGAGTTTTGCAGATAAAGGCAATCCACACTGCTGTTCTTAGGCAAAGTAGTTCTGCAAGCAGCTCTCACAGGACTAAAGAGCCGCTCCCCAATGTGTAGCCATTATTCTGTATAATTATGGATATTTTCCCTTCCAAAAATATTTTTTTTTTCTAGAAGCTGCTGTTTCAAAGGCTTTCAATTCTGTGTGTCATTATCAAATAATCTTTTTTGTACTCGGGTGTTTATTATTGGATTGCAACAACGATAAAGCTCTAGGGGTTTTTGTCTCCTTTGGTATGCTAATTAGCCAGTTTCCTTTTGATCTTTTTCTCACTGAAAAGAGTGAAAAGCTATCTCGGTAAGGAATCTTAGTGCTGTACATTCATCTCCTCATCTCCATAATCTGAGGATCAGAGGAAGACAACAATTTTACTGTTGAATGAGAGCTACTAGAGGCTTTAGTTAGAGCTCACTGCTGTCAAATAGTCCCACTGGCACCCAGAATTGGGCACCAAGGAGGAAGACGCAAAAGGGGAAAAAGGCACAAATATTTTATGTAGCAGAGTGAGCTCAGTTGCTTTTATTTTTCCTTGAAGCATTCAATCCATGCAAATATATGTCACTTTGCTTAATTTTTGACTTTTAGATTTCTTTATCCTATTGATATATTTTTAGTGACAACAACTGAATATTTAGTTGGAAGAAAATGGCCTGAATAGTGTGAAGAAATAGGCTGCCGACAAAATCCGTTGGAGGATAAGCTGCCTTTCAAAAGACACAGTAAATTCACATATGCAGAGTAATTGGGGAAAATGCCATGGCTCTTATGGGCTGGAGGCACATGTATTAGATTATGTTTGGGAAAGGATGGGAAGAAATAAGTTAGTAGATTCTTCGTTTGATTGTTTATTGGTCCACTGTGGTTGTGAAGATTTACCTTTTTATTAAGATCTAAGGACTTAGGACACAGTCTGGGAAGTTGAGTGGGAAATTTCATCATTAATATCATCACTTAACATCTGTTGAGAATGCACTAAGAGGGCAGCATGGCGTTACAAGGACCAAGCAAGTTGATATTTAAATACTGTTGTCACAGGACCTATATCCAGCCCCTACAGATACACATTCACAAACATATGCACACATTTTTGGTTGAGCTACAGGAAATCACTGTTTTTGCAAGTAAAAAGTAATTTCAGATGTCTCAATGGAACACAATTTACTGTTTGGGAGGTGTGATCAGGGTAATCAAGTTTTATTTATTTATTTTTTAAAAAGCGCTCATACATCCAATAGAGTATTGCCTCCTTTAAAACTGTACCAGGTGGTCTAATTCCAAATATACTGCCATGGCTGTGGACATTTTTAGAATAGTCCTAAACCTGAGGTGTTTCATTTCCTCAATATTTAGAAACCTTCGAAGATGGGTTTGAATTTTGGAAATAAAGGAAAGTCATCAAAATCACCTCTTGTATGTAAAAACACTTTATACTGTATAAAACTGCTGAATGAGAGCTACTATTTTGAGTGTTCTTTTAAATAAGCAAAATTTGAATGCAATGGTTTCCTTGGGTGCCATAGCAACCACCAGTGCCTTACAATTTTTGATTCAAAAGATACTTTGAGGTCATCTGGTTGAACAATCCTTAAACTTTATCAAACTTAAAAATTCTCAGAGGAATTACAAATGCAGTTTTGAGCACCTTGCCATAAAGATTCTGATTTATTAGACTTAGAAATGACCCGGAAATCTATGCTTTTACTAAGTTTGTCAGTGATTCCAATGCAGGAGGTGGTCAACCATACTTGGAATGGCTGCTCTTACCTATAGAGATAGATGCTGAAATTCAGTGACCCACTGGAAATTATTCCACTACACAAAAGCTGGTCCAGAGCAGAATGCCAGGCTGCCGGACTCCCAGGAGAGCCTTCAGAAGGGACTTCTTGGGTTTGAATCACAGTATGGTACTTAACAGCTAAATGGCATCCAACCATTTTTAAAGCCCATGTTTTCTCATATGTAAAATGAGGATAATTCTGATACCAAGCTCACAGTGTTGTGTCCTGCAAATTGCTTACAATAGTGTCTGGTAGATAGTAATTGCTCAATAAACATCACTTACCCTACGTTTAGCCAAAGAATTTTATTATGGCTCTTTGTATTTATTTCCTTTTCTGTACTTGTCACTTTTTATGATTTCTCCCCTGCACTTTCACCCTCCTTTTCACAGGCATCTCATCTTGACATTCCTTCCCCATGACTTTGATCCCACCTTGGTTGCTGGTACTGCCACCAGACTAGAAAAAGTCACTGAAAGATAACAATCAGTTATAATAACTCTTTGGAATCCTCTCTGAGAGGAACAGCTGGGTCTTTTCACATTTTGTCTTTATGCCCAATTAACCTCTAACTACAGCTCTACTGGGTTGTTATTTAAAAAATTCCTCAGCTAGTGTGCAGAGATTGAAGTTATCAGCACAGAAATTCTCTCTTTATGCCAGATGAGTGGAGGGCAAAGAGCAGGATATAGAGAAAAGCAGCCAGCACAGCTGGTGGCATCTGCACTTGCCCACGGGCTCTTCAGACCTGGCTCTGAAGCCAGAGGCACTAATGATGGTGCCAGAGGGAGAAAGTCAGCATGAGGCATCCGTGCAAGGTGCCAATGAAGCACTTGTGTCTCTTCCCCATCTGTTCCCATCACCCGTACCCCCTCCCATTTGCTCACAAATAAATAGGCAATGGGCAACCAAATGCTGCCTGAGCTACCTGATGCTGTTAATTACTATGACTGCTTAGAGCCAATTATCTCCACAAAAGCAAAACATCTTCATATAGCATTCCAAATGGAAACTGTTTCATCTGGGGCAGAGACAAATTGAACACTTTGGCTTAGTTCAAGCTAAAAAGGCTCTTCTTTGGCATGGATTTCAAAGACCTATTTGTTGTCTTTTTGTTTCTTTTAATTTTTGAATTTTTGTTGTAGCTTTGCAGATGCCACAACTACTAAAAATATAGCAGGCATGATTGGGGTGTGATACTCTGTAAAGATAGATTTGTATATGTCTTTTAATCTTTATACATACATATATATATGTAATATGTACATGTAACACACACACATAATAGATGCAGAATGTATATTGTCACTTTTCCAAATCTGATCTTATTCTTAGTTTGAATACTATAAGTATTTCTCTATTCATTCAGTCTCTCTCAGTCTCAACTTGGCTAAAGAGTGTCATGTGAACTTATGGAGAGGTTTGCATCTATTCATTCAAACTTTGTTGGAAATCTAGTCTAGGACTTCATTCATTTAGTACAAATGATTAGACAAAAACTTTGAGTTAACTCTCTTATCTTTAGTATAAGTGAAATGATGCTTACATAAGACAAATGAGGTGTAAATCTGAAATAATTATCTGATTTTCTGGTCAAAACATTTCAACTAAGGAAAAAGTTAGGCTATGAACAATACATATTTTCTGTTGCTCTGATTAGTGTCATTGGACAATTGCTCAGCTCTCTTTGTTCATAGGTACAAGTTGAGTCATTTCTCTCCCATGTCACTGTTGGAAGAAACAAAGATAATTTGTATGGAAAGTAATATGCATGATTTCAGTGTCCTCTAAATGAACGAAGCTTCCACAATGAAGTCAAGCACCTGGAGGAGAAGGATGCAGATAAATGCATCTTTCAGCATGGACACACCTGGGAAAGGCCAAATTTCCTTGGGCATGCTTCTAATTTCCCCTTGGTTTCTCTAAAGGAGCGGACCACATGTCATGGAAAACATCCACATATTGACTCATCCTGGATAAAGTTCATGTGAACTGGAGAGTTTTGCCATATTCATCCAGTCATTCATTCATTTGCCATGGGGATGCAGTGGAGTTTCAATTGTAGCTGAGGTGAAATCCATGGGAAAAACAGTTTTTATTTACTCCCTGGAGTTAGAGAAGCCATACCGAGAAACTTCCAGGCCTACGAAGTGCTGCTTTTAGCAGTCCCAATGTTGTGAGGATAGCATACTTTTTTGAGATTTAAAAATATCAAGGTTGTTTTTGATAATGCCTGCCGGTTATCCTTAGTATTTAGCAGACATTTGGATGTGTGTGGTAGTATGTGCTAGTATCAAACGAGACTTCGATTTATAGGACTTGGATTGCTACTAGATAGTGATCACAGCATCCAACTGGTGACTGAGCTGAAGCTTACTAGGTACCCCCATTTCATCATGTGAGTACCAGGTAATAGCTATTCCGAAAAGGATCTCTCTTCACTGAGCTCCCTCCCAGCTTGTTAATTGTGCATGTGTGTGTGTGTGTGGGTGTGTGTGTGTGTGTGAGAGAGAGAGAGAGAGAGAGAGAGAAGAGAGAGAGAGAATATGTATGGGCAAACATGTATGTGAACATGTGTGAGTTTGTGCATAATGGGTGTGGACATGCATATATGTGAGTGTATGTGGGTGTGTCTGTGTGTGTGAATGTCTGTCTTCAGAATGCTTGTAATATAGATCATCATAGGCCTCTTGATGCCCTACAGAGAATTGAGAGACTCTTCTGGAGAAAGTTATTCAAATTATAGAGCAGTTGAGTAATTTTAGTAACCCAGCACATTCCTAAATGTAGTTTTGAAAAGGGGTTTATTGAAAAGAAATAGACCCTTTTCAATAAGCTTTAGGTTCTATCATACTATGAGGCAACATTTGGACAGTGTCCATGGTAATCTGTGCAGCAGTCCATGCTGCATTCATTTTAAATTGGTCTTTTTAAGAATAGCATTAAATGGCTGCTCATAAACAGGACTGAGCAGTTTCTGAGTGGGAGAAGATTCCTCAGTTCTTTACCCATGTGATTTGTAACACTGACGTGGGTGTAGAACATTTCTGCCCAGAATATCATTATACATTACATGGGGATATTTTAGAATAAATATTTTCATTTTTTTCTCAAGAAAAAAATGTGTTTATTGCTAAAATCCTTTTGGAAAATGAACCAAAAGGATAGATTATTATTTTTCATTTTTCTTACAAAATTATGCTCTGAATTGTCCCCGCTCCTTTTAGGGGCTGTGATATCAAAGGCTGATTTCATAATGGCTGTGTTCTGGTGTGCTTCCCTAATTTGAGACTGGGTCTTCATGACATACAGTGAGTGCAACTCCATTAGATGTCTTTTTAATTTAAGTATCTGGAGACTTAATTTTTTTTTCTTCTTAGCTACTTAGACTTATTCAACAGGCATTTATTAAGAAAATTTTGGGTCATCTATAATGACAGGTTCTGGGGAGAAAATGATGAGTATAATCTAGGACCCTCAAGGTGCTCTCGGAGTGGTGGGGGAGGCATTCTCTAAGAAAGAGCCTAATTAAGTGAGATGACAACACAAGGGAGTTCTTTTCTTGGCATTATGGAAGCTTTACAGAAGAAATGATACATGAGCTGAGGCCTGAATGATGGATATGAGTTTGTCATGTGACAGATATTGTAGGGGGGTAGTGAGAAAACATTCCAGGTTAAGTCCTGGATGTATAAAAAGAAACCCAACTGTCGAATTTCCATTTTCAGAGCTAAGTAGTCACAATTCAAGACCTATTTATTATTTTTCCTCCTTTTTCAGTCACTATTCTAGTCTTGCCATTTTCTCTCCTCTCCTTTGCCTGATTCTCTTCCAAAATCTTCTGAATCAAGCACTTGACTCACTATAAAAATATAAGACACCTAGCCTAACAAAGAGCAACTCTCTCCTTCCTTGAGTTTATTATGCTGCCTTCTTTGTCTAGGACAAACTGATTTCTTGGTTTAGAACTTTTTTGGCAGTAGGGTGAGGGGGAAGATTGGTGGCCAAAATGATGCTTTATATTCCCCAAAGCTACTCCAGCCTCTATGTAACAGCCCAGAAAAAGGACAAACCCTCTACTCCCATAGGAAAGACAAATAATTTGGGCAGCCCGCAGTTCTGGCCAGAGCTTATCCTGGGTTGTGTAACTTCAAGAGGCTCACTTTCAGTCAAGGCTAGTTTGAAATTGGTCTCCATTTGCTTTTTATTTCATGCTTTGAATTGTGAGTCATTGGGGTTTAAGTGCCCTTTAGATTTCTTAAAATGGACAAGCCATAAAACCAGACCAAAACAAAAAAACAAAAGAACACAAACCCCCCAAAAGTGCCTTGTCTGATTTGCAACACATTTAGCCTTTTGTGGAGTAAAATGTGCTTCGTTAGTAAACAGCAAGTGAAGATTTATTGGAGTTCGGTAATGAAGGCATCAACAAGTGGCTAGAGCAAATATTTTTCTGAAAACAGCAACCATATTCTGTTCTGTTTCATACTAGGTGGGACTGTAAATCTGCAAAGGTCAGAAAGCAGCTTCCCTTCAGGCTCATATGAAACGCTTGCAGATGTCATATAGTACCAGTTTTAGTTACAATGTTACATAGCAAACAAGGCCAAATTGTGGTTTAATTCCTGCATGTGTGTTCTTGATTTGTGTTGATTTATGTAGAGCAAGGGTTCAGCTTATGACCCCTGAAATGATCTATTCTTGTACTAACACCTGTTTTGTCCTTTGTGTTGCATAAATGATAATCTCCTTTTTGTCTAGGAGGTAATTTTTCTATATGGTGTGAGAATAGAGTTCTTTCTATCCTTTTGGTTCTTGAGAACTTTCATGTTTTTTCCTCTGTTTTCTTTAATTCCATAGTGTAATATAAGCACAGGAAGTGTGGTGTGCAAACTCTGGACTGATTAATACTATTTACTGTGATACTTCTTCTTGTCAATTGCTGCAGAAATGAGATACATCAGACCCTATCTGAAAAGAGGCATCTGGAGTCACTGGCTTCCATTGTCTTCCACGCTTTTGATTTCTTATTTGCTAATGTACAAAATTCTGTGATTGGGTAGGCAATTCAAGTTAGTTCTACAAATATTTATCAAATGTATGTGTAAGACTCTGTATTAGGTGTGTAGGGGCTGGGGAAGTGGAGGCAATAGCATTATGGGCAAAGATAAACAAGAATCTGTCCTTGTCTACAAGAATCCTAATATTTTGAAGGGGAAATGCTGACTTATAAACAAGAAGGAATGAAAATACTTTTATAGTAGAAGCATAAGCACAGTGCTCTGGCAACCTAGAGAAAAGGAAAGCTTTGGAAAAGCCAATTTCTTTTGAGCTGTAAAAATCCTTACAAACTGGAACTCATTACTTCTAGCTTGATATATATTCTCTGGGGCTGTAATATGAATAGATCCAGCTTCATTTCACATGTATATTTCAAAATTGCCTCTGGTTTTGGATATTTGTGGTGAAGCATTTTATAGACTGTGCTGGTTCCAAAGGCAGGTAGTATGTAGTTAAATAGTTATGAGAAAGCAAAGTAGTTTAGAAAAACCAACCTTTTCAAGTCTCCTTTGTTTGGATGACTTTATCTTGTATATTGTCTCAGACATCAATACTTTCAATTGTGGCTCAGAAGTTTTGCTCATCCATTAATTTCCCTTCTTTTTAAATATTGTATTTTCTTAACCTGGAATACATGGATGAGCTTTAGGGAACCTATGTACTCATTGTAAGTATATGCAAAAAAATCTCTCTGTGTACTTTTTTTTTCTTTTGACATAGAGTTTTGCTCTGTTGCCCAGACTGGAGTACAGTGACCCGATCTCGGCTCACTGCAACCTCCATCTCCTGGGTTCAAGTGATTCTCCTGCCTCAGCATCTTGAGTAGCTGGGATTACAGGGACCTGCCACCATGCCCTGTTAATTTTTTTTTTTTTTTTTTTGTATTTTTAGTAGAGACAGGGTTTCACCATGTTGGCCAGGCTGGTCTTGAACTCCTGACCTCGAGTGGTCTGCCTGCCTTGGCCTCCCAAAGTGCTGGGATTACAGGTGTGAGCCACCGCGCCCGGTCAGCTGTTATTATTTTATTATTATTATTTTTGAGACTGAGTCTCCCTCTGTTGCCCAGGCTGGAGTGCAGTGGCAGAATCTCTGCTCACTGCAACCTCTGCCTCCCAGGTTCAAGCGATTCTCGTGCCTCAGCCTCTTGAGTAGCTGGGATTACAGGCGCCTGCCACCACACCCGGCTAATTTTTGTATTTTTAGTAGTGATTGGGTTTCACCATGTTGGCAAGGCTGGTCTCAAACTCCTGACTCAAGTGATTCTACTACCTTGGCCTCCCAAAGTGCTGGAATTACAGGCGTGAGCCACCATGTCCGGATCTCTTCTCTGGAGAGCACATTCTCTTCATCAGATTCTCAAAAACACTTATGAACCATACGATGTAAAACTACCATATTTTCTCGCTTCGTAATTTTATTCACTCTCATTATTTCAATACTTACTAAATGTTGATGACTTTAAACCTGTATTTCTAGCCTAAACCTCCTGAGTTTTATTCTTATATATCCAAATGTTTACCAGCCATCTTTGCTTTTTTGGGCCAATAGCACAAGCCCATGAATTTCAAGATTAAATTCATGATCTTTCCTTCTAAATCTTGCTCACACATTTTCTGTCTTCATTGATGCCACCAACATCTACTCAATTACCCAAGATAGGAAACTGAGGATCATTTTGCTGATTCTTGAGTGTCTTTTAAGACAACTCAAATATCACTTGCATAAGGAAGCACCTTTTGACCACCCAAGACAGGGTGGTTGCTCTCTTTTGGGTTCCCATAGCACTCTGTACGTATCTCCATCATTGTTCAGCCATATATTAATAATCTATTTTTCTGTTTCCCTTATTAGTCTGTAAGCTCCTTGAGAGAAGTGACCCATCTCTTATTTGGCTTTGTAAGTCAGCACTGAGCCCAGAGTCAAACACTCAGTAAATGCTTAGAAATGAATTAATTAAGAGGACGTACATTGTACATGGCTTCCTGAAGTTCAGATGTAGTGATAGTGACTTAAAATATTCTGATTTCATGGCCCATGAAAGAGCAGAAGGAAGAAAGCTTTGTCCAGTGTGGTCTGCTAACATGAAATTATCTTAAAAGTCAGACCTTAATGCTGATTCTATGTCACTCAGTAGGAGGGGAATGCCAACTGTGTGGTAATAGCCTATATTCTACATGTCCTTTCTAAACTTGAAAATCTTCCTCTCTGGAGAAAAAATTCTATTAAGTTAAACATTTAGCTTTTAAAAAAATAATGTTTCAGAATCAAGTAATTAATAATTAATGGCATCTTATGGCAATTTGTGTTAGATAGAAGTATAAAATTCCTGAGTTCTGGTGGAAGCATAAAGGACAAGAATAGTAATACTTTGCCCATTATTGTTTAAGATAGAAATACTTTTAAAATAGGGACTAATTCAAAAGGAGTTAGAATATGTCTCTCTGTCCTTCACCTACCAAACCTCTTTTCAAGCCATTGTAGTGAGGTTTTTTCATTCTTCACAGTCAAATGAATCAGAATTTTGTATCCCCTCCCCTCCTCCTGGGTTAAGATCAAGGGAGTGCTTCCTCCTACTCTATGCCATGTAAGAAGGACTTGAGAGAAAGTACAGTGTTTGTCAGAAAGGAAGCCTGACATCTCACCCTGGCTGACTGTTAGCTGAGCTATAGAATCCCATCTGTTCTTGCAACACCATGGGAGCAGAGCCAAGGGCAGAGAGGCTAGGGAGAAGTCAAACTACATCCTCTAGAGTCTGGACCTAGAGATCAAGCCCTGGCTGTAGCTTGGAAAATCTTAAAAGCAAGAGGCTTGTGGAGAAGCCCCAAAGGCAGACCAATGATAGAAGGCCACAGTGGGAGCGTCGTGTACATCCAGATTTTGAAGAGGCAGAGGTGCAAGTTTTCTCATGGGCTAACTGGACATGGTGACAAGTTTAGAGGTATCTTGAAAGTCCACTGCCTAAGAGATCTGATGGTCAGTACAAGATGGTTTCAATAGTCAGGCTGAATGGCATATTCTACTGGGGTAGGGAAGTGAGGTGCATAGTCTGGGAATGGTGTTGGAGATGCTGTGCGTGTGTGTGTGTGTGTGTGTGTGTGCGCGCACACATGTGTTTGTGTATGTTTTGGGTTGAGGTCTTTCCCCATAGTCCTGTGTCCAGAATTTATTCCTTCTGGTGGGTTCTTGGTCTTGCTGACTTCAAGAATGAAGATTGAGAGGTGAAGCCAGCTGGACTTCCTGGGTTGAGTGGGGACTCGGAGAACTTTTCTGTCTAGCTAGAGGATTGTAAACGTACCAATCAGCACTCTGTGTCTAGCTAAAGGGTTGTAAATGCACCAATCAGCACTCTGTAAAAATGCACCAATCAGCACTCTGTGTCTAGCTAAAGGATTGTAAAAGCACCAATCAGTGCTCTGTAAAATGGACCAATCAGCAGGATGTGGGTGGGGACAAATAAGAGAATAAAAGCTGGCCACCCCCAGCCAACAGTGGCAACCAGCTGTGGTCCCCTTCCACGCTGTGGAAGCTTTGTTCTTTCACTCTTCATAATAAATCTTGCTGCTGCTCACTGGGTCCGCACTACCTCTATGAGCTGTAACACTCACAGGAGGCTCTGCGGCTTAATTCCTGAAGTCAGTGAGACCACGAACCGACTGAGAGGAACAAACAACTCTGGATGTGCCACCTTTAAGAGCTGTAACACTCACTGCGAGGTCCGTGGCTTCATTCTTGAAGTCAGTGAGACCAAGAACCCACTGGAAGGAATAAATTCTAGACACGGTCCCATTCTCAGACTTACTCAATCTTACTTGTTGAGAAGCTAGAAAAAGAAGTTAGTGGGCCGGGCTTGGTGGCTCATTCCTGTAATCCCTGTACTTTGGGAGGCCGAGGTGGGTGGATCACTTGAGGTCAGGAGTTTGAGATTAGCCTGGCCAACATGGTGAAACCCCATCTCTACTAAAAATACAGAAAATTAGCTGGGCGTGGTGGCGTGCACCTGTAATCCTAGCTACTCAAGGGGCTGAAGCGGGAGAATTGCTTGAACCAGGGAGGCAGAGGTTGCAGTGAGCCAAGATCATGCCCCTGCACTCCAGCCTGGGTGAAAGAGCAAGACTCCGTCTCAAAGAAAAAAAAAAAAGAAAGAAAAAGAAGTTAGCCATGGGACAGGCAAAGGAATAAGGAAGACCTAGCTAAAAAGCTGCTATCTTTGTCTGTTTGTGCTACTATAACAAAATACTTCAGACTGGGTAATTTATAAATAAGAGAAATTTATTTATCATATTTTCAGATGCAGGGAGGCCCGAGATCAAGGGACTGGGAGATTCAGTATCTAGCGAGGGCTCTGTCTCTGTTTCCAGGATGATGCTTTGAATGCTGTGTCCTCACATGACAGAAGGACAGAAAAGGAGGAATAGTTCCCCCATACCACTTTTTCTAAGAGCACCCATCACCTCCTGAAGGCCTTACCTCTTAATACTATCACATTGGGATTAAATATCAACATATGAATTTTGGAGGACACATATACCCCATAGCAGCTGTGTTACTGAAATGATCAGGTTGTCTGTTGTACTCAATGCCATTGAGGCCCTTCTAGACCTCCTTTTCACCTAATACAGCAGTCTGGCAGCTGCTATAAGTGGTTTCTGCTAATAGCTCACAGCTTTCCTGTGCTGCTGAGAATTGTGCTTGGCCAAATAGGAGCCATCTCACCCAGGAAGCTATGAATGCCGCCTTAGTAAACCTAAGACATCTAGTATTTTACAGGAATTGTCGAATTTCTGCTGCTGCTGGCATAGGATGTTAAAAATGTTAGAAGTATTTTGGGGGGCTGTATATTTCTGGCAATCGTGAACTAAAAACAGCTAAACAAAATATTATTTTCTAAAAAGTCTACCAAATCAACTAGAACTTTAGTGGCCAAGGTGTTGGAGACAAGAGAAGTACACAGAGGAAATGATTTTCAGGGCTGCTTTTTCCCTTTAAGGCATTTGCCAATTCCAGAGCAGCAGCAGAGAGGCTGAGAAATTGAGCAGAAATTGATGGCTGAAAGGTCAAGAAGGCAAAAGAGCTCCTGGTGGTCTCATGGGCTAGTGGACAAAAATTGGAATTCAGAGCCCGCTCGAGTACGGAGATCTTGGCAAACCCTCCAGGGTTTTAATTAGGACTTTGGATCGGCTACTCCATAGGAGTGAGGGTGGACTAGTAATAGACCAGCCACACAAAGCTGAGCACAGATTTAAATCAGTTCATTCTCAAGTCAGAGTAAGATGATCTTTCCTTACCCTGTCAGAAGCAAAAGTAAATGCTGTCTTGAAGAAGCTGACGTTATCCAGAATTCCAAACGACTTCTCAAACGAAAGTTTATGTGTGGCATTTAATAAAAAGTTACCAGGGCACTAGTAGAATGGTGAACTAAAACCATCTATACAAAATGTACTTTCTAAAAGTCTGTTTGAAGAAATTAGAGGAAAGCTTAATGTTTCTGGAAACCAGGAGAAAAAAAAACAGTAAAAATAGACTTAGAGGAGATGCAGGTATTGAAATTATCTGACATAAACTTAATAAACATGATGAAAATAAAAAGCAAGGTGGAGAATTTAAGAGAATAACTTTTTAAAAACTCAAAAAGAAATTCTAGAAATGAAAAATAACAACTGACATTAATAACTCCCTAGATAGGTTTAATAGCAGACCAAAAATAAAACAACAACAAAAAAACCAAAACAACAACAACAACAACAACAACAACAACAAAAACCTGCTAAAGAGAGAATTGGCACTCTGAAAAATAAAGCAGAAGAAAATCTCAGCATAAGACAAATATGGAATATGGTGGATAGGCCAAACAGTATGTACATTTAGAACCTGTCAATAAAATTTCTGCTAGAGAAGCCATGATTGAAGGGATAATGGCTAAGAAGTCTCCAAAAATAACGAAAGATACCCAGAGTCCAGAAGCACTACAACTCTCTACTAGGATACATATAAAACATACCATACCTAGCCATATCATAGTACAATTGCCACAAACCAAAGAAAAAAGAATCTTAAAAGCAGACAGAAGCCAAAATAAAACTAATGCGACTACTCTAAAGAAAAATGGAAGCTAACAAATTATTCAAAGTTAAAAAATTGCTTCAAGTTATTTATTTAAACTTTTGAAGAAAATAAACTGTTAACCTAGGATTCCATCCCGGTAAAAAATCATTTAAAAAATAAAGCAAACTAAATAACTTTAGGCCAACAAAAACTGAGATAATTTTATTATCCAGCTGACTTGTATGATAGTAAATACTAGAGCAAGTTCTTGAGACAGATCCAGCCAGAAACAGGGAGAAAATGAAAAGCAATGCAAAAAATAAATATATGGGTAAGTCTAGATAAATAGTGAAAGTATATGATAATGATGATGACAATGATAATGTTTTGTGGGGTTTACATATCTATGGGATAGACACATGAGAAAAACAGAAAAGGCTGGAGAACAGATCAATGGAATGGAATGGAATTATCCTCAGGTCTTTTCATTATGACATGGGAAAGGTCAATAATGCATGTTTTATTCTAGGGTAAACCCTAAAAGAATAGTAAGAGTATAACAAACAAGATAATAAAAGGGGAAATGGAATAATGCAAAATATTTAATGAAAAAAATAAGGCAACAATGAGAGCAAAGGAAACACGGGACATGTTGGGGGAAAATAGACAATGTACAGCATGATGGTAGATTTAGACCCATATACATCAGTAAATGGATTAAATGAAAAGACTAAATATTCCAGTTGAAAGACAAGTATAAACTAGATTAGAAAACTTTATTTTGCTTATATTAAACAACTTCAAAAGTGAAAAGGCAAAAAGGTTGACAGTAAAAGGATGACAAAGGTATTTCTTGCTCACATTAATCAAAACAAAGCTTTTTTGCTAAATTCATAGCAGACCAAATAAATATTAAGGCAATAGACATTAAGATATTAATAAATATTGAGATATTAATAGATATTAAGGTGAGAAAAATTAGTAGACGAATATTTCAGAACAATAAAGTGGTTAATTTGCCAGGGAGTAATACTGACATGACAATATTACGTGGATGTAATAACAAGCCTCAAAATTTATTAAGTAAAACTGACAGAACAAAAAAAGAGAATAAGATAAATTCACGATAGTTTTAGATAATTCTAATATACCTCTTTCAATGACTGACTGAATAAGCAGAGAAAAAAATTATTAAGGATATAGAATAATTTAACAACATATCCAACATACTAACTCAATTGACATACATAAAACACTACATCCAACAACTGCAGTGGAACCTAAGACAAGTCCCAGTGAATTTCCACACATTAAATTTATACAGGGCATGTTCTTTGATCACAGTAAAATTAAGCTGAAAATTAATAATAAAAAAGGTAACTAGAAAATCCCTAGGTGTTTGGAAATTAAGCAATATACTTCTAAATAAACCATGGGTCAAAGAAGAAATCACAATAGAAATGAGAACTTATTTAGGTTTTAGAAGATGACGAATATTGTGCTAAAATGAATACTGTAGGAGTCAAGTAGCTAGCCCAACGAAATGAAGTAGATTCTTTCTTTTTCATTCTCTTTCTGTTAAAATTTCAGGGAATTGTGTATCTGTGGTGCAGAAATGTCATGGTAGGGCTTTTGAAGTGTTTGTTTTGTGGTTGAGTGTATTATAGATCAAATGGCCAATTTAGAGTAGCTTTCTGGGACAAATAATAATAATAATATTAAAAACATTGACTGTTATGCTCAGGTGTAAAAGTGATTATTTCTATCACCCCAAAGATCTGTAAAATGGCCTGAGTCCTTTCATCTTCTTTTGTTTTGAGACAGAGTCTCCCTCTGTCGCCCAGGCTGGAGTGCAATGGCGTGATCTTGGCTCACTGCAACTTCCGCCTCCCAGGTTCAAGCGATTCTCCTGCCTCAGCTTCCCTAGTGGCTGGGATTATAGACACCCACCGTCGTGCCTGGTTAATTTTTGTATTTTTAGTAGAGACGGGGTTTCACCACATTGGCCAGGCTGGTCTTGAACTCTTGACCTCAGGCGACCCCCCCTAACCCCATGGCCTCCCTAAGGACTGGGATCCCTGGCCTTTTCCTCTTCTAATTGATGTAAAATGTTACTTTTCTGTGGATACAATTTGGCCGAGTTTTAGGAGCACAGTGAAGCACTTCACACCAGTATTTAACCAAGCACACTGTGCATAATAATTAAGAATCCTGCTATCTGTTTCCTTGAATGTGAAGGAAAGGGATAGAACAAAATGAGACAAACTAGATACTAGATGTTTTTGTGTGCAGAATAAGGACAAAGATGGTCTTTTAATGAAAACTTTTTTTTAAGTGGGCAAACTTGCAAAAGGTTGTTCCTTTGTAGAAAATATTACATTATTAAATAATAGTAATCATGCCAGTAAGTAATGAAATGGAGGGTGATGCTCTTTGCTTCTCTTTCCATCCCTCTGATGAAGATCATAAGTTTCCAATGCCAAAAACATTAAAGGTTTGTCATACTAGAGACCTTAAGAAGCCCATGAGGTCAAGACTTATGTGATGGCATTAATTGCTGTGCTCTGAGGACCATAGTCTAACATAGCAGGTTAACACAAATTAAATGTCATAGATTAATCACAAGAGCTAAATTTAGGGAGTTAAGGAGCTCATTTATTCCTCCCATATCCCTACCATAGCTTTAACCTCCAAGGCAAACTACCACCTCATCAGCTGCAAAACACTGCTGGCTTCTATTAGAAATGCAAAATGTTTCCTTGATGTTAGGATGAAGGGGCTGCATTTGTAATATTGTGCTCATAAAACAAACTTCATTCTTTCTCAAGTAATTGGCTTCCTGCTGACAGGAGCTCTAAAGAGATATCTGACAAGAGTTTGAATTGGTGTGTTAGTACCTTTCTTATGTATTTCTCTCCATGCTCTGTTTATATTTCCTCCTGTTAGCACACTCTTCTTCACTTGCTAAAGATGAATTTGGATTTCTAATGTCTTCCTGTATAGACTTATTAGTGATTTGTAGTTGTATAGAGTTCTCATGACTATATAACTGTAAAATTTGTGGTTAGGCTAGAACACATTAAATCATAAGGTCCTGGTCTGAGCAGCCCCAAATGTCCCTAGGATTTTGACACCAGAGCAAGTTTTCTTTTTCTGGTATACTTTGGTTTGTTCTGAAAGACTCACTTGGATTTTATATGATGCAAAAGACAGTTCTATTTTCAGTGTCCTGCCTTTTAACCTACTATAGAACCCAATTTGAATGCTCTTTCGGAGGACAGATCAAACTTACTTTAAAGTGATTGCTTTTGGGGGAAAACATCCCAGATTGTAAAATGCTGACACTGAAGTGGTTCTGAGACACATATTAGTAGGTAACTAAATCAGAATGAAAACATTTCTGAAGATGACCGCCATGTTAAAGCAATGATGGAGGTGCTGAAATTCCTTGGTATCAGGGTCACTTGGTGGAATCAGGGCTCAGGGATGCTCTGGATGAAATAATGAGTGAGAGAATTCAGAAATAAGTTTTTCCATCCATCGTTAGAATAACACTCCCTCCTCATTCCCACACATTCTTAAGCCATGGGGTAGGATTACTGGGACAAAATCCTTTCCTATCAAACTCTTTAAAGACTAGAGGAACGAAATCTCAAATATCTTCTGCCTCCTATTTATCAATTTGGAAAGTTCACATTTAAAATCTGTGACTATAATGCAGATCTTAAATATATAAAGTAAAACAGCAGTGTGAGAGACTCAAGTGCATAAAGGCAGGACTGAATCTCATGAAAATCAATTGGGATGCTTTACTAAGAGCATATCGTCCTGGCCAACGTGGTGAAACCCCGTCTCTACTAAAAATACAAAAAAATTAGCTGGGTGTGGTGGTACGTGCCTGTAATCCCAGCTACTCAGGAGGCTGAGGCACGAGAATTGCTTGAACCCAGGAGGTGGAGGTTGCAGTGAGCCGAGATCACACCACTACACTCCAGCCTGGCGACAGAGTAAGACTCTGTCTCAAACAAACAAACAAATAAACAAACAAACAAAAAAGAGCATATTGGCCTAACAGTAGAAAGGTCTGAATTCCAAGCTTGCTTCTCCTGTCTTCTTGTCCTATGATGTCACTAAAGAAAATCACTTGATCTTTCTGGGCCTGCTTCTTCATGTGTAATCTGAAGGGTTTGGAAACATGTTAGAGAGCCCATGAGTCTGTGAATTACGCCTAAAGTATTTATCAGACTTGGATTAGGTGTTACAAGAAACCAACCTATATAGGCAGGGTTGATATTCTAAATATTTACCAACCTTATAAGTACTCAACAGTCAAAATGGAGGCTTGCTATAAACAGCCAGTAGCTCTGCACCTGTGCGTGCTAGGTAAATATCAACTACACTTTTGGGAATGGAGCCCTGGACTCAAACTGTTTAAGCAGAAAGACCTTAGGACTCACCAGTCCATCTGCCTGATTTTACACACTGTTGCAACCTCTGTTAAAGAAGAACATTGTGATACTGAAAAATTGCAGCAGAAGGATGACACAAATGCATGAAGGCTTAGGTACATGAATAGATATCTCAATAAATGTGATAGATTATTATAATAATGGCATTAATGAATCACACCTCCTTGTATCTACACCCTCTATTAATCCTTTCCCACAGTAACTCTGGGCTCAGCCATGTGACTTGTTTTGATGGTAATGGGACATTAGCAAATGTGACACAAGCAGAGGCTCAACAAATGCTTGCTCATTAGCGTTTACCCTATCTTTTGTTACTTTTGGATCATAGCCACTATTAGGAGACTTCTGGCCTGCTGGTGACATATGGCCCAACTGACAGCCAGCACCACCCACCAGACTTGCGAGTGAGGCTTAGACTAACAAACACCATTTGAGCTGACAGATGACTGTGGCAACGTGAGTGACCCCAAGTGAGACCAGAAAAGATACCACCCAACTGAGCTCAGCCCAAACTGCTGACCCACAGAATCAGAGCAAATGAAATGTTGGTTACTTAAGCCACGAAATGTTGGTTTGATTCACTGCAACAGATACTTGACACAGCAAGAAAAAGATCTATAAGTTGGGGAGGAACATTCTGAAGGGGAAGTTGATGGGAGGAAAGACAGTGGTGATATCCTCCACCATTTTCCTAATTGAAGTTGGAACCAAGGATTTGTGTCTAGTTCCTATGAACAGGTCTCTTGCTTCCCAGATTTACCAAGGAGCTCCTTCATACTCATCTTTCTGGTCAAGCACACTTAGTTCCAGGAAAAACTCAGCTAACTAGTTGAGTCCTAATCACTCTCAGTGAAGAAACATGGGTGGATTTCCTGCTTCCATTTCCCTTTCAGAATGTGACAGGGGACAACTGTTCTGGCCTTTTCTTGTTGATTCAGCAGGTGGCTACCAGCAAAAAAATTCATGGAATACTATGAGAATAAATAGAGTTCTTGGGAAAAGGTAAGAAGATAAGATCTAAAAATGACTGAAAAACATGGAAGATTTTTTCCCAAATGTCCATATAAGACCTGCAACCTTCCTGCTTTCAACACTACTTTGATACAATAAAAAATCAATTGTATAATCGTACTAAAGCTTCTGAAGCCTTCCCTCTGGCAGCCACAGGTCAAAGAGTTCATATAAAACAAAGTCCTGAGGACTTCCACTTTTTGTCATAAATCATTCTAAAACTGGACAAATATATGAGGCAACTGTTTTCAGGTATCAAACAAGCAGCACGATTCCCAAGAGAAGGGAGAGACACTCTCTCCATGTTCACTTCACTCTCTGCCTAATTTTCCAGCTGTGGCACAGGAAGCTGGAGTTCATGCAAAACACGATGGTCCAGCTGAGCTGAAGAGGCAGGATAAGAGATCAGGCCTACTCAAGTGGAGCGTAGCTGCATGTAGGGCAGTAAGGACGAAAGAACTATGCTGGGTCATGAGAGATGGAGAAAGAAATCTTTTTTTTTTTGAGATGGAGTCTCGCTCTGTCGCCCAGGCTGGAGTTCAGTGGCGCGATCTTGACTCACTGCAAGCTCCGCCTCCCGGGTTCACGCCATTCTCCTGCCTCAGCCTCCCGAGTAGCTGGGACTACCCCGTCTCTACTAAAAATACAAAAAATTACCCGAGAAAGAAATCTTTATAGGAGTTCCCATGAGTTCTTGACTGAGGACTGAGATGTATAGGTGTGGGGCAAGATCATACAGGTCATGCTACTGTGGGGCTGAGAGTTAGAACAGAAATACCAGATAGAACATCACTGGAAGATGCTGGAGCTCTGACCCAGCCTGAGGAGAGAGTTCTCATGAATACCTGTATTAGTTCATTCTCACACTGCTGATAAAGACATATCTGAGACTGGGTAATTTGTAAAGGAAAGAGGTTTAATTGACTGACAGTTCTGCATGGTTGGGGAGGCTTCAGGAAACTTACAATCATGGTGGAAGGGGAAGCAAACAGGTTCTTCTTCACATGGCAGCCAGAAGGAGAAGTGCTGAACAAATAGCACCTTATAAAATTATCAGATCTCATGAGAACTCACTATCATTAGAACAGCATGGGGAGACTGCTGCCATAATCTAATTACTTCCCACAAGGTCCCTCTTCCAACACATGGGGATTACAATCCAGATTACAATTTGAATTACAATTCAAGATAAGATTTGGGTGGGGACACAGAGCCAGACCATATCAACACCCCAGGCATTCATCTGAGGCAACAGAAATGTCACACTTTAGAATAAAGGATCATGTCTCGCGGTAGGCCCTACTCTGAACCTACCTTGATAAAGCCTAGAAAACCAAGCTTTGACAAGATTTGACAAGAGATGGAATTTGGAGGTTGAGTACACTAAGTTGGGGGAATGAGAAACAATAGGGCTTTTCACAGGCTAATAGGTTCAAATTTACTATCCAGTAATTAAATTGTCTGTGAAGGGCATCACAAGAAGAAAAATTAATAAACTAATATCTTTCATTAACATAGATGCAAAAATTAAACATTTAAGCAAATCAAAACAAGTGGTATCTAAAAAAAAGGTAGGATATCATGCACAAATCAAGCTGGTCTTAGGAATACAAGACTAGTTTAACATTTGAAAACTAATTTATGTAATTAACTACCCTAAAAAAATATAGGAGAATATAATCATATGATAATCTCTCAATAAATACTGAAAAAAATTGACAAAATTTAACACCCACATATGATAAAATCTGTTAGCAAATAAAGAATAAAAAGGAATGTTCTAAAACCAATACAGATGTTATTCAATATATCTATAGCAAATATCATAGTTAATAGTGAAACACTGAATGCTTTTCTCTTAAACTGGGAACATGGCAAGGATGTCTGCTCTCACTGCTTTTATTTGATGATATACTGGAAGTGCTAGCCAGTGGAATAAAGCAAGACAAAGGAATAAAAGAAATAAAGATGAGAAGGAAGAAGTGAGCTTGTCTTAGTTCACAAATGCCATGATTATCTATTTTGAAAAGTCAAGAAGGCTACAAAATACAAAAAAAAAAAAAAAACAAAACTAGAATTAATGAATAAATTTAGTAATGCCCCAGGATGCATCCAATTAAAAAAACCCTATATTCCCGTATATTAGCAACAACAATTATTTAAAAAATAGTATTTAGTATAGCATCAGAAACATAAAGCGCTTTTAAATAAATATAACAAAAGACTTAAGTCTTTCGTATTGAAAACAACAAACAACTCTGAGATAAATTTAAAAAATTCTAAATAAAGAGATATATCATGTTTATGGACTGACAATCTCAATATTGTTAAGACATTCATTTTTTTCTAAATTAAAATATAGATTCAATGCAACCCCAACCATTTTTTTTTATCCCAACCACTTTTTTTTTGTAGAAATTGAGAAGCTGATGCTAACGTTTGCACACAAATGCAAAAGACCTGGAATAATCAAAGTAATTTTAAACAAGAGAAATAAGGTGAAGGACTTATACTATCTGGTTTTATAACTTACTATAAGTGCAACAGTAATCAATCCTATTGGAATTAAGTATGAAATTGTCAGAAGGGCAGACATATAATCAATGGAATAAAACAGAATTCAGAAATAGAGCCCTACATATATGATCAATCCATTTTGACAAAGGCAACAAGATGATTCAATAGAAAAGGGACACTTTTTTCAACAAATGATAGTGTAAAAACTTGATAACCTTTTGAAAAAATAAATGTTTACCCATACTCTATGTCACACAGAAAAATTAAATTAAAATGGATCATAGATCTAAATGTCAAAGCTAAAACTATCAAACTTCTAGAAAATAGAGTAAAAGAAAATCTGTGTCAAGTTCGAATAGAAAAAAATTTTCTAGATAGGACACAAACAGGACTAATAATCAATTTAAAAGAGGATAATTTGAACTTTATGAAAATAAAAATCTTCAAAGTACATCATTAAAGGCAATCATAGACTGAAAAAAATTCAATGAATATTTCTGACCAATAACTTGTGATCAGAATATACAAAAAACCCTTACAACTCAACAATAAGAATCAAACAACTCATTAAAAATGGCAAAAGACTTAGCACTTCACAAAAGACACAAAGAACTTTTGCACTTTAATAAGAGGTTAAGAAGAAGATAATTCATTACAACAGGAAAAATATTTGAACAAACACTGCACCAAGAAAATATAGAGATGGTTCATAAGGACATGAAAAGATGTTCAACATCATTATCCATCAGGGAAATGAAAATTAAAACCATGGTGGGATATCACTTTACACATACCTGAATGTAATAAATTTAAAAGACTGTAAATAGAAAATGCCAGTGAGGATGTGGAGCAACTGGAAGCCTCACACACTGTTGGTGGAATGTAAAATTGCACACCATGATGGAAAATAGTTTCACAGTTATACAATTAAGCATACAATTAGTATATACTCCAGCAATTGCACTTGTAGGTATTTACCCCCCGTCTTCAAGATAAAGAACATGTCCACAAAAACACTTGTACACAAACGTTCATAACTGCTTTATTCCTAAGAGCTAAAAACTGTAAACAATTTAAATGTCTACACAGGTGAATAATAAACATAAGTAGTATATTCATACAATAGAATGCTACTCAACAACAAAACAAACAACAAGCAAACAAAAATGGAATACATGGAACAACATGGATGCATTTCAGAAATACTATACAGAGTGAAAGAAGAAAGACACAAAAGAGAACATATTGTATGATTCCATTTATATGAAATTAAAAAACTGGTAGAAGTAACACAGTGATAGGATTCAGATCAGGAGTTGCTTGGAGTGGGACTGACTACCAAGTGGCACTAAAGGAACTTTCTGGGATGATGGAAGTGTTCTATCTACATCTTAACCGTGGTGGCAATAGATACAGGTGTATACTCTTGCCAAAACTCACAGAGCTGTACACCTAAAATATATGCATTTTATTGTATGTAAAAGTTGGTTAAAAAATAAACACCCTTTATCAATAAAAATAACAAAACAGCAGTAAGAAAAATAAAGCCTTCAGGAATGCCTCACTGAATGGTCCTCTTACTGAAGAAAAAAGGAATTATTTTTCATCTCCAATCAGTTATGAGGAATATGAAATATTGAATAAAAATATCATAAAATTTGAGGAGAATGTGACTTTTAGCTCAAATACAACTATAATTAAACCTTTACACATTAACAAATTTAAGCTTCACAAAGGCAGGAGAGAAAGGCATTAACTACCCCATCTTCGTATTAAAGAAAAAGAGCCTCAGAGAGGTTTTAAATATCTTGTCTAGAGTCATAGTAAGGTGGAAACTGGGATTCAAAACTCAGATATTTTGGCACTAAATCCAATAACATTTCCACTATACTATGCTGTTTCTCTTCCTATTTACCCCTTTGAAAATATTTTCAATAACCAAAACTAACAATGTCCTTTCTGTTGCTAGGCCTTAAATTGCATTTCCTTTGATGCTATTAGATAGAAAAAGGCTTTTTCAGTTGGCACTGAGTTTTTTTCTGAAATCTTCTCAATCACTAGCTTCCCGAAGATGTGGGGATCTTTATCTTCCTTGCAGAAAGTTTGGAATCTTTGAACAGTCAAATTAAATTAAATCTTATAACAGCATTTTCTCCCCCCAGCCTGCATTTCTAATGAGAGCAGAAATTAGTACAACATTTCTGGAGAGCCAGTTGGCAATATGTATCAAAACTCTTGGCATATTCTTGGGCTGAGCAATTCTCCTTCTGGGAATTTATCCCAAGGCAATTATTAGAGACGTGTGTATGGATGTGTGCACAAGGATGTAGCATTATTCACAATAGCAAAAAATTGAAAACAAGTTCAATGTCTGTGTCAGAGACTGTTGTTTTCCTTCCATTCTCATCTCTTCTTCCTTAGCAATAAGAATCCTGGGTTGTAGTTGGGTACATTGTTGCCCAGTAATGCATTTCATACCTTGGCCCTCCTTTACAGCTCATTTGTGGTCATTCAAAATATTTTGTGTGACTTCTAAGAACTTGCCTTACAGGGAGGTTTTCTTTGACCTTTTTTCTTCCAGCCTACTGGATTGTGAATGTGATGGCTGGACTTGAAGCACACATGTTGGAACATGGGGCAACACTCTAAGGATGATGGAACAGCAAGACACAGGGACTCTGGGTCCTGACACTGTGGGAATCAACCATACAAGCCTGGAGTCTTATTTTACATGAAGAAATTTAAACCTCATTCTAGTTTAAGCAACTGTATTTTAAATTTCCTGTCACAAACAGCCAAATCGAATCCCAACAAATGCAGTGTTCAACAGCAAAGGGAGAGTAAAATTGTGATATAGGCACAGGGTAGAATCCCAAGCAACTGCTCAAATGACATGAAAAAATTTGCTAAGAGGAAAAAAATAAGTGACATTCAAAAGAAGGATAAACAATATTTGCAAATATTTTTATTTTTAAAATATATACATACATATATGTATGTATATATAAGCAAATTTAATTGCAATTCGCTAATTTTAAAGAAAAAGGCCATACTAACAGATAAATTTTAAAATATAGAAATTAAATATTGAGAAAGTTCTTGTCCCTGTTTGCATTTAAAAATATATGCTGTAGTTGTTATGTTGATGCATAAGTGGTTATAATTACTCTTAAGACTGTATGTGAGCCAGTTATTTAGTAGATGGGCGAATGTATATACTTTACAGCTCCTACTGCTCAAAAAGCAGAGGGACATTCTAAAGATGACATCTAGTGGTTGCTGTGGTAACCTTATAGACTACATGTTAGAAATCTTTTATGTCAGTTTCTAGAGTTGAAATTGGCATATTCTTAGCTTTAACATACAAGAACAAGGCAATAACTTGCAGTTATTAACCCTTACAGGCTGTATTTGTGATAACTGTTCAGCCTATAGAGAGCAGTGGAGTCACAGTGGAAGTGTTCAAGAGCAGCCCTACAATGATTAAAGGATCTAAAACCTGTGTTAGAATTTTCATGACAACCTTAAAGAACTGTCACTGCAGCTAACAATGAAAGTTCATGTTTATTACAGAGCACTTACTATTCAACAGGCACAGTGCTAAACGCTTTATTAACACCATCTCATTTACATCTTACAGTAGTTCTAAAAAGTAGTATTATTGTTATTTTATAAGAGAGAACAAAACTGAGACTTAGAGAATTTAGGTGAGTTGTTCTAAGCCCTATCATTAGGACACGATTGTGCCAGGATTCAAACCCAAGTCATCCGTCCACACTCATAAGCACTGCTCTATCCAGTGTCCAGGTGGTTGCCATGAAACCCGGTCTGGGTCTATCATAAACATGCACCTTTAAGGGAAATACTCTGTAGCAATGCTGGTTCATCCAGTCTAGCCTTAATCATCTACACTCATTAAACAACAACCACTTTGAGCATGACACTGTTGTGATTTCTCAAAGTATGATGCACCCTTGTTATGACATTAAAGTATAAAACTAAGCTTACAAGAATAATTGTGCCACATCATAATTTTATTTTGAAGCCTAGCTCTAAAGTAAGGCAGAATGGCTAAATGAGATAAGCCTAATAATCATGGTAGGGGAGATGCTGCACAGCTGAGGCAGTGAGAGGATGCTTCCCTAAAGAGCTGACCTTGGAATAAGCTCTAAAGCCTAGCTCCTCGGAGAGCAGCTATGGAGGGGCAGCAATGGCATGCCTTGTTTGAAATGCAGCATCTTAGACCCTACCCTAGATGTACTGAATCAGAATTTGCATTTTAACAAGATCCTCTTGAGATTTGCAGGCACATTGATGTTTGAAAAGCACTGCTTTAAAGAGCAGATAGCATTTCAGCAGCATATACAGAGGGAACAGCACCGTAGGTACAGGGAATAGCAAGAGCAAAGGCACAGTGGTGGGAATGAATAAAGCCATTTGGGGGGAATATCATATCTGGTTGAGCTGTGGCACAAACTGGAATGAAAGATGGTGAGTAGTGGGAAGATAAGTAGGGCGGAATTTATGGAGGGCTTAAGAACTACATCTTGTTCTTAAGGTAATGGGAATACCAAAGTTTTTGGTCAGAAGGTGATGTAATTTTTTTGTTGACTAGACTTTTAAAATTTATAAAATACTTAAGCTTTGTGATACACTCAGAACATAACCTTTGGGTAGGACATGACTCCACATATTTCCTTTAGCCTTCATATCACCAAACAAATCTATTATTAATAGGTATTAATTTTATGGAGGTTATTAAAAGAGAATGAAGTGAATCCTGATGGCAAAAAGAACACTTCCGAATTCTACACCTATCATGCATTTACTGTTAGGGATTTGATGGTTAAACTGACCTACGGGATTTAAAAACCCACACAATCTTGTCCTTCATGAGTAGATAGAACAAGCAGACAATGTATATTGTCCCTCTGTATTTTGCATGGGTCAGGCTCTCCTTTGCTCTCTCGTTCTGAGAAGGGCTCCCAAATCCCCCCAGGCTCCTTTGATGAGGAATCTGTAAGAGACAGAAGCTATTTTGTAAAGCTGTCAGCTGTCCTGAATAAGGCAGCCAGGAATAAGAGAAACAGATAAGAGGTACATTCTCAGGCATGAGGGGGAGCCTTGTCTGCCTTGGATTAAAAGGAGAAGGAAAGAGGATTTTGGAGGGTGGGTGAGTCAACTGAATGGAATCTTCGTCTGCAGGCTGACAGACACGTTACAGACACAAAATGAGTCAACAAAGACACCCAATGATTGGTTGAGGAACAAAGACAAGGAAGGGATAAGTGCAGCTAGACACAGGATGCCTCATATCAGGAGCAGTTGCATTTCTCAGGGAGGGTGAGTTAGAGGGAAAAGGGGAAAGGTAAAAATCAAAATCTCTGTTCCTGTACCTTGGGCCTTGCTAACTAGGACATTCTTTGTTCCCACCAGTTGGTGACTTAACCAGTTCCCTTAAGGAAGCTCAGAGACTGATATAATTGCTGGGTCCTACAAGTCAGATGTTGGGAAGATTTGCATTGCCCTCAATCAGGACTGGGCATAGCTGCTCAAAATCTGACTATATGTATGATATAGTTAACCTTCCCCAACAAATATAATGACAGATAAATGCAATTAATCTCATCCGGAAAAGGGAAACCCACACATGGTGGGGTGGGCTATGCCATTATCCATAGCCCATGAGAATATCCTGTTGGCCAGAAGATGCAGGAACTCCTTACCCTGCCGGAGGTGTGTGTTCCTAGTGTGGCCTCCCCAGATTCTGGTCGCAAAAGTGGTCTTTCTTAGCTTTTGTCCTTTGTGACCACAACTAAGCTGGTCATTAAGGATGATATTTCAGGGGCTTTGCCAACATAACAGGCCATTTATAATTGGGAGTTCAGCTGTCACAGTCCCTTGTTTGCCAGGTAAAAGTTTTGTGTTTATTTGCATTTGATTAACTCCACAATCAAAGCTGGAGATAATTCAAATTTACTCAGAGCCTAGCGATTTTCATCTTCGAGTATGGATCTTGATGATTTGTTCATGCCCTTAGCCCTCAGCTTAAATGACTTCTCCCTGAGCCTCTTCAGGGCCATTCAGAATTTCCTGGGGTGGAGGTCACAGCTAATATTCCCCTTTTGCCCCCAGGTTGCATCTCAGGGGATGGTTTTTGCTGAAGGTTGACTGCCATTTTTCTTCAATTAGATATGCCAGACTTAAGGAGAGTTTGGAGGAGACGTGGGGCTGAAGACTCTGTGAGGCTTCACTCTTATCTCCTTGATTATGTTTTCCTTTCATTTTCTTGCACTAACTTTACTTTGATGGAGAAAAGTTTGCATATTCTGTCCTTAAAATTTGCCAGGTTGCTGACTTTCAGCTCTCCTGGTTTGTTGGCCTCAGTCAGAAAGGGTCTATTTTAGTGATATTATATTTTCTTCTCTTTCTGCTTTCTGAGGGACTATGTTCAGTAGAAGACTAAATTTTTCTTATAAATATATATGATCCCTTCCAATTCCTGACTCTTTGGTCTCTGGCTTTAACAGACACACAATCCGTGTCTCAAAATATGAGCAGCAGCTTACCAGCAGCTGTGCAATCACCTAAGAAGAATGCAGATCAGCCTCTCAACTTAGTATTGGTAGGTCTCCATGAACCTCCTCCTAGATCCTCTCAGCTAATCACTCTTGTTAGGGTCTTTTACTTACAATTTCTTTCCCAATTTGGAATTTGTTTTGATTGTTTAGGGAGTCAGTGACAGAAATCCAACCACTAATTGGCTTAAACATATTGGGGGAACTTATTTCACTTAAATGAAAAATTCATTTGGAGATCAGGTATGGTTGGATATAAAAGCCATCTCAGCTCTTCTTTGCAAAACACTGATTTTATTCTCAGGCAAGCATTCCCAACCTGGTAGTTTCACATCCCAGCCTTTATCTTCTAAACTCAGCAACTCCAGGGGAGAATTATATCTCTTTCATAGTCGTTGCAGCAATAATCCTGGAGGTGATCCCCAATGGCTAAGAAGGACCTGGGTTGGGACACATGTACCTGTCTGGATAAGTCACTGCAGCTAGTTGGATGGAATGCTCTAGTTTGGCTAAGCCTGGGTCATGTGGCCATCCTAACAGCAAGGGTGGGGGTCTATCATACCCTACTTGCATGATTAATTTGGTGAAGGGATGGATTCTTAAAAGAAAACTAGATGCTGAGCAGGTAAAAACAACAAATGTCTTTCATGTCCTGATAGGTCAGTTTTGAAGTTGATCCAAGAAACCAGTTTTTATACCCAAAGAAACTCTGCAGGTCAAAAAATTAAATATAGAAAAAATATAAAGATTCTAAAAAACCAATTTTATCACATGTGGCTGGGGCAACTCTGAAATATTATTCAGCAAATTCCACTTATTGGTGAAGCCTCATATAATATACTAGTTCCACATACTAAGCCTATGATCCTTTAGTCAGTCTTCTGGTTTCAAATTCAGATGATGTTATGTGGTAAGTATTTCACAGAAATCGTATGAAATGGTGGGAACTTCACCAGTGTTCCACAAATACTAATGATCCCCTTTTATGCTATAGGCACTGAACTAGGGACTGGGATACAAATTTGATGAAGACATGGTTCATACCCTAGAAGGACTCAGAATGGGGGGTAAGACATATACTTTAAATAAATAAATCACAGTGTATTGTGAAATGCCTATGACAAAGGACACAGTTGTCTTCTAAAGTCCCACAGATTGCTAGGCACTGGGCTTTTTTCTCCTCTCACATTTTCTTCCTTAAATTTCGAAGCAGCTCCTCAGGGTAGGCATTATTCCCTGAAGATATTGAGGTTTGAAGAGATGAAGTCTTTTTGGTCAACCAGCTAGTGAGTAGAAGGAAGTTTTGGGAATTCTATTTGGAAGTACTTTATTTCTCAGTATTTGGGAATACTACAAAAGCATGACCATTCTTTTAGCCATCCACAAGTTTTGGGACCATTTATTTTTTTCATCTCCATCTTGCAGAGCTTATCTGTCATGAAGTCCTACCAATTCTTCCTAAGTAATGTTTCTCAGGTCTCACCCTATACTTCTTGCTACACATGGGTCAGGCTTTCAACATCCTGTACCTAGATGGCAGGGGCACTTTAAATGACCTTCTTTTTACTTTCGGTCTGTCTTTAATTCATTCTGCTACTAAGTGGGTTTTTGAGGTTGGCAAAAGTTGTACACCATACAATACTGCCTTGATTATTTATTTAATAAATATTTATTACAAGGCAGTCATTGTGCTGGATGCTGCTTTAAAGCTTCACATAAAGCACAATCATTTTTAAGGATTTCATCAATGTTTAGAAAGGCAATCATCCATATTTTCCTAATAAAACACACATCAACAATCCTTTGCTCCACAAACCTCAATGGTTTCTGACTGCTGTCTTAAAAGTGTTGAAAATTTTTAGCTTAGCATCAAGGTCTTCCTCAGCTATGCCATCCATTCATACTTGTTCTGCATATTGTTCTTGACCCATGCACTGCAACCAACTGGCCTACTCAGTCCCTGTAGGGTCTGTGCCTGCCCTTCTCCACATCTTGTTCACATCATTCCTAGGTTCTCTCCATTACTGGAAATTTTGGCTGATTGTGATCTTTTTCACTTTTTTTTGAAGATGAGTCTCCCTCTGTCACCCAGGCTGGAGTGCAGTGGCACGATCTCAGCTTACCGCAACCTCCACCTCCTGGGTTCAAGTGATTCTCCTGCCTCAGCCTCCTGAGTAGCTGGGACTACAGGTGGGCACCACCACGCCCAGCCAATTTTTGTATTTTTAGTGGAGACGGGGTTTCACCATGTTGCCCAGGCTTGTCTCGAATTCCTGGCCTCAAGTGATCTGCTTACCTCCCAAAATGCTGGGATTACAGGTGTGAGCCACCATGTGCGGCCTGATGGTAAACTTATCTGTAAACTCTGAGATGGCTTCTCATTTGTACTTCCTATAACTTGGTCTGTGTCATTGGCACTTGTGACCTTCTCTAAACTATGGTGAGTTAATTTTTTTAATGTGTAAGTATTTTCTTCTAACAAGGCTGTTTGCTTCATTGCATTACCAATATGTGATTAAACATCTTTTGATAAAGGGCTTGAAAGTGTTCTAATTGCTGGTGGACATGAGCTTTTGTGCAGAGTAGGAATAGAGGGACTCAGCTAAGAGGAAAAGAGATGAGGACAAAATAAGGCACAGAAGAAAAATTGCTTCTCAGTCTTAATTTTTAATTTTTATTCTTTTTTAGAGACAGAGTCTCACTCTGTTGCCCAGGCTGGAGTGCGGTGGCATGATCATAGCTCTCTGCAGCCTTGAACTCCTGGGCTCAAGAGATTCTCCCCCTCAGCTTCTTGAGTAGCTAGGACTACAAGTGCACACCACCACACCTGGCTTTTTTATTTTTATTTTTATTTTTTGACTTTTTGTAGAGAGGGGGTCTTGCTATGTTGCCCAGGCTGGTTTTAAACTCCTGGCTTTAAGTAATCCTCCTGCCTTGGCCTCCGAAAGTGCTGGGATTACAGACATAAGCCACTGTACCTGGCCCCTCAGTCTTTAATTTTTATCCTTCATCTTGCTTTGATACATTCTCTGGTGAAGGAGAAAGCCTCTTGCTTGCAGGGTGGGAAGGACACAAAGCATGAACCAGTAACTGAAAGTCAAGTACCAAAGTCAATTTCACTAACTCACTTTGGATTAATGAGCCAAAATGGTAATTTTTTTTTTTTTTTTTTTGAGACAGAGTCTCACTCTGTTGCCCAGGCTGGAGTGCAGTGGCGTGATCTTGGCTCACTGCAACCTCTGCCTCCTGGGTTCAAGCGATTCTCCTGCCTCAGCCTCCTGAGTAGCTGGGATTACGGGTGTGTGCCACCATGTCCAGCTAATTTTTGTATTTTTAGTAGAGACGGGGTTTCACCATGTTGGTCAAGCTGGTCTCGAACTCCTGACCTCGTGATCCGCCTGCCCCAGCCTCCCAAAGTGCTGGGATTACAGGCATGAGCCACTGTGCCCAGCCAGTAAAATGTTTTTTTATTATTCATTGATTTAATTTCCTTCATGCAGAGATTTTAATAATACCAGTAGTTTAAGAAGTAATTTTATGTAGGATTTAAGATTCACAGTTTTGATAATATTTTTATTATTTTTATTAATATAATGATCTTTACGGGAAACTTTTTTTCTAAATGAAGACTACATCATTTAAATCCTTGTTTTATGTTGAGGGGAACTTGTGATTGGTGTTGATATTTTATAGAGGTTTTCTGTGATTTTATCTGGGTTAAAGCACTTAAGTAGTGAATAAAATATCATTTGTTTCTATGCTACTCTTGTAGAGGGTGTTTTGGCTGACTTCAGGGCTGAGTTATTTTCTCTGAAATGATTTCACAGGAAAAAGACCAGCAATTTGCTGACAACTTTTGTTATAAATAACCGCATAGTCAAGACCTAATAACAAATTGATTATACAATGGGGTAACAAGAATGTGAGATAATGATACTTGTTATGAAATAACTTAAAACAATTTCTCTCTGCTTTGGAGACTCATACTGCTGAAGATTGACTTCAGTTTTTTCAAGCAATGATTTAAAAAAAGAAAATTTTAAAAAAGCTGTTAGGTTGATTTGTTTTCTTTCAAACAGTCTTAATAGCTTCAATTTCTGGAACTTACTTCTTGAAGACAGTAACATTGCACTTGATAATATTTTGCTCATTCGTCTCCAGAATGTTTGTTCAGTTGAGAAATGAAAATGGGTCTCAGTATAGTACATACAGTGATTTGTTCTAAATGGCACTAAACTGTTTCTGGCCTAGGGAAGTATTAGTTCAGGGTCCTGTGTAACTTGATGCTTACTCTGACACATGGATGCAATAATCCAGCCAAATTTGCAAATTAGAAACTTTCTTATGGCTTAATTTTTTCCCCAAACATATGTTGTTGGTTTTCTGTAATAGGAAAGGGGAAATATGCAAAGGCACAGACAGTATTCATTAGGGTGCTAATATTTTCCCATGTTTTTGATGAAAGTTGCGTTTCTTTACATACAGTGTGCTCTAGTGTGTGGATACATTGGTGTTATGTGTTCAATAACACAGAAAATCTTTTATTTAAATGATTGGAATATAAATCCTGTTTTTCAGATCTGATTTCTTGACATTTGCGGGGAACACTAGCATATCTGTTGCTTTTGTTTTAGGAACAAAAGTAAACTCTGTAGGGAGTTCACCAAAATCCTCACCCTTTAAAACCAAACTAAGAGGAACAAATTGTTGCTTCATTCACATTTTGGTCTTCCTGTGGTATGGTATCCCCCTTCAGTCTATTGTTTGTTTTGCTTTATCTTTGACTCCAACAGAGATCAAAACACATTTTTTTTTGAATTATAGTTTGGCAATATGCTGGCAAATGGGAAAACACATAACATAAAGCAAATTTTTTTCCACAATGCTTTTAATATTCAGACAGATTTTTATCTAACAGAGTCAACAGAATGTAACATGAGTGTACCAGCAGCCCAGAGCTGTAAACACAGCTTCCTGATGACATATCCCTAGGGGGACAGATCATACAGTTTCTATATTATTCAGCTTGTTATTCTACTGGCACAGAACTGATTTTTGCTTCAGAAAAATGTTTCTTTTCTGAAACTCCAGCTGTCTCTCATTCATAAAACGGTGTTTTAATAAGGTGGTTGTTTAGTATGAAACAATGATAGCGCTAATAATGAATCACTAACAATATGGCACACTTCTTATCATGGATGGTCTACTTTATGCCAAACAGCTGGAGGAAACGTGGGGGAAAATGCAATCAAGCATTTGAATATCATAGCTGGATGTTTCCAAACATAAGTATCCAGATGCTTAGTTTTGTGGAGGTAATATGTTTGATTGCTTGCTTTTTAAAATATTTTATCTGGATCTTTTGATGTTCTGTAGGTGGAGTCATGGACTGTTCTTCATTTTCAGTATGCTGAATGATTTTTCTGATCATGGATAATCAGAAAAACAGTAATGCTGAAGACTAGCTGAGAGTAGGCCTGGCAGGAACTGTGTGAGCTAAAGGAGAAGAGGAAGACATGAGACTTGGACTGTGGTTAAATGGGTCCCTCTCCTGGCTAATACATATGGAAGCAGGCACCTTTTAAAGACATCAGCTAAAGCAGATTCAGTTTTCAGTTAAGGGACATATAGCAATTATGATGTTCGGTGGAAGAACCAGATTCTCTTGTCTTCCCTGAGACCCAGAGGCTGAATAACCAGGAACTTCCAGAGATACTTGGTTCTCAGAAAGAAAGAAAGCTGTCCAACATGCCATTGAGGATACTGGCTTAAAAGAAGTCTGTTCTTACCAGGCTGAAGTAGAGCTCTTCTCTTCCTCAGACAGATGCCTCATTAGGCAAAATTAAAAATCTAGGAAAATAGAGTACTTTTTCTTTTTAGGATCTCAGAGTACCCCGCTCAAATGAACTCATGCTTCCCAGTATACTTCCCCAATACCGGTCACCGGTACTTGTAATTAGAGTCATTGCCAAATGCTTCACTAAATGAAAACCCCTGAAAATTAATTATCTCATCAAAGATGGCTCACTTTCAGAACAGGATTCATATGTCCTGGCATTGAAATAAATGCCAACTGCCTCCTCGGAATGAAAGGAAAAAAAAGTCATTTACTGACATGTCCCTGCAGGAATCAATAACATTACAGATCATAGAGGAGACAAGAATAGCCTGGGCATATTAATAACTCCGCCTACTCACTGATTTGAGATGACTAGTTAAATAACATTCTGCACTGATGAGGACTCCATGGCACGAGGAACAATGTCATCATTAACATGTGAGACTGTTTAGCATTTTGAACACTTCACACATAAAAAGAACTTAACACAGGACTATTTATTGGGCTTTAGACAGATGGTTTAATGTTTTTTTAGCCTTCAGCCTATCAGACCACCCGTGGTTTCCTTCAGCCAAGGGCTTTTAAAAAATAATTGGTCTACAGCAATTTTCTAACAAGACTGACTGCAATATATTTCTCTAAATCTTTTTCTTACCCTTAAGTATCCCTTACAGTGGTTTGTGGTTGACAGACTTCTCTGTCTGATACTGGTTCCTCACATATAAGTAATTACTGACATAAAAGGAGATGAAGGGGCTGAAATTTCATCATTAATGGTTTCTTTGCTGTAGAAAAAAACTATTTAGAAATGATTATTTTGGAAAACAGTTCTTCCCTAATTAGACATTGCCTGACACTCTAGAAGATGTTTCCCAAAAATCTTTCAATATAGGAAATGACAACCCAACATAGATGGGTAACTGTAGGTGGCAGAGGATGCATTGCACTAAGCATGTATACGTTTATCTTAAAATGGTAAAGAGGGTCAAATGTGCCTCTGTGTGGGGAATATGTGAGTCTGCTTAGGAAGGAGTAAAGTGGCTGTGGATTCCTGCTCTTATTGTCGAAGCGAGGCCAGTACAATGGAAAAGCAAGCAGGATGTGTTTTTATAGTGCAGAGATCTTAATAACCACCTGCACCACCCTGGCCACTGGTCAGCTCTTCAGGCCCTTCTGTGGGTCCTTTAGTGAAACAGCATGGCCCAGAGGCCCAGAGACTGTGGACTGGCCCAAATGGATGATTATTTGCATATTCTTCTGTATGTAGCTCCCCCAGTAGGGTTCTGAAGAGGCATGCTTAGGCTTGGGGCAGAGAAAAGCAAGTATATAGCAGAGAGGACTTAGTGATGGGATGTTCTAAGGGGAAAAGTGTTTTCTGACTGAGCACTCGGCACTCGGGAGGGCTTGAGAAGCCTGAAAGTCTTAGTGCAGAGCTTGCGATTGGCTTTTCTCTTTGAGGAATAAATGTCTCGCTGGAGGCTCAGATTTCCTGCTGACACTTCATGCAGGGTTGGATTGGAGTCCTTGCTGATTCTGTGGCTGCTGCTAGTGTCAGGATTTTGTACCGATACTGTCAATTTCCTCACCTGTGAGGAAGACACCCCTGGCACCAGCGTCGGTGTTTTGTCTGATCACGTCCAGTTTAATTCGCAGCGCGAGGTGCCAAGTCAGTTTCAGCTGATGAAACAATTCAACAGCTCTCTGCTCCGGGTGCGCGAGGGCTACGGGCAGCTGACCGTCGGGGACACCGGCCTGGACTGCGAGGCGCTGTGCGGCCAGGCCCCGCAGTGCGTGCTGGTCTTCGACGTGGTCAGCTTCTCGCAGGAACAGTTCCTGCTGGTGCACGTGGAGGTGGAGGTGAGGAATGTCAACGACCACGCGCCGCGCTTCCCCCGGGCCCAGATCCCGGTGGAGATGTTTGAGGGTGCGGCCGTGTGCACGCACCCTGGAGGTGCCGGTGGACTAGGACGTGGGCACCAATGGGCTGCAGAGCGTGCGCCTGGCCCAACCGCACAGCCCCTTTTCGCGTGGAGCTGCAGAAGCGCGCGGACGGCGCTCAGTGTGCGGACCTGGTGCTGCTGCAGGAGCTGGACCGCGAGAGCCAGGCCGCCGACAGCCTGGAGCTGGTGGCCCTGGACGGTGGCCGCCCGCTGCGCTCCGCCACGGCTGTCTTCAACGTGTGTGTCCTGGACGCCAATGACCACAGCCCGGCCTTCCCGCAGGGCACGGTGGCCGAAGTGGAGCTGGCGGAGGCGCGCCTGTGGGCTCCCTGCTTCTTGACCTGGACGCAGCCGACCCCGACGAGGGCCCTAACGGCGACGTGGTGTTCGCTTTTGGCGCCTGCACCCAGAGGGAGGCGCGCCGCCTCTTTCAGCTCGACCCGCGGTCTGGCCGCCTCACTCTGGCCGGGCCCGTGGATTACCAGAGTCAGGACACCTACGAGCTGCACGTGCGGGCGCAGGACCGCGCTGCCGCCTGCAAGGTCATCCTGCGCATCCGCGACGTCAATGACAACGCGCCCGACATCGCCATCACCCCGCTGGCCGCCCCAGGCGCGCCGGCTGCCTCGCCCTTCGCCGCTGCCGCCGCCGCCGCCGCCGCCGCCGCCGCCGCCGCTGCCCTCGGGGGAGCGGACGCTAGCTAGTCGGCGGGAGCCAGGACGCCCGAGGCTGGCGCCGCCACGCTGGTGCCGGAGTGGGCGGCGCGCGAGAGTCTGGTGGCTCTGGTCAGCACTTCGGACAGGGACTCGGGCGCCAACCGGCAGATGCGCTGCGCCCTCTACTGGCAGGTGCACTTCCGGCTGCAGCGGGCCTACGCGGGCAGCTGCCTGGTGGTGACCGCGGGGTCGTTGGACCGCGAGCCCATCGCCTAGTACAACCTGACGCTGGTGACCGCGGACCGCGGCGCGCCCCCGCTGTGCACCAGGAGGCCCTACACGGTGCGCGTGGGCTACGAGAAAGACAATGCTCCGCTCTTCACGCGGCCGGTCTATGAGGTATCTGTGAGTGAGAACACCCCGCCCAGCGCCTACCTGGCCACGGTGGCCGCCCTGGACCCGGACCTGGGCCCCAACGGCCAGGTCACCTACCGGCTGCTGGAGGCCGAGGTGGGCCGCGCCGGGGGCGCTGTGTCCACTTAGGTCTCGGTGGACCCAACCACCAGGAGCTGCGCGCTCGACGGCTCTTTGACTGCGAGGAGCTGGCGGAGATGCAGCTGCGGTTGGAGGCGCTAGACGGCTGCTCTCAGCCGCTATGGGGCCTGGCCATAGTGTGGCTGCAGGTGGAGGACCAGAACTACCACGCGCCCCGCCTGGTGGCCCCACTGCTCTCCCACGGCTCAGCCCAGCTGCCTCTGCCCTGGGATGCGCCACTGGGCTACCTGCTGACCCGTCTGCAGGCAAAAGACGAGGACTAGGGCGCCGACGTCGAGCCGACTTACTTAGTCCTCGACAGCGACGGCGGCCCCGGGGTGCTGGCGCTGCACCCGGCTTCGGGTGAGCTGTCTCTGCAGCGCCGCCTGTCCCCGAAGCCCGCCGGCCCGCTGACGGCGGTCATCGCGGTGCGGGACTGAGGCCGGCCCACTCTGAGTGCACAGCCACACTGCTTCTCGTGCCCGCGGGCCGGGCGCCACCTGGCGCAGAAGTGGTGCTGATGCCGCCGCCGCACGAGAGAGGAGAGCCACGCATCAGGCAGCGAATGGGAGGGCAGCTTGAACCCTCCCTGTTCTGGTGGGTGTTTTGGCCAGCGGCTGCATCCTTCTGCTAGTGGCCATCATCACTGTGACTTGTTCTTGCCAAGGCAAGGCTAGGACGCTGGTGAAGAAGATCCGTGAGCACTCCCCAAGCAGATTTCAGGCAACGAGTGACCATGCTGGTCCACGTGTCAGAGCCATAGGGGCTGACTCTGGGGGCTTCTGCTCCAGGTTCTTTATAGACACACGGACAGTTTCCATTTCCACAGGGGCCCAGGCGTTCGAGTCTGTGGAGGATTCCTAGTCTGAGGTCAGTGAGGTGTCTCGGAGCTCCTCTTGTCGGGAGAGGAGCAGGACTGCATGGGCCCAGGTAGGGCACCCCTGCCGTTCTTAGTGTCCTCATTCTCTTGGAGTAGTTTTTCATGCTAGGAGCCTTATGAAAATTCAGTGCTTGATTTGGGACTTCAAATGGCTGATATTTCCGGGCTTGTTTTTTTTTTTTTTTTGGAAAGGAAAAATTATCCACAGGCAAGGTTAGGGGGAGACTTGATTATCACATGTTCATTCATGTAGGCCCATGTCTGTTTCTGCTGTTTTTGCCTATGATAACTTCCTTTGCGTACAATTTGGATACAGTCGACCCTCAGGTTAATGCTGTTTCTGAAGCACTCCGGATGAGGAATGCGGCGCCTGCTCTGTCGGGTTTGATATTAGACGGTGAAATATTATTAACTGCTGCTCTCACCCCTTTTTAAAAATAGGGTTCAATCTCAGTTCCTTTTCATTCCTCATCCCCTTATGGAGAAAATAAATCTGCGGCAAGTTTAAGGTAATTTCAGAATATATGTTGTTATCTCTAAGCAATGTGTTTGACATTTTATACATTTTTATGGATACCAAAGTAATTCTTTCCTTTTCACTTTCAGTATACATTCAAATCTAGATGAATTCAGTATGAAGGACAGTGGAAAAGGAGACAGTGAATTGAATGACAGCCATTTGGATATCAGCAGAGAGGGTTTCAAGAAAACATCCTTTCAAATGATTGCAAAACAAGGGGGTAAGTTCAAACCTGTGGCTTTGAAGCTCTTCCTCTCAAAGCATCATAAGACTCATTCCTGACTTAATTACACTACCAAATAAGTGGCCCCAACTATATATTCATAGAGGGAGTGTCTCGGTCATTTCAGGCTGCTTTAATAAGATACCATAGACTGGGTGGTTTAAACAACAAACATCTGTTTCTCATAATAGATAATGAATTTTATATAGGCTAAGATTCCATTTGCTGGAAACCTATGAGTATGTGATTTTGTTTGGCTTTGCTTTGTTTACAGAATGCTGCACCAACGCAACCTCATTCTATCCAGTCCATCTGCTGTGTCATTTGGGGGTGTGCTTTAGGCCCAATTCTCTGTAATGGTGTCTGGTAATGGAGTGATAGCTCCTGTGGTGAAGACATTATCAATTATGAGGTATTTTGTGTTAGTCTCCATGAAAATGGGCACTAGATCTTTAATCTCTAAAAGAAAATATCTTACTTAAAGAGGAGTCCTAATGGTATGTCCTACTGACTCAAATGCCTCTTCACCATAACAGGTGTTTTTGCACAATCTATGTTCATTTCCTTTGACTTTTTTTTTTTTTTTTAATGAGGGGCTTCCAGAAGCATCCACCTCCTGGTTACCTTCCTCTGAATATTCTCTAGTGTTCAACATATTTCCTAAAATGAGGAACATGAAGTTGTATACAGTGATTCGGTACCAGCCTCTCTTCTGAGGTCCAAATTCGTTTACACAACTGCCTACTCAACATCTCCATTTGGATTCTGAATGGACACGCTATATGTTCAAAACTAAACTCTTGGTTTCTATTCTCCAAACCTGTTTTTCCTCTAGTGTCGATATCTCAGTAAAAATGACACATCTATTCACTTAGTTGCTTGCTCTGGCTTAAATCCTTGGTGTTATTCTTGATTTATTTCTTCCTACACACAACTTTCAATCCATCAGCAAATTCTGTGGAATTTTCTTTCAAAATATATTCTCAATCAATTCACTTCTCACCACATTCATTGCTACCACTCTACCCCAGGCACTGTCATCACTTGCCCGGCAATGGCACTAGCCTCAAACTTGGCTCCTCTGCTTCTACTCTTGCCCTCTTGCAGACCATTCTGCATATGAGAACTAGACTGGTCTCTTACTTCATAAATCAGGTCACATTACTCAACTCTCCAAATACTTGTCACTTAAATAAAATCCCAAATCCTTATCATGATGTCTTAATTACTATTGCTGTGTAACAGGCCAGGCTAAAATGTAGTGGCATAAAACAACCATTTTTTTATGCTCGTGGATTCTGTGGTCAATTTAGACAAGGTATAGCAGGGATGGCTTATCTTTGCTTCAAAGTATCTGGGGCCTTAGCTGGGATGATATGATGGCTGGAGGCTGGAACCGTCTGAAAACTTCTTTAGTTACATGCCAGGTTTGTGGGCTGGGATGAGCCAAAGTTTAGGAGAGCTGACTTGGTGGAGTGGGAAAAAGGGCAGCTTCATGTTCTCTTTACACGTGGCTTGACTTCTCACAGCGTGGCAGCCTCTGCAAAGTCACATGGCAGCTCGGGCTGCAAACATGAATGATTCATCCAACAGGACAGAAGTCACATCTTCTTTTATGACCCAGCTTCTGAAATTACATGATCATTTCTGTCATATTCTATAGTCCAAGCTGTCTTAAGCCCATCCAGATTCAAGTGGCAGGGACAAAGACCCTGTGCCTACCCTAGAAAATTGTCAAAGAGTTTTGAGGTTCATGTTTGTAAATCAGCCACACATGACTCATAAAGTCCTGCATTATCTTGCCCTTGGCTCTTTCTTCTACCTGATTTCTTACCCCTCTTCTCCAGGATGTTTTAGATCATCTTATTGGCCTTCTTGTGTTTTTTGAATACACAACGCATCTCTCCATCTCAGACCTCAGGGTCTTGCTGTTCCCTCACCTGGTAAACTTTCTCTAGATACCCATATTGCTTCCCACCTTCATTTAGGCCTTTGTTCATATGTCCATCTAATCAAAAGAGGTCTTCCAAACCTCAGATTGCCCCTCCTCCCTGTCACTCTCCATCTTCTTTACTCTGCTTTATTTTCTTTCCTGGCATTTATCACTCCCTGGCATTATTTGTATATTTATTTGTTTATTATTTGTCTCTTGTTCCATGTTGAATGGCCACCATCAGATATATACCGAAACAAAAAAACAGAGCTAAACAAAAATCAGCAAATTTACTGGGTGGATAAATGAAAGGTGTGGTCTAACCAGCGCATACATTGAAACTTGTATGACTAGTTCTTATGATCATATTGCACTTTAGATTAGTGTAAAATTGTATTGGTATTTTTTGGAAGTTCCATTGTACTCCCTAACTTTCTGAAAAATTTTAGTGTCATCTTAAAACTTGAAGATTCTATAGTGAATTTATGTTTCCGGGTCACTTAGCGTTAAATTAGCCTTTTCGAAAGAATCAAAGGACCAGAACTCCTATTGTTTATATTTTCTATTTAGGAAATTACCAGCTTATTCTTGTCTTAGTTTCTTCTTCCTAATAATAAGCATGATAACTCAAAGTGCTGCTATGGCAAACGATAATGTGATCAAGGCAATGCATTCAACCTGAGAGAATATTTCTTCTTAGTAATAATAGTCACAACGTTGCTTCTTACCTGTATTCAACAAAAACCTTTTATTTGTTTAATAACATTTACAGAGGACTTCTTATGTACCAGAAACTGTTCTAGGTACCTTATAAATATTAAACTCACTTGAGTCATGCAACAATGCTATTAGGCAGGTACTATCATTTGACCCCATTTCACACATGGGAAACTCAGGCACAGAGCTGTTCGAGTAATTTGGTTGAGGCCGCTCAGCTGTGAGGGGCAGAGCTTGGTCTCCAACCTGGGAAGTCTGGTTCTAGAGTTCATGCTTTTAATGTTCTGCTGTAGCATATTTTTCTGCAGGTTCTTAAACACTTATTTTATGAGTCTTTTAAAGATTTAGGGCCAGTTTACATTCCTGAGGATGTTTCTGTCTTTGAGTTTGAATGAGATGCTCTGATTTATGGTTTGGTTTATCCTCCAACTCTCTGCTGCAGTTTCTTATAAAACTTTTAGTGGGATTATTGAAAGGATGACACATAGGTAATGGCAAGATAATTGAATTACATGTTGATAGCAAGGAGATAAGAAGTTTAATGAAAATATTTTAATTTTTTTGCATCTTTTAATAGTTAACACAGAGCATAAATGAATGAATAAATATACTACCAGCCCTCAGAAACTTCATTTTAGATTGTAATTTCACCCATTCCTCCCACCAAACCTGTATTAAAGATTACAGCAAATAGTTTAATTGACTTGCTTGAATTTTATTTCCACTTCATTTCCTCAGTACACCAGCAGGTGGAGGTGCAAGTCATTGGCAGAAAATCCAGAGGAAGAAAAAAGCAAACAGCTAGAAAACCAGCCCGGGAACAACTGAATATTGTTTACATTTTAAAGTATATTTCTATGTAGCATTCAGTTTTAAACTATTCTCTTTTTTCCAAGTTTTTTTTTCAGATTATTCAGGATGAAAAACATTCAAGGATCCTGAAAAATTAAACCAGGAATCTCAAACCAGCAAAAATTGTTCATCACGTCATGAAAATAGCTACAGGGTTGAACTTTCTTCAAGTACCCTTTACCCTCACATTTCCCAGATGAAAAATACAAATTTCCAACCAGAACACTCAGAACTCAATTGATGTTCTTTTCAAGTCTGTGCCTCCCAAGTGAAGGGCTGCCAAGTGTCTATGACAGAGTTCAAAACTGCAGACCAGCAATGCCACTTCCCCATTGTTGGACAGAATGATGAATTAAATCATCCTTCAGTGGATGGATCACCTTCACATACTTCAGAAAATGCCACTTCATTCTAAAAAGCTGCAATTCACATAGATGGTCATTTCTGTCAAGTGTTTACAAGCCAGGTTACATGCATGAGCCTTCTAGTTTTGATATACATTTTCTTAAATTAAGTTGACAATCCGTGACACAGCACAGGATGATTTTATAGAATCTAGGATATTTTACCAAAAAGTCTTAAAAGTGGTCTTTATTGCCATGAATATAATAAATGATCATGAATTTTATATTCTAGTACCTTTTATGAATATAAATATTCAGTCTAGCTACTCATTTACATTTGAATGTGTATGTGATTCTACTGCGAATGCAATTCAACTTCAGAATAACTTTAAGTTGAATTAAGAACCTGGACCCGGACCTTAATCATGAGACCCAGTGAGGAGGAAGAGGAAGCTGTGGGCAGGCAGTATTTGAGTGGGGGTTACTCAAATTGTCTCTCTAGCCTGGCTTCTGAGAGAGTTGCTGAGTGTTTCATGGGTATAACAGTGGCAGATTATGGCAGTGGGTGAAAATCAAATGGCAGTGGCTGATGATGTGTTTCTGGGCACTTATCCCATTCACAGCATCAGCTCAATCAGAGGCTGCGGCTACAGGGAGGAGCATGGTGAGAGAGAGCGAGAGAGAGAGCGAGAGAGAGAGAGAGCAAGAGAGAGTGAGTGTCTTATGGCCTCAGCCATCTGGGCTAGAGTTCCTAGCAGAACTCCTTCCTAGCTATGAACAGGATGCTAGGAGAAAACTGAGGCATAAAAGCAAGGATTAAAGGAAGAGTTGGGCCCCAAATGTAGTGACTTAAAAGCTACTTGAGCAGCTGGGCTTCATCTGGGTCCAACCAGATCCAGGGGCAGCAAGGCTGGGTGATGAGATGGAAGCATCTGATTGTGTCTTGTTTTCTGTAAGATTGGCTCGGACTGTGGGAAGAATTGAGTCAGCAAACTGCAGGATGTTTTGTGTCTCCAACTAGAAGAGCCTGGGGGTCATTAAGATTTGATGGGCAGGAACTGTGCTGCCCAATACTATAACCACTAGCCACATGTGGCTGTTTAAGTTTAAATGAATTACAACTGAATACAATGAAAAATGCTTCAGTCTCAGACAGAGTCACTATAAAATGTTTCCATCATCACAGAACGTTCTGATGGACGGCATTGGTCTGGAAGAAGGGATGAGCCGGAGGTCTACCTTCACAGGCTGGGAATTGAAGGTAGCCAATGACCCACTGTCCTTGCTCAGCACATATATGGGGAAATGTGTGTTTTTGTCTGTTTTCCACCCTTCCAAATGTGGAGAACTAACTAGCTCATGACAGTTAGCCTTTTAATGTTTCATGTATTTTAAAATGAATTGACACATTATTCATTATATAATCTTTGAAAAAATGTCTAAAGGCAAGAATTCTCAATGGTAGAAGGTTTTCTGTAGGCTGGAGAATTTCTAAAGGCTCCTCTGCTATAGTGCCTTAAATTTATAGTCCTCATATTCATTCCAATAACTTCAGAGATTTTGTAGCAATAGTCAGATAAAACCTACTGCTCTTACTCCTAAACTCTCCCAAAAATAATTCAGCAGTTTTTAAAACCAGTAATTTATTCCTTAGCCACGCTCAGGCAAGAAGCTAGGAAGAACTTCAATCCTTTGGCCACTGGTCTGCCATAGAAAATTACTGCTGTTGGAAATTAGTTTCTGAGTCCCATGTTATCTTCGAGAGTCAGTGTGTCCTCTGAAGTGTGAGCTTTCCAGATCGGGTGGTCTAGGCCCCAGAGAGACTGTGGCAAATGTGAATGTTCCTTGCTTTATCTGATACATATCTTAAAAGTAAATTGGACACCTGTCTTTTGGGTTACATCTAATAATATTTGAAAATTTTAGAGTAATTTTTTGTGTAAGTGCATTCTGTGGGAAACATTTTTTAAAAGCTGAGAATCTAAAACTTTTCCTCAAATTTACAAATGTAGAATTAGATATTTTTACTTTTCTTAAAATGAGGCTCTCATGTGTTTGTGATATTAGCTTCTACCTTAATTATGATTCCTAAAGCAATTTATAACTCCTGAATCTTGTCTGTTTATGATTGCATTCCTAAGAATAATAATAGGCAATCTTTATCAAACACTATATGCAAGGTTCTGTGCTAAATGCTTTACATGAATTATTGTTTTTACACCTTGTAACAATCCTAGGAGGTAATTATATTACTACTTTAATTTTATAGATGAGGAAATGAGTTTAAAGAGGGTAATATGCTTGAGGTTACACAGTAAGCAAATGAGCTTAGAGTTTAAAAAATTATGGTATAGGCTGGGTGCAGTGGTTCACGCCTGTAATCCTATCATTTTGGGAGGCCGAGCAGGTGGGTCTCTTGAGCCCAGGAGTTCAAGACCAGCCTGGGCAGCATGGTGAAACCCCATCTCTACAAAAAATATAAAAATTAGCCATGCATGGCAGTATGTGCCTGTAGTCCCAGCTTCTCAGGAGGCTGAGGTGGGAGAATCACTTGAGCCTGGGGAGGTTGAAGCTGCAGTGAACTGTGATCACACTACTGTACTCCAGCCTGGGTAACAGAGGGAGACCCTGTCTCAGAAAAAAAAAATTACGGTATAACACTAAAGTGCATGAGTTTCGAGTTTACAGCCAGATGAAGTTTTATATATATTCACTCTTGTAAGCACCACCTAGATCAAGGTTTGGAATATTTCCAGATCCCTAGACGGCTCCCACATATACCTTCCTGGGCAATACCTCTTCCAGAAGTAACTACTATTTAGAATGTAAGAATTATTATAGCCATTACGGAAAACAGTATGGACGTTCCTTAAAAAATTAAAAATAGAACTACCATATGATCCAGCAACCCCACTTCTAGATGTAAACCCAAATGAAACAAAACCAAAACCACTATTTTGAAAAGGTATCTACACCCCCATGTTCATTGCAACATTATGTATAATAGCCAAGATACAGAATCAACCTAAGTGTCTATAGATGGATAAGTAGATAAAAATGGCAGTATCTATATCTATATATCTATATCTATATATGCAGTATATATATACACACACACACACATACATACGTATGTATGTATAGTGGAGTGTTATTCAGCCTTAAAGAAGAAAATGTTAACCATTTGCGACAATATGGATGAAAGTGGAAGACACCACGCTAAGTAAAATAAACCAGTCACAGAAAAATACTGCACAATCTCACTTATGTGTGCAATCTAAAAAAGTCAGATTCATAGAAGAGTGGAATGGTGGTGTGCTAGGTGAGGGGGAGAGGAAACTGAGAGATGTTGGTCAAAGGGTACAAAGTTTCAGTGAGGATACATAAATTCTAGAGACTTAACGTTCAGCATAGTGACTATATTGCTGAATTTGATTCTTGAGATTTGCTAAGAGAATGTATCTTAAATGTTCTCACCACATGTGGAAAAAACAACTATCTGATTTTTAGCTTGAATATAGTAATCAATTCACTATGTATATGTATATGAGAACATCATGATGTGCAGCTTAAATATATAAAATTTCAATTAAGAAATTTAAAAGAGGTAATTATTATTCAAATCTTTTTCACTATCTATTACTTTTTGCTGTGTTTAAACTTCACATAAATTATACAATTTATACTTTTGGGGCCTGGTTCAAAATTATGTCTATGAACTTCATCCATGCTGTGTATATCATAGTCTGTGCATTCTCACTGCTGTATAGTAGTCCATTGTATGCATTTACCACAATTTATCCATTGTATAGTTGGTGGAGATTAGGGCAATTTTCAGTTTTTGACTTTTGTGAATAAGGAATTAATTTACACATTTTTTGGTAGACATAAACACTTATTTCTGTTGGCCATATACCCAGGAGTAGAATTGTTGTGTCAAAGAGTGATGTATCTAGGGTTTGAACCTTGAATTTTTTTTTTTTTTTTGAGACTAGGTTTCACTCTGTTGCCCAGGCTGATTTTGAACTCCTAGGCTCCAGCAGTCCTCCTGTCTCATCCTCCCTAGTAGCTGGGATTACAGGTGTGCACCCCTGCACCCAGCTTGAACCTTGAGTTTTCTGACTCCACTATTATCCATTGTGTAACACTCATTACATCAATAGTGGCTAATAAAGACTGAGAGCTCTCTATGAGGTCTTTAAGCTTTCATTTTCTAAGTAGGGTGTTGATTCAGTAGAGAACTTTCTATAAGCTTAACTAATAACAGCAGGGGGAAGTCTTCTATTTGTTCAACAAATAAGAGAGTCTTTTACATTATTATTAAATAGCTGATGTATTACAATGTATGTGGAACACTTAGTAGCTTCTCTTTGAAAACAGCATGATAATATCCATCTTGACAGACTTGCTTTATTCATTGAAATGTATACAGTAAGAGTAGAGTTAGCAATTGATCATTCATTTACTTGTATACTGTAATTAGCCAAGGAAGAAACAAATCAATTTAAAACCAATTTCCATAGGCTACACATGCACAGGAATTGATTGCAGACTTGAATTTGCTGAATAAAAAATGAAGCTGGCTTATCTCAATTTGTATTTCATCGAGTGAATGTCAGCTATTGATTTCTGTAACTTACTACTGGTGAGGCAATCTGTCTGTCATTCTTTAAAGGTAGCACAGCACGATCGCTATGCCGTTTAATTAGGTGTGGTCTAGTCATTTCACTGTTTGAGGAAGATGAAATATTTAGCTGTAGTGGAAGGAAAAACCTCAGCCAGATGCCTGCTCTATCACCCTCTTTCAGACTGGTACTCATCTTAATTTAATGCCCATTGATTCTTATTGTTAGATGTTGTACAGAGTAGCCCTTTTGTAATGTAGTGTTGGAAGACAAAGCTAAAATGGACTTTACAGGCTAACTGAACTCTCTCAAGCTTTCTTGAACTCTTGACAATGCAGCATTACATTCTAGGGGAATGACTTGACCTGTGTGTTATAGAATAGGTTTCCACAGTGTGCCAGGTTTTCTTAGAGAGTAATTCATGTTGCCATTGTCATACAGGATTTGTATAGTCTTTGACAAGTTGCAATGTCTTTTTCCCTGGCGCAACACAGAAGATGTAATGTTTAACTATATCTGAACACTACCGCTTATGTAAAAAATTGTCTGAAATAACAGTGAAATAATGTCTTCTTTCTTAAAAGAAGTATCACAACCTCTTTATCTCTTCGTTTTCGGTTTCCTCACCTGTAAAATGGAGGAATAGTACCTACTTCATTGCTATTTTATGCTAGCTAAATGAGACAGTATGTTTAAAATGCATACAGCAATGCCTTTCACCTAGTAATAACTTAATAAGTATTTATTATTATTAATGTCAGATTTTTTTAATGGAGTCTTGCTCTGTTGCCCAGGCTGCAGTGCAGTGATGCAATCTCAGCTCATTGCAACCTGTGGCTCCTGGATTCAAGCGATTCTCCTGCCTCAGCCTCCAAAGTAGCTGGAATTACAGGTGCTCACCACTATGCCCAGCTAATTTTTGTATTTTTAGTAGAGACGACGTTTCACCATGTTGCCCAGGTTGGTCTCGAACTCCTGACCTCAGGTGATCCACCTGCCTCGGCCTCCTAAAGTGCTGGGATTACAGGCGTGAGCCACCATGCCTGGCCAAAAATGTTTTTAATGTCATTAATATTATTCGTTTTTCTCTTCCTTTGTTTAAATTGGCATCATATTCTAAATATTCCTACATTTTTTCTCTATTTCTTTCTGCTTGGTGCAATTAATACTTTCCATCTTTTTTGGTTGGTTACCATTATTATTTTTTAAACTAACTTTTCAAATAGGTGACCAAAAATGATTTAAATCCCTGGGGACCATAATATTTTTGACAGCAGTATGAGACTGATTTTAAAAATATTCCTTGGTAGAAACTTTTTTTTTTACAATAGTTCTTATAAAGTTAGATCAGTTGGTCATTTTGTCTACAGCTATATTTCAAGCCAGTGGCAATCTTGACAGATGTATGAGGTATTTAAATGGAAAGATCAGAGTTCAGTAATAATAAATATACTGATACTTTAGTTTAAAGATTATACAATAATCTCACAAAAGTAGGTATCCCCCTTTTACTTACTTTGACACGTGTTAATGTGCCGTTTAATTGAACCTGTAAGGCTACCTGCTCTGTATCCCAAATACTCCCATCAGGGTGTAGTTGTAATACCCTGCAAGAGGCATTAAGTAATAAAAGGGTAAATGATCAGCTTCTAGCTCAGGCCACTGTAACTGGGGAGATTATTGATAGTGAGGCATTGCTACATAATAAGAGAGTCTTCCAGGTAGGACTCAATCTGAAAGGTATTTTTCTTCCATCTAAAACCAGGAAAACCTATAGAACATCTCCTACATAACCCAGAAGACATTCACAGACATTTATAGACATTTTTGCAGACATGTTTATAAAAGGCATACTGGTCCTTGCTGGTTTTCAGCTTCATCTCTGGTCACCTTCTTACTTGCACTTCCTGTCTAAGTGTCACCGTAGAAAGGGCAGCCACAGAGACAATAAGTCAAGCTCTGATCCCAGGAGCCAGGCCCACTTCTCAGCCCTGAGACCAGAATCCACTCAAGAGTCTTTAGAGAAATAGGTACCTGAAATGCATGGATAACTGGTTCATTTGAGTCCATGTCCCTGAGCAACCTTCCTCCTTCTGCCTATGACGTAGTGTTCTGTGTAGGTATGTCTTTAGGGGGAGAATGGGCTGGACATGTAAGAGCATGCATTGTGTTCTTGTGCAAATTAGAATTTTCATTGTATATTAAATTGTGTTTTGGTTTTATACATTAGTTCCATGAGGTTGAGTTGATGTGATTCTGCTATTCAGAGAAGGATCTCATTCATATTGCTGAATAACCAGGGTTCTGAGTCTGCATATCTGAAAGCTGGATCCTGTATTATGTCCAACTGACAAAGACAATAAATGCAAGTCCCTAAGGCTTCCTAGGGGACAGCCCACAGGTCCTTCTTTAGGCAGTATTCTACCCTGATCCCAACCTTGGACAAGGCAGAGTGTGGAATATCCTTTCTTAATTAATTATGTCTATCAGTCACGATGATGGAGTAATAACTAATATCAGTAGAGCTCCTCCTGTGTACAGTGCTAGTACAATCCTGTGAAGCAGGTACTGTGATTATCTTTCTCCTCCATATAAGAAAATTGAGGTTAAATCACTTAACAAAGTCACAGAACCAGTGTGTGGTGAAGTTTCAATGCCTGGGCATGTCTTCTGGGTTCAGCGCATATTCCACACTGCCTTCCTGCCTTTCCTCTAGCTTATTAGTTCTTCATTTTATTATGTGTATAGGCTTGGAAATCAAAGTATCGAAAACCCCATTTTGGTAGTTTCTTTGCTTAAATCACCAGGAGCAAATGAACAGTCTAAATGCACATTCAACCACTTGAAGCTGTGATCGGGTCCCTGGTTGAGTGCCGCTCATCCATCATGCATGCTCCTGATAGACATGACAGGTCTTGCACAAAGAGGAGCTTTTTTCCCTCTCTCGGTGGTACTTCCTTTGAGGCATGCTACTGTTCAGGGCCCTGTTGAGATTTTGATTAAAAAAGACAGATATTGTGCAACTTCCATTAATGTTCTATTTCTCCTGTAGCAAAATGTAGGCTCTTGGAACTTTCTCAAGGGAATTTAATTTTCCATGTCTGTTGGCAAATTTAATTTTGAGTTTTACATAAAACACTAGAAAACAGTTAGTGGCCTGGTCCGGGGTTTATACTTGTAATTCAATGATTCTTTTAGGTGATTTTAACCTGTTTGCAACCTATTTTGTTGTCGTTGTTCTGTAATTCACAAACCACTAACTTTCTAAAATAAAACTACTTTTTAAAACTACTCTTTAAAATAAAAGAAAACTACTTTTTAAAATAATAAATACTTTTTCTGAAGTATTTAACTTTCTTTTGCCCTCCTCTATATGGTTATGGTAATGTCATCTGACTTATTTTTATATTGCTCCCTAAAGGGGAAGAAAACCCTAAGCTGAGAAACTATGAAAATCCATTTTGAAAGTGCTCAGTGCACAATAACTAATGTTAAGACAGCACATTATACACCTGAACAGTTCTATAATGCCTCCAATGATACTGTGCCCTTGTTTATGTAGATATAAATCAGTGCCCCAGTCTTTACCTAGCTCCATGTATATATAATTTTCATTAATTCTGTGACTATGTCAGCTTTGTCAATAACCTGAATATTTTCCTTCTCTCTCCTCTGTGGCTTTAATTTTTTTACCTCCTGGATACTGTTTATTTTTTTCCTACTCATTAGTGTTTTTCTAGTATTAGAGCTAAAGTAGAAGAGTGAGGAAAGTCAAACATATATATTTGACTTTTTTGTGATTTGGCCCATCAGGTGTTTTAGAAAAGTGATCAAATAAATCAAGCAACCAGTACAAAGTTTAGAGCTTCAGTTTCTACTAATATTTTTCTAGATACATGGAATAAATTGGAGTAGGGAGTGGATACGAATACTAGCTTTCTGCAACTGTTATCAGCTTCATCCCATAAGGGTACTTTTCTTTTTCTGGCATCCCACACAGTCATACTTATAATTCCATGCAATTCATTGCCCACATTTCCTCAGAAAGACTAAGCTAAAACTTGGAGAATAATTGAGTTAGATATCCAAGTTCTTGTTTTAAAAAAGCTTCAAGATTATTGACTACAAGAGTCACATTTATAGACTTCACTTAGCCATAAATATACAGAAAAGTGAAAGAATCCGGTTTTATGCAATGATAATTTTTTAAACAGTTGCCATAGCTGAAATCCATGCTTTCTAAAGCAAACCAAAGAAGAGATTCAATGAAAAAACATTTTTCATGGACTGAAGGTTAGTAATTTTAGTTACTTAGATGACCTTAGGAGAAAAAGTCATACATGCATGTCCTACCAGCTTTAGAGGTTGTCCATATTCAGCTGGACTTGTGAGCCCCTTTTATAGAGTTTTCCTTCTTGCTAAGCACCTGCTCTGTCTAGAAGGGAAGGAGACAGCTGAGCTTGGGGACAGACTGGGGCCCAGCTGTCTGGAAGGAGGGTTCTTTTCTATAGCCATCTGCTCCTTGCTTAGTGAGCTCCCCATCAAACACCCAAGTTCACAGCAGCTTGGAAAGGTGATGGATTTACTGCTGTCCCTGATGGTTGAGATGGTTGTCCTTGATGATTCAGATAACCTCCCATCTTCAGTTTTGTAGAAACCTGGGCTGGGATGTTTTGGGAAATGGAAAATATATACTACAATCTTATTTCATTCATTTTTCCCTCTCCATTTTCTCTTTATGCTTAAGATCTAATCAAGTTAGAAGTATTAAAAGTCTGATCTCTATGCAGCCAGTCCAGAGTGACAGCAGATAAGCTTTTGCCTTCTCCCTGTATAGGGTTGTTATGGACTGAATATTTGTGTGCCACCAAAATATATATGTTGAAGTCCTAACTCCAAATATGATGGTATTAGAAGGTGGGACCTTTGGGTGATAATTGGGTCATGAGAGTGGAGTCCTCATGAATGGGATTAGTGCCCAAATAAAAGAGGCCCTAGAGATCTTTTTCATCCTTTTTCTGCTATCTGAGGGTACAACAAGCAGCCAGTACAGTTTTCAATCTGGAAGAGGGCCCTAAGCAGGACCCAGTGATGCTGGCATCCTGATCTTGAACTTCCAGCCCCCAGAATTGGGAGAAATAAATATCTGTTGCTTATAAGCCATCCAGTTAATGGTATTCTGTTATAGCAAGCCTGAACTGGCTAAGATAAAGGCCTTAGTAATTATCTTGTTTGACATCAGTAGACTTTCAGGAAATACTTGTTAAATAATGAGATGACTAAGCCGAGAAAAGTGTTAGGTAAATGAAAATTTCATTTAAATAGAATTAGCATACTTTTATGTCTGTATTTTATTTTAAACTCCATATGAACATGCTGAAGGCATGTTTCTTCCTTTTTTAGCCCTGGATGAAATAGAGTCAAGCTTTACCACTTCTTTAGTAAAGGATGAATGAAAATCTACATGGCATTATATATAGTTCAGCCACTCTGAGTATCAGCATATTTTAAGTCTATTGTTTGTGTTGCAAAAACTTAGGCATAAATTCATCTCCTTGCAGAAGATCTTGTTCTGAAGACCTATAGAGTTTGTGTTGGGAAATGATTAGATGTGCTTGAGATTGGGTTGCATGAATGTGGCTTGGTAGCCTGGAGGCCTTCCACAAGGAGAAGTGACTTCAGGCTATGAATGTCAGTATGTGTGCCAGGCATAGGACTGAGGCTTTCTGTTGCATACCTCTAACCTTTGCAGACTTCTGAAAGGTAGATATTATCACCCCCATTTTAAGATGAGGAAACCAGACTCAGAGAAGTTAAGTGACTTACCTAAGGGCACAAGTTATAAAATTGTCAAACTGAAATTTTAATTATGTAAGTCTGATTTGAGAGTTCAAATATTGTTTTACTATATTTTGCTGCCTTTTTTGGTAAACCTGGCAGTCACATTGTTTGGTTCTGCTCATGTTTCAGACATGTATCAATAAACACAGTGGCAAATGTATCATGCACCATTAAACAAGGTGTTTCACACGTGTCACTAAACACAGTTAAATGGAGACTGTGAGCCACTAAGCACAGTTTTTCACACATATATTATTAAACACAATATGCCCCCAGTGACTAAGGTTCTTATCTTGAACCACAGCCAGTTGTGTTTTTAGTGGTTAGGTGTCAAAAAACAAACAAACAAAATCTTATATATCAATAATCTCCCTGGCAAGCTGCATGTGCTTCATTTTAATATGTACATTTCTCCTTTCAGGGGATTATCTGATGGATATGCAGCCCATGCATTCTTCTAGATACCCTAAAATGTACCTATAGATCAAGGCAAGCGTTTTTTGATCTATATACCTGGAATGAATCACTCTGCCCTCCAAAAGACTTGTTTTTGCTACACTTGGCTTTGGATGTGAGCCAGAGGGCCAACTTGGGGGTAACAGTGTAAGAGGAAGAGTTATGAAACTCACAATTGTATTTATTGTAAGGATGTTTTTGCCTATTTCCCCCGTTAGTTCTTTCAGTTTTTGCTTTCTGTATTTTGAGGCTATGCTATGTAAACACAAATTTAGAATTGTTTTATTTTTCTGGTAGATTGTTGTATCTTTCTGCTAGATTGACCCTTTCGTTATTATAAAATCCCTATTTATCTCTAGTGATGCTTCTTTCTTTCCTTACAAAGTTAGAAAAATTTAATTGCAAAAAACATGTAAAATATGACATCTTAACCATTTTAAAGTGTATAACTGAGTAGTTTTAAGTATATTAACACTGTTGTGCTCTAGTAATTCTTATTTCTTAAAATCTACTTTAAATGATAGTATAGCATATTGGTTTATCGGTTTTCTTTTGTTTATTGTCTTCATGGCATATCTGTTTTCATCTTTTTTACTTTCAGTATTTGTGTGTCCACACATTAAAGGTATGTCTCTTAGAAGAAGCATAGTTTTTTAAAATAAAACTATCCTGAAAATTTTAGTCTGAGAACAGCTTATTTATATTTATGTAATTATTATTTCATGTACTTACATCTATTGTTTTGCTGTTTGTTTTCTTTATAGATTACATATTATAATCTGTATAGGTTGTTTCATTTTTCTTCTAGTGGTTAGCCTAGAGATTACAGCATGCACACTAGATTTAAGATAATCTATTATGAATTATAACTTTTTGTCACTTCCTGAAAAATGTCAGAATGAAGAACAGTTTGCATTGACCCCTCTCTTATCTTTTGTGCTTTTGTCATGTATTTTAATTTCACATATACATGATACTTCATAAGCTAATATTTGTATTGTTTTATATGGTCAATATCTGTTTAGTTTGACCCACCTATTTATTTTCTGTTATTCTTAATACATTTCTATGCTACCATCTGGGGTCATTTTCTTCTGCTTGAGGAACTCATTTTAATAATTCTTTTCCTCTGAACCTGCTGGATGAGAATTCCCTGTATTTAATTTATCTGAAAACATTGTTCTTTCTTTTCCATTTAAAAACAAAACGTCATCAAACTACAACATACATGCAGAAAATTGCACACCTCGTAAACATACAGCTCAATGAATCTTCACAAACTGAAAATCAGCGCTGTGTAAAAGCTCAAGAAAGAGAACATGACTAGCATTCCAGGAGCTCCTCATGCTCCTTCCAGTCACTATTGCTTCCAAAGGGTGTCCATTCTTCTGACCCCTAACATCATAGATTATATTTGCCTATGTTTGAATTTTGCATATGTGGAATAATATGTTATATGCTCTTTTATGACTGACTTCTTTTATCAGTTTTATATGTGAACTTGTGATATTCACTGATATTGTTGCATGTAGTTTCATAAAGTTGGTGCTTATCTGTGTAGTATTCCATTGTGTGGATATACAGATATTTATCCATTCACTATTGATATGGATTTGGGTAGTTGCCAATTTTGATTGATTACATATAGTGCTGCTATGAAATTTTAGTACAAAATTCATGTTCTTCTCACATGCAAAATACATTTGCCCCATCCCCACAGCCCTCAAAGTGTTAACTCATTCCAGCAACAACTCCAAGTCCAAAGTCTCATCTAAATATCATCTAAATCAAGTATGGATAAGACTTGATGTATGATTCATCCTGAATTAAAATTCCTCTCCAGCTGTGAACCTCTGAAATCAGATAAATTATGTGCTTCCAAAATACTATGGCGGGACTGGCATAGAATCGACATTCTTATTCTAAAAAGGAGAAATCAGAAAGAAGAAAGGGGTGATGGGTCCCAGCTAAGTTCAAAACCCAGGAGGAAAATTCCATTAGGCCTTAAGGCTAGAGAACAATCCTCTTTGGCTTGATGCTCTGCTTTCTGGGCCCACTGGAGTGAATGTTTCTCCCCTGTGGTCTCAGGCAGCAGCACTGCCCCCAAGGCTCTGGTTGGCAGCCTTGAGCTTGAGGCACTGGGTGGTGGCAGCCTGGCCATTGACACCAAGGAGGAGCACACTTGCCCCTGGGGCCGGCCTGTGTATTCTGGGCCTGTGGTGGGAGTGGCACCCCTGCTAATCTCTGAATAGCCTTCAGCGTCATTTATTCTTTTTCTTGAAGGATGATGCATGTTTCTAGCCAAATAGCTTCACTGTTCCATCCTGTGAAATCCCAGAAATCCAACAGTCTTCCTGCATTTTGTCCATGCTGGCAGTGTTTCTACCGGTACAGACTCACCTCTACTTCTGGTTTCTGCTGACATGGCTGCTTGGATCCACTGACAATCTCTTTTTGGGGTGATTGTCCAGTCATACCCTTGGTGTTTACAACTTGCATTATACTTTTTTATCCTGCAAAATGAACAGGCTGAGAATTTTCCAAATCTTTAAGTTCATATTCCTTTTTGCTTAACAACTTCTTCAATTGATCTTTCTCCTTTCACATTTAAGTAGTAAGGAGAAACCAGGCCACACCTTCAACACTTTGCATAAAAATCTCTTCAGCTAAATATCCAATTTTATTGCTGGCAAAATTTTACCATCTATAAAACGCTAGAAAACAATTCAGCCCAGTTCTTTGCCACTTTATAACAAAGATTACCTTTTCTCTGTTGTACAATAACATATTCTTTACTTACTCCAAGTTCTCACTAGAATCACCTTTAATGTCCATATTCCCACCAACCTGTCTCAAAAACTCTTTTGGCCTGTGCCCATTACCCAGTTCTGAAGCCACTTCAATACTTTTAGATAATTGCTTTAGCAGCACAGTACAGCACAGTACCAAAATCTGTTTTAGTCTGCTAAGGCTGCCATAATGAAATACTACAGCCTGGGCTTAAACAATGGAAATTTATTTTCTCATCATTCTGGAGGTGGAGTCCAAAATCAAGGTGCCAGTAGTGTTGCTTTCTCCTGAGGCCTCTCTCCTTGGCATGCAGGTGGCTACCTTCTCTCTGTGTCCTCATATAATCTCTTCCCTGGGCACATGTACTCCTAGTGTCAATTTCTTTTCTCATAAGGAAATCAGTCCTATTGGATTAGGGCCTCTTCCTTATAATCTCATTTAACCTTAATTACCTCCTTAAGGACCCTGTTTCCAAATGTGGTTACACTGAAGGTTGACACTTCAACATATGAATTTTGGGAGGACACAATGTAGTCCTTAACAGAGCTCAAGTTACATTTTTTCCCCATATAGATATCCAACAGACCCAACACCATTTAGTATGAAGATAAACTTTTATGCACTGAACTGTGGTTTTGCCATTATTGTTAACCAGGTGGCCATGTATGTGAGGCTCTGTTTCTTAGGTCTGTGTTCTCTTCCATAGGTAGGTTTGTCTATTACTGCATCATTACCTTGCTGACCCTACAATAGGTTTTAGTATATGATAGAATAAGACTCCAGTTTTGTTCTTCTTCTAAATTATTCTGTTTATTTTTGACTCTTTATTTTTATAAGAATAATCAGTAAATTTTGTCAAAGTATGGGCTAAAATTTTATTGTGATTGCATTGAATCTATAGGTTTTAAAAAATGTCTCTCATCAGTGTAGAGGTCTTGAGCATATTGAAGACCTCTATACCTCTTTAGACTTAATTCTAAGAATTTGATGTTCTTTGATGCTGTTGCGAAATATCTTATTACACGTTTTGGAAGATATTTTTGTAAGATATGGATTTCTAGGTTGGCAGTTGTTTTCTTTCAGCACTTAAAAATGATACTCCATTATCTTCTGGATGCTATTATTTTATTTTTGAAAAGTTACTGTCAGTCCTATTATTGCAACTTTGAAGGTAGTGTGTCATATTTTCTTTGACTGCTTTTCAGAGTTTCCTCTTCATCTTTGTTTTTCAATGGTTTTACTATGATAGTTAGTTTCCAACGATGTTCCTCTAATGAATTATGCCTCGTAGTATTTATGTCCTTACGACGTGCCTCTCCTTTAATCTAGGATAGCTGTGACACTTCTGACTAGTAAACTACACCAGCTTTCGCACTGCATTGCTTCCAAAGCCCAGACATAAGAAGTCTTGCTGCTTGCTTGGCTTTTTGGAACACTCACTATTAGGATGCTCCTGTGGGAAACTGTTGAGAAGTGCAACTCCTCTGAGACCACTGTGCTGCAAGAGAGTCAAGCCACATAGAGAAGCCCTGAAAGATACTAGAACATAAGTTTCTACTGGGGAGCGAGAGAGGGGAAGATAGGCAGAGAGAGAGAATGCGGGAGATAAAAAAAATCTGAGATAAAAGATACAAGATTGAGCCATTTTGGAAATCTAGCCCAGTCCAGCTTTCAGACAATGATAGCCCTGGCACTACTGACTGCAGCTGCATGAGAGACCCAAGCAAGAACTGTGTAGCTGAAGTTGATTAATTCACAGAACTAGGAGAGCTGTTATAATAATTGTTTTAAGGCCGTAAGTTATGGTGTGGTTAGTTACATTGAAATAGATAAATGGAACAAAAATAATATCTATATTATTTTCTGGGTGTGGTTGTAACACATCTTAAAAAATGTGGCGTCTGCTTTGGGACCAGTAGCAGGAGGAGGATGGAAGATGCTCAGGGATTGTTCATGGAAACTTGAAGGACAGTGAAGAGTCTGTAATTAGAGGCTGGAGGAAAGAAAACACATGCTATGTAGTGTCAGAAAATTTAGGAGAACTGTTGTCTCTGATATAGGATGGACAATAGAAAATATACCTAATGAAATAGTGAAACTATGTATGGATATGTCACAAGGAAAATTGGTTATTTTTTAGCCATGTATAATAAGGTAAAGAGGAAGAGAGAGAAGCGCTAAGGAAGACATTTTCTAATATAAAGCAGAAATTAGAGAAGATATAAAGAACTCAGGGCTTACTAAGTGTAAAAGTGAAACTGTATATTAGACTTAGCCACTCTGTATTTCAAAGGATGTCAACATAACACCTGATCTCAGGATAAAAATTATTTCAGATGATTATTAATGCAGTGCCACTGCATTCCAGCCTGGTGACAGTGCAACTGTAAGACACATTGTTAAGATTTCAGGAAGACTTAAGAGTGTGCCTTACAGAGCATTTGAATTAGACAAAAAGTTTTCTAAGAATCTTAAGAGTGTTATGTCTCAACACTCTCACCTTCAGCACGAGGCGAACTGGGGCCTGTATCAGAGAGATTTCTGAGTGAAGTTGTTGTTTAGTGAAGTGAACCCCACTACTATTCATAAGAAACCTATACAATCTTTAAGGGAATTGTGTATACAGAAACATCATAAGCTTGGACTAAAAGGGTCAGAGTCAGTTTGAAATGAAAAGATGCCTCTGGGTTCCTAATCTTATATCAGCAAGGATCAGGCTGAGACATTTACTTAGCTGCAAACATGAACCATTTCTGTGGCAAAGGAAGATTGGGATTAATAAACAAGAGGGAGACAACAGTATTCCTGAGGATAGAAATAAAAGCCATGGAAAACTACTCTCAGAACCAAACCCTAATCAAGGAACTGGCAACATAAGCCCAATTAGATTTCAGAAATGCTTTGGACCAGTGACTGTCATGTGACTCTTGTCCTCTTATCTCCTCCACTCCCATCCCCAGCTTTTGAATGGCATTGTCGGTTGCAGTTATAACATCCTGGTACTACCATTGTTATGTTGAGTGTGTGGGGGCGGATAACTTGTGTCTTTGGTTCACAGGTCTTCACAAGGACAGGAACTGTACTCAAGAGGAGTATAAGCTGCATCTGGGAAATTGCACTTCACAAACTTTGTCAATATTCAGGCCTGATGTAAATGCCTGGCTTCTCATTACGGGGAATTCAGAAATCAGCAAAGATTTTAGGGGGAACATAATACAAAATGTTGACTCACTTCCCTACAATTCTTTTTTGTCCAGAATCTTTTTGTGGCTGATCTAATTTTTTGCATTGTACTCATTTTGTAATTGCTCTTAGTAGGAAGCTTGGTGTAATGCAAGCTACATAGTTCAAGCAATCGTCCTCCATACTTAAGCAATCCAAGTTTTTATTTTGAGAGCATTGCCCTCATATGCAATGCTATTTTTTGAAGGATCTAAAAAAGAATTTCTCTCTAGTCTCAGTACCAAGAAGAGTGCTGCTTCTAATTAGCCAGTGTATTTTTATTAAAAAGATAAAATAGACTGGGCGCGGTGGCTCACGCCTGTAATCCCAGCACTTTGGGAGGCCGAGGCAGGTGGTTCACGAGGTCAGGAGATCGAGACCATCCTGGCTAACACGGTGAAACCCCGTCTCTACTAAAAATACAACAAATTAGCCGGGCGTGGTGGCGGGTGCCTGTAGTCCCAGCTACTTGGGAGGCTGAGGCAGGAGAATGGCGTGAACCCGGGAGATGGAGCTTGCAGTGAGCTGAGATCGTGCCACTGCACTCCAGCCTGGGCAACAGAGTGAGACTCCATCTCAAAAAAAAAAAAAAAAAAGATAAAATTAACTGTGTAATTGTTATGTTATCCACTTTGCATTTCTGTTTTATTTGTAACAAACATATGGGATTTTAGTAGATATATATATTTTTTTCCTGGGGGAATATTAGCTTCATATATGGCCTTTCTCATGTATTTATTCACTACACTATACTTTTAGAGTATTTTAGAAGTCTGCTTTTGAATAAGATAGAATATTGATATGGTTTGGCCAAATCTCATCTTTGTAGCTCCCATAATTCCCATGTGGCATGGGAAGGACCTGGTGGGAGGTAATTGAATAACAGGGGCGGGTCTTTCCCATGCTGTTCTTGTAATAGTGAAAAAGTCTCATGAGATCTGATGGTTTTATAAACAGGGGGTCCCCTGGACATGCTCTCTTGCCTGCTGCCATGTAAGACGTGCCTTTGCTTCTCCTTTGCCTTTGACCGTGATTGTGAGGCCTCCCCAGCCATGTGGAACTGTGAGTCCATTAAACTTCTTTCCTTTATAAATTACCCAGTCTTGAATATGTCTTTATTAGCAGCGTGAGAACAGACTAATACAAATATAAATTAAGAAACAATGATAAATGTTCAGATTTGGAAGGTGGGAAGTTAATAGAAGTTTAGCTAGTATTACAGAGGACTTTTTTTTACAGGTTAACCAATGTGTCAAAGATGATGTTTATAGGCAGGTATGGTGGCTTCACACCTATAATTCCAGCTCTTTGGAAGGCTGTGGCAGGAGCATTCCTTGAGTCCTGGAGATCAAGACCAATCTGGGCAACATAGGGAGAATCTCGTTTCTAAAATTAGCTGGGCTTGGTGGCACACACCTGTTGTCCCAGGTCCATGGGAGACTGAGGTGGGAGGATTGCTCGAGCCTGAGAGGTTTTGGCTGCAGTGCCATTGCATTCCAGCCTGGGTGACAGAGACCCCTGTCTTGAAAAAACAAAACAGAACAATAACAATAACAAAACAAAAAAAAAGCTGATGTTTTAACCATCATGAGAAATCTTTCAAACAAAATGAGGGTAACATTGGTCAGATCCTTTGATAAATGATCTATACTACTCCCTAAATACAAACTATTCATCCATGGAAGGTGAATAAACCTGGATTTTCAGGTAATAAATGATCTCCTCTAAGACTCTAAAAATATCACTGATGACTTGGAAAATTATGCTTAAATATAAGGGCTAAACGCTTAATTCACTGACAGGAGGAGATTCATGCTATCCCTAGCACTCTGCTGTTTAGGTGTTTTGACAACCAGCCTGTACTAATTCAAATATATTAAACTGCAGTATAAACAGAATGATAACAAGGTATTGTTTAATTTAGTTTATTTGTCTGAGGAATAGAGTCCTATGATTAGCTAACAAAGCATGTTAATTTTAAAATCTAATGCAAAGCATGTCTAAGGAATAGAGTTCTATGCATAGTAGCTTACAAAGCATGATAATTTCAAAATTTAATTCATGTAATCTGTATGTGATAAGTAATCTTTATGCGATAAGCTACTATGCCGGTAGCAATTCCTTTGAGCCTTCCCTTCAGTTTTTCTACTTCTCTTCATTTCCATTGCTCATGGGGTATCACTCTGATGCTTGGGCCAAATAAACAGGTCAGAAAGCACAGTATTTCTATTGTTGAATTATGGGCATTGGGCAATGATAAAATATTTGACAACTGTTTGGCATGGGTGCCAATCAATCAGAACAGCTGCCTCATCCATCAGAACGGTGCCTAACCGACATGGTTTGGATCTGTGTCCCCACCAAATCTCATGTTGAATTGTAATCCCCAAGGTTGGAAGTGGGACCTGGTGGGAGGTGATTGGATCATGGGGGCAGTTTCTCATGAATGGTTTAGTACCATCCCTGTTGGTACTGTCCTCACAATAGTGAGTGAGTTCTCATGAGATCCAGTCATTTAAAAGTGTGTAGAACCTCCTTCCTCTCTCTTCTACACCTACACCCACCATGTAAGAGACCCACTTTTCCTTTGCCTTCTGCCATGATAGAAAGCTTCCTGAGGACTCCCCCAAAGCAGAAGCTGCTATGCTTTGTATATAGCCTGCAGAACTGTGAGCCGATTAAACCTCTCTTCTTTATAAATTACCCAGTCTTAGGTATTTCTTTATAGCAATAAGAGAATGGGCTAATACATGAACCAATCAGAAAGGCTGCTTAATCAATCAGAAAAGAAGCCAACCATGAAAAACAGATATGGCTGTACCTGTGCATAGTAGCCAAATACCAGCTCTCATTATGGTTATTTTTTTTTAACAGAGGAAAAGTAGGGAAGTAAGAAGTTAAAACCCAATTCTCCTATTCCCATAGTCTGTTGCCTTCTAGATCATATCATTATGAAATAGATGGCTTTTTATGTTTATTTTATTTTTCTGTTCCAAGATGTTTAAAGCAGAAGCTGCCATAAATGAACATCTGTCTTAATACAATTTATTTCTTTTCAAGTTAAAAAAGAATTTAGAAAGAAAACATTTTACCTCATCACACTCTTTGTTTTTCTTGAAGGAAGTATTCAGGGTAATGAAACAGCTGGTGAGTTTTGAGGAAGAGGAATAGGAGCAAGAAGATAATTTGTTGTTTTTTCTTTATCATTTAAATGGAAACAAAGTGTGTGGTTGTATTAATGAAGAGAATGTGTCTCTTAAAAAAATACCCTTTGCAATGGAGAAAAATATTTTCAATTTAATGAGATAATTTGCATGAGGAAAATATTAGATACTGAATGGAGGAAAGATAAGTTAAATTATATTATGTGTTGTGGTGGGGCTGGTTAGTTGGTGAAGGGGAGTGAAAACTGTAAATGGCATGGAATCAGCGTTTTATGGTTGCGAGGAAAATTAGATGCCATTAAATCCTGCTACCTCTCATTTTACTAGAAGAAATAAACATCTAGAGAGGTTAAATGGCTTGCTCAGGATCACATATCTAATTATTTACTGAGAAAACTAGAAAAGTAGAAGGAAAACCTAGTTCTTGAATCAATTAATTGTTTTAGATTGTGTGTACATAGTATCAAAATGACTGATTATTCTCGATTTAAAAACAACAGCAACAACACTTAAGTGGGTGGTGCCCCTGTAGTCCCCACCACTTGGGAGGCTGAGGTGGGAGGAGTTCAAGGCTGCAGTGTACTGTCATGATTGCCTTGTGAGCAGCCACTGTACTGTAGCCTGGGCAACATGGCGAGACCCCAACTCTTAAAAAAAAAAATAAACCCAAACAACACTTGGGAAAATTGTGTCCCTATTCCCTGAGGTCTTCCTGCTGCTCCTGCCCCTACCCAGACTCATACTGCATGGAGTCTGAATAGCAAGTCTCTCTGCCCATTAAACCTCCCCCGCCCTGTATCCAGCCTTCACAATTGTCAACTGAGACCTAACGCATCTGTGACATATTTGTCAATGATTGAAATTTCAGAAGTGGTTTTTATTTCTCTCAACGTTTTTTGGGGGTAATTGCTTATGGCAATGAACATCTACCATCTTAACTATTTTTAAGTGTACCATTCAATAGTGTTAAGTACATTCACACTGTTGTGCAACCAATCTCCAGAACTCTTCACTTGCAAAACTGAAACTCTGTATCCATTAAACAATTCTGCATTCTCCTTCCCCTACTTTCCTTTTCTATGAATTTGAGTACTTTAGATGCCTCCTATATGAAGAATCACACAGTATTTGTCTCTTTGTGACTCATTTATTTCACTTAGCATAATGTTCTTAAGATTTACCCACATCGTAGCATGTGGTGGAATTTCCTTTTAAAGGCTGAATAACTTTCCATTGCATGAATATACCACATTTTGTGTATTCATTCATCCATTGATGGACACTTGGGTTGCTTCCTACTATTCCCTGTTTAGCCATTTTGGATGTGCACAGATAGTTTCAAAGTGTTCACAATAAAACAGTAGAATCATTAGTGTTGCCTACGTGATCCTAGTGTTACAGAGGTTTTACAAATTTAATGCAATATGATGCTTTGTCTTCACAAACTTACACAGCTGTGGGGTGAGATGCAGCTGTGTGGTGAGAAAAGGGACTTACAACTGGTCTGGCGCTTGATGTTCAAAGCCACAGACATTTCTTAACATTTATGAATTTTGGAAGCGAAAGGCACTTTAAAGGTGGTAAGGGTAGAACTGGGCATTTGGATTTTGGCATCAGGTACACCTAGGCTCGGGTGTTCAGAGCTTCATTAGCTGTGTGACCGGGAGCTGATTATTTAAATTCTGGAATACAAAATGTAGCATCTCCTTCATGGAGTTACTGAGGATTAAATGAGACAATGCAACTAAAGTGGCTAACAACATCCTATTACAGAGTGAGTAGTCAATAAATTCTAGCTAATAGTAGTATCTTCTCACTTTACAGATAAAGAAGCTGAGCCTCAGAAAGAAATGTGACTTTCTTATGATCACACAGACAAAACAGACAAAACCACAAAGTTGGCATTTGAATTATATCTAAAAAATAAGGAGAGGGGTCTATTTTCAACAATCATCTTTCTTGCATTGGAACTTTGCAAGTCATTTATGAATGCTCACAGACACTCATGCCTAGCAGAAACATGGCAAATACTCTTTTTTTAAAAAATATCTTGTTAATTTGTTCTGTCAATTAATCATTCAATGAATTCCTTCATTCAATAACCATTGAGTGCCTATCATATGACAACCATTGTTGAGCAATGGGGACCTAACAGTCATGTGGAGGTGACAGGCAAGTATGCTAAGTGTTCCAGTGGTGATGAATCCACAGAGAGCATGACTGACAAGAGGAGAGGTGCCTAGCCCACACTTGTGGGTTCAGGAAGGGTGTAGGGAACTGGAGTGGGCATGTGTTCAGGCCCCAGGTTACTGTCTGCATAAAACTGAGTAAGCCTGGCATTTGCCTTTCAACCTAGTGAGATAATTACCCCATAAACAGCAACTGAGAACTGAATTTGAAAGTGCAGTGTGCATTATCAAATGCCAGGGGCACAGTAGAGGGAGTGATTGACTCTGCCTGAAGTGCATTTGGGAGGGGTGATGATATGGCTGGAGAGAGGGCTTAACCAAGGAGCTGACAAAGGAGGTAAGTCTTGCAGGATGAGGAGATTATCTCTACCCAGAGAAGGAAGGGACAGTTAATCTAGGCAAACACCCAAGAAGCATGCGGGCGCAGGGCTCCGGATACCTGGGATACAGGTTGTTCACGAGACACTGGTGATAGAGTGCAGAGGGAGGTGAGCCTCTCATGGGAAAATCCCAGGACTTACCTGCTGATGAGTGTAATGGTGTTATGTTAACATTTAATGTCCTGATTCTGATGGTTGTTCACAAAGAAGTTCTAATCCTTCAGGGTATCCCATGCCCAAAGTCTTTCCCAGATATTTCTGGGAACTTTCCCTTTCCCCAAGAGGCATCTGTTTTGCCTAGACCCAGGATCAACTAGTCTCAGTCTTCTACCCTAGTGGCCTCATTGAGTTTCCTTGAGTTCACCACTGCTGACTGTGGCCTCCACCGAATGTTTTCTGCCTAGCCCAGGGTACTTTCTTTGGTGGCCTCTTTCAACTCTTAAGGCACCAGATCTGTGACTGCAAATGGGGTCGTGGGGATAGATCAAGCTGTCTCCTCTATTCCTTCACCTGTGTGTGTGTGTGTGTGTCAGAGAGAGAGAGAGAGAGAGAGAGAGAGAGGGAGAGTCCTGTGAGGTTGTATTTCTCGAAATTGGAATCTTATATTCTCTCCTGAATACACTTCTCTTTCCTTATTAGGACTTAAAGTCATCCTCCAGGCCCAAAGGGAAGACATTTACCATTCCACTGTCTTCTCTGACTTTATCTCTCCCACTGATACACAGGCATCATTATTAATGCACCATTATCTTCCTCTTGTTTTTGTCAACAATGACCAAAAAATCCCTGAATGCATATGAAGAAATGAAAACAGATACTTGGTCAGGGAATGTCTGCCTCGTGTCCTATCCTTCTGGTTCTCAATTTTGGCCCAGCCAGCAGCTTTGCAAGGTCTCTCATTGCCTAGCTGAGAAGTTCCAACATTCAAGAAACAATTATTGAACATAACTGACTCTTCTGTAGGAAAGGAGGCTGCTAAGGGTAGCCTCATTTGTTTGATGTCAGGTGAATTGTGTAATCAGATCTTAGAGGAACCTGTGGATTTTAAAAGAGAGGTATGGCAGGAAGACCAAGTAGGAGCCTTTGCGGCCATCAGGATGAGGCATGATAGATGCTTAAGCTAGGAAAGTGATTGGTAGGGATGCAGTGATGGGGACAGAACTGAATAAACTATAGGGGCAGGAGAAGTTGGAGACAGATTCGGTTCAGGAGAGCACAGGATAGATGGTGACTGTGAAGTTTGTCTTGAGAGAGTTGGGTGGTTGTTGATGAGATGGGCATCAACTGACCCATTTTACATAGAGGTTAAGTGATTTGTCCAAGGTCAGTGAACATACTGATAGCTGCATTATGTGTTCATATTGTGCTAGAAACTCCAAACAAGAATAGTTGCTACTTCATTACCCCCATGGCCTTTTCCCATTATATTAAAACTTCTACACACAGAACATACTCAAATAATTTTCTAAAATGTCATTAAAATTAAAAAGGTACTTAAAAGGACATATGAGAAGCTACATTCAATAAGTACAGAAATAAATTAGAGATGAGAAAATATTAAAATACCTGACCTGCGTGGGTATCTGCATAATATTTAAAATGATCTCATCCATTTAGTTCTAGTGTTTGGTGTCCTTATCTGAAATATGAAAAATGTTCTCACAGAGAGGCAGGCGAACTGAAGGAGGATATCTTAATATACAGTGAAATATAAATTAAAAAGCCTTCTAAAGCTATTAGTAAAAGTAGTGAAATACATTAACAGGTGCATAGGTTCAACTTTGGATGAATGTTCTTTGAAATCGGATTCATCACCAAAATTAATCTGAGAGGTGTCAAATCTGTGCTGGGTTAAAGAGGTGACAAATGGGAAGACTTCATTGAAGTTCCAAATTGTAAAGGGATCAGAATTAATAATGCTCTGTCACGGGTAACCCGAACACACAGGAGTTTAAGGAATTCACATCTTGGAGAAGAAACCTGGAATATTGCTGTTGAAAAGAGAAGTCTGGTCATCAGTTGGATTGATCTGTCTTATGAATAACTTCAAATTGACTACAAATAACCACAAAAATAGATTTCTTTTATGTTAGTGGGGCTTATGTATTTCAACAAACCAGTCAAGTCTTTCTCTTAAGAGTGGAATAAATACAGTATTTTTCTCCCCCATGAATCATTTAAACCCATACATATCCATGTTTTATTTCTACTCCTTAAAGGCTCTACCTGTTTATTTAATTCAGAGCTTCTTGGAGATGATGCACCTTAGAAGCACCAATCTTCATTCATCAGTGGCTTTCATTATGGGCTCTTCATTCATACAGTCTCACATTATGAAAATGAGCATAAAGAGAAGAAGGAGGCGGGGAATGCTACACACTCCAAATATCTCTCTCTCTCCAAATACCTAAAATAACATATATCTTTTTCTTATTCACAAAAACATATCCTTTGGTCAATTCGCAGGCAGATTTTCATGTTCTAAGTGATGAGTTCAGGGTGATCTATTAATGGGACACGTGCACATCTCTTCCTCATGATCTCAAGGGTTAGGCAGACAATCTTGTAGCACACTGCTTCAGGGAACAGTGGGGAGGGATATGGCTGATGTGTCTTCTGAGCTGGGTTTGCTACACTTTTCTGCAAAGAACAAAGCCGAAGCTGACATTTGAGCCTGCCAACCAACTTCGCCTCATGGATTCATAGGATGAGTGACTGCCAAAGGTTTAGCAACTCTGTAACTGACATTTTCCCCCATGAAATGGAATTTCTGAAGAACTGGAATAGTTTTAGGAAGACTCAGTAGACTTGAAGTCTTCAACGAAGCACCTACCCCCTCTCCTGGTGATGCCTGTATCTATAGGAATAATTCTTGCTTGCGGTATCAGAGTGTATTCTAGAGTTACTTGGTGTATGGTTCCAGAGTTTTATTCCCCACCCAAAACCCTTTCCTATAAGCATGATTAAAAATGAGGAAGGAGGGAAAAAAGGAAGAAGGGACAGGTTAAAAAAAACTAGGTCAAAGGAACTTTCCATCTCTTGCCCACCCTCCTTCCATACTCTTTTTATGTCTTGTATCATTTATGCTTTTGAGTATCTAATAGGCATCGTACCTAATATCTTTATAGAATTTTTGATTCTCATCCGTTGAACCTGTCATTTCTTCTTATCTCAATAATGGAACCATCATCTTCCCAATTACTCAACCCAAAAGTCTAGATGCTATTTTTGGTTTTAATTTCAATCCCTTTGCCTGCTTGGATCTGGGAGTCTTTAGATTCTTCTAAGCTTATTCTCACCTTAGCAGTTTGTGCCAGCTGTTAACTCTGCTTACAGTAAGATTCCCCAAGAATTTTGCAAGGTTGGCATCTTTTTCTTATTCAAATATCACCGCTTTTGGAAGAACTTCCCCCATCACCAAATTTAAAATCATCTAATTGAAAGTATTCACATTGCGACTGTTTATCACAGCACTCCACTATAATTTTGTTACGACATAGCACTATTTGTTTTTCTGCTTCTTCCTCACAAAAACCTGTGTTAAGGTCACAAGAATAGGGACCTTATCATTCTTAATCTTTGTCATAACCCTGACACTAGACTAGAGCCTGGCACAGAGTGAATACTCATTATAATATTTATTGGATGACAAAATTAACAACTTTTAATTATAGTAAACCTTCAGTTCTTATATCTTAGTGTTTGAGTATGATAGTGTTTGTCTATAATATGTGTGAATAATTTGTTTTCAATTACTCTTAAGTTGTGGCAGTCATGGAGATGGGACACTTGGATTTCCCTTCAAGAAAGAACTTGCCCTTCAGCTGCAGGGGCTGCAGTTAGCTGACAGCTTCCATTGTTACTGCCATCAAGGTTAACGTCAGCTTGGAAAAATGAGGCCAACTCTTCTGGGGCAGGCTCCAACCAAGGGGAATACCAGGTTTAGTTCTGCCTAAGACAGATCACCACTCACAAGAAATGTCCCTCTAAAAGGAAATCCTTAATCTGGAGTTTCTGTGGGCTAAGACTTTGTTAGATGGCTTGGTGGAGACTTTATTAGGACTGCATAAGGGATGTTGCTTACCAGATTGGCTTATTTGCGGCCACAGAACTTTTGTATGACTATTAGTTAAGAGTCCTTTGTTTAACTGATAAAAACAAGGGTGGAAGAAAACAAGCAAACAGTCATTGAGAACCTGCTCTGTGCCAGGCTGTTTTAAAAACTATTGATAAGATCTCACTCAGTAATCACACTTTTTTTTTTTTTTTTGGAGACGGACTCTGGCTGTGTCTCCCAGGCTGGAGTACAGTGGAGCGATCTCTGTTCACTGCAACCTCCGCCTCCTGGGTTCAAGCAACTCTCAAGCCTCAACCTCCTGAGTAGCTGGGACTATAGTGCATGCCACCATGCCCGGCTAATTTTTGTATTTTTAGTAGAGACGGGGTTTCACCACATTGGCCAGGCTGGTCTCGAACTTCTGACCTCAAGTGATCCACCCACCTCAGCCTCCCAAAGTGCTGGGATTACAGGTGTGAGACAGTGTACCCGGCCTAGTGATCACACTGACTTTGAAAGGTGGGTAGCAGCATGTTTGCTTTTACAGAAAGAGAAATAGAAATTTCAAAAGATTTAATAACAAACTGTTGTTTGGTTATGTAAGTACTGAAGCTAGGATTCAGGATTTGGGCTCTCTGATTCGAAAGCCCTTATTTTTTCAAACTCACCATGCTGTCTCCATCTGGAACGACTCTCAATTCAGGATCTTATAAGGGCAGCAAAAGGACAAGATGGGAACTAATAAACCTACATTCTAGAGTAAAATATTTAATTTATGATCAAAATTTGAGCAAACATACATAATACAGCAAATGAGATACAATCCATGGTATGACTTTCTGTTAATTCCAATTACCCATCTTTTGTATTTTTGCAATGGTTCAGTTGAGAACACTATGCATTGTTCCATCCACCTCCTAGAACTGTCTCTTTGTCCTTAAGATAATGGAAACCGAACACATTTCCTAGGCTCACTTGCAGCTGGGACTGTGTACATGATGAGGTTCCACTAATCAGATGCATGCATGGGACACTTTCATTTGGAACACATCTATTTGCTGTCACAGATCATGGCCGAGCCTACATGATTTAGGAGTGAGTTGCTCTGGCAGGAGCTTCCTTGGTGGTCAGTTCTGGGCTGTGATTCTTGAGAAGAATTCTTAAAACCTCATTCTAGAATCATCTGTTTACCTGTTTCTTCAGCCCTTTAATGATTCTGCTACACATACACACACACACACACACAAATATACACACACACTCATACACACCCACACACCTCCTGTATATAATATTCCACAGTATTGAATTTATTTTTCTTTAAACTTACTAGATTACAAAGTTTCAATTAAGAACTTTGATCAAGCAGCTCATAATCTTAGGCCTGTTTTGTGAGGAATGAGATGCTCTCTTTAAAAGTAAGAGCTAAGTTATTAAATCACAGAAAAACTTCAGTCTATCTGTTGGTGATTGCACAAAATCTCCATCTCAATGATAAGTTTCCATGAACCACATTGCTATAACTCTTGCCACTTTGCTACTCAGATTGATTATTGCACAGGTTTGTGAGTAATAATACTAGACCTTAGGTCATCACTTTCCTAAGGGGTGCACAATGCAAAATTCTAGTTGCAGATGTTCACGGCAAAAAAAAAGCCTTCTACTTTCCATCTTTTTTTCCTCTAGGCTGTTTCCCTAATTTAGGCCTCAGAACTGGTAGGTAATTTAAAGGCTATATTTCCTTTGTCTCAAAGAGTAGTGCCTGAAAATATGTCCCTCTTTCTGGTTAGAAGTTGAAGGATGCTAGTATTTCTTGTGTCTCATTGCCAACCCCTTCCCCCAACCCCCCAGCATCCTTCTTTCTTGTCTCCATAATAGCACTGTGGTTACAATTTTGTGCTTATCTTATTTGGGCTATCATGTGTATGGGCCTGTAAATCACAGTGTATATTAGTCTGAACTCACATTATAACACACTCTGCAAGATAATGTCCATGAATGGGAAGACTGCAAAACTGGAAGATACTATGCAAATGTTGGTTTTTCTTCTTGGCTTAATTCCTGATGGAATTAGAGTTACAGAATTATAGAATCTTAGAAATCATCTTGGTCTGTTGTTTTATAAAGAGTTTCATAGAGTCCCAACACATCATAAGAATGCCTTAGAGCCTTCTTGGGGGGATCAGAGCTTCTCACCTCACTTCGGCCCAAGTGGCTCTACCATTGCCTCATTTTTATTCTGCTGCTAAAAGCAGTTTGAAAAATCACTGATCTCATTGCATCCTTAGCCCATGTATTAATTCCCTTTATAATCTCTGATAGGGTTTAGATGTGTGTCCCCTCCTGTTGAAATGTGATCCCCAATGTTGGAGGTGGGCCTAGTGGGAGGTATTGAATCATGGGGGCAGATCCATCATGAATGGCTTAGTGCCATCCCCTTGGTGATCAGTGAGTTCTCACTCAGTCAGTTCATGTAAGATCTGGTTGTTTAAGAGTCTGGGGCCTCCCCATTCTCTCTCTTGCTCCCTCTTTTGCTCTGTGACATGCCTACTCCTGCTTTACCTTCCACCATGAGTAAAGGCAAGCAGATACCGGCACCATCCTTCCTGTACAGCCTGCAGAACTGCGAGCCAATTAAACCTCTTTTCTTTATAAATTACCCCCGGGCATTTATTTATAGCAACACAAGAATGGACTAACACAACCTCTCTCATAGCTAGTTGTCCAACCTTTGCTTGAAAATATCCAGTGACAGGGAGCTCATTACTTAATGATGCAGCTCACTGTATTTGAAGACTGTTTTGTTGTTATTATTTCATAATTCTGTCTCATAGCTAGAAATTCTAACTGATTTCATTGTTGGGGTCTGGTTAATTAAGGCTTTCCTCTGTAATTTTTTTTATGCACAGATAATCATTCTAAGGCATTTTAGTAATTCACACCCTTATTTTATGCCCTTTCTGGGTAGGGATGAGGGTGGATATATTACCCCACCACTTTCATTTATACATCTTAATGATATATAAAACACCTAAAAGGTGACAGTGAGTTACCATAGGCAATTAAACAGATAATATTGTGGTTCATGAGATGCAGAACTGAGGTGGGTAGGCAGAGAAAAGAAGGGGCAGATGCATATATCGAGGGCCTACTTTTTGCTAAACCCATCATATATTTTTTCCATATTCGACTCTTACAAAAATCAAACTTAGGTGCAATTATCTTGAAGTCCAGATGCATTAAGAAAATAGTGTAAAACTTAACAGCTAGCAAGTAGTGGAGTTGGGATTTTAACCCAGATTAGATTCTGAAATCCGAGTTCTTTCTTCTTTCTTCCACTTCAGAAGGAAATTTTCAGTCCTTCGACTGGCGACCACTGACATCATTATTATGGCATTGTTGTAATAATACATAGAATCCTGCAGTCAATAATGTCTGCTTAAAAATTTCCTCTTCCTGCCTCTTTTGGCTTATCTGCAAAATGGACATAATAATCACAGCTATTTCACAGGCTTTTTATGAAGAGTAAAAAAGCAATGATAAGTTATGTCCTCAGTGTCTTTCTGGCACATAGTTAGCCTGGGATTTCTGTTAACTTTGTATGATTATTTATGCCATGCCGTGTCCCTCACTGAGTAAAATTAGAAAGCACAAAATCACATATAGCTGAAAGAAGATCTAAAGAAAAAAATTCATGTGTTAAAATGTCTTAAATCTCTTTTCTGCCTCGGAACTGCATTGGATTGAATTATGATATCGGGGGCAGGGGCTGGGCATGGGGGTGGGAGGCAGTGGAAGTGGAGGAGAAGACACCATCTAGTTGCTTCTAGGCTAAGGAGGACCCTGGAGGGTATCTCCACTCTGTAGTTTAGCACTCTGGATATGTGGATATCAGAGAAAAAGCGCCCAGTTGATAGGCACACCAGGCCAGTTCAAAGGCATCACCGTGGCACCAGTTTTATCCTCTTTCTATTCATGACCCTCTGATTCAGGAAACAAATCCATTAAACCAAACAGGATTAAGCTGCAAAGCCCAGCTTGTGATGTGGTTGTCAGGCAGCAGTTTCCCTGCTGGTGTTAACGGGCTGTGGTGCAGAATCCTAACCTCAGGCTGTCCTACCACCCGGGCAAGCGTGAGGCCGAGGGCCAAGGAACACCACACACTTCCCTAATGTGTCACAATTACGGAGACAACTGTGCTAAGTAATCTTCCACGGATCTGCTCTGAAAACTTGCAGTGTGTTCAACAGCCCTCAAAATTTTTCATTTGGAACCTGTGGTGAGGTGGTCTGGTGGCGGTTATACTGAGCTGTGCTAGAATAAATACAGTCACCTCCAGAGATGTTTTTCCTCCCCTTTGGAGTGTATAGTTTGTAAAAGAATTTGGGTTCCTTTTCAGCATCATTTGTATCTCAGTTTAGCACATTGAAAGAGGAGGAAGAGAGGTTGCAAAGATAGCACAAGTGCTAGTGGCTGCAGAACCGGATCTTGTACATTGCTAAGAATCAGGCGTCTGCCTCGCTGGGAACAACACTTTGCATTTACAAAGCAGCAGCCTGTCCAGGCATTCTGAGAAGGCTGCTTACACGAGTTATCCCATTAGCGCTGTCAGTGGTGCTGGGCGAGGTGCCCAGTGGCAAACACAGCAGGTAATGGAGCAGGGAATGTGACTTATCTCCAGGGGCATCCTCAGTAGGACTCGAAAGTCCCTCACTTGTTGTTTCTGGAGAGTAGCGATTTAGAGCACAGAGCGCTACAGAGAAGCACTCATTATTTACCCAGGATACAATCCGGAAGTTAACCCAGATCTGCAAGATGCCTCCTGTTATTAGCAGGAGCACCACTTCTCAAGTCCCAGCTTTGCACTTCAGAAATAGGTGACAATGAGATCAAAGAAAGGTGGAGGCTGCAATTCATCATGCTTCCAGGGGAATGCATATCAACACTTCTCTTTCAGGTGACAGGGAAAGGGTATTAATGATGGCCTCATTCTCTCTGGGAGACCCACATTCCAGTTAATAAGGTATAGCTAGGCCAAAGCCAGTGGAGAAGGCTGTAAATGAAGTGGGCTGAGCACGAATGGGCAGGTGAGGAATTATTTAACAGGAGTTCAAGAATAGGCTGAGTTTCTCTAGGTTACTGTAGGAAAGCAAAGTTCTCTCCTATTTACTCAGGTGCCAGAAATGATTTCTTTAGTTTCAGGACCTGCTTTGTCTTTTGGAAGGCACCCTGGTTGGTTTATCACAGCGGGTAGAGGGAACTTCACTCAGTGGGTTGGTGTTCCCTCGAGGGGCCATAGGTTTTGGGCTGCCCTTTCTTGAGGGCAGGGATAGAAGTGTTGCTGATGTGCAAAAACTTATACCAGACTGCTTTGGGATGGGCGTTAGACCCTCAGGAATTAAAAGGCCACCAATGTCATCTCTGTGGCCCCAGTCTCCCTTTGCAGCTTACTTTCCAGATGCTTCCTCCATTCAGTGACCTGTACTCTTCTTGCCATGGGTGCCGTGGTCTTCAAACACTCTGTGCTTCCTCATGTCTCCTGCCTTTGCTTGTGCAGATCTGGCTCTATCTGTCTGCAGGCGGAGGTCCCCCTCCCTTCCCTACCTAACCATCTCTGTTAGTCTTTCCCCAACCCACAGGCAGGCTCAGTCGTGGAAACATCCCCGTGACACTTTGAGCTTACCTGGCTTGCCCTGCCTTTCACAACGTGCGACAATTATTTATTTTCTTCTCTATCTATTCCATTACCTTGTTAACTCCTCTAGAGAAGAACCCATGTCTTATTTATTTTTACAACCTCAGGGCCTCGAGAGAGTAGACATTTACCGAAAGTTTCCCAAAAGAAATGAATGGAGTCGCTTGTGCGCCGGGTGTGGGTCCTGGCAGCGGTCCTATTGTGCTGTGTATCTTTAATGAAGCTATAACAAGTCTCCATTCCAGCTTCTCATCTGTTAAAAAGGAAACAGGTATGAGAATAGTACAGATCTACCTTAAGGGACCTTGTATGAATTAGCAAACTAGAGAATTATGCAGACGTCCATTTTAATGGCTGACAAACCTGAAGATGTAGTTGAGCTTATGATTGGGAACCAGCCAGGCTGCTTCAACCCACTTAAGCATAGATAATCAAATGCACAGCTTCTCTGACAGCTGCTGATCACAGACACTATTAAAGAAAGAAATGGTCATAATACAGGTGACAAAGAGAGAGGCAAGCCTTCTGAGTGGCAACTTAGTACCACTAGGAAAGTGACAAAGCTTCAGAGGCCTCTCCCCAAAGCAAGGCCAACTGCTACCCTTTGCTGGAGGTGAGGGCTGTTGGAAACGAGCGGGCTTATGTAGACAATCATTTACATTTTACTAAAAATAATTGGAGTTTACAGACATTTCTTGCAAACATGCAACTGTCAGGCCTGGATGGAAAAGAAACATTTTTCTCAAATTGTGAGAAATTCTAACGTCGTAGCAAAAAATCAGGAGTCTGATGATTAAATGTGGAGAGCTGTCATCTTGGCATTATATTAAAATAACTTGCTTCCAGCAAGTGCACAGTATTTCTTCTTTCAAATCTGTCAGTTCTCGGGAGGCCATAGCTTCGGTTGGCTGCACCGGTGGCTTTGTAGCCATGGCAGTTTAACAGCAACAGGGACACTGGGAGGCTTTCTGGGGGCAGGAGCGGGGGCGATTTGGGAGGGGTCTCACTAAGCACTGTGCGGCTGCAGCAAATCATTTGCCGACCTATTTCTTCTTGACTTAGTGGGGCCCTTTGGAATCTGAAACTTTAAACAGAACACTAGCAGATAAATTATTTTCAGTAGTGCTCCTCAGACAGCGATGTCAGGCTGTGGGCAGAATGAACTGCATTTGTTTATGAAATCCGTTGCTTAATAGGACAATCAGTGTCTCATTTCAGCCTCTAGTCATGATAGTTTTAATGATGTCCATACTGTGCTGCTTTTACATGCAAACCAAGTGGGAGCAGAACAATGGGAAAAAAAACCTAAATCGGCAGAAGAGAGAAGAGCGATGCTGTGTCAGGGACCACGTCTCCTGCTCTGTCGAATAGAGCAGATGTGTCTCTGCACTGTCTGTTTCCTCTCGCTTTGGCTCAAGAGGCCATTTAACCTCTTTCCCTAGTCAAATGCTTCCCAAGGATCCCAGGTAGCCCCTCCTGTTTCTCTGCTTTCCTGATATGTGCTGTATAATATAGCAAAAAAAAATTTTTTTTACAACAGTAACACCACAATTTGCATTATCTTTTTGGCTTTTGAAGGCACATTCACATCTATATCTCACAAATTCCTAACAAAAGAGAGGCAGAGTGGACTTTACAGCAGTGAAGTCTTATATTTGCCCAGACTTTCATGGTGTGTAAGGCCTGTCTGTCCATATTGTGTAATTAGTTTGGTTGTGATTGTTATGTTGGTTATCCCCATTACATAGGCAAGCAAAGTAACGTAGAGGAGACAGCATGACAAATTATTAAGAACAGGAAATTTTGGGATCAATTCTGTTTTGTTGCTTATTTTTATGTGATCTTGGGCCAGCTACTTAACCTGCCAGAACTTTAATTTCTTCTCTAAAATAAGGACAATAATAACTTCCTTTGAGGTTATTGTGAGGATTAAATGCAATAATATACATGTAAAGCATTCAGTACAGAAGGTGTTCAATAATTGTTAGTTATTATTAGTGGTAGTATTGCAGAAATAAAGATTATGAGCCTTGGCTGAAGGCACCATGGTAAGGGCTGGAGTTATACATACCTGGTTACTGGAGAGTCAGGTCTCCTGAGTTTTCATCACATTCTGCCCTGCCCTTGCGGTCTGTCTTAATGCTTAAGGGGTGTGCAGATTTTCCACCTTTCAGCAATTCCAGATACAGACTGTGAGGATATAAAAAGCAAGTGAAGAGCCTGCAGAAACGCAGGTGCAGCTTGGGGTCTCTTTGCCAAAAGTGCAGTATTTCTTCAAAAGCCCTTAAATGTCACTTCTCCTTGCTCAGTCTGGCTGGAAACGCCCCCACCATTGCCTTTCAGCCCAGGGGTGACATTGCCTGAGCCATGTGTGTCTGAAAGAGGGATTCACCTTGACCTTCCTCTTTCCCAGAAGAAGAAACAACACAAATGAGGTCATCAAAAACATCACAGTTCCTCCCACTCAGCACCTCTCAAGTGCCTCATCCTGACCCCCCATCGATCAGCCATAAAACATAAAATCAACAGAGTTCTGCTTTTCTATTTCATGCAGAAAAATCAACATTGACCAGCATTGTCAGCCAAGCTTACAGAAATATACAGTAAAAATGGGCGTGCCCACAGACTTCCCTCTCAGATCCTCTTAAGCCTCTCCTTTGTCCTGGTCTCAGGTGACAGCTGTGGAGCAGAGCAAAATCCTGCTGCTAAGTACTAAGTGGGAGAAGCGTTCATCTTTGTCCCTGCACAGAGGGTGCTTCCAGCGAGTTGGTGACTGACAGCCCGAATAAGCAGTTATTTCTCCAGGCTCAGGTGCGAGAGACACATGTAACCCAGTGCCTGACCTTATGCAGCTGAGCTTGGCATTCTGGAGCCAGCTTGCTGCCACTATTACCTGTTAAGGTTAAAATATTGTTGAGCTGATTGATGATGAAGCTCTGATCATGCTACTCTCCCCCTGAAATAATTTTTGAGTGTGCTCCAAGTCCTATAGAATCAGGTCCAAATTCCTTATTCTGGTGTTCATGGCTTATTATGATCTGACCCCAGTCTCCCTTCCTAGCTGTGTCTCTTTTTACCAGGGTTCATGACTCCTGTGATACAGACAAGCTGAAACATTCTCTGAATCTGCCCCCACAGTCTCTCACCTTTCAGTTGACACTTAGGTTTTTCCTTCCCCTGGTATGCTCTTTTCCTTGACTGTTCATGTCTGAGTCCTATCTACCCTTCAAGCACCATTGATATACTACCTCCTCCGTGAAGAGCTACCTGTTTCCTCCGGCTATGGCAAGTTTTCCCTTCTCTCAAATCCCTTAGCTCCTCATGCATATCCTTCTCAGGACAGTTATGCCTTCTTCCTAGTATTATGTATATTAAGTATTATGAGTTTTGTATACATTCTATTTTTTTTTTTTTTGAGACAGAGTCTTGCTCTGTCGCCCAGGCTGGAGTGCAGTGGTGCAATCTTGGCTCACTGCAAGCTCTGCCTCCCGAGTTCATGCCATTCTCCTGCCTCAGCCTCCTGAGTAGCTGGGACTACAGGTGCCCGCCACCACGCCCGGCTAATTATTTGTATTTTTAGTAGAGACGGGGTTTCACCGTGTTAGCCAGGATGGTCTTGATCTCCTGACCTCATGATCTGCCCGCCTCGGCCTCCCAAAGTGCTGGGATTACAGGCGTGAGCCACCGCACCTGGCCTATATTTTTTAATAGACTCTGAGCTCCTTGCAGGCAGGAGCTACATCTTTTTATTTTATGAATCACTATCATTTAGCCCAGGATCCCTGATCCCCACAGAACGAACTTAGAGCTTGTTATTAAGTGAATAGATGCTCCTTTCTATTCATTTAATGAGAGCTTCACATGGGTTGAGAGAGGACTCATGTTTGTGGCGATGCATGGGTAGAACCAAGGTCTGCTCTGATTGCTTCATGCCTGGTTGGCTGTCACCCCCAAGTTGAGGGATTCGCTCAATATGATTTCCTAGACTGTTTTTAAGGAGATGACTTGTATGTCACACTTCCATATCAGCAAGGAATCTAGTTGTCATACACACACAGACACACACACAAGCACACTCTTACATGTAAATAATTTGGCCAAATTCTCTTTAAAATAATCTGCTCCTATCTCCTTGGTACAACTGTGGCTGTTAGTGAGAAAAGAATTCATGAGCAACATTCAGAAGGCATTATTAGTAATTTCAACTCTTCATATTGACTCTCGAATATATATTGAGACAGAATAATGTATTGTGGGCCAAAAAGATCAGAGTAAGTCATTATCCTTACAGGGGAACCTACTTGTTATAAACAGTTTTCTCAGGAATTGGCCTTTCAGAACATGAAGAGTGGTTAATGATTGTCACCTTCTCCTCTACCACCACAAACAAGAGCCAGCATGTCTTCTCCAAATAAGCTTTGATTATTAACTATTCACGGCATCCATTAAATATTCTCCTGGACATACAGGTTGCCACTCAGAAGTCTGAGTGTGTTACATATTTTCTAATTTTTACTGCCAGTAAAGCTTTACCTCTGTGTTGTTATTTTTTAAAGTGAAATAATTCATTAGAATACAACTTCTTGTGGCAACCCATAAACATAGCTTTGTTTAAGGAATATGAACTCAGTCGTCTCTAGGAAGCTGTTATTTGTGCCACGCCAGGGCTGTTCTCTACTTGCATATTTGCAGGTGGAGGAAGTTTGCCTGCATATCGAAATGATATATATTTCCACTTTGTTAGTGAAATATCACCAAAGTTCAGCAGTGAGCCTGTAGGTTATGCTGACTACTGATTCCCTTGCACCAAAAAGCAACTGGAGCAAAAGAGCATCAGAGATGACCTTTAGCTAAAGAGTTGCAAGTTATATTACTTGTCATCTCTGCTTAAACACCAAGCACCAGGCACGGGGTAGAATACAGAAAAGAATCCTTCCCACCATCAAGCCACTACCACCTGAAGCACGAAGGAGAGAACAAGGAGAGATCACCTCCTAAGCGCTGGTGTTAGAACATCCGTTCTCCTCCTCCTTGCCCCAAAGCAGTGCTTTTTATTTTCATTTCCATGCTAACAAGGTAGACCTATCCTAGCGTGTGTTCTGAAGAGGTTCTTTCATGCTCAGGGCCTGGGGAGCTTTAACATAGTTAGATGTACTCTAACAGCAGGTTGCCATCAAAAAATTCTATAATAGGATTAAAATAAAAGAGAAATGCACTTGCAGTAGGATGGCAATGATTATTTAACACATTTCAAGTGCTTGGTGGGAAGATGCAGCACAAACAGCAGACAGACCTGCTGTGTGGGTGTGTTGCCTTCTTAACAATCAAGGTTTTATGTTATGATCATGGATTTTTGGAGCTGAGCTTTGGAGAATATCCAAAAGCTGCACAACAAGGTGCTGGGAGAGGGCTTTCTTGCTATCCAAGATGATCATATGGATTTGTACTCACTGTCCAGCCACTCCGCCTAGAATGTGAGCTCCAGGAGAGTGAGGGTTCTGCCTTGTTTATTTCTCAATTCCCAGCATCTAGAACTATCCCTGGTGCATACTAGATGGTCAGTGAATATGTGTTATCTGAAAAAAGTGTCCCAAGCATGGGCTCTGGAGTCAGATAGTAAAGCATACCCTTGAACAAGTTTCTTAAGAATCCTAAGTGCCAGTTTTTCATCCTTAAACTACAGTTGACTTTCCAGTGTTCTTGGGAGGGCGTCTAAAGCAACTAAAGCTATTTTTGTATCTGGCAGGCTGCGTTTCATGGACAGCTGTTTGGGCTGGATGTGTTGGTAAAAACTCAGCTTTAAGAGCTGCAGTGGTATGACGCTTCTGGAGGGCTCTGCTTCATGTCTCACTAGAAAGCTTCAGTATCTGCGGCCTCTGGAGAGATAGCAGGTGGTGGTGGTATCAGGAGGAAAGAGAGATCCTTAGGATATGCCCAGAGGTGGCTCTGGAATGAGCCAGCTGAACCAAGTCCCTGAAACTCACAGCATCAGTGTCATCCTGGAAGACAGGAAGGGAGATCTTAATGTAGCACTTATTTCTGGCACCTAGAGAGGGGGCACTCAGGGTCATCGAATGGCTTGGTGTCATCAAAATCTACTTGTCTTGAAATACTAGTTCTTTTAAGCCTATATTCTGCCATCTCATAGTCAGGTCCCCTAACTCCAGCAATTAGCTCCACTCATGTTTGCATCTGCAAGCTTTCCACTATTTTTATGCTGTTTTACTTGGGTCAATGTGTTTCCAATTCTCCATTTGCCCCACCCCACCAGATCACTTTTTGTCCCTTCTCCACCCTGCTCTGTGCTCCAGGAGATGGGGTTCCCAACAATGCATTGCCTCACTCTCTTGCCCTTTGGTTTCCAGTTTGGTTCTGTTAATGGGAGGCATGGGCAAGAGATCAGAAGTTAGAAGAGATAGGTCAGGAGTTTTCTTTCCTACTGACTCCCTGTTTTGACATCATGGTCTGGCAATGGCTTTATCCCTCTGCAACCACAGCTTCTGCCTGAAGGTTTTGCTTCAAGTTATCATCTCTCATTGGGCACTGGTAACACTATTTCCTGCCATTGCCCCTTCGGACCAAGGGATAATAAGGGCTTCCTACTGCCATCGGTCTCTGATGTTGTTATGGCATCAGTGCCATGCCACTTGTTATGGTCCTATTAACTGTGTCCAGATCACTAAAAACCACCTCATCATCAAGTCTCTTCATATGAAATATCTGAATGAAATTCTGTTGTCAGCTAGGACACTCTGCAATTGTGCCCATCTTAAAGAAACTATGAGCTACCATCCTTTCTCTCTCCTCTTCTTCACAGCAAACTTCTTAAAAGTGTCCTCTAGACTTTTATGATGTCCTCCTCAATTCCACTGTATTAGCCAGGGTTCTCCAGAGGGACAGAACAAATAGGACATATAAAAGAGAGTTGATTAGGAAGAATTGGCTCACAGGATTACAAGGTGAAGTCCCACAATAGGCCATCTGCAAGCTGGGGAAGGAGAGAAGCTGGTAGTGTGACTCAGTCCAAGTCTAAAAGCCTTGAAGCCAGGGAAGCCAATCGTGCAGCCTTCAGTCTGAGGTCGAAGGCCTGAGAGCTCCCTGGAGGGCACTGGTGTAAGTCCCAGAGTCTCAAGGCCAAAGAACCTGGAGTCTGATGTCCAAGGGCAGGAGGAGAGGAAGCAAGAGTCTGACACAGGGAGAGAGAGTGCAAGCAGACTCAGTAAGTCGCTTATCCCCTTTCTTCTGCCTGCTTTGTTCTGGTATGCTGGCAGCCTGTGGGATGGTACACTCTCACTGAGGGTGGGTCTTCCTCTCCCAGTCCACTGACGCAAATGTCAGTCTCCTCTGGCAACACCCTCATAGACACATCCAGAAACAATACTTTACCAGCCATCCAGCCATGCCTCAATCCAGTCAAGTTGATGCCTTGGGCAATCACGGGTTCACCAAACCCTGGCTCTCCACTCTCTGAGAAATCCTACCCACCTCCAGTACGTTCTGCTGTCTCCCACAGGCTTATGATCATCAGATTCATTCATTTGTTCAACAGATACTCATTGAGCTTCTAATAGGTGCCCAGCACTGTTCTAGGCTTGGGATGTGCTGGTGAACAAAACAGTTATGGAGCTCAGGCTTTTATGGGATCAAATCTGTGCTATAAGCCTCTCACAGGATCTTCAGAGTTGTAATTGCAGTTGCCTGCCAGACATCCCCAAAGCTCCATCAGTGCAGCACCTCTGAACCCAAATTCATTATTACGTGAACCCAAAACTGTTCTCTCTCTCTGAAGGTATGGCACCATCACCCCCTAGTTTTATGTAAGTTAACCATCTTGCCCTTAACTTTCATCTCCAATAAGATTTTTTCGATTTTGCTTTGGACTTTGCTCCTAAAACTCTCTTTTATTCACTATTTCTAATTCTTTGTCTAAGGTTAAAGATCTTATCATTTCTCACCTGGACCATTGGAATAGCCTCTTACTGGTCTACTGGCCCCCAGCTTGTCACTCTGATATGGTTTGGCTCTCTGTCCCCACCCAAATCTCATCTTGTAGCTCCCATAATTACTGTGCATTGTGGGTGGGACTAGTGGGAGATAATTGAATCATGGCAGTGGATCTTTCCTGTGCTGTTCTCGTGATAGTGAATAAGTCTCACGAGATCTGATGGTTTTAAAAATTGGAGTTTCCCTGCATATGCTCTCTCTCTTTGCCTGCTGCCATCCATGTAAGACGTGACATGCTCCTCCTTGCCTTCCGCCATGATTATGAGGCTTCCTCAGCCATGTGGAACTGTAAGTCCATTAAACTTCTTTCTTTTGTAAATTGCCCAGTCTCTGGCATGTCTTCATCAGCAGCGTGAAAATGGACTAATACACACTCCAAGCCTTTCTCATTACTACTGCCAAAGTTAATCTCAAATATACTTTCCTGCTTGAAGAATTCTGCCAGCTCCCTATTGCCACACTTTTTTGTAAGATATTTAGTTTCTAGCTGAGAGGGACCACTGGTTTCTGCAGGCCTCACCCATCACATCAACTCAGGCTTCTTCTGCCTCAGCTCTCCAGACCTGCATGAGTGCCCTGGCCTCTCTGCCTTTGCACATGTACTTTTCCTGAGTTGTTAGCACCTCCATCCCTCCCTTTTTAAAATTCAAGGCCTTATTGATGACACCTTCTCTGTGATATTTTCTCTGACTCTTTCCAGAAAAGTTAGTTACTCCATCCTTTTCACTCCCATACTTCTTTGTTCTTTCCACTTGCCAATTTGTTGTACAGTTAGTTATAAAAGTGTTGATTCTCCTTCTAGCCTGAGAGCCCTTTGAATCCAGGAGACATTTTGAATCCTTGGTGTTTAGCACTGTTTGGCATAGAAGAATTATCGGGATATACTTTTGTAATAAATTAGAAATGGACAACCCTCACTCTGAGGCCTAATCTCCAGGAAAAGCATCTTCTGACCCCCCAACTCTTCTTGCCACCAGCCTAGCCCACTGTGGGTAGCTGCTGTTGTGATACCTTGTCCAAAGAACCTACTCATGCCTCCATCTTGGGTCCCTAACATGTTACAATACCTAAGTTACCCAACAGCTGAGAGCTAGAGTAGCACCCACGGTTAGCCAGTGCAAATAATCTTCCTGACCTCTACTTTATTTTTCCCTTTGAAGGGGGCTGGTGATGAGATACGGAGTTTTGTGAGGACAATGCTTACGGCCCCAGAGATCACAAAGCTAGGGTCATCTCATGGAGGGCACTAACAGGCAGAAACTCAAAATCTAAGTCTCATCTATGTGCAGTCAAAATGTCACCAAAGCCCTGGAGCTGCTTGTCTAGCCACAGCATCCCCTTCTCAGCCCCTCACCCCAATCTGCGTGTGTTTTCATCCCCCGTCAAAGCAGACCTGAAAATGGGCTATGCGGGCAGGTCACCTGCAGTTGGGGGAGAGAAAGGAGAGAGGAATTAAAACATGTAGTAGTTCCTCTGTGATCAATATCTGCCTAGAGATGGTGTTGCTAATAATACCCTGAGCAGAAGCATTACTGAAATCCTTACCTCTGATTCCCAAATGGCTTGGGAGTTCAGCCAGATCAAGCTTCTGCTGCTTGTGTTTCCAAATTTTAAAATACTGTGAGGTTTGGGGCTGGCTTCAATGCAGTGTTTCTTTTCCTGGGTGGTCAACTCAACTTATTTTATGTGTTTAACCCTAACCCCTTCTCCACAAACAGCAAACCAACTAACAGCTAAAGAAGGAGAGATGAGATGGCACCAGGGTGAAGGTTTCTCTGTGACCATGTTGATGGGGTTGACAAGTGACCTGAGGCTACCTGTACTTCCACAGAGTTGAGCCAGTCAGTGCTCCCAGGCTGGCATCATGTGACCACCATGAAGAACAAAGGCTCCAGGGAATTGTTTAGGGCTGCAGCATGTGAAAAGACGAGGCCAGGCAGATGCCCTCCCATATATGGGAAAGAAGACATGAAGAAGGATGAGGATGGTGTGCTTATTTCTCTCTGTCAGTAAAAACTTTAAATTGATTTTGATTTTCTGAAACTAAATTTGGTGCCAGATTGTGAATATACAGTAAATGCTTTACTGTGTTTCAAGCGCAAAGTAGATTTACAGCAGCCGAGATAGTTTGTTAAATTCCTGACAACTCACCAAACCAGAGTGCACAGCTGCAGTCACAGTTTCTGACATGGGGGGCAAAGATCCCCTGAAACCTTTTCATCTTACCAAAGGAGGACTCCCAGGAGATTTCAAAACATATGAGAGGAGAAAGCAATGAAATTACATCCTTGAAACATCACAAATAGGGGTCCCATCTGATCCTACATTCTGCTCTCACTGTGACCTGATTCCTGGGGATGAAACTGGGTAATGACCAGTAAGTCAGACATTGCTGGCCTCTGATGCTCTTTGAAATGGTTTCTCCTAAAGGCACGGAAGAAATTCAAGAATGGGTCTAAAGTGCAGTGCCTAGAAATTGTTTTAAAAAAAAGTATTGATCTTATTTTCATTGCAACATAAGAACTGAGTTTAAACCACTCATATGATTTAATCTATTTCTCTGACAAAGTAAAAACACTGAAAAATAGCTCAATTTCTCCATCTTTTTTAGGTGGAGAATGAAGTTACCATGGTTCTAATGAGGGTATTCTTTATTGTCATTTGAAGTAAAAATGCATTTTTCATGAGGCTGTATTAATTTGACCATAAATATCTTCTTATTTCCATGCTGAAAATGTATTTTATAAATTCTGACTTTTAGATTCAACTCTCAATAAACTTTATAAAGTTTGTTTTCTTTTGGTCATTGTAATTCGAGTACATTGATCTAAATGAATATTTGCTTCCTCAAAAAAACCACGTTCTTTTATACATTTCTGCTGAATTAATAGTCTAGAAAATGCCCACTAGATGGCAGTGTCACTGCATAGTTAAAGACTATCTGGGCAAGTGATAAAGAATAGGAGGCTACTTTATGTGGTAGCTATCCTGGAAAATCCAGAAGGTGGCAGATTTTAGCTATTTATGAAAAGTCAAGTACAGAGGCGAAGAATCTCCTTTTTTTTTTTTAATTATTTTTATTTATCTTTCCAGAAGGAGATTATGAGCTGAATAAAATTATCTGTGATATTTAAAATATTTGAAAATGTTTCACATTTTTCGAGCATGTAATACAAGCTGAAGGGCTAGCAAAGCTAACAGTGACACAAAATCAAGGTGAAATTGACCAATAAATTGAGAACTCCATTACAGGAACAATTTCCCCGAGTTCGAGTCACAGCATTTGAGTGATAACCTAAACCTGTCTCAACTTTGTGAAACATTCAAAGTGAAGACAGAAGGAAAGGATGAGGAACACTGGAGGAGGCGGAGGGGTGCAGTGTGGGCACTGATGTTTATATATTTTCACCAAGTTTTCTAGTTTCTCAGAGGACTTTCAGCAGACCTGTGCTTCAGTGTTCAGTTTTTTTACAAGGTTACTGATTACTTAAGGGACCTGGATTTTAAAAATGAAAAATGACAGCTTGAATACAATAGTCCAATTTAGAGGGATCATGCATCCTCACAGCTTTGCTGGCTATTGGAGACATTTGCAATGAATACAAATCCGCATCCATTTTGTGGAAGACACTACTGCAGTTTCAGTTCCTCACTTCAAACCTTGGGTTTGTGTGGGTAAGTGTGTGCTAGCTTGTTCTAAGGGAATACCTGTTTCTTAGTTGATTTTGGCCCCAAGCAGTATGAATGGGCTTGCCTTCCCACCTCCTGCAGGAAATACACATTGGTGTGAGGGTGCTGGGGGTGGAAGGACTGCAGGACAGCAGGATGGTGGCTTGGAAGTCATTCTTCAGAGTGACAGCTCTACATGGCTCTTGGCACTGCAATATTTCAGGGAACTGGTGCTCAGACCAGGATCATTTATCTCATTTAAATATTCCAAAGAGAGTGGCCTACATACTGAAGTTAGATTCATTTTCATCTTTATGCTCTAAAATGGCCTGGCAGCCTCTCTCAAAAGGAGTGGGGTGGGGGAGAAGGAAAGGAAGGAAGAAAGAAAGAAACGATGGTAAGGAAATGCAGCAAGTGAGTGATATACAAGGTGAGCACAGAATTCAATATCCAGGACGAGGACATATATGTCTTGGACCCCAGATATATAGCTCAGAACTGATGGAGAAATGGGCAGGAAGAGAGATAATCTTTATCTCTGTTCCCAAGCCTTCAGAAATAGCTAAGGCTAAATCACCCTCAGAAGAAAGCAGGAAATGAAGACTGCTCCAAGTCACCCATGAGATTTCAGAGTGCAGGCCACCGGCTGAGTACATTTTTCCTTCTTTTTCTTTTTTAAAAATTTGAGTCACACACTGAGTTCAGGGTCAGTCAGTATATGGAAACCTCAGTCAGTGTTTAAGTCTAGGCTAAGCTTCTGATTTCTGTTTTATTTAGGAAACATTGCTAGATTTTATTTGGATTTAGAATCTGAAATCTATGCAAAAAGCAAAAAGGAGAGGAGATTGTGGCATTTTCCACAGCTTCATTTGTTCCTGGGAAAACCATGTATCTATTTCCTTTTCTAACATTTCACATGCCCACTCACATATTTGAAAGTCTATGTGCCTACCAAACCACATAGACTTTTGGGTTACTTGTACTTTTTTTTTTTTGTTATTTAAAGCTAATCATTACTGCAGCAGGATTTTAATAGTTTGGAGTAATAATTGTTAGGATGATGAGAACAAACCCTGGTGCTTGAAAGAAAGTGGCCCATTCTACAATATAAGATATTTTATATTATGTTACTGCATATCCTTCCTTTATGGTATTTGGACTTGCTTTCCCACAAAGAGGATCTGTGATCAAAGAAGTGAAAAAAAGGCTCAGAAAATGCTTTGGTAGTCACTAACTTGTGAAGCATGAAGTCCATTATCTGCACTGGGCCTATAAGCCCCATCATACAACCAAGCCATTGAAATTGATGTTCTTTGAGTTTTCTTGAATTGTCTGGAAGATATTTCAGTCCTCCAATCAGCTAGCTTAGTTAGCCTATAACATTCACTAGCAAAGTGCTACCTTTAGGGAATCATATTGGTGTGGTTTAGTTATCCTTGCAAATGCTTCCATTTCAGACTTTGCAATTATAAGCAGACAGGAAAACTCCAGTGAATTACTTTCAGAGTTGTGAACCTACAAAGAATCAACTTTTCTAACCGCATTCATTCCTGGAGGACTCAGAACTTTCCCAGTGGCACTGTAGAACTTCATCTCATTAGCATGGTTCAGACCCAGGGATTTAATATTTGCCTAGCACAAAGGAAGAGAACAGGATGGCTTGCTCTAGTTACCTTCGTCATTGCTGGGACCCAGGAAAAACAGGCATCTCTGGTTTCTGCAGGAATTTGCTTTATTTGGTTCTGTTTACTTCTTCTAGGTAGTGGTGAGATAGGATTGAAATGGGTAAATCAACAGGTAGAGGCCAAGGAGTTTCCTTCTATTCCACTTCTGAATGATACTGGCAAGGATTCTTCCATCTCTTTTCTCTTCATTTTCCTTGTTAATCAAAGGGGCACAGTAATACTTGCTGTCTCAACAGAGGCAGCTTGTGGTTCAAGTAAATCTGTGAGAATAAGTTGACAAGAACTATTTGGTATGCCCAATGTAAGGGAGCACTAATTACTTACATTTAAACATTTAAACATGTTTACTTACTTATAAACATAAGTTTATAATTAACCATGAGGAAGGAGGAAGGGGGCATTGATATCATTAGTGCAATTCACTGCATATTTCTGGTTCTTTTTCCTTCCTGCCCCCTTTTGCTGCTCTCTTGACATTAGATGATTTGCTTTGGCCAGAGAATGTGAGTGAAAGGAATTATGTGTCACTTTCAGGCAGAAGCTCTAAGAATCTGGTCTGAATGGTTGTATTCTGTTCTCCCCACCTAGGTCACTCTGGAAGATTTTTAGAGATGGAGCTATTGTCAGCCTGAGTCCCTGAAGTGATCTTAATGGGCAAAGCCACCTTTCCAACTCATATTGTATATGTAACTTCATGTTGGGCATTTAGTAGAAGTAAGAAGTGAACTTTTGTTGTGCCAAGCTGTTGAGATTTTGGGATTATTTGTTATTACTGCAAAACCTAGACTCTTCTGATTGATACACAGGAATTGCTTTCTGATTTATTTTCTGTAGACTCTCAAGGCAATGCCATACTTCTGTTTTATAGGCCCTATATCACACAGTCTTTATGATTTCTTCAGACCTATTTCTCTGCCTTTGAATAAGAAAATTCTCTTAGTTCTGACAAGAAGAACCTTTATTGGTCCTTGGCATATATGGTCTATCTGCCTGCCACAACATTCTCAACTTCCCTCTTTTCCTGCTGTCTTTTACCTATCATTTAGATGCTGGCTGAAACATCACTTTTACTGGGGCATCTTCCTGGACTTTTTGGATTGTCTCTTCTTTACGCTCCCAAGCAGCTTTTGCCACTTTTATAGAGTATTTAAACACTGCATTGTAATTGCTTTTTCTGGTGTGTCTTTATGTATGACGTTTTCCTGTATCTTTACCATTTGACCCTAGTGTATAGCTAATAATAAACACTATATTTAAAATATAACATGAGCATTAGAAGAGGGTACTTAGTGAAGTGAATGGAATCTGGAATTTTTAAACCTACGTTGTTCCCTGTTTGCCACTGGGTTTCTTTTCTCTAAATTGACCATAATGAGAGAGTATTGGTGGGAGAAGGTCAGCACCCAAGATATACATTGTTGATTTACAGCCTGAGGGGGGCTGAGGCACACCTTTGACTTTCCACCTGCAGCTCTCTGCTATGGGGCCCCACAAGCTCCTCAAAAGCTGTCGTGCTTTCCTCTGCTTTCCCTGGTGCACCACTCGCTAGGTTACTGCTTCTTCCACTGCCTCCGGATCTCTGATTCTCTGTTCACCAGGGCCTCCCCTCTGTTGATTGTGTTGTTGTTACTGAAGGAGGCCACAGGAAGATGAAAGTGGATAAAAAGAGGACCTAGGGCAGAAAAAACTCAACCCTGTCCCAGAAATGATCCAGAAAGTTTAGGCCTTGAGCAAAGCTTTAGAGGTGGGAAATATCTGCAGATAGTACTCTTCCTTCTCCGGACCTGTCCCGTCTGCCAACCAAGGTGCAAGGTAGCTGTCCATGGTCCTGGACCTGTAAGACCGTATTTTTTTTTTTTTTTTTTTTTAAACCACTTCATTGAAGGATGATGGGCAAGTAAAAAGCTGTACATATATAATGTATACAACTCGATGAATTTGGGGATAAGTATACATCTGTTTAACCCTATCCCTTATTCTTAATCTCCTCTTTGAGTTAACAAAGATTACTTTCTTACCCTTATTTGTAATGTTAATATGTAATATTCATAATAATAATATTGACATCATAATCAAAAACAAAAGAGTTAACATTCATAGGTTGCTTAGCAAATTCCATGAACTTAGTTAAGAATTTTATAAATGCGATTTCAGCTACCACTTGCAACAGCATTAACATGCGGTTAGTACTATTGCAATTTGCATGTGAGAAATTAGAGCTCAGTGTAGTGAAGCAACCTGCCACTGTCACACAGCTGGTAAATGACAGAGATGAGACTTCAATCAAGGTCTTTTGATTCCCACCCTAGGCTTTTTCCTCTTATGTTCTATCCCTAGGAAACTGAAACACCTTCATAACATAAAAGCAGTAATTATATAATTTCAGGATCAAATTAAATGAAGGGAAGTGATGTTTTGGTTGGGAGCTCTTGCTTGGCCTCCTTCACATCACATTGAATGAAGGGTCACCTGTTTTGCTTACTCTTAAACCCCATCTCAGGCAAAAGAAAAAGTCAGGGGTAGCCTTCCAGATTTAAAGAAAGATGGCCTATCTTTTTCTTTTGCCACACTTTTGGGAAAAGAAATTTTCCAGGAGATATGATTTTGGCTGGCACACAAGCAGCAAAGGGACTTTTAAAAAGAAGCATTATGGTTCTCTGGCATTTTCATTCTGGGGTGCTGAGATATAATGAAACAAGGAAAGCATTGAGAGCCAAGGTCATTATGAATATAATTCAGATTTTAAATTGCTATTTGCAGAAAAATATTCCTTAGGCCTGGTTGAACTAGGTTAAATATCTATAGTGATTATATTTACGGGCAATTGCTTGGCCCTGTACTCCTTTTGCCTGTGTGGACATGGTAAACTTTTGAGTTAGTAGGTGGTAGGGCCACACATTAAAACGGAATATTGTTATTGCCCTCATTAAGAGAGACCCTGATTCTTTTAAGTCTGCTCTAACAGGAGCCTTTGGAAAAACAAGAGAAATTTCAGAATATCTGACTAATTTAGATTGAGCAATTAACAAAGTGACATAGTTAACACTACTGCTAGTATCACTTATTAGCTTGGCTGTGTGGGAGGCAGCCTCCGCCTTGGGAAGGAGGCTATTAGAATTAGGTGCCACTGCATATATCTGGAAGCCAGCCTAAGCAATCAGGTTCCTGTCTGTGAGGCTTACAGAGGTTGAAAAATCTACTTTTGGTGGTGCGTCGTGCTGCACTGGTTTTTATTCTAGCAGACGATGGAATGGCTAGAGAAATAATGTTATTTCCATAGTGCATGTTTCTCTTAGAGGCAAAAGCTGTGCTGCTGCTGGTGCTGCTCCTATCTGTGTGTCCTGGATTAGGCTGGGTAGATGCCCTCCTGTTCTTTCTACATTACCAGCCTGGGCACAGGGTCCTGAGGCTTGAGGAGACCCTTGTAGGACCTTCACACCTGAGTCCTCTTGGCTGAGCTTCTTGCTGGGTTTACATGGTGACAATCACTGAAATGAAATCATTAAGAAATTGGCCATTACTTGGATATTTCAAAATATTTCCCAAGTATTTAGATTAGAAGCCTATCCAATATTCAACTAGAGTGACTCGGTGAAGCTGACCTGGTTCCAGGGTCACTTTGAATAGCTCTAATTAGTAATGGGCTATTTGGTGTACAACAGGCTTCCTAAAGAGAGGAAAATAGCCATTTCCTTTATTTGTTTTGGTGGCAGTGAGGGGAAAAGGCAGCTCAAGTAGGGTAGGGGCACCAAATCCTGTCCCCAGATGGAAACTGTTGTAAATTGGACAAGCTCTGAAGCCAAGTGTTTGGGGCAGTTTGGATAGCAACTCACAGCCTGAGGGTTGGGAGTGAGCTGGCCCTAGGAGGGAACCTTTCATTTAGGCTGGGAATGGGGGATTAGCAGGGCCACCTAAAAAGAGCTGCTGGCTTATCCAAGGACAGTGTCTGTTGTTATGCAACAACTAGTGGGTCTGGGTTAGCTCAATCCTAGAGGCAGAGCCCTGAGGTGCAAAGGCTGGACACATATTAGCCAAGTGGGAGATGGGGGCTGGAGGGTCTGTTCACACATGGCAAGGTTCCAGCTACCCTGAGCACCAGAAAAAAGCTCCAGCTTCTGGCAAAGAAGGCTGGTGGAGCAAGGTGGGCCACTGGGACCCCTATCATACCAGGATATCGAGCAGGTGTCTCCAGACCTAGCCTGGGAAGCTGGTGTGGACTAGACTTGACAGAGGAAATTACTGAGGAAGATCTGTCTTATCAACAGGGTCAATGTGGGAGGGGCTTACAGGACTATAAAATGGAAATATCTGGATGCCCAGGGCTCATCATAGACTCTGCACATCCTGAGACTGTTGGATTTCAAAGACACTTGTTGGGAGGGCAATATGGGAACCTAACAATGATAAAGACTCTTCAGATCTCAGGTCTGGAACCTATGCTTTGATTGGAGGCCACTAAGAGCTGATGGAGTGGAGGCCACTGTAATGCCTCTCAGCCTGGCCAGTGCAGGCACAGCAGCATGGGGAGCCAGGCCAGGGGTGGACCTTTCCTAAAACTCAAGCTTCTGTGAGCTGGGGAGACAAAGATGGGCACAGAGGAGAACTGTTGTCCAGTTGCTAGTAATAGTCCTTTCATGTCCCATAAAGCCTGCCCCTTCCACTCCCCAGGGCTTGGCTATCCATCAAGGTACCAAGCAAACAGCTGCCAGATGAAGATGCCAGAAGGAACATCTGAATCCTTTATATTTCTGATGTCTTTGGATGATGTGTGATAGCTTAGGCATTCAGATTTCTTAAATATAAAGAATTTATACAGAGGCTACTGGCCACATGCTCCAATTCCAGATGTAAACTTTGTAACTCTGAATACATCCTACTTGCAAGTCTCTATGTAATGTAGTATCCGGAGTTTGATAGAATTGGTTTGAATTTGAGCTCTGTCACTCATTAGCTAATGACATTGGTCCAAAGAGTTTCTTTGAATGTGAGATTTCTTATCAATACAATGGTCATAAGATTGTCCTTTTCAGGCATATAGGAGATAATGTATGCAAAATGCCTGGCACAGAGTTACTGTTTAATAAATGGAAATGGCATATACATGCATACATGCATGGCCCAAAGCCTTGTCATGGAGCACTGCACTAAACCTGTAGTAAATTGGGGATATCAGAAACAGTGGTCACTAGGCATGGTGGTGTGTGCTTGTAGTCCCAGCTACTTGGGAGGCTGAGACAGGAGGGTTGCTTGAGTCCAGGAGTTCTGGATTGTGGTGTGCTATGCTGATTGGGTGTCTGCACTAAGTTTGGCAACAATATGTTGATCTCCCATGAGCTGGGGACCACCAGGTTCCCCGAGGAGGGGTGAACTGGCCCAGGTGGGAAATGGAGCAGGTCAAAAGTGTGCTGATTAGTAGTGAGGTTGCACCTGTGAATCGGCACTGCATTCCAGTTTGGGCAACACAGCGAGACCCTATCTCTAAAAAAATTTAAAAAAGAAATGGTCAAATAAAATAATTTTATTAATATTGGTCTTTTGATACTGACAAAAATCATATGGACCCTCTCTGTTGTAGATGTCATTTTTTTTTTGAATATATTACATATTGCAGGCACTAGTGATTCCCATCCCTCAACTTGTCCCCTCACCCCCAGTTGGGATCACTGGTTTAAGGAGAACTATAAAGGACAGAGTGTTTACATCTGAATGGCAGTGATAGAATGAAAGGTTGAGAATCACTGATATGGCTTGCACTCTCTGGAAACACCAGGACATACTATAGCCCCACTTACTTTTCTTTTAAGGGAAACATTCAGTAAATTGCATTTTGCTCAAGTTTATGCCAACACAAAAGCCAGAAGGAGTCTATTCAAAAGAAAAAATGAAACATCTCCTTGGTCCAATAGTAAAAAGACTGCCAAATATCCTCTTTTATCTGGCTCAGAAAACCTTGCAGAGGTTAATTTCTAACACTTGTGGCTCTTATGACAGCAGAATGATAATTGCAAGCTAGGCTACTCCTCTATGGATAGCAGCTGCTTCTGGTCACCACACCCTCCTACGCTGAAGAGGGCCTCTCGTTTTGGAGGGTGCAGGAAGAAAATGATGGATGAGATGGTAAGTTTTTCACACTAAGAAAATAAATAGGTATATGAGGTCTCAGGAAACCTGGGAGGGGAGAAAGGAGATGGGGGAGGGGGGAATTCAGCTGGCCTAGGAGATGAGTGGTTCTGTCTGAATCCGCTATCTTGGTCCTGGGTTTCTCTGCAGCAGAACTGGTCTATGCCTAAGAGGCACTCAGTTGGAACAAAAAGAAATAGAACTTCACACGTAACTGTTAGTCAAATTGTGTCTTCTGAGTAACAATGCCCATAGGTATGAAGAGCGAAGGGGTCTGATATCAGTCTACCTTGAGTAAGGCACTGTGTGCATTATGTCCAGCAGAGCACCAATGAAACACCTCTTACTGGTGATCATTTTTTGCTGGCCTTATAAAGGACTTGAAGTTCAATACAATTCTATAGGAAACTGAGGATTTCTTCACTGAATTGGCATTAATTACTTTTTAAATGTAAATTTTCAGCTGCAAGCCTTTTTTAATATTAAAAAAATCCTCCAAGTACATGAGGGTAAATCAAAGACTAATTGGTGACCAGATTATAGGGTTTAAAGCTCTTTTTTTTGCCATAAGTGAGTAAAATAATTAGCAAATGTGAATACATGCTTTTTCTTTAATTAATAACGAATCACATGCTAATATCCCATTTTTAGCAAAATACAAATTTCAATTTTAGACTTAGGGCTGCAATTCCATTATGAGGCATTTTGTATTCAGCCAGTGCTTGGTGTTCATCTGCTGGTGTCTCCTCATGCCCAGACTGAGGCTTGTCTTATTCTCAGAATGGCTGTCGTCAGAGGACAAGGTGGAAATGGACAACTATATTGGGTTCTGTGGATGGGATTAAGCAAAATTCTTTACAAATGCGTTACTGGGGCTTCCATTTTAGGGGTAAGCATGGAGAATGGCAGAAAGCGAGGGGGGTTGATGAGTAGTCCATAGAAGATGGGAGGCAGAACCTGGTCTGAGAATCCTTTGGGATGCTATTTTCCCTGCTTGATGACGGTTTCAGCCCACTTCCTATCAGCCAGAGCTATTTATATTCAGAGGCACAGATTCCACAGCTGTAAGGAAAGTGCCTTCGAGTGCCTCTGAAATCAGTTTCTTCTCCCCTTTTTTTTTAGGGAAAATTTGCAAAGTTGTTTTTGAATATAATCATGAAGAAAAGGCAGAGTTGGCTGGGGACAACAGAGTTGTCTTTGCAGGAGAGGTTCCACTGTGCTCCCTATGTAGCTTCCTCTTCTCTCTTTTTGGTAACATTACTTCCTCTCATTCCCAGGCACCACATCTCATTTCTAATAAAACAGTGATTTGGGCCTTTTCTTGACCTTGCAGGAAAGGTGTTTTTCTCTTGGCTAACTCTACAAAGATTCTACAAGTCTTCAGATGAGGGTCATTCTGTAAGCAAAGCTATTAACTTTGGCTGGTAGAGGGAGAGAGATCTGAGGTGCAAAACCAGGAGGCACTGGCCATGTGAGGGGGGTGGTGTTAGGAAGGGCATTGGGACATGATGCAAAACCACTCATCAGGTATGAAGAGAAATGGAATCTCAGCCAGGTTCTGCCCCGAGGGGCCCAGCAACATGGGCAGGTGGGTTTACCTTTCTCTCCTCTCTTCTCATCTGTTCCTGATGACGTCTGGGGTTCCTCTCAGCGATGAAATTTTGTGATTGCTGCAAGGCTTATTTTCCTCCTTCCTGTGCAATGATAACAGCTCTGGGGTTGGAAAGTGATCTAACAGTGTTGCGACATGAATGAAAATGTGTCTTTCCAAGAGTTTTGCTGAGAAAAGCCCGGTTTCCCGCAGAGAAAAACACCCACCCCCTGCCGCCTCCCTGCCGCTCCAATGCAAAGAGGGGTGGTGTGGGGTGGTGGTAGAAATGAAGAATAATACCACCACTTTGTATTTTTACCTTTCGTGATAAAACTGTAGTTTTAAAAGTTGTAAAAATGTACTAGTTTGACAAGTGGCACATTTAAAACCTGATTTAGCAAAAGGTTTTTACCTTTGTAATTTTAAAACTGTCACTTGAACTAAAAATATAGGCTAGCAAGTTGAACTTTCATATTTAATGTTTTCTTTTTTCCCTTTTTATTTGCAATTCATTTTGTTCAGCTTTGATTAAAGGAGTGGCAGCAATGGGAAGGAGAATAGCCAGGACTTGGCTAATTAGTCTTTGGGAAGATGAGAGTGTGACCCTTCACACCAGTTCAGATTTGAAAGTTTTCAACACCAGCCCTTGTTAGTTTTAGCAGCTTAGCCATATATCTTACCTTTAAATGTGAACACACAATCTCACAAGAACACTTGACTTAAAGAGGGCAAAGAAAACTGGAGGATTGTTTTTCCCCCTGACCATAATCTCAAGGTTTTTACATGTTTGTTAAAATAAATATGCTATAGCCCCAGATTAAATGGTAATGATGGCAAGTCAGAAAGGATCTGGAACAAAAACACGATAAACCCGGGTCAGAAAGGATCTGGAACAAAAAAATGATGAACCCGGGTGTCCTGGATTGTGGAATATTAAAAACGGCTACTCAGGATTCACAAAATGTTTACAATGGACTTTCTTTTAGTAGGCAGGAACTGACCCATGACCTTAGGCAAGTCACTGCATTTTTCTGAATTTTAGTGAGCTGACTTATAAAATAAAGGAGTTGGAATAGATGAAAGCAAATATTCTTGTATGCCCTAAAATCTCTATTTGTGCCTTTTTCTTTCTTTTGCAGAGCTTGTTCATGAAGGTATTAATATTTGTTGGATTCAATTGAGTTGACAACTTGTTCAAAGAGGCAGCAGGGCTCGGAAGAGATAAGTCAGCTCGGGGTTCTGGGATTGGTCCTGGGCCTCAGTGGTGTGGGGACCTTGGGCAAATCACAAAATAGCTTCTTTGTTTGAAAATGGGGATTATAATCTTCACTCCTAGAGTCCCGTTAGGCTCAAATGAGATAATAGAACTGAAAGCTCTCAAAAAACTTAAAAGACTGTATAAAATGGAAGGTATTAGTATAAAGGCCCTTTCTAAAGAATGTTGATGGAAACATCTTTATGCACACACGGACTTCATTATTGAACTGTTTATTCAGTTATTAGTTGTCATTAGCTTCTAATTCCAGACCATTGATCTATCATAAGGGCAAAATAGATGTGTTCACAATAATAACAGATTTGAATGATACTGATGTATCTATCTGGGGCTGATATCCTGGAAATGACTGGCTTCAGGTTTCATTGACCCATGCCTGGTGTTAGAAACACTGCTTGAACATCTCCAGTGATGGAAGGGGTGGTTGAGGTCAGGGAGGGAAACTTACCTATATTGAGTAGTTGACTTGCACGTAATCTGTGAGAGACACTTTAGGTCCCTTAGTGCATTTGATTTTTATCACCATTCTTACAAGTTGGACTTTATTATCCCCATTTTAATGATAAGGAAATTGAGTCTAAAGAGGTTAAATCAAGACATTTAGTTACTAAGTGGTAGAGTTAGGATAAAGATCTTATTCCGTCTACATGCCATATTTGGCACTTTCTGAGAAACCACTTCTGTCTCTTTTGACAGATTCTCCTCCCCATCTTTTGACAGTTCTAATTGTTAAAACAAATCAACCAACAAACACACCCCAAACTATTCCTTATTGTCCAGAGCTGGCTACTCAAAACATAGTTCCTGGGACCAGCATCATAGGCATCACCTGTGGTTTGTAAAGTCAACACTTGGCCCCACTCCAGGCCTACTGAATCAGGCCTGCATTTCAGTGAGATCCAGAGTGATCCATGAGCATGTTAAAGTTGAGGATTACTCTCTAGAGCACACAGAGCAGATCACATTTCTCCTTTTCATGATGGCTTTCTAAATACCTATCCCAACTGCACCAGAACTTCGTCCCAAAAAGAACCATATGCCTGAGACACCTTTAACGCCTCACCTTTCAAACACTTCTCAGAATCCTGAAAGCCTCTAGAAAGTTTCCTTGACTAACTAGAGACAGGTGGCCCTTTCTGTGACCCTCCCCCAAATATATATTTCATGACCTTTCCTGCCCATCACCTGGTGAAAAATGCCTGGATATTTGTGATTCTGTGAATTGTAGGTCTTACCCTGTTTAATTGCCTACCAATCAGTCAATCAAAAGTCAGGTGGAGGAATTTAGATTTTAAGAGGCTAGGTTTTTAAGCAGGAGAGTGGCGTATAGAAAATGATGAACTAAGCTGAAATTGGGAGATTTATCTTGTGGTGTTCTGCAGTGTGGTTAAAGAGGGTAAGAGTATAAAGGCTCTGAAAGTCATTACAAATTATAGAAAATTGAGCTATTTGAAAGCTTTTATTGGCTGTCATTTGACGCATTGACTCATAAGTTTCATGTGATGTAAATTTATTCCCTTTATAAATGCACCAAATTTTGTCAAAATTAGTCGGCTCATCTGAGAGTTGTTATAAAATGAACACACAAACATGCAATTTATAGAACAATTAAGTTGAACCATAGTCCTCACTTTGTTCAGATAATGGTCACAGCCATATATTTGTAACTGAGTATTTATGCCATTATTAATATACTAATCACCAATGTCAATCATTCTTTATAAGGGCAGGGTATAAGTCTGTTCAGTTTGCCTTTTTAGATGTAGCTATCATTGATCACATGAAGCTCTTTCCCCTTTCTGGATGTTTACCATGGAATAAAAGACACTGTTTCTCCCAGGGAGTTACGAAGCCCCTTTGTCCAGGAAAGTCTGTCCAGCCACTGACAACAAAGACAGAAGAGAACAGACTATTCCAGGTGGAAAGTGTATTGGCTGCCTGTCTTGGGACCCACCCTCCTGCTTTCTGACCTGAAATCTTGTTTCTTCTTGCGTCCTCCATCTTCTGCCTGCTTGTCTCAATCAATAGGGGATTGTTGTATAACACCTCCCTCCAGTTCACTACTCTAATATATTTCTCTTCCGATGCTGATGATCCCCAATAAAAAACTTCAAAATCTCACACCTCATAGAAACAATAAAAAGAGAATCATGGAAAGAAATTTCAGAACCACTGGGTTTGGGTTGTTTAAATACCTCCAAATTCATACAAATCCAGCCCTTTTTATTGGCTCTGTTTCCAGAAACAGAAAGCCTGAAACCTGGGTGGCAAAAAAAATTTATTTTTCAACCCAAGTAACATCTGGAGAGAGCTGTATGACAACCCAGTTCCAGGACGACTGCTGTAATCTCTGACATGAGTACTTCATGGTACTGAATAATTTTGTCATTATGTCATTTTTTTAATCACAATTTTTTTTCCTCCTAAAAATGAGTTAGAATTATCAGTCTGTTTTTCTGGCCACCGTGGGAGAGCTTTCCCATACAATACTGGAATCATATTTTCCTCTTTACTTCCTCCCTACTACTACGTGATTGGATCAGAACCAATCACGTAGCAGTAGGGAGAAAGTAAAAAGGAGGATTACACCATTGCTTAAGGATCCTTCAAATGGCCATGGGTGAAGATAGGATTCTATCAAAGCCTTAATAGCCATGAGGAGGACCCTACAGGGAGAGACTTCCAGCCCCACAGATGGTTAGTGGACTAGATCATCAACAGAGAGATAGGTGCAGAAAGGGATTATATAATGGAAGCTCTTGTTCACTTATTGATGAATAATCTTGAGTTTCCATTGTAGATCAGGCTCTGGGTAAAGTGAAGTAAGTGCTGCTGGGCTGTGAAATCACCCCAGTTCCAAAGTTCTGGAAAACCAGCTTTGCTCTAACACTTATCAACACTGCAGCCTTGAGTAGGATAATGCATCTTGTTTTTATCCATTTCTTTCATCTGTAAAATTAGGATCAATTGTTGTTTTCAGGATTTAGTGAGATTATGTTATTTGCATTGCCTAGTACATAAAAAGCTTTAATAAATGTTAGCCTTTTCTCCTTTGTCTACTTAGGGGCCATGGGGGCTGTTGAGAGAAGTAAGATGTGTTTGGGATCTGAAAGGGTTTGCATTCCAATTGGGGATGAAAGACATGCACACAACTAACTGTAATATGAGACTAAATGAAATAACTGTGTTAATAAAGGAGAGATGTAAAAGGATAGAGAAAAAAAGCCATGATTAATTCTACTGGGGAGTGAGTTGGGAAGGATTTGGGGGACAGCCAACATCAGCACTGGTCCTGAAGATTTGAGGCAGTTGCTTCTGATCCTGCTGGAGAAACTCAGGAATGTGCACTCAGAGCCATCTGCTTGAAGAAGGCCAGTAAAGTGTAGAGGAACTAAGAATATTTAAAAAAACAGATGTGTGTAGAGACTCAGGAAGAAAAGCAAGAAAACTATGTCAGGGGAACTCTCAAGGGTAGGGCAAAGTCTAATTACCCAAATTGAAATCTGGCCTCTGTGGCAGACCTAAGACTTGTCTTGAACCCATGAAGACCTGCTATAGTGGCAGAGGCATGCCTGAAATAATTAGCTTTATACTGCAGCTCTTGTTTGGGAATTCTTGGTTTGTATCGGTCTTTTCCCAGGAAGCCTGAGAGGTATTTTGAGAATGGTTAGCAAATTGCCTGGACAGTAGCAGGGCAGGAAAATGTAAAATCAATAAATAATCAGGCTGAATTTTAATTGAATATATTCCTAAGGCCATGCTGACATGTAAATTTAAAAAACGACTCACTAGAGAAATCAGTGATTTCCCTCTGTGGGTACTTCCATTCCAGGAGATGGCACAAAGATTGGCTTTTGCAATTCCTTCCCACATTTTCTGTTCTCTTTCCTGAATAGGAAGGCAGTGTTAAACCATCTTCCTACGTTTCTCTTTTCTGCAAAAAGGAGTATTTATTTTGGAAAAAAATACTTAAACTTTACTTCATGTAGAAGCAAACAACAGAGAGGAAGGCAGAGTCCTTTGATGTTATGCCAATTAGTCCTTTTGGGTAGAGATGTAGTTACTTTTCAGAGGGCATTGGGGCTCAGGAAGCTCTTCACTGTCACTGTGTTTGTCACATCTGAAGGTCAATAATGTCATAGATATGTGTCCTAGATATGGAACTGTTTTTATTGTTATTTGTATTTTCTGTAAATATTTTCTTTGTACTTCTGAGTATTATTTGGTGAAGTTATTTCTGAAATTTTGAGTGAGCTGCATGAGTGCACAGGAGCTAAGGAGAGCTACTTTAGACCAAACTGGGGCTCAGGAAGCAACCCCCATCCCCCGACACCAGGATGGGTGGGGTGGAAGGAATCAAAGTGAGAAGTCCCCAGGACTTTCCTTGAATCTTTTTCTTTCAGGCATTTCAATTTGTATTTGATTTTGTAGCACCGTGTTTGTCTTCTTGTCACCTTAACCTCTGCACAGACACTGTTGCTCAGTTGAAGAAAAAGGTTGCATCTGAACAAATTTGTTTCTACATGAGTTTAATTAGGCACCTACCAGGTGCCCAATTCTGTGCTTGATGCTGCCAGGGATATGGAAGATTTATGAGACACAGGCTTTGACTTTAGAGGGTGCCAGCATGCTATAGAAAGCTGGTAAATAAATTTTAGCGTATACGAGCCTCCAGCAGAGATTGTCAAACAGGAACTGTGCCTGGAGATTCTGATTCTGTAGCCCTGGGAGGAAGCTCTTGAATCTACAGTTTAAGAGGTAAACCAGGTGGATCTGGTTCAGGTAATTCATGACTCAGACTTTAAAAGACAGTAGTAAGATAGACCTAACATTTTCATTAGTGAGAAAGACCTGCTGTTTAAAGACCCCCTCTGCTGCTTACTAGCTGAATGATTTGGAGCAAGATACTCACATTCTGCAACCTTTACTCGTCTATAAAACTATGACATTTGTGCCTTTCTCATAAGGTGACTGTAAGAATTAAATGAGATACAAACTAGCACAGTTCCTGGAATATTCTAGAAACACAAAAACCAATTTTTTAATGATTATTTTTATTCTTTTTAAATTTTAATAGTATATTTTAATCCAATATATTTAAAATATTGTCATTTTAACCTATAATCGTATCCAAAATTACCTGATATTTTACAATATCTATTTTTTAAAAATTTTTCATTTTATTTTATTTTTTATTATACTTTAAGTTCTGGAATACATGTGCAGAATGTGCAGGTTCGTTACATAGGTATACACATGCCATGGTGGTTTGCCGCACCCATCAACTCATCATCTACATTAGGTATTTCTCCTAATGCTATTCTTCTCCTGGCCCCCCACCCCGCGACAGGCCCTGGTATGTGATATTCCCCTCCCCGTGTCCGTGTGTTCTCATTGTTCAACTCCTAACCATGAGCAAAAACATGTGGTGTTTGGTTTTCTGTTCCTGTGTTAGTTTGCTGAGAATGATGGTTTCCAGCTTCATCTATGTCCCTGCAAACGGCATGAACTTATCCTTTTTTATGGCTGCATAGTATTCCATGGTGTATATATGTGCCACATTTTCTTTATCCAGTCTATCATTGAGGGGTATTTGGGTTGGTTCCAAGTCTTTGCTATTGTGAATAGTGATGCAATAAACATACGTGTGCATGTGTCTTTATAGTAGAATGACTATCTAGAATGACTTATAATCTTTTGGGTATATACCCAGTAATGAGATTGCTGAGGCAAATAGTATTTCTGGTTCTAGATCCTTGAGGAACCAGACTGTCTTCCACCACACTGTCTTCCACAATGGTTGAACTAATTTACACTCCCACAAACAGTGTAAAAGCATTCCTATTTCTCCACATTCTCTCCAGCATCTGTTGTTTCCTGACTTTCTAATGATCACCATTCTAACTGGCATGAGACGGTATCTCACTGTGGTTTTGATTTGCATTTCTCTAATGACCATTGATGAGCTTTTTTCATGTTTTTTGGCCACATAAATGTCTTCTTTTGAGAAGTGTCTGTTCATATCTTTCACCCACCTTTTGATGGGGTTGTTTTTTTTTTCTTGTAAATTTGTTTAAGTTTTTGTAGATTCTGGATATTAGCCCTTTGTCAGATGGGTAGATTGCAAGAATTTTCTCCCATTCTATAGGTTGCCTGTTCACTCTGATGATAGTTCCTTTTGCTGTGCAGAAGCCCTTTAGTTTAATTAGATCCCATCTGCCAATTTTGGCTTTTGTTGCCATTGCTTTTGGTGTTTTAGTCATGAAGTCTTTGCCCATGCCTATGTCCTGAATGGTACTGCCTAGGTTCAAAAACCATTTTTTTAACCCTCCTTCTCAATGATCTAGTTGGAAAGATAACACAGGCTACTTCAGCTTTCAAGTTATTTCTTATTCGCTGAAATGATAGTGAAGTTTATCATCTATGTGACACAACTGGCTGTTTATATTGCTTAAATCGTATTGTTAGTTTTCCATTTGTGTGTGTGTGTGTTTGAGACAGGATCTGACTCTTTCACTTAGGCTGGAGTGCAGTGGTGCAATTTTGGCTCACAGCAACCTCCACTTCCCAGGCTCAAGTGATCCTCTCACCTCAGCCTCTCAAGTAGCTAGGACTACAGGCATGCACCACCAGGCCTGGCTAATATTTGTATTTTTGGTAGAGATGAGGTTTTGCCATATTTCTCAGGCTGGCCTCGAACTCCTAAACTCAAGCAACCCACCTGCCTCGGCCACCTAAAATGCTGGGATTATAGGTGTGAGCCACTGCGTTCGGACTATTTGTGTTTTTAACTGAAGGCTCTGGCAATGTGTAACTGGCTCACCAAACCCAGGAATTATGAGATGTCACCTTAGGCCACCAGAAATTATAATTACATGAGATGATCTGGGTTTGGGTCTTACACCAAGATAGGAGAGAAAAGCTGCCCTCAAATCTTTGGAGAAGTTTCTCTGGAAAGGTCAAGAATGAACCTTGGATGAAAAGTTAATAAAAGAGAGAACTAAGGCCGTAAACTCCATTGTAAGGCACAGTTAGGGCCAGGGCCAATTGAGGAGAAATAATAGCACAACTTAGAGGACAGTTTCTTTGATATATTTCAGGCCAGCTCCTGAGCTGGTTCTAGATCTAGATCTTGTCCATATCCTTGCTGATACTGGAGACAACATTTTGTTGGCTACCAAAAAGATCTATGAACAGTTGCCTCTGGGACCTACAAAAAGCAGTCATCCTCCAAGGGAGAGTTTATAACTCGAGGCCAAAAGAGCTGGGATGATCAAGAGATGCAAATGGAGCTGGCTGTGGTGACAAGGAAGTGGAGGGAAGTTGGAGCTTGAAGAACTATCAAGGATTATGCTAAGGACTCTAGATCATCTTGGGACCAGTAGGAATTCAGGCATAGGTGAGGGGCTGGTAATGTCATCGAACTGGAGATGTGTGATGGGTGATCCTGACCACGACAGCGATAGAAAGGACTATGGGTAATTAATTCTCTCTGACCAAGAGTAATGCCTGAAGCTAAGAGATCCAGCCAAGCCAAATGACTTTTGGATTTTCACTTTAGCTCTTGGTTCTAAGTGCATACTCCCTACCCACCCTATTCTTTGTGGGGCCTGGGGAATGAGTACTGTGTTTATGGGAATGTGCTCACTGCATAAGGATGAGACTCACAGTTAAGGCAGAGCAGTCGCCATTTGAATGCTTCTCCATACAACCCTACTCAATACATATTTCATAGAGAATCACAGAGTGTTAGAAAGGAAAGTGGCCTTAGGGATCACCTAGTTCCGTCTCCTTATTTTTCTGGTAAGGAAGCAAACTCAGAAAAAGTATACGACCTTCTCAAGGTCACACAGCTGCTCAGTAACAGAGCTGTGCCTGGAACCCAGGCCTCCCCTGCCACTCACATTACTAGGCTGCACTTTCTTATGATGATTTATACCTGCTTGAATTTCCATTTATCTCCCTGGGAGTCTGGATTGATGTGCCTGCTCAGGCTGGGCATACCATTGTTCAGCGTTTAAAATCCAACAGGCTCCTTTTGCTTTTGCTTTTGCTCTTCACATGCTAACCACGGAGTAGGAGATGGAGCTGCCACTCACTGCACACACCGATGACAATTTCATTAACTCTGTGTCGTTGGGCTTTGGCAATCCACGCGTCTCATAATTGTGCTAAGCTCATTCTGGTGAAAAGTACATGAGGATTTTTGAACGGTTTATAATGAGGAAGTCGTTGTTAAAGTTTTAATAAAATTAGCATGTAAGTTTCAATAAATTAGTGTTATGTATTCATAAATACTTAAAAACACCAGCATCTGAGATGTCAGAGCAGAAACAAATGCAGTGGTCCTGGCCAGTGTCCTCCTACATTTGCAAACTTAACTTTTTGGGGTACTCCTTGGGCAGGAGTCTGGTTAGAGCTGTCTTTGAAGCTGCCTGGCTGTAAAAGACAAGCATCCTTCACTTAGCAAACTGCCATCATGAAATGTGAGCTGGAAGGCAGTATTTTGGACCACACAACTATGGGAAATGTGGGAGTTGTAGTGGACAACTGCTGAAGAGATTTCTCTTCTGTCTTCTTTGCTCTTTTCTGATCCAAAATTAGTGTTTCTAGCTGTAACTTGAGCTTGGGGTATAAAGGAACTTTTAACAGCACGAAAATATTTTCATCCTATCAAGTTAGAGGAATACGTTTTGGTACCACAGCCAGCAGATGAAGGGATGAATTCAGGATTTCTCTGTTTAGATGGAAAGCCAGGGCAATGTAAAACTTTGTGTCAATAGTTCTGTGTTGTATGCCATTTAAGTTTCAGCCATTTGAGCGGACAAAGCTATTTTTCTTCAGATTGAGATTTTTTAGACTCATAGAAGGGGGGGGGGTTCTGATAACATCTCATTGAACAGATCAAACAGCCCTGATATGTATAGTGTAACTCTGTCTTGTCCTTCCGCAGTGTCCACCCCTGTTGTAGTGTTAATTGATCTGCCAATAGTCAGTTAGATCTCCCACTTGTGAAAATATGTGAAATGAAGGCTCTCGCATAAGATGAACCCTTTACTTCCTTCTAATTTTTTGGGGGTCTATTTCCTAGCTTTCAGTTTTAGGGAAAAGAATATAATACCTTGCACTGATATGCTTTTTCTAACTCATTCAAAGTGCATTTGTAGTTGTCAGAATCTAAGTGGCTTAAACCAACAGGGTTTATTTCATGCTGACACTACAAAGATTGGATGGGGTGTCTGAGCTCGGTCATCCTCACTCTGGGCTACCCTCCGAAGTGTGGCCAGTCCCTGAAGGAGAGAGAAAGAAGGAGTGGCAAATTAATGTTATAGCTCTTTTAGCTTCCACTCAGAAGGGCTACAAATCCTTTCCACTAAAATTTTATTAGCCAAAGAATGCCACATGGCACATGTAATATTAAAGGTAACAAAAATACAATCCTATCATGTGTCCAGGGAGAAAATAGACATTTGTTTAGCAGCAATAATGACTATCAACACTTTCGTATACTATCTAATTTTATTTCAGAATGTTTATAGTTGCTCTGTCATGAGCATAGCTGAGAGAGAATTATAGATTGTATTTTATGTCTTCTAAGACAATAGTTCCCAAACTTTTAGACTTCATAGATTTTTTTTTTTAATTTGAGGAGTGTGTAGTTCACATAGGGTTGCATATCATTTATTTTGTTAACTACTTGTCATCACTGTCATTTTATACAAGAAAATTCAGGGATTGTACAATTTTGAAAACTCAGAAAACATGGGAAGCATATAATCTTATACGGAAGGTTAGATCTTTACATACGTTTAGCTTTATGAAAAACTATTGTATTCCCCTTACTTTTTCTCTATCTTCCTGATAACTTTTGTGATCTAGTATTTAAGAAATTGGGCTCTGAGAGGTTATAATGCCAAACTGCCAAGAAACATGAGTGACATATGTAGGGTATACACACAAGGTATAAGAGTAGATGCAAGGTTTTGCTAATTATGCAAATAGAAGGTAGAGTGGCAGGTTGAAGGTTAAAAATGAATTATTGCCTTGAAAGGCTAATTTGGAGAAGGATAGATTGAACAAACCAAGCTAGAATTGAGGAGGAAAGGAGGGGTGAGTATTAACTTGGGCAAAAGGTTTAGAGGCTAGGTGAAAAGCCTTGACTCTGGGGTTTTCAAAACAATGCATGGAGAAGACAACTTGGGAAGTAGCAGTGAAATAAGAAGTGGGAGAGATCATGGCATACGTCTCAAATTGGGAGTACTGTGCATTGCCAAAGGCTTGGACAAATCACTTATCCTGTAGATGGATGCCTTTGGTCCCTTGGAGCTTCTATACCTGTACAGATTGACTTTTAGATCTTGGTATCTGCATGGAGAAAAGACATTTGGGATCATAGTGGCCTTTCTGGGTCCTGAATATTCCATTTAGAAGATTGCCTATTCTGTGGACCAGTGAAGAAGGTTGTAGAAAGAGCTACACAGGAAGGATATTTTGCTTTGGGATAAAGCAGAATTTGGCTACTAACCCAGTTCAAAAGTAAAGGAAAGAAAAGAGTTGAGATCAATTTGTGATCTTTGAATCAGAGATGTTGAGACTTGCATACACCAGGAGAACAAGAAGTCTATTAAGAGAATCTCTTTCATCTACAGAGAAGAAAAAGGAAACTATCAGAGTATATAGTACATATTATCCATTTTTTAGCCCCTTTCTTCTCCGCATAAAAATACTAAACATTAAAGGACAACTATGAGAACCTCCCGTTTGCCCTTGAAGGTCTCCATATTCTGCAGAGAACACCATCACAATCATTGGAAGCCATTGGCTCAGAGGTTAGAACGTGCTCATCAAAACCCAGATCGGTAGTGGAGCAGGGTTGTAATTCTAGAAAATGCGACTTGAGTTAGTTAAAGTATCCTTTTGAGAAAATTACTGAAATCACACCCAGATAGAATAGAATTTATATGAAGGGGTATGATACAGAAATGCAAATTTATAACTACTGAAATTTATTTCAGAACATGTGGAGAAAACATGTGTAAACTTCTTTACCTTAAAAACAGCAACAACAACAAGTTTTCCTTTATTTAGCATGGATTTTGTTAGCCCTTCGGTTAAGCTACCAGGTGATGCAGAATCTCTAGTACTGAGAAGTTAGTGAATTCTGTCCAGAGGAACTTGCATTTCCAGGTAAAGTGGAAGTTTGCAGGCATTACTGGAATGAGCCAGTAGGACGTCTGGGGTCAGGTCTGGCTCTGTTCACTGACAGTTGTTGAGACAGTTACCTAATCTCTCTAGGTTTCCACTTCCTCATGTATAAAATCAGAGTTGGATTGGATGACCTCTAAGGTCTGTTCTGATTCTATGATTTTATTAGTTTGTAATTCTCAAAAAGAAGATAGAAAATGCCTCCTGGCAAAACTGTATGAATTTCCAGAATATTCAAATAAACAACCATGGTTGGACTTTGTGCCAATCCAAAATCTTTTCAGAATGGCTTGTGCCTTTTCTGGCTTTTATTTTTCCATTCTATGACTCAGGATTTTTTGGTGTAAATAAAAACTCCTTTTTAAAATTAAGCCTTCCCCTGCTGTCTGATTCATTCAGTGATGTTACAACCCACAGCTTGAGATGCGACATTTCTTTTCATTTTAGTGAAATTGTGATGTCACAAAACTTGAATTGATGCATCCAACTGAATTAAGCAGAAGGAGCAAGATAATTACAGATGAGAATGCTCTTATCTACACACATATGTGTCTAGGTAATCAGCAATGAAGGGAAAGGAAATACAGGCAAGGCACTTGGTAAAAATTTTCCAGGCTGTGGCTCTAGCCTAATGCATTTTTAGACGCAGCATCCCGTTTTAAAGATTGTAGCAAATGCTTGAATCTATACCAGGAACGAAGCATTTTACAATTACCTGTGTACAGTGGCCCACCACCAGCTAAGTCATATCACTTGAACTTTGGCCAAATGTATTAACCTGAGAAGTACTAAAGTTCCTTATATTTGGAGTTTCCTTTACTATAAAGATATTTATCTTTACTTGCACATCATAAGTCTTACAGACAGCTTTTAAAAAGCTAATTTTCTCTTATATAGATTTTTTTACAATAAGGATAGATTGACATGGAGAAATGCATACTATTTTAGCATCAATTCAGAAAATGTTAACAGTATTGCAGCTTCATGTGAAAGAGAGAAAAGTGACATAGGTGTTTTTCTTTTGTTTTTGATATGGACTCTTGATGACATTGCTGAACATCCAATGTTCAATAACGTCACTTACTGAGTTAAAACATGAGCAATCTGACATGTTGGTGAAGATCTCTTCAATTTTCACCCATACAGAGAGGGCTGCCCCTTCAGTTGATTGTTTGATATGGCAATTTTTAGAAAGTTTTTGACCAGAACAATCAATCCAAAGTTAGGATAGAAAAGTTAAATTATATAGAATTTTGCAGCTTATACAATGCTTTATAGCCCCACCACGGGGAAAAAAGAGAAGGTATTGTCACTGACATGCTAGATTAGTCTTACCCACATCTCAAATTTAAGAGTTCTACGTGCACATCCACTATTGTATCTTAGAATTAAGTTATTCCTCTTAACTTCGGCATTTCTGAAGATAGCACAACTTCCCTTCCTCACTTTTGAGATAAGAAACATTAAATTAATATTTAATATCTCTTCTTTTCTTCTTTCCTCTTTTCTTTGATCATTTGACAACTCCTAGCAATTTTGCCTCTCTAAATTATATTTGTGTCTGTTCTTGCTACCTCTATAGGCAGCAACAAAAATTAGGTCATATTGACTACACATATACTGGGGCCATGACCTCTGCAGTCATCTTTCTACCTCCAGAGTTTTCCTGATCAAATCCATTTTGCACATTGCTGATGAATTAATTTTATCAAATTATCACTTTATGTCATTCTTCTGCTTAAAAATCTCCAATGGGCCGGGTGCGGTGGCTCACGCCTGTAATTCCAGCACTTTGGGAGGCCGAGGCAGGTGGATCATGAGGTCAGGAGATCGAGACCATCCTGGCTAACAAGGTGAAACCCCGTCTCTACTAAAAATACAAAAAATTAGCCAGGTGCGGTGGCGGGCGCCTGTAGTCCCAGCTACTCGGGAGGCTGAGGCAGGAGAATGGCGTGAACCCGGGAAGCGGAGCTTGCAGTGAGCCGAGATTGCGCCACTGCAGTCCGCAGTCCGGCCTGGGCGACAGAGCGAGACTCCGTCTCAAAAAAAAAAAAAAAAAAAAAAAAAAAAAAATCTCCAATGTTTTTCAATTTTCTACAGAATAAAATTTCAAACTATTGAGCTTGGCATTATTAGATCTCTAAGCTTTTTAGCTTTGTTCTCTCAATATTTATCATATCAACCCTAGGCTCTAGCCAGTATAGAAACCAGAAAGTAGAATTTTCTTGAACATATATAGAAGTTTCTTATTTGGTAGGACTTATTAAAAAAAAAACCCAACATTTCTTAGATTTGCAAACCCATAAGAAAAACAAAAGGAAACACAGTAAAAAAAAAAATGTAATATGGTGTATTGGAAGGTGTTATGGACTGAAAGTTTGAGCCAAAAAATTCGTATGTTGAAATCCTCATCCTCAATGTGATGGACATTAGCAGGTGGGATCTCTGGGCAGAAATTATGCCATGAAGGTGGAGCCCTCATGAATGGGATTAGTGTTCTTACAAGAAGAGACTCAAGAGGGATGCTCTGTCTTTGTCTGCTGTCATGCAAGGGCAAATCAGAAAGCAGGCTCTCACCAGACACCAGATCTGCTGGCCCCTTGATTTGGAATATACCAGCCTCCATAACTGTTAAAAGGAAATTTGTTGAAGCCACTCAGTCTACAGTATTTTTGTTATAGCAGCCCAAACTGACTAAGAGAGATGGGATCCTAAAACAAACAAACAAAAAGAACTTTAGATAAAAACTAAGGAAATCTGAAATAATAGTAACATGTCAATATTGGCTCATTACTGGACAAATATACCATACTTAATGTGTTAGCAATTGAAGACACTGTGTGTAGGGAGAGAGTATATCTAAGAACTTTCTGTACTATCTTTACAACTTTTCTGTAAATCAAAAACTATTTTAAAATAAAACTTTTATTAAAAACTGTAAGAATAGAATAAGTAGGGGAACTAGGATGTGAAAGACAGAGATGATAAAGTATGATTTTAAAGGAAGTGTTGTGGGCAGAGTGAAAGGACTCCAGATTGTGTGTCTGTTTTTAGGGGAGAAAGCTTACTGGAAGGTTCTGAGGCTTCCCTACAAGTGACCAAGACAACCTTAACATTCCCCTTAGCTTGACTCAATTTTAGATAAGCTTTTTCCTGACTATGGGCCCCAACCTCTTTTTATTTTAGAAAACTTTCAGTTGTAAATTCTTTCTGTGCCTCTTTGAGATGTAAATCTTCTACAACCTAGGAGTGCCTTTCTCAAAGACCTGGAAGCCATCCCTTTGAAATGTAATCATCAGGAAAGATAGGGCCTTACTTTTCCTGTCTCTATGGGAAAGTAGGAACCTGACTTCGTTAACATTTGGCAAATAAAGATGACTCAATCACATAGACCACCCTCCCTGCTAATGTTCCACCTTTCCATTAGCTCAAAGCTGTGCTTAAAAATCTTCCCACCTTTTGTTTCAGTGGAGCTGAGCTTAATCTCTCTCTCCTATTACAATAGTTTGACTCCTCCCCTGTTGTAATAGTCTTAGTGAAGTCTTCCCTGCCTTTCGTAATAAGTATCCAGTGAAACTTTTCCTTTATATCAGGATAAGATCCTGAATGAGGCTAAGAAAATGTGGCATAGCGTGGCCACATCAATGGGGTGGTGAACAGCTTTGAGGTAAAGGCTTTCGAGTTTGAGACTGCTTTCAGAGGACTGTAGGTAAACGTCGGAAAACTCATTTAAGATACTAAGAGACTATAAAATTTGGCCATCTTGTTGGGGATGAATTTTTTTTTTAAATGTATGTTTTCTCTAAGACATTTGGATCAGCATGCTTATGCTCTCCTGCTGAGCTATCTGATGAGATTTCTCTAGGATTTGGCATGAAAGTTCAAATGAAATGATGCAGGATGTTTAGGTAAAATCCGGGACTTTCAATTCACAGACATTTCTGACACTATATTTCTGAGCTTTGTAATTTAGGGACAACACAAACATAACTGTAATATAGTCGCAAGTTGTGTATCTCCCTTTGAAATTGTTTATGTCAAGAAGCCATAAAACTTAGATCTGTGGGCCAAATTGGCCCCTCCCTGTTTTGTAAATAAAGTTTTATTGGCATTCAGCCTTGCGTATTCATTTTCACACTGTCTATGGTGATTTTCCCTCTCCTGTGGCAGAGTTGAGTAGCTGCAAGGGAGATGGTATGGATCTCAAAATTTAAAATATTTATTATACGATCCTTTATTAAAGAAGCATGCCAACCCCTGGATTATATTACCTGTTAGTTAAACTATATTAATACAATGTTTTCTTTCCAAGGGAAAATATATTTATAAATCAATATAATTCAATAAATACTCAGAAGCAGCATATTATGGTGGTGAATAGTGTGGGTTGTGAAACCAGATATTGGCTGGCTTTGAAATTTGACTTTACCATGTACTATCTGAATGACAAGTCACCTTGCTAGTAACCTCTCTGTGCCTCAGTTTTCTCATCTGTAAAATGGAAATAAATCATTGAATTTTTAAGAGGATTAAATGAATTAGTAATGCAAGTACTCAGAACATTGGCACATGGTCGGCATCATCTATGTATTAGCTATTATTATTAATAGTGGTACACCATGAAGATAGAAAAGATCTCTATTTTGTAAAGTGGGGTAAGAACCAACTTGGTAATTATTGCACAAGCATATACCCTGTTACATATAAGAGCAAAGGCTCAGAATATTCTGTCGGCACATGCTTATTATTTATCCATTTTATTTTCAGCACTCTCCTACCTCTTTTTGACATTGTACTATTTTGTGACCCGTTTTAGCCGGGATTTTCTCAATTTTTTGATAACCAATTGTATTAGTCTATTCTCACACTGTTACAAAGAAATAACTGAGACTGGGTAATTTATAAAAAAAGAGATCTAATTGGCTGACAGTTCCACAGACTGTACAGGAAGCATAATGCTGGCATCTGCTTCTGGGGAGGCCTCAGGAAACTTACTATTATGGCAGAAGGTGAAGGGGAGGCACGCATGTCTTACATGCTGGAGTAGGAGGAAGAGAAAGAGATGGGGGAGGTGCTACATACTTTTAAACAACCAGATCTCATGATAACTCACTCACTGTATTAGTCAGGATTCTCTAGAGGGACAGAACACATAGGATAGATGTGTATATAAAGGGGAGTTTATTAGGAAGTATTGACTCACATGATTACAAGGCGAGGTCCCATAATAGGCCATCTGCAAGCTGAGGAGCAAGGAAGCCAGCCAGTCCAAGTCTCCAAACCTCAAAAGTAGGAAAGCCAACAGTGCAGCCTTCAGTCTGTGGTTGGAGGTTCAGGAGTCCCAAAGCTGAAGAACCTGGAGTCTGATGTTTGAGGGCAGGAAGCATCCAGCATGGGAGAATGATGTAGGCTGGAAGACTAAGCTAGTGTAGTTCTTCCACGTTCCTCTGTCTGCTTTTATCCTAGCTGTGCTGGCAGCTGATTAGATGGTGCCCACACAGATTAAGGGTGGGCCTGCCTCTCCCAGTCCACTGACTCAATCCAATCAAGTTGACACTCAATATTAACCATCAAACTCACTATCATGAGAACAGCACCTAGGGAATGGTGCTAACCCATTCATGAGAACTCCACCCCCATGATCCAATCATCTCCCACCAGGCCCCACCTCCAACATTGGGGATTACAATTTGACATGAGATTTGGGTGAGGACGCAGATCCAAACTATGTCACCAATGTCAGATCTGTGTTTGTGGAAAAACTTGCAACATTTAAAGAAATAAATTACTAATGGTGGAATTTCATGCATAATGGTGAGAGGTGAAGCCAGCTGGACTTTCTGGGTTGAGTGGTGACTTGAAGGACTTTTGTGTCTAGCTAAAGGATTGTAAATACATCAATCAGCACTCTGTAAAAACGCATCAATCAGCACTCTCTGTCTAGCTAAAAGATTATAAACCCACCAATCAGCACTCTATAAAATGGACCAATCAGCAGGACATGGGTGGGGACAAATAAGGGAATAAAAGCTGGCCACCCCAGCCAGCAGTGGCAACCCGTTCGGGTCCCCTTCCATGCTGTGGAAGCTTTGTGCTGTTGCTCTTCATAATAAATCTTGCTGCTACTTACTCTTTGGGTCCGTGCCATTTTTAAGAGCTGTAACACTCACAGCGAGGGTCTGCGGCTTCATTCCTGAAGTCAGCAAGACCATGAACCTACCGGGAGGAACAAACAACTCTGGACACACCACCTTTAAGAGCTGTAACACTCACCACGAGGTCTGCGGCTTCATTCTTGAAGTCAGCGAGACCAAGAACCCACGAGAAGGAATAAATTCCAGACACAATGGTGGTACGGGGGAAGATATAGATGCTCCTGTTTTTCCCTTTCAAATTATGGTAGATTCCTAAAGTTTATATTTTGGTTCAAGCTCATTTGGTGGCATTCTCAATCGCCATCTCTTCTTTTTGCTCTGTCTGCTAACTCCCCTAGCTTGTAGTAAGGTGTCCTGAATTCAAGTCGAACTTGTTTCCTCAGCTATAAATAGGGATGAAGCTGCTCTGCCCAATTCACTGCGGGGTGACTGAAATTCAAGCTTTTCCATAGCTTACAGGCCTGATGTAACATACTCTCTAGTCTCATTTCTGACCCTCTCCTTGCTTGATTCTCATCACAGTGCTTTCAGGCAATGGAGTTTCAGCCTCAGGGCTTTTGGACTTGCTATTGTTTCTGTCTGGAAGGCTCTTCTCCCAAATTCTTTCTTCTTTTGGGTCTCTGCTTTGTTGTCCATTCCCCAAAAAGAACTTCCTTGACCATCTTATTTAAATGATCACTGTTTATCATATTGCAACCTCTTATCCTGCTTTTTTTTTTTCCACAGTGCTTGCTATTACTGATCTTTTATATTTCTTCATTGTTGTCTGCTTCCTCTCTAGAATTTCAGCACCATGAGGATAAGATTTTGTCTATTTCAGTCATTGCTGTATTCCTAACACTGAGAACTGACTGACACATGGCAGGTATTTAATTTAAAGGCATTGAATAAATGAAAGGACATGAGAGTTTGCATATTAACTTGCTCGAAAATCACAAAGTTGGAAGGCAATTTAGGAGATGTGGCTGAAGAACTTTTGCTTTTTCTATTTCTTGCTCCTGTGGCTGCCAAAACATTCCTTCTGTCTTTCCCTACAAACCTTTTTTCTTGCTGGACTCCCTTTATTGGTGCCCGGCTTCCTTTCATCAACTTTCTCTCACCAGCTTTCCATCTAATTTCCAATCTCATCTGAAATCTCATTGTTTCCCTCTTACTTCTTAATCTCCTCCCTCTCAGTACTCTGTAACTCTATCACCGAGAGTACATCAATGCATCAGAGAGAAGAGCTGTTCTGGAAGTATGAGACAGTAAGACAATTAAGCAATGGATAAAGGACTTAAAAAGTCACAGCATCTTGTGAGCTATTATTAATTTAGGAACGATCAAATCAGTCCAAACTGCATGAATTCTGTAATGGCTTTGGAGAGCAGAGTATCTGGCAAACACTAGAAAAGACTGTACATGATTTGAAATGGGGTACTCCCTTTGGATAATTCTTCCAAATCATTTCTGACAAATATATCAAGACAAGATGAGGAGAGAAACGCTGGTGGGAAGAGATCCACAATCTCTATTCCAATTCTCCCTGATCCCTGGTTCTCTCCTCCTCCTCCCCCACTCTGATGCTACAGAATATGGAGCAGGGATGTCTTCTGTCATTCAGACCTTGGCCTCAGGGACCACGTTGATCCTCCTAATGTGAATTCTTCTGATTTTAAATTAAGACATTTCAAAGAATCCTTTAATAGGAACTCAGGAAACAAACGTCCATGACAGCAGCAATAATCAAGCAACAAAAAGAAACAAATGAACTAAGACAGGTCTGGAAGTTGGATGGATAGACCAGCTGAGGTTTTTTTGCTATCAAGTAGGAAGAACATAATAAGACTGATATCTTGCTTCTCAGCACCAGGATTTCCAAGCATTTGGGGGAACAAGTGCACTACCTAGTCTCTCAAGTGATGTATCAGAGGAAGAAGGAATTTACATTAGTGGAGAGAGAATTAAAAACATGAGATTGGTCTGCAGTTGATGAATGGTTGATTTTGTGTATAACCAGGGAACATCCCTCAAGTTGTCTGCAGTCCCGGCAACTTGAAGATACATGTCAGGCTCCTAAGGAGAGCAGCAGCAATCAGAAGCAAGCCTACCTTCAGGGCTTGGAAGAACCAAGAACCTAGCTCCCCTCTGCTCTAGAGCTTTGCAGCAGAGGATAATGCATTTTCGTGGCATAGGAGTGATGGGATGGGTGTGGAGGTGACTCACTTCACCTCCAGAATTCTCCAGCAATTAGGAGAAGGCTAACACTAGAAACATCAGAAAATGTTGGTGCCATGTGGTCATATCTAGAGGGGCAGAGATCACTGCAGTGCTACTTAGCCCACACAGGTAAGGAGCCTGTCTTAGAAGATTATCAGAAACTGGCTGAAAAAGGTTTACAGGAGCTGGACCTTTTCACTTGCCCCCAATAAAGATAGATTTATTGCTTCTTTTTTATTCCTGGGGATCATTTACATTTTTCAGGTTTGTCTTGGGGAAATGAGGGATGGACAGAGAAGCTATTTGGTTTACAGACAAGCCTCATTTCATCACCTTCAGTCTGTCCTGGACTTTGTCCACTACCCTTTGGCCTGTGACACAGGGGCCATCCCTAGAACCCCAGGCATTGCTTAAGAACTTGTTACTATGTGTCAAGCACTTGGCTCTTTCCTTTTCTTTTTTATTTTTTCTCCCCTTCCCTTCCCTTCCCTTCCCTTCCCTTCCCTTCCCTTCCCTTCCCTTCCCTTCCCTTCCCTTCCCTTCCCTTCCTTCCCTTCCCTTCCCTCTTCTCTTCTCTTTTGACAGAGTTTCACTCTGTTGCCAAGGCTGGAGTGCTAGAGTGTTGTGGCATGGTCATGGCTCACTACAGTCTTGACCTCCTGGACTCAAGTGATCCTCCTGCCTCAGCCTCCCGAGTAGTTGAGACTACAGATGTTCTCCACCATACCTGACTACTTTTTGTAATTTTTGTAGAGATGGGGTATCACTATGTTGTCCAAGCTAGTTCCAAACTCCTGGGCTCAGGCAATCCTCCTGCCTTGTCCTCCCAAAGTGATGGGATTATGGGCACAAGCCCCTGTACCTGGCCTGCTTTTCTAATTTACTTAATCCTTCCAAAATTCCAGGAGGTAGAAATAATTATGATCCCAATTTCATTTGCCCAAGTTCACAGAGATTGCAAGATGCAGATGTATGAACTTAGTCCTGTCTGTCCGACTATAAAACCCAAGCATTTAACTTCTATCCTATACAGGTCTTTTGAGTGGCTACAAATAAAAGCACTTAATACAGGGTTTAGCCCATGTAGATACTCAAAAATGTTAAGGGGACTTAAAAATATATATATACATCTTTTATGAGACTGGCCCACATGATTAAAGCCTTAAAAGTAGGTTTTCAACAGCCTTCTAGAAAACAACCACTTATGTGGAAGCTAGGGAAATGTTTGAGGTCAAACAGCTATCGGCGTGGTTTGAATTCATGTTCTTGAGTTAAAAGCAGTTATTCTCCTGTGTCAGCAAGTCCAGAAACCAGAGATATTGGCAGAGTTGGCGGTGTAGGAAATAAGTATGAATTTAATCAAGTTTTAAAAAAATCTCTATGTAAGCTAACTGTAAGCCAACCAGATCTCTCGGGGCATGCTTCTATGCCCACCTCTCTTTGCCCTCCCATAAGCTCTTCAGAACCCCTGGCTACTCTCTCCTACAAGCCTGCCTTCCTGACTTCTGCCTGTCATCTTAGATCCTCCCTGACCACAAGCCTCTGGCCAGAGAGGGAAGGTAGGCACCACCTTGCCTACTCAAGTCTTTCAGGTAGAGTTTTTGCTATTAGCTGTCTCCTCTTCAATAAAAAAGCCAAAGTTTATAAAAGACTTGCTTGATTTTCAGGATGTGAATCCACTTAGCCTCTTTCCTGAGTGAGAAAAGTTGTGAAGGTTGCGAGGAAACTTGTTTTACCTCAAACTCTCAGGGCTACCCAAAAGTCAGTTAAAGCTAGCAAAGGCAATTACTTTTTCAACAGCTGAGCAAGGTTCCTTAAGTTCCTTGAGTCTTTTGGGGTGGAGGCAGGGAAAGGTGTTGGTCAGCTAGGGGACTGCTGGATGCTGTGCTGGCTTCTGTCCTTCTTTAGGTACCCGTTCTGCCTAGAGGATTGTTTTGAATAAGCAAGATGAGATTATTACATTCTTTCTCCTCGGGCAGGGCTACTGATTCCCCAGCCCCTTTAATTTTAGATTCCCTGGGTGTGCTTGGAGCAATTACAAGTTAAAAAAAACACCCTGGGCTCCTGTGCTAATAAATTACACAGTGCTCACCTAATTAATAAGTTAACAGTGCCCTGCCAAATTATAATCATAAGGTATCAACCATTGAAACAATTCATTCTTGAAGAACAGCAAATGGAACTGAACTCAGCACAATAGGGAAGCATATCATGGGACAAAAGTCAGGCACGCCGAGTCCTGACAGGGGTGATGGAGTGCAGAGGCTAATGTTTCCAGCAGTGGCCTGGGAATTAATGACTCTGAGCCTTTCCAAGGATCACAGTGGTTTGGATAATATTGGGCAAATCATTTAGGGATTCTAAGTCCAGAAGAAACAATCTCATCATTTTTGAAACAGTCCTACTAAATGCTGATAATTTTGGGGGAATGTTGGGAGAGACTTGTGCCATGCCATGATACATTTAGCAGAACAGTGACCAATACGTAAGGGGAAATGAGGCTATCTCCTTAAAATGTTTACCCCAGTAGGTCCTGGTGATTTGGAAAGGTACCATCAGGCAACCCTGTGGGAATATTGTTTTGCTGTGAAGCCCTCACACTGATGCATTGTGGATAATAGCAAGATTACAGCTTTCTGTGTTCTTAAAACTTCCAGTGGCTCTCCATCAGTCCAGAGGGGAGGCTGTGAAGATTGTTGTTTGATTGTGACATTTCTGTGTGGAGACTCAGTAATGATGATTGTAGATCACAAAGTCTGCTCCAGAGGCTGCATGTCCTGGAAGGTACCTATCCAAACATTCATGCATTGAGAAGCCCAACTCCATTTTAGATTTCTGCAGATGAGGGAAAAGTGAGGTTTCACTATTTTTTTTTTTTTTTTTTTTGAGACAGAGTCTCGCTCTGTCGCCCAGGCTGGAGTGCAGTGACGCCATCTCGGCTCACTGTAAGCTCCGCCTCCTGGGTTCAGGCCATTCTCCTGCCTCAGCCTCCCAAGTAGCTGGGACTACAGGCGCCCGCCACCATGCCCGGCTAATTTTTTGTGTTCTTTAGTAGAGACGGGGTTTTACCATGTTAGCCAGGATGGTCTTGATCTCCTGACGTGATCCACCTGCCTTGGCCTCCCAAACTGCTGGGATTACAGGTGTGAGCCACAGCTCCAGGCTGAGGTTTCACTATTTTTAAGGAGAATTCAGTTGTTAAATGATTGCCTTACAGGGGAAAGGCAATGACTGCACTATGTTTCTCATTCCATATAGGTTACTTACTTTTATACATATTATTTTCTAACTTCCCCTGCTGACCCACATTTGCTTTCTCATCCTCAGTCTCTGTGGTTTCCTTGTGTGTTACACTTTGTAGTTTATGTTGGATCTTAAGGAACTCTCAAGGCATGCTGTCATCACAAGGAGCCCCCTGGGACACACTCTATTCATAACCAGATCTCCCATGAACAACATAGAATGCCAGATCATAACCCATGCTAGGGAGAATGGATGAGGAGTTGATGTTTGCTGAAAATGGGACTCCAGGAATCTTTGACCAGCTCTGCATACCTCTTTCAGAGCTTCAAAGGGGACAGTTATCTTGTGGCTACTTCAAAAAAATCACAGTCTCCTGGTGACTTAGGCTGGATCACTCAGAGCCACAAGGACTCCCCTCACCTAGTACTAGTGGGTCTAAAGTATAAGTAGGATGCAGTGTACCTCTTGAGGAAGTCTCAAAATATAAGCACTGGCAAGTCATAGGGAAAGCACATTAAGGAAAAGAAAGGAACTTAGAATGGTCACTCCACTGCCTGAAATAGAGCCTGCCTAAGGATTGAATTATGTCTCCTAAAAATAAACATGCTGAAGTCCTACACTAACTCCCAGTACCTATGAATTTGACCTTATTTGGACATAGGGTCACTGCAGATGTAATCATTTAAGATAAAGTCATTAGGGTGGGCTCTAGTTCAATATGACTGATATCCTTATAAAAAGTAGAAATTTGGACACACACATGCACACAGGGAGAAAACCACATGAAAAAAAAAAGCCGGAGATCAGGGTGATGCTTTTACAATCCAAGGAACACTAATGACTGTCAGCAAACCATCAGAAGCTAGGAGAGAGGCATGGAACAGATTCTTCCTCACAGCCCTGAGAAGAAACCAACCCTGCCAGCACTTTGATCTTGGACTTCTGGCTTCCAGAACTGTGAGACCATTAATTTCTGTTCCTTAAGCTACCCAGTTTGTTGCACTTTGTTACAGCAGCCCTAGAAAACTAAAGCAGGTACCAATGCCAAACCCTTCTGTAAAAGTGGGACAATAAAGACCCCCTACTCCAGAGTTGTTTTGAAGGATAAAGTCAAATACTTAGCACAGTTCATGACACACATTTGAAGCTGAATACATTTGGCTGTTGTGATTACCCAATTATTATACCTATCATTATATCTGTCTGAATATACTCCACCTTCTCTGATTCTAAACACAGTTAGATTGTGAAGTTCTGAAGCTGGTTGAAAGCTAACTCCCGCAACTGTGCAGAATGATACATAGGTTTACAAATCTAAGTTTTAATTTCAGAGCTGAGTTAAGGAGATCTGAGCCTGCCTTTGTGCCACTGTAGAATGGCAGGAATGTAATGCAGTGTAATACATATCCACTGGGAGATGGCGTGAGAGTCGCCTCCCATAACTTAATCTTTAAAGCTACTTATGGAAGGTTTTTGTTGAAACAGACAGAGTTTCTGCAATTAAATTACCATACATTAAAAAGGTTTCATTATGGCGTGATTCTATTATTAAAATCGGCAGCAAATAGCAGTGTGGGCTGCCTGGCTTGCATTACTGACACCAGCATTCTTTTTAATGGGTGAAAGAATATTAACCTTCAGGAAGCTCTAAAATAACCCTTTCTCAAAAATATGCAAATGGTAAGTTGTGCTCCACAACTCGTTGAAAGTGCAGGATATCCACTGAGAAGACCGATCTTGTCAATTTACATGGCAGGCTATTGGCTTCTAGAACATCCACTCCTTTGAGGGAGGGAGAGAGGCAGAAGCTGGGAGTTCAAAGCTGCTGGGATTAGTGACGCTTTGATGCTGTCCTAACACCGTAAATGATGGCTGGTCTAGACCTGTCATCTCTATAAACCTCGATCAGCCAGCTTCCCTATCTCAAATAAGGCATTCATCTTTCAAAAGATTGCTCAGACTCCAGTGGAACTTAGTAGACCCAGACAAATAAAGTGCCTTCTTAGGGGCTTGTCATAATTCTCACTGTGCAACCCTTTTTATGGTTACCAGGAGCTGTTTTTTGTGGTCTTCAGTTGCCAATTTAAGACAGTCTGGACTTAGAGATGCTTAAATAAATACTAACCCAAATGTGAAGTCTGATTTTCTGAAAGCAGTGGCCTTATTGGACTAAACTGACCTTTCCTTATGGGTTTCTATTTTGAGGTTTTCGTCTACTACAATCCACTGGAAAAAACCTTCCAAAACTTTTCAAATCTGGTTTATTTTTCACTTTCTATTTGAAAAAGTAGCTGTTGGGAATAATAACTGAAATAAAATTATATCAGACAAATGGTTGTTTCCAACCAATGTGCCAGAGGAAATAATCAATAGCTCTAGTGTTGGAAAATCAAATATGTTGACATTAATATTGCTATTGCTTTTCTCTTCCCACTAACATTTTAGATTGTCCCTCTAAAGCATTTATTGTTCAAGGTTAGCAATCTTATTTCAGATGTGTCTTCGTAATTCAGCACTCATATTTTATAAGCTGCTAATTGTTGTCTCTTGCATATGGTATATAATTTCATTAGAGGTTGTTTATTTGCATATGCATGTATTTTTTCTCCTCAATAATAGAAGGTCAGTGTATTTTAATGTATTAATCTGTTTCTGTTTGCATATGTATATTTTTCTCTTCTTACTAATAGGCTGTCACTGCATTTTTATATATTTACATATTTTATGGTGATGTTTGCTATTAGTTAAAATGTACACGTTTTATTTTCTCAGCATAACTTATTTCTATGCATTTAATATATAAAAATTTACTCATGAAACAAACAGCCAAAAAGCACTAGCAAATATCCAACCGAACGACTCATGATACTAGCCCACAACCATCAGCAATGCTAGTCTCCATTGTGAGATTCTCAGCTATCGCAGTGGTTACAATCCTTGGTTGTAGTCATTGTTTTCATGGGCTTAGCATTTTCTTCACTCATGGCAATATTATCACATGTCCTTTTGATGATGCTTGGCACAGCCTATGTCAGTGATATGTTCACTTACGTGAAAAGGTCCATAGGCTCACATTTTTTTGATCCAGTGGTAAGAGTCTTTCAATTTAAATAAAAATATGTCTTATATTTCAGGCACATCAAATCTGATTATAAAATATGATCTTGTGTTCTCCCACCCTATGCCTGTCTCCCCACTTGCAAGTTTATTCTTCAGAAGTAACTACTTTCAATGGTTTCCCCATAAGTTGAGGCAGAAGAACTAACCGTAGTGGTATAGGCACCCAGGCAAAAGGAGGAACTCAGCTCTGTAAAGGAGCCAAATAAGTCATTGGAAAGAATTAAAGCTGAGATTCTAACGGTTTCCGTTTCTATTAATCATTCCTCTGGCTATTTCTAGTTCTTACGTGGTTCTCTGTAAAACTTTGAATACCATGCATTCACACCTCAATTCTTTGATTTACTGATTTTGGACATGTATCTATTGCCACCCTGTCATCATCATTATTGGGAAAGATGAGGAATATAGCTTACTTATGCCTTTCTCTCCCTTTACTCCTACTAATGATTACTTGTTTGTTAGTTTTAGACCTTCTACTGACTACCTTTATGATTTCAAATCATAACTTCATAGTCTATTTCTTGATATATCAAATGTAAACAATGTCTCTTCACTCCTTATTATGTAAGATGAGATTTGCATTTTTCTTTTCCAAACATCTATCAGCTCTAGACTATTGCTTTTACATTATATGGTTATATAGTTATAACATTTCAACTTCCTGAGGTTGTGTTTAGGTGTAGGGTTTTTTTTTTCTTTAAATTCAATGGGTTGTTTCAAAGTGGACTTTTTATTTCAGTGTTTAGAATTTTCTATTTTTAATTTCTAAAATTATTTTCTATTTCCCGTATTTTTCTAGTTTCTTCTTTTGGAACTTTCATTAGGTGAATATTGAATATACTGGAGTGAAGTCTTCATCTTTTCATAATCTTGCTCTGTGTTTTGGGAGATTGCGTCACTTTTTTTTTTTTTTTTTTTTGGCCTCCCTTTTATCTTCTGTCTTCCACTGTATTCTTTTCATTCTGATGATCAAAGTTTTCATTTGGATTCTCTCTGATTTTTATTTTTTAAATAGCATCCTCTTCTAATTTATGGCTGGGTTATCTTTCAAATCTCTCTGAGTTTACTACTTGTATTTTAAAAGTTATCTTTTGTTTCCTAAACTATCTCTATATCCTCCAGGATAATTTTTTCCAGCTTGTAGACTTTTGTCTTTTCCTACAGCATTTGGAGTCCCTTGATTGTTAATATCAATGCCTTCAGTTCCAGATAGCTGGCATGGGCTTCCTCTGGCATTGTGTGGGTGTGCTTTTCCAAAAGGGCTTTTTCTTACAAACAGGTGACTGCAAATTCAGTGTGTGTGGCCAGGCATGTCAGCCTTAGCTCTCCCCAGACAGCTTGTTCAGCTTCTTCAGAGAGCTCATCGCCTGCTTCCCCAAGGGCCAATGCCACAACTGTTAGCATCTTTGCACAGAGTCGTAGGGAGACAGGTGTGCTGTACAGACTTTTGATTCCTCTGTGGTGTTCCGCTCCTTCTCAGTACAGATGGTTCAGAGTCGAGGCCTTCCTAAGGCTCTATGGGGAGGTGTGGCTCCCACTTCCACTGAAGCTTTCTTCTGAGTCTTCCTTTGCTCAGGGTAAACCTCAGTATGATTCTGTTGATTCCTATCTTTCAGAAATTCAGCAATGTCTCTTAACAAATGAAGATTGACCACCTGTTCACCACGCGTTCTTGGATTTATTTCTGTTTTGTGCAACATTCATGTTGTTTCATTGTGATTCCTCTTGAGAATGTGGGGGTAAAGATACATGCTTAGTTTATTCTCAGAAGCCCCCTGTGAGGCAGATATGATTTATGACCATCTCAGGCTGTAGCTTTTGGGAACACTGGCTTTTCTATAGTTTATTCCTGCTTCTTTCAGAGGGGAGCAGCATGAAAGCCTAGGTCTACTTCTAGGAATATATTTAAAATGAAAAATATACTCTTGTTATGAAAAATCTGAGCATATGCAAAAGTAGAGAGAAGAGTATGATGCACCTCAATGTGGTTGTCACCCAGCTTCAACAAATACCTCTGAGCAACCTTGTTTCCTCTTTATCTTTCCTCACTCTACTCCTTTCACTGAATTACTTTGAAGCTAATCCTAGACATCACATTGAAACATTGAAATAAAAGCTAGCAATGTGGGAATAAAATCTCAAGCCAGACTACTGAGGTTAGGTTTGCCTCTTCTGTGTCATGTGCCTGCTATCAGGTGAGTGAACTCAGGCAGCTGCTGATGTCTGGACTGTTCCCCAGGGCCTAGATAGATTAAGCAATAGGTGACAATAAACTTTTTCCCCCAGCTGTAATGTATTTTTTCTATTAAAAGGTAAGTGACTCAGTAAATATTTACAAATACCAAGAAGTAGTTAAGTAGAATATAGTGGCTTTAAAAAGGTATCTACAGGCTGGGTGTGGTGGCCCACACCTGTAATCCCAGCACTTTGGGAGCCAAGGCGGGCGGATCACGAGGTCAGGAGAGTGAGACCATCCGGCTAACAGAGTGAAACCCTGTTTCTACTAACGGCTGAGGCAGGAAAATCGCTTGAACTTGGGAGGTGGAGGCTGCAGTGAGCTGAGATCGCGCTACTGCACTCCAGCCTGGGCAACAGAGCGAGACTCTGTCTCAAAAAACAAAACAAAACAAAACAAAAACAACAAAACAACAACAACAAAGAAGATATATATAAAGTTGCTTCTCATACTCTGGCAGTAGAACTGTTATTTGATTCTCTTCCTTTTTTCCTCTGGGCGGTTAGTACTGCATGCAGGAGGAGGGAATAAGAAAGAGTCAGGAGTATGCAAGCTCAATGCTAGCTGAAAGCTCCTAAAACCAGTGTCTCAGGGATTCCCATGAAAAGCCAAGTGTGGTCCTGATAGAAAATGTTTCCAAAGGTAACTGACATCCCCGCACCCTTAGTTTTTGTCTCTGGTCTAGAAAGAAAAAATTCCATTTAGGAATAAAAAGAGAACCTAATGACATGTACAGTGTTAGATGTGTCTCAGTGTGATCATCTTTTCTTATAGCTTCAACCATCATGTCTATATTAATAATTCCTGGCAGATCTCTTTTCAGCTCAGATTTGTTACCCAAATTGCAGGGTTACTCGTTGGAAGCACCTATAGCAGTACCTAGTACATAATAGGTATTTAGATATTGATCTTGATGTACTAGTAGACATTTTCAAATAGACATTATATTGCAATTTAACATTTGTTTTAGTCTCAAATCCACCTTCTCCTGGTTCTACACGTTGCTCGCAGCACCCTGTCCTCCTTGGTTGAGTAGGTGTTAGCTGTAGCTTCCTCCCTGTTCTTTGCTTGGCACATCTAATTGTCCACCAAGACCTGTGTTGACTCTCTTTGCATTTTCCCACAAATACACTTTTAAATTTCCACATCTGCTACCTTAGTTCTCCTTTTTGAATCAGTGTAGCACCCTCCCAACTAGTGTTTTTGCTCTAGTGTTCCCTCCTACATGCCATCCTGGTATTAAATGTCTTAAAAATCTAGTTTGACTGTCACTCCCCTCTCATGCTTAGGACCAAAACCCCTCAGTTATTTCCTGTTGCCTTTAGAAGGGAGTCCTAATGCCATTGTGTGGCATGGTATGGCAGGCTGTCCACATGCAATGCTCAGTGTACCTTTCCAGTCTTCAGGCCACTTATTTCAACTTACTTGCTTTGTTTATTTATTTGTCTTTACTGTTTGTCACTCACACTGGAAATAAACTCTATAAGGGCAGAGACACTTCCATCCATGTCAACTGATGTATCTATCCACAATGCCTAACGTGATGTTTGAGACATAGGAGTATTGAATAACAATACACTGAATAAATGAATGAATAAATGTTCTTTACTCCTCTCTGTAATTCTATGCTGAATCAATTGAAATTATTATTTTCTCAATTACAAAATGATATTTCCTACCCTCTCCTTTTGTCTTCTGCTCTTTTGGAATAGTTACATTCTCTCCACCTTTACTGCTAAGACCCAACTCTAATTCTATATTCTGCATCTTGCCTTCCCTGCACTGGGAGGGTCCTTGGACTTTATTTATTTATTGCATCCTGTCTCATATTGTGGTTATTTATTTATTATCTTGTCTTTCTCTGAGAAATTGTAAGCTCCTAGAGAGTGGGAAGTATGTCTCCCATATTTTGGAGGCATAATTCCTATGTTTTTGTACCTTCCACAATTGTGATACCCACTAAGGATGTTTGAATCACTCAGACTTGTATTCACTCGTAAATGAGAAGTTGATAGCTATAAATATTTCACCCTTTTCTTCTACACTTACTCTCCAAATCCCATATATGTTCTTTATGATGTCAATCATTGACTGACCATTGAGTTTTCTTCTATTTTCTGCGCGTTATATATTTATGATATTGTGGAACTCCTCACTGGCATTGGGATTTGGTGACCCAACACGATGTGTTTTTAGACTCAAACTCCTATAATTGACCATTGGGTTTCTGTTCATTTATTATTAATCTGGATAGAAATGCTGTGCTGAAACCCAGCTCCAGCTCAGAAAAAACACTGTATGGAGTAGCTTCTGAATTGCATGTCCTTAATTTGAAATTGGATTAGTCTCTCTAATGTGTAAAACATGGGAATTAAGGAGCCAGCTCTGCCACTTGCTAGCATTGTAACCTTGGTCAAATTACTTAACCTCTTTTTGACTCAGCTTCCTCACCTATGAAGTAGGGGTAATAATAGAGGCTAATTTCCATGTTTGTTGTGAAGATTAAATGACTTATTACAAACAAATTAATTAGAATAGTGTCTGGCATGCTGGAAGCAGACAGACAATAAACATTCTCTGCTGTTATTGAGGGAATGCCATTTTGAAAAGTTTATTTAGGGACTCATTCCATTCTGAGCAAGGACTTCATATCCCTGAGTTAGATGTGGTGGAAACCACTATGATAATCTCTGTGATTAGTCTTTCTTCCTTCAATGACTTTGGGAAACTCTTTAAATCTTAATGTAGGAGACCTTTATAGTCTGGCCTCTGTTTATATTTCTGGCCAGACATGCTAATTTTTTTCCTTCCCTTGTAAAGTGCTATAATTTATCTCATCTTCAGGCTTTCATACAAGCAATCCCTTGGTATACATTTACCCAACTTTAGTATCATTTCTTTGGGAGTGTCTTCCCTGATAATCACTTTCCTCACTCCTAAAATTAGGTGTATTTCCCATGAATTACTACAGTCAGGGATGATATTATAAGTATTTAATAATGAGTCTAGCATTGGCATAATCAATATGGTCTTACAACTGTCATGGCACTAGAGTGGGGTCTTGGGAACCTCTGGCATCTTTCCTTTAGTTGCTGAGTTGAGAGGCACTCTTGAAGGTACAGAGAGGCTGAGGGAGCTAGGGTGATGAAGAGAGGCATTCTGGGAGCTCAGAGCAACAGCTACACACCAGATGGTACAGGCCTACTATAATGGCTTAACTGCTGAGCCCATGGCAGTTTTACCAGTGGAAGACCAGCCTTGATTGAGACCCTTTATGCTTCCTCTAGCAACACACTTATCACGCTATTAAATAATTCTAGTGGTCTATTTCCTTATATATATTTTCCACCAAACTTTGAGTCTTAATCAATATACCCTTTTAAGGATGGTCTTAAGTGTGTTCCCCTGAAAGTAGAGTCTGAGTCAAGAACTCATTTCATGTAGAGTTTCGGGAATTGATCCCAGAAAGCAGACTAAAGACTGGGGAGAGTGAGAGGAGAAAGAAGAAAATCCAAGTCAGGGGTGTGGTTTCTAAGTCACTGCTATAGGGAATAAGGGTGAATGCTGCCTCATCTTCTTGGTTGTGAGAGAATTCCTCCCAAAATTTTCTTCTCAAGAAGGGGAGGTTGGAGCACTTTTCCCCAGGCACCCATTCCCCTTGGGCTGAGGATCTCTGCTGGAAGCATTCACTCCCTTGCACTTCTGGATTGCATGTGTGTATAAATAGAGGTGACTTGTCAGAATCAGAAAAAGTCCTGGGACAGAAAACAGTAACGCACCCAATGCATGTCTGAGGGGGTGCATAAATCAGTGCAGTGTGAATCTACGCTTGCACACAACTCTCCACTGAAGGTGCAGCTAACATATGGTAGGAGAAAATTTGACATAGGGCACCGGAGGTATTTTTCACATGATATAGTACCACCAAGAACCCAGCTTTTTTGAAAATTTAATGGATGACTTACTAAATTTCATGCTTTTCATGTTCTTCTCCAATTCTTTCTCAATAGCTTCTCTTCCACACACTCAAAGGCTTAACAAGCAAATATTGACTACCTAGTACACATGAGATTTTGTTGATAGGTCCTGTGATACAGCAGTGATAAGACCCAGTTGCTGCCTTTCATAGAGCTTCACAACTTTCAGATCCTGACCCAATGCTACATAAATGGCTTCAAAGCATTGCACATTATGTGTAAGTCTTGAAATTTTGATTTAGTAGAATATTGGGTACAGATGACAGAGACCAGGGGTTCTTATTCCAGTCCTAGACCCTGATATTTCTTATTCCTTCTATACCTAGGTTTTTTTTTTTTTTTTTTTACATCTTAGATGGGAATTGTGTCACCTATCTTTTCTTACTCTGCACTAGGTTGGGAGGACAAAGGGAGGTAATGCCTACATAAGCAAGATATGAAACAAGCTCAAACACACCCTGTTTGAAAATGTAAATAAGCAGATGAAATAAGAAAACAACTGAAATGTATTACAGTATCTAAAATCTCCCCTCTCCTCCTCCGGTTTTGAGACTTTCAGGGTAAAGCTTATAAAGTGCACGTCAGTTTCGAACCATGAAACAGGAAACTTCTGTTCAGGTTTATTATAATGTAAACCAATGCCTTAAACTAGGCCCTTCCCCAATAGAAGAGAAGGGAGAGGGAGGACTGTTTATTGAACATTTTCTATGTACCAGCATGGGTTAGCTACTTCATATGCAGATCTTGTAACCATAATATGTTTGTCACTCCATGCACAGAGCAAGTCAATACACAGAGACACCAAATTGCAGCAGAGAAAGAGGCTTAATTGTAGGGTCACCAAATGAGGAGATGGGAGGAAACCTCAAATTAATCTCTCCAAGGAGTCTGGGGTTAGGGTTTTTAAGGGTTTTGGAGAGGGCTGAAGTGTGGAGATCATTGATTGATTGAAGAGTGCAGGGTGAGATCATGAGACAGGAAGTTGAAGAAGCAGTATTCTCATGCTGAATCCATTTCTCTGTGGGGGGTCATCAAACTAGTGGGTGTCAGCTGTTTTGCTGGACTTTGGGTCTGGAAAATATCTTAAGCAATTCTTAAACAAAGCCTTATGAGTCTAACATCAGAAATCCTATCTATAGGAACAATGGGGATGCAAATGGTCAGTATCTAGTGTTGTGGTGACTTTTAGCAACAAGAAAGCGGGGCAAAAGTACAGCCTTGCTAATGCTTAATTATAATGATATTTCTGTCCAGAACCTGGCATGCAATTTTTGCCAACCTTGTGGGGATAGTTTCAATCTCTTGGCAGAGCTATAGGTGATGCATCTAGTCTTTGGTTCCAGCCTCCTCTTGTGATGTTCTTGGAAACTCCAGGTGGTTATTTCCTCTTTGTCCTTTCTCACCACTCTCACAACAGTGTTCAACAGATTCAATATTTCTCACCTCACTCCTTTCCATTTCCACACCTTCTGCATTCCTTGCCTTAGTATCTTGCTATGTGTCAGGTTCATGTATATAAAAAATACCATTCCCATTAAGGAATTAGTGAAGGATACTGACATGAGGACATTGCATTTTAATTCAAATAGTAATTTCAAAGCTGAGATTTTCAGGTAATACAGCATTCAGTGGGAGAGAAATTTGGAGGACGAAGTGGATATTTTGCTCATTCTCAAGTGACAGCACTTGTAATATCTTTCTACAGGGCTTACCCTGCTTATATCATAATGTCAAGCAACCTGTGGCATCGTTTGACTCTATGGGGATGGCAAAATTTCCATCATCATTATCAATTCTCATGTATCTGACTGCAGTAAAACAATGACCTTTTCAGGTGTTAAAATGGGACATTAGCAAAAGTAAGAAGAATACAGGGGAGAAAAGGTCAGCTGAAACCAACAACATTTCACTTATGAAATGAGTGGAGATAGTCTCAGAAATATTATCTTTTTTTCCTTCTAACTCTACTATTGGCTTTGAGTTGTAACCTATGGAGGCAGCCTTTGGTAAAAGAATAACGAATGGTAATTGTGGCCTCAAATATTGGCAGAGCTATCCTTGTCTCAGATTCATTTCTTTATTTGCAATAATGTTTTATCTTTTTAAAAGGATTCTAAAACTGAATAATCCATTTCATCTATTATGACACCTTTGCAGTTGTTGTAATGATCATCACTCAAGTGCTTTTTATATGTATGTATAGCACGAGTGTCCATTTTTCTTAAAAACCATTGTAAAGAGTGAGAGAACACCACAAGCACCATTCCTGTACTTTTAAATTCTGGTGAAAACATTTTGCTGTAAGATGGTTCATTTTTAACACCTGAGTCTATGTTCAAGTAATTTGGTTTTGGTTTTAACAATGGTGCCAAAGTATCAGAGGTGTTTAAACCAGAGCAGCTCCATCTTGAATAGCGGCTGGGTAAAATGAGGATGAGACCTGTGGGGCTGCATTCCCAGGAGGTTACACATTCTTTTTTTTGTTTTGTTTTCAAGATGGAGTCTCACTCTGTTGCCCAGGCTGGAGTGCAATGGTGCAATCTTGGCTCACTGCAACCTCCACCTCCTGGGTTCAAGCAATTCTTATGCCTCAACCTTCTGAGTAGCTGGGATTACAGGTGCCCACCATCACGCCTGGCTAATTTTTGTATTTTTAGTAGAGATGGATTTTGCCATGTTGGCCAGGCTGGTATGAAACTCCTTACCTCAGGTGATCTACCCACCTTGGCCTCCCTCCCAAAGTGCTGGGATTACAGGCATGAGCCACCATGTCCGGCCAGGTTACACATTCTTAGTCACTGGGTGAGATAGCAGGTTGGTAGAAGATATGGGTCATAAAGACCCTGCTGATAAAACAGGACATAGTAAAGATATGGAACCAAAAAAGAGCCCGCATTGCCAAGTCAATCCTAAGCCAAAAGAACAAAGCTGGAGGCATCACGCTACCTGACTTCAAACTATACTACTACAAGGCTACAGTAACCAAAACAGCATGGTACTGGTACCAAAACAGAGATATAGACCAATGGAACAGAACAGAGCCCTCAGAAATAATGCCGCATATCTACAACTATCTGATCTTTGACAAACCTGATGAAAACAAGAAATGGGGAAAGGATTCCCTATTTAATAAATGGTGCTGGGAAAACTGGCTCGCCGTATGTAGAAAGCTGAAACTGGATCCCTTCCTTACACCTTATACAAAAATTAGTTTAAGTTGGATCAAAGACTTAAATGTTAGACCTAAAACCATAAAAACCCTAGAAGAAAACCTGGGCAATACCATTCAGGACATACGCATGGGCAAGGACTTCATGTCTAAAACACCAAAAGCAATGGCAACAAAAGCCAAAATTGACAAATGGGATCTAATTAAACTAAAGAGCTTCTGCACAGCAAAAGAAACTACCATCAGAGTGAACAGGCAACCTACAGAATGGGAGAAAATTTTTGCAATCTACTCATCTGACAAAGGGCTAATATCCAGAATCTACAATGAACTCAAACAAATTTACAAGAAAAAAATCAAACAACCCCATCAACAAGTGGGCAAAGGATATGAACAGACACTTCTCAAAAGAAGACATTTATGCAGCCAAAAGACCCATGAAAAAATGCTCATCAGCACTGGCCATCAGAGAGAAGCAAATCAAAACCACAAGGAGATACTATCTCACACCAGTTAGAATGGCGATCATTAAAAAGTCAGGAAACAACAGGTGCTGGAGAGGATGTGGAGAAATAGGAATGCTTTTACACTTTTGGTGGGACTGTAAACTAGTTCAACCATTGTGGAAGTCAGTGTGGCAATTCCTCAAGGATCTAGAACTAGAAATACCATTTGACCCAGCCATCCCATTACTGGGTATGTACCCAAAGGATTATAAAACATGCTGCTATAAAGACACATGCACACCTATGTTTATTGCGGCACTATTCACAATAGCAAAGACTTGGAACCAACCCAAATGTCCAACAATGATAGACTGGATTAAGAAAATGTGGCACATATACACCATGGAATACTATTGCCATAAAAAAATGGTGAGTTCATGTCCTTTGTAGGGACATGGATGAAGCTGGAAACCATCATTCTCAGCAAACTATCGCAAGGACAAAAAACCAAACACCACATGTTCTCACTCATAGGTGGGAATTGAACAATGAGAACATATGGACACAGGAAGGGGAACATCACACACCAGGGCCTGTTGTGGGGTCGGGGGAGTGGGGAGGGATAGCATTAGGAGATATACCTTATGTTAAATGACGAGTTAATGGGTGCAGCACACCAACATGGCACATGTATACATATGTAACTAACCTGCATGTTGTACACATGTACACTAAAACTTAAAGTATAATTAAAAAAAAAAAAAGCTGGCCAAAACCCGCCAAATCCAAAATGGCAATGAAAGTAACCTCTGCTTGTCCTCACTGCTTATTATATGCTAATTATAAAGCATTGGCATGCTAAATGAAACTCCCACCAGTGCCATGACAGTTTACAAATGCTATGGCAACATCTGGAAGTTACCCTATATGGACTAAGAAAGGGAGGAACCCTCAGTTCCTGGAATTGCCCACCCCTTTTCTGGAAAACTCATGAATACCCACCCTTTGTTTAGCATATGATGAAGAAATAAGCATAAAAATAGACAACCAGCAGCCCTCAGGGCTGCTCTGCTTATGGAGTAGCCATTCTCTCATTCTTTTATTTTCTTAATAAACTTGGTTTCAGTTTACTCTATGGACTTGCCCTAAATTCTTTCTTGCAGGAGATCCAAGAACACTCTCTTGGTACCCCGTTCTGGTAACAAAAGTACAGAATTAACAGAATTTATTTACTTTTGTTCTTTTAGAACGCTTCCACTGGCTCAAACTTTGAGTTAAATTTCAAAATTAATATATATATTTTTCCTAGACAAAGGCATATTTCTTAAACCTGTGTTTTATGATTTTATAATTTAACATTTCTGATGAGGAGAAAACCTTAGGCAAACACCAAGAGCTCTCAAGAAACCTTCGAATTGACTTTTATATTACAAAACAGGCTCAGAATCAGAAAAGACATAGAATCTGACACATTATTAGGTACAGAATAATCAATGAAAAATGTGATTGATTGATCCAAAATGATTAGAGGAGAAACTGTAATTAGGTTAGTTGAAATTTGCATGACCCTGTGGGTTTGTACAGAAAGCTATTATATCTAGGATGGGAGGCTCTGTCTCCTTACCATGGAAATGTATTTAAATAAACCCAAATACAAGCAAACACTGCACATTTTCTCTCCTCTTTTTCCTCACTAGCTTTTACTTTGTTTGGACTTCGCAGATATCAGCAGGGAACAATGACCAGGTAGATACCATTTCATTCCTTAGCAACCTGCCCCATCTTCTACATCTTCATATGCTAAGCCCAACCATTAATTAATTCTACATGCTTTTCACTTTGGCCATGCTCATTAGACTTAAAATAAACAGAATTCAACCTTATTTTATTTATTTATTTATTTTTAGAGACAGGGCCTTGCTATATTGTCCAGGCTGGCATCAAACTCCTGGACTCAAGCAATCCTCCCACTTTGGCTTCCCAAGTAACTGGGATTCTTTCAAAATTAATTGAGATAATTTCCCTATTGTGGTAATTAAACTTGGAAAAGCAATAAAACAGGTTTTGAAAATGGAGAAGCATTTTTCATCACATGTTATCTTGAACACTAGACTCATACTATCTGGAAAGCAAAGATTTGTGATTAAGTATGTGTGGCAAATGCTGTATCTGCTGCTACTTTAAGGGTGGTCCATTAACTGCTGCCTGTCCCCAGACTGTTTCCTGTCTGTGATGTGATGCATACAAAAATGAGACTGTGCAGAGACCTGAATAGAAACTTGATGTAATAATTTTATATCTGTTAAATCTAATAATTAAAAATTAGGGACTATTTTTATTTCAGTTTTCTAGTAAATCACTTCTATTATATTTTACTAAAATAATGCTCCAGTATGAATTAGGGAAAAAAAAAAAACCCAAAACTGATCCTTCACCACAGATAGTCAGAGAAACAATGCTATATACTATTGTTTTTTCTTAGAGATTCACAGCATTTGCTATATAATAAAGATTCTGAGAAGCCACACAGTAAAGAGACTCATTTAATTCAGTGTTTCCAAATACTTCTGAGGCCTCAGAAATCTTTTTTTTTTCTTGTGGGTTACCTCTATTAATAGTCTATGTATTTCATGTTTTACAGAATACATCTTGGGGATTGTTAAATTATGATAAGCAATGTTCATAAAGTAGTTTGGGCCGGGCATGGTGGCTCATGCCTCTAATCCCAGTGCTTTGGGAGGCCAAGGCAGGTGGTTCACCTGAGGTCAGGAGTTCCATACCAGCCTGACCAGCATGGCGAAACTCCATCTCTACTAAAAATAGAAAAGTTAGCTGGGCATGGTGGCGTGCACCTGTAGTCCCACCTACTCAGGAGGCTGAGGCAGGAGAATTGCTTGAACCCAGGAGGTGGAGGTTGCAGTGAGCTGAGATTGTGCCACTGCACTCCAGTCTGGGCATACTTTATATTTTTGAATGCACAGGAATATCTTATTAAAAAACTACTCAAAATGAAGTCAGTGGGTAAATACCACACACCAAACATGATGCCATATTACATATTCAGGAATGTGTGTGTTTAACTATTTAGGATATTAAAAAGTTGTAGTACCTAGTCACATACCTTCAAGAGTTGATCCATGTGAGGATAAACTAATTTAACTCCAGATAAAAAGTCAGAAATAAAAGTGATGGAAGACAAAGATTTTGACTCTTTATTCATGTTAAAAATAGAAGACACTGAATCCAGTTTTCATGCAGACATGTTGGAGCCACCGATCATGTAAATTCCTATCCTGTTCATGACTATGTCTTTAATGGTGTACAATTTGGATATTTGGAAAAGCTCAAGAAGAGCCTGGAGATTTGGTTTACATAAACTGGAGGCCAGGCCGTTGGCTTTCTGTATCACTGGGAGTCCAGCTTTTGGATTCCCAGTGATGTAGAAGACTGCACTTTCTTATTCAAGTGACAAAATAATCTGTACTCAGTCAAATTGAAACTGCAACAAAGAAAACAGAAATATAGTTAATTTCTTCAAGTGTTGAATTTAAAAATCAAGGTGCACAGGGATGGCAATGTATGGAGATGTTTCTTGGGAGCCATGTGTGGCACCTCACCCACAGGGTGGCATTTCCTTGGGGAATTCTCTATGGTCCTGGGTCTAGCTGTACTCTTCGGCGTTGAAAACAGTATCTTATTAGTGCTTCACAAATGATCATATGTTTGGATCATATGTTTGGAGCAAGTGATGTTGAAGCTCCCAACAACACTGATAATTAAAATTAGATTATCTAGAGCACAGCAGTGAAGAATACATGTTCTAGATGCAAGTTCCCTAGGTTCAAATCCTGGCTTCTCCATTATGACCTTGGCTAAGTGACTTAGCTCTAAGTCCTGTTGTGAGGATTGAATGAGAAAATGAGTTTAAAGTGCTTAGAATGTTACTGGTGTGGAGCAGGCACGGCATAATAGTCAGCTGTTATAATTTACACTGATAAATGCAATGTCAAGTGGAGTATACTTTCAAACTGGCTTGATCAGCTTATCTCACTTCGTGGGTAAGCTCCACAGGAAGCCAAATTATCAGCAGCTGCCTGGCAATCACGGTGTTGGAAGGAGTTACCTCTATCTTTATGCTTTATAGCACTAGGTTATGACCACATGATGCATTCTGTCAGTTTCATGGATGCAGCTGGCAAACAGATTCCAGTAGTTTATGGGCCAGAGTTGCTGTCCTGAGAGATATCCTGCCTGTTTATGGTGACTCTGCATGCTTATATGTTAAAATGAGGATAATAAAGAATTACTCCCTTTATGCTGATTTTAGAGGGTAGATCTCAGAGGGCAACTTTATTTCTATACTCACAGAGATCTTCTTCCTGTTGTTCTTACCACATACCTACCTCCTATGAGATATGTATGTATCTAGACTCAAAGTATATCTGTGAGTTGAAGAGACAAGACTGAGACTTCTATTAGCAAACAACCTACACTTGAAAGAATTGATCACTCAGTGTGAAGATTTGCAAAACAAAGTCACAATTTCAGAAATGATGTGGATCTTATTGAGTGCAATTACATTTCCATGGTTGCCTATTGAGTTGAAACCTTAGGATTTATCCCAATTATCAAGTGTCTGCTGTATTGGTTTGGTCAAATTTCTAAATAAATGGATTATACTTAAAGAAAATCATGCCCACTATACAAGGCATATCAGAATAATCCTGGAAAGTTTGACTCTTGCCACCATCAAGCCAATATTTGGGCCCTTCTGGGTTTGTGATCATAGATTATCGTCTATGAAGTTGTCTAAATTGGATGCTGGAAACTCTCATCAGTGATGTGAACCTGTGGTGAGATTAGAGTTATGCATAGCAGTTTTCACCCATGGTTTAGTCTGTTTAATACTGATATTTTCATGGTCTTGTTAAACACTGTTGAATGGTTACAACTAAACTAGCTTTTGTTTTAGTCTGGAAAAATATTCGTAATATATATATTGAACAAGAATTCATATCTACAATTTATAAAGAACTACAAATTATTAAGTAAAAGACAAAACGTTCCATTTTTAAAATGAGCAGAAATGTTGAACAGGTGTTTCACCAAAGAAGACATACAAATATTCCTCAAATTCCCAAAAGGTATGGAATTGCACTACTCATGAGGGAAGTGCAAATCAAAACCACAACAATATAACTATATACCTAGAATAGTTAAAGACTGAGAGTACCAAGTGTCGACAAGGGTGCAGATCAACTGAAACTCTCACACACCCCAGGTAAGTGCAAACTGGTACAATCATTAGGGAAAACTCTTTGTCAGTATCTACTAAAGCTAAACATATAATTTCACGACTCAGTAATTTCACTCTCAGGAATATCCAAGAAAATTGAGTACAAATTTCTACCAGATATGTACAAGAGTGTTCACAGCTACTAAGCTTGCTCTTTTTATGAATAAAGTGGATCAAGCTGGTTTTGGACTGCTTTTTCTGTACTGTTAAAAGTTGACGTCCATAATTGGCAGTGATTTAGCAGTGAAAAATCAGGCCATTCATTTGTGTGTGGATCATTGTAGAGCTGATTATTAAGAAGGTTGGATATTCCTATTCTTTATTGTCCCCATTTAACACAGCATATAGATTTTGTGTATCATTCATTTTCCTTGAATTTTAAGATGAGAGAATATGAAAATAAACTTTTAATTAGCAATCTAGTGAAGAAAATAGACTCATATCCCAATATTGCAGTATGTCTCTTTTTTCTTCACTTATAAAGCCTTTTAAAAATAATCTCCATCATTTCAACTTGGCAATGAACCTACAGCATGACAATCAAAATTAAGTTACAGTTTTCATTAAGTGCAGTCTAGACTGTATCTTTACCCAAACTCAAAGCACAAGCAATTTGATTTGCTGCTTATCCAAAACTTCCTCCTAAAGAGAAAAAGTGAAAGTATGTATGATTGCTTTCAAACCTTAGAGGAGGTAAGTACAGTGTTCAATAACTTCATCAAATAGGATCTAAATTTTATGGTGTAAATGCCAGGTTTCACAGGTCAGTGAGTCTTTTCAAATGGTACACGGGCTGCCTATATCAAATTTGTACAAAAGAATTGATTTTGGTGGTTGGAATAAGGCCATTTCAGTCTTGCTGCAAGCTTTCCAGAAATAATAGTGCTATACTAGGAGATAAATTATATATAGATTACTGTTTTTAAGTATTATTCAGAATGTTAACAACTAGTATAATGGACTTTCTTATTGCAATTCTAAATAGCAAGTGTCAACCTGATTTTTAATGTTCTCCAGTATGCCTCAGCAGTTGTGTAGATTCTAGGGAAAGCTGTGCTGTCTGGCCGACAGAAACATCATGTTTTATTCTCACCTTTTGTTTTCTTCCTTTTAGGTCTGTTATGCTTCTGTTATTGGCAGGACAGCCAGAGGAGGCAGACAGGACCTTTGATGCCTGGCAAGCTGTACCACTGGGAGGTAGGGAGAAGTGTGTTTTCAAAATGGAAATTCTTAGTGTGTTTTGCTTTTGTGTGAGATATTAATTGCAGAAAGATTGGTAGGTATGTAATGTGTTATACTCAGCCTTCTATAATGCATCATGTGCCCTGGTGAACTCTTATTTTGGGATCACTTCTCAGCATGGATACTTTTCCTAATTTTTCACTTTACCCATTCTGAGAGGTCACAAGGGCTTTGTGCAGCACATATAAGCAACAACTCTTTTTTAATAGGACTTTCCATAGCTATATGTCTTCAGTGGTTAGGAATTGAATATCTGGAGTGTTCTGTGTATATAAAAGTACAGAGTTCTGTAGAGAAAGCCTTATCCAATTCCTTTAAGCATACTTTTTTCCATCTGCGTATACCTGTTGCCCTTTCAATGTTGCTCTGTTGTTTGCATATTTGCCTCCTTGATTAGGGCAGGCATCCCTACCATCTTTGCTTCCCTCCCAGGGTCTAGCATAGTGTCTGGCACATCGTAGGTGATTTTGTTTGTTAATTAACTGCCACCCTATACTGGGGCTGAAGACTAAAATATGGCAAAATCTGAAAAAATGTCAAATGCAGAATATTTGCTAATGTGAAAACGAGATTTAGAACTGAGTCTCTATGATGCTCAAGTGGAAAGAAATTCAGAAACCCTATTTATTTCTGAAAAAAGCAAAGCAATACTGTGCTGCAAACCATAACAACAAAAAAAAGATACATGTTTCCACAGTGTAAATGCTTCCCACTGCTGATGTCCATCTGCAATTGGAAGTTGGATGGATCTCAATGGTCCTTTCAAGCTTTAAATTTTTCAGCATTTTTGGCATAAAGTATTAATTGCTTTTATTTTCCTTTATTCTTTATATTTCAAAGATCTTATGTTCTTGCTGCCTTTCAGAATGCACAAAAATATAGATTCAATCTGGAATGGCTTTACTAATCAGGAAAATTACAATAGACTTTACAACCAAGATATTACAAAGAAAACTTCCAAACCTTGCGCATTAGTCCTTTTATTTTGCATGGCTATAAATAAATACCTGAGGCTGGATGATGCATAAAGAAAAGAGATTTAGTTGGTGCACAGTTCTGCAGGCTGTACAGGAAGGATGGTGCTGGCATCTGCTTCTGATGAGTATGCAGAAAGCTTACAATCATGGTGGAAGGCAAAGAGGGGAACAGGCGGTTACATGGTGAGACAGGGAGCAAGGGGGTGGTGGGGAGGTGCGTATTCTTTTAACCAACCCCATCTCATGTGAGCTCAGAGCAAGAACTCACACATTATGGTGAGGATGGCAGCCAGGTATTTGTATTAGTCTGTTCTCATGCTGCTAACAAAGACATATCTGAGACTGGGTAATTTATAAAGGAAAGAGGTTTAATTGACTCACAGTCCAGCATGGCTGGGGAGGCCTCAGAAAACTTACAATCATGGCAGAAGGGGAAAACAAACATGTCCTTCTCCACATGGTGGCAGCAAGGAGAAGTGTAAGTGAAGGGTTGGGGGGAAGCCCCCTGTGAAACCATCAGATCTAGTGAGAACTCACTCACTATCACGAAAACAGTTTGGGGGTAACTGCCCCCATGATTCAATTACCTCCCATCAGGTCCCTCTCACAATATGTGGGGATTATGAGAACTACAATTCAAGATGAGATTTGGGTGGGGACACAGCAAAACCATATCAGCATTCATGAGGGATCTGCTCCCATGACCCAAACAGCTCCCACCAGGCCCTACCTCAAATGCAGGGGATTACATTTCAACATGAGATTTAGAGGGGACAAACATCCAAACTATATCACCTCATTTTTTTTATGCCTCAATAATATTTGCAACTGGCATAACAAATGACATGTTTCATGTCTATTTAATACCTGCCAACTGTGCTTTAAAATGTAAATGAAGGGCCAGGCACGGTGGCTTACATCTGTAATCCCAGCACTTTGGGAGGCTGAGGCGGCCAGATCATGAGGTCAGGACATCGAGAGCATCCTGGCTAACACGGTGAAACCCCGTCTCTACTAAAAATACAAAAAAAAAAAAAAAAAAAATTAGCTGGGCATGGTGGTGGGCGCCTGTAGTCCCAGCTACTCGGGAGGCTGAGGCAGGAGAATGGTGTGAACCCGGGAGGTGGAGCTTGCAGTGAGCCGAGATCGCGCCACTGCACTCCAGCCTGGGCAACAGAGCAAGACTGTCTCAAAAAAAAAAAAAAAGTAAGTGAAGTAGGATAACTAATTTTAATAGAATCATCTCAAATTACCTTCCCTCCCGCTATTAAAATGACCTCCTTTGGTTTATAATGGTTTATTTCATTGTTAAGTAAAAATCCTCTTCTTTCTGTGGGCCCAGCACACCCACTGAGGTGGTTGTTTAACGGCACACAATCAAGGACAGTCTAACCAGTCAGGATGGTTTCAGTTTAATGTCCACTTTAGTCTCAGTGGCTCATTTAATCACTTGGAATAATAGCGGTTCTCAGATGTTTAATGTATTTCTCAGAGCCAAGGTGTTCAGGGTTACTACAGGCAAGGCAGTCTCTTATGAAGAAAGAGGGGATCTGATTCTTTCTTGGCTCCAGCCACACATAAACGGCCTCCTTTCCATTGCCTACTCTTCATGTTTGACTCCCTGTCCTCACTTCTCCTCCCTGGGGGAGCGTGTGTTCTTATGTGTGTTCTTTACCATGGGAACTTGGAACTGAAAGGGACCTCTAAGGTCATCTGTACGTTTCATAGATGAGGAAGCTGAGGACTGTAGAGGTCATGTGACCTGCTTGAGGTCACACAGCTAGTGCGGGGAGTGCTGGACCTGGACTCTGGGTCTTTTGACTTCCACTCCAGAGACTTTTTCCTTCTCTTAGGCTTAGAAAGGGACAGTAGAGGCATCAGAGATTCCATGTGGCATTTTAAAATAGCGAGACTTTCTTTTAAGATTTTTCTCTCTTGTTTTACAAAGATGTTAAAAAAAATTTCCCAGTTCTCCCATTTTCTTATATGGAAGGATAATCTGACATTCTGTGCAGAGAATTGACTATTTCCCACAAAATAAACAGTGGAAAGCAAGTAGCACAAGTATTTAGGGATATCAGGGGTCCTCAGTGCTCCAAGCTTCCAACAGCTCAGTAAACATCCCCTCCCTGATTGTCATGGGAGAGGAAGAGGCAGGAAGAAGCAGTGTTCAGAGGACTGGGGATTACAGGAGGAGCAGTGTTGCAGTGAGTAAGTGAGTGAGTGAGTAGTATTTTTGGCATTGCAATAGGTCTATTTTTCCAGAAAGTACAAAAACACAGAATCACCAGGCTCAGAAAGCCTAGCAGTCAACAAGACTCATTTCTAAGGCACCAAGTAAAATGCCAGCAAGATACTGCATGTCACATCGGAGATCCTAGAAGAGAAGCTAGGCATCTCTTTATGTTCCATGTAGATCTACAGGAAGTGTGGTATCCATCTCACAGTGGGAAGTTCTGGCCCTGCAACAGTAATACCAACACGCAGGGGGAATGACTAGATGCCTGCCTGGAAGAAGCAGGAGTGGTAAAGAATACTGAGCGGAGCGGGGGACGCTAAGCTTCTAAACACTTAGATGGTGGGGATCCATGCAGAGGAAGTTAGAAAAGACTGAAACAGACATGAGAGACTTCCCCGATTCTCTTACCTTTGACCCTTGTTTCTTTTCTCTTTTTCTCCCTTTGCCCTTCATGCTACCACCCCATCCCCAAATCCTAACTAAGCTGCAAAGGGCAACGCTTGTAAAAGCATCTCTTGAGAGCACTGTTGTGACAGTTTTGGGGATGAGATTGCATGAATGCCTGAACAACATTCTAAATTCAAATTTCAGAGCAGTTAAAGATGAAACTGGGCCTGGTGCAGTGGCTCACATCTGTAACCCCAGAACTTTGGGAGGCCGAGGCAGGTGGATCACGAGGTCAGGAGATCGAGACCATCCTGGCTAACACAGTGAAACCCCGTCTCTACTAAAAATACAAAAAATTAGCCAGGTACTGGGGCATGTGCCTGTAGTCCTAGCCACTCTGGAGGCTGAGGCAGGAGAATGGCGTGAACCCGGGAGGCGGAGATTGCAGTGAGCCGAGATTGCGCCACTGCACTCCAGCCTGGCGACAGAGCAAGACTCTGTCTCAAAAAAAAAAAAAAAAAAAAAAAAAACTAAAAAAAAATGTAAAAAAAAAGATGAAACTGCTACCTGAGCTGGACCACAAGGACACATACTTCTCTTATCTCCGCACACTATAAAACTCCAATCCTGCTTCTCTTCTACTCAGAGAGGTCCCTGGTCTTCAGAGGTTTCCTGATGTACATTGGCTGGATGAAGTCATTAATCTCTATTGGAATCATTTAAACAATTTTCTTTTGACAGAGGGAGTAGTGATCATAAATTAAGGGTTTTGACCTTTGACTTTTTGGGTGAGCCTGTGAAAGACACATCTCAGGACACTAAATGGAGTGTTACAATGAGACTGAGTTAGAAAATAAGGAAGATACTAGGTTTGACTCAGGGCCAGTAGAAAAAGCAGGTGGAACTAGATTTAAACAACTGCTTTCAGAAAGTAGGTTTGCACCCAGAATCAGCCAGAATCTAGCTTAAGGACAATGTCCTCCATAGTGTCAAGCCTGTCAAAGACTTCTCACACCCATCCTGAGTGTGGAGGTCACCAGGACTATTTTCACTTTAGACCAGTTGGCTACAAACTTGGAGATCCCTGTGGAATCCCTCAGGTTTGATAATTTGGTGGAGTAACTCATAGAACTCAGGAAAGTGCTATACTTACAATTGCAGTTTTATGATAGCAAACAATGCAAATCAGAACCAGCCAATGGAAGAGAAACATAGGGTAGAATCTGGGACTGGGAAGGTCCTAAACACCAAACTTTCATCTTCTCAGGGACACAGCACCTTCCTGGCATCAATGTGTGGCAATGTGCAGAACATTGCCAACTTAGAAAACACATCCTAGCTTTAGTTTATGGAGTTTTTATTGAAGTTTCATTTGATGGGCATAATTGATTGAGTTGTTCCCCACATGGCTGAGCTCAGTCTCCAGCCCTTTCGTCTCCAGAGGTCAGGTTGATTTCACTTGACCTAAAGTTCCAATTCTTTAATCGCATGTTTGCTCTTTGTGGCATGACCCCATCCTAAACCTATCCATGTGGCTGGCTCCACCACATATCATCTCTTTAGCATAAACTGTCACGTACCCACTGTGAGTCACTTTGTTAGCACAGATGGTCATGTATGGTCTGAGGGACCATGATGAATAACAAAGGCGCCACTATCAGTTGGGCAATTCCAAGGGTTTAGAGGTTACGTCTAAGGAGCCAGGAAAAAGGCCAGACTTCTGACTGGGTGAAGTTAATTCTTCACCACACTGTTTGGCAATGTGGGTTGACCCAAAGCTCATGTATGTGTGAACTTGTCAGGTTGCAAAAAGGTATGGCAAGCAGGTGGGCAGGGAGCATGAGTGGTGGGACAAAATGCTGTCAGGAGACTCGTGGCCACCTGCCATGGTCCAGAACTGCATGGGCTGAACTCTGCTTCACCAAGAGACCAGGTGAGACAGGCTACCTGAGTAGAAATGCAGCTATTGCACATATTTGGTCAGAACAGTCCAATCTCTAGGCTTGCCCCAGTTTTTACATTCAAGTAGACCACTAGTGGCTATGAATTCATAGTCTAAGCTTCTATCTTCACACAACAAAAACAGAAATATCTGATGATGACAGAGTAATAAATGTTGCTTAAAACAAATTCTCAATCCTTTAGAGTGAGAGAGAGAGAGAGAGAGAGAGAGAGAGAGAGAGAGAGTAAGCGAGCGAGGTAGCAGGCCGGAGAGCAAAGACTTGGGGAAATTGTCAGGTTATCTCTAAATAATTAGCATTTGGATTTCAATGTGCTCTGAGGTGTGCACTTGCTCACAGAGACACTCTGGTTTAGGAAATAGTAATCTTGTTTTGCTCTTCATTAAAAGCTGGAACAGACAGTTTGTCTTTGAGGCTAATGCAATGCAAGTGGCTAAGCTGATTTGTGTTTTCTCAAATTCCCCAGGTGCTAGGGACTGGGTAGCTTATTGGACTTCAAAGGGCTTCTCCTCATGAGAAGTAAGTACAGGGAGTTAAGATGTTACCCAGAATAGGAATAGGAGATTCTTCTCTCCTAGGACATGCTTCTCTCAGATCACCTGGAGGCAAGGCAGAAAGCAGATGAGTGGCACTGAGGATAATGGGATGAAGGTAAGGAAAGATTAACTCTGGGCATTTTGTATTCCTCGGTTATATCTCAGGACTTTTAATCAGGGAGCCTATAATGCTGGATTATTAGTCCTTTGTTACAAGAAAACTTCTTTTAAACTATCTCCAAGGTGGTTCAGTGCAAGGAACATTGTGCATGGATTCAGAAGAGCTAGGTTTGAATAAGACTGCCTCACTTACTAACTGTGCAATCCTTGGTCAATCCACTACACTTTCTACCTCTGTTTTCTCATCTGTAAAACGGGAATAAAAATATTTATCTTAAAGATTATCAGAATTAATGAAATAATGCATATAAAAATGGAACACACTGTCTTTTCATAATGGGTGTTCGGTAAGCATTTCTTTTCCTCACCTTGCCTGCTTCCTTTTACTCCAGCACTACATAATCTAAAACCTCTTGCTACTCAAAGGCTTTTGAGCCGCCACTTTGACACAGAAATCTGCATTGTCTCTAAAAGTCTAATTCACCCTGCAAACCCAAATTCTGCTTAATTGCTTCCTTCTACCATTGCTCTTGGCAAGCTCTGTATAGCTCAGTTTGAAATTTAACCCTATTTGCCCCTTGTCAAGGACACTGTGCTTGGGGGGTAAGCTGTTTCTGAAGAATTGTGCAATTTAGGAAAATTAAGTTTCAGGCCAGCCATGTAGCTCTGACAGCTTAGACTGCTTAGTACTTAGCAATAATGGAGAAAATGCCAGTAAAAATGACAAAACGGCAGCGCCCTGACCCACCAGGTAATTGTGTATTGAATATGTCTTGGCTCAAACCAGGGATGATTTCGCTTAAATGAACTGAGGACAAAACTGCTTGTTGTAAGTTATATAAAACAAGACCAGTGATCTGGGTAATTAAAGATGCAAACTAGCAGCACAAGATGTTTGACAATGGAAGGTGAATATCACTGGCTTTAAAGAAGCGAGGTGCGGGGGAGGGCAAACCATTCCTGTTTAATGAACTGATTTCAGGCATGTATATGGGCACCAGGAAAGAGAGGCAGTCATTCAAACCTAGCTGTATATATTTTTTTAATATTAGAAGAAAAAAGATTAGAGATATTGGTTGTCCTGGGTTCACAACTGCTCTTATCATCCTGCAGAGGCACAGAGAGGAGCAAAGAAGGTAAAGAATTTGAAGGAGATAAGTACAAAACCACAGAGTGAATTTGTGCAGGAATAAGGATTAAAGCTGTTAAGTGCTTTAGTCACTTGATCCTGCTAATCTTTGTTCTCTAATGTGAAAAATTCATGGGCTTTAGGAGGAGACTACTGTAGGTTCCTATGTGAAACCAGGAATGACTGTCATTGTGTAATCCCCACATATTTGCACCCTATCTTTTCAGTAATCAGAAATAGGCAGCTGGGGAAGGCAGGAGAGAGATTAGCTCTCAATTTCCCGGCACATTGTGTTTTTGTGTTGCAGCATCTTTAATTACTGAAAAGTAATTCATTGAATAGCACCCTAGTGGCTTGAAAGAGTTAAAGCAGCTTCCAGAAGTGCCTAACCTTCTCCCAGGGAGTAGCTTAAGTACAGAGAAAATCTGGCTCAATAAATACTAAGCAATGAGAATCAACTGATAAGGGTCAAACTCCACAAAACAAAATTGAACCAATAGACCATTTAATCCAGTACCTTCTCCATAAATCTCTTTTCACCATAAAGCACTATTTACTCTTTAATTTCCATGAATTGATGGCCATTCTTCCTCAATCCTTTGAGGTCAGGTTAATATCCATTTATTCCTTTCATTCCATCCATCCTTCCATCCATCCATCCATCTTATTGAGCACCTACTGTGCACGGCTCTGTAATAAATAAGAAACAGTCTTTTTCTGTAAATAACTCACTGGAAGAGAGAGATGGGATGAGATGGAAATATATAACCAACTCTGCAAGAGCCTCTGTAGAGAATCTCCTCCAGAAGTCCTCACTAATATAACCATGTATTTCCTGAATATTTTAAAGAGGTAATAGCAGGAGCTGGCTACAGAATCCCAAGCTCTTCTATTTATTACGCAGGCAAAATTTAAAATTTGTGTGTATGGGACACAATTGCTTTAAGAATGAGAAACATAAATTCATTAAATATACACACAGATATGATATATCTATCTCTATCTCTATCAACATATTTGGGCATCCTAGAGTCTTTCCTTTACCTTACAAACTATATTCAATCAATTATTATGTTGTACTTATTCTACTACCTTTATATTTTTTAAAATCTGTACATTTTTCTCTATCCTTACTGCCACTACCTTAGTACAAGCCACCGCGGTTCCTCATTTAGTTTTTAGCACTTGCTCCTGTCTTGCTACATTCCAGTCTTACTCCTTTTTCTCTCAAATCTATTCTTCAAATTGAAACCAGAGTGTGCCTTGCTTAAGACCCATCAGTGGCTCCTAGTTGTGCACAGGATAAATAAAGTCTTAACTCCTTAGCATGGTGTACAAAGTCCATCATGTTTGCCTCTCTAGAACCATCTCCTGATGCTCCTCTATTGAATTCCCTGCCCTAAGACTCTGAATGCACCATGTTCTATCTTGCCTCCTAGGTTTTGTGCGTCTTGTTCTTTGCTGGGAGTATCCTGTTCCAGCCAAGCCCAAGCCCCACGCCCTTTCCTCTGTATACTCAACTAAGTTCCATGAGCTAAAACATCTCTTCATTCAAAATTCCTTTCTTGAATGTCCACTCCCTTTTTCTTTCTTCCAAAACACAGTGTGCTTCGCATCATTTCTTTTTTTTAAATTGAGACGGAGTCTCACTCTGTCACCCAAGCTGGAGTATAGTGGCTCCATCTCGGCTCTCTACAACCCCCGCTGCCCGGGTTGAAGCAATTCTCCTGCCTCAGCCTCTCAAGTAGCTGGGACTACAGGCATGTGCTACTGTACCTGGCTAATTTTTTTAAAATTTATTTTAATTTTTTTTATTTTCAGTAGAGATGGGGTTTCGCCATATTGGCCAGGCTGGTCTTGAACTCCTGACCTCAGGTGATCCATCTGCCTCGGCATCCCAAAGTGCTGGGATTACAGGCATGAGCCACTGCACCCAGCCTATTTCTTTGTCCTCTCATAGCATCCGTTGTCTTTTCCATACTAAAGTATAGATGCTTCATTTCTTGTCATCTATCTTTCTAGTTGTTTGATGGCAAGTTCTAAGTCTTGATTGTTTAACAATATATTCTCTAATACTTAGCTTATCATGAAGCACAAAACATTTAACAATTATGTTAAACAAATGACTGAAAGTAAGATAAATGCTCAATAAAGGGTGAGTTCAGTTTCAATTTTTCCCTAAACTGGGCCTTTCATAAATGGGCTCATCTTATATGAGTCCTTCCTAAATTTTATTGATGGGTGAATTGGAAATAGAAGGGAAGAGCATTCCAAACACCTTTGGTGAGTCAAGTCCTTGTTTCTAAAAACACTAAACTAGAATTTTGAAAATTAGGGTGATCAACTGTCCGGATTTTCCTGGGACTGTTCCTTAAATCCTGCTTCCCAGGAAAGCTCTCACTCTTGATTTAGCTCTGAAAGTCTCATGTACTAGGAAATCCCTCAGTCCTGGGATAACTGGGTAAACTGGGGCAGTTGTTTGCCCTAGAAGTCTTATGTCTTAGAGGTTATCTTCCTAGTATTTCTGCCCTATTTAGTTGCAGAAACCTCTAGCACCTCCAGGGGATGTAGCTGAATGAGAATCTAAAGGGAGTGTGAGCTGAGGCCAGGAGGTAGAAGGCTTGGCAATATCCTCACAGTAGTCCAGTGTTGGAACTGATGAAGCTGATACTCAAATCCACGATGGAACATCTGCAAAGCTCCCTTTCTTGGCAGCTGTGAGGGCGGCAGGAGTCCTGGGCTGGAGTTGGAACACCTTGGGAAATCTAGTTAGAGATTCTCCAAAGCTAGTTGACTTTAGCCTCAGTGTCTTCATCTGTAAAATGAAATAGTGCTTTCCTGTATGCATCCCAGGTTTGTTGGAAATTTGAAAGGTCAGTGGACAGTGTGTGTGAGAGTAGTTTGAAAGCCATAAGTGCTCTGCAAATGGAAGAGCTTTCATTATTCCATAGCAATGTTGTACAAACACACGCTGAGTTTTTCCATTAAAAGTTATAGTCAGGGTGGTTCTAGAAGTGTCTGTTCTCAGGGATATAAAAAGGCCTGGCCGGGCGCGGTGGCTCACGCCTGTAATCCCAGCACTTTGGGAGGTCGAGGCGGGCGGATCATGAGGTCAGGAGATCGAGACCATCCTGGCTGACACAGTGAAACCCCGTCTCTACTAAAAATACAAAAATTAGCCGGGCGTGGTGGCGGGCGCCTGTAGTCCCAGCTACTAGGGAGGCTGAGGCAAGAGAATGGCATGAACCTGGGAGGCAGAGCTTGCAGTTAGCCGAGATTGCGCCACTGCACTCCAGCCTGGGCGACAGAGCGAGACTCCATCTCAAAAAAAAATAAAAAATAAAAAAATAAAAAAAAAAAGGCCTGTGCAATTGCAAAGATATGGAACCAACCTAAGTGCCCATCAACTGATGAGTGGATGAAAAAAATATGGTACATTTCCACCATGGAGTACTACTCAGCCATGAAAAGAGTGAAATAATGTCTTTTGCAGAACTTGGGTGGAGCTAGAGGCCATTATTCTAAGTGAAATAACTTAGAAATGGAAAACCAAATACCATATGTTCTCATTTATAAGTGAGGTAACCTGTGGGCCTACAATGGCATACAGAGTGATATAACAGATGTTGGAGACTCAGAAGAGGGAGGGTGGGAAGGGGGTGAGGCATAAGAAACTACATATTGGGTACAATGTACACTACTCAGGACTGGTGTACTAAAGTCTCAGACTTCACCACTATACAATTCATCCATGTAATCAAAAATCACTTGTACCCCTAAAACTATTGAAATTATATATATATAATATATATATATATATATATATAATATATATATATGCACAAAAAAAGCCTGTGCAAAAACATAAAGCAAAATCTATAAGCACATGATACACAGCTTCGAATGCTGGAAGTTCTTGGCTGTGACATAGGGATAGCTGGCCATGAAAAGCAGTGTCTTTCTAACGTTACAGCCTAGGATCATCTCTTTTATGGAATTAAATTGTATAAATTACATGATAGTAATTTGATGACCTGATCATTATTTTTAGTGATCATTTATTTTTGCCAAAGTTGGCTTCCTACCATATACAAGATGTGTTGAATTTTGAAAGCTGTATTAAAATTTAACATCTATTCTTTTATTACCTTAGTTTTTATTTTTTTGTGTTCTTTTTGAGAGACATAATGTTGCATTGCTATTTTATTCTCTTTCTGCAAAATCACAGGAAACCTATCAATTCTGATGCCTTTCTCCTCTTATAACATTTTTGAAATATAAGAATTATAAAATATTTTCTAGATAGAATATAATACACTACCTATTGCAGGAAATCTATGTCATCCCCCCTCACTAGTTCACCACCCCCCAACAACACATATTCAGTTACACCGTAATGTGTTTCAACCAAAGAAAATTACTGACCCCATGATCTGAACAACAAAGTGTTCTTAAAGTATATTGCCTCATCTGTTAGGTTTGATTAAACCATTTATCAGCAAAAAATAAAAGTTGCTTTTCTTTGCTTAGCATGTCTGGAGTTTCAGGAGCACTTTTGAGGCTATTGTTAACTCAGTGTTTCTAGCTGAATTGCATACTCTCACTGGTTTATGGTAATAAGAAGGTGAGCTTAAATTAGGAGGAGGATAGCCTTATTTCTTCTACTACTCTGCTTGTCACACGCAGGTTTGATTCTGACTGTCTTGTTGGCCAGATTAGACTAGCTAGAAGCATTTAGTTGCATAGTTTACACACACACACACACATGCACATGCACACGCACACACACACACATTTGCTTCCATTAAGGAAGTCATATCATCATTTATCTATCCATGATATATATGCATTGAATTTTTTTCCACCTATGGAGGTGGATTTATGGTATGTGCTTTCTCACCTTAGTGAAATATCTGGCTAATATTAGGTATGTAACCAAACATTAAACAGCACAGTTTTTCCTTGTGTAATGTTCATGGATCCTCAGAAGCACCAAATTGCCGTCTTCATCTTTTTACCTCCATTCCCCACTCTGTAGAGTCAGTGGCTCCAGTGAGTGTGACGGTTGCACAGTTTGATCCTGTATGACTCTATAAGGGTTATATGACTTCATATATGTGGTCAATTTTGATAAGTTCCTAGATGAAGTTACATTTGGCTTGGGATGATCTGAGCAAATTGTTATTCAGCTCTCATTATGAACACAGTGCCAGGAGGATGTATGAGACCAATGCCATATTTACGGAGCTGCAAAATTGAACAATAGTTTATTCTTTTTGAAGTTTCTGGTTAGGTTTTGTAGAAGGATTGGTAACATTCATTTATCCTTCTAATATTTATTGAGCAACTACAATGTGCTGGGTACTGTGCACATCTGGAAATGAGATCAAACGGCACAGTCCTTTGGAAAGTTTAACATCTAGGGGGCTACTAGCCTTGCAAATAGGCACCAGTGATAACTGCTGTAAGAGAAGGTTTAAATTATAGAAAGAGGATAGATGTAGAAGAATCACAGTTTGCTTGGGTGGGCGGTGTTAGGGAAATTTTTTTTGGTCAGAATAGAATTTGAATTGAGACTTCAAGGACAATTAGAAGTTTATACCAAAAAAAAAAAAAAACAAACAAAAAAGAACAGAACACTTCAGGAGGAGGAAAATATACCAAGGTCTGGAGGCAAAAGAGAGCATGGTTGTTTAAAGCACGGTTGTTCAGTATTGCTGGGTATTAAAGAGTTTGTGTGTGTGTGTGTGTGTGTGTGTGTGTGTGTGTGTGTGTGTGTTGGGGTGGGGGCACTTGGAGGGGAGATGTTCTGGGCTAGATGGGACTACACATAGGCAGGCAGAGGCAGGCAGAGGCAGCCAGATTATGAAGAACATTGGTTGCCAAGCAAAGGAACTTAGCCTTTATACTCTATAAGAGATTTTTATCATAGAAGTTGTGACAAATGGCAGTTGGGGAGTAGCAATTACACATCTCCAATACCCTATCTGTAACCTCCTCTGAGTGACTATAAAAGCTAGGTGTGCCCTTGAGAATATGTCAAATGTAAGTGGAAAAGAGCTGAGATTACTGCTGTGGCAGTTGTGAACTATTGAACACATTTGAGCAGGGGCACACTGGATCAGATTTACATGTTCATTTTGATAATGAGGAAAAAGGCTCAGAGAGGTTAAATGACTTTCTTCAAGTTAAATATCTAGTGATGTTTGAGGTAGGATTTCATTCAGGTTGACTAAATACACTAGCACTCTTTTCATCTCACTAAAAGGCTGAAGGGGAGACTAGAAGCCACAGAGTAGATAAGGATTTATGGCTCAATACAAAGGGAGGACAAGCTGAATGCTAGTTGGTTGCATAGAATGGAAAGGGAACAAGATCTTAAGAGGAAATGTAGAATTCTCAAAATATTTAGGAAAACAGCAAGATGGGCATCTAGTAGAAGTTACACAATTTTTGGTTAAAGAGCTGTTGCCTAAGGGGAAGTTTCTGGAGAGTTATAGCAGAGTTCAGAGGGAGTGATAGTAGGATACTAACATTAAGCATCAATGACATGAACAACTAATTTCTCCATAATCTATCATGTTGATTTTGACCTGAATGATCTAGTTGGAGGGTTGGAAACCCAGACCCATTGGAGCTGAATTTGGTGTAACATAGTTCCCACTTGTCCTCTAGACAGTGGCATTAGTTTTTAGAAACATCAGAAGTTCCAAGGGCACTGACTCTGAGAATAGTGCCACTGTGGAGTGGTATTGCCATTCAGTGACTTCATTCTTAAAATTTACAATCTTTTGGGTCTAGGAGAGCTCATAAGCACTATTGCATTAAATACACAAAGGGTATGGCCATCAAACGGGAAGCATTTCACAGTCAAATCCAACTGGCTGGGGACAACTCCTTGTCCAGCGGGCTTTATCTTAGACCTGCCACATTTGAACTCCTCAGTTCAGAGCTGGTCTTGACCTAGCAGTTCTGTGATTTCATTACTTCAAACCTATTCTTCACTGATTTGACATTTTGTCAAAACTCAACTCCCACTGTGGCCTTCAATTTATATCCTTGCCTAATGCATAAGCTTGATACATTCTAGAATCTTCTTCTTTCTATTTCTTGATACCTTGGAAGTGTCTAGTGAACAATAACTGGTGCACTGGAGATTCAACATGTAACTCCATTTATCACATGCCAAAAATATGAAAACTTAACGTTTACTGAGACTTTTTCAGTGTTTTGCATACCAAGAATATGGACCCTAAAGTGTGCTGGCAGTTAAACATTGTGTTGCTTTGTTTTGGTATTTGTGTTTATATTTTCCTTGGACACATACCATGCTCTACACATCGTTTGTGGGATGAATGACTTTTTTCCTTATTAGGAGGTTATGAATATGTGGTATAATTCTTGATTAAACTTCTTGAAGTCCTTGAACCAGCCTTAAGATAAATAAAATGACCTAAGTGGAAGGACCTAGTCTTGTGCCTGCCACATGGTAGTAACTTATTGGCAGCTTTTTGTCACTACAGCCACCTCCCCCAGACCACCAAAACCCTCATCCCAAAATTATTAATATGGATAGCATGTTGAAGAATAAAATAATTGGGATATATTATAATTGCATTTTACCTTTTAAATTTTGAAAGTGGGCAAATAATACTCTGCTCTGTCTTGCCTTTTAAAAAGAATGTTTCTCCCCCCCACCTTTTGGTTTACTTTCTGAAAAACAATCTGGCTGTTGAGTTCTGATTAAAGGTGAAGCATGCTTCAATATGCAAGGATGAGATATTAGAGGAAAAGATAACGCTCGAAACCACACTTTTAACATTCAATTTCAGTGCTGTCCAGAACAACTATAAAACTGGGGAAAGGTGAGTAATAGATTTGACAGCTATACTCTAAAATGGACCTTATTAGTGAGATATAAATTATAACCAGGCATTTCCTATCAGCACCCTGTGCAGTTAATGATAAGCAGTCAATGAGATTTATATACCCTTAGCATTTTTATAATGAGTCTTTGATGACAGTTTACTCTCAAACATTATGCTTAGAAATTTATAGCATTTGATTCAAATGAATAGACAGTTTAGCTTTATTGCAATCTGTTCTGATTTTCCCTTTTCATGAGACTCACATTTTCACTTTTTTCTTTTTCTTTTTTCCTTCCCTAGACTAAACCCTTAAACACTACACTGAAAAATTAAGTTTTGAAGTGGGTGCACATTGACCAGCAGGAAGCATGTGATAACTTGCGGGGAAAGAGTTCAGTGAATTTCAAGAACAGGCATGAGGAGTCTAAAGAGGAGGCATGTTGTGTTAAAGTATTAAACATTTACAGATGCACCAGGTTGGTGGCTGTAGGAAAGTTATGACATACAATAGCAAGAGATAGGGCGGGGAGAAGGGCCTTTAACCATGTGAAGGGGTGGCCCAAACATTTGTGTAGAGGAGGTCACATCTCATTCTCTCCTGGAAAGAACCCCACATTGGTTCACACAACTGTCCACAACCCTGAGGACAAGTGCCCAATAAAGGCTGTTGACAGATTGACTGCAGCTGGAGAGGGCACGCCAAGGCGATTCTGAGGGATGCCCTACAGAGCCCTCTGCCCCAACAGGGTCACTTTGCCATGCAGTTCAAGTGTACACAGCTGTTGGATCTGTTGGCTGCCTCTGCACGGCAGGGAATGTGACTTTGGGTAGCAGGTGTGGGATTTTCAGGAAATAGAACTGCTGGTCTATAGAAAATGTGGTCTTTCAGGAAGATAGGCTTTGAAGACAGGTATTTTCCAAAGGTGGTAGTATTAGAAATGTATTTATGCAACATTTAAAAAAAGTAGCTCAGGTGGGCTGAAAGCATTCTTATCCCTTCTATTCTATGTTCTCTGTCCCATTTCGGACCCCTTACACCTGCCCTACCTATCCAAGAGCCACATGTTCACTGGCTCAGAGGAGTGAGCTGGAAATAGGCACCTGCATTTAAGGTGCAGGATGGCTGCCACCTGTGCCCCATTTGTTCTTGTTCTGACTTCATCTCCATCCCAACTCTGAAATCTTGGCCCTAACATTTCCTGCACTGGGCCCTTTGAATTCAGTATGGACAATCTCTTGTTTTATGAGTCTTAGAATTTCTGAAAGAATCCTGAGTTGGCTTGCCTCTCTGCCTCTTTGTACACGTGCTACTCAGAATCCCTCTTGGATTAGGAGCCTAACCTTGTCAATGACTATTTCACTAGTAGTCAACCCCAGGGCCCCAGCAAGGACCAGAGTGGACAATCAGGCACATACCTCGTAAATAAAACATTCAATTAAGACAATAACATCACTATCTATTTAGGCTCAACTATGCACCAGGCTCTGTGCTAAGTATTTTACATATATTTCTTCCTAGGGCTTACTATATAGCCTTGTGAAATCATATTATTTATCCTCATTTTACAACTAAGGGAAACTGAGTTTTTGAGATGTGTCAGAGCAGAGATTCAAATCTAAACCTCGATATTCTTTCAGGAATATTAGAACCATAAGTTTAAGGTGATTTAATTCAGAAAAATAAGGAACTCTGATTTCTCATGCCCCCATCCATCTTACTGTCTTGTTTGGAGGTCTCAGCTAGTACATTTATCTTTCTTTTTCATGAGGATACTGTTTCATGTGATCATTCTTGCCTGAAAGCTGATTGATTACAAGTGTTAAATTTAAATAATGCCACATTTAGGAAAGAAATGGAAAGAAAGCATTGGAATTCTCTGAGGCCTGAGTCAGGCGAAGCCATACTAGGTACTAGGCTGAGAAGGTTATCCTTGAGAAATTCATGAGTTACTAGTTTTGGTGTATTTGTAAGAAAAATTCCAGTGTTGTTCTATTAGAAAAAAATACACTGACAGTGGAAGTCTGTGGCATGCACTTAAATTATTGCACTACAGTGAAAGCAGGCATTGAGGAGGAGTGGTTGTCAGGGAGAATTATGAAAGCAAGAGAGCGCCATGGTGACAACTTTGGAAGACATTAAAGGGTCTTAAAAGGGTCATGGACAGAAGGCAACATTTCTCCAGCATGCCCCAGAGGTCATGTAGCTGAAGGCACACAGCCCCAGTGACTGTGCAGAATGCTGAGTGAGGGCTTGGAACCAGCAAATGAGAGGCACATATTCTGCTATCAGGAGCTTAGACTCCAGCGAGATGTGTGATCAAGTGGTTATTGCTCAGACTGGGTTAGAAAATCTTTTCTAGCCAAGGACCAATATTCCTTTAATATAGCACAATATGTGCATGAGGCTGTCTGTCAGTCTTTGGGGCTTTGGAAATACAATATTACCAAAGTCACTGACATTTTATTCATAGGAGATGAAAAATAATGGATGGGCTACCAAATGCCTTTTCATAAACATCATATTCATGTATTTTGTATAGCCTTTCTCCAAGGTTTCAAAAAACAACTTGTCCTTAGAAACCAGGAGAAAGCACGTGGAATGGTTCTAAATGAAGATATTAATATTCACATTATAGCTAAACCTTGCTAATTTGCACTAATGACTGGGAAGCCTATTGCAAATTACCAAATTAGTGAGTAAGCCAGCAACCAGGATTTCAAAAAACCCAAAGACAGCACCAGAAAATGAACCTTTTCCCATATTTCATCAATGCAATTGAATTTTAACTACTGAGAGCAATTTGTAGTCTATATTTTATCTATCTTGCAAATGTATGTGCATTTTACAGAGCAATGGTGAGCCTTTAAAATAAAATTCATTTTTACATGTGGTTGTGGTTTAGAAATGTATGTAAAAGAAAATAGAACTCTTGGAAAAAAGAAACTAAAGATTTGTCCGAAAGATTTTTTTAAATTGTAATAACTGTGTTCATTTCCTTTCGTAGTTATCAAACAGGATATACAACAGCTTAATGAAATATTGCACAAAAGACCCATAAGCATTAGTGAAATCTCTCAACTAACTAGGCACATTATTTGCAAAAGGGGAAATTTTCTAAAGCACAATTATGTGAAAAATGGAAATCGACAGAGTGGGAGTGAGGGTAGGCCTCGTAGTTTTGGTAGCAGTGGCAGCCCCGGTCTAAATCTTCTGACGGTAGAAGGGGCCTGGTGGGTAGCACTTAGGACCAGCAATGACCTACCCACCAATGTGTTGTGTTTTCTTTTCTTATTCTTAGTAAACCTTCACTTTCATACCTAATTTCGTATTTGCAACTTTGCTTTCTTCTTCAAAATTGCATAAATTTCTGCCTTCAAAAAAATTGAATCCTCCCTGATCATTGGAGCTAAGTGTCCAGACTTATTTGAGGAGAGTTATTGGAGTGGGAAAAAAGAATCGAGGATAGAATATGTATATTTAAAGAGGACTAATACTCTAAAAATGGAGAAGGAATGAACTCTGGGCTCAGAGAGTTCCAGGGATGTACAAATCTGTCCTTGTCCTCCTCCCTCTTCCCTAGGAGGGTTCTCTCTCTTTTCTGGGAGAGAAGAGGGCCCCTGCCTTCCTTGACCCTCAGGAGCAGAGCTTCAGCTCTGCTGAAGATGAGGGCTAGGCAGACAACAGGAGTCTGCTGTATTTACTATAAAATAAATACTCAGAACCACCTGCTATTTGAAGTTTTTAAAATTACCCCTCTCACCTTTGTTCTCTCCTTTGTCTTTGGACTCTGCTAGCAATAGTTAAGTTTGGTTTTCTTACCTCACATAGTAAGTCAAGTTAGGAGGTACAAACCAGATGTTCTTGGTCCGCTGTTGGTCAATTCCAGATAGAACCAGAGTGGTTTAGGCTTGACCAATGCCATTAAGCCCTGAGGGCAACATGGCAGAAGCTGGTAAAGTCCAGCTCTGAAGAAGGCAGGCTTGAGGCTGCTGTACTGGTGTGCACATCCTCTTGCCTATGGTAGTAAAGATTTAGGGCACTCCATCTTTCCTCACTAAGCAGGAACTTTAAAACAGGAGACTGCCTCTCAGATTGAGCTGGAATGAGGACCACTAAAAAGACTAGAAAAAAGATCCACCAGCTAACACCACCTTTTGCCTTTAAACCACTTATCACATTGCATTAAGAGCCCATGAATTTCAAAGACAGCCCTGGACAAGATGGAAAATGTGCATCCCAGGTGTAGAGCTTAGAGTTGAGAATTTTGCCATCATATATAACAGCTTTCTATTAAATGTCTTGCCCAAGTATTATTTAGACACACCCCTCTGGAAGCAAAAATAGAAACATGAAAGAAGCACAGATAATTATTATATTTAAAGAACTTTTAATAGAATTATCTGCATTGATGGCTAACTTTAACTTTACCTAAACTTTCAACTGCACTGTACTTGACAATCTTACTAAATCTGTATATTCTTTGAAGAAAAAAGAAATATGAGTAATATTTCTCAAGGGAAATGTGTTGTTTGTAGTATTAAAATCTTCAAAATAAAGTATTTTTCTTCATGATTGTTTAGGTGGAATTCTGTAACTTATTTGTTTATTTTATTTTAAAGCTTCAAAGCTTCAAGCATTTTGGAGTGCTGGGCTTGTTGGCAGCATGTTATGCTTTTCCTCTATACTTTTATAGATTTGATAACTTTGTGAGTTGTTTCCCTGGAGACTTGATGGTAATGGTCATCACAGGTACGCTTAGTCTCCATCGCTCTTACAAGGATGCAGTTGGTGTGATTGGGTAAAAACTTCTCGTAATGAAATCCCATTCCAATTACTACAGTGTAGAACTTAAAGCATCAGCAGAATACACTGGAAACACTTCAGCATCTTTTTGTTTTTTTTTCGACTCAGCTCAGATATTATTACTTCTTAAACTTTCTTCTGCAGGAATCCATCAATGTCCTTTTTCAATCTCTCTAAAACATTCTCCAAGGAGGATTCAGAAATAGGTAATTTTCTCTTATCTGAGTTTTTGTGGAATTTTGTCTCAAATTTTATTGTGTTTTTAAGAGCCCACTAGATGCTCATAAAAAAGTAGAGTTGAGTTAAATGCACATGATACAATGCATTCATAATCTTAAAATATTCCTTAGGAAGAACAATCAGAGTAATCCTTCTTTTATTCAGAAGACAGTCTACCCAAACTCTTCTTAACACTTCCAGAGGTTTGAAAAACCAATGCCCTTAGCTGGTTATAATGAAATTTTCACAAAAGACATTGAAAATGTTTATAATACGCATGAACAAATAGACATGGTGAATTCCCTTACACAGCTGAGGATAGAAAATCAGCTATTGGAATCCCTCTGGACCATGACAATTTGATCCCATTAATGTCTTGATTCTGTTAAGATGGTAAAAGGAGGATTTTCTTTCTCATTGTTGAATTAAAATGTCCAGCTAAAAAGCAACACTCTGGCAGAACAGTCACATATTGAAAGGAAAAAGAGGCTAATGGATGTTTTCAGAAATGTTTGATAAGACTTAGCAAGGGGACTTTGTTGTTTCATTATACTGTACTCCATATTCAGGTTTGAGAGTGTTAGAGTCTGACACCTCCTCGATCTGTTTCTTCATTTTTTTTTCCCATTTCTAGAAGTGTTTTTAAAAAGAAGGGAAGAGTTGTTTCATTGCAGGTATCTTCCATTGAAAGATTTCTTTATTCAGCTTCTGTCTTCAACTTTTCCTCTTTCTTAATAGCTTTTCTGAAAAGCAATGAATGAACATTCTTAAATAAGAACAATGAAAGGAAAATTAACTTGGAGTTGCCATTTTTTTGATCACTGAATTTCTGAACATAAAATAATGATCTCAACAAGGGCAAATTTTAGCTAAGATAATAACGACTGTTTTCTACATTTTGTTTTTCACATTATTGACTTAATTAAGAGTAATTCTATTATCCAGTAACATCAAGATGTAGAATTTTGGTGTGTATGTTACGGTTAACAGAAATTCATCCAATTGCTTATATGCATGCCATCTGCTTATAGGCTAATTTGCCCACATAAAATCTGGAGAAACATTGAAGGCCATTTAAAATCAATCCATTCATGAATCAAAATGTATTGTGATCACCTACTATAAATGAGATATGATGCTATTATTTTTAAGGACACAGAGATGTGTTATGCACTGGCCTGCTTTCAAGTGGTTTATAACTGACATAATTATTAAAGACAAACAATCACATGAGGTAGTAAGAGAATGTGAAGTCTGACAGTATGGACTGCCAGAGAATGGTGGGCTCACTGTGTGCTGCTGCAGTCAGAGAAGGCTTCCTGGGTTGTGCTAGAAAAGTGAGGTATAAATAAGCTACAGTAACAAAGAGTAGAGGTATGTATTGGTCTATAAGAGATATATAAGGGAGAGCAGGGAGAGACAGCACTGCAGGTAGAGGGACTGACACAATTAAAACTGCTTCAGGCAAAAGCTGCAGAGTGCTGGGGTTAGCTGGGAAGGTCTGGGAACTGCTCGGTCAACCTGGAGTAGTGGGAAATAACAACAGAGGGTGTTTGCTCTTGCTTTTCTAGTTCTTTTAATGGTGATGTTAGGGCATGCTGCTATAAAGACACATGCACACGTATGTTTATTGCGGCATTATTTACAATAGCAAAGACTTGGAACCAACCCAAATGTCCAACAATGATAGACTGGATTAAGAAAATGTGGCACATATACACCATGGAATACTATGCAGCCATAAAAAATGATGAGTTCATGTCCTTTGTAGGGACATGGATGAAATTGGAAATCATCCTTCTCAGTAAACTATCGCAAGAACAAAAAACCAAACACCGCATATTCTCACTCATAGGTGGGAATTGAACAATGAGAACACATGGACACAGGAAGGGGAACATCACACTCTGGGGACTGTTGTGGGGTAGGGGGAGGGGGGAGGGATAGCACTGGGAGATATACCTAATGCTAGATAACGAGTTAGTGGGTGCAGTGCTCCAGCACGGCACATGTATACATATGTAACTAACCTGCACAATGTGCACATGTACCCTAAAACTTAAAGTATAATAATAATAAATTAAAAAAAAACAACAACAGAGGGGAGACTAGTAAAATGCCCAATGAAAGATGAAATCATTTAACTGTTTTTCAAACTAGGATTTGCAACTGTGGTTTCAACAAGTCAGGAAAAATAAATTTCTGTGCAAGCAGGAATTAACCCTGTTGTCTCAGTAACTGACTTGAGTTTAGTGTCAAAGACCGGATGACTAAAGAGTACTACCTAATGATCTTTATTTTGTTCACTGTGCTTTAGACAAGAGCAAATACACACATGTTTTCTGCTCAAAGTGTGTCTGTACATCAGCCATTATTAATGGTTCTCAGTGGCATGTCTTTTTGTCTGGGGGTAACACATGACCTTAAATATGAGCTCATAGATACACATTAGTATATGCAAATCCATTTATATACATATACAGTCGCCCTTCAGTATCCATGGAGGATTGGTTCCAGGATCCCCTGAGGATACCAAAATCAACAGATGCTTCAAGTCTGTTATATAAAATGATGTAGTATTTGCATATAACTTGCTCACATCCTCCCATGCACTTTAAATCATCTCTAGATTATCTGTAAGACCTAATACAATGTAAAAGCTATGTAAATAGTTGTTTTTTTCATTGTTTAGGGAATAATTACAAGAAAAAATTCATACATGTTTAGTACAGACACAACCGTCTGTGTTTTTCCTGAATATTTTTAATACGTAGTTGGTTGAGGCCACAGATGTGGATCCCATGACTACAGAGAGCCAACTGCATATGTATTTTGGACAGAGAGTTTAAATAGTGGTTGATTTAAAATCTTGGTGTACAGTAGGCAGCACCTGCTTCACCATACCAAGGGGAAAGGTTTTCTTTGATATACATCTCCTCTTGTTAGTTATAGGTGCTTTTGATGATGAAAATGAATGGACCAAATATGCCACAGTCTGTTCATTTCTTACAAATATGCATGGTCTTTGATCAGAGCTCTAGGCTATAATCTATAATTAACCTATATTCAAAGACTGCCTGCAAAAACCACCATTTTTTTTTATTTTTTGCAGGTGAATTCTGTGAGCAGGTGTCAATAAACACACCACCAACTTTTCTAAGGCCAAAGCCAAGAACACACATTAAAATAGTACTATAGTAATTGTTTCAAAAGGATTCTTAATTTATAGGTAGAACAACTACATCTAATCTTGCTTTCACAATGTACTACTGAATACAATTATTTAAAGTCATTTGTCTAGTGAGTTACTGAACATTTCATAACAAATCATCTTTTCTAGGAAATAATTCACTGTGAGACACATTGATGACAGGTTCGGATTTTAGAAAACGGTAATTCATAGTATCAGCTCAGTTGTCTTGATGACCTTCACTAGGCTGTAGTAGTATTTTACTTATTCTTCCCTCTGCTTTACCTTCCAACATACCAGAGAATAATTCATATCCTTGCTAACCTTTGCAAATGATTTCCCCAAAGGTTTTCCTTCATCAATATCAGGGAAAACTAACCCATTGTCATCATCTTTTAAGAGGTAATTAGCCATGAATAATTGCTCCATCCTGACATCTTTCTAACTGAATTGATTTTCTTTTTCTTTTATTTGAAGGTAGATCTATTAGTCATGGCCATGGCAGAATGCTATCACCCTTTCATTTTCCCATTTCTTACTGTGCTTTTCTGTGAATGCTCTGGATTACCCTAGGCTTGTCGAGTTTAATGGCATGTGAACATTTCCCTAGTTTTATTATACATTCTATTCCAAAGCAGAAGAATGGGTTTTTCTATCCAGCTTTATTAGATTCGATTTTGGAATATTTTACTTAATGGGTTATTTTCATGGCAGTCCCTATGTAATATTTATATCAGCAATGTTGTGCTACTTGATTAAAAATATCCCATGGGATATTTTTCCCCAGGATTGTTCTTGAAATTATCTTTTGGCTGTGTGCAAGTAAAAAAAAGGGGTGTATATATATATATATATATATATATATATATATATATATATACACACATACATACATACATATATATACATATATATACATATATATGTGTATATATATGTATATATATATACACACACATACATATAGCTTTTTTACATATATACATACACATATATATACACACATATATACACATATATACACACACACATACATATAGCTTTTTTTACATATATACATACACATATATATATACACACATATATATACACATATATACACATACATACACACATATATACACATATATACACGTATATATACATGTGTATACATATACACATATATACACATGTATATATACACACATATATACACATATATATACACACAAACACACACACACACACACATATATATGTATACACACACACACACACACATACCTATATATACACATACCTTTTTTTTCTGGTCATGAGTTGGTTGCCCTATAACAAACTGAAGACACCCAAATACAATAATTGGAGGACGGCCATGAAAAAGAAGAAGAAGAAAAATAAACAGACCATGTCTGTATAGTTCCTGTTGATAACACCCAGATGGGATTTTGTCTATGTGCTCTACTAAGGAGCTGCCCTGGAAAATTATTCAAAAGCTTTGGCTGCTACAGGCTCCAGGAGGTTGGTTATGCTTTTGCTCGATAGTCTCCATTAGTCACTGATTTGCTTTTGGACACCATTTGAGAAATTAATTTTTATCTATAAATTCCTGTGAGGATGGGTCCTGGTTATCTTGGCAGTCATGTTTCTACCCGCTTTAAAGGCAATGAGGGAGACTCCTTGATAGAATTATATATGATGAGAAGCCAGTCCTCTGTGCTTAAATAGGTAACCTTAATGTTGTGTGACTAGATTTTGGCAGTAAACAGGTATTTTATGTTCTGCCAAGATTTTACTATCAGATACACTCTCCTGTTAGCTATTTAATGAGACAAGGTCTTTTTTCCCCTTTTGCTATATTGCAGCATTGCTTAGATTTATGTCTGATTCAAAAGCAGCTGTTCCCAGTTTCTTCCTGGTATTTAAAATCTGAACTATGTCTGGTGTTAGCAATTTGAGAAGACTTTGTAGCTTGGATACTGATCTTATATGGTGCTGGTGGCTCGGTGAATACTCATGTAAGCAAACAGAAATGAAAATAGTACACAGTTCATTAGTAGAGTGTTGAAAGCCTGGGATATACTCTGAATTTGAAACCAACTCAGCCATAAAATCACTCTCTTTCTTGGCCAGGGTAATCTCGTCCTACTTCAATTTCCTGAGTTAGAATATAGGGATTATATAATTTTCTAAACATTGCCTTCTATGGAGAATGATAAAGATTAATCACTGGAAGTGGGATTTCAAATAGAAAATTCTCCAGAATGTAAAAGGAAATAATTTAATAACTAATTAAAACTGTACCTATCCCTTAGGGTCTCTCCCTTAGTAATCAGAAAAATCTCCTCGGTAATCAAAATGCAGCTCAATTTGACCTTCTACTATTTTGATCATCTAGTTAAATATGGTGGCCTCTCCTTGTGCTGGCAACTTTTAAGAAATTGAAACAAAATATGGGTATAACAGACAATACAGTAAAAAGACAATTTAGCAAGCTGTACATATTGTCTGAAAATTTATAGGCCATTTGCTCTTGTTACCTTCTTGGAAAAATCTTGGGGATGTTTAACACGTAGCTTCTGGACCTAAAATCTGATTATTTTCCACCAAACCTGGTCCTTGGAGAAGGTCACCATCACCCAGCCAACTCTGCCTGCTAAAAAGTGGGAGCTTCCCAAGCTGTCCATAGGTATTGCTTTGTGAATTTGGTAAGTTTATTTACTGAGAACTCCCTATATGGCAGGGCAGGCACCGTGCTAGATGAACAAGGCAGATAGGTCTCCTGCTCTCATGATCTTACATTCTTCATGACAAACAAAAGGTAGTAAACGAGAAACAGACAAATGATGAAAAATTGCTCCAAGGCCTGGGAAAGGAAAGGATGATGCATTGAGGTAGGTAATAGTGTGGTACTTACTTTGATGGGATGGTCCAGGAAGTTTGCTGGGAGGAGGGGATATTTAAGCTGAGGCTTAAAAAACAAGGAGGAGCCCTCAGTGTGGAAGTTGTCGGAAGAGGGCTTCAGGCAGAGGAACTAGCATGCGAAAAACATGGAAACAGAGAGCCAGGGGCTGGCAATGCGGACAGCAGAGAGAGGCCCGGAGACAGTCTTGTTGGAAATGATTCCAGATTCCATCCCAAGGGCACCAGGAAGCCTTTGAAAGGATTTAAATTGAGGACAGTTTTTATCTGACTTGCCTTCCAAATCTTGCTGCTGTGTGGAGGGTGAACTGAGGGTTCCCTTCCTAAAGGGCTCTTGAATGTGCTCATTTCTCTCCTTTTCACTGCCCCCACCTGGGGCCCAGCCACCATCATCTCTCACCCCCCTCACTGCAATAGCCTCTTAACCCCTCTCCTCACATTCACCCTTCCTTCTCTTTAATCCATTCTGTACACTGTAGCTGGAATGATCTTTGCACAGTGCAAACTTGATTTTGTTCCTCTCCTGCTTAGAAACCTTGCAGTGGCTTTCCATTTATAAAATGGGACATTTGTACATATCTCTCTAGGGACATTGTGAGGCTGGCGTGGGTTAATTCCTGAAAATAGGAATAAAAACTAAATGTTCTAAAGTCTATAATTTGCTCCTTCTGTTGCCATCAGGAAGTCTAGAGTTAGGATTTGGGGATCAGGAGCAGCATCCCAGCATATGATCCCGTAAACCTCAGCTCAAAGCAGAGAAATGATGTGTGCTCTGACATGTGGGAGGTTGGTGCTGGGCTCAGCATGCCAGTTACACCGCTTATCAGCACCATCTCTTCACGCCTCACAAAATGGATAATCAGCACACCTACTTTGTAGGGTTGTGAGGATTAAAATAGTTAATACGTGTACATTCTATAAACAGTGCCTGACGTGGTACTCGGAAATGTTTATTATAGTTGTATCATTATTCAATTTTCCTATTTTTGATATGCTGATCATACAAAGAATTCAAATGACTGCTAATAGTGGGCTTAATTTTAATTTAATCAGTGAAGTGGAGCATGAAGAATTTGTGGATTTTCTAGGACAAAAACTGTGGAGTGTTAGAGTGACTGAGGTCAGGACTATGTGTCTGGCCTGTCTGTAGTGTGTGGAGCCCAAAACCACAGGCCAGAATCTGGGATTTCGGCTCCAGCTGGCTCTACCTGGCTTTAGGTGAACCCATCTTGGGAGGGGTTACACTCCTGATGGTCATCCCCTTTTTCATTTCTGTGATTGTGCACATGCTGTTGCCTCTGCTTGGAATAAACCCATTTTTGCTTTGATATCATCTGATTTTTCGTCACGATTCAAAATAATTGTCACCAATTCCAGAACGCTGTCTAAAGAGTCTGGGTGACGGATGCCCCATGTATTCCAGTTGCAACTTGAGCTTCCTTTTATTGTAAGACTGATTATTATTATTGTAGGACTGTAATTGTAGAGAGGAGGTGTTGTTTACATATCTGTTGCCCTCACTAGACTATAGGCAACTTGACAGAAGCAATCCATTGTGTTCCCATTGTTTAGGACTAGTAAACTTGCTGAATGTGAGAATTTATCAGAGTAGCTTTTTTTTTTTTCCCTTGTGACTGGAGGGATGGGGCATCAGGAGGCACTAGTTTTCCCATTGGTGTGGGAATTCAAAAAATTAGAATCTAATGAAGAAAGGATTTAGAGAAAAAAGACATCATTGAAGATAAAACATGAACCTACTTTACAATTTTGCCTAGGGTTAAGATGTTTAGAATGACTTTATTTACATACTTTTCCAAGGAGGCATTTCCATGATACAAATGGTGGACTTCAACCATATTCAACAAATATTATACTGAGTCCTTAAGAGGGGGGACCACAGAATCTTAATTATGGAGCTCATTTTTATAACCTAATAAAAGCTAATAGATAGAAAACCTAATTATAGGAACTGTTGAAACTCTTTCTCTCCACAACTCACCCTTCACTTATGTAACATATGATATATATATATTAGACAATGACATACAAGAGAATAACAGCAAAAAGTAGCATACCTGGCAATGCAATTGAAGCATTAATCTCCAGGTGTCTACCTAGGAGAGTAGAACACTCTGTTGAGGCCCATGATGGGAAGAAAGCTTCTCTTAGTAAATACATGCTAAATACATGGCCTCTGTTTGGCAGGTACCATGAGGCTGCTATTTGAAAAATGCTGATTATTTATATTTTCTGTGAAGAAACAGGAGCAGGCTGTTCACTGAGAACTTAGGAAACAGATGTTGATGCTGAAGGCACAGGATAAGGGTGAGGCTTTTCTTCTTACCGACCATGTTTTAAGTCAACTAGCCTTGGAGGCTGAGATGTCTCCGACCTATCTCTGCCTCAAGACTCAGGCAGCTGTTCTTTCTTTGGCCAGACCAGTTGGCACTTCAACAGATGCGTGCATCTCAGCACAGAGTGTCTTCTGCACACATTTGATATTTTGAAGATCAAATTTTGCATGCTCAGAAAATAAATTTGGGGTAATTCACACTTAAACTTGCCTGGTGGATTCAGCTTTCAAATTTTTCTGAATAATGAACCCAAGTCCAACCTCCAAAGGATAGCCATATGTGAGAATGTATATACATTTCTCTTTGAAACAGTGGACTTCTAAATCATTGGCCTAAGTCTGTTAAATTAGCTTTCCCTTCTCTGAAGTCCAAGAGCCATCGTCCAGGGCTAGTGACTCTCTACCCTCAATGGTACTTACTATACCTATCTTTTCAGTTGAGGAGATCTTTAGGTCAAGCGCTGTGTTTTTTTCTAATCTATTCTAAAACACTTAAGCACAGTGCATTGCACATTGAGGTTAGTCTGCAGATCATTTGAAATAAATAGAATTGTTATTCAGATATACAATCTTGGGAAATATAAACCACATTTTGACAATTTGAAGCAGAAATTTTGACTTTAAGATATTTTAATGTATAAGAAAGAACAAACTTGCTAAGTTCATTTATATACTTATGAGTAATGTACACAAAAGCGGTATACATTTCATTCCTGGCCTCTGTCCTACTGCTATTTTTCCCCTTATTTAAAACTCTATTATTCATTATTAGGTAATGTTTTGAGATGTGTATTTCTGATACTTACCTCTGACCACCACCCCACATGTAACACTCTTTTAGGGTCATTTTAAAAGAATAAAAATGCTGTATTATCAACTAAAATGTACATTTAAAGTCTCAGAAGGCAACAAAATTGAAAGACTGCATCCAATTTAAAATTGGTTGAGTCTACTATCTATATATCTATCCATCTATGAGCTGCTTATGTGCATACTCACCAGCCACACGTACATACAAGATCAAGGACAATGTCAGGCTCCATTATTTTCATGCCATCTTAAGTCATTTCATAGTAACTCAATAAATAATGATAATAAATGATCCCCTAGTTCAAGGCATCTATCAACTTTAGAAACAAACAAACAGGCTGGGAGCAGTGGCTCACACCTGTAATCCCAGCACTTTGGGAAGCTAAGGCGGGTGGATCCTGAGATCAGGAGTTCGAGACCAGCCTGGTCAATATGGTGAAACCCCGTGTCTACTAAAAATATAAAAACTAGCCGGGCGTGTTGGTGCGCGCCTGTAATCCTGGCTACTTGATAGGCTGAGGAAGGAGAATCACTTGAACCTGGGAGGCGGAGGTTAGAGTGAGCTGAGATTGCGCCATTGCACTCCATCCTGGGCAACAGAGCAGTGAGACTCCGTCTCAAAAAGAAAAAGAAAGAAAGAAAGAAAGAAAGAAAGAAAGAAAGAAAGAAAGAAAGAAAGAAAGAAAGAAAGAAAGAAAGAAAGAAAGAAAGAAAGAAAGAAAGAAAATTTAAAAAGGGATACTTTCATTTGGGAACTTGTTGATGGAACTCACAGTCTAACATTGAAAAGATAAAGGACACATACATTACAAAAGAAGGAAAGAACAGGTTGCCATTGTGATGGTTAGAAGTGATAGAAAAATCTCAAATGTAAAGAAGGAATACAAAAATAAAACTCTCTGTAAGTATCTGAGAAGAGTAGCTCTCAAGTTCCTGTGGATTAATTGTGAAATTATTTTGTCAATCTTTGGTCCAACACTTAATGAGTACCAATTATTATGAATATTTTACAAAATCTCCTGTCAAGGCAAAACATGGATTTACAGATGATAAAAATATATTATGAATAATTTTCAGTGATTGTACATGCTGAGGCTAGACAACATCAGTGAAGAGAAGCAAGGAAGGGGCTGACTCTGGGATGGAATGAGGATGGTAGAGAATGTTTGAAAGTGCTAGCAAACGCATGAGAGGAGTTGACATTAAAGAATGGAGAGAAATTCAATAATAGGATGAAGGTCAGTGACAAGAATTTATAACTATTACATGATAAACATAATACACAAAGAATGTTTTCATTCTGCTATGATTTGCCAGAGTGTATATTGGTGTTAAGGAAGGCTTCGGAAGGTTAGAAATGTCTGTTACATATTTTAACAACAATAAAAAATATTATTACATCTGGCCTTTGCAATTTTGACAAGATTGTGTCAAAGTAGATGTGTCAAAATAGCTGTCTATGTCTCCCTGGATAAAACAATCGCATCAGAATGGCTGTGTCAAATGGGCAGAGGCAAAACTTCCTATGAACAACATGGTCAAGCTCCCTTTAGTATTACAATGGTCAGTAACCTATTTCATTTCTGGGCTCCCAGACTAGGTCTCTGGATACCAGCATCGACCACACAACACTGGCAGGGTAAGAATCCATTCTGTCACTTATTATTATAGTCGTTCATTGATTGATGTGTAAGTAGGGGACCTAAAGGGGAAAATGAATATGTATGATTCTAATTAAAATAGAAGAATATTTTCTTCTGTGGTTCATTTATTTACTTTGTTATTGATAATTTCAGGTTTTCTCTATATGGAATATTGAATATTTTATAAAACTATTGCCTCAATACTGGAAATAGGTAGCTTTCTAGGCATGTGGTAGGATTGTACATCTCTACTGATATGGTTTGGCTGTGTCCCCACCCAAATCTCATCTTGAATTGTAGCTCCCATAATCCCCACATGTCATGGGGAGGGACCCCGTAGAAGGTAATTGAATCATAGGGGTGGTTTTTCCCATGCTATTCTCCTGATAGTGAATAAGTCTCACAAGATCTGATGGTTTTATAAAGGGCAGTTCCCCTGCACACACTCTCTTTCCTGCCACCATGTAAGACATGCCTTTGCTCCTCTTTTGTTTTCTGCCATGATTGTGAGGCCTTCCCAGCCACGTGAAACTCTGAGTCCATTAAACCTCTTTTTCTTTATAAATTACCCAGTCTCAGGTATTTCTTTATAGCAGTACGAAAATGGACTAATACATCTATCCTCCTTTTGAATATAGGCTTGGCTCTGTGAGTTGCTTTTGCCAAAGATTTGTGAACATTGAACAGAAGTGATATGTGTGGCTTTCCTTTCTATACTTTGGAAGCATGTATTGAGATGGTGCCTCTGTTCACTTTGGTCCCTGCCTGAATGAATACACTGGGCAAGGCCTCCACTGCTACCTTATATTAGGTATTAGCATGCACGAAGAATAATCTTTGTCATGTTAAGCCACTGAGATTTGGTGCCATAGCCCATCTTAACTGATAAACTGGAAAAGAACAAAGTCATTCAGCCTGTTGATGCATATGTAAAACTGTATTCTTCCTCTAAAGATCTTAGATTCTAAATTAGGCTTTGGTTTTATTTTATCATAATACAAGTTTCCAAAACAGAAAGACAAAGAAAAAAAATTGTCACTTTTCTGAAGTTTTATTTCTGGAAAATTACTGCCACTTCATTAAACATCCTATAAAGCTGTTAGGTACTAATTATTTGTAGGTGTAAAGTTTTAAATGTGGCTATCTTATTGGTAAGTATTGGGATTGTATTGCAAATGGTTCAATTGCTAAACTTTGAGAGCAGGTGACAAAGGATGATTAAAAAGAAATCTAGGGCTACTGCACCAGGGACTGTGATTTGTTATCTTGTTTTGACAAGTGCAGTTTAGATTTAATTGTACGTGATAACAATCTGTAAGGGGAGTGGAAATGTACTGGGATTCATTTTGTAAAGGTGATCCAAAACACCTCAGGACTGCACACTGTTCTTAAGTCTGCTGAGAAATGAGGTGTGACATTGCCAAGTTTCCATGTGAAAATGATTATGTTTGTAGATTGAGAGAGAATGAACCTAAATTATTCTATTGTATATTCTGGTTGACTGACACACAGATTTGCCTAATTGAGGACGTGTGCTGCCAATAATTGAGTGTTTGCTATTTTTCAATTTTCAGAAAACTACTTGATAATTCAAGTTTTTTTTTTTCCCCAGCAAGAATCATTCACATGCCCTGTGTTCATTTATATTCTTCTGTTATGGTTTGGTTGTAATCCAGGGTTTTCTGACTGATTAGCTATGCACGGCTTGTTTCAAACCAGTGCAAACTCCAGCTTTCTTCTGGCCTTGTTGTTTCTTTTTCATGTGTAATATTATGAGGTTTCCTAACTTCGCCTGGAAATGTGGTTATTACTGCATAAAAAGTTTAGTTGAGCCTTGAAAAAATAAAAATATTACCTCGCAACAAGTCTACCATCATATGCCACAGAAATCATCTCTCTCCTCTAGCCGAGAGAAAAAAAGAAAAACTCAAAATAAGAAAGTAAAAACTGAATTCTCTATTAACTATTTGATGGCAAAACCTTCCTAAATGTCTCAAGGTATTGTTACTTAATGTCAGATTTTGTTCATTGCCTCAAATGTAATCTCATATATATATATATGTAATCTTATATATATATATTTATGTATATAATATATATTTCCAATATATATATTTCCAATCCAAATAGGTGTAATTATTTTTATAATAGCAACAATTTGCATATAAATTATATATTAGAAAGAAGAATGATTTGCCCCCCTCCCCAAAGCAATGATATATAGGTTTCTACTTTTCCTTCTATTCTATTACTCTAAATTCAGGTGATACTATCTCTCTTTAAACTTCTCCCAGGATTACTTTGCATTGCTCCTTATTTGTTCCTTGAAAAGCTTCTGCAGATGAAAGCTTATTTACTATAGCCCTTGTACTTGCTAAAACTTAATAGGAAAAATACTTGTAAGCAGCACAGTGGTATCTGTCAGAGAGGCAATAATTTGGTTTCAAAAAGCTGTCTGATCCTTTTTCTTTTCCTTAGACTCTGCCTTCTGATATAAAATTGCATATCAGTGACTTAAATGGACAAAAAGCAAGTGCCTGTAGCACCCTGACTCAGAGGGTCTCAGCTTTCCGTTTTTCCATGTGGATCCTTCTAAAGGTGGGGAGCCACATACCCCTGAGCAAGGAGGTGGGGCAGGCAGGTGTTTCAGCAATTCCGGGAGGTAGATGTGTGGTTTGAATGGTCTCCAGGCCATCTTTTTTTTTTTTTTTTTTTTTTTTTTTTGAGACGGCGTCTTGCTCTGTCACCCAGGCTGGAGTCCAGTGGTGTGATCTCAGCTCACCGCAAGCTCTGCCTCCCAGGTTCACACCATTCTCCTGCCTCAGCCTCCTGAGTAGTTGGGACTACAGGCGCCCGCCACCACGTCCAGCTAATTTTTTGTATTTTTAGTAGAGATGGGGTTTCACCATGTTAGCCAGGATGGTCTCAATCTCCTGACCTCGCGATCCGCCCTCCTCGGCCTCCCAAAGTGCTGGGATTACAGGCGTGAGCCACCGTGCTTGGCCTGAATGGTCTCCAGGCCATCTTGATGCAGCCTGGTGGTGAGGAGAGGGTGTGGTTTCTCCTTTCTTTGAAAATCGTGGCCCTTGTTTAGGTGGGGAAAATGTTTCAACAGTGCATTTTGGAAAGAGAATTAGATAACCCCAAGTTCTCTTTAAGTTGATATTTTAGATGTACTTTATAGAGGTATTGAGAGTTTCAGATAGCTTATTCTTGATAGCCTTTTTGTTGTTAATGATGGCTACTAAGATTCTGGATCCCACACAATGGGATTGTCAGGAAGGGAGTCTACTCTGCCACTGTTCAATAAGTAGGTGCCCATCTGCTTGCCATGAAGAGCAGCATTCACAGGAAGTGGGTCCATAAAAATCACCTCCAAGGGTCCTGACAAAGCTTGGGTAGTTTTTGATGGCCTATAGGCACTTTCTGTACTTGGCCTGTGTGGTTTTTGAGTGGCCAACTTGGGTCCCTTTGGTTTCTGGGTTTACTAAGGCAGCAATAAGTCTGTGCATAAGGATCTTCCAGTTTTTCTTATTTTTTGAATTATTTGTGGCTTCCTTGTCTAATGCTTACCCCCTTCAACCTAACCACAGCATCCATGGCCTTCAATATTATACAGCCTCGATATACAACCTTGGCCTCTTCAGTCTAGTGCCCCCTAGCTTCCTGACATGTACATTGCTTTCCAGCCAAATGTTCACTGACTTTCCTGAAAGCTTTGCTTCCTTTCTTGATTCCAGGACTTTGTCCATGTTTCTCATCTTGTATAAAATGTGCTTCTATATGTTGCTGAATCCGTTTATCTCAGGGCACTTCCCAATTCAGTGAATGGCGTCTTCAAGCACCATGTTGCCTGGGAAAAAACATAGGGGTCTGTTTGATTTCTTCTTTTCCCTTCTTCCACTATTTGTCAACAAGTATCGATTATGTTACCAAAAAATGTTACCCAGATTCCAAGAACTTACCATCTCCCCAGTGCCTATTCTCATCCAAGCCAGCACCTGGCCCGGATGGCCAAAGCAGACAGCCTTCCAAGTGGTCTCTCTAGTTCCATTTATGACCCACATGAATAATTCTCCATTCAGAAACCAATGTGATTTTGTAAAAGTATAAATCAGATCATTTCAGTCCTTGCTTAAAACCCCACAGTGGCTTGCAATGGTTCCAGGTGATAGGGTCTCTGGTGCCTCCTCAGCTTCACTGCCTACTCTTCTTTCCTGGATTATTATATTATATATTCCTGCTTTGTGGGCCTTCTTTCTGTTCCTTGGACAACTGAAGTATATATATCCCTCAGAGAGTTTACATGTATGGCTCAATCTGTGTAGAATCTACTTAGCCCCAAATGTCTGCTTCTTAAAATTCAGGACTGAGCTCAGATGTTACCTTTGCAAAGAGGATGTCCTGAATTATCATGTAGAAAATAATTCCTTCCCTGAGAAATTCCATATCCGTTGGTCTGTCTAGTTTTCGCTGAAATTCTCATGTACTTATCATTTGTTTATTATCTGGCTTCTCAAACATAAAGAGGGATATTAATTTTTTTGTTAAGCACTCACTGGATTGCCAGTGCTCAGCTCAAGGCCAGCCTATAGATATCGATCCCCTGAGAGAAAGAGTCTGAAATGCTCCTGCCTTCATGAATGTTCATAGCTTTAACTTCTCTTATGCACCTACCCTAGATTTGTGTATTTTCCTCCCTTCTTATAGTTAAAGTTTTTCAAGGGACTGTGTTCTACTCAACCTTTTTTCCCTCAGAGTACTTTTTGTGAAGTAAACACTGAGCCAATATTTACTGAATTCAATTATCCCGTTTTTATTAAAGGAAATTGAGTAACAAATTTAAGTAGCATTCTATAGTATCTGAGAGAATTAAAAAGAATTAACAACAGCCTCAAACAAGGACTACACTCAGCGTACTCATTTCCAGGTGTTCATTCTCAGATATGCTTTCATTTCAGACCTCTTATTCAAAAGCTCAGTCTGCAGAAGCTGCAAACAGTTGATTGGTTCAAAAGGAAATGAAGTAGGCCTGGAAAATAGTTGAGCAAAAGAAAATTCTCGCATCCTCCAAGGCTTAATTAATACTTCCTAGGTGTCATGAATTCCTGACAATACGTAGGAAAAGGCATGGATTGGTGGTTTAGGAAGCAAGGTGGCAGCCTCTAAGCAAGTAGAGGAGTGATAAGAAGGAGATTGATGTTCAAAATTCAACTTTTGAGTCAGTCTAAGGAGGATATAGAGGTAACTTTCTGACTGTCTATACTGATATTGGTTACTGTGCTCTCTATGGCAGATAAAGAAAAGACACTCTCAGCCCTCTGTAATGTGTAAATTGCTTTTAGACACTGTCTCCAGGAAAGCAAGATGGTGTCAGCTTGGAAGTTGTTAGGCTGCCAATCCTATTGTCAGGCAACCAGGATATTTGAATTCAGATGTGTTGAAATTCCATTTGTGAGTTTTCCACTACAAATCCCTAACATACAGAGAGACCTCTGGCTAGAAAACGAGTAAGCTTCACACATCAAATCTCTTTTCAAATATATTTTAAATGGCCCTGCTCAAAGAATCCTGGAAACAAGTTACAAATTGAAGTATTCAACAAGGCTGAGGACAGGTAAGAGGGAGAATACAGTTATTTCAGGAAGTACAACAGTCATCCATTTTGTCATGATGGAGTCATTCTTTCATTTTTAATCATTCAAAAAATACTGGTTGAAACACAGAGTATCACAATGCTTAAGAATTTAGGCCTGAAGTCAGAAGGTTGGATTCAAATCTACTGTGATGGTTAGTTTTATGTGTCAAGTTATTTAGGCCAAGTTATTCAATTAAGCATGAATCTAGGTGTTGTGAAGGCATTTTTGTAGATGTGCTTAACATCTACAGTCAATTGACTTTAAGTAAAGGAGATTATTTCGATAATCTGAGTGGGCCTTATCTAATCAGTTGAAAGGCCTTAGGAGCAAAACAGGTTTCGCCAAGGAAAAAGAAATCCCTCCTGTGGAATGCAGCCTCAGCTCCTGCCTGGGAGTTTCTAGCCTGCTGCTCGTCTGCCCCACAGACTTCAGACTTGCCCAGGCTGACTATACAATCACATGAGACAATTTTTTGAACTCTCTGTTTCTTTCTGTCTCTCTATCTCTGTCTCTATGTCTGTCTGTCTCTCAGTTTGTTTTGTTTCTCTGGTAGAACCCTGGCTGACAAATCTATTAACTGAATTGACCTTGGGAAAATATCTTATCCTCTCTGTTCCTCAATTTCTTCATCTGTAAAATAAAGATATCAAGAGTGTCCATCTGTATCCATCTCACAAGCTTTTTATGAGAATTAAGTGAGTTAATAAATATAAAGTCCTTAGACTGGGAACTGACACATGGTATGTGTGCTTCTTAATTATTAAGCACCTAGTGTTTGCTTAGTGTAGCTGCTGGGGAGAAATAAGAATAAAGATGAGATATGCCTGACATTAAGAAGTGTGCCATTCCTCGGAGGCTTCTAAGTCATAATAACAAGTAAACTTAATCAGAATATGACCCCCAGTGCATGCTCATAATTAGGAAAAGGTCAGCCTATAATGCTAATAATCCTACTAATGAGGGTAGATAATATTTCTCTATTTTGTGCCAAGTATGATACAGATAATTTCATTTGTTCATTTTTACACATATCCTTTATTCATTTATTATTTCATTTAACAAATATTCATTGGATGCTTATTATATATTAGGTACATTCTAGATGCTGAGAATATAGTAGAAAATAGACAGAAAAGATCTCCTGCCTTGTAATGTATATCGCAGTAGGAGCTACACAAACAAAAAGAATGTGTAATATAAAATCCAGTAGGGATGAGTTTTATGAAGAAGATAAAGCATGGTAAGAACAGCCTGGTGATGCTAAAGCTGATGCCTGAATCATGAAAAGGGGCAGTTTTGCAAATATTTTTTGGGAGATGACTTCATGTTGAGAAACAGTGTGAAGGCCCTTAGATTACAAGTAGCTTGACATAGTGGAGGGAAGGAAAGAAGACCGTGTAGCTGGAGCAGAGTGTTCAATGAGAAGAGTAGTCAGGAACTGATGTTGGGAAAGAAAGGAAGTGGAGCCCAGATCTCATAGGATCCTATAGGCCATGCCAAGGGTTTTTATTTTATTCAAAGTGTGATGTGAGTATAATGATGCATTTTGAGTAGAAAATGCAGACATTTATCATAGATGTGGGTAAAGTCTATGGGCTATGGTGGTGTTGGGCAGTGGAGAGAAGAGTGAAGTGTAGGTACTGCACAGGAGGCCATTGGGGTAGAACAGGTGAGGGAGGTGAGAACTGGCACTCAATAGAGACATGGAGGGCGTGAGAAGTGGATGAAATTCAGGATGGATCCAGGGGATAGAGCTTTGGGGCCTGAAATGAAGTTACAGTTGCTGCCTTGACATCTTTAAGCTTCACAGTGCCCCAGAGTCTTCACTGCAAGTTTCCCTGCTATTACACTCCCCACCCACTAGTCCCTGCAGCAGTTGGACCAGCTACACTCTAACAGGTCCTCAACCCAACAGGTTTGACTTCCCTGCCAGCCTGTGAAATTGTTCAAACCAGTTAATCATATTCTCCTATGGGAAACGGGGGTCACTGCACCCTCTTGTTACTACAGAGTCTCTCCCCAGCAGCCCCTGCTTGTTTACTCTGTTCCAGCATGCAACCTGTGGGACCCTGCATGGTATGCATGGTACTTTATCCTGGGCTGTGAGAATGTATGACAGATCAACTGCTGCTACTTTCATCTCCAGTGTTGGGTTGCTTGTATTTGTCCATGTTGTGCTAATTGAAGCAAGGAATCCCTCCCTCACCAATGGAGTGAATAGGAGGCAATCAGAACAATGGATGGCAAAAGCAGGATGGCCCAACCACCACCAAGAACTTGTAGCTTTAGTTATCTGCTCTTTGCTAACCAGCTGGTTCTGGATAGGGCCAGAATGTCTGCACTATAAGTGACTGGATGGAGACAGAAACTGAAATTCGTGGCTTAATGCAGCCAGAAACCAAAATACAGTGAGGAAATTTGTACAGAAAGAAAATAAGTAGGTGAGGGGAGCCCACCCTGCAGGAAAAGGCAGTGTTGTAGCAGAGGCTGGTTTCTATTCCCCAGCCTCTGGGCTGTGGGCCAGCACTGTTTTGCTGCATCACTGGGCTGCCTGTGGCTTTGTCACAACAGAGGCTAATCCTCAGGGTTAGAACAATACCCCAAACAACAAAACACTCATGGTATCCCTGTGGCATAGCAAAGGTGTTTATGCAAACCTGACTTAAACCTAGGGCCCTTAAACCATAACAATTGCCACCTGGGAGGCACCTAAGCCTGACAATACTGAGGCTCTCTGGAAGAAGACTTTTTATAAATATAGGCAGAGTAGAGGCGACCCTCCCTATTGAAGTATATCCAGTGACAAACAGAAAAAAGGAGGGAGAGAAAGAAACCTGGATACAGGAGGAGAGAAAATTTAAACATATGTGCATATACATGTTTAAATTTATGTAATTTATATATATGTAATTAAATTAAATCATAGGTCCACAATTTGGCCCAATTTGAAATTCAAAATTTACTAGAAATAATTTAAACAGCAAAAAGATAAAGAAGTGTTAATTGGCTTTAGTGTCTCTATGATATAGGTTCTGAATTCACTTTAACATCTGTTGAAATTAACAATTCATGGACCTTCATATACTTCAACACTGGGGCTCAAATTATTGTTATATCTGGAGGTGGGGTGCCACTAACTTTACACAAGGTACCGCTATAATCTTGGGAGAGTTACTGAATATAAAATAAAGAACAAATAGGTATGCCTCACCTTAACCATCAAAGCTATTGCTTTGGGAAATAAATTCCCATGGTCATAGCACCCATTGCTCTAAAATGTCTCACAGTAAGCATGGATAATCTGACTCAATCAGTAAATAATAAAAATAAAAATTAGATTAAGTCTTTGGCACCTAAAAATTGGCTTGACAAAATGGAACTACATAACCCCCCTAGTTAATATCATTAATATGGCCCAATATAAATTTGGATTTTAAAGTATCAAACCTCATTATATAAGACCTAATTAGTAACAGGATGATTATCTCCACTGCTTCTCCATTTGACAGCCCAATTTTGTGCTTTCTTATACCTAGAAAGAATAATAGAAGATTGTAGATCACTACAGTCTTAATCCTGTGGTTGCATCTGCTAAGGTCCCCATACTCAACACCAAATATTATTGAAATTACTTTTTAAAAATCTAATCAGCAATCAGTAAATATTTTGCTATTATAGGTTTAGTTAATGCAGTCTATTTAGTGCCTATTTTGGCAGCCTCTGAGATGCAGTTTGCCTTTCCCTCTGAAGGGACCCAACACACCTTTACCAGGCTGCCCATGGAGTACACCAGCAGCTTTGCCATTGCACACAGTCTTTGCAAGGAATGTCTTCAATGCATCTACATTTCCCAGAAGCACTGCTATGAAACTATATTGATGACATCCTCCTGAGGTCATTTGACACATTAATTAAGGACATGAAAATATAAAATAGCTTATAAAAAGGGAATAGGCAATTGCCCCACATAGTATAAAGCCCTGCCACCTTGGCTACATTTTTGAAAATTATTGGTAAATCAAGAGATGTTTCATTCCTGACAGTATCAAGAAACAAACAGCTATTGACCTTTTCAAATGTTAATACAAGTCCATTGTTTTTAGTAATTTTGGGATTCTGAAGGCAGCATAGTCCACATTTTAAATTTTTACTTGACATATTTAGGCTGTCACTTGAAATCAGCCCACCTTAAATGAGCCCCTCTTAACAAAAGATTCTAGAATCTGTCCAGTTGAAATAATCAGGAATTCCCCTTAGTGCCCTTAGAGAGTCCTTTGTTTTAGAGCGTTTAGTAACATTCCTTATGCCACTGGAGTTGCTGACTTACTTATGATGGCCACAGTTAGTTGTCCACGGACTTCTAATGCAAGAAGTTGCCTTTCCTCAGACCTGTGCTATATATCATTAGAGCGGTAATAGCTGGCCACTTACTGGGTTCTCCTGGAAAGAGGCTTTAACAGACTGTGAACCTGTTACCCTCCATATCCAGCTGTCCATTATGCCTTACATCACCCTCAAGGTTCAGTATGGCTACCAAGGTCTCTTTGCTACAGGATGGGGCCAAATCTGGGCCATCTGTATATTCTACTTGCAGGAGAGGATGGCCTTCTCTGTCCTCAATTTCTTGCCATGTTTTGGCACTGGAGAAAGACACCACTTTTCCAGACCCCTTGGCTACCCAGGAAACTCGCTGGAATTAATGGAGTTATTTGCAATGAGATTTTGTACACTTCACAGATGGAATTGCCATCATCCTATGTGATGGAGCCCAGTGGAATGTTGCTGGTTTCCATCTCTTAACCAAGACAGCCATGATAAAGGATGGTACCCAAGGATAAGGACAATTGGCCAAACTTTACACAGTCATCTTACCTTACTGGGTGTTCTGCCCAATAAATGGCCCCATCTGCACATTTTTACGTACTCTTGGACTACTGCCTAAGGGTTGCCCCCTTCAGGATAAAGAACTTTGGAAATATCTTGCCTCACAGATGCCCAAAATATAAATCAAGGTAAGAGATGTCTCTACATATACTAAGGCCACAACACGAGGCTTCACCAGTACACTCCTTAGCTCCTGTGAAGTAGTTCCAGACATCACCCATGTTGACAAGACACTCATTCACTTCTCAGAATATACAATGCTGGGCTCTTGAAGAAGATATTCAATGGAATTTCCACTTTTACTATAAACCAGGCAATTGGTTTCACTGTGAGGCCTAATGAGCTCCCCAAATAACTCCTGTTTAAATTATCAAGTGGTAAATGGACCCCCTACTGGGTATTGCTATTGCCATAGGTGTTGATTAATCTCAGTTCACACCCCTAGGGATGGGCACTTCCTCCACTTATGCCTCATGGGTCTATCAATTATCTTCAGTGGCCATAAAGGGAGCTACCTCTAAGTTCATGTTCTTGATGTCTACTCCACCATGTGGCCCTATCCTTCCTGGTTAATGCTGATGACCCTTCCAAGGGGAATGCTTTCACTCTCTAAAAATCTTAGTTATCAACAAGGTTTAAATTAACCTCAAGTTATCAAGGTACTGAATGTGGTATAAGGGTTAAAATTAAGATGCAATATGAAGTGCTGTCTTGACAACTTTGTGCTTCACAGGGCCCCAACCCCAAGCCCAAGTCCCCTGCTCTCCTCAGATATGCCCCCACCCAGCTAGCTCTCACATCAGTTGGACCAGCTCTACCCTATCCAGTCCTTAACCTAATGGATTTCACTTCTCTGTTGGTCTGAAAACTTATTCAAACAAGCCAATTATATCCTTCCACTGGAACCAGGGTTCACCCCAGACTCTTGTTACTACAAAGCATGCTTCCCACAGCCTGTTCTTGTTTACTCTGTTCCTGAATGCAACCCCAGTGTGGCCCTACAGAGCATTTAGTGTCTTCCTCCTTGGGCTGTGAATATATGTGACTAATAAACTGCTGTCATTCTCATTTGCCCAGTGTTGTGTGTTTGCCATCTTCATACTATTTAGGGAGGGGGTTTCCTCCCTCACCAGTGGGTGAATAGGAGGCTATCAGAACAAGAGCCAGCAGTATTTACTGATGGTATGCATGTGAGATTAAAGGGAAGAATCAAGAGTGTTATTTAGATTTTTCACCTGAAAAAATATAAATAAATGTCCATGCTATTTATTGAGAAGGGAGAGAGGAGAAACAGCTTTGGAGAAGGAAATTAAGAACACAGTTTAGAGAAATAAAAGACCATATTGTCAAACAAGATGAAATGGGATAAATAGGGTTTTGAGAAATGATTAGGGAGAAATCACTTCCAGTTGGAGGAATAAAGAGGCTCACATGAAAGGAGATATTTAAACGGAACCTTGAAGGGTTGAAAAGATTTTTGTCACTAGTGGTGTTGGAATTATACATCATAACAGAAGAAAATGTTAAACCAAGTCAGCAAGGTAGAGAAGCCCAGAATGACAAGTGATTTCAGCTTGGCTGATTGGAAGTAGGAGCCAAGGCTATAATGTTATTCTGGGATCTTCCTTATTGAAGACCTTGAGTACTAATAAGTCCACATTAAGAGTTTACTTTGATCAGGAAGGCATTAGAATATGTTGAGGTTTACCCAGTAGTGATTAGGGTTGTGTGTTCTGAAGATTAGTCTCCCAGCTGTGTAATGTCCATCTTGGGAAGGAGTGTGGTGGACATTGTGAGTGTAGGTAGAAATTATTGCAATTGTCTGTGATCAGAAATGATGAAAGTCTTCCTAGAATGGAATCAGGAACAGATGTGAGAGGCATTTCAGGAAGAGGATAAAAATGAAAACAATTTGAATGGGTCTTGGTGGGTGAAAGGGAGAAGTTCAAGGTTTTCATTTCTGGGCAACTAGGAAATTATGTAGTTGCCAGCAAATATGAAGATGCTGGGAGGAGAACCAGGTCTGAGTCTAAGAAGATTTTAGTTTCAACATGTTAAGTCTGAGATGCTACTGGAATTTTTATGTTGAGGTGGTTGGAAATAGGGGCTACTCCTTTGGCAAGAGATTAGGTTCCCAGTTATCTGCTCACAGAGAGGAGCTATAGCCTGGGCAAGATGACCCTGGAGGAGCAGACTGAGAAGCTCTTCTGACATCATTCTCTCTTACTTTCTCTTATTCCCTCCACTCCAGCCAGGCTGGCTCCCTGCCATTCCAGGAACTCATTGAGCACGTTCTCACATCGGGGCCCTTGGGCTTGCTCTTCTCATTCTTAGATCTCTCTTCAGAATCTGCACAGATCACTGCCTCTCAATTTATTCAGATCTTTTCTCAAATATTCCCCATCTAAGAGGCTTCCGCTGACCATTCTATATAGAACGGCACTCTTTCTTCCTTCTGCTGTCATTCTTAGCCCCTTGCTCTGCTTTATCTTCAGAGCACCGATGAATATTACATATTTATATTTTGTGTGTCACTACCTTCATTAGAACATAAGCTCTCTGAGGGCAAGGGCTTTGTTCTAGGTAATGTTCCATCTGTGTGTCTGGTACATAGTGTACATAACATTTCTGTGTATTTGGCAGAAGGGAAGAAAAGAGCAGGAGAGAAGAAGATGGGTCGGAATGGGATCAGAGGTGTGGGTAGGCAGCACTTTGCTTCTACTCTGTAGTGGACATCTTGTTTATCTGTTCACTCCTTTTCCTTTGCTGGTGGTATCCTGGATTTCCTCTGGATAACCATCCTGACTACTGTCAGCCCAGGGTTCAGGTGGCAGTGAGTCTGCTCCCAGATCTGTGTGGCATGTGATTCAGATCTGGCTAGTCAAAGCATCAAGTTCAAGGGGATTGGCGCAGGAATACACACCTGATCCACTTCCCCCCACTGACATCAGGCTGTAGCATGGTGATGAATAGTCCAGACTCTGGATCCTGACAGCTGGGCTCAAATGCTACCTCTGTCACTAACTAGATGAGTGACTTCGGTAAGTTATCTCACTCCTCTCTCTCTCAGTGTAATACAGGATTGTTGTGAAGATCAAAGTAATTAACACTGAGAAAGCTCTTAGACTGGTGTCTGTCACAGAGTAAGAGCTATAAAAGTTTTATCATCTGGTGAGGAAAGAGAAGTGCTCCTTTCAGTGGAACTCGAAGCCAAGATGCTACAGTCTTGGAGCTGCTGGGGGTCATCTTGCCACCACGTGGACCCTGAAGATGAAGCCCCATGGAGGAGAACAGAACTGAATGATGGAGAGATGCTGACTCCTGATGACACCTCTTGACTCACTTAAGTAAATTTGAGTTGGCTTGTAAGTAAGTTGTAATGGGAGATTCGCAATCAGTACGACATTCTTGAAGGCAATGCATCTCTTCAATTTGATGTGCATGTCTTGCTTGCTAGCTTCAGGTGATTCTGTGACTTCTTTAATTCTCCTCTGTCAATATCTCTCAGTTCCTGAAAGCACCAAGCAGCCTGGCTCTTTTATTTTTGCCTTTGGTAATTGTTTTTGTTATTCCCTGAACTCCTATTTGCTTTTCTACTTTGATGTGCTGGACAGGAGGGACTCCAGATTCACATTTTATCCTTTTTCTCAGAGGCCAGAGCATGGTCATCCCTCATGCCCTTTGTCTTAGGCCTGACTCTTGTTCTTTTTTGTTTTGTTGCTTTTCATGCAGAAAACACACACCTCCTTCCATGTTATTTTTCTGTCCCCTCACTCTCCTGTCAAATGCTGCTTCAGAAGAAGAAAGAAGAAAGATAGGAAAGGAAGAAACAGATATGTGTCCAGAGCCTTGCCCTTTTCAAATTCAGTGTCATGATCCCCTTATTCACTTATTCCTCCCAAGACTCTCCTTCCTGGCCCCTGACCTAGTCTACTGACACCACAGGGGAGAGAGGGCTGTGGGGGTTATTATTCTTAGCTTTATTTGTTGGCATTCTCTCTCACAACTGTATCCACTCAATTCCCAGCACAAAGCTTTAAGCCCCATAGATGTTCCATGCTGGCTTCTCATATTGACTGGCTCTTCCTCTTCTGAAATGGGAGCAAGGAGAAGTTGAATGAACACACAGAACCATTTTGAGCCATACAGGAGGGAATTACCTCATTAAAGGAGGAGGTGAGGCCCCCCTCTGAGAGTAAGAAGAAAGTGAGGGAATGTGGCAATGATGTGGAATCCTTGGGATGGAAAGTAGGGAGAGTTTCAACCAGAGATCTTGAAAGCACTGCCCTGAAGCAGGACAGGCGTTCCTGTGGGTGGTGCTGGCTCCACCAGTGCTGCTGGCCCTGCCGACCTCATGGGCCTCTCGTTTAGTCCATTCTCTCGCCCTCCGTGTCTAACCTCGGTTTCTTTGGGTCCTCAGATATATCAAGCTCTATTTTACCTCCGGGCCTTCACAGATGCTTTTCGCTATGCCAAGAAAACTCTAACTTCACGTCCTTCTTAGGTGTCACTTCTTCCGGGAGGCATCCCTCCCTTCAGGCCTTGGTTAGCTCCTCTTGCTATTTGTGCCCGTAGCTCCTTAAACTTCCCCATAGCAACATACATTGCACTTGATTGCTATTAGTTATAGAACTGTCTTTCTCCACTGCGAGATCATGGGCTCCAGAAGTACAAGAAGGCATTTCCTCTACATTTAATCACCACTGTAACTCCAGGACATAGTCCATTTCTTGGCCATATTTGGTACTCAATCAATGTTTGCTGAGTGAATAAACATTGGCGTGAATCTTAAAATATTATCAGGGCAAGAGGTAATTGTAACTCTTCTCTTTTCCAATGGAATTATAGCTGCTTCATCTGTGGCCAATTTTCTCCCATATCACATAAAGCTAGGAGAGGGGATCAAGTCTATTGATACCTCTATGCATAGCATGTCTGAACAAGAGCAATTAACATAGAATCACCCAAAGGCAATACCCTCGTATAAATTCTTGCTTCATAAAAAGAAAAAAAATGGGATAGTAAATCTAATATATTTATACTTAAATAGGATATTTACGCTTTAATACAAGAATTTTTCTAATATAAAATATATTTTTTTTTATCCAAAGAGGCAACTATTTTATCCAGAAAAGTACTTCATCTCCAGACTTCACATTAGATGTGGATGTGTAGACTCCTCTATTGGGCTGGAATAGACCTGGTGACCTGCAGACAGCTACTTCTACAGCCCATTACCTACATTCCAAGCTACCTAGTCTCAGCACATTCACTTTCTGCTATGATAAACTCTGCTTTCTCTGTCTCCCTGACCTCTGCAATCTTACTGGGAATAGGAGGTGGGACAGAACTGAAAGTCTATGTAAGTGGAGGGGGCAGGGAAGAGAGGCCTTTTACTGTGACAAGTCACACTGCATAAAAGTGATTTGTGTGTGCTCAATAGCTTTTTTTCTAGTCTCCTTCTGACACTTGGGAGTTTGGTTCATCACAGTTACTCATCTACCTTAGCCAAGAAATTACAAGTGAAGCGGAGAGAAAATATGAGTGAGTAAGTGAGAGAGTTTCTGAGTTTGACAGGCAGAGGTAAAGCAAAAACAACAATGACTAGTGCCGGTATAACAGTTTTCAAAGTTGACATTTGAGGTTTATGGTGCTTTTGTTAATGAGATGTTTGAGTGGAGAAACAATAGTGCTTAAGTTAAGTTCAACTAAAAACTTAAAATACCTTTATACCTTTTCGTTTTTATCTTGTCTTCTAGGGACAGACTAAGAGAAATCTGTTCTTGGTGGCAGTATCTATGACAACAAACTCATTTCATTTTCTTACTTTCATATATGTGATAGACAACACTGAGGAACTTTTGATTTCTTTTCTACATACATAATTAAGCACCCGGAGACTGCCTCCTACTCCTGAAATGACTTGAACCCATAGCAAGTTATTCTGGGATTGAAGGGCAATACTGTGGGTGGGGACTGGACATAATTAATCAACCAGAGAACTCAGATATTAAGACTAAAGAAGAATCATGTTATGTTAATCTTGCATAATCAATTATTCTTTTTCATAAGGTTTAACTCTTTGATGGGAGAAGTTATGAATTCAAGAGAAATAATTCAAAGAGAAGCAAGAAAGGATGAGACCCTAAGTCCACAAATATTCTTCAGTGCCCACCATATATAGGGCATGACCTGAGGCCCCAGGGGGGAAGCAAAAGCCTGAAAAGGCAATGCTTGTTCTCCCTGAAGGTTTGCACAGACAACCCACGTACCTGTGTGTCTATCACTCAAGGCAGGGTCTTGCCTTTATTGACTGTCTTAAAGTTAATCCCAGTCTGTGGATACACTAACTTAGCAGAAAAATCCCAGGGGAAACGAATTTAGGGGAAAAACACCTATCTGGCAAGACCGTAGCTTTTACTGTTCAAGGGACAAGAGGTTAACTATTTTCATACCCCATGAGCCAGTTTCCAGTGACACTCTGATTATCACATAAAGAAAGATTACTTCCTTTTTCTAAAAAATTTGACTAATCAAGATGTTTTAGGATTCCTGGCTACTTTCCCCCCCATTTTTGTTCTGAATTAATTGTTAAAAGTACAATAAATAATGTGAATATTTTTCAGCACTTTCTCTCATTGGTCTGTGTAGACCTGCTTCTAGAGCTCTTATGGCAGTAACTGCTGAACCTGACTGGTTGTTAAAGTTGGCTTGGTAGCTTTATAAAAATCCAGATTTGTAAGTCAGTCCAGATCTACCTAGTTAGAATCTCTAGAAGTGAAACCCAGATATACATATACATATACATACACATATACATATACATACACATATACATATACATATGTAATTTTCTTTTTCAAAAAGCTTCTCAGGTAATTTTGATAATTAGCTGATACAGAGTCTATATTATATATTATACTATGGAGTTTCTTGTGCAGTATTTTCAAAAATAGAAATGTATGTGAGATAAGAGTGTTCCTTTTGATATTGGTTAGAGAGCCCTGGGTTTGAATAGTAGATTCGCCACAATTCAGCTGCAACAGGACTTTAGGCAATTTGCCTCATCTACAAAATTACCTAACGAGTTAATACTATTACCTAATGAATAGAATTGCTGTGGGGAGCAATTGTTAGAAATGTACACACACACACACATACACACACACACACACACACACACACACACACACACACACACAGAGTACTCCCCCGCTTATCCTCAGTTTTCCTTTCTGAGGTTTCAGTTGCCTGCAGTCATCCATGGTCTAAAAATATTAAATTGAAAATTCCAGAAATAAACAATTCATAAGTTTTAAGTTGCCACCATTCTGTCACGAAGAAACCTCATGCCATGCCACTTTGTCCTGCCTGTAACATGAATCGTCTCTCTGTCCAGAATATCCACACTGTCTACATCGCCCGCCAGTTAGTCACTAAGTTGCCATCTTGGAATATAGTGCTTGTGTTCAAGTAGTCCTTATTTTACTTAATGATGGCCCCAAAGTGCAAGAGTAATGATGCTGGAAATTCAGATACGCCAAAGAGAAGCCTTAAAGTGCTTGCTTTAAGTGCAAAGTGAAAATTCTCCACTTTTTAAATAAAAAATTCTATGCCACGGTTGCTAAGATCTATGGTAAGAATGAATCTTCTGTCCATGAAATTGCAAGGAAGGAAACAGAAATTCATGCTAGTTTTGTTGTTGCACTTCAAACTGCAGGAGTTCCTGCCACAGTGCCTGATAGCTTTTATTACAGTAAATGTTATAATTACTCTATTTTGTCATTAGTTATTGTTGTTAATCTCTTCCTGTGCCTGGTTTATAAGTTAAACTTTATCATAGGTAGGTTTTTATAGAAGAAAACCCCACAGCCTATACAGGGATTGATACTATTTGTGGCTTCAGGCATCCACTAGAGGTCTTGGAATGTATCCCCCATGGATAAGGAGTGACTATGGTGTATCACATTTTAAATGTTTTTATTACATGTGAATCTCTTATAAATGTAGACTATTCTGAATTTTCTGTAAACAGTTCTTAAGATGGAAACTATATGGTCTCCATCTTTTCAGTATATTGTCATTCAAGACAGTACATAGCACATACTGGCTGCTGAAGAAAAAAATCAGATTGATCTATTTGAAATCTTCATACCTATACAGGTGTTTCAGGCTATATGAGTCCATACTGGACACCAGTGAAAGTTAAAGAAAACAGTTCAGAGATTTGGTCACATCTTTCAGGTATGACTTCTGAAGGATATGTGGATACACATCCAATGTCCCCACTTAGCATGCCTGATTTTGCAAGGTAGAAACACTGGCTCACAGTAAAGAGCCAGGAAAGTAAGGAGGCAAAACACTGTGATATTAGAGAAGTAATGACGAGATAAACACTTAGGCAGCATTGGTTCCAGTGCAAGGTCATTGTTCGTTAATACTTGTACAGATCACTTATTAACCACCCAGAAAATTCACTTCAAGTTTTCAAGCTGCATAATACTCAAAATCATTACCTGAATGTAGATTAGGAGATGCGGGCTTGCTGCATAGAGTGTTAAACCACAATGTTGTAAACCACAAGCTTCATTGATTCTGAAAGTGGAGATTATTCCATGTATGACTTATCCCACCCTACTCACCCCACCATAATATTTCTTTTTCCAGCCTATTTTTGAAAGCCTTTAAGAAGGATTCAGCACTGCACACCAGAAGGACAAGTTGGAGTGTGAAGTATGTCACCTTAGGCAGTGGAAACTTTTGACTTGAGTGCCCACTAAACAGTGACAATTGTGAGTTGGCAAGCCTTCTGGATCTGCTTCTCTAGGCATCTTTTAATCCCTTGCAGAGCCTAGTGTGGCACCTCCTTGCACAATAAAATGTCAATTATTTTAGTTTTTTTTGTTGTTTTGTTTTTTAGTTTAAACTACCTGTCATTCAGACTCATTATCTAATGGGATGGGGTTAGGAATTTACTCAGTGCACTTCAGATAAACAAGATAAAAATAATGACTATCTTATAGCCAAATTTACCTTACCTGGGAGGCCCCTTCCTAATGATGGCTGCAAAAAGTTCCATTTACCAAGTACCTGTAGCTCAGTATCTTCTGGTATAAAATAAGATTTATATTGCGGTAAACATTTAATCCATTCAAAGTTCAAGCTTTTCTCTTTCTCCCATCATAGAGGGCCTCGCCTGTCTCTGTTCCATGTGAGATGCCCTCTGGGTGCAAGCAGATGCTTAAGTGTTCACATGGGAGTAAAGACCTTTGTTTACTTACTGTCCTCTGGGATTTTGCCTGCATTCTCTGCAATATCTCACCCTATCTGGTCACTGAGCAAGCTAGCGGGTGTCCACTGATGTGTGGCTGGTCCTGCCTTGTGCTCTGAGCATTGTACTGGTATCAGTATCTGCACTGATAGAGTCAGAGGTACCATCACCTCTGGTCATCCTGACCCTGACTTGATCCTGTGGCCTCTGTTCTTACTCATGCTTCTCTTAGCCTACAACTTCCCTCAGCACTCACTTATCCCCCAGTGGAGCACATGGGGCTTCTATATCCTTGGATTGGGGAGAAACATGGGTACTGTCTCCATCCATCCACCTAGACAGTCCCCCCAGACAATTGTACTTCTACCCCCATGCAAGTTGGAACCATAATGCTCTGGCATCTTGACCAACTCAGAATGTCTCTAAGGGGCTTGCAAACTGCCGGATAAATGAGAAGCAATACCTCTAAGGGGTGTTTCTACTGTACCTCTTCTCAGAACATCAACTCTATAGTTAGGGATGGCAGAAATTTAAGACACTTCTGAGCCTTCTCTCTTTTCGTATTTTTTCTTCTTCTCTATTTTCTCATTTTCTCCCTTTCTTTCTCCCCCAACTCGGCTCTTTCCCTTGACTCTTGATGGGCTCTGTGCTACTTTTCAGCTGGCAAGAGCTGCTCCTATATCCTATCTTCTTTATATCCTCTGAAGGGCCTCATCCACCCCTTCCTTGGCTGCAGGGATTATGAAAAGGCTGTAAGGAAAAAAAATCTGGGTTGCTGCACAGTTGGCCCTTGCTAACTGTGGGTTCTGCATTTGTGGATTCAACCAACTACAGATTGAAAATATAAGGAAAAAGTGAATGATTGCATCTGTACTGATTTTTTTGGTCATTATTCCCTAAACAATATAGTACAACAGCTATTGCATATCATTTATGTTGTATTAGGTATTAGAGGTAGTCTAGAGATGATTTAAAGTATATGTATATAAGAGGATGTGCATATCCTATATGCAAATGCTATGCCATTTTATGTAAAGGACTTGAGCATCTGTGGATTTTGGTATCCTTAGGGAGGTCTTGCAGCTGATCTGCCACAGATACTAAGGGATGACTGTGTTTTTTTTTTTAGGGCTGATATAAATAAGTACCACAATCCAGAAGGCCAGAGTATAAAATCAAGGTATTGCAGGGTTGGTTCCTTCTGAGGGTGGGGAGGGAGAATCTGTTCCAGACCTCTTTCCATGGTTTGTAGATGGCCATCTTCTCCCTGTATCTTTATATCATCTTCCCTGTCTATGTGTCTGTGTTTAAATTTCCTTTTATTATAAGAACACTCATCATATTGAATTAGGGCCCACTCTAATGACCTCATCTTAACTTCATTAGCTCTATAAAGACCTAATCTGCAAATAAGGTCACATTTCAACCTAAAACAATTACCAGGAAGGGAAAATACATTGGTAAGCATTTCACAATATTTCTGTTATCCCATCACATTAAATCTGTACATTAGGATGGAGCAAGAATGCTGTTAGTACTCTGGGGATGATTGCCTTTGATGGCTTTAAATGTAATTGAAAGTTGTCTTAGCATTTTCTTATACTGTCACTGACACTCTAAGGTAATAACTCTATTAGTGAAGATTTGGACTGGGGTGTAACTGGAAGGGGCAAACCCTTTGCTACATGAGGTTCCTGATCTTTTAAAAAGTAAGAAAAGGGGGCCAAGAGATGAAGCCGATGTTATATTTTTCCCAGGTAAACTTGACACTACGTCAACCCCTGCTACATCTTAGTAGGAGAGCTGAAGGGAGAGTATTTGAGCCAATGAATAGGCAGCAGTGAGTAGAGCTGATGGTGGAGGATTAGGCAAGGAACATGGTTTGTGGGAGTCTGGTGGTGACAGTAATCAGAGTGGTTGCTTCATTCACTGAGCAATCATGTTCCAGACAATTCATGTATTCATTCATTTTCTGTTCTGTAGGGGCAGTGCCCTACAGTGGTTGGAGACATGAACTCTGGAGTCAGCCTTGCACGGCTCCAAATCGTACTTCTTCACTGACTTATTTTGGACATTTCATTTAATCTCTCTTTGTTTCAGTTTTCTCATCTGCAAAATGGGTTTAATAATAATAGTATCTATATTTTAGGGTTATTGCAATGATTGAGTGAATTCATGTATGTAGAGTTAGGAAAAGGCAAGTCATATCATAAGCACTATATAAGTGTTATCTACTGTTATTAAAAATATTAGGGGCTAGGTGATGGGGAATCAAACTAAGATATCTATTGCACCCTGAAGAAACTCACAATCCATGGAAGGAAATAAGCATCCAAACACACAATTGCTATTGAATGATGAGCACTATGCGTAGAACGCTATGGGATTTCATAAGAGGGCATCCAGTGCATCTCATTCATGTTGTGAGCCTTAGAGAGGGCTTTCTGTGGAGAGGATGCCTAATTTAGATTTCAGATGATAAGTAGGAATCATCTAGGTCAGTGCTTCTCAAACTTTAGCATGTATCAGAATCACATGGAGAACATGTTAAAATACAGATTCCTGAGCCCCATACCTGAGATGTTGATTTGTCTGTGTGGGAAGGGGCCTGTGCATTTGCATTTCTAACAAGCTGCTGCGGTGGACTCTCTAGATGAAGTGGCAACGATCTAGGGGAGGAAGAGAAGTGGGTGGGGGAATTCTGGGCAACTGCAAGTGGCCCGGTATTGCTAATGTTACAGTGCATGTGGGTTGAGCAGTGTTAGCAGAGAAGAATAAAACATGATCATGGACATGAGGACACTAAGTGTCTTATTCTGTTTTAGGAGCTTGGACTTGGTGATGCTGGAGTCATGAGAGAACCAGTGGAAGGATTTAGGTGGGGGAGCAAGAGTATCAGATTTTCAATCTAGAAATAGCATTTTACCAGTAATGGGGAGTTTGGATCTGAGGGAAAAAGCTCAGAAAGTAGGAAGGCCAGTCATTCTTGCTATGATTCCATGAAGAAAGGATGAAGACTCCAGCTAGAATAAAAGGAGACAGAGACCAGATTTGTTAAGGGGACAGTTTTGACAGCATTTGGAGGTACAACTAGATATGGAAACTCAAGGAGAAGAGGCAAGTCAGTGATGCCTCCTATGATTTTTGATTTGAGTCATTGGAATGGGACAGGCATGATGGTGGAGGGAGAGAAATTCATAAGTTCATTTTTGGGATGTGTTGGGTTTAAAGTGCCTGGAAGATATTCAAGAAGAGATGCCCTATAGGCTGATCCATGCCTTGTGCTTATCCATGCTTTGTGCTTTATACACGCTGTGTTTAGCACTCAACTAACAATGGAAGAGGCATTACGGTCCCAATTATACAAAGGAGGGGCTGGAATTCACAGAAGTTTTGTGGCTTACTCAATATCAAAGTCAATATTTGATATATATGATCCAAATCTAAATATCCAAAATTTTGCAGACATTTTGGTACAGATTCAAGCAGCCAGGGACCATGGCTCTTCACTCAGGACACATATTTCATACTTTTGTCCTAGACCTAGAACCTTTAAACATTATATCTTTAAAATGAGCTTATACAGTGTGAATGTTTGAAATAACACTGGAGCCCAGGGTTGCTATTTGTTAATCACATGTTAGAAAATACACTACCATTCAGTGAAATCTTGAATATATTCTAAATGACTATAATATCTACATTAGAATTCACCAGAGTCTTGGAGAACTCTCTGCTTCAAAGATTTATAATTTGGCCACATTTGCTAAATTTCTTTTAAAGTTAAAAGTTGTTAATGTTTTCTACTTATGAATACAATAATCTACATATTATATTGTAAAACAGTATAATTCAACTTTGGATATTTTAAGTTATAGAAGGGTAAAGGGAAAACTAGTGGCTTCTAACTTAAACACAGTTTCAAGCTAAGATAAGAAATTTTGTGGGCCATTAGTTCCTTAGCTATTTTCTGTAAGTGTATAAATGTACTAAACTGGTAAGATACTGAGATTTAAAGAACAGCACAGTTATCATCAGTCTTCATGCAAAAGAGCTGTCTATAATGAATGACTTGATAACAGAGATTCTATTCTAAGGGAATGCTGAAAGTCATTGGGTGTTTCTTGGTGGAACCCAAGCTCATTACCCTCTGACGGTGGGATACATAACATGGCCAAAAATCTGACTTTAGCTTTTGGCTGGAGTGCTACCTTAGGAGACTGCTACCAGAGACTGGATGTTTTTTTCTATCAAGAAACATGAAAGAAAAAAGAGAGATTCAAAATATACTCTTCTAATATTTTTTACTTGAGGAAGTAAGGCAGTGAAATGCCTTCTCTGCAGACACAGATGTACGTGGGTGAATGTAAAAGGCAGAAAAATGAAAAGAATTGAAATAACATCCTATCTGCAGCTTTAAGTGAGCAAAACCACAAACAGAAGTTACTTCTAATCTAAGTTAGAGTTGAGTCTAACTTAATAGTAGTTACTATGATGTAGTTTTAAAGAACCTCAACTCTGTATTCAGGAAGACTACCCTAAAATTCCACCAATTAGTATCTATGTGAACTTGGGCATATTTCTTAACTTTTCTAGGCCTGAACTTTCTTAACTTATAAAATGAAAATAATATTTACAGCCACTTCAATGTGTTGCTGTGCACAATAAATGTTTTCAAAGTGCGTAGCCTAATGTCTGGTCTGCTCATACTCAGCACAAGCATTTACTCTTATTCTTACCATTTGGGCATATCTAGGAAAATGCAGCTGACAATTCATTCCAAGATATCTTGGTTCTTTTTGCCCTGCCTTCTATTAGAAAATCACTGGTTGCCCTGAGGCTCTAGTTGAGCCCTACCTCAAGAATCCTCTTCTCCACCAACAAATTGTATTTGGTAAAAGCAGAGAAAGGGGCGTTATGGTATGGGATAGAGTCAGAGCATGGACAACCTGTGGATCTGGGACATCTTTAAGTCTAAGTGGGGGGCCCCTCCCTTCTCCACAATGGGTGGGGCTTTCTTTTCGGTCATTCTTCTTTTATCTCTCTCCTACATTCTCAGTGCCTTCTCCATTCTCTCTTATTTAGTTCTATTTATTTCTTATTTCTTTTCTAGTAATAGCCTGAGCTAGTGAGAGTTGGGCTGACAATGTACTCACCCCAACTGGGCTATTAGCCCTGTGACACGGCCATTCATTTATTTAGCTCCATAAACCCTCAAATTGGGGAAGTGTGGATAGAAGCAATTCTTAACTGAGCTGTGCTGCATCAGTGCTGGGCTCTCATTCCTCCATCATTTTTCTGAGTTCTCCTTGCTAACCCTTTTTTGCTGCCATTTTTCTTTTGGTTCTCATCTTCATACATGGTTCTCTATTCCAGTCACTGGCGCAACTTCGTCTTGCTGAGAGCCTTCTCCAACTGCTTCCATCCTTTCTGCTTCAGAAACTGAACTCTTCCTTAGCTAGTTTAAAAATTTTGTTGCTTATTCTGCATGTAGTTATTACTATACTAAATTGGTGTATTTGATTCTGTACTAAAAGTTGTATGTAGAACAAATATTGAATATCTTCAAAAGCTATATTGATAAATACTGTTTCCACTTTTGGCAACCCAGCTTCCCCTCAAAGGATCTGGATAATCCTGAGTTCTAACAGAGGCTTCAAACGAACTTCCATAGTTATCATCTTGGGGAAAGGATGCTTTTCTCACCACCCTGAGGAACATCTTCGCTGCTCACACCTGTAGTCTTTCGTAAGAGTGTACACATTGTGTTATTTCTTAAGGAAACATTTACATGCTGATTAGACAGTCTTATCTTTCTTCTTTCTTTCAGAGGCAGAACCATGCTATGAGCAATCCTGAAGCTTAGGCAATATTTGGGACCTCTTTAAGAAAAGGAATACAAAGTTGCAAATATAAAATTAATATTCATCTAAAATAAAAATATACGACAGCAACTTACAATTTTTAAAAGCTGACAAAACCACAATCATCAGTTTATAAAAAAATTGTATCCCTTCATTAATTTACCACTTGACACACCAACATTTTTTCTATATTATTGGTTATGTGCTTTTTAATTGCCTATTTATAGGGCAAAGATTTTGTAACTCTCTCTATATATATCAAGAGAAAAATAAAATCCATTCTTTCCTCTATTACAATTGATGGAATTTGTCTTTCTATTGACAATTCAAAAAAGTGTGTTCTTGCTACACTTTTTATTATTGGTAGTGTCATGCTAAGGCACATAAGAATATATAAAATGTGGATTCACTCACAGACGTATTTGCTGTTTGTAGACTGTTACAGGTTTGCACCCTACAAACACAGGGATACTGATAAATTCTATTTGGTACAATTCCCATTACAGAGAAAATAAACATAAGAATCTTTATAATGGAATAATCTGCATTAGCTAGAATGCATTAGCCTGAGAGGCAAGAACTTCCATTTTGACTCGGCATTAGGCAGACTCCCTGCTTACAATTTTACATATCCAATACTTGAAAGAGTTTTCTACAGACTAGCTTCTGGCTCCAGGTGTTTCAAGCTTTGTTTCTTATGCACTCCCATCTACTTTTGGAGCCAGGCAGCATAGCCCACATTCATTTGGTGAGGTTATCTTTGGGATATATGGTACCTTCATATAACGAGGCTGTTGAGTTGACACAAAGGGCAATAGGAATTTTCCTGGAAGCCATTTCTATACTAGGATGATTGAAAATAGCAGCTATATAGCAAGTGACTGCAAACTACATACATATATTCTGCCAGATCCAAATACATCCTAAACTCAACTTACTTTAATTGGATCCCAAATTACCCATGGCCACTCCAATGCCCCTGAACACGAGGGCAAGTTTAACAGAGGTAGAGTCAGAATGAAAAGAGAAAGATGTCTTAACTACTTGCAGTTAAAATGTCTCTTGATAATTTCACAAAATTACAAAAGCACATTGCTAGAGCCCCTCTCAAGTGCTGGGAAAAGCCTGTGTGATTGCAGGGCCCTGACACTTAAGTTTCATTAGTCTTACGGTAAGTCCATCTCTTCCTGTTACCTGCCTGCTTGCCTTTTCCGTTCTTGCTACCCTCCAGGTCTTTCTTTTTCCTTCCTTATTTCTTCCATCCCTTTCTCCATCCCTCCCTCCCTCGCTAACTGCCACCCTCCCTCCGTTCCTCCCTCTCTTCCTTCCTTCCATCTTCCTTCTTTCATTGAAGAATGAGTAGAAGCATAGTGATTAAGATGGGTTGCCTGAATTGACATTAAAGCTGCATTACTTAACTGTGTGTCTTTGAGTGAGTTGCTTAACCTCTCTGAATTTGGATTACCTCATCTATTCAACAAGGATAATGATAGTACCAGTCACACAGGGTTGTTGAAAGAATTAAGATCAAATGTGGAAATTATTTAACTGACATACTGACTGTTCAATCAATGTTAGCTGCTGTTCTATATATTGCGCTGTGTAGATGTATGCAAAACAGAAGAGAGACCACACTCCTTGGGGATGTGAGACAAATGTAAATAAAAAATTATATAATGAATCTTTATAATTGGTAAATGCTCCCATAGCAGGTACTGAATGTCTCAGCAAGATAAGGTTGTGTGTTATGCTGAATAAGCGATTGAATCATGGGTTAAATGGATGCAGAACATTCATAGAAAAGGTGGGAGCTGAACCAAATCTTAAAAGTGATTGGATTTAGATAAACAAAAAGGAGGAGGATGAAGAAAATATATCTGCTGGGGGCTGATACAAGGAAAGGAAAGGCATGGAGGCTAGAAAATGTGTGGCTACTTACACTAAAATAGTAATTGTTGAACTATATTTCCTTAGAACACAATAAACTAGACCCTGGATTTAATCCATTAAAATTAATTTATGGCTATCTTTGTATCATTTCTTTCCACCCATTAAATTAAGTCAGTGAATAAAATGTTCTCAATTTAGAAGTTTTATCCCAATTTAAAAATATTAGGGGGCTGGCTCCCACTGATTTGTTAACAAATGCTAGCATATAATGCAACCAAATAATGCTTAGCAAATAAATATCCAAAATAAAATTCTGTGAATGACTTTGGTGGATACCGTTGGTTGACCAGCACAACTGCCTTTCTTGATCTATTATGAACAATAGAAAGTTAAATGTTCATATGATCAACCTCTCTTGACAAAGCTCTATAAGTAGAATTGCACTGGGGATTTTCTGGAAAGTTTTTGCTTTCCTGATGGGGATCTACAGGGTTGGTAACACAGCTTCTTTCTTTTATACTCGAACGCAGGCATATTGCCTGAAGCTGGAGCTAACATCTTGATATCAAGAAGGGACCACCAAGAGAACTGCAGAGACACTGGCCTTGACATCACAGATCTACTGAAACAATTCTGTCAGCCACAGGGTTAGAGCAAAACACCATCTCTCTAGTTATTTATGCCCACTAACTGTTAAGGTGTAAAGTTTTGAAGTAGATGACTTTTTTATGCCACTTAAGGGTTTTCATTTATATACTAAACAGGAAGTCAGGGACTTTGAGTCTTTTATCCAAATTATCTATGTAACCTTGGCTGTTATTTAACCTCCATTTTCTCATTTATAAGAAGACCATTATACCAATCTATCTTATAGGCATATCATGAGTTCTAGTAAATAACTCTAAAGTGCTTCATAAATGCTTAATGATGATAATGATCATGCCAGCAGAACCACTTTTGTACGACACAGAAATGAGCTCTCCTGAAGAAGGTATCAACAAAACATTGACAGGAAATAGTATTTCTTATAGGGAGAGAGCATGCATATTCCTAAGGAAAGGTGATCATTTAAACCCTGCATATCTAATTGAAAACTAAATGGAGAAGATAATGGTGTCATGATTGGGTTTATTCAGAACACATTTGAAGACTCATAGGTTGAAGATGAGATTCATTTTATTTTCTTCTCAAATTATATGGCATTATATGTCATGACCAGGGAAATGTTAGCTTCTTATTCTCTATAAAACAGCTCACCTTTTAGCCTCTCTCTGAATTTTGCTCATCTTTTTTTTTTTTAATGATAGCAAAAAAGAATTGAGATGTAAGTAGGACAAATGCATAAAAAAATCCTATAATTTCAGAAAGTGTTAAAATTATGTTCTAAGTCAACTTAAAAGGCAGTTATGCCTGCTGAGAGCCTGCTTTATTTTTGGTGTGAATTCTTAGGCATGGGATGTGGATTACCCAGCAGGGGCTTTGCCATGTAAATTCTTCAAAAAATTGCCAAACCCCATTCTCTTCCAATGGTGAGACATGGAATCATTCAGGTAAAATTTTTCAATTCTCTAATTTTCTTCTGTCATGTCTCCTTTTTAAAAATAAACTGCTAGCTGTTTTGTTATTCCCTTAAATATTCTCTTTAATATTCTTGAATCTATGCCTGAGTAGAGAAGTAAAGGTGTATGTATATGTGAATCCTCGGGATTTCTCTGTCCATGCTACATGCATTCTAATGTTTTCTTGGGCTGGATAGTTCAGTTGCATAGACATGTACCTGATGAAACTGAGTATATGGTTTCGATCCTACCTAATGAACTAGCCAGATTTTCACAGAGAAAAATGCCCTTCATTAGGCAAAAGCTATGGCTTCAATTTGCTAATATGTTCTGTTGATTCCAAGTGAGAGAGTATGCTTCCATTGCTGAGAAGACAACTCAGGGTATTCTATGGAAGCAAGGATAGAATTAGCATCTACAACATCATGGTTGGTTAAAAAAGGAGGGGACAGTGAATAATACTCTAGTGTATGTTTTAATAAATCTTACTGGTAGCTCGGATTTGGACCTTCTGTTCTCTTTTTGTTGTGCTAGGCAGTCCTGGATTGATCAGCACTAATAGTTTATCTGAGACTCAATTTATCTTTATCCTGAAGAGACAAATCCTTTGTCACAAGTTAAGTTTGAAAAGCAGATGGCTTCTGGTGCGTGCCCCCCACCCTCACTTTTTTTAAACGCAGGTGCAGTTTTAAGGAACCTGCTAGCCTACTAGTTAGGATTCCCTTACATTTCATCTGGCTTAACGCTACTTTTCTCCCTTCTCTCTGAATACTAAAAAGTCTATATGCATTTTCTTTTAATTGACAATTGATGACTCTCCTGTAGTTATTAGTGACCAGTAGTTTTATGGCTCATCAGGGTAGAACAACTAGGAAGAGAGACTGGGACCTTTTTCACTGTCTCAGACATTCCTTTAGCAGACTTAGTAGGTAGGTATATTATAGGGAATTGTTTCCCAATGGCAAATGAAAAAAAAAAAGTTAACTCAGTTCTACATTTTTACTGCCAGTATTAAAAATTATTAGATTTTTACATAAAATATTGGTTTCTTTTTTTTTTTTCAGTGCACAGCTAGTACTTTAGGTACTTGAAGTAGCTTTGACTATTTCCCTTTTCTTTCCTGAAACACAAGCAGATGGACACACTTGCTCACTCCTTTCTCTTAACATTCATTTTTTTTTTCCTTTAGGGTGGTTTATTATATGTAATTGAGAGCCAGTGTTTCAAAATATTCATTATAGAATTTTTTATGTTTTCACTTAAAGAGTTTTCTTGTTTATAGGATTTCTTTAACAAAAGGTAATGAATGTTACCATGTTTTGTATTAACAACTCAGTACTTCATAAAGTTATGGTGTACTTCTGTAAACCCTTTAAATTTACCCCTTAATGAGTTTCTTATTCTAATGGATCTAATTTTTGTAACACATTATGCATCTTGAATGACATATTTAATACTTATCCTTTAAAAAGTCACTGGCAAGAATTGTAAGTATAAGTATTAAAGGTCTTTCCTAACTTATTAGAAAAAAATAAAAGGGTGGGGGAAGCAGTGCATCAATTATCATGAAAAAAGGAGCTGATAATGTCCTTTTGCAAGAAACACTCTTAAAAGATAATGAACATGAAAAATTAATTAGATTTCAAGTTGGAAGTATCTTTCTCTACTTGATGAATTTGATAGTGCTGCTATTGCTACCTTAATGTATAAAAGGAAAAATGTCAAAATTAATAAGATAGTCAAGAATAAAGAGAATAGAATGGTTATTTTTGAGGGGGCTGACTACTCACTAGAAATAATAGCTAATTGGTACAAAGCTAACTTAGGAAAAGAATCAAGCAACATTGTTTTAGACATCTTTGACTGGCATGGTTTCTAAAAACACTCTAGTTTGCCGAGATTTAAATTCATTATAATGGAAATTGGATATCTCTGGACTGAAAAATTAGTGTTTGTGTCTGGCTTCTAACTTATAAACACATCATTGAAAGATTTTTATTTCTTGAGAGGAAGTGAGCCAGACATTTAGGATTCTCATGCCTTTCATATTCCAATTTGTTCTTTCATAAAATTAAAAAAAATTGGAGTTCAAAAAAGATTTTCCAGGGGCAGATGTGTGAAGGGAACTAAATGAGAGTTTTTATTTTAACCTCCCACGTTCCTCTCCTCAGTGATTATTTGAAAACCATTTATCTCAGTGGTGATAAATAAAATCTGGAAACCTGTCATCTTGCAGCATAATTAAAAAGTTTAGAAAAATATCTGATACTTTACTCAGAAAGGGCCTGGACCAAATTATCTCTTGAGGTCCCTTCTAGTTTTCAGATAATTTTTTCCTATAAATACTTAGCTTCCAGGATTAGTATCCAAATGATCCAAAGAATTTCACTGGCTTTCAATAGCCTTATGCACTGCTATAGGGTCATAATCTCTTGTTACATGTCAAAAACACAATAGATGGAATATTGGCAATATTTCCCTTACTAACTGTGTTCTGGACAAAGGAATTAAATTAATTTATGAAAAAGGGTTCTGTGTCAAAATTAATTTTTTAAATGGTATGAAAGAGTGCTTAGAGAAGACAGTTTGGTCTAGATCCAGCTGATAGCCTTAGAACCAAGTGAAATGTCTGATTGGATAGCAAGGTTAATGATATTCAAGACTAATATCCTCTGCACTCAGGGGGAGCATACTCTCTTGAATAATCTGAAGCATTATAAACTTGACTTTCTCTAAAAAGTAGACACACAAAACAAGTCAAAATTCAAAAGATTTGAGAGACCTCTTATGTCATTACCAGTAGGCCCCCCAGCCTGTGAGAGCACCCTCAGTCATGATGGGGTGGCCACATGTGTTCTTACACTACTGCCAGACTAATCAGAATCTGTGGCTTATGTGCGGAGAGTTTCTCATCCATTTTGTTTACTTTTTTAGACTACTTTGATTCTATTTTTAGATTATTGGCTTACTATATATTCTAATAAAATAATGCATGCTTCTGTTAATTATACTAAAAGAATGGGATGGTCTATAAGAAGAATCGCAATAACATGGCATAAGAACTCAACCTTTGTTGCTCTACCAGGCAACACAACGAAAGTAAACATTTGTGGCTGTTGAGTGGCTCTTTCCACACACTTTTTCACACTTGTGGCCTGACACATCTGCCATTTATAATACATGCTTTCTAAGTTGGGTCTACTCACCAAGCAGAGAGCAGAAAGAAAAAGTCAAGGATCACGCCTGGTGAAAGTTGAACACTACTTTTGCTCCTCACCATCTGTGGAAGAGAACTTAGTCACATAGACATGCATGGATACGAGAGAGGGCGGGAAACAATATAGCTGTGACTGTAGGCAGGAAGGAAGAAAGGACTTTGGCAGACAGCTTGAAATTCCATATGTTGCTTGTCAAAAAACATGATGAAGTAAAGTATTAGGTGGGTGCAAAAGTAATTGTGGTTTTTGCCATTAAAAGTAATTTAATTTGCCATTGAAAATAATTGTGGCAAAAACCGCAATTACTTTTGAACCCACCTAATACAAAGAAAAAGAAATCACCCTAAATTCTATCATCTAAAAATTATTTGAGGAACATCATTCTGTTCATTCCATATGTCTTTTCTAGACATATAGAGAGTGAATGGATAAATAATTGAATATAAAAGTGAAAAATAATGTTGAAATAGTGCAATCATTCTCTGCATAAAAATACTATGTTTAATTTTATTTAGATTAAAGCTTATTTAAACTAATTTAAATTTTAGAAGAAAAAGAAGCTGAAGTGACATTTAAAGGATTGCCAATGTTTCTTCATCAATAAGAAATAGTAATTTTCATGTTATCCCACTAAGGACATAAAGACTTTTTACAAGATTGAAGCCAAAAAAATTTCTAATTACATATTTCTTCTTTAAATCATATGTATAGGCAACCTGCTAGGATGATAAGGACTCTTCTACTTTTCACTTTTCCTCCCCTCCCTCTACATCCTGATTTTTGTTTCAAATTACTTTTTTTTGGTCAGCATTGTAGCATTACATTTTGTTCTGCAAACATAATTCCCTCTGTTGATCATTATGAGTTCTCTATTTAAATGGAAGCTCTGCTCAGTGCTAGTCCTTTTACCATAACTTTTCCATTACTGAGTTTACTTTTTAATTTATCACTTGGTTGGTTGGATTTTATTGTCATGTAGTTTTAAATTTTTTTATTAATTTATTTTTTTAGCAAGGGGATTATAAGTTCTTCCTTCTTAGTGTTCTTTCATATTTGAAAATGCCAGCCTATTGCCTTTATGCTTGCAACACTTGACTGGGTGTACTATTCTTGGTTACACAGGCTGCCCTTTAGTATGTTGCAGACATTGTTCTGTTGACTTCTGGAATGAAATATTGCTGTGGAAAAGCATGAGGCCAATCTGAGTTTTCCTACTATGGGTAATTTTTCTGTCTAGATTCCTGCATGATATTTTTCTTTATTTTTAAAGGTTGATGATTTAACTTGGATGTGTTTTGCTATTGATCATAATCATAGCCAAATTGCTATGTCTAGGTCCTATTCTAAGAATTTCACGTATATTAATATTTTTAATCCCTCAGACCATTTTATTGAGGTAGCAGGTAATGTTATTCATATTTCTCTGACAAGTAAAGTAATGCACATGTAAGTGAAGAACCTTAATTGTGGTGGCAGGACCAGGATTTAGTCCCAAGTCTCACAGCTCCACAGTGTGGCCATAATCACTATGCCTCCTTTCTCAGTAGTGTCATACTGCAACACACCAACGATCTGTATAATGTTTCCTGGTGTCCAGCATCCTATTGTTACCTGGAGATTCAGTTCTTTATATAGTCTTATGAAATTTTCCTGAGTTTTATCTCTGAATATTTTTTCTATTTCATATATATTCAGCTCTCTATAGCAGGGGTTGGCAAACTAGAGCCCATGGGCCAAATCTAGCCTTCTGCATGTTTTTGTTAACTAAAGTTTTATTGGAACACAGCCATGCTAATTCGTTTACATGTTGCTTCCTGGATACATCAGCAGAGTTTCATAGCTGTGACAGACAGAAACTCATGGCCTGCACAGTTTAAAATATTTACTATTAGATCCTTTACAGAAAAGTCTGAAGACCCCCGTTTTAAGTGATTGATTGTTAATCATGTGCATCCATTTGTTCCTGTTTCAAATGTAATTAGTGTGTTGCCTTTCATTTCATTTTGTTGTTGCTGTTTATCACTTTAGTTTGGGCATTTGTTTTACAGATGTTGTATTCTTATTAATTTTTAAATAATGCATATTTTAACTGCTTCCATTTGTAGTACTATGATTTTTCTTCTCTACACTGGCTGTCTGAGTTTTTACTTTCTCTTTGCATACTATGGTCTCTTCTTTTTCTCTCCCTCTTTCTTTCTCTCCTTTTGATTATAGTCTGTTTGCAAAGTTTCCATGTTGTTCCTTTCTATCTTGCTCCTTTTTAACCTGAGTGGCTGTACCCAGGTCTCTTATTTACCTGTTTTCTCTTTCTCAGAACCACCTAGCCTTCCTTCCCTCAGCTACAGTTTGTGCCTGAGAGTTGCCTTCTACACATTCCTTGGGGTCTGAGGATATGGAGGTGGGACAGATGGAGAGCTCTTCTAGCACAAAATGCAGCCCTAACTGGGCTCTTTCAGTTTTTTTTATTATTATTTAAATGTTCTGTTTGAAATCCCTCTCTGTCCAGAGCAGGATGCATTCCCTTTTGTGGGCTTCACCGTGTTTCCTCCAGCTTAGCTCATCAGTTCTGTAATAATGCTCTCCCTAACTTTGCTCTCCCTAATAATGCTCTCCTTAACTTTAGTGGGAGGTAATGGGTTCCATGGGCCTACTCTACATCAGGAAGCTTTTCTTCAAACTAGAGGACATTAATGGGACTTTTCCAACTGTTGGTGACTTACCTTTATTCAGAACTACTTGGAGGTATGGGTGAGATTAAGAGCTCATTATCTAATTTCCCAAGTAAGGTACTACAAACAATGCTTTAATGATCAAGTAGTGCTCTGAAATCTAACCAAGAATTTTCATTATAACTGCAAGCAAATGGCTCTGACCTGTAATTTTGAATTCTATCTTTGGTTTGCAAACAATTTCCTCTAGAGTTCATTGCTTTCTACTTCACAGAGATCTTGGTTATAAACATGGATCTAAGAAAAAAGAAACAAAACAAAAGAAGACCTTCTTTGAAATGAATGCCTCATGTAGCATTTGAGACAGCTGCTTACCCTATTTCAACCCCGCAGATCCTAGAGGAAACGGGGGAATAGCCGCCTATCAAAAAATAACAAACACTGAAAAGTTTTGACAACTTGACTATAATTACCACAGCTGCTCACTTCATTTTAAAAAAATTACCGTGAAATATTAATAGCAGTTATTAAATACCTGTTTGAGGAGTTGCAGTGTTTATGTGGCTGTTCTTTCTCTTTCTCTGCCCCACCCCAAGGAGAAGAGATATTGTATAATAAATTCCATTGATGTCTATCCCTCCTGGGAACTAATGATTATACTATCTGTTATTGTCAACGATGAAACCGAAGTGAATGAAACATATGCATGAGTTACTTGCTCATTCCCAAACTCCTTATAGTCAGCTGTTTTTCAGGAAGAGCTGGGACAATTGGGAGTGCTGCTTTCAACAAAATCAATTTTCAGTACCCTTGCAGGTGAATATTCTGGTCTTCTGATTAAGTATTTGGAGATCATAGAGGTGGCTTGTGAGCCAATGTCAACTTCTTGTGTGCACCATTCAACAATCTTGGTGTTCACTTCTGCCAGTTCAGCTCAGAGCCAGCCTTGGAATGTTTTCTCTCATGGTACTCCGGGGAACTGCTGCCAGTCCCTAAGTGTCAGTGCATAAGTTGAAACTGATCTGCCATCTTTGATAAGTGTCAAACACTAATTCGAAAAATTAGAATGTATTAAATTAACATTAAAGCCCCCCTTTTTTCTCTTAATTCTTAAACCCTTATAGAATCATGGAATGTCAGGTGTTCATTGTGAGAACAAATTTTGATTGCATCGTAGAAATACAGGAGTAATGTGAATATTCAGTTACTCATTCATGCATTCATTTTATCCAGAAATATGCCTTGAGTGTCTACCAAGTGCTGAGAAGTGTGATTACTGCTGGAAAGACACCATCTCTCTTTTAAGGTTCTGAGTCCAGTGAGGGCCTATGAGAACGTTGTCAGGACTCCAGCTGAGGCATGTAGCATCCTCATGTAATGAGGAAGCCATTGATTGCGCCTAGGAGTGTTGAGGGTAGAAGAGTCACACAGACACAGATTCCCTTGAACTAGGTCCTGAAGCAGGTGTGGTATTATCATTTGAATTGTGATTTAAAGATAACCTTAATATCTATTATCTCCTCTTCTTAATACTACTAATTAAAATTCATCATCAAAAGTAATAGCAAGAGAGTAGTTGAAGATAATTGTCTTTTGGGACTTTCTGCAGTTATAAAGCTTTACTTAGAATCCTCCAGAGAACTTGCCTCCTCTACCTACAGCTGCCTTACTCACTCTCGCTGCACAAGGCGCAGAAGCACAGACCTCTCTCTCATCTCTATTCTGTGGATTTTTCATGTCTGCTTTCCTGTGGTTGTCCAATGAACGCAAGCAGACACTTCTTCAGACTAGCTCAGGGGCTTTCACAATTTTTTTAACAACCACTCATAATAAAAAATATATTTTAAATTTCACAATCTTACTCCCTCCCACCTCTCTGCCTCAAAGATACCAAAGTCCATAGATACTCAAGTCTCTTATATAAAATGGAATAGTATTTGCATATAACCTATGCGCATCTTCTCATATACTTTAAATCATCTCTAGATTACTTATAATACCTAGTATAATATAAATGCAATGTAAATGGTTATTGTACAGTATTTCAAATTATTTTTATTGACACATAAGAGATGTACATATTTTGGGGGTACATGTGGTAATTTGATACATATAATGTGTGAAGATGAAATCAGGGCACTTTGGATATCCATCTCCTTAAATATTTATCTTTTCTTTATGCTAGGAAAACTTGAATTATTTTCTTCTAGCTATTTTGGAATGTACAATAGATTAATGTCAACTATAGTGACTCTGCTGATTTATCAAACGTTAGGTCTTATTTCTTCTATCTAACTGTTTACTTGTCCACATTATATATATTTTTTAAAAAGTTATAATAGTTTTAATTGTACTGTGATTTTTGCATTGTGTTCTTTTCCACATATTTTCTATTTGTGGTTGGTTGAATCCATGGATGTGGAACTTGTGGGTATGAAGAGCTAACTGTATATATAAAATTAAAGCAAAATTTTCATGAAACAATAATTATCCAATGTGCGTTACATTTTAAACATTTCTGTTCTTAAAATGTTCTTGATCATAATAAAAATGTTTGATTTTATAATATACTTCGAGTAATTCAAAATTTCAATAATGTCAGTTTAGAAGATGTGTGTTCATAAATACAGCTATTTTCATTATAACTAAAAATCAATAATATTTAGGAAAGCAAATTCAGTGGAGAATGTAAATCACAAGGTACCTTTTAAAACCAAATAGAATTAGAATTTGAGAATTACCAGTCTGCTTACCAGGAATTGTTTTGCTTCTCTTGAAAAATGACATCTTGAATTTTGTTATGTTTCTCTCCTTGTGTTACTACAAAGCTCAGTGTCAAATTTGGACATCATAGCATGCATTTTTTATATTAATTTCACCTCTGACTTTATTCTCTTTTTTTTCTTTTTTTCCTGGAGTTCTGAAGTTGCTAAAAAAGGAACCCTATGGTGTTGTTTGTATTTTATAAGGTACATTTACAGCTTTTGGATCAAGATGCAAGTAAATAAATAAAATCGATATTGCTATTGCTGCTATCAGTGCAGACAAGTGAGCACCGAAAATCTCTGAATTCTGTAATGTGCTTTGAATTACTTTGTCTGCATTACACAGAACACTCCTTGCTTTTAATGTGTTTGTGCCATCATTCCATTGTCACTAGTTCAGGCTCATGCACTTGAAATTCTTTAGTTACAGTGTGAACAGAAACTCATGAAAATGGCATCGAGAGCTTGGAAATATTTGCACCTGTCTCTCTAGCTAATGCTGTAGGGAGATAGCTCCATATTTCAACATGCTCCTATGGAACGTTGTGTTCCAATTACCTTCTATTGTAATTCACAGGTTGTTATGGTAGAGATTTTGACAAGAACAAAAAGTCTCTGGTGAAAATTTGATGCTTTTATACAGTTTTTAAAAACCCTAAGCATGCTAATTACTTCAACGATGACATGTCAAGTGCATCCCTGAAAAGGGGGCTTGGTGCTTTGGAACACGGGTGATGCTGTGACTACCCAATGGAAGGGCAGATATTTGCCCACACGCAATTACCTATGGTAATTGTGTCCCGAGTGAAAACAGGCTTTATGCAGCCTAGTGGAATAATTATGAAAGTCAGAGGAAGCAAATGAACAGCAAGATACTGGCTCAGAATAATTCACAGGCAGCAATAGACACCAGCCTGTCTGGGAGTCTATAGGTCTTCTGTGTTTCACCTATGTTGGTTTCCAAACATGTCACAGATGTTTCCCAAATGAACAGGTACCTGAAACCAAAATATTATATCGGATATATTGAGTTTTACATTGTATGGTTCTCATCATATGAGTGAACATCTGTACTGGTTTCAGATTTTTTAAGCAAATTTTATAGGTTTTAAAATGCGAGTACTGATCAATAATTCAAAAACAAATACTGAATTCTAATGCCCAACATTGTGTTGATTGATTAAGAATTTTTCGAAAATACATCGGTGGTTCACAGATTTCCCAGCAGATTATTGACTCCTGGGCCAAATCATGCAAATATGATGCTTTGTTAAAGATCACAGAAAACCTGGCAGATTTATTAATACCTGTGCATGCTCTTATCTTATGCCACTGTTACTATTGTTACTGTCACGAGCTTTTCTTCAAAAGGTGGGGAGAAAAGTCCCAGCAACAGTAAGAGAGAGATGAAGATTTACTTCTCTGCATTCTCTTTCTGCTCCTTTGTTAAAAGCCTCCTGGTTCTCAATTGAGGTTTGCTGATCTTCTTCATTTTCTCTGCTTCTTCCGTGTCGAGAAAGAAGTTACTGGAAAAAAAATCTTAACAAATGTTTATTGGCTACTTTCTCTGTGCTAGCCACTGTGCTCCCTAACCCTTGGGATGGAGCAATGAACAAGTCACCCTGTCATGTCCTTCATGGGGCTTGATAGTCCAAGATGGGCTGGCCATTAAATAGAGACTTACAAAGGGAATTTGTGTGCCAGAAATTTATCATCTAAACTTTATTCTTCAACCCCAAGACACTGGAATGCTACAGTTTTCTGTTTTGTAAGTAGATATTTTCTGGGGGTTTCAATTTCTGATGAGTGGCATTTCAATTTCAAGACTTACAGAAATGTTTTCAACAGATGCTCAAGTAGTCTCCTGAAGAATCTGCAGGGAGCCCCCTCTAATGTATGCCACATATAAATTCATATTTTCCTTCCAAATTCCTTAGGAACTTTAGTCAGATAGCTTTTTTTTCGATATCTGAAAAGAAAATGAGGGTTGGTTAATTAGAATTCCACATAAAACCCCCACAGAGACCATGATGACAGTATTGTCTGCTTTTTGTTTCAGCCTAGTGGCTGATGGTCAAATAAAGTTTCTTCAACAAAGTTTCTCATATGTCCTGGATGCCTGGATGGCTTGGTCTTTTTTTCTTTTTTTCTTGTAGAATACAACACCATAGGAGTAGGAGTAGACATTAAAATACCTGAGAACTGTCTTGCTGGATTATTGCATATAAAAAGAAAAAAGGAGCATGCATGTTTTTTACAAAAGAATCATTTTCCTTCAGGTAAGGATACACAATGAGCTGATTTACTTTTAATGAGTTTTAATCTGTCATTGTCCGTTCTTACACTTATATTTTCCAAATCAGCATTCCATTGTCTGCATAAGACTGGAATACTTTTCATATATTTTTAGAGACTTATTTTTCAGAGGGCTTCTTTTGTTTTGGAACACCTCTTTGTCCTTTTTTTCACACATGTAGTTACTTTTCAGGAGTCTCAAAGCATCTATGACTTTAACTACCTACAGTTTTTAATCAGGAAACTCAGGGCCTCAAAACAATATTTTCTTGGTGAGCTGAGTTTATGCTGCAGTTTTATGAGTTATAGTACATTTGGTACATTACGAACAGTTTCTTATACACCCAGGTACTTTAAAGATATGTGGTACTATATAGCAATTAACAATTAAAAGCTCAATATTTTAATCAGATATTTATTTTTTGTGGTATTCTGTGTGCTAAAATTTGCAAGAAAGTAATAATGCCATAACATCCTCTTTGCCTTTATTATGCACATTTTTACCCACAGATCTACTAAAATGTGTTTTTTAAATATATATGTATATGTGTATATATGTATCTATAGTACCTATATATACCTTTCATACATATACTGATATTTATATAAAGTTCCCTCTCTTTTAGCATCTTTATTAAGAAGAATTAGTAATATTATTAAAACAACAAGGCATTTTAATCATGTATGAAATCTCAGGCACTCCTAAAATTGAAGAGCTAAGGAAAATACTATTTTCTTGTGGCTAACATTGTTGATGGTATTAAATAAAGAGGGGCAAAACATCAATAGTTGGTCTGAAGAAGCTGGACAACATTTGGTTCAGAGATAGATGACAACAGAAGTTTATTATAGAAATCAGAAGAGTTCAAATCATGCCTTTTATTTATACATGTTTCAGGCAGCGTTCATAATTTTAAGAAATGATTGTAAGTAATAGAAAGAAACTTACGGGGGCATAAGGTCAAACTTTTGCCTATTTATTTATGCGAGATTTCTTTTTGAATTTTGCCATATATATATGTAAAATGGAAGATAAAGTCTGAAAAGGTAGGAATAGTAGGAACTATGGGATGAAGGACTAGCAATATGAGCTGTAAATTCTAATGTTAACTCTGTCATCCAGTAATTTTGTGAACTGAAGCCCCTTGGCCTTTCTCCTCTGTAACTTAAGAACAATTGAGCCCAAAGACACTTTTCTTCAGGTTATTTTAGACACAATTGCCTTGCCCAGGGTCCCTCTGGCTATAGTTTCCTTCTTGATGCACTAGAGAGCCATTGAAGACAGCACAGTAGAAGCAAGATGATTTATATTTCCAGGTTCTTTGTAAATCTACCAAGATTCGATATGTCTGTTCTTGGCCTTGAGAAGTCAGGCTTATTTTGTCCAAAAAAGCAAACAGACACAAAGCACTTTTCTAAGATGTGGAGTGACACTTGGGTCTTCTGTAGGGCACTTTAGATTTCTCAGCTGAAGCTAAACATTGTCAGGTTAAGTGCTGACTACACCAGGTGTAATTGCCTAGTTCACTTTCCCTGGACCAAAAGTAGTGGTGAAGACCCTGAAATCCGGCAGTTTGAGGTCAAGTTTGGCATTGGTCTGAAAAAACATACTTGCCTCGGGAGACCTGTGCGTAGAGACAGTACTGGCTTCCCAATCAAGGAAGGCCGTGGAGGGTGTGTGTGGGTGGGAGCTGGGGATTTTGTTGATTCTAGCCCCATTTGAGAGAGAAATCCTGATTTATATTTGAAAGCTGTGGTTTTAGAATCACCATCAGAGGCAACCTGAAACTAATAAAACTGGGACAGAGAAGATGTGTAATAAAGAAATGAATAAATAAGGGAATAAAAGAGTAAAGAAATGAAAAATCCAAAAGTCTTCCAACTTCACCTTATGGATAAAATTATCTTTGACCACACGGATATTTCTCAGAGGTTGATTATACAACTGCACTTCTTTTGAAACAGAAAAATATGTTAAGTAAGTGCTAAATAATGACTTTAAAATGATATTACCACCAGAGCTTAAATAAATCAAAATATGGTGACTCCCTGAGATAAAATTTATTCTCTACCAGGTACTGGCCTTATTGAGAAAACTGGCTTTTTCTGTTTTGTAGAAAAATGGGAATTAAACAATACTAAATCTTTAAACTCCCCTTTCTATTAATAAGCAGACTCCTCATCAGGATGGACTGCAGTTCCCCAAAGAGATTGAGGAACAGAAAACGTTTGCTGAATTTATTGTATGTAGATAAGAAAATAGTCACTCAGGGGATATGCATAATAACAGCCAAGTTCAAATTTACTTTTGTTCTCTCTAGTTTTGTACCTGCTCCTCCCTGAACAGGGACCCAGGGCCACAAGAGGAAATCTTTTGGGATCAGAAGCAAAGTGAGAATTTGATGCTCGAAGAAGATCAAATTCTTAACGAGCTTTATCAAACTTATTTTCAAGAAACATGAGCTGTGGTTCTTGGTGAGAAACTCTGAGTTGGCTAAAGGATGCATTTGTTGAGGAAGTAACTCATAGAAACCAAAGCAGATTTTATTTCCAGAAAGTGTGGTTTGGGATGGAGGCATGATCATATAAATGGATTTTCCAGAATTACTAAGGGGTGGGGAAACACCCTGGCTCTGGCAGCTGGGCCTTCTTTGGCCTAGAATAGTGGTCTCCAACCTTTTTGGCACTAGGGACTGGTTTTGTGGAAGACAATTTTTCCATGGATCAGGGCGAGAGATGGTTTTGGGATTTTTCAAGTGCATTGCATTTATTGTGCACTTTATTTCTATTATTACTACATTGTAATATATAATGAAATAATTATACAACTCACCATAATGTAGAATCCCCGGGAGCCCTGAGCTATTTACCTGCAACTAGACGGTCCCATCTGGGAATGATGGGAGGCAGTGACAGATTATCAGGCATTAGATTCTCATAGGGAGCGTGCAACCTAGATCCCTAGTACGCACAGTTCGCAATAGGGTTTGTGCTTCTATGAGAATCTAATGCTGCCACTGATCTGAGAGGAGGCAGAACTCAGGCAGTAATGTGAGAGATGGGAAGTGTCCGTAAATACAGATGAAGCATTGCCCGCTTGCCACTACTGGTTCATGGCCAGGGGGTTGGAGACCCCTGGCCTAGAAGATAGTTTGTCCTTTATTGGGATCCCTACCTTCTACCTGCAAATATTTCCCTAATTTTTAGTTATCTGTATCATTATTAATTATTTCATCAAATTAAAATATGCACTCTAATTGGCCAAGCTCTGTATCAAGCCCTCAATGTTTTAGGCTTGTTGAGCATCTTACAACCAGTGTGGGGTAAACTGAAATGGTTCACTAAGCAATCCTCCAAAGAATACAATTCTTATAGCCCTCAATCAGTTTAATTCAATGTAAAACCCCTAGGTTTTCCTCGATGTGATTTCAAATTGTCCTGAATTCTTCAGGCAATTAATTCAACCCTTTGTTTTTCTTTTAACATTAAAAAAATCAGGAAACTACAAAAAAGGGGAAAGAATAGTCCAATGACTATCTATTTTTCTTTTGCCTAGATTAATTGATTATTAACTTTAATCAAATTTTAATATACCTTTTCAATCTCTATATAAATACGTGTATTTTTTGATTAATTACTTGAAAATAGATTATAGATATTATGACATTTCACTCATAAATCCTTAGCGCTGATCTTCTAAGAATAAAGAAAGATGTTTTCCTGTTTACCACCATATCATTATTACACCCAAGTAATTTAAAAAGACTCACATGCTATTAATTAACATACAGTTCATTTTCAAATTTTACTAGTTGCTTTAAAATGCCATTTATAGCTATTTTATTATAATTCCAGGATCCAATCAAGTTTTAATTCTGCATTTAGTATTTTTTAAATTTAAATAATTTCTCCTCATCTTTTTCATTTGTTTATTTTCTGTGTCAAAGACTTTTTTCAAAAATCTAGGCCAGTTGTAGAATGTTGTTTATTTTTGATTTGTCTGATTGTTTACTCTTGATTAGAATCAAGTTAGACCTTTGTTTGGCAGGAATATTGCAAAAATGACTGTGGTATAGAAGTTAGTGTCCAAAAAAGTTTCACTACTCTTCTCCCCTTTTCTTCCCCAGCATTCCTTAGTGGAGCATATTTCCTGCCCAAGTCTTTAAGTTTGACTTGCTAAGGCCAATGGGAACTCAGTTGAACTTAGTAGAGCAATTAGGATTATCCTGTGTGCTCCTGCCATTACATAAGAGGAACATTTTCTGGCTCTCAGAAAATTGAGTGATCTCCAGACTCAACCTGAATTGAAAACTTAGCTTGCTGCCAAGCCTTCCCTAGATCAGCAGAACCCCAGCCAACCTACAGATGTGCAAGCAAAAAGTAAATGTTTATTTGTTGTATGCCACTGAGATTTTATGGTTAAATGTTAACAGTAAAATAGCAATCCTGAGATGTGAGATAGCAATCATGTCTATTTCTTTTTTTCTATTGTGCTAAAAAACACACAGGAGCTCTACGCTCTTGACTTTTTAAGCACTTAGTACAAATATTTAGTTAAATGCACATTGTTGTACATCAGATCTTAAGAACTTTCTTATCTTGCATAAGTAAAACTCTATATCCATTGAATAGTTCCCCTTCCCCCATCCCCTGGCAATCACCATTTTACTTTCTGCTTCTATGAATCTGGCTACAGATACCTTATATAAGAAAATCATGCAATATTTTTCCTTTTGTAACTGACTTATTTCACTTAGCATAATGCTCTCAAGGTTCATCCACACTGTAACATATAAAATAATTTCATTCTTTTTTAAGACTGAGTAGTATTCCATTGCATGTATATATCGCATTTGCTTTCTCCACTCTTCTGTTGATTGATATTTAGGTTGTTTCTATCTCTTGGCTATCATGAATAAAGCTTCAATGAACATGACAGTGCATATGCCTCTTCAAGATCCTGATTTTAATTCTTTTGGATTAATACGCAGAAGTGGGATTGTTGGAACACATGGTAGTTGTATTTTTAATTTTTTGAGGAACCTCCATACTATTTTCCATAGCAGTTGTACCATTTTACATTCCCGTGAATAGTGCTCAAGGATTCCAATTTCTCCACTCTCTAACACTTGTTATTTTCTGTTGTTGGTATTATTGTTGTTTTGGATAATAACTATCCTAACAGGCTGAAGGTGATATTTCATTGTGGTTTTGATTTGCATTCCCTGGATGATTAGTGATATTGAGCATCTTTTTGTATACTTTTTGGCCGCTTGTGTGTCTTTTTTGGAGAAATGCCTATTCAAATACTTCCGCTCATTTTTTAACCAAGTTACTTGTTTCTTTTTTGATATTGAGTTGGAGGGGTTCTGTATATATTTGGGACATTAATTTTTTTACCAGATGTATGGATTGCAAATATTTTCCATCAATCCATATGTTGACTTTCCACCCTGTTATTTCCTTTGTTGCACAGAAGCCTTTAATTTCATGTAGGTCCCACTTATCTATTTTTGCTTTGGTTGCCTGTGCTTTTGGTTTTATATAAAAGAAATCATTGCCAAGTCCAATATCATGAAGCGTTTCCCCTATATTTTCTTTTAGGAGTTTAATAGTTTCAGGTCTTAAATTTAAGCCTCTAACACATTTTGTGTTGATTTCTGTGTATGGTATAAGATAAAAGTCCAATTTCATCATTTTGCATGTGGATATCCAGTTTTCCCAACACTCTTTGTTGAAGAGACTATCTATTCCCCATTGTGTATCCTGGTATTTTCATTGACAGTCAGTTGACTATGTATATGTGGCTTTATGTCTGTACTCTCTGTTGTTCCATTGGTCTATATGTCTGTCTTTATGCCAGTACTACACTGTACCATTGATTACTGTAGCTTTGTAATAGGTTTTGAAGTCAAAAAGTATGAGGCAGGTGGCTTTGTTCTTTCTCAAGATTGTTTTGACTATTCAGGGTCCTTTATATTTTCATATGAACTTTAGTATTTTTTTCTATTTCTGCAAAAAAAGCCATTACGATTTTGATGGGGATTACATTGAATCGGTAGATTGCTTTGAGAAGTATGAACATTTCAATAATATTGAGTCTTACAATTCATGAATACAGGATGTCTTTCCATTTATTTCTATCTTATTTATTTCTTTAGGCCCTTGTTTTCTAGTTTTCAGTATACAAGCATATCACCTCATTGGTAAAGTTTATTTCTAAATATCATATTCTTTTTGATGTAAATGGGATTATTTTTAAAATTTCCTTTTCCGATTATTTGTTTTTAATGTATAAGAATATAACTGACTTTGCATGTTGATTTTTTATTCTGCAAGTTTGCTGGATTCATTTATTGATTCTAACAGATTTTTTAAAGTAAAATCTTTAGGGTTTTGTACATACAATACCATGTCAATTTTGAAAAAAGATAATTTTACTTCCTCCTTTCCAATTTGGATGTCTTTTTATTTCTTTTCCTTGCCTAACTGCTCCAGCTAGAACTTCCAGTACTATGTTGAATATAAATTGTGAGAGCAAGCATCCTTGTCTTGTTCTTGATTCTAGAGGAAAACCTTTCAGTTTTTCACCATTGAGCAGCATGTTAACTGTAGGCTTTACATGTATGTTGAGGTAATTTCCTTCTATTTTTTTGATTCTCTTGGGCAGTCTCTTGAAAAGTTGGAATATTGTATGCATGTTCCAACTCTTTCTCTTCCTAGCTGGAAACCAGGAGATGTGGATTTGTTTCCTCCTATTTCATGCTGAGCTGGGAAGGGACTAGGGCCAGTAAGTGTGTGCTAGTCTAAATTATTGCTTTTGTTCTCAATAGCGCCACACCTGGCACCTCTTCCTGTCAGCACTTAGATTCAGGCAAGAGAAAAACTGGTTCCTCCAATAGCCCCACAAAGAGCCTGAAACTTGTGTTTCAGACTTTTTTCCCCCCGCTGAGAGATAAGCTGAGAGCTGGGCACTTTTTCTCATTTTGCATCAAACTGAGCCAGAGGGAGGGACTACGGTAACTGGATGCCACAGATTCATCTATTGGCTTGATATGGCTGATTTTACACTTGTCCACGGTGCAGAAGTCTTTTAGCTCATTTCTGGGTTTCTGACAAAGGGAATTGGTCCATGTATTGTTTTTGAATCAGTGTCTTCTCCACTGGGAAAGCAGGACTTGGGCTTTCCATTCTGCTATCTTACTGATGTCACTCCTCCTTGTCTATGTCTTTTTACATGACATAATATCAGGTTTACCACTATTGGTGGTGTCACATTTAATCATATGAAACAGGCAGTGATCAATAGAGCCTCTCTTCTTTGAAAATGTTGAGAAAATGTTAAGTCATCTGTGGATGATATTATGAAATTGTATGGATATCATTTTTCTTAACAGCCTTTCATTCAGTGTTAGCAGTTGTTGATGGTCCTTACCAGATCAATTATTACGTTAGGGCTCTCACCCTCCATCTAATGATGTCATTTGTTCTTCTGATTCCCCCAAGAAAGAAAGATTAGACTTATGTATATATTTGCACACTCCAGAGAAGAGAAATTATCTCTCTCAGGAACATGAAATAACCCCAAACATAATTAATTTGTTTATGTTTTCCTGGAGTTGGAGTCTCCATCTGAGTTTTTGTTATAAGATGGAGAAGGGGGCTATAGAGCTGTGCTAATTCCTTCTGAATTATTGTGGGTATTTTCACTTTAATCGAGCTGAACTCACATTTTGGCATGTTAAGAGGGGTAATTGCTTAATGACAACTTAGGAACTTCAAAAGTAGAGTATTGATTAAAGTATGGTACATTCATAGATTGAAATAATATGCAGCCATTAATAGGAATGTTGTAGATAAATATTTAATAACATGGAAAAATGTCTGTATTAACTTAAATCAGTAGGTTATTTAATAACATACATTGTGTAACAGTAATGTATGTGTGCATATAGTAAAGTTATATTACATAAAATTAAGTCATCTATTAATTAGGAAATCACTTATAGTGAAAATTATGCTTAGAGGTATTTTAATTCACCCATAAATAATAATACACAGTTTTATGTATACACAAACTACTGAGTAATTCTTATACATTTTGAAATTTGAAAACCATTGGGTTAGACTAAAGGAAAGAATTAAAGGAAAGGCCTATATGTAGATTTTTGGAAATTCAAACCATTCTGTCTTTAAACTAGCTATCAGATCCCTAGAAATCCATTGAAGATGGCTGGGTCAAGAATTGTGAAATGTTCCTGCTTTTCTTCAAGAATGATTCCCCTCTTTCTATTATTAAGCCTCTAAATATTAATTCAGTTAAATAGAACAGTTTGCTATTATAGGAATTTAATGAGGTATGATGATTCATATTGAGAAAAGCAATAAATAGGTCCTGAAATCTGTACGCAAGTTAAATGCTAAAATGCATGAATAATTCAATTCATACTATGCTGGTGTGTGAGAATATGTATACTAAACCCTGTGAAAAAGTATCAAATTATTAACAATGATTAATTGTTATCATTTAGTAGTATATTTTGGGTCATTTTTATGTGCATTGCATATTTTTGCATTTTCTGAATTTTCTACCTGAATGTTTGTTTCTATGATAATTCTTTTATATATATATTTTTAAAAAACAAATGATTGTGATTCTCCCTCCTCCATCTTTCTCCTCCTCCTCCTTCTTCCTTCATAATTCTTTTGTATATATATTTTTAAAAAACAAATGACTGCGATTCTCCCTCCTGCATCTTTCTCCTCCTCCTCCTTCTTCTTCCTTAATTAGAGCTTCAGTCCTGAGTAAATCTAGGCAGTAAATAGGCCTTGGGCTTAAAATAATTTTTTTTCCTATTGTGTAACAATAAGAGAATTCATAGATTAGATATTTGTGGGTTGTATGCACTCTGCCTTGGGTGAAAGTCAGGACAACCCTAGCTATTGCCATGATCCAGGGTCCTAGGTGATGGCTCTCTTCTTTAGGGGCAGTATTTGAGGTCAGAATATAAAGAAAGGGCAAAAGGAATAAAATAAAATTAGTCCCAAACAATTGTACAAATAACCCCAAATATGGTGGTGTTTTGTCCTCTTCAAACTGAGTATAAGTTAACACCTTCACTGTGGTAGAACTGGAAACTTCTGAGCTCAGATCAAAGTTTCCCAAGGAGTGTCAAAATGCAATATAACTTATTGGGATTTCTAAAATTAGCTTTCAGTTGATAGTTGTTAAAATAAAGACCCTAGTTCTTGGTCCAACTAGTGGGTTATCTCTTTACATTGAAGATCCTATTTTTATTCTACCTCAGCCTTCATAATTAAAATTCTTTCAACAGATTTGCAAAGTATACCCATAAATATAAAATAATGTGATGGAATAATTAAGTCATACTTTGAAAAAACAGTATTATGAATCCAATGTATAGACAGTAAATAAGCCAATAACTTAAACTCAACTAGAACATTAATTAGAATATAAACCTTTGCTAAAAACAATAGATAACATTTATTGGGCACTACTTTGCATCTAACACTATGTTAGATGTCTTACATCTTAATGTGTGTTACTACCACACATTAATCCTGTGTGATAGTAACTTTTTTATCCCCATTACATAGATAAATAAACGGAGACTTATAGAATGTCTTAGTCCATTCCTGGTGCTATAACAAAGTACCCTAGACTGGGTAATTTATAATCAACAAAAATCTATTGCTCACAGTTCTGGAGGCTGGGAAGTCCAAGATCAAGGCACCACCAGAGTCAATATCCGGTGAGGGCCTGCTCTGTTTCAAACATGGAACTTTCTCACTGCGTCCTCACATGGCAGATGGGAGGGCAGATCCCTTTAACATCTTTTATAAGGGCACTAACCTCGTACTAATCACCTCCTAAAGGCTGACCTCTTAATACTGTTACACTGGGGGTTCAGTGCCAACATGTGAATGTGAGGGAGACTCCAACATTCAGACCACAGCGGAGAGTTTAAGTGACTTGGCAGGAAACTAAGCTGATAAAATATAGGGTCCAAATTCTGAAGTTCATACTCTTTCTGTTACTTTTTGAGACAAAATCTTTTATTTCTAGAGAACAAAGCCTTGAGGAGGCCCTAGATATTGGTATTTGGAGAATTATTTTAATAAAGAGATCAAGCAATGAGAAGTTTCTTGGAGGTACTGAATAAGAAATGAAGAAAAGGCCAAGAAGGTGGGAAAAAAGAGGGCTCAGAAAAGGAACTCAAGGAGGAGCTGGATAAGCTGGGAATGGGGGGAAAGCAGCATGTTGAGGGTAGAGGACAGGACGGGGTATGAAGGGGAATTCAAGAAATGGCTATGAAACAGAAGTGAAGGGCATCTAGAGTGGTATTTAAGTGCACCAATGTTGGAGAGCAGAGAGAAGCTACATAAAGCCCAAACTGGTGGTTACGAGCGAATTTATTGATAGAAGTAAAATCTCAAATTGCATGCTTAATGTCAATCTAGTTTACAGCTTTAGGTAATGTAAACTAAGGGTGACAAATTCAGAACAGATGGCAAGAAGCAAGTCTTACAGACAGCAAATTACAAATGCCTGTGAAATGGACATCCTGAAGGGACAGCACTCAAATCCACTACCAGGGAACTTCACAATCCCTATCAGTGATTTACATGTGACAGTCATGGGTGGAGGCACCCACTAGCAAAGCTTCCTCCAGTTTTCATCAAGGAGAGTCTGTTCATTCCTTGATGTCATTTGCTGACTGCATTTTAGGGGTAGCAAAATAACCTCCTGTTAGGAACATTGTGGGACTGACTTTTAAAAACAGATGTACTGTGATAATCAAATGGCAAGTCCCTTCCCTCAATTTTCTCTCTGAATGTTTGCTTCTGCTTTGGAAAATTGTTTGGAAATGTTTGGGCAAGTACTATGTTATACATGTAGTGTTCAGTTTGACGGAACTGTTTGACTAAAATGAGAATTGGAGGAAAATCAGATTTGGAAAAGTTTTCTTCTCCAATCACCTCTCAAATCAATATTATAAGGTAACTATGTGCTTTAAAGATTTAAAGATTCTTTTGATAGTACGATACAGCACAATGACAAATTGGATAGATGAAAGGCAGAACACTTTACTACTTACAGCTCCAAAGGAGAGAAGGTTGCCATGAAGGGCCACACAGAGGATTGCTCCTGGAGATGGGGTAACAGCAAGTTGAAAATGTAGCAGGTGACTTATGTGTGGCAAGTGAGAGGAAGTTAGGTTCAGGGGCTTCCTGGGGATCAGCTAATTTGCATAATTCCCGGGAGTTGGGGCATAGATGCTGTCCCTGCTTGTTTGGTACCTGGCCCTGGGGAGGTTGGGATATGTGCCTAGTTGCTCTGGAGAGTGGACGTCTGATAAGAAAAGTGGTTGGGTTTTGGGCACAGCAAACTGCCTGCATGAGGAATTGAAGAGTTTTCAACCATGACTTCAGCACTGAGTCCAGACGGCACTTGTGAAATATTATATTATCCTATTATGACTGCTGAAGTGTGGCAGCTTGAACCTGCAGAAACAGTTGTTTTTCTTGTTCTTTCTGCTTTTGAATTCTACATATGTAGAATTAAGGGCACTAAGACCCTTTGTGGTAAGGGAGGTATTTATATTCTCTCTTAGGATTCCACACTTTTTCAAACTGCTCCATTTTTTTCAGTACTATATCATTTTTTTCAGTCTACAAGGGTAGAAATCATACTTGAATTGTTCACTGATCCTTCTTTCTGCAGCTGCTTGCCTGCTCTTCCCTAATTTATTTATGCCTTTCTATTCCTACAGGTGCTATCTTAACTCAGGTCTATATTATCTCATAATTATTTTAATAGCCTCTTTCAGCCACTTTCCTTTCCTCTAGTCCAGGGGTCACTAAACTATGGCCTGCAGGCCAAATCTAGGCCATTGCCTGCTTTTGGAAATAAATTTTTATTGGAACATTCCACTCATTTGTTTATGTATTGTCTGTGGCTGCTTTCATGTTACAAGGGCAGAATACAGTCATTGCAATAGAGCCTACAGCATGCAAAACCTGAAATATTTATGGTCTGCCTTTACAGAAAAAGTGTGTCAACCCTTGTGTCTTGTATAAGATACTAAATATCCATTCAAAATCCTGATCATGTCCATCCAGGAGGTAAGACGAGGAGAGGAAGGAACTACATTCATTGAGAACTCCATGTCAACTCTGGGCTGGACACTTTGTGTGAGTAAAGCCCAGGTCTATAAACTCAGGGGAGTAAATGATGTAACTTCCCTTCTTTTTTTTCCTAAAACTTAATGTAATTTCTATTATGAAACACCATCCTCTTGGATGTCAGAAACTTAAATCCCTGTTAGTTCAGTTAATTCAGTCTTTCCCTGTCTTCTTTCCCTGGGATTTTATCTGTTCTCTGGGTGAGGGGAAGTGCACAGTACAGAGATGTTGGATGGGCAGATCCCTGTCATCAGCCTCACTGTTGTCATGTAATTGTCACTCACCTATGAAGACCTGCTATATTGTTTCTTGTTCCCATCCTGAAAGTCCCATTGGATATGCCTGTCTTTGCATCTTTTCTGCCCCCTTGGGATTTACAGAAAATGTGATATATTTCCCACTTGGGGTTGTAGGACCTCTGGGAGGCTGTGGGAGGCCTCATCCGCTTCTGTGTCACAGTAGGTTCATTTGATGTTTCTATTACTTTTTGGCCACACCGAGCCACAGGGATGTAGTGAGAATTTTTAAGGTTCTTTCTTCTCTAGATACGTTTCAATAATTTCTTCTTAGGGGTTTGCTGCCTCATGAGAAATGAGGCATAGGCCTCCTTTACTCTCAAATCCCATAAACGTACACAGTGATTCTCCATTCTCCCCAGAGCTCAGCGGGGGTTGGGTACCCATAAAAGGTTCTACTTTCCTTGCCCTGCAGCATCTAAATTGATGCCTCCGTTGTCCAGCCTGGAACATTTTGTGTCATTAAAAGTTGAAGACTGGAGTGGGGGTAAGAAAAAGGAAAGTTAGCTCCTACTTATAACATACTCTTCCAAATTGATGATAGATAGACATGATTTTTTTTTCCATTCCCTCTCAAGTTAGGCTCCTGAAATTCCAAACCCAAGGACTGGCTCCTGTTTACTCTTCTTCTGCTGTTTGATGCCTTCCTTGAGGCAATAGAATCCTACCTGACCAGAGTTTATAGTAATTCAGGAAAAACACATGGGTTAATCTCCTAATAGTAACCTTTCTCTCATCTCCACTCCCCATTTCTACCACACACTTTATCTCACTTGGTCCTTACAATAGCACTGACAGATAAAGCTTTCTGCTTCCATTATGTAGAAGAGGAAATAGATCCTGATGACTTAAATAGTAGAGTCAGAATATGAATTCAGGTGTAATGGTCCCCAAATGAGTGTTCTCCTTATATGGCATTACAGCATTAATTTTACACTGAAGTTTGGTTCTCATATCTTAAAAGAGAAATTTATAGCAATAAACACCTCATGTTCCTATCCTATTCTTCTTCTCTGTTTAAAGTCTACTCTGTAGGTTACCTGTCTTCCTATTTCCTTTGGTTGTAATGGTTTTATAGCTTATTGGATGCTCTATGTATTATAATATCACAAGTTAAAAATGTACCATAAACAACTCTACACTTTGATTTGTTCATTTAGTCATCAAAAAAATATATATACATTGTCCCTTTGAATGCAAAGCAGTGTGCTAAGCACTGTGATTCTGGGAATAGATCCTAACCATAGGGGTATATAATATAGGAAGGGAAAAAGACATTCAAATAGTCTTCAATTACACAAGTTGTCATTGTTAATGGGGCTAAATCAATGTGCAAGAAGTTTGCTATTGTTCCATGGAAGAATATTTAATTTGTCTGGAGGAATCAGGGCAAGCTTCATAGAAGAGGCAACAACTAAACTGGGTCTTAGAGGATGATTAGAAGTTTCAATGGGGGAGAAGGTATGGAAGAACCACCCAGGCTGAAGGTACACCAAGAAGAAGAGACACCAAAGAAAGACACCAAGTAGAAGAAGAATGTGTTTGTATTAGTCCATTCTCATGCTGCTGATAAAGACATACCCAAGACTGGGTAATTTATAAATAAAAAGAGATTTAGTAGACTCACAGTTCCGCGTGGCTGGGAAGGCCTCACAATCATGGCAGACGGCAAAAGGCACGTCTTACATGGTGACAGACAAGAGAGAATGAGAGACAAGCAAAATGGGAAACTCCTTATCAAACCGTCAGATCTCACGAGACTTATTCACTACCATGAGAACAGTATGGGGGAAACTGCCTACATGATTCAATTATCTCCCACCAGGTCCCTTCCACAACACATGGGAATTATAGGAGTTACAATTCAAGATGAGATTTGGGTGGGGACACAGTCAAACAATATCAGTGTTCTATTCCTGGGTTGGTAAATAGATTGGCAAGTAAAAACTACAAGGTCAATGGAGGGATGTCATAGGATACAGGCCTCTAAATATAAATCAGCACCTGGACATGAAGGACATTTAATGTCTTGCTAAGGAGCATGAACATTATTCCTAGGTAAAAGAAATCCACTGATGGCTTCTAGAGGGGAGTGTCTCTGGCCAATCTAAAATCAACATATTCAGTAATTTCAGCTTGTGATTTGCAGGGAGAACAAAGGAAGGGCAAATCTTGGGTTAAAATTCACAATTATAATTATTTGCATATTTAAATCCATTGTCCACATTATCCATATTCTAAATTAACATGGGAAAACTTGGTTTGTGGTTTTGATACCATGATGAAGTAGAGATTTTGACTTTGGCCTTGTTTAGATGTTTCCTACAGATGCTGTGTTCATTAGTCCAGAGGTGTTAGTTCTTCAATTCCTTTTATAAGCATTTTGTTATTTTGTCATTGGCTAATAATGGATGTGTCAAAGTTAATATGTCTCAACTGCCTGAGAAATTCTTCCCTGCCATAGATTATGGTGACATAATTTTCGAGATGATATATGCCCTTCTTGTGAAGCCTAGCTTGTTACCAAGTTTTGGCCTTTGACTACATCTTTTTTTTTCCAGGTAAAGGATGGAACACATGCTGTTAGCTTTTGATTTGCTCTTCCTGCCACATTAAGTATACAGCTCAGGAATGATTGTGCTGGAGCATAGTTAGCAAATGGTCAATCTATTCTCCTTGTAGAAGAAATGGAGGAAAAACAAAAAGAAGATTAAAAGCAAAATGATCAGTTTCCACCTCCAAACTCATCATTTAAAATAGAAAAAAAATGTGTCCTTACCCATAACTGTGTAAGACATTTGAATTTATTTATTCTTTTATTTGATTGACTGATTTATCAGGAAACATTGATCACATGCCAAAGGCTGAATGTTGGATTGGAAAGTAAGGTGAGGTGGGAGTATGAAGTTCAATCTAAGGGTCACATAATTCAATCTTTTTTTTTTGTTGTTGAGACAGGGTCTTGCTTTGTTGCCCTGGCTGGAATTCAGTGGGAAGACCACAGCTCACTGCAGCCTCGACCTCCTGGGCTCAAGGGATCCTCTGCCTCAGCCTCCCAAGTAGCTGGGACTACAGATGCATACCACTACACCCAGCTAATTTTTTTTAAGTTATTTGTAGAGATGCAGTCTCGTCATTTTGTCCAGGCTGGTCTCAAACTCCTGGGCTCAAGAGATCATCCCACCTTGGCCTCCCAAAGTGCTAGGACTACAGGCATGAACCAACATACCTGGCCACATAATCTTAAAATTAAACTTGGACTATTTATTGCAGATATTACTTAATCAACAAGTTCTGTTTTTTTTTTAATTATACTTTAAGTTCTGGGATACATGTGCAGATCGTGCAGGTTTGTTACATAAGTATACATGTGCTATGGTGCTTTGCTGAACCCTTCAACCTGTCATCTACATTAGGTATTTCTCCTAATGTTATCCCTCCCCTTACCCCCCACCTCCCGACAGGCCCCGGTGTGTGATGTTCCCCTCCTTGTGCTCATATGTTCTCATTGTTCAAATTCCACTTATGAGTGAGAACATGTCGTGTTTGGTTTCCTGTTCCTGTGTTAGTTTGCTGAGAATGATGGTTTCCAGCTTCATCCATGTCCCTGCAAAGGACATGAACTCATTCTTTTTTATGGCTGCATAATGTTCCATGGTGTATGTGTGCCACATTTTCTTTATCCAGTCTAACATTGATGGGCATTTGGGTTGGTTCCAAGTCTTTGCTATTGTGAATAGTGCTGCAATAAACATACGTGTGCATGTGTCTTTATAGTATAATGATTTATAATCCTTTGGGTATATACCCAGTAATGGGATTGCTGGGTCAAATGGCATTTCTGGAAATGTTTTAGATCCTTGAGGAATCGCCACACTGTCTTCCACAATGTTTGAACTAATGTACACTCCCACCAACAGTGTAAAAACTTTCCTATTTCTCCACATCCTCTCCAGCATCTGTTGTTTCCTGACTTGTTAATTATCACCATTCTAACTGGCATGAGATGGTATCTCATTGTGGCTTTGATTTGCATCTCTCTAATGACCAAAGATGATGAGCTTTTTTTTTTACATCTGTTGGCTGCATAAATGTCATCTTTTGAGAAGTATCTGTTCATATCCTTTGCCCACGTTTTGATGGGGTTGTTTTTTTTTTTCTTGTAAATTTGTTTAAGCTCCTTGTAGATGCCGGGCAGTATGGCCATTTTCATGATATTAATTCTTCCTATCCATGAGCATGGAATGTTTTTCCATTGTTTGTATCCTCTCTTATTTCCTTGAGCAGTGGTTTGTAGTTTTCCTTGAAGAGGTCTTTCACAACCCTTATGAGTTGTATTCCTAGGTATTTTATTCTCTTTGTAGCAATTGTGAATGGGAGTTCACTCATGATTTGGCTCTCTGTTTGTCTATTATGGGTGTATAGGAATGCCTGTGATTTTTGCACATTGATTTCTTATCCTGAGACTTTGCTGAAGTTGCTTATCAGCTTAAGGAGAATTTGGGCCAAGACAATGGGGTTTTCTAAATATACAATCATGTCATCTGCAAACAGATAATTTTACTTCCTCTCTTCGTATTTGAATACCCTTTATTTCTTTCTCTTGCCTGATTGCCATGGCCAGAACTTCCAATACTATGTTGACTAGGAGTAGTGAGAGAGGGCATCCTTGTCTTGTGCCGGTTTTCAAAGGGAATGCTTTCAGCTTTTGCCCATTCAGTATGATATTGGCTATGGGTTTGTATTAAACAGCTCTTATTATTTTGAGATATGTTCCATTAATACGTAGTTTATTGAGAGTTTTTACCATTAAGGGGTGTTGAATTTTATTGAAGGCCTTTTCTGCATCTATTGAGATAATTATGTGGTTTTTGTCTTTGGTTCTGCTTTTGTGATGGATTATGTTTATTGATTTGTGTATGTTGAACCAGGCTTGCATCCCAGGGATGAAGCTGACTTGATCATGGTGGATAAGCTTTTTAATGTGCTGCTGGATTCGTTTTGCCAGTAGTTTATTGAGGATTTTTGTGTCGATGTCCATCAGGGATATTGGCCTGAAATTTTTTTGTTGTTGTGTCTCTGCCATGTTTTGGTATCAGAATGATGCTGGCCTCATAAAATGAGTTAGGGACAAGTCCCCCTTTTTCTGTTGTTTGGAATAATTTCAGAAGGAATGATACCAGCTCCTCTTTGTACCTCCGGTAGAATTCTGCTGTGAATCTGTCTGGTCCTGGGCTTTTTTTGGTTGGTAGGCTATTAATTACTGCCTCAATTTCAGAATTTGTTATTGGTCTACTCAGGGATTCAACTTCTTCCTGGTTTAGTCTTGGGAGAGTGTATGTGTCCAGGAATTTATCCATTTCTTCTAGATTTTCTAGTTTATTTGTGTAGAAGTATTTATAGTATCCTCTGGTGGTAGTTTGTATTTCTGTGGGATCAGTGGTGATCTCTTCTTTATCATTTTTTATTGTGTCTATTTGATTGTTCTCTCTTTTCTTCTTTATTAGTCTGGCTAGTGGTCTATCTATACAAAACAAGTTCTGTTTTTTTTACATTTAATCTGTGTAAGACTTGTACTGGGTGCTATGGCATGAAACAAGGCATATTCAACTGATTTAACAATGTTTGATAGATGTTGGCTAATGACATAAGTAGAAATTAAGGATCGACTCAATATAGTATTTGAGAGGTTAGAAGAGGGGGAACTTCCTAGGGACTTGATGATTAGGGAATGTCCCATGGTAGAGGTGGTAGGGCTTGTCCCGTGCTGACTTGACAGCTACCACTTCACTCCCATGTCTGAATAAACAATTTCAATCCATTTAAACTACTATTTGAACAGTGGTCTGAGGTGATTAAAAAATGTAAAAAATATTTTTGCTTCATATTGAGTTATACTCTGATTAGTTATTAAATGAAGACAATTTCCCATAAGTTCTTTTAGAGATGAGAAAATTAGTTATGGGTGAGCATAGTCCATTAATTATTTCATGTACCTGAAGATCTCCAGGGAATGCCATGGCTTCACAACATGGCCCCAGAGGGTTAAATTTTGCATTTGATTCCCTGCATTTGCTGAAGATGAGTGAAATTGGATGACTCCCTGTTGACTATGCATCTGAAGCAGCTACTGTGTGTTGTTTATTTCCCTAGAGAGCATGAATTCTATAACATCCTGCTTTTAGTAAAATTATGCCTCTTTCTCTCCAAAGATTTTCACATGTAAGTAGGCTAGATAAACTCTAGAAGTTCACAGTGACAGACCTCTGGGAATAGAGAAATATCCCTATATTGCTTTAAAGATTATTTTTAATTATGAAATATTTCAAACATGCCAACAAGTATACGAAATAATGTAATAAAGACCATGCACCCTGTACGTAGATTTAATAAATGTCAATATTTTGCCATTATATGTATATGTATATATATATATTATATATATATATGCCTCAGACCTCTTTCTCTCTCTTCTTTTAAAGAAATAGAATAGTTATCAATACAGCTAATGCCTCTCCTTTGCATTACTTCCACTCCCTGCTCTCTAGAAGTAGTTGCTATTCTGAAGTTGGTTGATCTATGTTATTTCCTTGAATACTAAAATTTTTACGTGCTATGTAGATATCAAGAAACAAAACATACTGTTATTTATGTGGTTTATGATTTTATATAAATGACATTAGAATGTATATATCACTGCACTGCACCTTGCATTTTGCAGTCAGCATTATGTTTTTGAGATTTAACCATATTGATGTATGTGAATCTAGTATACTCACTTTAACTGTTGTATAGTATTTTATTGTCTGAGTCAATCATGGTTTTTTTAAGCTCTGTTTGCTATCACTGAGGCTTCTTTTGCATGTGTGTATGTTTCTTTGGGAGGAGCACATTAAAAGTGGAATTGCTACATCATGATTTAGTGTAGGCTCCTGAAAGTCAGAAAACCTGTGATACCACAAAAAAGTTAATTTCTTTTCTCATAATATCCCAGAACAGGTGCTCACATCAGTGGGTGTGTGATATTTCATTGTATGTGTCAACTTGACTGTATCACATGATTCCAAGATTATCTGGTTAAACATTATTTCTGGGTGTTTCTGTGAGGTGTGAGACTTCATAGAAGAGGTTAGCATTTAAATTAGTGAACTGAACAAAAGTGATGACCCTCTTCCATTCGGGTGAGCTTCATCCAACCCATTGAGAAGCTGAATAGAACAAAAGGTGGAGGAAGGGAGGATTGGTTGGTTCTCTGACTGAGTGCTTGAGCTGGAACATCAGTCTTCTCCTGACCTCAGTACTCCTGATTCTCAGGCCTTGAGACTGGAACTGGAATCTATAACATGGGCTTTTCAGCTCTCAGGCCTTAAAATGACACTACTGGCTTTCCTGGGTCTCTGGCTTGCACACAGCAGATCATAGCCTCAGCCTCCTTTTCATAATTACATTAGCCAATATCTTACAATACATCTGCATCTCTCTGTATATGTCTGTCTGCCTATCTATCATCTATCTATCTATCTATCTATCTATCTATCTATCTATCTATCTATCTATCTATCTATCATTTATCTATCTAAACTATCTGCCTATCTACCTGCCTACCTATCTTTCTATCTATCTGTTCTGTTGGTTTTGTTTCTCTGGAGAACGATGAGTAATACAAGGTGGTTCTCCTCGGTGAAGTGACTCAGGGACTTATTTGTCTTCCAACTGTGTCTCCATCTTTTCCTGGGCAATTCATGACCTGCATGCACCTGCAGGAAGTGGAAAGAAAGCATGGAGGAGACACATTCGCTCTTATAAACTCTAGGTTGAATTGGCACAAACCACTTCTACTGTTCCCAGAAATATAACTGATTAGTTATTTATGCATGCTCTGGGAAATTATCCTTAGTATGGAGTCATTCACAGTGGAGGTTGTCTTTAGCCTGTTATTTTCAGGTCAGCTTTCACAAACTGCCAGAATTATGTTGGATAATAAAATTGTCCTACATTTTCTCCTTGTAGGCCATGATAGTGTACATGCAATCACAAATACATTGTGTTGTACCCTAGGTTAATTGATAACTTAGATGAAATGGAGAATCATATCAAAGCATAATAAAGTCAACCTTGTTTCTTAAGGTAGATCACAATGGTTAATGGAGTTTGTTCAGCCGACTGTGATAGCAGCCTTCATGAAATATTGTACAAGGCAAATTGACAGATTTGGTCCCTGCCTCAATTGGCAAGATTGATCAGAGTGACTGAGTGATTGATATACTCAGAAAAATTTACCAAAAGTGAACACAATGTAGAAAAGAGGGTGCATGTTGTTGGAAGTAAATTCTCTACGTGTCTGCAACATTTCTGCACAGCATGCAAGAAGAGGCACTGACTACCTTTGCTCTGGACTGTCTTGATTCTGGTTTCCTAATGATCATGGATGTCTTTTTGGAGCAAAGAGCAGTCATGATTAGTGTCCATTGTAGAAGAATTAGATCTCCTAACCTTAGGGTTTTCATCCTATAACTCAATCCACTGTGTGTGCGGGTACCACCTTGTCCTCTTTAAAGCTCCCCGTGGAAAGTGGGGCTTGGGGAACTGGCACAAGAAAGTGCTGATATTCTGGCTGCTATTGTTGCTGTGAGTAATAAAGACCTTTGTCTCTGACCCAGGAGACTTGCATTAAGACTTCTTTTAGCATTCATGATAAAGTGGCAGGCTAACTTGTTAGATTTTAAGTAGGGTAAAATGGGACATCTTTCAAAGTTCTTGGCAATGAGAAAATAGAACATAGCTTGGATGATCTTGGGAAACGAACCTAACCGCCACGAGTCTCTTATTTTATATATTTTGTAAGTAAAAGGACTTGGTCTAGGTCAGATTACTGGTAAGGGCCCTCCGAGTCTGAAGAACTATGGTTCTATGATTCCTTGGGGGTAGTGCTTAGGCCTTTGCTCTGCGGGACCCCAGTGGAATATGTCTGGTTGTAAAATACTGGTTAAAACCTTGAGTGCTTCTCTTTAGCACTTCTTGCTTTACTCTCCTATATCTTGACACCGTATGCCTTCATTTTAAGGTGTATTTAAATGGTGAATTTTTTCATAGAACATGAAAGAAATCATCATTTTCTTTATTTTTTATTTTTGTTTTTGAGATGGAGTCTTGCTCTGTTGCCCAGGCTGGACTGCAGTGGTGCAATCTTGGCTCACTGCAACTTGTGCCTCCTGTGTTCAAACAATTCTTGCGCCTCAGCCTTTCGAGTAGCTGGGATTACAGGTGCTCACCACCCTGCTTGGCTAGTTTTGGTATTTTTAATAGAGATGGGGTTTCGCCATGTTGGCCAGGCTGGTCTTGAACTCTTGGCCTCAAGTGATCTGCCCGGCTTGGCCTCCCAAAGTGCTGGGATTACAGGCCTGAGCCACCATGTCCGGCTGTTATATCATCATTTTCAAAAGGACAGTTCCATAATATAATCCATAGTTAAAGACACAGAGGGCATTTTAAAGACAATCCCTCATTTAGCTGGTGATTGAAAGAAATCCGTGTGTGTAGCCTCTGTTGGATCTGACAGCATATCAAGGCAGTTCTGCCATCCAGGCTTGTTTGAGGAGCCTCAGGGCAGTATGAATCTGCATTTCATTCCCTATGATGGAAACAGAGAGATCAGAAGCTAAGCAAAGGACAGTGACTCAGGACACTTAACTTTAGGAGCCCTTATTTGTTTTGAATATCAAATCAGTTGTCTTTTGTGTTGTGGTGAAGATTTCACACTGACAAACTTGGTTGCTAATGATATTTTTCCATGTGGGACTCTATAAGTCTTGACTGGAGGGTAGAGGGCAGAGAGAGTCCTGAGTGGAAAAATGGTCAGGAGAGATCTGTTTTATTTTTTTGATTTTTTTGCGGGGTCTCGAAGCGTGGTTGTGACTGAGTCATTTACTCTTTGCACCTCAAATGATTTTTTAACTCAAATGCTGTTCCTCATGTACATGACAGGAGGTGATGGGTCAAATGTTGGTGAGGGCTTGATTGACAGGACAGAAGCCCAAGCCTGGAGGGAAGGCAGAGTGGGGAGGAAAACCGTGAAAGGCACTGCAGAGAGAAGCCACTGCCTGGGCAGAGGCAGCCCCAGTGCTGTGCGGAAGCTTGCTCTCCTGGCTTGCTTCCCTAATCTTTATATTCAAGCCATATACCTCAGGGCCTGTGAATCAACACACTTGCTTATTTACTGCTCTTTCTCTGGAACACTGAGCAGCTCTGGCTTGACGGGGTGTACAGATACCTATTCTATCTCTAGGACCAGTGGTAGGAAAAGACTCTTGTCCTTCCCGATCACCTAGAGAGAGGCTTTCACAAGGGCATGTCCTGCAGTCTTTCAGGCCAGAGCATTGTATGCAGATGTCCTCACATTGTCAGATGCTGCATAATCCTCATAAACTCTGTGATGCTCTTAAATCTTCTTGAAGTGCAGCTGCTACCTTTTCACATGGCATCTTCTCCTATGAGATGCATTTTCCTCTGCATTTTTCAAGCTTGTAATTCTCTAACTTAAAAAAAAAGTTCAGCTATCAAGAAAACTTGCTTTTTTCTCATTAAGACCCAGAATCACAAGAATGTCTGATTAAATTAACCACAAGTTCTAGAGCACAAGCAGTGCTCTGTTTAATCTTCAGTTTTCTTATTCATACTGGGTGATGGAAACACTTTTCTCCTTCTTGTTACTTTGGACTCCCTAGGTACAGGGACACTTCCTTGTTACTGGCTCTGAAAAGACATGTGTCTCGTAAACAGTAGTCGGAATAGATCAGCGTTTTATATCTTCGAGTACATTTGTTAGCTATAAAGTAAGATATGAGAGGGAGGAGGAATATATCCTAGGTAGAAGAGAATATTTCATATTTCGTAATCACATTTTCTCAGAAATAGTGTATCCAAATATTCAACACACAAAAAGGCAGCATCCTAACTGCTTTTTCCTTCTCTCCTCACCTGACTGTGTTTTTCCTTACCTATTTTATCTTTTCATTTCAGTTCTGCACTTCACCTTGTCGTCCCCCCTTATCTCCTTCCCTCTGAATTTATTAATCAAGTAATCCATCTTTACCGTGTAGGCAGTGCCGTCACCACAAATCCTGCAGCTGCTCACACTGACTATAAAATAAACCTCTTTGAGAAGCCTCAGAATGGTGACTGGTTGCATAAAGTAGATTATGCCTGTCTGGAGCCCCCTGGAAATTGTTGTATTCCACTTATTACCTGTATTTGAAATGAAAATATCAAGATAGTTTATCTTTGAAATGCTCCTTTCCAGACTATGAAGTTGAAAACTTAATAGTATCATGAATTCAGTTTAAAACAACAATCTATTTATTCAAGATACTCTCTTCACAATACTATACCTCAGAAATGTTCTCAATAAAGTATGCATTTTAGCATTGTTTTTACTACACTAATTAATTGAGACCCAAAGTGTACTTGGTGTTGTTGAGGGGCAGGGAAGGAGAGAGATAGGTTGAGAAAGATGGAGAGAAAGAGAATTACCATTTTAATGGTGCTATAATCTAAAAGTCTGAAGATGAAAGCATTTCAGAAATGTGATTTGCTCTTTTGTTTCTGTCTTTATCTTTCAAATACATACCACCTTAGTGAAGAGGTTGGTCATCTATTACTTTGACAATTCTACTTTATACCCTCTAATGCCAGGACTTAAAGATAGATACATTTAAGGCTACTCACTCACTTATTTCTTTCCTCTCAGATGAGTGGTCAAAATTAGCAAGCAGAAGTTGAGTCTGTTTCTTACAGCTGACCCTGTATTTACTCCAGAGGTTCTCATCTGGGACTGATTCTTCCCCACTCCCTCCATGAGATGTCTGGCAATGTTGGGAGACATTTTTGGTTGTCACAACTGTGTATGGGAGGGTACTGCTGGCACCTAGTGGGTAGAGAGCCTGGAGATGCTATTAAGTATCCTATAATACCTAGTACAGCCCCAACAACAAAAAATTTCTGGTTCTAATGTCCATAGTGCTGAGGAGGCTGAGAAGTCCTGATTTATGCTAACCAGATTTAGTAGCAAATGCTGAAAGCAGGAACAGGAGGAGAGAAGACAGGAAGAAAATAAAAATAAATCAAGAAGTTACTGCAGGCCTGATATATACACATTCGCATATGTCTTTTCTTTCATTTAATCCTCATAGAAATTCCCGTAAGTATAATTGTTTCTTCTTTTATTTTTTTCTTCTGTCAAAGGAAGAATCTGAGACCCAGAGAAGGTAAGTGATGTGCTTTAAGTCACATGTCTTAGCAAGTGTAATTCTGAAGCCCTTGCCTTTCCTGTTTCTCTTCTCTGGGAGCAGGAAGACAATTATCCATTCAGGTCTCAGAGTGGAGAGAATGGAGGCTGGATTGGTACACTTTACCAATAGATTTATACAGGTAGATGCTCATATTGTATCAAATAACCAATGTCCATCATTTTTTTTGGATGGTTTTAACTTCAAACACTTGGAAAGCTATTATTTGTATCGTGATGTTTCTTTTGGAAAAATATGGTCATTCTTCCTTTTCTGTTTTTTAAAAAATCTCCTTAAGAAACTTCGCCAATCACTTAGATCTTGGGCTGTGGTGTTTGATATATTACAGAAAAATGTGTAGGAGAGGTCAATGTGCCGTGGGTCATGAATTAAGAACACATAAACTACAGATGCTCAACTAAAAGCTTAAGCCAGAAAAGAATAACTTTTAGGACTGAAAATTATTGGATATAGAATGTCTCAAAAGAACTGAATCATCTTTTTCTCTGGCTATTTTGAAAAAACAAAATAGATTTTCATCCACTGAAACAGTTTAGTACTTTTTTCCTTGAAGATTCCCATAATAAGTTTGTTTTTTCTTTTTATGGTCACAATTTTTGATCAACTGCAATACAGAGTGGGATAAAAACGTTTCCCATCAAAATTCATCTTCTTTGGGAGTTTCGAAGTATAAATGACAAGTGCCAGTGGAAAAGGCCATTTCTTTCCATTGACCTTGGCCTTCTGGAATCAGCGTCTTCAGAAGTGAAGGCTGGGCATTTGCATTTTCCATAAGTTCCACAGGAGATTTTATTTTAACAAGCACCGTGTTTTGAATTTAGTGCCACTCAATAATTCTTGTTGATGATAGTTCTCTTGGTGGTTGCCCATCCGACCTGCTCTGGGCCAGCCTGGAACCCAAGCCAAATCTACGTTTGTTAGACTTTTAAAAGGATTTTTGTCCCAAATGTTATAAGGAGATTTTTTAAACGTGGCTGTGAATTACCCTTAAAAGTATAAAGCTATTGCTATAGAAAAATAGTGTTAGTTTTTCATAATAGAGTCTTAAAACTGCAAATTTAATTTCTCTGATTTTCTCTGAGGTTCTCAATCTGGAAAGCAGAAATAAGAGTAAAATCCTTACCTCGTTTATGGGTTTAAGGATAGACTGAAGTATTATCTAAAAAGTATTTAGTAAACTGGAAAAGATGCAAGATATTTATTATTATAGTTTTTACTTCTTGATGTTTTATTATTTTTTGACAACTTGGGTCTTTAAACTTGACCTTTGGTTTTAGAAGGACACTGAATCTATGTTTTCAAAACAGAATTACCTTTCTGAGGTGCAATCAGGCCCACAGATGTGTATTGTTTAGCTCACTCAGTGTTTAAAAAAAAAACCAGCTGTCAATGGTTAAAAACCAAGCAATTTCACATAAAAATTTGGGATTCTGACTTAAGTTGAGAAACCAGAATACTTAACCTATGTATGCCCAGTGCAGCAATTAGTAACCTTTTCCAGATCCTACAGGAATGTGAATTTGTCACCCATACTCTACAACTGAAGTTCTCAATGTGTGGTCCAAGACCCACAGAGTTACCATTGCTGAAAACGTGTTGGAAATGGTAATTCTAGGGCCTCTGCCCAGGTGTACTGAATCAGAAGCTCTGGAGATCTGGCCTAGTACACTGTTTTGTCAGGCTTTCTCGGGGATTTGGATACCCACTGGAGCCTGAGAACCACTTCTCCACAACATTGCAGTCCAATGTTCCGTGACTTAAGTCTAGTGCTGGGCAAGTCAGTCTTGCTTCTGATTGCTCTAGGGGTCTTCCACTGATTGGGCAACATTTTATTTCCTTGCCCCTCTCACCATTGCTGCGTTTTAAATGTTTTGCTCATTTTGGACTTGAGATGAATAAAAAAACAAAATCCTTGCGGTCCTTAGCATTTTCAACCAACAGCAGCAATTTGTGAAGATAAGGCCTCTGACCCTAAGTTGATCAAATGATGTCTTGCCACTCTTTGAGGCCATCCTTACAACTGTCTGTTGAACACATTCTTTAAAAACAAAAACCTCACTTTCTCCTCTTTCAAAACTAAGCAGTTTTAAGCAGCTCTGAAAGGAATTTAAATCTGTGCTTTTATTTTGACATTTGTTCCAACATTGATTAGATAATTTCTGATCTGTTTATTGTTTTGTACTACAGTGTGAAATCTCTAGAGATTATACTCCATTGGTGTTCCCCCCTTGAGGGAAAATTCACAGTATAAGAACTAACTGTTATAATATAAAACCAATATTCTTGTGAGATTTGTAAATTAAATTTTCATTCCAACTTTTGTTTAATATATTCAGTGTCACCTTGTAAGGCAACTGAGATAATTTTGTGTACCCTATCAATTTGTTTCTTGTTTGACATCTGTGTTTGTTTATATAGCTTTCAGAAGTGGAGAATTCTGTTGCCAATTAATGTTGATGGTTTCGAGTTAGAGAGAAGAGAGTTTGCTTATAAATGAAAGTTTTTGTTTTTTAAGTTGTGTTTTATTGTAGCTGAGTGTTTTCCAAATAAATATTCACTGACTTTATTGAATACTTCAATTGGGTAATGGAATCACAGGCTTTCAGAGAAGTAGGGCTCAAATATAATTTTTATTTATAAAAGATTCCTCTGCTATTGAACAATGGGACAACAGAAAATACATTAAAAGAATAATTTCAAGTAAAATATTGACCAAGTTTATGTTTTCTTGTGGAGGTGAAATCTTGGGCCAAGGTAACTTCTCAAACAACTGTAACATAGCCATTTGTAAGACATTGTTTATTAAAATAGGAGCTCCTGACTTCTGATCTTGCAGGTTGGTTGGAGAATCACCTAGGGACCATGTTAAAAATATTACTTCAGTAACTTTGTGGTTGGCACTGAGAAGCTGTATTTCATGCTCCTTCCCAAGTGATTTTTAATATGTAGCTGGATTTGGGAATCATTATGCTAAATCACACATTGTCTCTTTTAAAAAGAGCCAAAAGAGAACATTTTTCAGCCCATAGGACCAGGAAATTTTATGCCTTTCCAAAGCATCTAGTACCTTTTGATCTTATAGGACAATTATAAATGTTATAATGAATTGTTTTTCTCTTTTAGATTTGACTATAAGCTCAGAGGCAATTTTGACCCCCATTAGCTTTTGTGTAGGATTGGACTTTCTAGAATAAATTTTTATATCCTACTTTTTTTTACTCTGGCTTTACTTTAGCATTATTTCCATATTTTTTCCATTCTGATGTCTCTGTTTTAATTTAGTTTTTATTTTATGGTATTTTAAATCATGTTTGAAGGCATAATAAGTTTTTTTGGTATAAAGAATAGGTATAAGGAATAGTATAAATAAATATGATAGCTGTAGCAAAAAGACTGCCACACAGGTCATTAATGGGGCTATTTTATGGAGTGTTACTTAGTAATCCTGAACTAACTGCTGTTGAACTTAGCACTGTTTTCCATATGCAATGATTCTGTGACAGCTAAGTTAAAAAAGAGAACCGTGGTCATAGAGTATATGGGATTATATGTTCTATATTCCTTTTTATGCACTTTACGATGCACATAACAGTGTAAAGACTCTGAAAAGACCTGCAATAAAGACATTTTAAAAATCTTTAATCCAACATTTCCCAAGCTTTTCAAAAACCAATGACTATCTCCCTCCCCCCAGAACACATGTTAACATTTCCAGAACAATATTTTATTTGGGGAATGCCATATTATTGCTATGCTTGAAAGTGTTGAATGGCAATATGGATAAAATGAGGAAAGCTATTGTGTGGGACAAACAGAAATTATCAATCATAGTGGAGGGAATTAAACTGAGTTAAGTGAGTAAACTTTAGAGAAATTGTGCTAAATTGGCACTTGTGAAGAAGCATATATAATAAGGAGAAGAAACAGACAATACCATATTTGTATTCTTGCAGTTGCAGAAGGAACAGTACTTATAGCACACATTTCAAGTACAATGAAGTAAATCTAAGGTCTTAGCTGATCTCTACCATGGATCCACCTTCTGGGTGGTATCATGTTAGGATGTTATGTAAACGAAGTAAATAGTTGTCTCCCGTTATCCCCACTGGTAGAGAGAATAGTGGGAGGTCTAGGGAGAAATCTGGGTGGGTTTATGTGACAGAGGTTAAGTCATGGGGGAAGAATTTGTGCATGTATCAGTTAAACGCTCCCTGAGGACATGTGATCTCCCTAAGTGTTGCAGATATGTTGTACCTCCTGACAGCCTTGGTCAGAATGTGAATTAAAAAAATGTTTCATGAATCCATACTTACTCACTTTTCCTCTCTGTATCCCCAAAAGGCATGGGGAGAAATGGTTTTATTTTAGGGAAATTCTGCTCTGTTGAAGGAAATGTTTCACGTGACATCCTATTAATTGGTCACTTAGTTGCCTAGTCTTTACAACTCACAGTTCATTTTAAATAATATTAAACATTACTCTTGCTTTTGAATGAACAGAAATTTAATAGAGGTGGGGAGAAAGCAATCTAATACAATTCAGTTAGAAATACCTAACGTGAAGATATAACCTAAATTATCCATGAAAGTAAACTTGGAGTCCAGTGGCTAAATTGTTAAGAGTGGGCTTAACAAGAGACAGGCATGAAATGAGAACACCTAACACAGTGTGTACACAGGAGACTTTTCATCAAAGGAACTCAATACTTATTGTAAGAAGGTGCTCTATTCCTATTCTGTGAAGGTGCCATACGTCATATTGATATGACAGTGTCCTATCAGTAACAGCAAAATCGGTCAGTGAAAATTCTGTGGCCCAAAGAAGTGAGTGGGCTGAAACAGTGTTGGTCATCACTTTCAAGGCAATTTAAACCTTTAATATCTCAAGAGGTCAAATCCATGATTTTTGTTTCATCATTAAGTGGATCACTTGAATCCATTCCCCTTTTCTGGGTGTCAACACTTATTAACTGGACATCTTCTCTGTCTTTTTTAGCCAAGAAAATATACCTCATTTTGATAGTGACAGAAGGCAGACAAATGCCTAAGCAGATGGGGGGAGTTCCTGGTGAAACCCCACCTTCAAGCCAAAACACAGCCTGAAGGCTGAAAGACCAGACTGCTGGTCCCTAATGAAACTTGTGACCCAGAGTGAGAAATTCTGCTCCTGTTTGCCTGCCCTTTCCCCATTGATTCTTTCTGAATAATGCCTTTTAACCCATCAAATGTTGCCTTTTCCAATACTACCAATGGCCTGCCCCTCCCCTATTCTGAGCCCATAAAAGCCCTGGACTCAGTCACACGGGGGGACTTTGCTGCCTTCAGGTAGGGGGACCACCCCCGTGTCCCCTCTTCATGAAGAGCTGTTTCATCACTCAATAAAACTCCCTGCATTGCTCATTCTTTAATTGTCAGCATATCCTCATTCTTCTTGGATGCTGGACAAGAGCTTGGGACCCACAGAGTGTGGGTACCCAGAAATGCTGTGACAGTGTCCTTTTGTTCTTGTCAGTAGAGGGCAGCTGCCTCATACAACGGGGCCAGGGGCTGACTGAGCAGCTAACATGCTGCTGTCCATCGGACTGTGGACAGTGGAACTAAAAAAGCTAATTAGCTCACTAACGCCACCTCTAGGGCTTCAGGGTCACAGGAACTCTTGCCTGGGTGCTTCTGTGTTCCCCTCGAGGCAACATGCCTGCTCTGGCCACAGGCCTTGCACAGTGCTTGCTTCTGTGTCAGTGCTTGGAGTGGCTGGCCAGATCCCACACTCATTTGCTCACATGCTCCCTCCCGTAAGGGGCTGAGCACAGTGGGCCGAGTAGACGGGGCACCCCTGCCGGGAGTCTGGCAAAGGGGCCAAGAGGAAAATCCTGCTTCACTTTCATATCTCTTTATGAGCTTATCTCTGTTTAAATTAAATTAAATTTCTGGTAAAAATCCTGTCCAAATTGTATTTTTCTATATAAAAGAAAATTTGCTCATTGAAGAAAGGTTTCCAAAGGAAATCTTGGTTACCCTACTAGCCTACCTCAAGCCATTAATAATAGCATTTAATCCTTGCTGACATAAAGAATTTTTATATGCAACTGGAATTACATATAGTTCTAGCTCTGAAATTTGAGTATCTAAGAAAAGAGGAAAATTCAAAAATTGAGTTTACTAATTGAAGAATGATTTGAGCAGGGCAGGAGTGGTGGTGTGGTGGTGTCAGGTTAACAGTCTTAGCAATATGATGCCATTTCTTTCTTGTCTGTTACAATTCAGAACAGAAGCAGGAGTTGTAACATAGGGAATGTGAGATAAGATGGTGTCATGCAGAGAGCAGTGGCTTGGGAACCTTAAGAACTGGTTTCTAATGGCAATAGTAAGAAACAGCAGTTAATTGAGTGACTGAAAAGCTTCAGGATAGTATGGTATGCTTGCTATATCTTCATAAAGACCCTTTCAAATGTTATTATTATCACCAATTTCTGGGAAACCAAGGCCCAGAGAGGTTAAGTAACTTTCTTAAGGCCACACAGTAAGTGATAGAACTGTAGTTTAGATCCAAAAGGCAGCATTGACTCAAACTCTCTACTCTTATTGGTCCTACTTCCTTTCTTTGCAAATGCCAGATAAGAAATAGAGTCAGAAACTATGGGTTGAGTGTGGTGGCTCATGCCTGTAATCCCAGCACTTTGGGAGGCTGAGGTAGGTGGATCACTTGAGGTCAGGAGTTCGAGACCAGCCTGGCTAACTTGGCGAAACCCCATCTCTACTAAAAATACAAAAATTATCTGGGTGTGGTGGTGTGTGCCTTTAGTCTCAGCTACTCGGGAGGCTGAGGCAGGAGAACCACTTGAACTTGGGAGGCAGAGGTTGCAGTGAGCCAAGGTTGCATCACTGCACTCCAGCCTGGGTGACAAAATGAGACTCTGTCAAAACAAAACAAAACAAAACATTGTGTAGAGGCATGATAATTGTGTGGTCATGCACCTCTTAAGGACAAGGATATGTCCTGAAAAATGCATCATTAGGTGATTTCATCATGGTTTGAACATTTAATTTTAAGAGTGTGTTTACACAAACCTAGATGCTATAGCCTACCATACACCTAGGCCGTATGGCATAGCCTATGGCTTCTAGGCTAGAAACCTGTGCAGCATGTTACTGTACTGAATACTGTGGCCAATTGTAACATAACGGTAATTATTTGGGTCTCTAAAGATGCCTAAACATAGAAAAGTTGCAGTAAAAATATGGCATAAAAGATAAAAGATGGTACATCTGCATAGGGTACCTACCATGAATTGCACTTGCAGGACTGGAAGTTGCTCTGGGTGAGTCAGTGAGTGAATAGTGAGTGAACCTGAAGGCCTAGGACATTACTGTACACTACTGTAGACTTTATAAACACTGTACATAGGCTACACTAAACTTATACAAATATTTTTCATTCTTTAATAAGTTAGCCTTAACTTACTGTAAATTTTTTTAAAAAGTTTTGACTCTTGTAATAACACTTAGCTTAAAACACGAACACATTGTACAGCTGTAAAAATTTTTCTTTATATCTTTATTCCATAAACTTTTTTTCTATTTTTAAAATTATTTATTTTCTACTTTCAAAACTTTTTGTTAAAAACAAAGACACAGACACACACATTAGCCTAGGCCTACTTAGGGTCAGAATCATCAACAGCGCTGTCTTCCACCTCCACATCTTGTCCCATTGAAAGGTCTTCAGGGGGCACTAACACGCATGGAGCTGTCATCTTCTGTGATAACAAGGCCTTCTTCTGGATACCTCCTGCAAGACCTGCCTGAGGCTGTTTTGTAGTGAACTTTGTAATAATTAGAATTATTATAAAAATTATTCATTCTAAAATAATGATAAAATTATAGTATAGTAAATATATAAACCATTAGCGTAGCTATTTATTGTCATTATCAAGTGTA